>NC_000017.11:64435980-65685980 GCF_000001405.40 Homo sapiens
AAGTCCATTAAAACTCTCTTTCTTTTGTAAATTGTCCAGTCTTGGCTATGTCCTTATCAGCAGTGTGAAAACGGACTAATACATATCTGTTATTAGAGTCTGGTCTCATCCATTGTTTTTGAGTTTTTTCTGCTTTTTAAATTTTATTTTTTGGACAGAATCTCACTTTGTCACCCAGGCTGGAGTGCAGCGACATGATCTCGGCTCACTGCAACCTCCACCTCCTGGGTTCAAGTGATTCTCATGCCTTGACCTCCCGAGTAGCTGGGATTACAGACACCCACCACCACACCCAGGTAATTTTTGTATTTTTAGTACAGATGGGGTTTCGCCATGTTGGCTACTCTGGTCTTGAACTCCTGGCCTCAAGTGATCCACCTTCCTCAGCCTCCCAAAGTGTTAGAATTACAGGCGTGAGCCATCACACCTGAACTTTTCTGCTATTTAGACTGACCCTGATTATTTTTGTGAACCAATGAGTGATCTCTGTCTGCTGCTCAGCAGAAACAGGAGGAATGGGCAATGTAAAAATTTGCATCAGGTTTATAATTCTGGGCATGCATTGGGATTGGCTAGCAACTCCATATCAGCTTGGTTCCAACAATTGCCCAGTTCATGGAAAGCCTTCCTATTTAGTTTACTTGGAATTATTTTATCTATTTTGTTTTACTATTATGGAATATATGGCTGTTGTACTCTTTGTGTAGGAATGCAGGATAAACTTACTCAACATTTTCTTTTTTTTTTTTTTTAAGATGGAGTTTTGCTCTTGTTGCTCAGGCTGGAGTGCAATGGTACAATCTTGGCTCACCACAACCTCCGCCTCCCATGTTCAAGCGATTCTCCTGCCTCAGTCTCTCGAGCAGCTGGGATTACAGACATGAGCCACCACACCTGGCTAATTTTGTATTTTCAGTAGAGACAGGGTTTCTCTATGTTGGTCAGGCTGGTCTTGAACTCCTGACCTCAGGTGATCTGCCTGCCTTGGCCTCCCAAAGCACTGGGATTACAGGCATGAGCCACTGTGCCTGGCCAACATTTTCTTAAATTGAATACTTATTAATCTTCCAGATACCACCTTTTTGTCAGAACTCAGAGTTATGAATGGCCCTCACCATACTAATGCTTTCTGACTGAGCTCCTCTCTACCCTGAATAAAAGAGACCCTAATAATTAGGCAGGAATATCACCACCCCTATTCAGCCCAAAGAAGTTACTGATGATGGATCCTCCTCCCTCTACAACACTTAGTCCTCTTGTAAAAGGGAGGAAGAAATGTGTCAGAGGTGTTGGAACAAGAGTGACTCCATCTTGAACAGGGGCTAGGTAAAATAAGGCTGAGACCTGCTGGGCTGCATTCTCAGGAGGTTGTGGATTCTTAGTCACAGGATGGGATAGGAGGTTGGCACAAGATACAGGTCATAAAGAACCCACTGATAAAACAGCATGCAGTAAAGAAACCAGCCCAAACCCATTAAATCCAAGATGGCAACAAAAGTGACCTCTGGCCATCCTCACTGCTCATTATGCTAATATAATGCATTAGCATGCTAAAAGACACTCCTCCCACCAGCACTATGACAGTATACAAATGCCATGGCAACGTCTAGAAGTTACCCTATGTGGTCTAAAATGGGGAGGAAACATTAGTTTGCTGGGGTCTGGATCAGAACCCCTTTCTGGAAACACTGTAGATAACATCACTATTGTAAAACCTACAATTGGTGTTTTGGAGATCTTTCAGACTGACCCCACCTGGACCCATGACTCATGAGTCAGCTGATCCTGTGGCTCCATGCAGAGGTGGACTCAACTGATGAAGACTGTTTTCCACACCCCTATGATTTCATCCTCAACCAATCAGTAACACCCATTCCCAAGCCCCCTGCTCACCAAATTTTCCACAAAACCCTTAACATCATAGCCTTTAGGGACAACTGCTTTCACAGGCTGGCATTGAGTGCCTGCAGTTTTTCCAGGCACATAGTGCAAGTTGTCAGTGGATCTACCGTTCTGGGATCTGGAGGATGGTAGCCCTCTTCTCACAGCTCAACTAGGCAATGCTCCAGTGGGGACTCTGTGTAGGGAGCTCCAACCCCACATTTCCCCTCTGCATTGCCCTAATAGAGGCCCATGAGGGCTCCACCCCTGCAGCAGACTTCTGCCTGGATATCCAAGCATTTCCATACATCCTCTGAAATCTAGGCGGAGCTCAACTGTTGTCTTCTGTGCACGTACAGGCCCAATACCACATGGAAGCTGCCAAGACTTGGGGCTTGCACCCTCTGAAGCAACAGCCTGGACTGTACCTTGGTCCCTATTAGCCATGGCTGGAGCTGGAGCAGCTGGGACGTGTGGCACCATGTCCTGAGGCTGCACAGAGCAGAAGGGCCCTGGGCCTGGCCTGGAAAATCATTTTTCCCTCCTAGGCCTCCAGGCCTGTGATGAGAGGGGCTGCCATGAAGATTTCTGAAATGCCCTGGAGATATTTGCGCCATTGTCTTGGCTATTAACATTCAGCTTCTCTTTACTTATGCAAATTTATGCAGCCCAGGGGCTTGAATTTCTCCCCAGCAAATGGGTTTTTCTTTTCTACCACATGGTCAGGCTGCAAACTTTCCAAACTTTTTTTTTTTT
This sequence comes from Homo sapiens, assembly GCF_000001405.40. Lineage (NCBI taxonomy): Eukaryota > Metazoa > Chordata > Mammalia > Primates > Hominidae > Homo > Homo sapiens. Next base: position 64,438,618 of record NC_000017.11, read on the forward strand.
GAGATGGAGTTTCATTCTGTTGCCCAGGCTGGAGTGCAGTGGTGCAATCTCAGCTCACTGCAACCTCCTCTTTCCAGGTTCAAGCAATTCTCCTGCTTCAGCCTCCTGAGTAACTGGGACTACAGGTGCGCACCACTGCGCCCAGCTAATTTTTGTATTTTTTTTTTTTTCAGAGGCAGGGTTTCACCTTGTTGGCCAGGCTGGTCTCGAACTCCTGACCTCGTGATCTGCCCACTTCAGCCTTCCAAAGTGCTGGGATTACAGGCATGAACCTCTGCACCTGGCCCCAACTTTCCAAACTTTTATACTCTGCTTCCCTTTTAAATATAAATTCCAATTTCAGATTATCCCTTTGTAAATGCATGTGACTGTATGCCATTAGGAGTAGCCAGCCCACCTCTTGAACACTTTGCTGCTTAGCAATTTCTTACGCCAGATACCCTAAATCATATTTGTCAAGGTCAAAATTCCACACATCCTTAGGGCAGGAGTAAAATACCACAAGTCTCTTTGCTAAAGCATAGCGAGAGTGACCTTTACTCCAGTTCCCAATAAGTTCCTTATCTCCATCTGAGACCATCTCAGAGTGGATTTCATTGTCCATATCACTATCAACATTTTGGTCAAAACCATTCAACAAGTCTCTAGGAAGTTCCAAACTTTCCCACATCTTCCTGTCTTCTTCTTGGGTTTGTTTTTGTTTTTTGAGACAGAGTCTCACTCTGTTGCCCAGGCGGGAGTGCAGTGGCATGATCTCAGCATACTGCAACCTCTGCCTCCCAAGTTCAAGCAATTTTTATGCCTCAACCTCCTGAGTAGCTGGGATTACAGGCATGCACCTCCATGGCCAGATATTTTTTTAATTTCTAGTAGAGACATGGTTTCACCATGTTGGCCAGGCTGGTCTTGAACTCCTGAGCTCAAGCAGTTCTCACACCTTGGCCTCCCAAAGTGCTGGGATTGCAGGCATGAGCCACCATGTCCAACCATCTTCTTGTCTTCTTCTGAGCCCTCCAAATTTTTCCAACCTCTGCCCATTACCCAGTTCCAAAGTCACTTCCATATTTTCAGGTATCTTTATAGCAGTACCCTACTCCTGGTACCAATTTTCTGTATTAGCCAGATTTAACACTGCTATAAACACCTACTTGAGGCTGGCCATGGTGGCTCATGCCTGTAATCCCAGCACTGTGGGAGGCTGAGGTGGGCGGATCATGAGGTCAGGAGTTCAAGACCAGCCTGGCCAACATAGTGAAACCCCATCTCTACTAAAAACACAAAAATTAGCTGGGCATAGTGGTGGGTGGCTGTAGTTCCAGCTACTCGGGAGGCTGAGGCAGGAGAATCACTTGAACTCAGAAGATGGAGGTTGCAGTGAGCCAAGATTGCACCCCTGCACTCCAGCTTGGGCAACAGAGTGAGACTTCGTCTCAAAAAAAAAAAAAAAAAACAGAAAGGACTACTTGAGACTGGGTAATTTATGAAGAAAGAGGTTTAATTGAGTCACAGTTTTGCATGGCTGGGGAAGCCTCAGGAAACTTATGATTGTGCCAGAAGACAAAGGGGAAGCAAGCACCTTCTTCACAAGGCGGCAGGAGAGAGAGAGGCAGGGGGAACTGCCACACTGCCACACACTTTTAAACCATTGGATCTCATGAGAACTCACTATCACAAGAAAAGCATGGGGGAACCACCCCCATGATCAAATCACCTCCCACCAGATCCCTCCTTCAACACTTGGGGATTACAATTCGAGATGAGATTTAGGCAGGGACACAGAGCGAAATCATATCATTGGGTATATAAAATTTTCAAACAGCATCATCATTTGAGCTAAAACATTTTTTTTTTTTTTTTTTTTTTTGAGACGGAGTCTTGCTCTGTCGCCCAGGCTGGAGTGCAGTGGCGCAATCTTGGCTCACTGCAACCTCCGCCTCCCAGGTTCACGCCGTTCTCCTGCCTCAGCCTCCCGAGTAGCTGGGACTACAGGCGCCTGCCACCATGCCCAGCTAATTTTTTTGTATTTTTAGTAGAGACAGGGTTTCACCATGTTAGCCAGGATGGTCTCGATCTCCTGACCTTATGACCCGCCTACCTCGGCCTCCCAAAGTGCTGGAATTACAGGCATGAGCCACTGCGCCCAGCAAGCTAGAACATTTTTAAATTTTGTAATTGTTATTGTTCATCAGGAGTTGAGGATTTAACACCATGAATAATACTATTAGTATGAAGAGAAATTCCCTTTTTATGGAGAACATACGTTACCCAGTGGCCATCAATTTGAAAGAACTTATTGGAAAAGTTCAAGGCCCATGTTAAGTCATGCCAGGATTCAAAAGACCACACCATCCACTTCTTTTTCTTTTCTTTTTTTTTTTTGAGACAGAGTTTCACTATTGTCGCCCAGGCTGGTGTGCAGTGGCGCAATCTTAGCTCACTGCAACCTCCGCCTCCCGGGTTCAATTGATTCTCCTGCCTCAGCCTCTAAAGTAGGTGGGATTACAGGCATGTGCCACCACGCCCGGCTAATTTTGTATTTTTAGTAGAGACAGGTTTTCTCCATGTGGGTGAGGCTGGTCTCGACTCCCGACCTCAGGTGATCTGCCTGCCTCGGCCTCCCAGTGTGCTGGGATTACAGATGTGAGCCCGGCCATCCATTTCTAAACATCAACAAAACCTTGGAAAATATGAGAATGGTGTGATTAACAATTTGTATGAAAACTTCTATCTCTTGATAAGTATAAGTAGTTTTGTAATATAGGTCAGTTAGAGACAAAGTGGGGGCAGTGGTGAAATCTATTTTTAAATCTTTTATTTATGTCTTGAGTTATATATTTATGTTCTCCTACTGATTGTTGTTGTTTTTTAATAGAGACAGAGTCTTGTTTTGTTGCCCAGGCTGGTCTAAAAATCCTGGCTTCAAGGAGTCCTCCAGCCTCAGCCTGCCAAAGGGGTGAGATTACAGGCATGAGCCACCTTGCCTGGACAGTAAATATTTTTTATAATACTTCTGCATTTCTCATTAGAAGTTTGTGAGGATTAAATGAGATTATCAGTATGAATCTCTTAGCACAGCAAAAAGGAATATAGCAACTTTATTGTGTGTTACTATATTTACCGTCAGTCTTATCAATATGGTAAATTACTGCAGACCTCAACAACATGGATTTGGCATGATTTTGAGAAATGTGTCAGGTCTATGGGGAAAATGTTTTCTTTTTCAATTTAAGACTTCACCTCTGGTTTATTATGCCACTTTTTTTTTTGTAGTTGTTGTTGTTTTGGTTTTGGTTTTTTAAGACAGTGTCTTGCTCTGTTGCCCAGGCTGGAGTGCAGTGGCACAATCACAGCTCACTGCAGCCCTGATTTGTCAGGCTCAAGCAATCCTCCTGCCATGGTCTCCCAAGTAGCTGGGACTACAGGCACGTGCCACCAAGCCCAGTTAATTGTTTCAATTTTTTCAATTTTTTTCAATTTTTTTTTTTTTTTTGTAGAGATGGGGTCTCACTCTACTACCCAGGCTGATCTCACACTCCTAGGCTCAAACGATACTCCTGCCTCCTACTCAGCCTCCCAAAGTGCTTGGATTACAGGCATGAGCCCCCACGCCCAGCTGATTAATATTATTCCACTTTTGACAAATCCGTCTTCCACGGCCTTGCTAAAGCGCTCCTAGCAATGTTTGCTAACAGCTGTAAGCGGTATTTCCCTTGGTTTCCTCTGCTGTCTTTGGATCAGATCTGCGGTCAGCAAGCTTCCTGCTTGCAGCAGAGAATTCTAGACATGTCAGCTGTTCTGAAAGGTCCCCAGTCCTCCCAGGCACGATGGATCTCAGGGGCCCCATCCCTCCCTCTGCCCAGGCTAGCATGGAGGACACGCTGGTGGGGAAAGTGTCTTAACTGTCATGCTTACAAAACCTCCAATTCCCTTTAGCAGAAATTCTAGCACTGAGAGTTATCCCATCAGAGATTAAACTTGTAGGGTTCTTTCCATCCTCGCTTCTTTGCTGAGAGAAATTGCCACTGATGTCACAGTATGAAAAGCACCATGTCATCTCTTTTAGAAGGGAAGTGCCTGAGAAGTAATTTTTACTGTAAGAGGGAATAAAGGCCTTTTGTGAACTGAGGGTTACAGATGATTTGCTACCAGGCAGTGGTGGACAGGTAGGGAGGAAGTGGGATGAGGGCAGCAGGCCCCTGGTGGTGGCAGGGTGTGGCCCCTGGGGTGGCTGACCACCAGGAGGTGGGCCCTGGCGAGCCTGGAGTGAGTCAACGCTGGGGTGGGGAGGATGTCCTAGGAGAATCTGGACATGGGCAGAGAACTGGCTTTCCTACAGAGATGACACCTGTCTTTGGTTTTTTTTGTTTTTTGTTTGTTTTGTTTTGTTTTGAGACAGGGTCTCACTCTGTCACCCAGGCTGGAATGGAATGGCGTGATCTCAGCTCACTGCAACCTCTGCCTCCCAGGTTCAAGTGATTCTCATGCCTCAGCCTCCCAAGTAGCTGGGATTACAGGCATGCACCACGCCCAGCTAATTTTTTATATTATTTGTAGAGGTGGGGTTTCACCATGTTGGCCAGGCTGATCTCAAACTCCTGACCTCAGATGATTCACACACCTCAGCCTCCCAAAGTACTGGGATTACAGGCTTGAGCCACCTCGCCTGGCCTGACGACACCTGTCTACAGGAATGTGCAGGACCTACCTACAGGGTTAACCCTGTGTGGAGACAAGAATCAGTAACCCAGGTGACCCTGCCTGATCATAGGGCTTCCTTTCACTTGGGAAGCCCCTCCCATCATTTCCCACCTCCCACTTCAGACTGATGAGACTGGAATATGTGGCGTTACTTTGTGTACACTTCAGAGAGCCAGGAGAATTCTGGATCCTGTAGAAGTGAACCAACCACAAGCTACTCCACATTGTTAATTTAGGGATTCTGAGACCTCAAGTCAAGAAAGTTCTGATCGTGGGCACTGGGCAGACAGAGACAGTGGAAAAGAATTGGGAGCCCAGGCTATGACTTCAGACAGATGAGGAAGTTTTGTTTGTTTTATTTTTATTTACTTATTCTTTATTTTTATTTTTTGAGACAGGGTCTCGCTCAGCTGCCCAGGCTGGCATGCAGTGGCAAGTCATAGCTCACTGCACCCTTGACCTCCCAGACTCAAGTGATCCTCCTGCTTCAGTTTCCTGAGTAGCTGGGACTACAGGCGCACACCACCACACCCGGCTAATTTTTATTTTTAGCAGAGACAAGGTCTCAGTATGTTCCCCAGGCGAGTCTTAAACTCCTGAGCTCAAATGATTCTCCCGTCTTGGCCTCCCAAAGTGCTGGGATTACAGGTGTGAGCCGCTGTACCCGACCCACACAGGGTTTGAATCCCAGCCATGCTACTTCCTAGCTGATTTTCCCCAAATGTATAATGGGGACAATAACCCTCTAGAGAATTACAGGAGATCATGAGGAAAAAGCATTTCACACAAGGCCTAGTCAATACACAACAGCTGCCACTATGACTATGAACCGAAATTCATGATAAACTGCTTCTAACAATGCATGCTATACCCAACAAAGAATGTATGCAGGGGACGGGGTGCTAAAGACATTCCTGGGGGCAGGGACAAGCGGAAATGAATTATATTCATGCCTATTGGATATTTTCTTTGGATTTTGTATGCTGTTTCGATTTTTATAATTTTTTTTCTTAAGGAAAAAAACACATATTTTTTTCTTAAGGAAATAGACACTGGCCAGGCGTGGTGGCTCACGCCTGTAATCCTAGCACTTTGGGAGGCCGAGGCAGGGGGATCACCTGAGGTCAGGAGTTCGAAACCAGCCTGGCCAACATGGTGAAACCCCATCTCAATTAAAAATAAGAAATAAGCCAGGCATGGTAGTGCATGCCTGTAATCCCAGTTACTTGGGAGGCTGAGGCAGGAAAATCGCTTGAACTGGGGAGGCGGGGAGGCGGAGGTTGCAGTAGGCCGAGATTACACTATTCCACTCCAGCCTGGGCGACAAAAGTGAAACTCTGTCTCAAAAAAAAAAAAATAGACACTGTTGTTGCAAGCCTATGGGTTGCCTGAGGGCAAGTATGGGCTCCAGGTAGGTCTTTTGAGGAAAGGATCTTGTTTTTATCTTTCATGTAAAAGTTACTTTATCTTTCTCAATACCTCAGTGGTTTTGAACCCAAGCCTCTGGGAAATGTCCCAACCTCCTGTCCTCACTCAGTGCACCATACTACCAGGCTTAGAGGAGGCTCTTTCTCCTTATGGAGGACCAAGGAAAGGTGTTGTCAAGGTCTGCCATTATCCCATCTTTCCTCCTTCTCCATAATAGGAATATTAATGCAGAAAGAAATAATTGAAAGAGGAGCGGCCAGGCGCAGTGGCTCATGCCTGTGATCCCAGCACTTTGGGAGGCCAAGGAGGGCGGATCACCTGAGGAGTTCGAGAACAGCCTGGCCAACATGGTGAAACCCCGTCTCTACTAAAAATACAAAAATTAGCCAGGCGTGGTGGCAGGCACCTGTAGTCCCAGCTACTTGGGAGGCTGAGGCAGGAGAATTGCTTGAACCCAGGAGGCAGAGGTTATAGTGAGCCAAGATCATGCCGTTGCACTCTAGCTTGGGGGACAAGAGCAAGATTTCATCTCGAAAAAAAAGAAAGAGGAGCTAGAATAAGAAAATAAAAGCTGGAGAGAATGTGGAGAAATAGGAACGCTTTTACACTGTTGGTGGGAGTGTAAATTAGTTCAACCATTGTGGAAGTCAGTGTGGTGATTCTTCAAGGATCTAGAACTAGAAATATCATTTGACTCAGCAATCCCATTACTGGGTATATACCCAAAGGATTATAAATCATGTTACTGTAAAGACATATGCACACGTATGTTTATTGTGGCACTATTCACAATAGCAAAGACTTGGAACCCACCCAAATGTCCATCAATGATAGACTGGATTAAGAAAATGTGGCACATATACACCATGGAATACTATGCAGCCATAAAGAAGGATGAGTTCATGTCCTTTGCAGGGACATGGATGAAGCTGGAAACCATCATTCTCAGCAAACTATCACAAGGACAGAAAACCAAACACCACATGTTCTCACTCATAGGTGGGAATTGAACAATGAGATCACTTGGATACAGGGAGGGGAACATCACACACTGGGGCATGTCGGGGGGTTGGGGGTTAGGGAAGGGATAGCATTAGGAGAAATACCTAATGTAAATGATGAGTTTATGGGTGCAGCAAACCAACATGGCACATGTATACCTATGTATCAAACCTGCACATTGTGCACATGTACCCTAGAACTTAAAGTATAATAATAAAAAAAATAAAAATAACATTCTACTCTCCAGATATAGCTATTGTTAACATTTTGAGAAAATATCCTTCCAGATAGTTTTTCTCTTTCTTTCTTTCTTCCTTTCCTTTCTTTTCCTTTTTTAATTTAGAGACAAAGTCTCATTATGAGTCTCCCAAAGTGCTGAGAATACAGGCATGAGCCACTGTGCCCGGCCTCCAGATAGTTTTTCTATGTATACAAATTATGCACTTTCTTATTTAGAAAAATGATTTATGTTATTACAACTGTTAATAATACCTTTTCTCTTTTCTTAAGTATATTGTGATTCTCTTACCACATCATGAAATGTTCTTCTACATCACCATTAAAAATTCTTTTTTTTTTTTTTTTGAGACAGTGTCTTTCAAAAGTGCAGTTCTGAATCAAGGCAGCCTTGAAGTCTTGTTATTATGGCAAGCCCTCCAGTGCCAGGAGAACTGAGGTAGGAGTAAACTCAGATCAGCCTTTGAAATAGAATGTGTGAGGCCAGGTGCAGTGGCTCATGCCTGTAGTCTCAGCACTTTGGGAGACTGAGGTGGGTAGATCACTTGAGATCAGGAATTTGAGACCAGCCTGGTCAACATGGCGAAACCTCATCTCTAGTAAAAATTAAAAAAATTAGCTGGGCGTGGTGGCAAGTGCCTGTAATCCCAGCTACTTGGGAACCTGGGAACTGTGGAGGTTGCAGTGGCCCGAGATGGCGCCACTGCAGCTATTACTCCAGTTTGAAAATACTAGAAGTTGCCAATATATATTTTTTCCATTGCCAGACTTGTCTGCAATTTGTACTGGATCTGATAGAGAAACCATTTCCATGGGTCTATATGAAAATGTGGAGCCGGGGGTAGTGGCTCACGCCTGTAATCCCACAACTTCGGGAGGCCGAGGCAGGCAGATCACCTGAGGTCAGGAGTTCGAGACCAGCCTGGCCAATGGGGTGAAATCCCGTCTCTACTAAAAATACACAATTTAGCCAGGTGTGGTGGCACGTACCTGTAATCCCAGTTACTTGGGAGGGTGAGGCAGGAGAATCCCTTGAACCCAGGAGGTGGAGGTTTCAGTGAGCCGAGATAGCGCCACTGCACTCCAGCCTGGGCAACAGAGCGAGACTCCATCTCAAAAAAAAAAAAAAAAAAAGAGAGAGAAAGAAAATGTGGGTGCGGGGAATGATTCTATGGTTGTCTGTTCTTTTCCAGCTGGCCAGCAGTGGTAGCCAAAAAGTGACAGGATGCTGATGAAAAACATTGCAGACGTGAAGAAAAGAAAAAGTTGATGGAATTTTGCACATGTATCTGACAGTTCACCCATCCAAACTTTTATAAAGTGCTGTAAAGTTGTTGTAGTAAGGGTGGGGCATGGTGGTTCATGCTTGTAATCCTAGCACTTTTGGAGGCCACACGCAGGAGAATCGCTTGAGCCCAGGAGTTCAAAACCAGCCTGGGCAATATAGTGAGACTTCATCTCTATAAAAAAGTTAAAAACCTAGTAGTGTATGGTGGTTTGTGCCTGTGGTCCCAGCTACTAGAGAGGCTGAGGTGGAAAGATAGTTTGATTCTGGTAAGTGGAGATTGCAGTGAGCCAAGATGGTGCCACTGTGCTCTAGCTTGGGAGACAGAGCAAGATTCAGTATCAAACCTCCTAGCTAGAGGATGCTAGCTAGGTGACGCTGAGTCAATAAGGAAGGATTTGGTTACATCTTGGGACCTAAGGTACAGAGATGAATGTCCCAGCTCAAGGCTGCCCCAGCCATTCAACTCCTTGCTTCCTCTCTTGGTGGACCTGTCAATTCTTGCAAGTGTCAACCAGCTGTCTTGCCCACCTAGCCCTATAGTCATACCTTTCTATCCTTTTGGTGATCTCCACTCCATCAAGAAGTGGCTCTGCACATTCTATTTCAACTGACTTTTTTTTTTTTTTTTTGAGACAGAGTTTTGCTCTATCACCCAGGCTGGAGTGCAGTGGTGCAATCTTGGCTCACTGCAACCTCCACCTCCCGGGTTCAAACGATTCTTCTGCCTCAGCCCCTCAAGTAGCTGGAATTATAGGCACGCATCACCACACCCAGTTAAGTTTTTTGTATTTTTACTAGTGATGGGATTTCGCTGTGTTGGCCAGGCTGGTGTCAAACTCCTGACCTCGGGTGATCCGCCTGCCTCAGCCTTCCGAAGTGCTAGGATTACAGGCATGAGCCACCGCACCCAGCCTGCACGTTCTATTTCAAAGGCTGATCTAAGGTAACTCCTACTTCAGATCTCCTGGCACTGGAGGGCTTGCCGTAATATCAAGTCCCCAAGGCTCCCTTGATTCAGAAATCACTGAGGCAGCAGCACCTTGTACAGATATTTCTCAGCCTTCACTGTGCGTAAGAATTGCTCAGGGCCCTTGTTTAAAAAAAAAAAAATCAGCGTCCTGGACTTGAAACCCAGTAAGTCTGGAGTGGGGTCTAGGAATCAACGTTTAACAAAAGCAGGCATTTTTGGCCAGGCACAGTAGCTCACACCTGTAATCCCAGCACTTTGGGAGGCTGAGGCGGGAGGATCACTTGAGCTCAGGAGTTTAACACCAGCCTGGGCAACTAGACCCCTGTCTTTACAAATAAAAATAATTAGCCAGTCCTGATGGTGCACACCTGTGGTCCCAGCTACTCAGGAGCCTGAGGTGGGACGAGCACTTGAGCCCAGGAGTTTGAGGCTGCAATGAGCTATGATCACAGCACTCCACTCCAACCTGGGTGACAGAGTGAGGCCAGTCTCAAAAAAAAAAAGCAGGCATTTTTGATACAATATTTGTATGTATCTGCTTAAGACAGTCGGTTTGCTTCCAAAGACTAAATCAAACTTCCACCAAACTCCTTTTGGCATAGACTGAGTCCAGAGCAAGGAGATCAGATGGGTTTACATAGACAATGTAACAGTCAGATTTACCTCTTCTCTTTCCCAGCCAGCATGGGACGATGTGGGGGTGTGGGGGGGTGGGGGGGGCGGGGGAGTGGCAATCTACCAAATATCTCTCTTCTTACAGGAACTCACAGAGGAAGACAGATTGGTCGAACAAACCAGTATTATGCAAACCTCATCCAAACCCTCTGATTTCCTTAACTTGGCTAAGAAAAAGAGGAAGTTCTCCGAGTTACTCACCACTGTGGTTCTACTATGCCTTCTGACCCCGTCTTGGACTTCAACTGGGAGAATGTGGAGCCATTTGAACAGGCTCCTCTTCTGGAGCATATTTTCTTCTGTCACTTGTAAGCCCCCCTTATCATTCTGAGGCTCGAACCTCCAAGCCAACGTGTCATGTGGAAAGTGAGCTTTATCGTGTTCCTTTTCTGTTTCAGGTAGAAAAGCTGTATTGGATTGTGAGGCAATGAAAACAAATGGTAAGTTTCATTTACTTCTTTCTTATTGAAACCATTTTCACTGAAGTGGTGAGACAGTCTGATTGCAACATAAGCGTCCATTCAAAAGTGTTTCTGAGCTTTTATGAACAACCAAAGAACAGTCTTTTCAATTATCTATCATTTAAAATAAAATGATTTTAGGGAGGGGATTGCAGCATTTTTTTCTGAGACTCAGTGAGAAAAATAATGAAATTTGTTTTCACAATGAAAGTTTTCTAACTTTCCTTGTTATTGTTGTTTTATGGTTGTTGTGTTTTAACTAGAAAGCCAACACACAGGCTGGGTGTGGTGCCTCCGGCCTGTAATCGCAGCACTTTGGAAGGCTAATGGGGTAGGATTGCTTGAGCTCAGGAGTTTGAGACCAGCCTGAACAACATAGTGATACCTCGTTTCTTAAAAAAATAAAACAAAATAAAAAAACCCACAGAATTATTGTGAAATAATTCAAGCAACACTAGAAATATACATTGGGAAGTGGTCTAACCTCTGGTTCTACTAGTTACTAGCCAGCAGCCTGAGCTCATGACATACCCAGTTTGACCTTAATTTCTTTCTTTCTTTCTTTCTTTCTTTTTTTTTTTGAGATGGAGTCTCAGTCTGTCGCCCAGGCTGGAGTCAGTGGTGCAATCTCGGCTCACTGCAACCTCTGCCTCCCAGGTTCAAGTGATTCTCCTGCCTCAGCCTCCCGAGTAGCTGGGACTACAGGCGTGTGCCACCAAGCCTGGCTAATGTTTTGTATTTTTTGTAGAGACGGGGTTTCACATCGTTAGCCAGGATGGTCTCGATCTCCTGACCTCGTGATCCGCCCACCTTGGCCTCCCAAAGTGCTGGGATTACAGGCGTGAGACACTGTAATTTATTTCATCTGTGAAGTGGGCTAATAAAAGCACCTACCTGGTAGGCTAGTGTGCAGATCAAATGAGACAATCCCTGCTCCTCGTCACAGTGCCAGGCATATGGTAAACCATCCGTAAGTGATAGCCAAGGTGGTGGTTGTTACTGTATAAAATGTAAAAGTTCTGTTACAATCCTCCTCCAATTCTTCTCCCCTTCCTATCCAGAAGCAGCCGTTATCAACAGTCACTTTATATTCGTTATCTTTTTTTGTTTGTTTGTTTTTGAGACAGAGTTTCACTCTTGTTGCCCAGGCTGGAGTACAGTGGCACAATCTCGGCTCACTGCAACCTCCGCCTCCTGGGTTCAAGGGATCCTCCTGCCTCAGCCTCCCGAGTAGCTGGGATTACAGGCACGTGCCACCATGCCTGGGTAATTTTTGTATTGTTTTTTGGTAGAGACGGGGTGTCATCATGTTGGCCAGGCTGTTCTTGAACTCTTGACCTCGTGATCCTCCTGCCTCTGCCTCCCAAAGTGCTGGGGTTACAGGCATGAGCTACCACACCAGCCTTAGCTCCTCTTTTTCAACAGCTGCATGGTATTTTAAGACTCAGCCATGATTCGTTTAACCATCCTTATTTATTGCCCTGCTTTTTGGGGGCAATATAAACAATGCTACAATAAACATCCTTGTACACAACGTCCTTTGTGGATGCATGAGAGCTTGAAAGCATCTCTGTAGAATGAAATTCTAGAATTGAAATTGCAAGGTCATAGGGCATACACATTTAAATTGTTACAGACCCTGCTAAGTTGCCCTCCCAACAAGGCTGATCGTATCCTATCAGTCACCAACGGTGGGTGAGTTTCCCCACCCACTCCCCAGTGGTGGATATAATCACTTTTACTTTTAAATTTTATTTAGGGTTTTTTTTTTTCTTTCTTTCTTTGAGACAGAGTCTCTGCTCTGTCGCCCAGGCTGGAGTGCAGTGGTGCGATCTTAGCTTTCCGCAGCCTCGACCTTCCAAGCTCAATTGATCCTCCCACCTCAGCCTCCTGAGTAGTGCCATACAGGTACGCACCATCATGCCCAGCTAATTTTTGTATTTTTAGTAGAGACAGGGTTTCACCATTTGCCCAGGCTGGTCTCGAACTCCTGGACTCAAGAGATCTGCCTGCCTCAGCCTCCCAAATTGCTGGGATTACAGGCATGAGCCACCATGCCTGGCCAATCATTTTTAAACTTTGTACCAATCTGATGAGTGAAAAATGATATCTCAGTGTTGTTTTAATTTGCAGTTGCCTCATTACTTGTGAAGTTGAGCATCTTTTTCATGTTTACTGGCCACAAAAGCTCTAGCATTCCTAGATAAAAAAAACTTAGGGATGGCTATTTGGTTGGAAAGGTAGTTTAGGTCTTGTCTTAAAGTTGAGTTTATATGGCGGGGCACAGTGACTCACACCTGTAATCCCGGCACTTTGGGAGGCTGAAGCAGGCAGTCACTTGAGGTCAGGAGTTCAAGACGAGCCTGGACAACATGGTGAAACCCTGTCTCTACCAAAACTACAAAAATTAGCTGGGCATGGTGGTGTGTGCCTATAGTTCAGCTACTCAGGAGGCTGAGGCAGGAGGATCAGTTGAGCCTGGAAGGTGGAGGCTGTGGTGAGTCAAGATGGTGCCACTGCGCTCCAGCCTGGGCAACAGAGTGAGACTCTGTCTCAAAAAAAAAAAAAAGTTGAGCTTATATAAGACTGAGAAAATGTTAATTGTCCAGATCAAAGAGTGGGAGGAGAGTTTACTGCATTTTTAAAAGCATTTTTGAAGAGTCTAAATCTGTCTTCCACCCAAGCCATCCATTGGTCCCAGCTATGTTTTTTTTTTTTTTTGTTCTGTTTTGTTTTTTAAAAATTAGAGACGAGGTCTCACTTGTTGCCCAGGCTGTTCTCGAACTCCTGACCTCAAGTGACCCTCCCACCACAGCCTCCCAAAGTGCTAGGATTATAGGCGTCAACCACCACACCCAACTTCAAGAACTTTTTATTTATTATTATTTTTATTTTTTGAGGTAGTCTCACTCTGTCACCCAGCCTGGAGTGCAGTGGCATGATCTTGGCTCACTGCAACCTCCGCCTCCCTAGTTCAAGCAATTCTCCTGCCTCAGCCTCCTGAGTAGCTGGGATTACAGGTGCCCACCACCATGCCAGCTAATTTTTGTATTTTTAGTAGAGACAGGGTTTTGCCATGTTGCCCAGACTGGTATCAAACTCATGGCCTCAAGTGATCCACCTGCCTCGGCCGCCCAAAGTGCTGGGATTACAGGCGTGAACCACCTTGCCCGGCCAGGATCTTAAGAAGGACTTTTTCTTGTGTCATTTTGTTTTTCAGAATTCCCTTCTCCATGTTTGGACTCAAAGACTAAGGTGGTTATGAAGGGTCAAAATGTATCTATGTTTTGTTCCCATAAGAACAAATCACTGCAGATCACCTATTCATTGTTTCGACGTAAGACACACCTGGGAACCCAGGATGGAAAAGGTGAACCTGCGATTTTTAACCTAAGCATCACAGAAGCCCATGAATCAGGCCCCTACAAATGCAAAGCCCAAGTTACCAGCTGTTCAAAATACAGTCGTGACTTCAGCTTCACGATTGTCGGTAAGTAGAGTGCCTGTTCCTTGGAGCCCCTATAATTTATAGGGTGCTTTCTGGTTCTATGAGGGGCTCTCCATGATCCTTGTGAACACTTAAGAACCTGGAAAGTATGTTACTGCGAGCTTTATTCTTTTTTTATTTTTTATTTATTTTTAGACCTGGTCAACAGGAAGTATCTTTTAATTTTTTAATTTTTGAGATCTCTATTCTTTTTTTTTTTTTTGAAACAGAGTCTCACTCAGTTGCCCAGGCTGGAGTACAGTGGTGAAATCATGGTCCACTGCAAACTCCACCTCCTGGGTTCAAGGCATTCTCCTGCCTCAGCCTCCCAAGTAGCTGGGATTACAGGCACCCATCACCACGCCTGGCTAATTTTTGTATTTTTACTTGAGACGAGGTTTCACCATGTTGGTCAGGCTGGTCTCGAACTCCTGACCTCAGGTGATCCGCCTGCCTCAGCCTCCCAAAATGCTGGGATTACAGATGTAAGCCACCATGCCCAGTGAGTTCTCTATTCTTAATCATTCCGTTTCACCTTCTCTTTCAAAGACTTTCGACCATGTCAGATAATAGTCTTATATCTTTAGGCAAAAGTCTTATATCTCAACAATAATTGTGGAGGTCTTTTCTAGAAACTTTATTCTGTGATTCCCATTGTGTGGGCAAAAATCGCTTTTTTTTTTTTTTTTTTTTTCTGAAGCCTTGGGCCCCTTGGAGAGGGTCTTCAAAGCCTCACGCCTTTCCCACCGCTTCCTTAGTGTCAGGGGCCCCATCCGCTAGCACTCTTCCTGCCTAGCCACATCTCACTACTTCTGTGTTTTTCTGTCCCATTTTCCTACCCCAAGCCTGTTACTGCCTAGCATTAAGGGCCTCATCCGTGAAGGTGACCTTGATAATGGACTCCTGTGGGAGGAGAGAAGGCTTCTAGGTAACACATGTATGTTATACCTGGAGTCTTCAAAGCGTAGGGACCCTGACTTCCTGATAACTCTTGAGTGGTCCTCTATGTCTATGCTATCCAGTACGGTACTGTTTAAACTTATTTGTTTATTTTGTTTTATTTTATTTCTTTTTTTCTTTTTTTGAGATGGAGTCTCGCCCTGTCACCCAGGCTGGAGTGCAGTGGTGCGATCTCAGCTCACTTCAACCTCCGCCTTTCGAGTTCAAGCAATTCTCCCACCTCAGCCTCCCGAGTAGCTAGGATTACAGGCATGCACCACCATGCCCAGCTAATTTTTGTATTTTTAATAGAGATGGGGTTTCACCATGTTGACCAGGCTGGTCTTAACTCCTGACCTCAGGTGATCCACCCACCTCAGCCTCCCAAAGTGCTGGGATTACAGGCGTGTGCCACTGCTCCTGGCCAACGTTTATTTATTTAATAGCCTATGTCACCCAGGCTGGAGTGCAGAGGCTACTCACAGGCAATCAAAGCCCATTGCAGCCTCAAACTCCTGTTCTTAAGAGATCCTCCCACCTCAGCATCCTGAATAGCTTGGATTACAAGCACGTGCCATAATTAAAATCAAGTCAATTAAAATTAGATGAAATAAAAAATTTCCCTCCACAGTCTCAGTTACATTTCAAGGCTTTGATAGCCACACCTGTAGCTGGTGGCTGCCACATTGGACAACACAGATGTAGACCATTCCCATCATCACAGAAAGTTCTACTGGGTGACATTGCTGTAGCTCAGTGATTCTTAGCTTTTTAGGTTATAACTGTCTTAATAATCCAATGATAGCAATGAATATCTTCTCCAGAGAAATGCTCATAAAACTACGTATACAAATTTCTGCATAAGGTTTTAGAGAATGCTACGGACTCCAGGTTAGAACCAATTATCTTGGCCAGGTGCGCTGTCTCACAGGTGTAATCCCAGCACTTTGTGAGGCTGAGGCGGGAGGATCACCTGAGCCCAGGAGTTTGAGACCAGCCTGGGAACTATGTGGAGACTGTGTGTCTACAAAAAGTTAAAAAATATATATATGTAGCTGAGCGTGGTGGCGTGCCTATAGTGCCAACTACTCAGGAGGCTGAGTTGGGAGGATTGCCTCAGCCCAGGAGTTCAAGGCTGCAGTGAGCTGTGATTGCACCACTGCACTGCAGCCTGGGTGACAGAGAGAGACCCTGTCTCAAGAAAAAAAAAATCCCAATGATCTTTGGACATAAACTGAGTATATTCCTTGTGAAAGGAAAAGGAAGAAGGAGGGGGAAAATCCCTGCAAACATGGTACTGGAATACGATGGATATGTGAGGGCAGGAACACAGCTGATGGTATTCTCTAGTGGTCAGACTCCTGCTGCACTCAGCAATAAGCCCATCAGTTCATATGTTTTTTGTGCACGACCTTCCTGCAATTTGTTAGGGTAATTACACAGTCTGGTAATAAAACTATCTTGGTAGATTATAAAACTGTATCATCTTCAGTTAGGCCAGATCAATAGGCACTACGGAGTACCTACTCCATGCAAGCAATTGTACTACTGGGTTTTTAATGAGGCCTAAAACATAGTGTTGTCTCCAACCCAGTAAGGGTTGAAACTATGAGCCATAAACACAAATTCATTAATCACTGATTCACTCATCAAAAAAAAATTTTTTTTTTGAGATGGATCTTGCTCTGTCACTCAGGCTGGAGTGCAGTGGCACCATCTCGGCTCACTGCAAGCTCTGCCTCCCGGGTTCACACAATTCTCCTGCCTCAGCCTCCCGAGTAGGTGGGACTACAGGCGCCTGCCACCACGCCTGGCTAATTTTTTTTTTTTTGTATTTTTAGTAGAGACGGGGTTTCACCATGTTAGCCAGGATGGTCTCAATCTCCTGACCTCGTGATCTGCCCACCTCGGCCTCCCAAAGTGCTCACTCATCAAATGTTTAAAGAGAACACAGGGCCGGCTGCAGTGGCTCACGCCTGTAATCCCAGCACTTTGGGAGGTTGAGTGGGGGCAGATCACTTGAGGTCAGTAGTTCAAGACCAGTCTGGCCAACATGGTGAAACCCTGTCTGTACTAAAAATACAAAAATTAGCTAGGCATGGTGGTGGGCACCTGTAATCCCCAGCTACTTGGGAGGCTGAGGCAGGAGAATTGCTTGAACCTGGGAGGTAGAGGTTGCAATGAGCTGAGATCGTGGCACTGCACTCCAGGTTGGGTGACAGAGTGAGACTCCGTCTCAAAACAGAAAAGAAAGTAAATAAAAAAAAAATTGTTTTTAAGTGTGGACTCTTGAAGTCAGTCCCAACTCGGCCATTTACTAGCTGTGTGACCTTGGGCAAATTTCTCAATCTCTCTGAAGCACAGTTGGTTCATCTGTGGAATGGGCATGATACTATCCACACTACAAGACTGTCGTGAAGGTCAAATGAGATCATGTGACTGGCACGCCTGGCACATGATAGATACTTAACAGCTTTTCTTCCTTTCCTATAATACTGTCTTATTAATGCATTATATATATATATAATAAAATGTATAGCTGGGTTTTTCTGTTAGGTCATAGAATAGGCTATGATCTAACAGAGTGTAGCAGACCCATTTCCTGTTGAGAATTTCTCTTGAATCTAGTTAGCAGGGTTACTTCCTGCTCTTTGGAGGAAGTGAAAGATAATTGTGCAGCTGAGTTCTATAAATAAAAGTACAGTTGGAGAAAACGATATTTTTGGGGCTGGGCATGGTGGCTCACACCTGAAATCCCGGCACTTTGGGAGGCTGAGGTGGGAAAATCACTTGAAGCCAAGAGTTTGAGACCAGCCCGGGCAACATAGTGAGACTCTGTCTCTACAAAACATTTAAAAATTAGCCAGCAGTGTGCACCTGTAGTCCCAGCTACAGAGGCTGAGGCAGGAGGATCACTTGAGCCTGGGAGTTTGAGGTTACAGTGAGCTATAATTGTGCCACTTCACTCCAGCATGGTTGAAAGAGCAAAACCCTGTCTCTGAATAAATAAATACATTGAAAAGAAAATGATATTTTTGGATTAAAAAAACCCACTGTAAATTTACAAGGATTGAGAATAAAAGCACTTCTTGGGCCGGGTGTGGTGGCTCCTGCCTGTAACCACAGCACTTTGGGAATTCAAGGTGGGAGGATCACTTGAGGCCAGGAGTTCAAGACCAACCTGGCCAACATGGTAAGGCCCTATGTCTATAAAAAATAAACATAAAAAAGCACTTCTCAGCTTCATACTTAGAACTGGATCATTGACAAAATTATATTCATTATTAACAATAAATAGATTGTGAATTCTAGGAAGGGCAAGCTTGCACCCCAATTCCTCAAAGCAGAGAGATGCCCTCCACTCTCTGGCTTTCTCAGCACTCAGCTGAGAACCTCGGCTAACAACACACTGCACGGGGTTGGCCACATGCCCATTGGCCTTTCCCAGTGGGCCGTGAGCTTCTTGACTTCTCAGGAAGGGGGTCGTTCATCTTGGTTCCACAGCCTGGAGTGGAGTAAGGGTTCCACTCATATTTGTGGTCTGAGTGAGCACACCCAGTCTGTTTATCCTTTTCATGTTCACTTTCATTCTTCCAGACCCGGTGACTTCCCCAGTGCTGAACATTATGGTCATTCAAACAGAAACAGACCGACATATAACATTACATTGCCTCTCAGTCAATGGCTCGCTGCCCATCAATTACACTTTCTTTGAAAACCATGTTGCCATATCACCAGCTATTTCCAAGTATGACAGGGAGCCTGCTGAATTTAACTTAACCAAGAAGAATCCTGGAGAAGAGGAAGAGTATAGGTGTGAAGCTAAAAACAGATTGCCTAACTATGCAACATACAGTCACCCTGTCACCATGCCCTCAACAGGTAAGAGCAACCTGAGTTCTTTCAGCCAGGTCTGAACTCACTTCCAGAAACTGCAGCTGCTCCTCTGCCCACCCATTTCCCACCATGGCCACCTGACCTTCCAGGTCCTTCTGAAGGTGCATTTGTCAAGGTAGAAGGATAGAAGGAAAACTAGGTCGTGTGCAGTGGCTCACACCTGTAATCCCAGCACTTTGGAAGGTTGTGGCTGGCAGATCACTTGAAGGGTCTCTTTGGTAGAGTCCATGCAAACTCTCATGGGGTTGCTTTCTGCCATAAAGGAACCACAGAAAGGCCTAGAAACTGGAGCAGGAGGGGGACTTGTGGCAAAACTTTCTGCCCTGCCTTTCCAATTTGCATCTGTCTTAGAACTGCCAGGTCTTTTAGTTTTCTTTGTTTTTTCATCATTTGTATGTCTGCCTTTCTTTCTTTTCCTTCCTTCCTTCCTTCCTTCTTGTATGCCTGCCTTTCTTTCCCTTCCTTCCTTCCTTCCCTCCTTCCTTCCTTCCTTCTTTCCTTCCTTCCTTCCTTCTTTCTTTTCTTTTCTTTTTTTCAGAGTGTCACTCTGTTGCCCAGGCTGGAGTGCAGTGGTGTGATCTCAGCTCATTGCAACCTTTGCCTCCCAGGTTCTAGAGATTCTTGTGCCTCAGCCTCCTGAGTAGCTGGGACTACAGGCACCCGCCACCACGCTTGGCTAATTTTTGTATTTTCAGTAGAGACGGGTTTTCACCATGTTGGCCAGACTGGTCTCGAACTCCTGGCCCCAAGCGATCTGCCCACCTCGGCCTCCCAAAATGCTGGGATAACAGCTGTGAGCCACTGTGCCTGGCCATCTTGTACTGATTTCTAATACCATGCCCTCCTGCTTGGCTGTTTATTGCTCCACTGCTAATGATGATGGGTCCAGACTCCTGCACCACCCTTGGCTCAGGGCAAGAGAGGCCTCTGGCCAAGCCCTGTGTTTAGTGGGCTCTGGTCTGGTACCTCCAGGCTATGCACCTTCCCCTAGGCTGAGGGGTTCAGGGAGCCGTGGGGATGCAGCCACCTGAACCCTATACTCCCACTTTTCTGCTCCACACTCTAGGTACCTGGACCAAAATCCCCTGCCCAATCAGATCAGAAGCCATTTCCAGGGCCTGTACCAGTCTCTCCCCCAGCTCATCCTCCCGAGGGTGGCCCACAGTAAGGGTATGAGCATCCCTGAACCTGAGCCAAGGGAGCTGTTTATGGGGGGTGTGGATGGTGTTTGCACATGTGGGCTGGGGCGTCCACGTGCATGCAAGGCCCCTTAGGGTGCAGGTCAGAGCCCAGGTCGGGAGCGGGGCAGCCCGGGACTTCAGTGGGTTCTGTCCATGCTGCCACGTCCTGATGCCAAACTCTGGAAAGTCTGAGAATTCCAGATTCAAACCTGACCTTCCAGGTCCTTCTGAAGGTGCATTTGTCAAGGTAGGAGGATAGAAGGAAAACTAGGTCGTGTGCAGTGGCTCACACCTGTAATTCCAGCATTTTGGAAGGTTGTGGCTGGCAGATCACTTGAGCCCAGGAGTTTGAGACCAGCCTGGGTAACATGGCAAAACCCCTGTCTCTACAGAAAATAAAAAAATTAGCCGGGTGTGGTGGTGCATGCCTGTGGTCTCAGCTACTCAGAGGATGAGGTAGGAGGATTGCTTGAGCCTGAGAGGTCGAGGCTGCAGTGAGCTGTGATCATCGTGCCCTGCATTCCAGCCTGCGTAACAGAGCGAGACCCTGTCTCAAAGAAAAAAGAAAAAGAAAAAGAAAGAAAAGAAAAACTAGGTTAGCAAAGGCACAAGGCACACTTGGACATTGACCACTTCACCCAGCCAGGTCCTCAGAACAGAGCCCACGCCCTGGTATTCAGTGAGTGTGGTCTAACAAGTGAGGCAGCCTGCTGGAGTCAGGCACTTGGCTATGAGTCACAGCCCTTCCATTCACTGGCTGTGTGACCTTAGGAAAGTCATTTCACCTCCCTGAGCCTTACTCACCTCATCTATAAAATGGGAGTGATGCCAATGGGATAAATAAGGCAACACAGGTGAAGTGCCTAACACAGTGTCTGGCCTGCAGCTAAAACTCAACAACTGGCAGTTGTTTGGATGACACGAAACATGCTGCCAGGGCTCAGGGCCTTGCCCAGTAAACACCCAGGCTTTTCTGGTGCTCATGACCCCAGAAATGTTGCTGGTATTCGTCCTGTTAAATTCTGTGCTGCTTTTCTCTTCTTTGGGTGGCCCCTGTGGAAGATGTGCTTGGTCATGACTTTTTAAACTTTATTATTTTTATTTTATTTTATTTTATTTATTTATTTATTTATTTATTTATTTATTTATTTATTTATTTATTTATTTGAGATGGAGTCTCACTCACCCAGTCTGGAGTGCAATGGCACGATCTCGGCTCATTGCAACCTCCGCCTCCTGGGTTCAAGCGATTCTCATGCCTCAGCCTCCCAAGTAGCTGGAAATACAGGCACGCGCCACCAGGCCCAGCTAATTTTTATATTTTGGGTAGAGACAGGGTTTCACCATGTTGGCCAGGCTGGTCTCAAACTCCTGACCTCAGGTGATCTACCTGCCTTGGCCTCCCAGAGTGCTAGGATTACAGGTGTAAGCCACTGAGCTCAACCTATTTTTGTTTATTTATTAACTTATTTATAGAGACAGGGTCTGGTTCTGTCCCTCAGGCTGGAGTGCAGTGGCACAATCATAGCTCACTGCAGTCTCCACCTCCCGGGCTCAAGCGATCACCCTGCCTCAGCCTCCTGAGTAGCTGGGATCATAGGCACATGCCATCACACCTGGCTAATTTTTATTTATTTATTTATTTTGTAGAAACAGGGCCTCACTATGTTGCCCAGGCCGGTCTCAAACTCCTGGCCTCAGGCAATCCTCCCACCTTGATCTCCGAAAGTGCTGGGATTACAGGTGTGAGCCACCACGCCCAGTCAAGAACTTTATTGACTAATAAGTCCCGTGAGTTTTAGATGTCATGACCATTTGGGAACCTGGGTGCATAGTACATTGGTTAACTTGGGAGACATCACCTTTTCTAAAACACTTACTGGCTTAATGTCATTGGAAAAGAAAATGCTATGGTCACCAATGGATGCGGTCTTCTTCCAGGCGGAGACAGCTGTCCTTTCTGTCTGAAGCTACTACTTCCAGGGTTATTACTGTTGCTGGTGGTGATAATCCTAATTCTGGCTTTTTGGGTACTGCCCAAATACAAAACAAGTAAGTTCTTTTAGTCGCTTTACCACCCGTTTTCCCGTGGGCTTGGGATACAGACAGCAGGACAGAGGGTGAGGAGAAAGAGAAAAGGGGATTGGAAATAGAATAGGGAGAAAATGAAAATAGGAGGAAAACATGAGAAAGGGGGGCGGGAATGGAATAGACTTCCTGAACGGTTCATGCAGAGGGTAATTCTTTCTCCAGGGAAAGCCTTTTCTGTTTGAGGGCAAGCAGAGCTGGCTTCACAGACGTACAGCCTGTGCTGTCACACAGGGCCCTGTGCCAAGAAGAACTCCACATTTGGTATTTGTTTATTTATTTATTTATTTATTTTTGAGACAGAGTTTTGCTCTTGTTCCCCAGGCTGGAGTGCAGTGGTACGATCTCGGCTCACTGCAGCTTCCGCCTCCTGGGTTCAAGCAATTCTCCTGCCTCAGCCTCCCAAGAAGCTGGGATTACAGGTTTCCGCCACCATACCCAGCTAATTTTTTGTATTTTTAGTAGAGACAGGGTTTCACCATGTTGGCCAGGCTGGTCCCGAACTCCCAGCCTCAGGTGATCCACCTGCCTCAGTTTCCCAAAGTGCTGGGATTACAGGTGTGAGCCACTGCTCCCGGCTGCATCTTGAAATTCTTCATAATTTTTTGTACGCTCTTTTAAAAATTGTTAATGGTGGTAAAATATACATAACACTAAATGGGCCACTTTAACCTGCTTAAATGCATAGTTCGGTGGCATTAAGCACGTTCCCATTGTCATGCACCCTTCTCCACCATCCATGTCCAGAACTTTTTCATCTTCCCAAACTGAAACTCTGTCCCCATTACACACTAGCTCCCCATCCCCTCTTCCCCCGGGCTCTGCCAACCACCATTCTGCTTTCTATCTCCATTAGTTTGACTCCTCTAGGCACCTCATGGAAGTGGAAGCATTTATCCTTTCATAACTGGCTTATTTCACTTCGATTAATGTCCTCAAGGTTCATCCATGTTGTCATATGTGTCAGAATTTCCTTCCTTGATAAGACTGAAGAATGTCCCATTGTACATAAATACGCCACACTTTGTTTATCCATTTATCCCCCATGGGTACCCGGGTTGCTTCCACCTTTTGTCTATTGTTTAATAATGCTAGGAACGTGGGTGTGAAATTATTAATGTTTTTAAACAAGAGGCCCTTTTCCTCGTATGACTGCTTGTGAAAGATGTACTCGGTCCTGACTTTAAGAACTTGTGTTCCTTTTTTTCTCTCTCTCTCTCTTCTTTTTTTATTCTATATTAAATGGAGACGGGGCCTCACTATGTTGCCCAGGCTGGTCTCGAACACTTGGGCTCAAACAATCCTCCCACCTCGGCCTCCCACAGTGTTGGGATTATAGGCGTGAGCCACTGTGCCGGGCCAAGAACTTGTGTTCTTAATTAAACACAAGTTTAAGGCCTGTGAACAGTGTTCATTTCGCACTGGGCGCTGCAAGTGGTGCGGCTGCTCCTGACTGCAAGTGCCTCAAGCGAGAGCTTTGCCTTGAGTGACTCTAGATCTGCCACATACGTAGGGGAGGTTCAGTGCATGAGGACAAACAAGCGTCATCCCATTAGCACAAAAGACACCTTCAAAAGGTTTACAATTGTTTGGGGCTGGAAGTATTGAAAATATTAGGTTGGTGCATAAGTAATTGCAATTTTTGCCATACTTTTATGGCAAAACCCACAATTACTTTTTTTTTTTTTTTGAAATGGAGTCTCGCTCTGTTGCCCAGGCTGGAGTGCAGTGGTGCAATCTCGGCTCACAGCAGCCTCTGTCTCCCTGGTTCAAGCGATTCTCCTGCCTCAGCCTCCTGAGTAGCTGGGATTACAGGCACCCACCACCATGTATTTTTAGTAAAGACAGGGTTTCACCATGTTGGTCAGGTTGGTCTTGAACTCCTGACCTCAGGTGATCTGCTCGCCTCAGCCTCCCAAAGTGCTGGGATTACAGATGTGAGCCATTACGCCCGGCCCACAGTTACTTTTGCACCAACCTAATATATACATATTTTTTATTTCTACATTTCTATGCTTTCTAGATTTTCAATGTAGAAGTATAATCTATTCTACTATAAGATTTTTTAAAAAACTTTATTAAACACACCAGACTCAAAAAAACAAAAACAGAAACAAAAAAGCATCATTTCTCTCTTCCCCACCTTAAGTGCTACATCCAGCAGAAAACTTGTCAATGTTATTAGAAGCCTCAGTTACAGCTTTTTTAAAAAAATGTTTTTTAGAGACGGGGTCTCACTGTGTTGCCTAGGCTGGTCTTGAACTCCTGGACTCAGGCGATCCTCCCACCTCAGCCTCCCAAAGTGCTGGGATTACAGGCATGAGCCACTGCACTCAGCCCAGTTACTGCTTTTCATTCCTCACGTCTTATGGCCACCACTGGTTAAGCCTTCAAAGTGGTTTTTTCATTTGGTACACGAGTGCAGAAGGATATGAAGATTTACACAAAAGACAGTTTGGGTCTCAGCACTGGCCCCCATCAGCAAGCTGAGGGCTGTTGGACAAGCCCCTCAGGCTGTTGCTTCTGAGCCTCAGTGTTCTGAGTTGTGGAATGGGCCATGGAGATATTGTCAGAACTGGCAAGAGAACCAATTGAGAACCATCTCCAGAGAGTCACAACTCAGAGAAGTCAGGGACTCAGTTGACATAAAACTTGAACACAGAGGTCACAAGTTATACATCTGATGCATCTTTAAGATTTTATTTTATTTCATTTCTTTTTTTTAGAGATGGGGCTTCACTGTGTTGCCCAGGCTGGAGTGCAGTGGTGCCACCATAGCTCACTGTAACCTCCCACCTTAGCCTCCCTAGTAGCTGGGAATACAGGTATGCACCACAACTCCTGGCTAATTTTTTTTTTTTTTTTTTTTTTTTGAGGCAGAGTCTCGCTCTGTTGCCCAGGCTGGAGTGCAGTGGCACAATCTCCGCTCACTGCAACCTCTGCCTCCCAGGTTCAAGCGTTTCTCCTGCCTCAGCATCCTGAGTAGCTGGGATTACAGGCGCCCACCACCACGCTAGGCTAATTTTTGTATTTTTAGTAGAGATGGGGTTTCACTATGTTGGCCAGGCTGGTCTTGAACTTCTGACCTCGTGATCCGCCCACCGCGGCCTCCCAAAGTGCTGGGGCTGGTGAGCCACCGCGCCTGACATTTTTTTTTTTTTTTTTTTTTTTGAGACAGGATCTCACTTCCATCACCCAAGGCTGGAGTGCGGTGGTGCAATCATGGCTCACTGCAGCCTTGACCTCCCAGGCCTCCTCCTGCCTCAGCTACCTGAGTAGTTGGGACCACAGGCGCGCACCACCATGCCTGGCTAATTTTTTTTTTTTTTGTAGGTTTCACCATGTTTCCCAGGCTAGTCTTGAACTCCTGGACTCAAACCATCCTCCTGCCTCAGCCTCCCAAAGTGCTGGGATTACAGTTTTTTGTTTTTTTTTTAATTACAAAATTCTTTTTAGAGACAAGGTCTCACTATGTTCCCCAGGGTGGTCTTGAATTCCTGGCTTCAAGTGATCCTCCCACCTCAGCTTCCCAAAGCACTGGGATTACAGGCGTGAGCCACTGCACCCTGGCCCACATCTCATATGTCTTAAAAACATGTTTCTCCTTCTTATAAAAAGTCCAGGTTCTTGCAAAAGTGGCATTAATATTTTTGATTACTGGCTGGAGCTACAATAGAATTCAGTGAGGCTGGCCGGGCACAGTGGCTCATGCCTGTAGTCCCAGCACTTTGATCACCTGAAGTCTGGAGTTTGAGACCAGCCTGGCTAACATGGTGAAGCCCCGCCTCTACTAAAAATACAAAAAATTAGCCAGGCATTGTGGCACATGCCTGTAATCCCAGCTATTCAGGAGGCTGAGGCAGGAGAATCGCTTGAAACCAGGATGCGGAGGTTGCGGTGAGCGGAGATTGCACCATGGCACTCCAGCCTGGGCAACAGAGCAAGACTCCGTCTCAAAAAAATACAAAAATTAGCTGGGCATGGTGGTGCACAACTGTAATCCCAGCTACTCGGGAGGCTGAGGCAGGAAAATCGCTTGAAACCAGGATGCGGAGGTTGCGGTGAGCCGAGATCACGATAGTGCCACTGCACTCCAGCCCAGGCGACAGAGCGAGACTCCATCTTAAAAAAAAAGAATTCAATAGGCCATTTACACTCTCTTGAAGATATTACAAAGCTTCCACAGACTATTCTCTTCAGCGAAGGAAAGAAAATAAGTCTGGCTAGTTCAGGCATAATCTGATAGGCAAAGCATGTTCCTCTGAAGGCCAGGAAAATAAATCAGAACAGCCCCTGGCTTGGAGGAGCGGTGTCTAGACTCCCTGTTGAGTCTATAGTTTTCCTTTGTTAGACAACAGTTTGGGCCATTGGAGCAAGTCACTCTCTGTTTCAGAACTTTGAGGGAATTCTGCTCCTTGGCCGAGGAGATGAGAAAAATGTGGCTGAATTGGTTTAATTTGATGATTCCTACCTATTTACGTAGGAAAAGCTATGAGAAATAATGTGCCCAGGGACCGTGGAGACACAGCCATGGAAGTTGGAATCTATGCAAATATCCTTGAAAAACAAGCAAGTAAGAGAACTTTGTTGCGTGTTTTGGGTGGTTTCAGGTTTTTGTCTTTTTATTTTGTTAAGGTTGTACAGACATACGGGAGTGGGGGGTGGAGCAAAAGGGATAGAGTTCAATGTCTATTGATGCCCAGTCCCACTTTCTAGGGGTAATAACCAGTTTTTTAAATCCTTCCACAGATATTCTGTGTGTATAATAAACAAATGGTAGTGATTGTAGCATATTGTAGGTATGACTTTCTACACCATGATTTTGTTTTTTTTTCATGTAACAACGTATCTTGGAGATTTTTCACATCTGTTCAGAATGATCCACACTGTGTTTCACAGTCTTTCACGGTCACCTCTCAAAGCAGGCATTGCATATTGCTTTGCAGTAAACAAGACCCAGCGCCTCGGCTGATGTATTAGTCCATTCTCATGCTACTATAAGGACATACCTGAGATGGGGTAGTTTATAAAGGAAAGAGGTTTAATTGACCCACAGTTCCGCAGGGCTTGGGAGGCCTCGGGAGACTTACAATCATGGTGGAAGGGGAAGCAAACACATCCTTCTTCCCAAGGCGGTAGGAGAGAGAAGAATGAGAGCCAAGGGAAGGGGGAAACCCCTTATAAAACCATCAGATCTTGTGAGAACTAACTCACTGTCACTAGAAGAGTATGACAGAAACCACCCCCATGATTTAATTATCTCCACCTGGTCCCTCCCATGAGATGTGGGGATTATGGGGACTACAATTCAAGATGTGATTTGGGTGAGGACACAGTCAAACCCTATCATCAGCTGACAATGGAACAGTCCCAGCCTACATGGCCACATTCCAGACGCATTGCTGAGCAATTTACCGACCTTTTCTAACACAAACGCCACCAACCCCCAATTTATGTCATTCTCATTTTACAGAGGAGGAATCTGTGCCAGAAGTGGGATCCAGGCCGTGTGTTTCCACAGCCCAAGATGGTGAGCATGTTCTGCAGAGTCTATTCCACTGCCCTCATGCGCTTAGAAATTCACATAATTGGCCCAATAATTCCTATTCCTTATCTTTTGCCCAGAGGCCAAACACTCCCAGGAGCTACAGTATGCCACCCCCGTGTTCCAGGAGGTGGCACCAAGAGAGCAAGGTGAGCCACAGGTTGGGATAAGAGGTACTGGTGAAATGAGACAGGTGGTCCCTCTGATGTCATTATATTCAGGGGCTTCAGGAGCCCGTTAATGGGGTGGATGGGAGCAATGCAGGCACACTGCAAGGAACCAATGGCAACCAGCACCCCAGCTCCTAAAAAAATCTCATCAGGAGATGGAGGGTGAGGAAGAGGGAAAGATGTGGTGGGGGAATGTCATAGAAAAAAAACCCAGAGAGGAGGATACAGGATCACTACTCAAACATTTCCTTCCTTCCTTCCTTCCCTCTCTCCCTCCCTCCCTCTCTCTCTTTCTTTCTTTCTCTTTCTGTCTCTCTTTATTTTTTCTTTTTCTTTCTTTCTCTTTCTTTCTTTCTTTCTTTCTTCTTTCTTTCTTTTCTTTCTCTCTCTCTCTCTTTCTTTTTCTCTTTCTTTTCTTTCTTTCCTGCCTTTCTCCTTTTTTTTGAGACTCTCACTCTGTTGCCCAGGCTAGAGTGCAGTGGCACAATCTCAGCTCACTGCACCCTCTACCTCTTGGGCTGAAGCAGTCGTCCCACCTTAGCCTCCTGAGTAGCTGGGACTACAGGTGTGCACCACCATGTCTGACTAATTTTTTTTTTTTTTTTGGATAGAGACAAGTATCTTGCTATATTGCCCAAGCTGGTCTTGAACTCCTGGGCTCAACCAATCTTCCTGCCTCGGCCTCCCAAAGTGTTGGGATTACAGGCATGAGGCATTATGCCCAGCTAACATTTTCAAGAATAAATTATTTAACACAGTCCAGGAAAAAATTAGTTAATACCTGGTTCTGTCAGGCCACCCAGCTACTAGAAATAGGATTTTTAAAAACAGCCTTGCTGGTCACATATCCTAAGTAAATTATTTTCCCTTTTATATTTCAGAAGCCTGTGATTCTTATAAATCTGGATATGTCTATTCTGAACTCAACTTCTGAAATTTACAGAAACAAACTACATCTCAGGGTAAGATGCTTTTTATGAAGCTGATTTCCATGAACAAAAAGCAAACTTGAGGCTGAGGCAGGTGGATTACTTGAGGTCAGGAGTTCGAGACCAGCCTGGCCAACATGGCAAAAACCCCATCTCTACTAAAAATACAAAAATTAGCCAGGTGTGGTGGTGTGTGTGTGTAGTCCCAGCTACTCGGGAGGCTGAGGCAGGAGAATCACTTGAGCCCGGGAGGCAGAGGTTGCAGTGAGCCAAGATCGTGCCACTGCACTACAGCCTGGGCGACAAGAGCAAGACTTCATCTCAAAAAAAAAAAAAAAAAAAAAAAAGATATTGATATTCATTGATGTTCATGATTTAGCTAGCCCTCCAGATTTAGCTAATGCCAAAGGTGTGCCTTGATGTGCTGCCAGGGAGAGAGCCCACAGAGTTGAGTTGTGGGGGAGGGAGAATGTTTTAGTCCCCTAGGGCTGCTGCCACAAATGACCACAAGTTGGTGGCTTAGAGCAACCATTTCTGTAGAGCCATGCTCCCTCCAAAAGTTGTGGGGAGGACCCTCCTTGCCTCTTCCAGCTTCTGGGGCTCCAGACATTGCTTGTGGTTGCCTCCCTTCAACTTCTGCCTCTGTCTTCACGTGGCCTTTTATATTCTCTCTTGTCTCTCTCTTTTTTTTTTTGAGATGGAGTCTCACTCTGTTGCCCAGGCTGGAGTTCAGTAGCGCGATCTTGGCTCACTTCAATCTCCATCTTCCCAGTTCAAGCGATTCTCATGCCTCGACCTCCCGAGTAGCTGGGATTACAGGTGCCCGCTACCACGCCCAGCTAATTTTTGTATTTTTAGTAGAGATGGGGTTTCACTATGGTGGCCAGGCTGGTCTTGAACTCCTGACCTCAGATGATCTGCCTGCCTCGGCCTCCCAAAGTGCTGGAACTACAAGCCTGAGCCACCGTGCCCGGCCCTGAATCGCTTTAGTAAATAAAGGGTCTCCAAGAATAAATTCATCCGAACATGCATCCTTCTCTGAGCCTTCTGACTCTTCAATATTCTGCTCACACCTGTCTGGCATCTCCATGATCTTTTCCACTGGTCAGCACTGTCCAATAGAAATATAATGTCAGCCACATGGGCACTTGTCACTCTTTCTAGTAGACACAATAAAAAAATGAAAAGATGGCCGGGCACGGTGGCTCACGCCTATAATCCCAGCACTTTGGGAGGCCAAGGTGGGTGGATCACTTCAGGTCAGGAGTTCAAGACCAGCTTGGCCAACATGGTGAAACCCCGTCTGTACTAAAAATACAAAAAAATTAGCTGGGCACAGTGGCGGGCACTTGTAATTCCATCTACTTAGGAGGCTGAGGCATGAGAATCGCTTAAATCTGGTAGGCAGAGGTTGCAGTGAGCCAAGATCGCACCACAGCACTCCAGCCTGGGCAACAGAGTGAGACCCTGTGTTAAGAAAAGAAAAGAGAAAAGAAGAAAAGAAAAGAAAAAGGAAAAGGAAGGAAGGAAGGAAAGAGAGAAAAGAAGAGAAACAGGTGAAATGAATTGGAATAATATATTTTATTTAACCCAGCATATCCAAAATCCTATCATTTTAACAAGTACAACTACCCTATTTCCCTCAGAATGTAGCATTGCCTCTGGTTTGCTGTGGATCCTGTATTGGACCACTCAGCTGTAGAGTCCTGTGGGATCCAAGCTTCAAGGAGACCCATCATGCATGTTTAGGGCCAGTTCCAGGTGTCCTTGACATGACACTAAACCTCCATTTCCTTTGTTTTGGAGACGGAGTCTGGCTCTGTCGCCCAGGTTGGAGTGCCATGGTACGACCTTGGCTCACTGCAACCTCCGCCTCCCGGATTAAAGCGATTCTCCTGCCTCAGCCTCTCAAGTAGCTGGCATTATAGGCGTGTGCCACCATGCCCGGCTAATTTTTGTATTTTGTAGTAGAGACAGGGTTTTGCCATGTTGGCCAGGCTGGTCTTCAACTCCTGACCTCAAGTGATCCGCCCACCTCGGACTCCCAAAGTGCTGGGATTACAGGCGTGAGCCACCTCGCCTGGCCCTCCATTTCCTGATCTAGTCTTATATCCACGCTCACCACCTCAGCACGCTCAGACCCACGCTGCTGTGGGCTCCTCTGGCTCCTGGAAGAGTGCGTCCGCAGATGCTGCAGTCTTTGTGTGGCTCAGCAATTGCCACTCACATCAGGAACTGCCTTTACCCTGTCAGGCTCTACTGAGACCCGACCCTGGTTATTAAGCTATAGGGGAGACAAGGATGGATCTTAAAGAAGACAAGCAAAATGTAGTGAAGCAAATAGAATGGTGGTTCCTGGGGGATGGGGGCAGGGGACAACGAGGAGTGACTGGCTAACAGATACAGCGTTTCAGTTTGGAAAGACAAAAAAGTTCTGGAAAAAAGATGGAAGGTGGTGATGGTTGCACAATAATATGAGTTTTGTTGTTGTTGTTTTTTGAGACAGAGTCTCTCTCTGTTGCCCAGGCTGGAGTGCAGGGGCACGATTTCGGCTCACTGCAACCTCTGCCTCCCGGGTTCAAGCGATTCTTGTGCCTCAGCCTCCCAAGTAGCTGGGATTACAGGCACCCACCACCATGCCCAGCTAATTTTTGTATTTTTAGTAAAGATGAGGTTTCACCATGTTGGCCAGGCTGGTCTCAAACTCCTGACCTCAAATGATTGGCCTGCCTTGGCCTCCCAAAGTGCTGGGATTACAGGCATGAGCTATTGCGCCCGGCAATATGAATGAATGTTTTTAATACCATTGAATTACACACCTAAAATTGGTTAAAATGGTAAAAAATTTTATGTTATGTATAACTTACCACAATAATTTAAAAAATATTGTGAAGCGCCTGCCTCATGTGAGGTCTTCTAATAAGAGGGGCTGTTCTCCTTCTCAAGAGCGCTCGCGGGCATTGGGAGTTTCTTATTCTCAAATGTCCACATCCCAAGGCCTACCCCGTCCCTGTCAGTGTCAGAAGTTAGCAGAGCAGAACTGCTAGATGTGCTCACTCCATCTCCTCCATGGTTGGCCCACCCTTTCGATCAGATCCTGGAATTGGCTTTCAGCACAGCCTTCCAGCTGGCTGTGATAAATGAGAGTGGCTTAAACCCTGTCATCAGGGTTTCACAGCTTGCCCTGAACCGTAGCCTCTCATTTTCTCCTTGCAAATCTTCTAAGGCAGCTAAGAGAAGCCAATTAACTTCACAATCCACATAATTAGCATTGCCCCAAACCTTTCAAGTGCTGGAATGCTGGCGTCCACTAGTGCCTCATTTCTTTCTAAACCTCATTCCACATGGCAGGGGAAGGTCTTAGGAATTGTGGAGCTGTGGCGTTCTAAGGGTTCTCACTGCCTACCTATCACCAGCAAGGGAGTCCTTGTTGCCATCCATCCCTAGGGGGTAATTTTGTTCCCTGAGGCTGCTTTCTAGGGACTTCTGGTCGCTTGTTTTATCCTGGACCAGACCTGAAAGCAGAGCCTGAAATAAGGCCTTCTATGCACATCATTTATGTAGGAGGTGGCCCTAGGAAGCAGGCCCAATGCGCCATGGGAAAAACCAGTACCAGGGTGTTTTGCTGAGTTGAGCACTGTGGTGGGCAGCTGGACATGAGCCCACTGGAATCTTCTGAAGAGCCCAAGAGCCTCTTCTCAGTATTGTCCACTTGAGGATTGATAGTGAGAGGCATTTATCCACTGGTGTCCAACGCTCACTGGTTGAGGATCACCCCAGAAAGCGACACCTCCCCCACTTCTAGACTAGCATGTGGGTATTCCAAGCAGGCTTACCTCAGTGTCTCACCCCAGGCACTGCAAACACCCCAGGACAGAAAGTGAACATGTGTATTGTGCAATTGAAGCAAGACACTATCAGTGCAAAGTGAGTAGACCCTCAGATGCTGCTGGGTCAGAGGGAAGGCCCAGGGATATGACACAGGACACAGAGGTGGCAGATACACCACCTCCCAACATTTCCTCTATCACAGCAACTAGAACAATGGCAACAATAGGGGTGGGTGTGGTGGCTCACGCCTATAATCCCAATACCCTGGGAGGCCAAGGCAGAAGGATTGCTTGAGCCCAGGAGTTCAAGACTAGCCTGGGCAACTTGGCGAAACCCTGTCTCTACAAACATATTTGTATGTGATTGAACAAGTAGAACAATGGAACGGAAAGTCCAGATGTAGTTCTAAATATGTACAGGAACTTAGTATAGGATAAATATGGCATCTTAAATCAATGGGGAAAAGATGGATTATTCAACATATTGTAAAAACTTGAGAATCACATTAAAAAAGTTGGACTCCTACCTCATTCTTTACAACAAAATTAATTCTGATAGATGTAGTCACAGAAGAGCTAGAAGAATATGCAGGGGATTTAAAAATAATCTTGAAGTGGGGAGGACTTTTATAGGTATGACTCACAACCCAGAAAACATAAAGGATTGTTAAATTTAATTAGATAAATCATTTAATTAGATGAAACATTTAAAAATTACATTTAGAAATCATAAACTAAATCCAAAGAATAACTAGGGGCCGGGCGCAGTGGCTCACGTCTGTAATCCCATGGGGCAGGTGGATCACCTGAGGTTGGGAGTTTGAGACCAGCCTGTCCAACACGGTGAAACCCCGTCTCTACTAAAAATACAAAAATTAGTTGGTGTGGTGGCACATACCTGTAGTCCCTGCTACTGGGGAGGCTGAGGCATGAGAATTGCTTGAACCTGGGAGGTGGAGGTTGCAGTGAGCCAAGATCGCGCCACTGCATTCCAGCCTGGGCGACAGAGCAAGACTCCATCTCAAAAAAAAAAAAAAAAAAAAAAAAAAAAAAAAGAATAACTAGGGAGAAAACACCATGATGTGTTGCATAATAACATTTCAGTCATTCATGGACCAAATATAAAATGGGGTCCCAAAAAACTATAATACCGTGTTTTTACTGTACCTTTTCTATGTTTAGACACATTTAGATACACAAATACTTACCATTGTGCTACAATTGCCTAGTGTTCAGTAGCATGCTGTACAGGTTTATCCCTAGGAAGAATAGACTATCCCACACACCCTAGGCGTGTAGCAGGCTATGCCATCTAGGTTTGTGTGAGTACACTCTATGCTGTTCAAACAGTGACCTCCACTGTTAGGTGAAGCATGACTGTATTTTGAGCCCAGGTCTCAGATATTGTATGAAGTTTCATAATATTATGAGCTTTTACAAATCATTAAGAGAAAGACCAATAATCCAGTAGAAAACTGGGAAAAGGTGGCATCTGCAGGGTAACACCAGGGCAGCACAGAAATCTTGCTGGGATGAGGAGCTGCAAACATGTGTGGTCGACTTTTTGGCCTTCTGCCTCTTCTACTCTCAGGGATGGGGGATTACAACTAAAGAAGTTGTCTTTTGGCCGGGCGTGGTGGCTCACGCCTGTAATCCCAGCACTTTGGGAGGCCGAGGCGGGTGGATCACAAGGTCAGGAGATCAAGACCATCCTGGCTAACACGATGAAACCCCGTCTCTACTAAAAAATTCAAAAACATTGGCCGGGCGAGGTGGCGGGCACCTGTAGTCCCAGCTACTCGGGAGGCTGAGGCAGAAGAATTGTGTGAACCCGGGAGGCGGAGCTTGCAGTGAGCCCAGATCGCGCCACTGCACTCCAGCCTGGGCGACAGAGGAAGGCTCCGTCTCAAAAAAAAAAAAAAAAGAAGAAGTTATCTTTTCTCAGTGTTGCTTCTCCCTAAGGATTTAAAGGGGAGACCTGGCCAGAGGAATCATCAACAGTGGATTTGTGATGACTGGAGTTCATTTCCTTCTTTCTCAACTGTCCTGGAAGGAAATGGACTAGTGCCTTACCTCTGACTCTTCCGCAGCACACACCCACCACCAGAGACAGTAACTGAGATCTGCAGTAGCACAGAAACTTACAGGTTAGAAAAATTAGACACCTAAGGATTTCATGACTCCAGACCTGTTTCCTTAGCATAATACCACACCAGTAGGAGAAATACAACTTACGAAATTTCTTTGTAAATAAATTCTATAACATTTTGGGTAAAAATTTATCATAAAAAAATTATTAAAAGCAATTGGGTTGGAAGGAAGTTCTGTCAAAATACAATCCAGGTGTGCAGTTCTCTGATAAATTTAGCAGTGGTTACTACTGAGGCAGTCTCAAAAAAAAGTGTAAAAGGACTTTAAGGGGTGATGAAAATTTTCTACATTGCCTTTGTGGAGATGGTTATACATTTGTCAATACTCATCAATTTGTACATTTAAAAGAGGTAAATTTATTGTATGTAAATTGTATCTTAATAAAACTGATTAAAACAGACATACAAACCCCAGACCCTCTGCAGTCCTGAATTTGAGTGGAAAATATTGGTGTGAACTCATAATTTATTTTTCATTTGTTATTATTATTATTATTTTGGAGATGGAGTCTCACCCTGTTGCCCAGGCTGGAGTGCAGTGGCATGATCTTGGCTCACTGCAATCTCTGCCTCCCAGGTCCAAGCAATTCTCCTGCTTCAAACTCCCAAGTAGCTGGGATTACAGGCGCCTGCCACCATGCCCAGTTAATTTTTGTATTTGTAGAAGAAACGGGGTTTCACCGTGTTGGCCAGGCTGATCTTGAACTCTTGACCTCAAATGATCCACCCACCTCAGTCTCCCAAAGTGCTGGGATTACAGGCGTGAGCCACCGTGCCCGGCCTTATTTTTTATTTTTTTTGAGACAGGGTCTTGCTCTGTTGCCCAGGCAGGAGTACAGTGGTGTGATCCAAGCTCCCTGCGGCTTTGACTCCCCGGGCTCAAGCCGTCCACACCCATCAGCTTCCCAAGTAGCTGGGACTATAGGCCTGAGCCACTATGACTGGCTAATTTTCAAAGCTTTTTTTTTTAGAGATGTGGTCTATGTTGCCTAGGCTGGTCTCGAACTCCAGGACTCAAGTGATCCTCCTGTCTCAGCCTCCCAAAGTATTGGGATTACAGGTATGAGCCACCACATCTGGCCAATTTTTTTTTCAGGGAGGAAATACACACTCTCCTATATTTGCTAGCTCTTAATACTGGAAAGGCCTAGAAACAAAGACTGCCTTCTATCAATGAGCATTCCTAGTATCCAAAGTATGGTGTCCACTTTTTTCCAATAAAAAAAACCCCAGAGCTCCTTGGAATATACAATCTCTACAGTAGTTATTAGAAGGAAATTATCAAAGACTAGTAAGGTGTGTCAAAAAGACTTGAGGCTGGCCAGGCACAGTGGCTCACACTTGTAATTCCAACACTTTGGGAGGCTGAGGTGGGCAGATCACCTGAGGTCAGGAGTTCAAGACCAGCCTGGCCAATATGGTGAAACTTTACTAAAAATACAAAAAATTAACCACGTGTGGTAGCAGGCGCCTGTAATCCCAGCTACTCAGGAGGCTGAGGCAGGGAGGCTTTAACCCGGGAGGCAGAGGTTGCAGTAGGCCAAGATCGCACCACTGCACTCCAGACTGTGTGACAGAGCAAGACTGTCTCAAGAAAAAAAAAAAAAAAGACTTGAGGCCAACTTGAGGTTCCCATTGGCCAAAGATGGGACAATTTGAGCATCAAAAGGAATAATTACTTTAAATAATCCAGCATTTATCCTACCTTTCCCATACCTCTAGGTAAGCAAATACTCGGTGAGAAGCTTTTCTTCATAGAAGTACTCTAGCAAACGGCCGGGTGCGGTGGCTCATGCCTGTAATCCCAGCACTTTGGGAGGCCGAGGCGGGCGGATCACCTGAGGTCGGGAGTTCAAGACCAGCCTGACCAACATGGAGAAACCCCATCTCTACTAAAAATACAAAATTAGCAGGGCATGGTGGCGCATGCCTGTAATCCCAGCTACTTGGAAAGGCTGAAGCAGGAGAATCACTTGAACCTCGGAGGCGGAGGTTGCAGTGAGCTGAGTTTGCGCCACTGTACTCCAGCCTGGGCAACAAGAGTGAAACTCCAACTCAAAAAAAAAAAAAAACAACAAAAAAAGTACTCTAGCCAACAAAGAAGGAAGATAGAATATCACCATTTTGCAAGCTTTAATGAACTCACCACTTGAGGTATTAATCAATGGTTGCTGGCCACCCCAAAAAAGAAACAAACAGACACTACTACCACTTCCTTTTTTTTTTTTTTTTTTTTTTTGAGACAGCGTCTCACTGTGTCACCCAGGCTGGAGTACAATGGCGCGATCTTGGCTCACTGCAACCTCTGCCTCCTGGGTTCAAGCGATTCTCCTGCCTCAGCCTCCCAAGTAGCTGGGATTACAGGCGCCCACCACCACGCCCAGCTAATTTTTTGTATTTTTAGTAGTTTCACCATGTTGGCCAGGCTGGTCTCAAACTCCTGACCGCAGGTAATCCACCTGCCTCAGCCTCCCAAAGGGTTGGGATTACAAGCGTCAGCCACTGGCCAACTCAGTGCTATTCTTATTTCATCTCCCACCACTTAAAAAAGTTTGTTTTAAACAGGAGAATTATAAAGCAAGTCTCAATTACCATAAATGTATGTATCTGTCAGACAAGGATTTTTTTAAAAAGAAAAATATAAACATACTACCATTATCACACCCAACAAAATTGTAAATAATTCCTTGATATCATGTAGTGTTATTTTTTTAATGTGATAATAGTGTGGTTATTAACAAAAGATCCTTAAATATTTCCAGATTAAATGGTAGCTGCTATCTGCCTTGAAATAATATTCAAGGAGGCCAGGTGAGGTGGTTCATGCCTGTAATCCCCATATTTTGGGAGGCTGAGACAGGAGGATCACTTGAGCCTAGGAGTTTGAGACCAGCCTGGGCCACATAGTGAGACCCTGTCTCTTAAATTAATAAATAAATGTAAATAAATAAATTACTGATATAATATGGAAGGGTGGTATTAGTGGATGAGGTGGGACTGGCCAAAGGTTGATTGTTGTTGGTGCTAGATGATCACTACATAGAATTAGTACAATTATATGTCTGCTTTTAAAATTCTCCATAATAAAAAAAAGCATAAAATAACCAAAACAAGGCTAGGTGCAGTGGCTCAAAATTGTTATCCCATCATTTTAGGAGGTCAAGGCAGGAGGACTACTTGAGGCTCGGAGTGAAAGATCAGCTTAGCCAACATAGTGAGACCCTGTCTCTACAAAAAAAATTAAAATTAAAATAAAAAAAAAAAGAGAAAAACCTACCAAGTAAAATCAATTAAGTCAGTCAAACTTTTGAAATATTTTACAGGCACTATCAGTTGGAATTTTTGTCAAGTTGGTAACAATGGGATATTTTACACAATCATATCAACACATAAAAGTTAAAAGATTTCTTATAAACATAGATATTAGACAGGAAACAAACTACAATATATGACATCTAACATATATTTTAGTTGCTTTTCAAAAATCCGTAAATACTCTAAGTTTTAAAAGTTTAGTTTTAGGTTAATTTTTGATATCTGACAGTATAGATGTGGCAGATTCCATAAAGACCTTTTCCTTCCTGGTAACAAAGCCCATTTCTGAGAGAGTAAGATACTATTGCAGCCTCAAGGGATAAATTGCGTTTGATCTAAATCAGATCATTTTCATTCCCTTGGATGGTGATTTGCCTAGAAATTATCATGTGATTTAGTTCTGACCAAAGAGATGTAAAGACATCTCCCGACTGGGATGTCTGGAAAAGTTTTTACTTCCCTAATTTAAAAGGGAAGAGTGTTGGCTGACTAGCTCTTGTCTCTTTAACTTTTCTCCTAACTAGAATGATAATTAGGCTGGAAATACAGCAGCCACCTAAGATCCCGAAGCAACAATGATAAACACCAGCGTACTAAACATGGCAGAACAGAAGGGAAGTGCCTGGGTCCCTAACTATAGAAACAGTAATACTAGCTTTGGACAGTCTACCCGCTAGAGTTCTTGTATGTAAGAAAAACAAACCCCAATTTGCTTAATCCAGTATAGTAGATTTTTGTTTCTTGTAGCTGAACATATTCCTGATACAATGAAAGACATAAAAAATATAAACACTGAATGAAAGCAAGCACCACAAATGTCCACTTTATAAGTGCAAAGGGGCTAGAAATAAATCTAAGTGAACATAAGACAACCAAATTAGGAGAGAAGAATATTTATTATACAAATATAAAAATCTATACATTCTTAGCTGATGATATATACTTAATCAAAAAGTCTTTTAATTTGGATATATGCATCATTTCCTTCATTGTGGTGTCTCTGCTTCTCAGATGTATTAATCCATTCTCCAAAGTAGTTTCAGTAACCAAAACTGTGAAGAGAATACTCATTTCATCATACCTAAGAAAAAAGTAGTTAAACAGACACATGAGCACAAATGTAAATAATAAATTCCTCCACGTTGCCAGCTGTAATTCAGTGTTCATGCACTCTCAAGAGTCACAGACTCAGGGCTTAAGGGTGGACCAAAAAAACCCAACATTTTTAAAGTTTCTGAATTGTATTTAAAGTAATATTTTCAGACAGTTTCTAACTTATTGCTAGAGCTGAAAAGTCATAAAAGAAAATAAAATCTGAGAATAAACACTGGTACCTCAACACATCATTTGGGGTGATATCACAGAAGAACCGCATAATAACCTCAGCCTTTTGGTTCTTGGATGCAATCCAAGAACAATTATTTTAGACTGAAGTCTCTTACAATAAACAATATTATAATAAAGATGCAATTTGGTATAACAAATTATACCAAAATCATGTTTCCTTTATTGAGTAGCTAGCTTATAGCTTCTAGTTCAGCAATAACCAAACAGATAGATGCACGGCTGACCTTCTGTATGCTTACCAAGTCACACTATCTCATTACTGTTTATTTCCTTTGTAGGACTCCATCAGAAACTTTTTATTTCTCTGTTTATTTATTGTCTATTTTGTCCTACTAGAATATAAGCTTAACAAGAATAGTATGGCTGGGCGTGGTGACTCATGCCTGTAATCCCAGCACTTTGGGAGGCTGAGATGGGCGGATCATGAGGTCAGGAGTTCGAGACCAGCCTGGCCAACATAGTGAAACCCCATCTCTACCAAAACTACAAAAAATTAGCTGGGCGTGGTGGCAGGCGCATGTAATCCCAGCTACTCGGGAGGCTGAGGCAGGAGAATCGCTTGAACACGGGAGGCAGAGGTTGCACTAAGCCGAGATCACGCCATTGCACCAGCCCGGGCGACAGTGCGAGACTCTGTCTTAAAAAAAAAGAATGATACATTTTTCTGTGTTGTTCACCACTATAGCAAAGTGAATAAAACATAGTACGTGTTTAATAATAATTTCATAAAAATATCCTGGGACAATAAAACCTTTACCATATAAAGAACAACTGCAACTTGACAATGTCCACATGGCTCAAAGGATAAGAATTGAGAACCTGAGAGGACAAGAAAGTTCAAGTGCTGCCCCTTCATTTTACACATAATAAAACCATTAGATGCTCTAATTATAGAAAACTACTTTTCTTTGGACATCATCTGAAAGGTGTTTTTTTTTTTTTTTTTTGAGAAGGAGTCTCGCTCTGTCACCCAGGATGGAGTGCAGTGGCTTGATCTCAGCTCACTGCAACCTCCGCCTCCTGGGTTCAAGCAATTCTCCTGCCTCAGCCTCCCAAGTAGCTAGGACTACAGGCACAAGCCACCATGGCCAGGTAATTTTTTGTATTTTTAGTAGAGACGGGGTTTTGCTATGTTGGCCAGGCTGGTCTTGAACTCCTGACCTCAGGTGATCTGCCCGCCTCAACCTCCCAAAGTGCTGGGATTACAGGTGTGAGCCACTGCGCCCAGCCTGGAAGGTGTATTTTAACAAATGTTCAGAGAACTGAAGATCAAAACACAATGGTTCACAACTTTTCACCCAAAAGATACATATTCAACACAAAAAGCTTAAAAAAAATAACAAGAATGGATTATTTAAAAACAACAATTAATGAAATAGCATGGGGTGAGACTAGACACAGAGAGCTCAATTAGGAGATGATTTCAATAATCCAGGCAAGAGATATTGGTGACTCTAACTTGGGTAGTGGCAGCGAAGACAGAGATGGATGAGATACATTTAGGAAGCAAGCTGACAGCATTTGATGATAGACTGGATGTAGAGAATGAGGAAGAGGGAGGAGTTAAGGATGATAGCCAGTTTCTCTGTCTTGAGCAATTGGGTGAACAGAGGTGCCAATCCCTTAGAAGACTAGAACAGACCATCCCTCCAGAATAGAATTCCCTTCCACTCAGTCTCAGAATGGACCACAATGCCAGCAAAGAAAGGCATTCCACTCATATTCCTTCAGTCTTGATTCAACACATGCTCTCTACATACATACTTTCATCCATAAGTGGATAAGCTGAGGTATACATACTTCATGACATTAAGTCTTGGAACTACATACAGCATGTGCTCAAACATACTTGCTGAATACTGTTCCCTGCTGAGGCAATTAACTAAATGCACATAGTTCTGTAAAAGGGAAACTGAGGAATAATTTAAAATTATATTTTATATATAAATTTAGAAGAGATTTGTTTCTGTAATTCATAAACATAATCAAAAACTCTTGAATAAATACACTCTTTAATGAAAATACAATTCTTACTTCGAATAAAGTTGTTCCAATGAGGACTGCATAGTTTCCAAATAACCAGGCCACACAGAAATCCCATTTTCTAGTAACTCATTAAATAGCCCTTGACAAACCTAGAAAGAAATAGAAAAACTTCAAATATGAAAGAAATAATGGTAGCTAGAGTGATTATTCTATTTTTGTGAAGCCACAAATCACCCTCTTCAATCTCTAAAATGGGTATGTTTCTTTAATTATGTGATGTTAATGTTTATAACTTCCATATCATATACTTTATAAATCGTATACTTCTTCTGAAAATGAAGTAATTAAGCATAGCAAAGCTGAATACTAAATGCCAATCTTCTGAGAAATTTGTATATCAAATAAGAATTTTTATTACCCTTAGTATCATTCAAAACACAAACAAAACCAAAACAGATTCTGTCAGAAAAAAACCAGGAGATCCAAAGGGCTGTATGAACTCAGAGCCCTCATCTGAGAGGTGAGACCTGAGCCCTAGGTTATACCACCAAGTCAGGAAGAGGCAGAAGAGCCAGGAAAGAAAAAGGATGAGAAAAAGGAGAGTGGTATTCCAGAAGCAAACCCCGGAAAATGTTTCAAGAAGAGACTGATCAACCCATTTCACTGGAATGCTGGAGACAAAAGCTTGACTGGAAATACAGAAGTAACGATGAATAAATGACACAGTAAACTTAACTGTTTTCTTTACAAGCAATAGGGAAGCAAAACAAAGCAAAATTTAAAAACCCCTTAACAGTCTAGCACCAACAGTCCAGAGCAGGGTTCCTCACCCTTGCACTGCTGACCCAGGGTGTTTAGCAGCATTCCTGGCCTCCAGGAGAGGCCTGCAGCACCCTCCCACTCTTAGGACAACCACAAATCTCTCCAGACATTACTAAATGGTGACTGAGCTACAGCATCCTAGGAGCTTCCTAGCTTATAAGGGTATTAGGGAGGCTGCCATACCCTGGGAGAAAATGTGGGACATACGCCATTATCTTCTCCTTCTTTGAGCTCACTATCTCCCATCTTCCCAGACCTCTCCACAAAAGCCAGGGTCAGAAAGCTGGGGGACTCTCAAAGTCTTTAAATCTTTTTAGTGTCCGCATTCAGGTCTGGGCTGGGTCTCAATCACCCAGACAGAAATGACGACTGCTGAAGGAGTCTCTGGAACGAAATGAAAGCCATCCCCCATGGCCTTTCTTAAGAGTATTTAATCATTAGAACAAATTAGAAAAATCAAAATAAAATTATAGATCTAGAATATCTGAATATAGTCAGTTACCAAAAGTGTTAAGTTCAAAGGGGAAAGGCTGCGCACGGTGGCTCACGCCTGTAATCCCAGCACGTTGGGAGGCCGAGGTGGGCGGATCACTTGAGGTCAGGAGTTGGAGACCAGCCTGGCCAACATGGTGAAACCCTGTCTCTACTAAAAATACTAAAAAATTAGCCAGGTGTGGCGGTGTGTACCTGTAATCCCATCTACTAGGGAGGCTGAGGCAGGAGAATTGCTTGAACCTGGGAGGCAGAGGTTGCAGTGAGCCGAGATCGTGCCACTGCACTCCAGCCTGGGTAACAGAGCAAGACTCCGTCTCAAAATAAATAAATAAATAAATAAAAAGTTCAAAGGGGAAAGAAATAATTCACATTCACTAACATGTGTACAAATATTTTAATTACTATGTCTACTCACTAAAAAGTGAAACTATGAATGGGCATGAACAGCAAACCCAATGAACTGTATTCAGCTTCTTTAACACACTTCAAAATTATATATAATCACAGTACTTACCCACAGTTCATTATTTAATTAAAGCTTTTTTTTTTTTTTTTTTTTTTTCTGAAGCAGGGTCTTGCTCTG
Organism: Homo sapiens; assembly: GCF_000001405.40. Lineage (NCBI taxonomy): Eukaryota > Metazoa > Chordata > Mammalia > Primates > Hominidae > Homo > Homo sapiens. The sequence goes on from NC_000017.11 coordinate 64,482,141, forward strand.
TCACCCAGGCTGGAGTGCAGTGCTGCGATCTCGGCTCACTGCAACCTCCACCTCCCAGGTTCAAGTGATTCTTGTGCCTTAGCCTCCTGAATAGCTGGAATTACAGGCACATACCATTATGCTCGGCTAATTTTTGTATTTTCAGTAGAGACCAGGTTTTGCCATATTGGCCAGGCAAATTAAAAACTTTTTTTTTTTTTTTTGAGACGGAGTCTCTGTCGCCCAGGCTGGAGTGCAGTGGTGCTATCTCAGCTCACTGCAACCTCTGCCTCCTAGGTTCAAGTGATTCTCCTGCCTTAGCCTCCTGAGTATCTGGGACTACAGGTGCGTGCCACCACGCCCAGCTAATTTTTGTATTTTTAGTAGATGGGGTTTCACCATATTGGCCAGGATGGTCTCGATCTCTTGACCTCGTGATCCACCCGCTTTGGCCTCCCAAAGTGCTGGGATTACAGGCGTGAGCCACCACGCCCGACCTAAAACATTTTAAAAAGCAAATGAATCAAAATAAAATTTTAAATGGCAAGCTATCAAGTTTACTTAGAGTAAGGGTTAGGTTGAGCATCCCTAATCAGAAAATCCGAAATCCAAAATGCTCCAAAACCTGAAACCTTGAGTTCAAAGGAAATGCTCATCAGAACATTTAAGATTTTGGATTTTTGGATTAGAGATGCAAATATACCAAAAAAATCCGAGATCCAAAATGGTCCTGGTCCAAAGCGTTTTTGGATAATACTCAATCTGTAATTAAAATGACATTTAAACTCATTTAACTCACCTGTCTTAGTTCCAATGTGGGGCCTCTTCCTACATCCAAAGCAACCTTAATAGGGGCTAAACAAGGGTGAAGTTTAAGTACCTAAGGCAATTAAATGGGGGAGGGAGAAGACAGGAAAGGGGAAAAAGCATAGTTTGTTTAAATATAACACAAGTTTAAATATAACACAAGTATTAACAAACAGTTTCTTAACAGTTATAATTTTCTGTGTGAAAACAGAAGTTAGCTGAGGTCATAAAAACACCATGTAGTAACATATTCAGCTGCCCCCCAGATTTCTCCACTTAGATGTTTGGCAGAAAGAAATTAATTTGGCCAGGCATGGTGGTACATGCCTATAATTCCAGCACTTTGGGAGGCTGAGGCAGGTGGATTCCTTGAGCTCAGGAGTTTGAGACCAGCCTGGGCAACACGGTGAAAACTTCTCTCTACCAAAAAAATACAAAAAAATTAGCTAGGTATGGCGCATACCTGTAGTCCCAGCTACTCAGGCGGCTGAGGTGGGAAGAATGCTTGACCCGGGAGGTCAAGGCTGCAGTGAGCCAAGATCGTGCCACTGCACTCTAGTCTGGGCGACAGAGTGAGATCCTGTCTCAAAAAAAAAAAAAAACAAATTAACTTGAGACCCTCCCATTTTCTGACAACTCCCTCAGTCAAAATGCTTCTTTCAGCATCACTTTGGACCCTACCAGCCTGGGCCACGTGGCTTACCATTTCAACTTTCTCTCTCTTGTCAAAACCTACTGTTCTTCTCTTTTTATATATATTTTTTTGAATGAAAAAAATTTTTAAATGAAATTTGCTTTTTTTTTTTTTTTAAAGGGTCTGGCTCTGTTGCCCAGGCTAGAATGCTCCACTCACTGCCTCACTGCAACCCCCACCTCTGGGCTCAAGCCATCCTCCCACTTCAGCCTCCTAAGTAGCAGGGACTACAGGTGCACGCCACCACGCCCAGCTAGTTTTAGTATTTTTTTGTAGAGATGAAGTTTTGCCATGTTGCCCAGACAGACTGGTCTCGAACTCCTGACCTGAATGATCCACCCACCTTGGCTTCCCAAAGTGCTGGGATTATAGGCGTGAGCCATTCAGCCCAGCCTTCTCTTCTCATTCATTAGTCCATCCAACAAACATTTTAATGCCTCTGATACCAGGAACAGTTCCAGGTGCTAGGGGTAAAAATCTCCGTCTCTCGTGGCAGGGAGAAACAGACAATAAAAATAAGTAAATAATATATGTGAAGGTGGTAGGTGCTAAAAAAGGAAGAAGATGGAACATGCTGGCAAGAGGCAGGCTGGGGGAGGTTTTCAGCAACTTTAAGGTGGTCAGAAAAGGTTCTCTCCCTATGGTGACACTTGAGCAAACACTCGAAAGAAGGTGGGGGGACGAGACATGGATGATGAAGAAAGAGCACTCTAGGCAATGGGGAATACAAATGACAGGGCTCTGAGCTGGCAGCATCTCCAGCATGTTCTAGAAATAGCAAGGTCAGTGCTGCTGGAGCAGACTGAGTGAGGTGGAGAACAGCAGATCAAAAAGAGGGCTTCGGTTTTTCCTGAGTGAGATGAGAAGCTTTCCTGGAGTGTTCTGAGCAAAGGAGCAACACAACATGCACCTTTTAACAGGGCCACTCTATCAGGGGAGGAGGAGTGGCGGTGGCTTATAGCAGGGTGGTAGCAGTAGACAGGCTAGGAAGTGGTCAGACTCAGGATACGTTTTGAAGTTAGAGTCAAACAGGATTTGCTGATGGTTTGGAAGTGGAGTGTAAGAAAAAGAAAGGATTCCTTTTTTTGTTAGCTACAAACCATTTATAAACCCCATTCCCCAGAATAATTCTATAATCAGACTTCTCTATGGTTATAGCAGGCTAAATGAACACTGTATAATAAATCACTTAACTAAGAAGAGTGGTTTCCTACAAACTCATGGTTCCCAATCCCAGCTGAACACTCAACATTATTTGTTAAAACTTTTGATTTGGGGCAGCTTCCTTTTATGTTCAAAGGGTATATGACTATTCCCCACTCGTGCCATTTAAACCCCCACTCTTCCACATTTAAACTAATAGTGCCTCCTAACTCCCTGAGAAAATAGAGGGCATCAGTAAAATGTCCTTCAAAGACCAAAAAGCCCAGTAGCCTTTTTATATCTCACTATCCTTTTTCTTCTTCCCTGCTGTTTCAAATATCTCCTTTTCAAGATACATTCTTCTACTTGGGCTCTTGATCCCATCCTGACCCCTCCGGTTTCCTTCATCTTGCCCCATTAATCATTTCTTTTCTCTCCTATAACTTCAACTTCTCCTCTCGATTTTCTTTGACCCATAAACATGCTCCAAGTGCATGTTCATGCACTAAAATCAGCCTTTCCAGGCCCACATCTAGCTCCTCTGATCCAGGAACCAGCCATGTGGCACAAGACCAGAAGCCAGACACCTGGGGCAGAGAGGTCAATAGCACAGGTCTCCCTGATCCGGGTCTTTCTTCCTCCTATGTACCAATGCTTCAGCTTCTGATACAAATGGAAGCCCACAGTGGAAAGGTTCAGGGGCTAGGAGTCATAGAGATAGCTGTCTGTTCACAATTAAACAGAAATGCCTTTGGGATTACTTATTAGGGATGCCTTGTTCTATTCTGTGAGAACCTGATTCTTATTCCTGTGGCCAGATTCTAAAAAAACTGAAAAATACTTAGACTACATGCACTAAATTTATTATTTAGAGTTTATGTTAGAAACCGAGCACACTAACATTAAGAACAAACAAACCCATATTTTTAGTTTCCCAAGTCTATCTCTGAAATATCAACAGCACCTTTCTATGAAGATTTTTCTTTCTTGTAAAGGAGTTCTCTGTCAGCTGGAAAGAATCATAGAGGTAGGCCAGCATGCCTCGGTCTAGGTCCCCATTTACAGAGAGAACACAAGGAACCACATTTTTTCGTCCATCTCGGCCCTTCACAGAAAAACAGAAGAAAAATAATCATTTCACAGAACTTTTTTTGTTTGTTTGTTTTTGAGACGGAGTCTCACTCTGTCACCTGGCCAGGCTGGAGTGCAGTGGCATGATCTCAGCTCCCTGCAACCTCTGCCTCCCAGGTTCAAGTGATTCTCCTGCCTCAGCCTCCTGAGTACATATTTTAGACTTACACAATCAGAATACAAAAGTAAAGTTTCATTTTACAAAGCACCCACTCTGTACCAGGCCTGTGGTAGGCACTGGGCCCACGAAGACGATAAAGATGCATTCTCTGCTCTCACTGAGCTCAGTGTTTCATCAGCGAGGCCCAAATGTGAATTTTAAAACTATGGTGCTTGGTTGGGCTCTATCCCAGAGATTCTGAACGAACTCAACTGGAGAGGGACTTAGGCATCAATTTTTTCAATAGCCCTACAGACTATTTCTTTAATGCTTCCGAGCTCAGAGTTAGTATTCAGAAAGGTAACACTTTTTTTTTTTTTAATACAGACAGAGTCTCGCTCTGTCACCCAGGCTGGAGTGCAATGGCATGATCTCACCTCATTGCCAACCTCTGCCACCCGGGTTCAAGTGATTCTCTTGCCTCAGTCTCCTGAGTAGCTAGGACTACAGGCACACACCACCATGTCTGGCTAATTTTTTTCTATTTTTAGTAGGGACGGGGTTTCACCATGTTGGCCAGGTTGTTCTCAAACTCCTCACCTCAGGTGATCAGCCCACCTCAGCCTCCCAAAGTGCTGGGATTACAGGCGTGAGCCACTGCGCCCTACCTCGAAAGGTAACACTTTTAAGTAAAAATTGTTTGCTGATTATTCAAAAGAGGCCTTAGGGAAAAAAATGGTGTGCTTTAGGGAAAGGGGTTTGGAGTATAATTTTCTGAAACGTAAAGTTATTTTCATAAAAAAGAAATCTTTCAAAAACTTACTTTTTGCATTAAAGCCATAATTATGAAAACAAACTACACATAGTACATGATATGAATTAAGTATTGATAAACAGACTTACTTCTTCTCTAAACTGAAGAGGAATCATTTCAAACTTCTTAAAAATTTCAATCCTAGAAATTTCTTAAGTTTTGGATAAAAACAGTTCCACTTTCATCTTTCTTTTTTTGTAAATCATTGTTCACCTGGATATTCATGTAATTTTTAAAAATACTTAAATAACCACCTTTAGCTAGAGTCACAGAACAAAAAAAAAAGAGAGAAAACCCCACAAATTTAAATCCTCAGCTTCTGTTAATTATTCATGATCAACCACAGTCTTCATTAATACATATATGTACTGACATTTTAAACCTATTTGAATTGCATATGATACTTTAAAGATTCACAAGAATTTGCCCTCAAAGGCAGTAAACTTTCTGATACCTGGGACTCTATTCTACCAGTTGTATTTCACACAGTTATCGTCGAACTGATAGTTAATAAGATAAACTGGGCTGGGAGCAGTGGCTCATGCCTGTAATCCCAGCACATCGGGAGGCCATGGTGGACGAATCACTTGAGTTCAGGAGTTCGAGACCAGCCTGGCCAACATGGTAAAACCCCACCTCTACTAAAAAGACAAAAATTAGCTGGGCATGGTGGTGCATGCTTGTAATCCCAGCTACTCAGCAGGCTGAGGCATGAGAATCACTTGAACCCAGGAGGTGGAGGCTGCAGTGAGCAGACATTGTGCCACTATACTCCAGCCTGGGTGACAGAGTGAGACACCATCTCAAAAAAAAAAAAAAAAAAAAAAAGACAAACTCAAGTACTGAAAGATTCTGTGGTGCGCTTTGAATCAAACAAAATCTAAATCTGAATCTTTATGAAGAATGCTTTAGGCTGGGCACAGTGACTCACTCCTGTAATCCTAGCACTTTGGGAGGCCAGGGCAGGAGGATCACTTGAGCCCAGGAGTTTGAGACTAGCCTGGGCAACATGGCAAGATCCCATCCCTATTTAAAACAAACAAAAAAGATTGTTTATTGTTTTCTAATTTTTTGAAAATTGGATATCCAACAATGTCAGGATATCTGGTGGCAACTCTTCCAACAATATCTGATTTCTCACACTATCCAGAATAAATTCTTTTCTATCCTAACTGTTCTTCAGCCTTTATTGGTCTGCTTCACTGTTCTCTAAAAAATATATTTGGACATTAACCATAAAATCAACTAAAAACAGATACAAAATGGCCTAAGAGGCTGGGTGCAGTGGTTTACGCCTATAATCCCAGCACTTTGGGAGGCTAAGGCAGGAGGATTGCTTGAGCCCAGGAGTTCAAGACCAGCCTGAGCAACACAGCGAGACCCCATCTCTATTAAATAATTTTAAAAAAAGAAAGAAATGGCCTCAGAAACATTTCAAGAAAGCATACTAAATGACAGAAATTCTACTTAATATTTTATAACATGTTCAACTAATGATAAATAATTTTGTGAACTCTGGAAACAGAAAAGGAACAATGTCATGGAAGAGAAAAATTTCTGCAATAGGAAAACTCTTCATTAGTGAAAATGATACCAATAAAAGAACAAAATAATCTGGGCATGGTAGTTCACACCTGTAATCTTAGCACTCAGAAAGGCAGAGGCAGGAGAACAGCTTGAGCCCAGGAATTCAAGACCAGACTGGGCAACATAGCGAGACCCCATTCTTCATACAAAAGAAAAAAAAGAACAAAATAAGACACTAATAGCCACAATACAAAAATCATCTTTAAATCCCTAGTCACAAGGTTGAGCTGTTCGTTAACTATGATAATAACCAATAAGTTTCATTTGAGAGCTGAGTACCCCAAAATGAAGTGTGATGGTGGTGGAGTTAAAGGAAAATGTTCACCAGTTAATAAGCCTTCTAGTTTTTCATTAGTTATTCATATTTAAAAATTCCAGCCTGGTCAATATGGTGAAACCCTGTCTCTACTAAAAATACAAAAATTAACCGGGCGTGGTGGCGCACACCTATAGTCCTAGCTACTCAGGAGGCTGAGGCAGAAGAACTGCTTGAACCTGGGAATCGCGACACTGCACTCCAGCCTGGGCAACAGAGTGAGATGCTGTCTCAAAAAATAAAAAAATAAAAATTAATCTACTTTCTACTCATTATATATAAACTCCTATGTTTTTGCTATATATTTTTTCTTTTTCTTTTTTTTTTTTTTTGAGACATGGTCTCATCCTGTTGCACAGGCTGGAGTGCAGCAGCACAGTCTTGGCTCACTGATGATCCTGGAACAATATATTGCTACAAAAGGTAAGGAAGTGCTCGTCAAGACAATGATGGAAATATGTCAAAAGGACACTGGCCAAGTCTAGGACAATTTGACCATCAAAATAAATAATGACAGTAACACACTGTAACCCCCTGAGAAAGTAATCTGTGAAATACCAATTTAAAAAAAAAATGGAGGAGAAGGAAAAGCTCTACAGTATATTGCTGACCAGTAAATCTAGAAGGAATGATGGAATTTGTTTTTTTTTAAAAAAAAAAAAAAGGGAAGGGGAAAAAAACACCATTGGCAAACCTCATCGTAGTAACTGATTTGAGCAAGAATCATCAAGGGATGCTGCAACCAGTAAGGCAAAATTTGGTGACATGGCCAAACATGGTGACTCATTCTTATAATCCAAGCATTTTGGGAGGCTGAGGCAGGGGGATTGTTTCATCCCAGGAGTTCGAGACCAGCCCGGGCAACAAAGCTAGACCCCGTCTCTACAAATATTAAACCATCAGTCGGGCATGGTGATACATGCTTGTAGTCCTAGCTACTTGGGAGGCTGAGGCAGGATTGCTTGAGCTCAAGAGTTTGAGGTTGCAGTGAGCTATCACCATACCACTGTGTTTCAGCCTGAGTGATAGAGTGAGATCCTGTCTCAAATAAAGAAAAAAAAAAATCACCATTTGGCAAACCTCACATTAGTAACTGATCTGGGCAAGAATCATCAATGGATGCTGCAACCAGTAAGGCAAAATTTGGTGACAAAGAAATTGTCTGCATCATCTTAAAGTATCTGCCCACAACACTTATTAATTACTAGTTAATTTTTTTGTTTTTTTTTTTTGAGACAGAGTCTCGTTCTGTCGCCAGGCTGCAGTGCAGTGGCACGATCTTGGCTCATCGCAACCTCCACCTCCCGGGTTCAAGCGATTCTCCTGCCTCAGCCTCCCAAGTAGCTGAGACTATAAGGGCAAGCCACCACATCCAGCTAATTTTTGTATTTTTAGTAGAGATGGGGTTTCACCACATTGGCCAGGATGGTCTCAATCTCTTGACCTCATGATCCTCCCACTTCGGCCTCACAAAGTGCTGGGATTACAGGCGTGAGCCACTGCGCCTGGCCGTTAATTAATAAATACAAACTATTTATTAGCTTTACACTGGAGAAATCTAGTAGAAACCATCTTAACTAAATGATAAAAGTTAACATCACCAGTAACACTCCTCATATGACACACTGAGAAGAGAGCTTCTCAGTACTACCACTTCTGTAGTACTCCCGACAAAAATACATAAATCACGTGGAAACAGCAGACAGATCCCAGCCAAGGCATATTCTACAGATTAACTAGACTGTACTCTTCAAAAATGTCAAGGTCACGCAAGACAAGAGGAATTGTTCATTTGAAGGAGTGTAAAGGCATATGACAACTACATGAAAGACAAGATCTTGGACCTATAAATGCCATTATTGAGATAATCAGTTCAATTTGTAGGGCTCTGTGGCAATAGTGGATTACTGTTAATTTCCTGATTTTGATGACTGGATTGTAGTTATGTAGGTGAGTGTCTCTGCATCTGAAAAATACACAATGAAGTGTTAAGACACCACGTTTGCACCTTATTCTCAAATGGTTCGGAAATGATTATAGAGAATCTGGGTAAAAAATACATAGGAGCTCCAGGTAAAACATACATGTAATTTAGACACATTGCCAGGATACATGTGTAAAAGTTCGTGATCTCCTAGGTTCCACAGGGTTTCTATTAACTCCTTTCCCCAGGGAAAATTGTAGTAAAGTTTGTTTCCTTTCCGGCCTTCTTCATCCTGACAGTCACTGCTGCTGAAGTTAGATGGACTCATGGCAAACTGGAAAAGAAAATTTAAGTTTGTCTTAACATATTTAAATAAACACTAATTTAACTCCCATAATTATCTGTAAGAATTTAAATTGTCCGATACTTTTTATTCAGCAAATGTGCGAAACTAGTCAAGTCCCGAATACAAATTTTAAAGTTTATTCTAATTTACATTTTTTTTTGAGATGTGTCTCATTCTGTTGCCCAGGTTAGAGTGCAGTGGCTAGTCACAGGTACAATCATAGCTCACTGCTGCCTCCTACTGCTGGCCTCAAGCAATCCTCCTGCCTCAGGATTCAGAGTAGCTGGGACCACAGGTTGCTGAAATTTAATTTTTAAAAAGTGAAAATACTGGCCAGGCACAGTGGCTCACGCCTGTTATGCCAGCTCTTTGGGAGGCTGAGGCAGGGGGATCACTTGAGCTTAGGACTTCGAGACCAGCCTGGGTAACAGAGCAAGACTTCATCTCTACAAATAATAAAAGAAGTTGCAGTGAGCTGTGATTGTGCAACGGCAGTCCAGCCCGGGCAAAAGAGTGAGACTATGTCTCTAAAAAAACCAAGATGGAGTCAGTTGTACCAGTGAAGGACAAGAAACTTCTGGAGGTCAAACTAGGGGAGCTGCCAAGCTGGATCTTGATGTGGGACTTCAGCCCTAGTGGCCTTGATGGAGCGTTTCAAAGAGGTTACTACTGGTACTACAACAAGTACATCAACGTGAAGAAGGGGAGCATCTCGGGGTTTACCATGGTGCTGGCAGGGTACATGCTCTTCATCTACTGCCTTTCCTACAAGGAGCTCAAGCACGAGCGGCTATGCAAGTACCACTGAAGAAGACATGCTCTGCACTCCCCCAGCAACCTTCTTGGCTGCAACCCCTCCATAAGCAACACAATCTCGATTGTTGCTGAATCCTTTCATATCCTAATGGGAATTAACCTCCAAATAAAAGATGACTGGTACTTGTGAAAAAAAAAAAACAAAAAAAAAACCAAAAACAGACAACAAAAATAAAATAAAATAAAAAGTGAAAATACTGAGTATATTGCTTAACATATTGTTTTTTAGTAGGAAAGAACTACAGAGAAAAAACTGTTGATGTTATCCAGACTTTTATGGCCAATGAAGAGGGGAAGTTAACCATGACTAAAGTGGGATAAAGAAGAAAGTATCACATAGTCCTCATTCTTACCCTTCTGCGAAGTTCTTGATGACTCGTGATTATTTCATACAGTTTAAATGGGTATTTGGGGATGTTTGAGTCGGGAAATGGTAACATAACACATGGCAAGACAAAAATGCTTACTTCAACTCTTTTTTTTTCAGTGAGTACTAAAACTTGATCATCAATTACAGAGCCATTTTGACTAATATGGAAAGTTCATGGAGGTAGGTAGCAAAAGCTGAAGCTGTGACAATGGTCAAGGGTCAAACTCTACATCAGCCAGGAATGCTAGGTGAGGGCTTTGAATTTTACCTTACACAGAAAGGCTAATTAACAAACACATCTGAGCCCAACAAATGTTTTTACCAAAGTAACTTTGTAATCTAGAACAATGAAAATTGTTACAAAGAGTTTTTGTATTTGTATAATATATTAATAGCTACATACATCAAATATAATTTCTTGTATGTCAGAAGAATTACCACTGACACATTAAGACAATTTATGTATTAACTATTAAATTAAAGGTAATTATTGCAGTACCTTTCTCCACCACTGGAGTCGATGACGTAACCAGAAATCAAGCCACTGGTTTGAAGTTCTCGGAGGAGTAAACCATACTAACGAAGCTTCAGTCTTCTCACCAATACTTTAGATATAAAACGTATCAGGAAGTTAGCTTATCTGAAAATTATATAATTTATCCCAAGTGGAAATGACTGGTTTTTGACTATTTAAATACAAGGCCAAGTTATTTGCCACTTTTTATACCTTTTAACACCATTTCGTATCTGCTTAGTGTCAAAAACAGGATGAAAACACACTCCAATCTGAGCAAGGCCATAAGGTAGCCTCTTGTTTACCAGATCCAGGCAATTAACATAGTGTTCCAAGGCACCTGTCAAAAGATAAATCAATCATTGTATACATCTAGTCCACAAACCCAAATCATTTTTGTCAATAGACACATTAATAGTAGTAATAACGTTAACACAGCATAAAGACAGATGTTGGCTAAGCTTGGTGGCTCACGCCTATAATCCCAGCACTTTGGGAGGTCGAGGTGGGCAGATTGCTTGAGCTCAGGAGTTCTGAGACCAGACTGGGCAACACAGCAAAACCCCATCTCTAAAAATATACAAAAATAAGCCAGGCATGGTGGTGTGTGCCTTGTAGTCCCAGCTACTTGGAAAGCTGGGAGGTGGATCACTTTAGTCTGGGAGGCCAAGGTTGCAGTGAGCTGGGATGGTGCCACTGTGCTCCAGCCTGGGCAACAGAGTGAAACCCTGTCTTAAAAAAAAACAAAAAAAGACAGATCACCACTTAATTCTAGGTAGTTTCACCCTGAGTTTTTAGTTTGAAGATTTTCTTTTTTTTTTGAGATGGAGTCTCGCTCTGTCGCCCAGGCTGGAGTGCAGTGGCAGGGTCTCGGCTCATTGCAACCTCCGCCTCCCGGGTTCATGCCATTCTCCTGCCTCAGCCTCCCGAGTAGCTGGGACTACAGGCGCCCGCCACCACGCCCGGCTAATTTTTTCTGTATTTTTAGTAGAGACGGGGTTTCACCGTGTTAGCCAGGTTGGTCTCGATCTCCTGACCTCATGATCTGCCTGCCTTGGCCTCCCAAAGTGCTGGGATTACAGGCGTGAGCCACCGCGCCCGACAAAGATTTTCAAATCTATAAGAAAGTTGAAAAAATAATAAACATCCATATACAATGAACACTTGTATACCCTTTACCTAGATTCATCAATTATCAACATTTTGCCACATTTTTTTCTTGTTCACTCCCAAATACTGCCGCATACATCTTCTAAAAATAAAAATATTTCCTATATACCATTATAACACCATAAAAAGTTAACCATAATACCACAATATAATCTAACATATGGTGATATTTTAGTTGTTCCAATTTTCACCCCAAATATCTTTTACTGTTCTCTTTCCAGTTAAGATTCATGTACTGCATTCTGAGTAGGTTTCTTTCATCCATTTGAATCTAGAACATTTCCCTTGCCTCCTTTCCCCCTTAATTTTGCTATTAATGACACTGACTTTTGATGTGAGTCCAGGTTAGTCATAGATTGTCTCACATTTGGGATTTGTCTGATTGTTTCCTTATGATTTAATTTCGGCTAATCATTTTTAGCAAAATACTACATAGTAGATGTGTGTATCTTATTGCATCATAACATGAGGAACATGTTATCAAATTATTCCACTACTGAAGACACCAAATTTGATTACTTGGTTAAGGTAGTAAATATCCACTCCCCAATAATATCCTGCTCCCCAACAGTATTTCACCCAGTATTTTAGAATCCATTGATGACTGTTGCTTGAATCAATGATATCGGGGTTTGCAATATCATGAAATGGTGAATTTTCTAATGTATCTTTCCTTCTACATTTATTCCATAGCTTCTGTAAAAACATAAGCTTTCTCTACCTCTTCCCCCCGCCCCCGACCTCTAGGGTCAATTATTTGTTTTTGATTAATACTATTGACTCTTAGATTTTAGTCAATGTGTTATGATCCATTACCATTAATATGTATCTTAATGTTCAATTTGTCCTAGATGTGGCCAGTGACAACCCTCCTCAAGCCAGCATCTGTGACCTTTTTATATGACCCATTAGTCTTCAAGCAATTCTTTGCTTTTTAGCACCATAAAGTGTTTCAAACTCACCTTGTACTTTCCCTAACCCCAGACCCGGAATCAGCCATTTCTCCCAGTACTGGTTCATCTTAGAAACCAAGATCTGGAGGCCGGGCGCAGTGGCTCACGCCTGTAATCCCAGCACTTTGGGAGGCCGAGGCGGGCGGATCACAAGGTCAGGAGATAGAGACCATCCTGGCTAACAAGGTGAAACCCCGTCTCTACTAAAAATACAAAAAATTAGCCAGGCGTGGTGGCAAGTGCCTGTAGTCTAGTCCCAGCTACTCGGGAGGCTGAGGCAGGAGAATGGCGTGAACCTGGGAGATGGAGCTTGCAGTGAGCCGAGATTGTGCCACTGCACTCCAGCCTGGGCGGCAGAGCGAGACTCTGTCTCAAAAAAAAAAAAAAAAGGAACCAGGATCTGGGCACTAGGTGTGCTCATTGCTACTGAGGGTCATTGCTTCTAGGAACTTTAAACGAAGAAAGTTAGGAAATATATTTTTAAAAATCATGAGGCTGGGCACTGTGGCTCACACCTGTAATCCCAGCACTTTGGGGGGCCAAGATGGGCGGATTGCTTAAGCTCAGGAGTTCAAGACCAGCCTGGACAACATGGCAAAACCTCATCTCTACAAAAAACACAAAAATTAGCTGGGTGTGGTGGCATGTGCCTGTAGTCCAGCTACTTGGGAGGCTGAGGTGGGAGGTTCACTTGAGCCCGAGGTCGAGGCTGCAGTGAGCCATGATCACACCACTGCACTCGAGTCTGGGTGACAGAGTGAGACCCATATTCAATTTTAATTTACCAATTCATATTTAATTTACCAATCCATATTTAACATTAGTTTATACGTACCTTCTTTTACATATTATCTCTTCTTTTACAATGAATATCTTGGTTCCTAATAACAACTAACCCAACTATTTGAATTTTTTTTTTTTAAGACGGAGTTTTGCTCTTGTCACCCAAGCTGGAGTGCAGTGGCGTGATCTCGGCTCACTGCAACCTCTGCCTCCTGGGTTCAAGCGATTCTCCTGCCTCAGCCTCCCAAGTAGCTGGGATTACAGGCGCTCGCCGTCACGGCCGGCTAATTTTTGTCTTTTTAGTAGAGACGGGGTTTCACCATGTTGGCCAGGCTAGTCTCGAACTCCTGACCTCAGGTGATCCACCCGCCTCTGCCTTGCAAAATGCTGGGATTACAGGCGTGAGCCACTGCGCCTGGCCTTGATTTATCCTATGATATACATGAAATAGTTTCAGAATTATAATTTCAACATTTTTACTTAGAATAAATCTAAGAAAAGTTCAAAATGTCTGTGTAGTTCCTTATGCACTTAGACTACATTGCACTAAATGACAGCACTGTGTTCAGAAGTTGCCCCGTGAAATTGAGAGCGTTCCCAGGTCCTTCGGACAGATTGTTTAAGGAACAGCAATGATTCCATGGACCAGTTTTCTCCAGGGTAGAGCACTGTTAATATATCCGACTACTTCAAAAAGATGAGAACTAACTAACTTCCTTGCATGGGAATACAGGGCCAGTTGCAATCCCCAAGATCCAGCAAGACTGCCTCGCCTTTCCACCCGACACCTGTTTTGAAGCATGAAATCGTGAAGCATACCGTGAAGAAGGTTCTCCCGTAGTTTCCCAGAAGTTTTTAATACGTTCTCAAGAAATGCTACTAGCTGTTCCTTACTCAGCTCTTTGTCTTGCAAGATTTCGCGTAGAGTTTCTGCAGAAACTAACCTGAAGGCACTGTCCCCGGGTAGCAAAGGGCCTGGTTTGTGGTGGAGGGCGTCCACCGGGAATACCTGCTCCCTGAACACCACCACCGAGGTCCACCATTCTGCGGCCAGGTTCTTCCGCAACTCTACGCCCAAGGGTCCGAAGCCGGGGTGGCACCCACTCAGAAGAGAATCCCGGCTAAGCTGCTGCTTGCTTCCACTTAGGAAATGCCTTCTCTGACAGATCTCTAACAGCGCCTCGCTTCCCTCTCCAGACCCGGGGGCTTCTGGGTGCTCGCCGTTCCCCTCGAGCTCCGCGTGCGACTTCACATGCCCTCCTTTGGGGCTACTCCTTTCCGTCAACAGCTCCGGCTGCCCCGCATCTACTCGACCCCCAAACCCAGACAACAGGCACCTGCAGACCTTATGGCAGGCCCTGACGGCTACACGAGAGCGCATCTCTCTCCGAAGTTAAAGAGCACACTCTCCCATCACTCAACGGATCCCAACAAGCCACCACTACCGTTAACAGAATCCGGAGAGGCCACGGCGCAGGCGCAACGGAGGTGAGCGTGCTTGCGGGCGGCAGGCCCCACCCCGGAAGCGCATGTCTGCGTTCCGGCCGCAGCCGTCCCCCGCCCACCATGGCGGACGCCGGCTCGGATGGTTCTCTGCTAGCTTGCCGTTCGCGTCGCGCCCCTCCCTTCAGATTGACTTTTTTCTTTCCTCGTAAGCACCAGTAAAGGTTATTCCCACCTATTTATAACCGTGGTGTAGCCACTTGAGTCACTTCCTTCTGCCACTGTTTTGCAGTCCAGAAAATTAAAATACTTCAGTATTATCCAAATCACCTTCTATATACACCTCAATCAAGCACTTGGACTAAATTTGGCATTTGGTTTCCCTTTAAACAGTTTTAGTCCTTTACGGTGATTTGTAAGCCCAGGCCTTCTTAACTAGGCAAATGCTGCCGCCAGGTGGCCTAGGCCTAACCCCAGAGCCGTTGTCTTGACGCTTAAGCTTCCGGGGAGGGGGGCGATAGGCTTCGTGACTAGGGTAGTGGTATGGTCACTTTAAATATTGCAGTGGCTTCCAAAGGGCAGTCCCCAGCCAGCAGCATCTGCCTCACCTGGGAATGCACTAGAAATAAACCAAGGGGCCCTGACATGTCTTAAACCCTCCTGGTGTCAGAGAAAACCACGTACGTGCAATTTCTTCCAGGGGCCCCTTCTATGGGTTCATCAAAACAATGAGACTTGTGACTGTTATTATTAAGAGACTCATGATTAAATTGCAGGTTTCTGATTTTGCAGTTTCTATTTAAATAGGTCGAGACCTTAAGACCTACCCAGAAAGTGGAAAAGTGGTATACCCAGACTGAGGAAGTTTGATTCCAAAGTCCATGATTTCTTATACCAGCCTCAGTTACGAAAACCTTTAAAGAGGTTCAGGGAAAAAGGAACAATCTACATTTCACTGTGAGACTACCAAACTACTACCTGATTAAGAGGGGTAACAGCTTAGCAATTGAGTTAATGTAATTCAGGAGTAAAGTTTTATCATTAGTAAAGTGCTGTACCAGGTTCAGGAAATAGTTCTTCTTTACAAGTGTATACAAGGGTTTAAAAAAAGGCCAGCTAGATAGTAATTAACTGCAAAGCTGGGTACTACTGCCAGGTGTTTTCCACATTCAGGAACTCACACCAGGTAAAAGGCCTATACGCAAATAAATAAAAAGAGAGAATGGGGAGAAAAATCACATTTATTAGTTAAGACGACCACAGGCTGGACACAACACACATGCTAAAAAGTGGACTGTCTTTTAAAACTTCCAAGGTAAATAGGTAAATGTTTTCCACAGCCCAACAATCATTTCAGTGTTTACAAATTAAAAGGCCCACGGTTAAGACATTAAACAGTAAAATATGTAATAAATGCTCCAACCTACCCTCTCCCCCGAAAGCTGCTTCTAAGTTTAAAACCATGAATTTGACTAACCATGCCATTGAAAACCATCCAGGTTACTACAGGCTGAATTAGTTTTCAATGTCTAAGTCCTAGAAATATCACTCCCTATCCCAGCCCTAGCAAATTCTAACTTTACATTTGACATAAGGCATTAACATCAATTAAAGCCTCAGTTTAATAATCAGAATTTAAATGAAGTCTCCTGAAGACCTCTCTTCTGGCAAAAAAAAACACGTATCAGACTCTGGGAAAACATTCAGACCCACTTCTAGCTATTACTGAAATAAATGATTAGAAAGTTACGTTGGTGAGCCGAAGTTAAACCTAAAGCTATCCCCTGGATCTTTCTAGCAATAAACCCATGTTGAACCTACCATGAAAACTTTCATTCACTGTGCTTTTGGTTACGTTGCCTCCTGATTAGTCATTAATTTTAATGAGGTTTTTTCCTTGTGTTGAGTATGAATAGACCTTACAGTTTGAGGATCTCTAGAATTCCCTGAATTATTGGAAAGACATTCATGACTCCCAGTGTGACTAGTTAAGAGCCCCAGGGAGCCTGTGAAGACTAGAATCTACAAGTAACCTGCACTAAGAACGAAATTCAGTAAAGGAGACTCAAGCTTAGCTCCTGGCCATCTTAAAGGGCTAATGTATGTCTTTCACAGGTTTGTTCAACATTTCAGTAATTCACAGTATAGCCAAGAGCATGAGTATAAGTCTCTTGAAAAAGCCAGTTATTTGGAGCTTTTTAAATTATAAACTTTGAAAAAGTCACCCACGTTCTCACACTATATAGATGACTTTGTATCTATTTTACTATTTTCTCATTTAACCATACTAGCAAATAAGGAAAAAGGCTATTAAATGACTCCCCTGATGCTGGAAGCTGACAAAGCTTTTATGCAATTTAGCCTGTAACTAAAAATTCACCTGTATCAATTCATTCTGACTCCTGCAATATGAATAGCTCATTATAAAGAAGGGCCTTCTGATTCCCCCTGCCTCCCAAATTAAATAAAAAGGAACAGTCATTTGTTTTCATGGAAAAAAAAAACCAAACAAAAACAAAAAAAAAACCAGACCATCTTAAGCAAAGTTTTACATGACATTATATAAAATAAAGTACAATTTCCACTTAATTCAGTCTTCAAATATTTTTTATTGGAAGGCCATGCATTGCCTTCATTTATTGTATTTCAAATCACTGTACATTTACTTTTGTGAAAACACTGCCTGCATTTTCTAGTACAAAAAAAACCTAAAAATTGTTTCAGGAATGTAGAGAAATATCCAACTTAAATAGCGAAAAAGTGCACCATAATTACTGCTGCACTGCAGTCATTTCTGCAATTCCCATGTTTCTTAAATAACTATCTTGTCAGATAACACACAATATAAAGAGCAATTATGAAAAACAGACATTTACATATACTTCTAAAGTCTTATTGGGAATATCCTGTTGGCATTGGATAACCAATCATAGGTGCAGCTGCAGTAGCAGGATATGCATATGCCTGTTGGTTCATACCATTGTGCATATTTGGAACATTACTTCCGTATTGCTGAGTGCTATCATAACCATTCTGGTAAGTCCCTGTTGGATTACCAGTCCTAAAACTGGTCTGTATACCAGCAGACACAAAATTACTTCCAAAGCTCCCATTGGTGTAATTTGCAGCACTGTAAACACCATTCTGAGTTTTTGCCCCAAAATCTCTTTTAAGCAGGCTAGAGTAACCTCTGTCATAATTTTCCCTGTCTCTAAAGGTATTAAATCCACCCCTTTTGCCCGCAGAGTATCTGTCCCGACGGTCATCCTTCATGCCTCCTCTACCCCTGGAACGACCTGTCAAGAAAACAATTGCAAATTGATCAATTATGTCTATGACACAAATCATTGTGGACAGAAAGAAACAGATCTATTCATGGTAGGCGTGAAATGTTTTTACAATTTTTCAGCTTAAGTTTTCACATTCAAGGTTTTACTCACCCTCCAATACCATTTAAATGGATTTGTAGACAACGATGTGACTCGTAACTACCAACATTTCCTATCAGTCATCCTTACCTGAACCTCTGTCTTCGACCAACTGAAGCAACTTGGGATTAATTGCTTGATTAGCTTCACGAAGCACAGAGATAAGGTCGCTCACTTGCTTTATGTTATTAGGTGTAAAGAAAGTGTATGCTGTGCCTGTTTTGGTACTGCGAGCAGTTCTTCCAATTCGATGAATATAATCCTCTGAGGAGTTAGGGTAGTCATAATTGATGACAAATTTCACATCTTCCACATCTGTAAGGTGTTGCAGTGTGGCAAAATAGCAATGTACGGAGTTTTGCACACCACAACAGCCAGACCAAAAATAAAAAGTTAGACAATTGTATTCCCAAGAAGGTACGGGCTGCAAAAAATACAGTTAAAATGGTTATCCATTTCCTGTAGGAATACCATTGAGGTTGAAAAAAGAAAAAAAAGCACATGTCATCTGTATAATTCATCACCCACCCAGTGACAGACCCTGTCAAAAGGAATGTGTGTTCCCTAAGCACATTCCCAAATCAGCAAGTTCCCTTACAGATCATCAAGTGACATCTGAATGCTTCTGCGCAGTAGGGCCACTTAAAGTTTCACAGCAACCTCTTCATGTGCTCATTTTGAGGACCTTGAAACAAAAAAATGTACAAGGTCCTTTGCATTACACATTCATCAGAAGTTCAAAATTCTGGCCACACTGCTTGTCTTGCCAAGACCTTACAACCGCAGCTGCAAGAAAACATACCTGTCCCCCAAAAGTTGTTTTTATGCACTGTGTCTCGTCTAGGCAAGCGCTTCCAAGAAGCCAGGATTCACTTGAGAATGTGTCTCTCTCTGGCAGGTCTCGACATGACGACTACTGTGTAGGTGAGGGAGGAACTTTCAAAGCACTTTCTTTTCCCACTTACTATGTGTGAGAAGTTGCTCCTGCTCTAGATCTCATGTGCCAGTACTCACCAATTTGTAAAAGGCTTAGTACCTTTTAAAGCTGCTCTCTCCATTTCAAACTTGAACAAAAATTTCATTGAACATTGAAGTTTGGAACTACTTCTTCGACATTTCAGCAAACTCACTGAAACTCAAAGACCCACAGATCACAGTGAACAGTTTGAAACAAGGCTGTACCATGGCAGTCATGCAAAGCATGGGACAGAAGAAATACCACGGCAGTGAACTGTGAGGATAACTTCCATTTTTTCCCTCGGAGAGAACAGTTTACGGGGCAGAGGTGATATGTTCTGCCTTTTGAAGATTACTGGCACACGTTCAGCTTTTTCACCTCTCTAATCGACTGGAAGCAGCCAGCCGATCACTAGTCCTCCATCCCCCTCGAGTCCTCCGATTGTCATGCCTAGGCCTTGCCACAAAGACAGCACCTTTATGTGAAAAAAAACTTAGAAAAAATGCAGGTTAAAGAAAGCAATAAACTTTCTTTAAAAAAGTTAAATGGAGATCTTCTGGGAAACCAAGCCATGAATGCGAGTTTGTACTAACCTAGCCCTCTGGAGGCCACATCTGTAGCAATCAGAATAGGAGCTTTTCCATGTTTGAATTCTACAAAGGAAGGCATATACATGATCAATTATCTGAGCAGAATTCTAGCTAGGTTAAGTAAGGGGGAAAAATACTTCATTTGAAATATTTACCATTTAGAACCCAGTCACGCTCTTGTTGACTCTTGTCACCATGGATACCCATGGCAGGCCACCTAAGTTAAAAGACAAGTTGTGTTATTAAACTCACATTGAAAACCTCAGACTCCAGTGCTTGACCACTTTTGGTCACAGATCTCTTTAATTTCGCCAGAAATGAAAAAGTTAAATTCACTATCAGATATGAAAAAAATCCACTGCTCGTGATCCAAGTTTGCCCTTTCCTAAGCTGTTTTAATCAATCTGCTTCAATGGAGGAGCTCACACATACCCATCTCTCCTCATTTTTCTGGTAAGCTCATCACATCTTCTTTTGGTTTCCACAAAAACAATGGTTTTATTCTCCTTCTCACTCATGATCTCTTCCATTAGACGAATAAGTCTAATAATAGGAGAGAGAAAGGAAAAATCCTGAGTTTTAAAAGACCATTGCTAGGGCCACACATTTATGGTCAGCAAAACATTAAGTTCAATTTACATGGCTGGAAGTCAAAGAGGAAACGCCTGCTAATCCACTTATCGAGCAGTTCGACCCTTGGTCCTTAAGTCAACCAGGGGACACATGAATTCCTTCTATAGGAAAGCTATAAATGGTGACAGCCATTATTTGAAGGATTCAAGAAATTTTCAGGATTAGTAGGCTAACTAAATGAAATCACACCAACTGAAATAACCTAAAACAACTCACCAAACAATGATCCCTCAATTTTACAGCAAAGTTGTTAGGAAGCAAATATAACAGAGTTAATAAAACTTACTTTTCATCCTTTTCTACGTCATGACACACATCCACAATCTGAAGAATGTTGTGGTTTGCACTCAGTTCAAGTGCACCAATGTTTATATGAATATAGTCTTTCAGGAAATCTTCAGCAAGCTGTCTTACTTCTTTTGGCCAAGTCGCACTCCACATTAGAGTTTGCCTATCAGGCTAATGGATTTTGGGGGGAAAAATTAGTATCAGACTCTTAAGAGTGAAAACACAATTCAGTTTGATCACATATTTCAAAGGACACTTACTCTTATTTGATCCACAATCTTCCTTATTTGGGGTTCAAAGCCCATATCAAGCATTCTATCTGCTTCATCAAGGACAAGGTAGGTTGTTCTTCTCAGATTGGTTTTTCCACACTCTAAAAAGTCAATCAGTCTTCCAGGTGTTGCAATACAGATTTCCACACCTTTAATTAAATACGTAAGTGTAACTACAATACCTAGGATATTTAGCACCAATGACAAATAAAACCCTTTTCATTACATACCTCTCTCCAAATCACGTATTTGTGGTCCCTTAGGAGCACCACCGTAGATACAAGTAGACTTCAAGCGACATGCTCTACAATATTCAGCAGCTACTTGCTGCACCTGTTGGGCCAGTTCCCGAGTTGGTGCCAGCACCAAACACTAAGGAAAGAGAAACAGCTTTCAGCACAAACCTGGATACTAGTTTTAAACTGCTAACTTATTATACTAGCAGATCCTTTCTTCATGTGTTGTCCAATACCCAAAACAGCTCCAGCTGAATAGGGTGAGCTAACCTCTATATAAAACCACCACAAATGATTACATCTTTAGCTATGTAGTCTAAAATCTACACATTATGCTTCTAATAAAAAGTTAAAAATATATACTTACAATAGGCCCATCGCCTCTCTCTAGGAATGGCTGATGATTGATGTGGACAATGGCAGGAAGCAAATACTATTTAGGGTGAAAGTGGGGACAAACAGAAATCACATTAAAATACTCGTTTTTAAATTACCATTACATTTTCTTGCATATATCAGATCAACTCAAGAGTTCTCCCAAACTTACAGACAATGTTTTCCCAGATCCAGTCTGTGCCACTCCAACCATATCCAATCCACTTAGAGCAACTGGCCATCCCTGAGCTTGAATAGCAGTGGGTTCAGTGAAATTCTGTCTTGCAATAACATCCATGACATTTGCTATAATTAGTAACAGATATTTAGTAAAAATTAGTGATGCCAAGAAAAAGAGGGGGTAGGTGGAAACAAAAACACGGGTAGGTAGAACTGAAAAGTAGCACTTACCAGGGAAATTGGCTTCATAAAAATTTAGAACTGGCTTCGGGCAGTTGTGACCTCTAACTGTAATTTCCTTGCTTCTTCTGTATGTTTCCACCTCTTGCTGCAAAACAAATTATAACAGTCTTAAAATTCATGACAACCACCCCTAGCTAAATACGTAATTGATAAGCCCCTAACTTCATAATTTAGTAACTAGTTTAAAGTAGCCTTCATTTTAATCTGGACCCACCTATGAACACCCTATTATGAAAAAAAAAATTTATTGTTATACTCAACCTAATTTAAGTAAAAATCCCAAAGCCACCTATATCCAAAAGTGAGTCACACCTTTCCCAATTATGAAGTCAGAACATGTAACTCTACCAAAATTGAGTTATTTGCAAAACACCTGTCAGAATTTCATTTACTAGAATCCACGATCGAGTTACAGCCTGATGAAGCCACATGAATTTACTCACTGCTGTGCGCCTAGCCAAATCAGGGTGCTCTTGATAAAAATTCTTCTCAAATTTAGGCAGCTCATCAAGATTCCACTTCTTTTTAACTAATTTCTCCCCAGGGTTTCCAAACTTCTTTCCAGATAAGGGCCCTGCCCTACTTCCTCCAAATCGAGGTGCACCAAACCTGGAATGAAAAAAAACGTTATTCACATTTTCAAATGGCTATACCCAGGTTTCTGTATAGATTTGTCATCCATTGGCACAAGCTAAAAACCACTGAAAACAGACTTCGAGAGGTAAACCTAGCACTGTCCTTCGTGAAAATCTCTCTCTCTCTCAACAGCCACAGTTAACATTTCCCGTAGTCCCAAGTACACATTACTTAGGTCATGTAAACAGCCTGGGATTTATCATGTCGGAAGCCGGGGATTTATCATGTCGGAAACTTGTCACCCACATGCCAGAATTTGGGATTCTGGCACACACCACTTCTTGTGGTTACTGTAATCTTCCCCACCAGCCTAGCAATTCACTATCAGCAATAACAAGGCTACATGAACCGAAGAGCATCACGACGATGTTACTCATATGGCCGTTTTGGAACCAAACAGCTTTAGTGGTAAGAACCTAAACAGTACAGTCAGCGATAACAGAACAAGGGTTTTCTCAGAAACACTTCTGCTAGCAAACCCAGCTGGGGGAACGCCGCGGTAGAGCTCCGGATCAACGAATCAAAATTATATAACGCAGGAAAAAAGAAAAGGAGGAGCCGGCGACTACCGGGGGAGGAGTCCCGGCCCGGGCGGAGTCGGCCGGGCGGCGTTCCCGCTGGGGCGGCGCTTCCCCCTTTGTCTCGCATTTCTCTCTGCGCCACATTTTCTCGACGCTGCCATTTTGAGCTCCTCCGCCGGGCGGGGTAACAAAGGCGCCGCCGCCATGTCCGAGGCCGGCATTTTGTACTCGCGACTCAGCCACATGGCTGATGCCGGCCGCCCTCCTACCCCAACAGCACCAGGGCTTTGGAAGTGGTCCCCTCGCTCCCACAGAATGCCCGGCCACCCCAAAAACACCTCCCGAAACGCCGCACCTAACAGATGTTCCTTCGTCTGCCTCGAAGCGTCCCGCTTTCATCCGCACAATACGCTCCCTCTCAACTCCCTCAACAGCTACCAAATGGCAGCCGCCCCGACAGCTCCCCAATCCCCACACAAAAAGCAAGCTTGAAGACACTACACCGTCAAATCTCTTCCAATCACTGTGACGTGAATATCAAAATGGCGCAAGCCTTCGGGAAAGGAAGTCCCAAGATAGCCCGGAAAGGCCAAGTCCAAGCCGCAAAGCCCCCGCCGGCCGCCACCCTGACCCGCCCTCCCATCCCCCCACCCGCCAGGCCTGACAGCTCGGCTCCCAAACTCACCCTCGGTCCCGGCCGCGGTCTCGGTCACTCGAATAACCCGACATGGCGTCAATGGTTGCGGTTGGCGGGGAACGAAGTATATAGAAAAGCGTGCGACAAGTCGCTGGAAATGGCCTCGATGACGGCGAAGCCTTGCGGGGGCGGCAGCGGAGGAAGGACACCGATGACACCAGCCGAAGCTGCACTACTAGAGACCGGTAGAAATGAATGAGGTGCCGGCCGCTTTCCGGCAGCCGCTTTTATAGTCTGGACCGCCTCCTACGCCGCAGGGAACGCTGGGAGCCGCTCTATGACCTAATCGCCCCGCCCCTCGCGCATAGGCCGCAACGCCCGCTGGCGTTCCAGGATCGCCGCGCTTTCACCCCTCCCCGCGCCACTCTCTCAGGTCAGGGCCCACCCACCATTGGAATGCCTCATTCTGCACTCTCTTGACCTCACCTTCTTCTGGTCTTTCCACACCTCAAGCAAGCCACCCCGCCCTTTCCCAAGCCCAGCCCCGCCCACCCTCGCCACTCGGAGATGTTTACGTCTCCAAAGAGCCCTCACGTCTGTAACCAAAAGAGGGGGAAGGCGGGGCCTGGCGTTGTCACGTGGCTGTACCACCCCGGACCACCGAGAGAGCGGTCCGCACTACTTTCCCGTTGACGTCGGCGGAGGGATACAAAACGAAATAGCTCACCGGAAGTGCGCTGCTCGCACCCCGGGACCCGCCCGGGCTGCCGGCTGATGTGGACCGTCCGACCCGCGTGTCTGATAATCCTTTGACGGGTTTTGGTCGGCGGAGAATGGTCTCTAAACTTCCCAAACCGCCCCCGTTTCACGTCCTGTGAAAGGAAGTGCTCCTCTGATGACCAATCAGCGGCGAGAAGCTCTTTTAACGTCCGTCCTTCTTTCACGCCTCCTTCCCCGCGCTTTGGTTCGTGCGTCCGCGCCCCAGTGTCGGGTCTGCGTGGATCGGTCCTTCCAGGACACCGTCGCCTTCCCGGCCGCGTCGGAGTCCGGCGGCGACCTGCCTCTGAAACATGGCAGGCTCGGATGCTGGTGAGTGTCTCCCTGGGGTCCCAGTATGTGTGGACTGAAACCGTCCACCTCCAGGGAGGCCTCGGGCTAGCCCGGACTGGGTCTGGGCTGTCGGCGGGGCTCGTGACCTTCAGACGCCGCGTCGCGCTGGCGGGTTCCCTGGATAGGGTCTCTCAGCTTCACCACCTCTTCGCTTCGAGGCCGTGGAACAGCAGTATGCTGTGGGAGAGAGAGAGGCACTGGGGCGAGGCCGGTAGGACACTTGGGTCCTGGCTGTAAAAAGAGCGGTCAGAAGGGTCGTCCCCGGACTTGTCTTTCTGTGGGGCGTCTAGCCGCTGTCCGTGTGCCCTCCGCCCTTGCACTATGGGCCCTGAGGTCGTACCTGCTTTTGTATTGGTCTTTAAAGGAACAGCATTCTTAAGATTTATTATGCCCCTGCAGAATAGTAGAATATGCCCCTGTAGAATAGTTGTGCTTTTTTCTCTTCAGTGCCCTCTAGAGTCATGGGCTTTGTCTAGCACCGCTTTTGAAGAGCGAATTAATTTGGTTGTCTAGGACGCTTTCATCCTTTTCACAAGGACTGCGTACAAACCAGTTGTCATGGTTTGGCCAGCTGTGAGAAATGGGCGTGGGGAGGGGGATTATGTGCATGGAAAATACACTCTCATTCGTTTCCAGAACGTTACGTGTCCAGAACATAGTGGAGATGTTTGTTTCTAATACCGATTGAAAGTGCTTTCCTACCAATTCCCAGGCATTTCAAGGAACAAGTATTTTAAGCTAAGTTACTTTTGGTACAGAAACCGTTAAACTTTGCAAATCCCAGCAATATCTAGGGGAGAGGAGAATGTGGTACGCAGGAAACGTCAACAGTATTGATAATTCTGAGCTTCATGTACTTCCCATATTTTCTTTCATATAGATCGATATAATAAAAAAGAAAAACTAACAAATGCATTACCGTTGATGTTGTTATTATACCAGTTCTTAACAGCCTAAGTTTAATCACCACTTTTTCCGGCACCAGAGAAACCCTGACTTGCACAAGATAATTGGGTAAACACAAGACCAATACTATTGCAAGTGCGAAGCAGCCTCCATTAATGAGTTTCTGGTAACCTCGGATTATCATTAAACTGTTGTTTATGACATAATATTCCTGTTTACTTGTAAATATGTTTTAACTAAAAACACCCATGTAAGGCTTATATAAGTAACTTAAGATTTTAGGCTGCAACAGTATCAATTGAATTTGCAGTATAGTTTTGACTATGTAGAAATTACAGCACTCTGGAAATCATCCCAAGAAATTAAATACATCTTTTTAAAAACCATGCCTAAAGGGTCTTTGAAATTCTCTAACAATCAAATTCCTTATCTTCTGCAAAGTTCAGTGTCTGTTTTTGTTGGGGGGGAGGTTGTTGGATTTTTTAAATGTCTGTGTGATTTTTTTCTGGTGGTTTTTAAGACTGATCTTTCCCCCTTTTTCCCAACAGAGTGGGTAACCATTGCCAATAACCTTCTTTTTAAGTGTCATATACATCTGAGAATACATGAACTTCAAGACTGTGATGCTAATGTTTTTATTGCTCTTTATCAGTCTATTTTGGGAGAAAAGGTACCAGGTAAGAATACTAAAAGCAGGAGTAATTTTGCCTATATCTTAGGCCAAAAGTTTTTAGTCCTTTAGTTAGATTCTTTGATATTTATAAAATTTCATTTTCTCTTTGCTTGTTTCTTTTTTTAATATTGCATATTAAATTCTATATTAATATACAATATTAAAATAAATATTGTATATTAAATTGTATTTAATATCACATATTGTATAATTATAATATTGTATTCCTTAAGGAATACCCTGTGGAACCCACTCATAATAACGGCCTTGAGCAGATCAGTTTGAGGGCTCCTGATAATCACGGCTTAACCTAATCATGGCTACTGCCTTGTGAAAGTTGCATCTTTTCTGTAAATGTACCTTCAAAGGTTGTAAAATTGAGTGGAGCTTGGGAATTTATTGGATTCTGTTACTTAACCAGTGCTAGGGATAAGAATTGATGCTTGTAGATGATGAACCTCATTTACCAAGACAGTTAATAAGCGCATATGTCCTTTCATCTTGCTCACCATCTCACTATGTTCAAGACCAGGGTGGTACCAACTCAGCTTAAGTGATCCTCCCGTCTACCTCCCAAAGTGATAGGATTACAGGCATGAGCCACCACGTCCAGCCTGTGCTGACCTTTTAAATCTTTATACCAATAATTCTAGTTGGCTATTCAAAAGGACATATAAGGGCCAGGCGCGGTGGCTCACACCTCTAATCCCATTACCTTGGGAGGCTCATCACTTGAGGCAGGTGGATCACCTGAGGCCAGGAGTTCAATACCAGCCTGGCCAATATGGCAAAATGCCATCTCTGCTAAAAATACAAAAATTAGCCAGGCATAGTGGTGCACGCCTATAAACCCAGCTACTTGGGAGGCTGAGGCAAGAGAATTGCTTGAGCCGGGAAAGTGGAGGTTGTAGTGAGCCAAGATCACGCCACTGCATTCCAGCCTGGGCGATAGAGCGAGACCCTGTCTCAATAAATAATAAATAAACATACATATGTGTATATATAAGAACGCTCCTTGAATGCCTGCTGTGTTTTTTTTTTCTTCGTAGAAAGTAGCCCATAGTTATGGGTTAAAGTATCATGTCTTGGCTCCCTTATTAGACTATTAGCTGTCTTTGAATTTAGGGACCACTTTATCTTCCTTAACATGGTGCTTCTTGTAAAGCATATTCATGTATATCTATATATCTATATATATATATATGGTGTAATAAATATTCAACCGTATTCAACCAGTCTAATATTGATAAATCGGTTCAATCAATAAATACTCAACCAGTAAAGATTCTGCTGTGTAGAGTTCAGGGTTTATTAACTTTATCTGTACTTTACAGCATGTTCTGTTTGGGCAGAGCCTTTATAGCAGTTGAGCATATTCAGTAGCCTAGTCAGAGACAATGAGATGAAAACTTGGCCTCTCATGGATACAAAATTATGTGATTTTTTCCCCCCCCAGACCTCATAGTTATTCCTAGGAGTCAAGAAGATGATGCACACAATGTACAAGCAGTAATTGATTCACTGGCCTTGGACTACTTGCAGGTCAGCTTGTCTCACATAACAGGTTGGTATATGTATAACTATCACATAATTATGCATTTTAGTAAAAATAATTGTTAGAACTGTAGACATTGTTTACTTAACCAAATGAGTGAGCTTATGGAGTAGACCAAATTGTAAGATTGAGCTAAGACAATCAACTGATAGAGGTCAGGTCCATACATGAGAACTTTTCCAGGAGAGCTGAACATTGATTTTGCAATTGATCTGGGTCTGAAACGTAAATATCCTAGCTGGTAATTTGAGGTGTGTTTTTTGTTTTTATGTTATGTTGTTTTATTTATTTTTATTTTTTGATTCAGAGTCTCTGTTGCCCAGGCTGGAGTGCAGTGGTGCAATCACAGCTCACTGCAGCCTCAACCTCCCAAGCTCAGGTGATCCTCTCACCTCAGCCTCCCGGGTAGCCGGGGCTACAGGTGTGCACCACCATGCCTGGCTAATTTTTTCTATTTTTTGTAAAGACAAGAGTTTCGCCATTTGCCCAGGCTGGTCTGGAACTCCTGGGCTCAGCTGATCCACCTGGCTCCACTCGTGAAATTGCTGGGATTACAGGCCTGGACCACTGTGCCTGGCCTTCGGGGAACCTGCCCCGATAGTCACGTAGGTTCTTTTCTATTTTATCTAAGCATCGGCAGGTTTGAGAAATAAAGGGACAGAGTACAAAAGAGAGAAATTTTAAAGCTGGGCGTCTGGGGGAGACATCACATGTCTGTAGGTTCCGTGATGCCCCACAAGCTGCAAAAACCAGCAAGTTTTTATTAGGGATTTTCAAAAGGGGAGGGAGTATACGAATAGGTTGTGGGTCACAGACATCAAGTACTTCACAAGGTAATAGAATATCACAAGGCAAATGGAGGCAGGGCGAGATCACAGGACCACCTGACTGGGGTGAAATTAAAATTGCTAATGAAGTTTTGGGCACCATTGTCATTGATAACATCTTATCAGGAGACAGGGTTTTGAGAGCAACCTGTCTGACCAAAATTTATTAGGCGGGAATTTCTTCTTCCTAATAAGCCTGGGAGCGATATGGGAGACTGAGGTCTATTTCAGCCCTACAGTCTACAGACCATAAAAGATGGCCACGCCCGGGGGACCGTCTGTAGACCTGCCCCCAGGCGTGTATTCTCTTTCCCAGGGATGTTCCTTGCTGAGAAAAAGAATTCAGCGATATTTCTCCCATTTGCTTTTGAAAGAAAAGAAATATGGCTCTGTTCCGCCCGGCTCACCAACGGACAGAGTTTAAGGTTATCTGTCTTATTCCCTGAACAATTGCTGTTATCCTGTTCTTTTTTTCAAGGTGCCCAGATTTCATATTGTTCAAACACACATGCTCTACAATTTTGTGCAGTTAACGCAATTATCACGTGGTCCTGAGGCTACATACATCCTCCTCGGTTTACAAGATGACAGGATTAAGAGATTAAAGTGAAGACAGGCCTAGGAAATCACAAGGGTATTGATTGGGGAAGTGATAAGTGTCCATGAAATCTTTACAATTCATGTTCAGAGATTGCAGTAAAGACAGGCATAAGAAGTTATAAAAGTATTAATTTGGGGAACTAATAAATGTCCATGAAATCTTCACAATCCACGTTCTTCTGCCATGGCTTCAGCCGGTCCCTCTGTTTGGGGTCCCTGACTTCTCGCAACACCTGGCCGTATTGTTTTATTTTAAAGCATACTAATGCTACTTGTTTGTGATAGCTAAAAATTAGAAACACCTAAATGTCCATTAGTAGGGATTGGTTAGATAAATCATGATAGCTGCATACAGTGGACTGCTCTGTGGCTGTAAAAGATGACTGAATATGCTCTTTGTGCACAATGTTCCGTGTTGGGAACAATCTCTAGCATATGTGATGCGAGAAAAATGTAGTACAATTATAATGGTAATGTGCAGAGTAGTATGCTAGTGTTTGTAAAAACAAAGGTGTGCAGAAGTATTTGCAGTTGTTTGCAATCGGAAGAACTCTCTAGAAGCATATACAAGAAACTCGTAATACTGATTGCTTCCAACAAAGGGAACCTCAGGGTTGCAGGACAAAGGGACAAGAACTTTCAGTGTATACTTTTTGCACTTGCTGAATTTTGAACCATGTTATCTATTCAGAAGTTTTTTTCTGTAATTAAATCTCCAAAATAAAGTATACTATACTGTATTCTAAAACTAAGCATACCAAATATATTTATAAATCACTGTATTATGTGTATTTCATTTATGTTTAGAAATGAATGATTATTCCAGTAAGTTATTTCAAGCTTATGAATAGAGGGAATATTGACAATGTGAAACTATAATCACAAAAAGAGGATTTATACTGTTGATTTATTCTTTGATAGTTGTAAAAGGAGATAAATGTTAATCAGGATAAGTCCTGATTTACATCTCTTAATTTGATACTGACAAGAACAAATTTTTGCGAAGAGAATAAAATACTCTTCTGTCTTAAGTTTTTTAATGCAGTTCTAGGTGAGTGAATGGGTAAATCAGTTCGGAGATAATTTGAGGGCTACTCCCATAGTTTCCCTCTTTTTTTTGCAATTTGTAATTGCTTTATCACCCAAGTAGGACAAGTTCTGGTATTTGTGCTTGTTAAACATACTATAGCAGGGTTATAAACATACATGTTTGTAAAACTCTTTAATGCAGAGCTGTCTTTGACAGATTACACCCACCCTATGAAAAATTGTAAAACAGTTTCTCCTGCAGCATGAAGCACTGCATTCTGGCTGGCAGTCTTAGTTGCTAGGTTGTCAGTATACTCCCCATCCTAGAAACTGAAAAGTTTTGAGGATGCTCTTGGGATATACTTAGGTATTTTTAAGCCGGAAAAACACGTCCAAAACCAAGATTTCTGGTTCATTGTTTTAAACGAAAAAACTCAAACGTTGTCGTTACTAGTAGTAGTATAAAACGTCAAATTTCTGGTTTAGGTTTGTTTTGCATCATGGCTGAGGTTACGAATGGCTAGATTCTCCCAAATGTCAAATTTCTACACTGCTTTTCCCATATTGGTGTGAACTCATGAGAATGCCAGGCATGATCTCCCAAAGGACAATCAGAGTGTCACAAGGGTTAAGTACTATCTATACCTGAGGTTGATTTGGAGTCCATTTCAGGTGACATTAAATATGTCAAGTTTCCATGCTTTTTGCCAACCCATTTCTATTCAACATTTCAACCTAATCATTTATATTAAAAATCTGTTACGGAGTAGGTACTGTGCTAGGGACTGTGCTATGATCTATGAGTGTAAGTTATGAATATGAAGTGGATATGGTAAGAGATGTAGCTGGAGACGCTGAAGATGGAGTGAGATTTAAAAAGGTTTTATATGCAGGGCTTATATTTCAGAAAGGGAGCCAGGGAAAGGATTTTAATCAGAAAAATGGTATGATCTATACAAAATGAGGAGTTAACAAATATGGGGGGTTATGGTGGAGAATTCAGGAATTTCTGATGAAAGTATCCCAACAAGTTTATTGTTTTTTTTTGTTGTTTTGATGTTACTCTGCTGCTATAATCTTCTGAACAAACCACCATTTAGAATAGGATACCACAATCTGAAAGTGTTCTCTCCTGCCACTTTTTCCCACCAATCTGGTAAAGTTCTGTTTAGCTGCAATATATTTTGGTATAAATCTTACTAGACATGTTTTCTTAAGTCCAATTATTTTGCTTCTCCAAAAAAGGAAGGAATATGCCAGTGAATTATTAGACGCCATATTTAAAGCTTCCCCCTTTTTTTCTTCAAATATAATCAGGCAGCAGGAAATTGTTGTTCTTAATATTTATAATTGTTTCACCTGTATTCTTTTTTTTATTTAATCTCCAAGGAGCTGTAAGTTGGTATGTATCGCCTGTATTCTTAAATAGCATTTTCACAATGTTATATCCAAGTTTCAAGATTATGAAGCTTTCAGATTTCATGGTTAAATTTTTTAATAGCTCTATATTCTGTCTCCAGGAGAAAATATAGTGAAAGGAGATAAAGAATCTATTAAGAATCTCCTGGAAATATTTGATGGTTTGTTGGAGTATCTTACAGAACGCATCAGTGAAACATCTCATGAGAAAAGTAAGTTTAAGAATGGAAATTTGGTTTGGTTTACCTTTTATGATGTGTCCCTTTTGCCTTTTATCTTTTTGTGTATTTTTCTTCATAGGAAGCAGATTCACTAATACAGTATACCTGATAACCGTAGTTGTAAATTTCAAATTCTTATTGTTCCAGCTGGTTGGAAACTGTCTTAGACTGTCATCATGTTCTTTATCAACTTGGATGTTGCTCATAAATTACTTCAAAACTAATTTATACTAGAAAGATAAATTTCTGGCTAAATTATTTATTGTCCTATGATTGCATAAAATTTCTTTCTCCAAAATTTCGTGTGTCAGAACTGCTATTTATGGTAAATATTTGGATGTTACTGAGGCATCAACAGGAAGAATTGGTGCATTTGTGTCTTTAGCCTGCACTTACATTTGTGACAGCCTAAATATTTCAGATATTTGTCATTGCAAAAAGTGAAAGAACTTAACTGTCTTAATAATTTGAGATTAAGTAAATAATGCTGTTGGTCACGAATGGAATAATATATTACCTGTTCTTATGTTGAAAAGTTATCAAAAATAAACTTTCAGCAGCAACCACAATTTACATAAATTCGAATACAAATTAAGACAAAAAATTGGGGTAGGCTCATCCTCCATTCTCACTTTGTTTATAGTGAGACCTGTGATAGTCACATTTGAAATTAATCTTAAAGTCTTTAGTTAGAGATAGTTTCCTACCTTTAATCATTGTTACTAAACTGTTTAAAAACTGGGAGGGAAAATTGAAAAGTCTGCCACACTGGACATTTCTTTGTTTCAAAAATTGAGTGTTTTATAGGCGTCTGGGTACTCTGGGAGGATTCCAAGCTGCTTGTCATGTTGATACTCTCAAACCTGTACTTGAGTCAGGGAGACAGCCATAACTACATACAATAAAAGCATAAAGGGGGAATTAGAACTAGGGGAGAGTATTGACAGGTGGGACTCACCTAATTCAAGGCTACCAGTAGGTATTTGTATGCTGTGTACCTTTCTAGTCTTTTTAGTAACAGGGTTAAGAGGTAGAAAACAACCTCTAAGTAAAGAGATTGAGATTAATTTGAAATGTAAAGAGAGCAGCAGTTTTTTACAGTTTAGTGCTTGCTCGCAGGAAGGGGAGGGATGGTAGTGCCTGGCTAATGATATGGCAGTGGGGATGAAGAGAGGAGGAGGCAACTGAGAGATACTTTTATGTGAGTCTGGTGGTGGTGAAAGACTGAAGGATATTCCCAGGGGAGATCGGCAGTATGTGGTGAGCTACTGGGGAAGTTGCTCAGATAGGCTTCCCTATATGACAGTACCTTAGCTGGACAGCATTTTCTTACAGTCTGCTTCTCATCTTTGCAGGTCTAATATATACTTACCTGGCAATATTTCCTAGAGCTGATCAGGTTCTTCAAAATGCCAGTTAACAGTAATGGGAAACAAATCTTTATTATCACTAATCATATCAGCTGTGCAGGGCAGCTTCAACCTGGGACCTGAGCTAGCATTATCATTTACCACTGAAGAAGGAGGGGTTCGAAGGAAGACCATGGGTTCAGTGCTGGGTTCTTCCTCTCACTATATGATGGCAGCTCTCTAAGCCTGTTTTCTCATCTGAAATTCTTTCATGGTTGTTGTGAAAGTTAAGTAAGTAGATGTGTGTAAACAGTTGGGCACACAGCCTAGCTCAGAGTAAATGCATAATAAATGTTAATTGATGTTATTGAAATGTTGCTTGGTGAATATGGAAGTAGAAAAAAATGAAGGTGGGTGTTTGAATGGTGAATCTCTAGACATGGGCATGAGAATATCCAAAGGGGTAAATCTGAATCATGGGAGGTTTCACCTACATGTATTTTGAAATTATTTCCCTAGTGAGTTATAGCTACTGGTGAAAGTATGTATTCTTCAAGTATGGTGGGGTGGAAAAAGACTGATGGTCTTAAGAAAAATTTCATCCAAGCCCTGATACAGCCTGACTCAGCCTAAGGCATGATTATCTTGGAGCTTGCATTATGTTGACACAATCACGTTTTCTGTCACCTTGATATACCTCAGACATCCTTTACAGATGGAGAGGTATAAAAATATTGAATGGACCTGCCACTGACTTAAAAAATAAAACATTGCTCATACAACTGTAGACCCTGTTTTTAAAGCAATATTCTTGTTTCTTTGTTACTCGAATAATACATGCTCATTACAGGTGATTTGGTTCTTTCTGATTGCACTTTCACTAGAACCCTGTTTACCATGGCAAGTTAGGGGTGCCTCACTGTCCTTACCTTTCCCTGCCTCTTACATAGAAAAAGTAGTATTCACTTAGGGGTTTTTTGGTA
The DNA here is from genome assembly GCF_000001405.40 of Homo sapiens. Lineage (NCBI taxonomy): Eukaryota > Metazoa > Chordata > Mammalia > Primates > Hominidae > Homo > Homo sapiens. Next base: position 64,516,700 of record NC_000017.11, read on the forward strand.
TTGTTTTTATCTGTTCTGAACAGGTGAAACTGAACAGTATTTTAAAGAATCTGATCGAGGAGAACGTTTGGAAGAGCCAGAAAGTACTAAAGAATCTAAATCATCATGGAAAAGAGTTTCTTTTGGGAGGTAGCACTTAGTGTCTCTGAATTTGATGAAAACAAGTTACGCTTTTTGGACTAAGAATTAAAATCACACGTAATATACCAAGATGGCACCAAAAAAAGCTAATGTGAAACTTCTACTAACTTCTCATATTTTAAACTTTCCTGAGGGAGTTTTAAGAACCTTGAGTTACATATAATACCTAAATCTCAGTATCAACTATCTACTCATTTTTATATTTTTCTTTTTTTTTCTTTTTTGAGACGGAGTCTCATTCTGTTGCCCAGGCTGGAGTGTGGTGGCATGATCTCGACTCACTGCAAACTCTGCTTCCCAGGTTCAAGGGATTCTCCTGCCTCAGCCTCCTGAGTAGCTGGGATTACAGGCACGCGCCACCATGCCCGGCTAATTTTTATATTTTTAGTAGAGATGGGGTTTCACCATGTTGGTCAGGCTGGCCTCGAACTCCTGATCTCAGGTGATCCACCTGCCTTGTCCTCCCAAAGTGCTGGGATTACAGGCATGAGCCACCGCGCCTGGTCCCTGTTTTTCTCTTAATCATCAAAGTACGTCATCATCTTTGCAAAAAACTTGCAAAATAGAAAAAGCAGGAAAAAAAATCTATTCCGAACTAAATAACTGCTGTTAACATTTTGTTAAATTTTTTAGTCCTTTTTACTATTTTTTTCTTTTTTGGATTTAGTCATATGTCTATATAATTTCGTTGCCTGCCCCTCACCCCTGCTTTTTTAATAAAGAGACAGGGTCTTGCTCTGACACTCATGGTGGAGTACAGTGGCGTGATCAGAGTTCACTGTAGCCTTGAACTCCTGAGCTTAAGCCCAAGTAGCTGGGACCACAGGTGTGCGCCACCACACCTGGCTAATTTTTTTTTTTTTTTTTTTTTTTAACAGAGATGGCATCTTGCTATATTGACCAGGCTGGTCTTGAATTCCTGGCCTCAAGCGATCCTCCTGCTGCAGCCTCCCAGAGTGCTGGGATTATAGGCATGACCCACCTCACCAGGCTCGTTTCCTGCATTTTTAAACTTAACATTAAGTGTTCTCAAGTTGTTTAATTTTTTTTTTGAGACACAGTCTTGCTGTGTCACACAGGCTGGAGTGTGCAGTGGCACAATCTCAGCTTACTGCAACCTCTGCCTCCCGGTTTCGAGTGATTCTTGTGCCTCAGCCTCCTGAGTAGCTGGGACTACAGGTGCACGCCGCCACGGCTGGCTAATTTTTGTATCTTTAGTAAAGGTGAGTTTTCACCGTGTTGGCAAGGCTGGTCTTGAACTCCTGACCTCAAGTGATCCGCCTGCCTCAGCCTCCCAAAGTGGTGGGATTACAGGCGTGAGCCCCTGCGCCCAGCCTCAAGTTGTTAAATTCTTTATAATAATTTGTAATCACTGTATAACATCATTCATGTGGATGCTTCATAAATTACTAAGCCATTCCTCTAAAGTAGAGAGTTTTTTTAAATATTATCAAAAACGTGATACTTAATGTTTATTCTTTTTTTCCTCATATCTTGAGGCTAGATTCAGAGTAAGACAGTGTAAATGTTTTAAGGCTAATAATAAAAGTTGCCAGACTGTTTTCCAAAAAGGCCATGACTGTACATTTACCAACAGTATAGCAATGCTGGGTTACAGGACCTTCATGAGCCAGTATCATTGATCATTTTCACAGTTTTTAAACTTGTGCTTCTTTCATAGACAAAAATGTATTGTCATGACAGGTTTGATTGCACTTCTTGCTAACTAGAGGTTGAGCATAATGCTATGTCTTCATGGTTCGAAGAGCACAGGCAATGCCTTCTTTTTTAGGTATAGTACATTGTAAAAAATGTGTCTCAGAGGAGACCATCATAAGATGAAATTTTTTTTTTTTTGAGACAGAGTTTTGCTCTTGTTGCCCAGGCTGGAGTGCAGTGGTGCAATCTCGGCTCACTGCAACCTCTGCCTCCCAGGTTCAAGCAGTTCTCCCGCCTCAGCCTCCAAAGTAGCTGGGATTACAGGCGCCTGCCACCACGTCCAGCTAATTTTTTGTATTTTTAGTAGAGATGGGGTTTCACTATGTTGGCCAGGCTGGTCGCAAACCCTGACCTCAGGCAATCCACCTATGTCTGCCTCCCAAAGTGCTAGGATTACAGGTGTGAGCTACCATGCCCGGCCTGATGAACTTCTTTCCATAAGAATTTTAAAGTAACAAAATAAGCGCAAAAGTGAAACAATTGAAGGATATTTAATGCAAAGTTAGCATCCCACCCCCTTCACTCCCACACCCTAGAGTCACCAGTATTTGCTGTTCTCCTATACATTTAATCGTTGACACTTTATATACAGCTATTTCTACCATTCATATATCAGTGAAAACAAAACATAAGCAGCAAGACATGCTAAGCAGCAAAAGGGAGAGTCTTTTCCTTTTTCTGCACCCAGCAGCTCTCCAGGTCCTCAGGGGAAGGGCCCTCTGGTCAGGCTGGGCCCTGAGTGAAGGAGGGAACTTTTCCAGGTGCTCCTTGTCTTCTGAGATGTTGGGCCCCTCTTGGGATGGAGATGAAGCAGAATCCACTGGTGAAATCATTAGACTTGGAGACACAGCACACACCTTTTCTCTAAGAAGTAATGGTGAGTAGTTAAACCTGAAGTATCAGTTATTATTCAACATACAACTATAAAAATGTAAATGGTATGTAGGAGTGTTTAAAATTGAGAAGAATAGAGTGCTAACTGGACATGGGATTTGAAATTCCAGAATATCCCACTACCCATTAAATATGAACACTTATCTGAAGTCGCAGGCATATGGGCAGATAAGTCCAAGGCAAATAAGTGTATGCAAGGTTATTAGGTAATTTGCGGTTCCTTATAACCTGGGAAGAGAATTATGGATGCAGCTTATAGTCTGGTCACGCTTTCAGGGTATTCTTTAATTGTAGTTTCCTGAACTGGTGGTTGACTCACTTTTTTCATTGTTTGAACCAATAAGTTCGTATATGCAGTAGCAATTTTTCTTCTAGGCTTCAGGCCAGATTTCCAACAGCCTATTGCTTGCACATAGTAGACCCGGATATCTTTCAAGCCCCAATTTTGAGCCTCCAACCTTGCCCTCCTCCAATCATCCTACTCCATCCTGTCCACCGTGGCTTCATAAATTACTAAACCAGTATATGGACCACAAGTCTTGGAATGTTCTCCCTTACTTTTGGTTCCTGGCAAACTCACCCTCCAGTAGACCAAAAAGCTATGCTTGCCATTGGGATAGGCACAGAAACGGAAGGACCAGAGTCAAGTGTGGATACTACAAAAATGTTTCTTGAAGTAGGAGAATCAGATGGATTGATTGGGAATGGAAGGGATGGTGATTGCAGAAACGGGTTCTGTGATGTCAAGTGCTATGTAAAAAAGATGTTACTGTAAAATGAATTACTTATTTTAACATTATAAGTAGAGAGGGGAATTGTGTTTAAGAGTAATGCAATTAAGGCAAAGGAAAAAAGATTCAGAGAGATGCCTGGCCAAGGTGTTTGGGTTTGATGTGATAAAAGGGCTTATGGCAGCTTCCTTTCATATTGAGATTTAAAGTGTCAGATAACTGTCATATACATTCACAGGCATCTAATTTAAGCTTCAATATATGGACCATAGTCTTTTTTTTTTTTTTTTTTTGACACTAGGTCTTGCTCTGTCACCCAGGGTGGAGTGCGGTGGCGCAATCTCGGCTCACTGCAACCTCTGCCTCAGCCTCTCAAGCGGCTGGGATTACAAGTATGTGCCACATGCCCAGCTGATTTTTGTATTTTTAGTAGAGATGGGGTTTCGCCATATTGGCTAAGCTGGTCTTGAACTAATAACCTCAAGTGATCTGCCTGCCTTGGCCTCCCAAAGTACTGAGATTACAGGTATGAGCCACTGCGCTTGGCCTGGACCATGAGTCCATGTTTCTGGTACTAGCTAAGACCCTAACTCTGGTGTCTATTCATACCAAGACATGTCCATAAAACAGCCAGCATTTCCGTAACTCTGGCATCTATTTTTCTAAAGCTAAATAATGAAACATTGTATGAAACTTTGCTTTTAAATTGTATAAATGATTCTGGATTACAAAATGGCATCTTACTTTCTGATAGCAATTAAAAATAATTGATATTATGGCCCGTCACAGTGGCTCACGCCTGTAATCCCAGTACTTTGGGAGGCTGAGGTGGGCGGATCACCTGAGGTAGGAGTTCGAGACCAGCCTGGCCAACATAGTGAAACCCTGTCACAATACAAAAAATTAGCCAGGCATGGTGGCGGGTGCCTGTAGTCCCAGCTACTCTGGAGGCTGAGGCAGGAGAATTGCTTGAACCTGGAAGGTGGAGGTTGCAGTGCAGCGAGATCACGCCATTGCACTGCAGCCTGGCGACAAGAGGGAAATGCTGTCTGAAAAAGAAAAATAATAATTGGTATTTTGAGCAGTTGGACCAACATTATTTCGTTCAACATTATTTAATATTTGTTTCCTGAGTACAAAACTCTTGGCTTTTAGTATAATGTTCAGCAAACTATTTTGATAGTTAAAAATTTTACCTTTAATATTTTCTTTCCTAGGTGCTCAATGTCCTAATGAAATGCTGTCTAAAAAAGCCTTAGCCTCACCAAGTTCTAAATCACATGAAGATATGTTGTACCCTCCTAGTGTTTTGTCCAAGAGTAGGACATCCTTTGTTGAAGACAGTGAGTTGTAATGGATGTTAGTTCTTTACTGCTGATGATCATTCTTGGGGCAATTGTTGTTGCCATTAGCCTTTTTACTTTTATTGCTGTATATGAGATCCTTTTTGGTCTTACATGATCTTACTTGTAAATGTTTGCTATTAATTATGGTATCTGAATTCTGCTTAACATGGTCTTTGGTTGCATATTTTTGCATCCACTATTTTATTATCTAAATTCTCACCACTTACCTTTTTTTTTTAATGGGACAGAGTCTCTGACACATTAGTACATCTATTGGTGGTCTTCATATTATTGGTAAATAACAAAGTATAGTAACTGGAAAAACATTCTTTTTTTATTGTTTCGAGACAGAGTCTAGCTCTGTTGCCCAGGCTGGAGTGCAGTGGCATGATCTCGGCTCACTGCAACCTCCGCCTCCTGGGTTCAAGCGATTCTCCTGCCTCAGCCTCCCAAGTAGCTGGGATTATAGGCGCTTGCTACCACGCCCAGCTAACTTATTTTTAGTAGAGATGGGGTTTCACCATGTTGGCCAGGCTGGTCTCGAACTCATGACCTCGTGATCCGCCTGCCTCAGCCTCCCAAATTGCTGAGATTACAAGCGTGAGCTCCCGCACCCGGCCTGGAAAAATCATTCTTGTTTCTTATTATCATCTCTGGAATTTTCATATGGTAGTAATACATAAAAATATTACTGCCTAACTGGTTTTGTAACGTGGACGAACCATAATTCACATAACATAACATTCTTCAAGCCATTTAAGTTGCTTCCAGTTTTTAAAGTAACTTTCAGGGAACAGTTTTATGATAATAACATTAAAATTACATCCGGGGCCAGTCATGGTAGTTCACACTTGTAATCCCAGCACTTTGGGAGGCCGAGGCAGGAGGATCACTTGAGCCCAGGAGTTGGAGACCAGCCTGGGCAACATAGCGAGACCTCATCTCTACTTTTTTTAAAAATTAAAAAAAAAAAATTACATCCTAATTTAATTAGATCCCTGTGTGCTGAGGCTATATCCCTGGTTTAATTATTTTTTTATGTGCTTTGTCTTAAGTTTAAAAAATATTTCTAATGTATGTGAACATGTTTATATAGGTATGTATGTATGTATATAAAATGGTTTATTTCTTAGAATTGCATCGTAATATCCACTTTAATTTGTCTTACTAGCGGAAACCCTTTCTGTGAGTGGGATTCCAAATGCTAGGAAGCTAGGGGAGCCTATCCGAGCAGCTATTCCTTTACATCCACCCTACCACCCTTCAGAGCCTCGAGCACCCTGCCCCATAGGAAAAGAATACTTGCATTCAAGTCACTGCTCCCCAGCCGTAAATTCTACTGGAGAGCATACGGAATTTTCTGGGGTAAGTGGAAAAGCTTACTTTCAGTTGGCTAGAAGTACACTTGTATGTATGTCTGTGTGTGTGTTGGTAATTGATTAGAAGGCCGTGTGTGTGTATGTGTATTGGTGAAGTCTTTATTCTTTGTCAAGGAAGCCCCTATATTTAAAGAAGTCTGCTAGAATTGTCAAGCATATTGCACTAGTCAAAGCATCGTACTCCTTAAAATTTGCCTCTGTATACACCTGCACATTCTTGTTCTAGGAAGATAGGAGAAAAACGAATGCATATAAAGGGAAATAATAAGAGCCAACACATAGTGAATGTTTATGTTGTGCCAGGCGCAGTTCTGGATACTTTAGGGGTATTGAATAATTTACTGCCCATAACAACTCTGGAGTAGCTACTATATTTATTTATTGTTGGGAAGCTGATGTAGAGAGGGCAAGGTTACACAGCAATTACAGAGTCAGGATTTGAACTTGGACATTCTGGCTTCAGAGTCCATATTGTGTCCGTAATTTAATAATTTCAAATTTAGAAAACACAGAGTGGAAAAGAAAATAACCATCCATGCATATTCCCATTATCCACCATGAACCACTGTTAACATATTGATCTATTTGGTTCAATTGCAGTGAGCCAAGATCACGCCACTGCGCTCCAGCCTGGGTGACAGAGTAAGACTTCATCTCAAAAAAAAAAAAGAAAAAACCTTTTTTATATAGTCATCCTGTCCTTATCTTTCTAAAAAGAACAGGACTGGGTTCGGTGGCTCACACCCATAATCCCAGCACTTTGGGAGGCTCATGTGAGTGCCAGAGTTTGAGACCACCCTGGGAAACATAGTGAGACCTTGTCTCTGCTAAAAATAGAAAATTAGCCTGGAGTGGTGGTGCATGCCTGTGATCTTAGCTACTTAGTAGGCTGAGGCAGGAGGATCACTTGAGCCCAGGAGCTTCAGTGAGCTGTGACCACACCACTGCATTCCAGCCTGGGCAGCAGAGCAAGACCCTGTCTCAAAAAGAAAAAAATAAAATAAGAAAAACAACAGGCAGGTATGTACACAGGGTAGATATATAAACAGTGATACATTTTCATTATTTAAACATTCAAGCAATGCATTAAAAGTACAGAGATGAAATAAGCATTATTAACAATAGGTGACCACATTCTCAACATTCTGTGCATCTAAACAGGAGAGGGATTAGATAAAAAGAGGTGTTAAAATGGAGTCATAAGATAATGTTTACTTTTGGGGGAATCATAGTGGGGGTTTTAGAGATATTTCTGAGTTGGTAATACTCTGTTTCTTGACCTGGGTGGCAGTTAAAGGGGAGTGTTTATTTTCAAATAATTCATTGAGCTAGAAATACTTTATTTTAAAAGTTTTATTAAAATATGATTATATTTTAGTTGCTATTTAGTAAAAGGTTGTTTGTTTTATTTTTTTTTGAGACAGAGTGTCGCTGTGTCGCCCAGGCTGGAGTGTAGTGGTGCAGTCTGCACCCACTGCAACCTCCACCTCCCAGGCAAGTGATTCTCCTGCCTCAGCCTCCCAAGTAGCTGGGACTACAGGCACACGTGCCACCACACCTGGCTGATTTTTTTTAAAAATATTTTTAGTAGAGACGGGGTTTTGCCATGTTGGCCAGGCTGGTCTCAAACTCCTGGCCTCACCTGCCTGCCTCTGCTTCCCAGATTGCTGAGATTATAGGCATGAATCACCATACCCAGCCTACTAAAGGGTATTTAATTTTACTTTAATAGAAAAAGATAATGAAGTGAAATTAAAGATATCATTAAACATTAAATAAATGGCCGGGTGCGGTGGCTCACACCTGTAATCCCAGCACTTTGAGAGGCTGAGGTGGGTGGATCACGAGGTCAGGAGTTCAAGACCAGCCTGGCCAAGATGGTGAAACCCTGTCTCTACTGAAAATACAAAAATTAGCCAGGCGCGGTGGCAGGTGCCTGTAATCCCAGCTACTCTGGAGGCTGAGTCAGGAGAATTGCTTGAACCCAGGAGGTGGAGGTTGCAGTGACCCAAGACTGCACCACTGCACTCCAGCCTGGGTGACAGTAAGACCCCATCTCAAAAAACAAAAAAACAAACAAACATTAAATGTTTCTTCATCACAAGAAGTATTTTCTAAAAGATTATCTCTAAGACCAAGAAATAAATTTAGCCGGACACGGTAGCTCATGCCTGTAATCCCAGCACTTTGAGAGGCTGAGGCGGGTGGATCACTCGAGGTCAGGAGTTCGAGACCAGCCTGGCCAACATGCGAAACACCGTCTTTACTAAAAATACACAAAAAAATTAGCCAGGTGTTGTGGCATATACCTGTAATCCCAGCTACTAGGGAGGCTGAGGCAGGAGAATCGCTTGAACCTGGGAGGCGGATCAAGCCATTGCACTCCAGCCTAGGCAACAGAGGAAAACTGTCTCAAAAAAAAAAGGAAATTTAAAATGTTAAGGGTTTATATTCATATTTTGAGAGGTGTTGTCTTTGTTTTAACTGTTTCAATTTTGGACAGCCTTTATTGACATTGATACAAAAGATAGCCACTTGAATACTTTGTACTAGTGATAATTTTTTTGTTGCTCAGGTATAGTGGTAATCCCTGAAATTTCATATTTAGAGAACACCTGGCCTGTGTTTTTATTTGAATGGCATCCTGAGCCACATTTGTTCTCTGAGCACAAGTTTCTAGACATTGCTCCAGTCCTTTGGTGCACTGGGTGTCAATAGGGTCTTTTGACAAATGCACTTCAAAACACGGAGATTGAAGGCACGTAGCTTTGTGCCACAGTTCCTCCCTTCCTCACTCCCAGAAAGTTCATGTTTCTTATTTGTAGCTTTTTCAAATCAACTTTTTTTCTGTTTTTAATAGGATCTAGATGATGGACTTTTCTTAATTTCCAAGTTGCCTAAAGGCAGCAAATGGGAAGTATATCCAGCTCAGGTCCAAGGGCCTAGGACAAGGAAGCCTCCCAAAGGAAAAAGGTAACATTACTGCAGACTTCAGTGTTTACAGTCTGTTTACAAAGGAATTTGAAAATGCAGGGGCATGATCTCCAAATTTAGCTGTGAAGACCAGAATGAAGTATTTGTTAAAGTACGTATTACAGTTATTTTAAACTAAATAATAGACACCTAGCTATTTTACTGTCAAATGGTCACTTTTATTACAGAAATGAAAACAGAGCTACAGCCTCATCCTGCAATTCACCTTTCCCCCAGAGGCCAAGAAAGAGATTAACAGAACAAGAATTACATGATGTATCAGAAAAACTCTCTCAGCGGCTTTCTGAACTAGATTGGGCAAGTCTTGTTTTTTCATCTATATTGAGATTCCCATGGGTTAAGTGAGCATTTAAGTAATCTCTCAATTGAAAGTGAGGTATTAGAAAATTAGTTGTGTCTTATTAATAGTTACTGTGAAAATGTTCCGTAAGTCAAGCAGGTAGAACAGGAAGTGATCTCTCAGCGTTTCATGATCTAACTAAATTTGGTGCAGATTTATCCAAATTTTATTGAATTCTGATGAAAACTAAATCATTTAACATAAACGATTATGTTAAGCCATTTTTCTTTAGATATGTCTTTATAGTTCCCCTTTGCCGCTAAAGACAGATCTGGTATAAAATTGGATGGATCACTGATTCTCACAAAATACAATATTACAGTTTTAAGGTATCATTGAATGAATGTTTTAAATCCCTACGTGACTTTTTCTAAAGTTTATTGAAACTTAGTGATCCATAGCACTGATATACACCTTTTTAAAACTAAACATGTATGCCAGGTGTGGTGGCTCACAACTGTAATTCCAACACTTTGAGAGGCTGAGGCAGGTGGATCACTTAAGCCCAGGAGTTTGAGACCAGCCTGGGCAACATGGCAAAACCCCATCTCTACAAAAAATAAAAGATTAGCCAGGCTTGGTGGCATATGCCTGTAATCCCAGCTACTCAAGTGGTTGAGATGGGAGGATCACTGGAACCCAGTAGGCAGAGGTTACAGTGAGCCCAGCTAGCACCACTGCACTCCAGCCTGGGTGACAGAGTGAGATCCTGTCTCAAAATAAAAGTAAATAATTAAACATGCATAAGCGTCTGAAAACTTGTTATTAGTGACTGTCAAAGGAAGCTTTTTTAAAGGTCTGCCTACTCCTACGAATTTACATTCTGCTGAAATCAGTGAAAGATGTTGAAAAGAATTTTCTCAATAGATGTTAAAAAGTGCTCTGGGTGATCGGATTAAAGAAAAGACTGACCATAAAGAAGAAAATACTGGAAATGAGGAGGTAGAGGATGGAACTGAGGAGACACTGTCTCAGCACAGTGATGGCATCGTGGAGTATGGGCCAAAGAAGTCAAGGCCAGGTACTTACCCCAGAGAGACTGAGAAGGGGGACATCCATGTGAACTACTTAGGCAGTTCCATCTGTTCTTAATAACTTATATTCTAATTTTAAATAGTTGAGAAATATATAAAAGGATCAAAAGTAATATCAAACACCTGGATCTTCCCCATCTAGAAGTAGCAAGTGTTAACAATTATATTTGCTTTAGCCCCTTTGTGTTTAAGAAATAAAACAGTAGAAACCCCCTCTGCTCTCCCCACAGATCTCTTTTCCCCACCCTCAGTGCAACCACTGTCTTAAAGTTGGCATCTTTTCTTCTGATCCTTGTTTTTATACTTTAAGAGCTCATGCATTACTTGTCTAAACATAGTATTGTTTTATGTTGTTTAAAAATTTACATACTGTATATATTATTCTGCAACTTGCGTTTTTTTCTGACATTGTCTTAGAAATCTATTTATGTTGATCCTTACAGATCCAGCTCATTCATTTTAACTGCAGTGTAACTGAGTTCTTACAGTGTGTCACTTTTGTGTGGGTATATGTATAGCAGTATCCATTTCCCCTACTGCTGGACATGACTGAGTTCTTGCAGTGTGCCACTTAATGTGTGTGTGTGTGTGTGTATATATATATATATATATATACACACACACACACACGCGTGTAGCACTATCTATTTCCCCTATTGCTGGACATGTTGTTTCCAGTTTTCATTACTATAAAAATTCTGCAATGAACAGCCTAGAATATGTGTAAGAGTTTCTGTGATATCTCCATCTAGTAGGATTGCTGGATCATAAGGCCTACATTTCTTCACCACTGCCAACTTGCCCACCAAAGTGATTGCACTGCTTTATACTCGTATCAGCAGTTTCTGGTTTGCCGTGTCTTTGCAGATACTTCTACTGTTTGATATGCCATTGTTCAAATCCAATTATCCTGTCTTCCACCAACTAAAATCCTGCATATTTTACATTTAGTTTTATCTACTTTGGTCATCCATTGTTTCTTCAGAAATAGTCTTTTTCTGATCCAACTTCCTTAACTTTTTCAGTTGTTTTTTACTCCTTCAAGAATGCTCTTTCCTTCTCTTGATTATTTCCTCTCTCTTCCCTTTAAAAGGACTCAGCTAATTTCTAGGCACCCTCATCCAGGAACCTCTTCCTTTCCCTTTTTATGTACATACACATGGTATCCTATTGTGAAAACAGGTTATAAATTAAAATATTATTTCAAGTGCGTCTTCAGTTTCTAGAGAAAAATACATCATGAGCAGCTATCATTTAAAATAGATTATGCAAGTCAGTTTTTAAAAATACATCTTAGAATTTGAAATGTGAAAGACTTGAATTAAAAGCATGTGAAAAAAATAATAAGCTCGGAAAATTTATTTATAAAGGTACCAAACTAGCTTCCTTGGTCTTAAGGCTATGTTGAAGTGCTTTTCCCACTGGAGTCACCCTCTTCACAACTAGCAGATCCCCAGACACACCTATAGACAATGGGATAAAAAGGTTTGTAGAAGGAAATGGTTTATTAGATCTCTTTGGCAGTGTGCAATTAGGAGGGCTAGATTGCTAAGTAGGGAAAAATTGAGACCACTTAGACAATGCTTAACACATTAACTTTGCCTATAAGCATATATAATAAGATAGATATGTATGCTTACATCCCACCTTCTCAGGACCCAGATAGGTAAAAGGATAGCAGATGCGTGGCTCAGATAATTTACCTTTTCTCTCTTTGCATCTCCCCCTATCACCAAGAGCACTCTCCATAGTCCTTTGTGCATAGGAGGCATTCCACATGTTGAATATCCAAAGTTGAATGTAGAAGCTAAGTATTTGAGACAGTACACATTTGTATGCATTTGTCTGTTTACTTGGTGTTACCATACCAATTCAAGTTAGTTACAGGAGAGAGTCCCTTTAGCACATTCACTCATCAGTCTCTTTGGATTTAGTGAAAACCAACTTTGGTTTCCAGCATAACATTCTGGCTATCAGGAACTAATGTTATATGTCTTTTCTCTGTTGCAGGACTTTCCATGCGTAGAAAGCCACCCTACAGATCCCATTCGCTCTCTCCATCTCCAGTTAACAAACACAAACAGTTCCACTTGGAGAGAAAAAGGCAGCGCAAGCCAAGAGAAACAGATGTCCGCCAATTCCAAGCACAGGTTCTTCCCCATCTCTTGACTACCATTAAGCAGCAGCCAGTACCATTTCCCCTCAGCCAGATGCTACCATGAACATGCTGTTGATTTAGGCTTAAAATACATTTAATATTCTTGAGCGGAGTGGATGATAGAGAGCTATGTGACATAGCTTATGTCTTTGTTAGCATAAAATTATACTCATGAAACTCTTAAAAAAAATAACCTGGCTGGACATAGCTTGGTGTTCCAGTAGATTAAGAAAGAGGAGATCAGTGTGAGTTGTTATTTTCAGAGTGAGCTTCAGAGATGAAGGGAATTTGAGGTGGATTAAACGTGAAAGGCCACTTGAGTTACAGAGAAGATGAGATCAAGTACCCAAGACAGGAATGAGAGGAGGTGGTTGGGATTCAACAACAGGGAGATTGGTATGATTACCTAGGAAGACTTTCCACTGTGGAATGTGGATTTTGAAATGTAGCATGGATTTAGAACACTTATTTGCAGTAGTAGGTTTTATAATGCGGTAGGATTTATAATGGTGAAAAACTAAAACCAATTCAGACATCTTACACTCATTTGTAACTCAGCATGTAACTTCCACTCAGGAGAGTATCAAAATGATTGCAAAAACTTGAGAACAGAAAAAACGCATGATGTAAAATTTCATTTTATGTCCCAATTATATATGTTAAAGTAATGTAGAGATTTGTGAGGCAGGTGCAGTGGCCCTGCACTTTGGGAGGGTGAGACAGGTGGATCACCTGAGGTCGGGAGTTCGAGACCAGCCTGGCCAACATGTTGAAACCCCATCTCTACTAAAAATACAAAAATTAGCCAGGCATGGCAGTGCACACCTGTAGTCCCAGCTACTCAGGAGGCTGAGGCAGGAGAATCACTTGAACTCGGGAAGTGGAGGTTGCAGTGAGCTGAGTTTGTGCCACTGCCTCCAGCCTGGGCGAGAGTGCGACTGTCTCAAAAAACAAAACAAGAAAACCATACATTTGTGATATAGAGTCTGAAAGGAATTTTTTTAAAAAGTGAATGAGCTTGATATTTTAGGGGTGGCAGGTATCCTAGGTGAATTTTTTTCCTCTTTTGTATTTTTTTTTTTTTTTTCTCAAGGTGGAGATTCACTCTTGCCGCCCAGGCTGGAGTGCAATGGCATAATCTTGGCTTACCTCAACCTCCGTTTCCCGGGTTCAAGCGATTCTCCTGCCTCAGCCTCCCGAATAGCTGGGATTACAGGCATGTGCCACCACGCCCAGCTAATTTTGTATTTTTAGTAGAGATGGGGTTTCTCCATGTTGGTCAGGCTGGTCTTGAACTCCTGACCTCAGGTGATCCACCTGTCTCATCCTCACCGCACGCGGCTAAGAGCTTGGATGCTCGGTTGAGGCACCATTGGAATTGAAACTCAGGATCTCCTGTTTACTAGACAGGTGCTTTAACCAGCTAAGCCATGGTGCTGCCCGTTGTGTATGTTTTTAATAACTGTAATATATGACCTTTTCCCCTTTAGGCGTTTACTGAAGCATTTGAAAGGGAACTAAGAAGACATAAAGTTCAAGAGAATATTGGACCTCTAAGAATACATGAGAAGGAGGAGGAAACAGTGGGTAAAAGTCTCCACTGTAATAAATGCCATTTGATCAGATGAGTGGGAAGTACAAAGATGATCTTTTTAAAAGAAGAAGGGGCCAACAGGGCCTTAATCATGAGCTCTTTAGGAAAAGGCAGGATTTCATGTCATGATACAGGACTTGCTTATTAATAAGGCATTCAGGTTGCTAAAATATGACGAGACATGGTTCCAAAGAAAAGTAGTGTTTTTCCGCTACTTAAAACTTCCCATCAGTTTTTAAGGGTTTATTTGACTTAGCAGTTCACCAGGGGCTTAAAAACTACTCTAGGCTGACAAAATTAAAGAAGAGTAAGAGAAGACAGAACATCCTAGTTGGCTATAGACCTGGTTGTAAGAAACCCAAAACAGAAGTTTTCATTGCCTTTCAAAAGAATGGTTACAGAAACTAAGTGAAATCATGGGGAAAATGCTTATGCTAAAATATTCATGAACAAAACAGGATATAAAGTACAGTATGGTTACAACTAAGCATACTGCATAGTTGCCTGAGAATTTTTTAAATCTACATGGAAAAAGAGAAGTACATTGAAACATTAATGGTTAAAAAAAAGATTAATAGTGGTTGTATTTAGGGTGTGGGACTATGGTGACTGAAACTTGAAAAAGATTCAGTGCTTTTTCAAATTCCAAGGGATGCCAGAGGCCAAAAGGTGCATTTAACTTAGAGTAAATGAATATTAACCAGATTTTACAAATTTGAAGTAAGGTGGTTTGGCTTACTGTTAGCTAAAAAACTAAAAAACTACCGTTAGCTGTTTTTGTCAGTATGTAATATTTAAGATGATGTATGAAAGAACTGTTAGACCTTTTATTTTTATTCTGTTTTATATCTGCTTCTAAGGAAAAAATATACAGAGGAGAAGCTGTTCGTAAAGGAACTCCAGAATGTAGTCAGCCCTGGAAGATTTACTCTAGAAAAACCACAACGCAGAGTCTAAGAGGTGGCCTCCCAAAGCCAAATAAAGCAGTTCCAAGTAAGAACCACAGAATTGTACTTTATGGAAAACTGGCAACCTTTGAAAGCATGTGCAACATTCCAAGGACACAGCACTGAAAGCTAACATCCACCAGTTAGCCGAAGAAAGTTTTTTTTTTTTCCCAATCACTGCCATGTGGCTGGTTTTCCGTAGAGGGCTAAAACTCTTCAATAAGGAAGTACTTCAGGGAGGCCTATATATTGGCACCCAAGGAATGCCAGGACTGCCACCTGCTGCTCCAGCGTTAGCCTCACTCGTGTGCTTACTCACTTTGACTGCCTTTTTGTCTATTTCTGGGAGGTTGGTAGAATGAAAGGGATGCTCCAAGGCAAGCAGATGGCCTGTCCACCTCCTATATATTGACAGTGCCAATGAGTGTAGAGTCTTGTTACAAGAAACAAAGTCATGAGAAATGCCAGGCTTCCTGTTACACCCAAAGACTGCTGGCCCTCCTACTCTATCCTTTAGACCAGAAACTTTTTCTTCTAAGCACTTGCCTACCGGGAAGGTTGAGGAGTCTTGTTTTACCGTACGTAGAGAATCTACCCACAGGCACTGAAGCGGCTGAGCAATTAGGATGGACTTCCCAGGACCAGCATGGCATCAATCCAGAACTATTGAGCTTATTTTTATCCTTACCAGTAGTTGGCTTACTCCAATCAGAGGAGTAATGCAAATTATTATAAGTACATTTAGAATTGTTCTTTTCAGGATCAAAACCACATCACTTACATAAGCTTTGATCTACCAGGGATGTTGGATGACAGTTCTTGTCCACGTCTCAGATTAAGAACATCTTATTTTACCTTGCAGTGAAAGTAAGTGAACACAGTCTCCTGCCCCTTATGCTGGAGCAGTTTCCGTTTCTTTATGTTTCTGGCCCAACACTAAGCAAAATGTGGAAACAGCAAATTGCACAGGTTGAACAGCTTAAGAAAGAAGCATGTAGAGAAAATCGATCAAAGAAGAAACTCCAAGATGAAGTAAGTTACTGTCAGTCTTAAGCATAGGAATTTAAATGAGAAGAGCTTATCCTTAAGAATTTAGTGAACAGCATTATTAACCTACTTAACTTCATGTCCCCCTTCAAGATAGAAGAAGCCCTAAGAAGGCATGACCTCCTTACTACCCTTGTCAAGAAAGAATATGAACATAACAAGAGACTGGTATGTCAAGAGCAAGTTGGGTATTATAATTCTGAATTTGTTATATTCATTCCCTTTATCTGTGCTAGCTGGGCAACAGTTGCACAGACCCTTAACCTCTTAACACCTGCATGTGGAAGTGTTGCCTAGGTCTTTAACCAAAATTGATAGCCCATGCCTGTAATCCCAGCACTTTGGGAGGCTGAGGTGAGAGGATCACTTGAGACCAGCCTCAGCAACATAGTGGGACCCTGTCATTAAAAATATATATATGGGTGTGGAAAAAATGAGCCTGGCATGGTGGCATTTGCCTGTGGTCCCAGCTACTTGGGAGGCTGAAGTGGGAGGATCACTTGAACGTGGGAGGGCGAGGCTGCAGTGAGCTATGATCTTGCCACTGCACTCCAGCCTGGGTGCCAGAGTGAGACCCTGTCTCAACAACAACAAAACACACAAACCCAAAATGGGCAGGAGGAAGAGCTAGGTACTTTATATACACAGTTTCAGTTAGTCTTCATAGTAATGTATTAGAGATGTTTTCTATGAAATGAAAACCCTGAAGCTTTGAGATACTAAGTAACTTGCCCTGGGTCTCACTGATAAGCAAGGGACACAGCTGAGATTTTAATCCAGTTCTGTCTGTGGACTCCATGGACCCATCTAGGTGCCAAGCAGCTGAACTTAGTGCTGTTTGCCCTCTCCCATCCTTCTCAGGTCCCAAGTAGAGAGCTCCAGGATTTATCAGCCTCCGTTATAATTTTGACTAGGAATTGTGCTTAGAGAATTACGAAGGGAGAGGATGGAGGTCAGAAACAATCTGCCAAAGGGAGAGATTTAAAAATCTTTGCCTGAGTGTGGAGTAGAGATAAGCCATGAGAACTGTAATACTGAACAGTTCCAGGAAGACATCTCAGGAACTGCAGATGGTACTTTCCTGTGGAGGGAAAAAACACTAGTATCTGAAACACCTACATAAGAGGCTTTATGTACATGACCCCATTTTATTTTCACTCCTTTGTCAGATACTGTCTAATTTCCTTAGTTTTTGCCTAAATGCTCCTGGCAGCTCAGGCTCTGCTTGAAAGTCTGGGTGTGCCATTTTCCTACTCCTTGTGAGGTGGCATCTGGGCCAGCCTTGTTAGCAGCTTCCTGGTGGCATGGGGAGTGAGCCCTCAGTTCCACAGGAGTGCCCAGGATCACTGCTGCCCTCTGCTGCAGTGGGGTGTTATTGGAGCTGCTCTTCAGATTGAGGTGATAAAGCTGCCAAAGGCTGAAGGGCTTCTGGGGCCACTGGCCCCCCACACGTGACATACTGCCTGAAGACATCGTGATGGGGAGTGAGGCAGATGAGAACGCTGGAATCTGCATTCCTCTTGTCCTTACCCTTCTCTTCCCTCCCCTTTCCCTTTCTTAGCAAGACTTCAAGGACTGCATTCGTAGGCAAAGGTTGACCCAATCAAAGATAAAAGAAAATCGACAGCAAATCGTTCGTGCTCGAAAATATTATGATGATTATAGAGTTCAGTTGTGTGCAAAAATGATGAGAATGAGGACCCGGGAAGAAATGGTAAGTCTGACTTTTCTGTCCAGCCCTGTTAAGAAGGTGAACTTTGTTATCTTTCAGGACCACCTTCTTTGTTCGTGACTCTTGTCCAAATTTGAATCCAAAATCTAAACTGAAGTCCTATAGTGCTGGCCCTGAGTTCTGCTTGGCCACACTTCATTTTCTTACTCCATTGTGCATTCCCGTCCATTCTCAGTCTCCGTGTCCCTCATCTTAATGTGAAGTCTTACTTCCTCCCTGCCTCCTACACATAACAGGTACTTCTCCAGTAAAACTACTTTAGAGGTTTGGGAACATGTGAGAGACAAATTTAGTGTGATAACATGACCTTGCATTCCACATAAAATCAGGACTAGTGTCCAGCTGTGCTGTGAGGGGTTTTCCACAAGGATGACATTTGCTATGTCATCCTAATCAGGCTGTGAAATGATTAACCTTTTGAGATCCCAAGCTAGCAATAAATTTCATCTGTAAAATATTTTAGTAATTATAGTTTACTAAAGACTTGGACATATTTCTAGAGGAAGGCTTTGAGGAGAGCGTAAGTAACTTGTCTGTAGCTCATGAATGCGTCGCCGTCAGAACCAGTTTTTCTATCCAGAATTTACACTGATGAAGGGAGGACAAGTGCGCATATCCAAGCCCTTTGAGCAGTGTGTTTTCCGGTGGCCTCCCCAAATGATCACTCCCCCTCCTCAGTGATGTACATGTGTAGGTGTGGCATGTTTCTGCTCTTGGCGTTCTTACCCTATGTACATGGCTGCTTGACACTGCTTTTCTGAAGGTTGTAAAGAACCTCTGTGATACATGAAAAGATAATGAACACCTTCGTCATTAGGGAAATACGACTCAGAACCACAGTTAGAGGACGAGTGTTGGCAAGGATGTGGAGAACTTGGGGCTGTAAAATGGTGCAGCTGCTTTGGAAAACAATCTAGCAGTTCCTCAGAAGGTTACCAAAAGGTCATATAGAGTTACCCTATGACCCAGCAATTTCACTCCTAGCTATATAATCACACAAAAAACACAAATGTTCATAGCATTACTTATAATAGCCTAAAAGGGGAAACAACCCAAAGTGTCCATCAGTTAATGAATGGATAAAGAGTGTGCATTCATTCATACAGTAGGATGTTACTTGGCAATAAAAAGGAATGAAGTATTCATACATACTGCAGTATAGATGAACCTTGAAAACATGCGGAGTGAAAGAAACCAAATACGAAAGGCCACGAATTACATGATTCCATTTTTAGGAAGTGTCCAGAATATGCAAATCCATGGAGACAGAAAGTACAGACTGGTGACTGCTAAGGATGGGACAGGGGGAATGAGCACTAGTCAGTATACGGTTTCTTTTTGGGGTGGTAAAAATGTTCTGTAGTGGTGATGGTTGCACAACTGAGTATAATAAAACATACTGAATTATTTATTTTAAAAGGGTAAGGCTGGACTCAGTGGCTCACGCCTGTAATCCCAGCACTTTGGGAAGCTGAGGTGCAAGGATTGCTTGGGACCAGCCTGGGCAACATAGTGAGACGTCATCTCTCCAAAAAATTAAAAATTTAGCCAGGCGTGGTGGCACATGCCTATAGTCCCAGCTATTTGGGTAGCCAAGGTGGGAGAATTGCTTGAGCCTGGGAGGTCAAGGCTGCAGTGAGTTGTGACTGCCCCACTACACTCCAGCCTGGGTGACAGAGCAATAACCTGTCTCAGAAAAAGGAGGTACATTTTATGGTATGTCAAAACATCTGAATAAAACTAGTATTTAAAAAAAAAAAACCTTGGGAAATACAATCAGTATATACCTCTAGTTGGCCAAAATGATATTCCTCAATGACTATTTTTACGATTAAATAACTGACAGATATTTAAGAAACTGTTTGAAGAAGGTTTAAACATTCAAAAGCAAAGATTACGAGACCTAAGAAACTATGCCAAAGAAAAGCGAGATGAACAAAGGAGACGCCACCAGGATGAACTGGACTCCATGGAGAACTACTATAAGGACCAGGTGGGCTCCTGGCACTTGCTTACGCTGTTGTGCTTAGTCCTGACCACTTGCCCTTGTGGCAAAACTTGCTTAGTCTGTTGACAATAAACCTTGTGTTAACTGAAGTTTGCACTCTACAGATTAGAGGACCCCATTTCAAGATTGAAATTTAAGATCAAATAATACCTGACCATAGTACAGTATATTTCCCTATTTCCATTAAAATGATTTTAAGCCTGTGAACATTAAGAAATGTTACATTTGGACTACAAACATTAAATATAATATTTGTTTTTTTTCTTCCTATAAACAGTTTTCATTGCTGGCAGAAGCCATATCACAGGAACATCAAGAACTTAAAGCCAGAGAGAAATCTCAGGCCCAGGTAATAATTAAGATAGAAGCCAAGTCATGCACTGCATGGCAATGTTTCTTTCAGCAAGGGACCTCGTACATTGGTGGTTGGAGCAATAGGCTGTATCATATAGCCCCGGTGTGCAGTGGACTGTACTCTCTAGGTTTGTGTAAGTACACTGACATTTTGCACAACAACAAAATCATTTAATGATGCATTTCTTGGAACATATCTCCATCATTAAGTGACACATGACTAATTTACATTTTTAGGAAGTAGAAAACCAAATGTATTATACCTGTAAAGGGAATGGAGAGAAGACTAATAAGGCAATCCATCTATGACCCAAGACATTTTTATCCTATGATTTTAACTTTAGTTAGGTCTCTGTAAGAGCTGCTGTTGCTAGATTATTGAAAATTTTGGAGGAGTTTGATTAGCTGGAAGATGGAGAGGGAACAATAGATGAGGGCCTGGATAAATGCTGTGAACAGCGGGATGACATGCCTTCTTTTTTCAGACATTACATAAGGTGAAGAGGGAGCTGAGATCTAAGATGGAGAAGGAAATTCAGCAGCTGCAGGACATGATAACACAGAATGATGATGATGTTTTCTTCCGGGAACTGGAAGCTGAGCGCTTCAGATCTCGGCTTCAGCTGGCTTCCTTTCAGTACAGTAAAAGTCCCTCCCTATGAGGCCAGACTTGATAATAGTAGGTGAAGGTTCTGGAGGCCTTTACCAGGACAGAGCTAGAATCGAGCCAGTAAACAGTCTAAGCCAGAAAAATAATTTTCAAATGCTTTACCTGTATTTTCATTCCAGTACTTTTTATGATTTTTTAAATAAAAATTGTTTTCTAAAAGCTTATTGCTTTTGAATTTATGACCTGACACCTGAAAAGGGGAAAATAATCATTAGTCGTATTTGTGCTAAAGCAAGTAACAAGCCTTGTGTGAGCAGCCAGCTCCTGAAGTTTGTTGCTTTAAGTCAACAAAAATAATTAATTAAGAATTAGCACTTGAGGACAAAAAAATACTATATTATTTCTGATTCATGAGAGAAGAAAGGTGGGTGGTTATCAGAGGTGGGCCTCGGAGAACCTTGACAATACCATGTATGTGTAGACTTCATAACATGGCTGGACGATGAGAGACTATGCATTACGGCAGTTGGGTGCAGAGGCTCATGCCTATAATCCCAGCACTTTGGGAGGCTGAGGCGGGTGGATCACTTGAGGTCAGGAGTTCGAAACCAGCTTGGCCAAACCTGGTTTCCCTGGTTTAGTACAGAGATGGTGAAACCCTGTCTGTACTAAAAATACAAAAATTAGCTAGGCATGGTGGCACTCAGCTGAGGCATGAGAATCGCTTGAACTTGGGAGGTGGAGGTTGCAGTGAGCTGAGATTGCACCACTGCACTCCAGCCTGGGCAACAAAAGTGAGACTCTTTCTCAAAAAAATAATAAAAAATGCATTATGGTTTCTGTTGGTTGGCAGAAGATAGATAGATAGATAGATAGCAGTGAGAAGAGATAGATAGATAAAGGGTGGAAAGCCAGGCTGTCATTCAAAGACGCATTAGTGACTTGAGGTGGGAAGGAGGCATGATGATGGGTTTCAAGTGGGCAAGAGTGCACCAGCCTCATATCTGGTATGGAGGAATACGAGGAAAAAAAACCCACTTGGGGGCGGCGTCATCAATGAAAAGGGAAGGCTACACTTCTTTTAAGCTAGAGGAAGCTTCAGAGCAGTTGAGGATATGGGGACTTGGAAGCCAGGGAGTGGCAGAGAGAGGCTTCCATTAGAGCATAGAGAGTGCTGTGCGGATGAGTGTATGTATGATGAGAGGCCAGGAGGCCTGAAGCAGTGAAAACTGACCTAGAGAGAAGACATCTGGATCAACTGCTGTGGTTCCAAGTGCTGAGCTCTTGGAATGGAAACTGGCAGAAGGGTGGGCCACCAGGCAGGCGGGAGCTTCCAGCGGGGAAAGGCTTGATGGACTGGGTGTGTCTGGAGCACAGTAAATGACATACAGACCCCTGTGATGTGTTGTGACAATTCAGCAAGCACAGGTGAATGGAAAGGACAGGAAATGCACAAGATGAGGCTAGATACGCAAGAGCTGGAACATAAGTTCTAAAAAATGTTAAGCAGAAGATAAAGTAGATCTAGATAGCCATAAAATACTGAGTAAAAAAGTTTTAGACTACAAAATACGCAGTTTTATAGAAAAAAACATGGTATGAGTGGGTATTATACATATGATGCAATATAAATATGATACAGAAAAGATCCGGAAGCATGGCAGATGTGACTCTTGAGTGGTAGATTATATAATACCATTAGATCTGTTAACACAAGCCTAACGATGCTTTTATTATGATTTTTTTTTAAATGTAAAATATTTTAGGAAGACTGAAGTTGCTAGTTCTGGTGATTGGTGGGAACTGGTGCTCTTTACCAAGCTAAAAAGTAACCAGGAATAAACAACAAGAGAAAGAATTTATGAGAGAATTGGTCAGGGAAGGAATAGGATTGCTCAGCAAAGGTCAGAAAATAGGAGACAACATATTTTTGAAAAATCAAAAGCAAATAAAGATCACTTCACCAGACTAGCTTAGCAAGCAGAGGACAGTGCGATTCAAGTGCTGTGGATTGTGTGCATCAAGCCAGTCAGCGTGGAGCAGCCCAGGAAAGATTCATCACAGTCATGCATTTGGAAAGTCCTGTGGGGGGTGTTACAGAGTGAGGTGCTTGGTATTAGAACTAAATGCCTCATCTATCATAAGGGACTAACCAGACAATATTTAAAATTAATGAAAAGCCCTGCCTGGCCAACATTAGTGAAACCCCATCTCTACTAAAAATATAAAAATTAGCCGGGCATGGTGGCGCATACCCTGTAATCCCAGCTACTTGGGAGGCTGAGGCATGAGAATCGCTTGAACCTGGGAGGTGGAGGTTGCAGTGAGCTGAGATTGTACCACTGCACTCTAGCCTGGGCAATGGAGCAAGACTCCTACCAAAAAAAAAAGCATTAAGAATACTTAAGTGGGGAGGAGAAACATCTTAGGTTCCCTTGCCAATCCCACAGACTGCACCACAGCGTGGTGGTGCTCACCTGTAGTCCCAGCCACTTGGGAGGCTGGCATAGGATCAACGTGAGCCCAGGAGTTTCAGGCTACAGTGCACCATGACTGCGCCTGTGAAATAGCTACTGCACTCCAGCCTGGACAACACAGTGAGACCACAAACACACATTCAAGTCTGGGATTCAGGGCCTTGCTGAGGTGGGTATTTACTCATGTGCTCCCATCATGACTGACTTTGCTGTACATAAATTGAGCTTTGAGCACTTAAGTTTGAACTTGGCCCACAGTGAGACACAGACTAGAAGCATGACTTTGGAAGTTCACTTTCTAACCACCATGCAAAGCTATATGGCTATCAGCTAGTACAGAGCCTGGCATGTAGCAGGAGCATAGTAAATATTTGTTGAATGAGCAGCAGACAAGTCACATTTAGGGCAGATACCTTTTAAGTAAAATTTAAAATCTGGTCTGTCTAGTTTGCTACGAATGTTAACATAGGAATGTAAAGTAACACTTCTCCTGCGTGATTACCTCCTTTATCCTGTTACTAGGCTCTTGTTCTGTTGCATATATCTTATTGTGTGTATATATATATATATATATATATATATATAGTAAGCATTTGGTATATGAAGTACAAATCAATGCAGTGGGTAACATGGTTAACCTTCATTACAATGAAGGGACAAACTTCAGGTTAAACTTCTGATCATTAGTCAAATCAAACTTGGATAATTTGTAGACTATTATAATACTAAAAAACAAAAAATTGTTTTTGAGACAAGGAAGGTCTCAGTCTGTTGCCCAGGTTGGAGTACAGTGGCTCAATCATGGCTCACTGCAGCCTCGGCCTCCCAGGGCTCAAACAATCCCCCCATCTCAGCCCCACCTCCAGTAGCTGGGACTATCAGCCACGTGCCACTGCGCCCAGCTAGTTTTCATATTGTTTGTAGAGATGGGGTTTCGCCATGTTGCCTAGGCTGGTCTCAAGCTAGGCTCAAGAGATTCACCTGCTTTGGCTTCCCAAAGTGCTGGGATTACAAGCGCAAGCCACAGCACCTGGCCTAATTTTTTTTTTTTCTTTTCCTGAGACAGAGTCTTGCTCTGTTGTCCAGGTCGGAATGCAGTGGCGTGATTTTGGCTCACTGCAACCTCTGCCTCCTGGGTTCAACTGATTCTCCTGCCTCAGCCTCCCAAGTAGCTGGGATTACAGGCGTCCACTACCACACCTGGCTAATTTTTGTATTTTTAGTAAAGAGACGGGGTTTCACCATGTTGGCCAGGCTAGTCTTGAACTCCTGACCTCGTGATCCGCCCATCTCAGCCTCCCAGAGTGCTGGGATTACAGGCGCGAGCCACTGCACCCGGCCAAAAATCTTTAATGTACTAAAACTTTATAAATTTTAGATAAAACCAGTAAACACAGCAATGAGGGACAAAGCAAAACAAAAATATTCAAAAGAATATTAAAGCATATAAACAAAAGCATGCTCACCCTTTGAACTTTAATACACTGCTACTACTTACACATTTCCCAGGTGTTCCCTTCTGTTGTACCCTATGCTGTGTAGACTTACACAGACCATATTCATTCCTTTTCTATCCATAGAGTTAGCTGGACTTTAGTCCACTATCATTAATACAGTAGTGAATTATAAACCTTAAAATCCACAGCTTCTAGAAAAAATACAATTGATTTCTCCTTTTCATTTTGAGAATTTTACTGCTCGACATACCAAGGTAGGGCTGGCAAATATGAGCCCCTGTCATAGGCCTGCCCTACAGAGCGGAGATGTATTATAGCAAAGATGGTTGCAGACTGGTGACAGGACCAAGATGCTCTTCCCCACTAGCCCCTGACCCCCCTCAGAAATCCACCTATGCGGTACCCCCAACAGGTACTACCAACTGAGCAGTCACCACGGCCGGAGAAAACGGGCACCTTCCCTGCTCTGCGAGGAGACAGAAAGCTGAGCTCTGCAACATGACAGAGGCATCAACTCAGGATGGCATGTGTTCTTGAACTTTTCATTTTGTGACTCATGTTGTCACCCTCCATAGAGCCAACCATAAATGTTTTCAAAACGATTCATTACAAACTCAATATTCTTTAAAAACGTTGATGCTGTGACAGTGCAAACAGCATTGATTTTATTGCTCGACTTCGGCATGGGCACATACATAGTTAATTTTTAAAAACCATTTATACAGATGTTACTGATAAAGCTCATGTAACAAATGAATGAAAATACAAAGAATATCAAAGCTAAAACACTCTGTAATAAATACAAATACAATGAAAATGATAAAACTTTGTTTTTAAAGTCAGTCTGAGAGAAGAATATTACATAAAGTGAACTAATTACATCTAGAAATAAAACAACTCAGCATTTGGAACAATCATCCTAACATGTTAAATACCACAAATGGCACCCGTTGACTGTACGCTTAGAAAACAAGCAGAAGGAGCCACTCTCCCAAACTAAGGATGGTTGGAACAGCCTCTAACTCCCAACAATCCAATCAGTCCAATGCACTGGAAATTCAAAGCCCAGATTTAGTGTTGTAAAGTAAAGCGAATTACATTGTATTTGAAAGAAGAGAATCTTGTGCTCCGGACTGTAAATACATGAAAGAAAAAAAGGCTTGGTAAAAAACCCATTCGGGGCAACAAACTATGTGCAAAACAAAATGTACACTATACACTATACACTATGCACTATTTAAAAACTACACCAAGATACAAGGCCCTCTGAGGCAAGACTTACCTCTCTGTACTGCCTATGAGCTCTACAAAGGAATCTCTGTTCATAACTAAGCATTCATGATGGAAAGGCAAGAGTATGAAAACAGATATCACATATCTGAAATAACAATACAGCTAGAGGGAAGACAAGAAAAAACCAGTTAAGAGGGACATGGAAATAAATATTCACATTAAACATGAGGTGCAAGTCCATGGTTCAATAATACATTGGGGGTTTTTGCTTAGCACCTATTTGGAAGTAATCGGGTAATGTAACTTTGAAATGGAAATCTAAATCATGTTTTTATATATGTTGGTGATAACATAGACTGTTATGGAGAGTAATTTCTTTTTTTTTTTTTTTTGGGCGGGGACGGAGTCTCACTCTTGTCGCCCAGGCTGGAGTGCAGTGGTGCGATCTCGGCTCACTGCAATCTCTGCCTCCCAGATTCAAGCAATTCTCCTGCCTCAGCCTCCCAAGTAGTTGGATTACAGGAGTGCGCCACCATGCCCGGCTAAATTTTGTATTTTTAGTAGAGACAGGGTTTCACCACGTTGGCCAGGCTGGTCTCGAACTCCTGACCTCAGGTGATCCGCCCACCTCGGCCTCCCAAAGTGCTGGGATTACAGGTGTGAGCCACCATGCCCAGCCAATTTCTTTCTTTTAAAGCTCTATTAAGTCATTAGTATAAAGTTAAAAAGGCACTCAAAAAGCAATGGTATTTGCCTGCTTTATATTGTATATTAAAATAAGTGATAGTAGCATTTCATTATTACTGTATCCCTGTCAGTTATGATTTCTGTATTCATTATGTACTTTTTTACTGAAAGATTTTAAAAGTAGGCACAATTATAAACTGCACTAGTGCTTTAATATAAAAGAGAGATGGGTCTGCAACCAGTAAAGTACTATCATGACAGCTGAACATTACTGATTATCAAATAGCATAGAAACCACTTCCATACATTTCAAGATGCTCTTCAGTACTCAGAATGCAATGTAAAAAAAACAAATTGTTTGAGAGGAAAAAGGTAGGCATAAGCATATTACCACTGCACAGTTACAACTATGACTAGCTTGCTTGTGGCAGTTGAATTTGGCCAAATGAAATACATTAAAATACTTAAAAACTACACAAGTAGTTCTCAACTTTTTTAAAGCAGCAAAATCTCCACTTTTTTTATCCCATCCATTCCTCCCCGCCCCACTGCACCCCATGAAAGCTTACTTGAAATTCCAATATACATAAGAAAAATGGGCTGTTCTGGGTAAAGGGGGTGGGGATATGGAGCCTAAGGCCCCTGCTCAAATACCAACTAGGCCTTCCCCCTCGCTCCCTCTCATTGCCCCTCTTCTCTTAAACCATTACTCCTGAGGCACCCCTGAGGAACCCTTTGGCTCCAAGAACACAGACTGAAACCCACTCCATCACATGAAACAGAACACAGAGGACCTATTTACTTGATAACTTTAAATTTTGCAGCTTAATTATCATGAAAATTTGCTTATTTCACATCAATGTAAAAAAAAACTGATAGTACATATTTTTGATGGTTGAATTTAAAAATCCAACTGTGATTTCAGATTTTTTCAATCCCTCACCCCAGAGTTTTCGTTGCTTCTGGATCATTCAACATGCACGCACCTTGAAAGCTAAATCTGGACGTTTCAAAATCAGATGCAGATCTTCAACACCAAGGGAAGCGGGATTCCCTTACTTCCAAAATGAACTCTTCAAAGTAATTTACGCCATAGAGTTAGAATCACTGTTCATACTACCGCCCCTCAACCCCACTTCATTCTGTTAGGTAAAAGCAGGATTTTCTAAGCTTATTAATAATCTTTAGAGCAAAATTCTTCCTTTTTCATAACTGTAGCTGATTAAAATTATGAGCAGTTAACGCTTTAGGATGGTTTTGTTAATGGAAACTTACACTGTAGTTAAAATACAATATAAATTAGGTGCACTTGTCAGAGACTTTGGTTTATAGGAATAGTCCATATATTAAAGATAAGCTGACCCAGCAAAATAACGAAAATCCCATCCCATCCACATGCTCTGAGAAGCTATAAAAATGCAGTATTTTAAGATTAAAAGTAAATCCAAAATACCTAATCATATTGACTCAAGATAAAAACATTAGGTTTTTTTTTTTTTAAAAGAGTCTCTTAAAAACAGGGAGCCCCTGAACACATCTTATTGTCACAAATAAATGACTAAGTTTAGACTAAATGGTTGCATTAGGAATTTGACAACCAAAATTATATCGCTGTATTCCAGGAAATCCGTTCTTGAAAAATGTAAAAAAGACCCACTTAGACTAGGTTGAAACATATAATGCAAAATATAATGCTCTGCTATAGAAAAACACAAACATGTAAATGGCTTAATTTCTTAAAGATGATTCTTTTAGCCAATTGTTTACAAAGGTAGAATAATTCAAAATAATTTTATTTTTTTTTACAAAGAGCAAGTACAGGAGCTGTTCAAGATCATGTATTCAATCAAAATGAAATGTGACTTGTACCGACTGCTGAAGTTGTCTTGATGTTTGAGAGACTTGAAATCTGTGAAGAAATTTGAATAGATTACCTTTTATAAAAATAGTAGTAGTCTTTAAGTGTAGAATACTGCCTAACTCTGGAAATGTAGGAAAAGTCAGCATTCTTTAGGTTCAAGATATTAAGTTTAAATAGCAGCTGAATGTGGCCTCATGGCAAAGCATAAAGACCTTTTTTTTCCTTGAAAAGGAATTTCAAAATTGTCCTTTCCCCTCACAGTGTCCTAAAATGTAAAAAAAAAAAAAAAAAGGGGGGGGGGGGGAGTGTTTTCCTGTATTTCAGCATATTCTTTGAAACTCTGCTGAAAGGAGGCTGTCAGTCAGGGTTGTATAAATAGAGTCCTGGGTAAATCCTTGAAGCTTGTCATTCCACAGCAAATCCACATGTTTCTTCAATGGCTGTTAGCAGCTTTTCATATAGCTTTTCATAGCTTTCATAGGGTGGAATGTCTATTCGATTGAAGCTGTGAATAAGCAAATCAAATTTTATACAGTTCATTCAAAATAAGTAAACTGGCCTAGCAAGTGTATACCAGTATAGCCACATCACTCTGTGTCACACAGAAAACTAAAAGGTATTTCTCTAAAACAGAGATGACCACTTTTGGGTTTTCCTACCAATTTCCGAATAATCTTAACTTTTAAATCACTTAAGTTGCTTATCATTCCCTTTAAAGGCCCATTTAACACTAGTAAGTACAATAAATAAAAAGTCAAATCTGTTTGGAACTAACACTTATGTACATGGAATGGGGAATACAGCTACAAAAATACCTTACCAAGTGTGGGCTTTCGGCAGGTTGTTAGTGCAGGCATCAATCTGGTGTATGGTAAAGAGTCTCGGGCCTGCAGCACCTGCAAATGAAGGAAATGTGGATGAAATCACTGCAGGTGCGTGCATTAGTCTCCAAAATCTTAAGAATAAAACTGGTAAGTTAACCACAGGATCTGGGGATAGGGGAATGCTAATGAATCCACACATACTACCAAAGGGCAGCAGGAAAAGCATCTGGGTTTTAAGAGCCAGAATTAACCTTGGATAAGGCTTAGATTCCGTAATAGGTTCACATTTCCATTTGAGAAAAAACTCAAGATTGAAATCCCTTTCTCAATTTCTATCTTTTATAGAAAGTCAATATCCCAAAAGCATGAGAAGAAAAGTAATCAGGCAAATCCAAGGTAAAATACATAGGCACACATTCAAAAAGATGACGACCTGATGCAAATTTAGATTTCATGACTCAAACTGGGCTGACAGCAAAAGAGCCGTCTATAGAATCCATTTCAGTTCGCACAGGCACCCCATATAAATACATGTAGCAGAAATACAACTTCACTTTATGCATCTGGGAAGTGTGAGGATGAGGAGCTCTCCTTACAGAGAAGGGCAGCACAGCTGAAAGCACGCTCTCCCCCCAGGGATTTCAGCGCATGCGCTGTGGGCAGCACTGTCGAATTATGTACCAGTGTCGCTTTGTGTGTCCTTATTCATCACCAGCAGCTTTGAAAATGAAGTGCTTAAGAGGTAAAGGAAGCAACTGCCACCCAGTGAAGCACCACAATCATTAGCAATATTACCAGCTCCTCCCAAAATTAACCAGCTTATTCCACAGAAAACCATTCTTAAAAAAGGAATATGGTTGTAAACAAATGGTCTGATGCCATGCAGTAATTAAAATGCTCTGACCGAACAGATGGTTTCCATGACCCATGCTGCTTCTGTCTAATAAGAGAAAGAACGAAAAGTAGAGGGGAGAGGCATCCCAGGCAGGTAAACGTTTCACCAGGTCAAGATGTGAACATGGAAGTGAACGACTTCCCTACAGGAATGTGCAACAGAATTAAAAGTAAGGTGACCAGAAAACAAAGGCAGAGCATCACCACGTACGGTCTCTAGCATGCGGCACTCACTACAATCAGAGAAGCCCGCAGAAAAGGCTCTTGGGAAGGGAACAAAAGAAAGGAGGGAGAAGAAGGTATCACAATGTGAGAGTCACAGATAAGAAGTGAAAAAGAGAATCTCTAAGCACATGGTTTACAAAATATCTCCACAGACCCCACGCTGACAGCCCCGCCCCCACCCGCTGCCCAGCTTGCCTGCACCTCAGGCTGTTACCTTGCAATGCTTTGAAGCCCTGCAGAGGCACTCGAGAGGATCCTGTCACAAACTGAAGCAATCTTGCTCGTCGCTCTTCATCAAAAAACTCCACAGCTTTCCAGAACCATTTGACAATGTTGCTGTCTGGTGTACAGTGTTTTAACCGGGTGTTTACCTTCCAGTCATTAACATCTATCTTTCCAAGTCCACAAATAATGAGCTGTGAAAATAGTACACAGTAATGAACCTGTGGAAACCACAGCCAGACCAAAAATTCCTCAAAAGAGAACTTTAGGTTTGTACTGCTGGCTGTCATTTGGTGGTTCCTAATTAAAGATGCACATCAGAATCATCTGAAAAGCTTTTCAAATTGACATTCCAGGTCCTAGGCTCAGAGATGTTAATTCTGTGCACCTGGGGTGACAGTTGGGATCTATATTTTAAAAAGCTCCAGAGATATCTACTCACTGCAAACTCCCTCTCCAGGGTCTGAGAACCACAGCTGTGATAGACTTGACCAGGTAAACAATTGAGAATGTTTCATAAGTTCATAATAAAATTATAAAGCTTTAAAAAAAATGGACAGAAATTGAGACCCAAAGAGTAAATACAGATATGTGCCTTCTTTGGACCTGCATCATCTACTAGTTTCAATACCTATTAGCTTTGTTGATTGAGGGCAATTCAATCAATTCCTCTGCTGTAATATGGTAGTAACATCCATTTCACTACATCCTGGGGAAGCAACCGATAATGCACAGAAACTTCAGAAATGGGTGTTGAATAAGTGAGTCATACAATTTGCTTAATAATTTTTTTTTTTTAAGACAGAATTTTGCTCTGTCTCCTAGGCTGGAGTGCAGTGGCATGATCTAGGCTCACTGCAACCTCTGCCTCCCGGGTTCAAGTGATTCTCCTGCCTTAGCCTCCCAAGTAGCTGGGATTACAGGCATGCACCACAATGCCCAGCTAATTTTTGTATTTTTAGTAGAGATGAGATTCCGCCATGTTGGCCAGGCTGGTCTCCAACTCCTGGCCTCAAGTGATCCGCCTGCCTCAGCCTCCCAAAGTGCTAGGATTATAGGTGTGAGCCACTACACCTGGCCTACATTTGCTTAATAATATTAAATTGATATTAAAGCACAAAATACATGAGCACATTGATACAGACCTCTGCTAAACACATCCTGATGGAGGGTCACACAGATGAACTATATCCAAATCATTTTATACTATCATTAATATGTCTCCCTAGGGTTCAAGACTAACTCACCATACTAATCTAACATGTTTGTTTATAGCAGTGAATTCCATGTATACTATAAAACATAACTTGCAAATCCTGTATTTTATAGAATTACACCCAGGATTAATATATACAATGCTAAAATAAATGTTATACATATTGTCTTTAAAAATTGGTAGGGTGTGGTAGCTCACGCCTGTAATCCTAGCACTTTGGGAGGACGAGGCATGCAGATCACTTGAGGTCAGGAGTTCAAGACCAGCCTGGCCAACATGGCGAAACCCTGTATCTACTAAAAATACAAAAAGGTAGCCGGGCGTGGTGGCGGGCACCTGTAATCCCAGGTAAGGCATGAGAATCGCTTGAACCCAGGAAGTAGAGGTTGTAGGGAGCTGAGATCCCATCAGCCTGGGGGACAAGTGAGACTGTGTCTCCAAAAAAAAAAAAAAAAAAAAAAAAAGCCAAAATAATGTTAGCCAGGCGTGGTGGTGCACACCTGTAGTACCAGTTACTGGGGAGACTGAGGTAGGAGGATCACTTCAGCATAAGAGTTAACAGTGAGCTAGGATCATGGTACTGCACTCCAGCCTAGGCAACAGAGTGAGACTCTATCTCAAAAAATAAAAATAAAAAGTTTAATGATTCAGGCCTGGTGCAGTGGCTCACGCCTGTAATCCTAACAATTTGGGAAGCAGAGGCAGGTGGATTGCCTGAGCTAAAAAGTTCAAGACCGGCCTGGGCAACATGGTGAAACCCCATCTCTACTAAAAATACAAAAATTAGCCAGGCATGGTGGTGCACACCTGAAGTCCCAGTTACTCAGGAGGCTGAGGCACGAGAATCGCTTGAAAACCTGGGAGGCAGAGGTTGCGGTAAGTGGAGATTGTGCCACTGTACTCCAGCCTGGGTGACAGAGTGAGATTCTGTCTCCACAAATAAAAAAAAGAAAAAAGAGAAGAAAAACAAAGTTTCATGACCCATTAGCAGTAGAAACTATATTAAAAATCCTAACCCTACCAAATAAAGTCTCCAGTAAGGCTTCTATGGGGTTCTGAAATAAAATCTCCAACAAAGCTTCTACAGGGTTCACTGAATTAACACCACACTGAACAGGGAGGAGGTTATCCGAAAAGGATTATGGGTGTATTTAATGACATAAAAGACACCTCCTAAATTCTTTTCTTCAGAGGAATGGCAGTTAGAAGGCCAAATCCTCGTTTATTGTATAAAGAGATGAAAATGCATTATATTTCAACCTTATCGGCATTCCTGCTATGTTCTCCTTCTAACTACTTCCTTCTGGCTATTTCACTATGAACAATTCAATCACAAAAGGAATGGGGAGAGTATTAAGTAAAACCAACCTTTTTAGATTTGTTTGCTAACAGGTCTATTAACAGATTTATTTAGAAAGGACATTGAAGGCATTGAATAAAATCATGTTTCAAATTATTAGTAGACTTCAAATATTTGTGTTATCCCTAACTACTAAATAAATTTGGGACCTTTAATAGAATTAAACCTCGTGTTTTTTAGTTGTTCAGTAGGAAATTCAGATGCATTTGTTTAAGGTCTTAATTACAAAACCTGGGGTGTTTAAGGGCCAGCTTTAAAAGGAAACAAAAAACTATTCACTGTTTAGTATGGCCGTTAATCTAAAGACATTTAGAGGCCAGGTGCGGTGGCTCACACCTGTAATCCCAGCACTGTGGAAGGCCGAGGTGGGTGGATTATTTGAGGTCAGGAGTCCCAGGCCAGCCTGGCCAACATGGTGAAACCCCGTTTCTACTAAAAATACAAAAATTAGCTGGACGTGGTGGCAGGTGCCTGTAGTCCCAGCTACTTGGGAGGCTGAGGCAGGAGAATCACTTGAATCCAGGAGGTGGAGGTTGCAGTGCCACTGCCCTCCAGCCTGGGCAACTCTGTCTCCAAAAAAAAAAAAAAAAAAAAGAGAGAGACATTTAGATTCAATTTATCCTAGGTGTTTTAGTTATTTTCTCGATGATCTTGTCTATCAAATGCTTTCTTGCAAGCTTAGTGTAAAACTAATTCAGAGTAGGCTCTTACCCAAATAAATTTCAAAATGGTAGATTAATGAGGTTTTACTTAACTAAATCAGTAACCACTAAGTTAGGGAATAGACATATATTGGAAGAATGTACATATAAGTCACGAAATCTGTTTAAAACAAGAAAGTACAGGATAGAAAAATAAATTAAAAATTTTCACAATATAAGAGAGACTGCTCACAGCTGGGCATGGTGGCTCAAGCCTATAATCCTAGCACTTTGGGAGGCCAAGGCAGGCGGATCACTTGAGCTCAGGAGTTTGAGACCACCCTGGGAAACATGGCAAAACCCTGTCTCTACCAAAAAAAACAAAAAAATTAGCCAGGGGTGCTGGTGCATGCTTGTAGTCTCAGCTACTTGAGGGGCTGAAGGATCATTTGAGCCCAGGAGGTCAAGGCTGCAGTGAGCCATGATTGCACCACTGCACCCCAGCCTGGGTGACAGAGTGAGACCCTGTCTCAGAAAAAAAAAAAGAGAGAGAGAGACAGATTGTTCACTCACAGAAATTCCAAAGCATGAAAGGCCTTCAAAAGCATGAAAGACTTTTCCTGTGAATAAGAATTCTCAAGCATAGAACCATGAAACTTAGAAAGCACCAGAAATATGCTTTCCTCTAAAACTAAGTAACAAAATAATTCCCAATCCTTCCTTGTTACACTAGTGATGTTATAATACTAATGCACTAACCTCTAACTCCTTCTCATCAAATGTCTTCAGCAGATGTTGTGGAATTACTTCATTAAATCCTTTCTGCAGAGCCAAGAATTGAGCCTCAATGCCTCGTAAAAATCTCCAGTTCACATAGAGCCTGTAAACATTCGGCAGGATTTCGTATAATCACATGTATTTTCAGATCTGGTAATTATTATTATAAATCTCTACTTTAGCAACACCGCATCTTACAAGCATCTAACATTAACGGTTTAGCCTCAAGTCTAACAATAAATCTCAGACTAATGGGGATAAATGAACCCTGAGGTGTGACACAGTTCAATGTTGATGAAAAGTGGTAAACTACTAACAAAAGCAGCATCAGCAGAGCAACCCTTCAAATCAGAGAAGCTCCCAGGAAACAGGACGTCTACTAGAGCTGAGTCTTGATGAAATTTCTTTCTAAACTTACAGCATACATGCCAATAACTAGAATAAAGAGCTCTTTCACTCAAAAATGACTTATTTTTCTGATTTTACTTGCAAATGTAATTTGAATGTGTTGGGTGTTTTGTTTCTATTTGAGGGAGGCCTACGGGAGAAGAGGAGGTAGAGAATCCTCATACCAAAAATGAGAAGAATAAATAGTAAAAGCCAATAGCAAGCACTTTTTGATTAAATAATCATTGTTCTCTAGAGGATATAAAAATTCTGGAAGATGTAATTTTACCAATAAAAAAATGCACTAAACTACATCTATTGTGTGAATGTACGATTTATAAGTGAATTGTTTTTATTTATCTACCCAAGAAAACTTCTCCATCTCATGCATCACAGAACTTACTCATCTGTCAAATTTGTTAACATTTCCAAATTTGGAGAAATGGTTCTCTACTTTAAGAAATAAGTTACTTAACATTATATCCTTTGGAGGACCGTATTTTTGTTTGTTGGGTTAAGGGGACAGCAAAACTGTGTAACTGTAAAAGTTTTTCTTTGAATTTTTAATCTAATAACTGTAGTTGGCAAGGGATTATTACGTGCTGTAAACACGACTGAACCCTGAAGAGTGGGATCCAGGGACTGAGTAGGACACACGAGGTCTTGAAAAGGAGACACTGCTAAGACTTAGGAAATTCTCATTTGTTCTTTTTTTATTATTTTTAATTTATATTAGGTGGAGTCTCGTTCTGTCACCCAGGCTGGAATACAGTGGTGCGATCTCAGCTCACTGCAACCTCCACCTCCCAGGTTCAAGCGGTTCTCCTGCCTCGGGCTCCAAAGTAGCTGGGATTACAGGTGCCTGCCAACACGCTTAGCTAATTTTTGTATTTTTAGTAGAGACAAGGTTTCACAATGTTGGCTAGGCTGGTCTTGAGCTCCTGACCTCAGGTGATCCACCCACCTTGGCCTCCCAAAATGCTGGGAATACAGGCATGAGCCACTGCACCCAGCCTGTTCTTTCATTTTTTTTAAGTAGAAACGTAATACATACTTTTTACGTATATAACAAAAAAATCAAACATTAACTATGGAGACAGTAAAATATGAAAGTCCATTCTTTTACCCTCTTTCTCCTTCCTATTTCCAGTCGCATCATCTCCACTCCCTCATCCTAGGCAAAAACTTTATTTGGTTGCAGCCTCCTGAACATCTTCAGTATAATCATAAAAAAACAGCCAGGCACGGTGGCTTACACCTGTAATCCCAGCACTTTGGGAGGCTGAGGCAAGCAGATCACGAGGTCAGGAGTTTGAGACCAGCCTGGCCAATATGGTGAAACCCCATCTCTGCTAATAATAAAAAAAAGTTGCCAGGTGTGGTTGTGCGTACCTGTACTCCCAGCTACTCGGGAGGCTGAGGCAGGAGAATCACTTGAACCTGGGAGGCAGAGGTGCAGTGAGCCAAGATCTTGCCACTGCACTCCAGCCTGAGCAACAGAGCGAGACTCCACCTCAAAAAAACCCAAAAAAACAAAACAAAAAACAAAAAAAAAACCATGGATTTTGTTCCTACATAATTCTTCTAAGACTTACTTTTAAAATTTGACAGCTTATGCACTTTTAAATATCCACATAATATTCTGCTGAATGTATAATATAATCATTCTTCTCTAAAACCATTTTAGTAGTGTAACTTTTTTTCACAAGTAGCATTTAATTGACCGTCTTTCCCCGTATTCGTTCAGTTACATGTGTGTTTCTGCAGAAGAGCCCTAAACACAGAGCTGCTAGTTGAAGGGCACATGCTGCTGGTATCAAACTGCTTTCCAGAAAAGCTATGCCAGTGTTCACTCCAATCAAGTGGACCTCATATTTAAACTAGGAAACATTTTAGTAAGATTTGGGAACATAATCTATACACAGAAAGTATATCATGCAAGTTTCTGTGTACATAAAGTTCAAGTTCAAACTCCCAAAACTGATTACCATAGTTCTATATTTAGAGGACTTTTTATTTCTCATAAGCCAAATTAGCCCAATACATAAAAATTCCTCAATTTTTACTTTATGAAATCTGAAAAACATTTATTTACATTTATCCCTAAACTCACAATGTGCTCATTTATAAACAGGCTAAGTGTTAGTAAGATAAAGCACAAAAGCCCTTCTGAATTGCCACCTGTGATAGCTACACCACATGTGGCCCCAGTGCCCACATCTCCTGGTATTCACACATTTGTACAGCTCCTCCTCCATGATGAAACTGGGCTGGCTGTCTCAGTTTAACCAGAAGTAGACAGCAGAAGTCATGTTGGCCAGGACCAGGCTTAGGCCTTAAAAAGATCTAGCAGCTTCTGCTTTTGAGCTTTAGAAAGCTGGCCACCCCATAAGAAGTCTGGCTATCTTGTTGGGAGAGAGAGTGGCTATGGGGGGAGGGAGTGGCTATGGGGAGAGGGAGTGGTCATGGAGAGAGGGAATGGCCTTTGATATCACATAGGGAGAACCAAGGAACTCAGCCAACAATGAGAACAAGGCCCCAGACAGTGACCCCAGTCAACAGCCATGCCAGCTAGCCCTCAGCCATTTGAGTTATCCTAGTTATGAGTGAAGAGGCCATCTTGGTGTTGCAGGCCTAGCTGACATCTTGTGGAACACCAGTGTTGTCATCCATGTTGTTCTTTTGCCCAATTTCCTGACCCATGGAATTGTGAGAAATAATAAAATGTCTGTTCTAAATAAGCCACTAAATTCTCCTGAAGCGGATTTTGTAACACTAAGTAGTACTATCTAAATATTTAAGTTTGTTCATACTAACATTCTAGAACATTTTAAAAAATTCAGCCTTGAGAACACAGGAGTGTTTACCTGACATATTCTTTTTTATTTTCTTCATTAACAGGGATACTTTTGCCATTTGGTTTAAGTTCATGCTGAATAATTTCACCATATGCATTATGTTCAACACAGAAGGTATGGTCCAAAACACCTGTAATATCATTCTCACTGGATAGGAAAGAGGAAAAGATATGTAACTGGGAAACCTAAAATACAGACCCTATAGATGTATTAATTGGTGAGATAAAACTAAGATCATTTTATAATATAACAAATGTGAGGTCAGATTCTGCTTCCATACCACCTAGTTCTTTCTGGACAGAAAAGTCAAAGAGCTTTAACCTTCATAAACACAGAAAACATTTAACTTCCTGAGTAATGAGAAAGAGCCTTGGTCAAAGCTGGGCCTTGCTAGAACCACCAATATAGGACAATTTCAGTTACATTTGGCATTCTGAAGAGCCCTACTCGGTACTGTACTCCAAGGGGCCAAGTGCCTGTGTATCCCTAGTGAGAAAGCTACTGTATACTTTATAAAAAATAAACATTGCCAGTGTATCTTCACAAAATAATGACCTCTTGCAAAACAGAATCAGTTCTTAGCTTAAATTCAACAATTAGTTCTTATTCTAAAAGTACGGTTCCAACAATCGCCACTTCATTAAAAGCAACAGCAGCCAAGAATTTGCTATTCTAACACACGCAGGTTTGGAACAGAATTTGTATCACATTGAGGAAACAATTATATAAAGTACTTTTAAAAATAGAAATATACTAGTTGTTTTTTCCTTTTTAAAGTAGTAACACTTGCTAAGTTTAAGGAATTTGAAATGTATAAAGAAGCTACAGGAAAGGGGGAAATCATATGCGATCCTATCACTCAAATAACCACTCAATATTTTCTGTGTAATTTTTTTAAGTACATCAGTTTTGAAACATATTTTTTTTTAAAGCTCAGAGTTTATAATGAAGAGATAGAAGACTCAATACATACAGTATCCACACTAAACTGTTGTGAAGATCCGGATCTACTAACTCCATGTCATCCAAGGTAATTGACTTCCCAAGCAATTGCTTATAAAAAGGCAATGTGAAACCACCATCAATATAATGTCCATGAAACACAGCCATTCCCATTATTCGTCCAACAAAGTGGAAATAGGATAAATGTTCCTGAAATTGAAAACAGTATATATACTCGTTAGG
Organism: Homo sapiens; assembly: GCF_000001405.40. NCBI lineage: Eukaryota > Metazoa > Chordata > Mammalia > Primates > Hominidae > Homo > Homo sapiens. Next base: position 64,556,032 of record NC_000017.11, read on the forward strand.
CACTACCCAGGAAAATTTTAATAAAAATGAAATATTTCAGCAACATTAATCTTTTTGAGAATAAGCATAAAATTTTTACTCTTCAATAGAGTCAGGAGGGAGTATTTCTCTAGGGCATGCTCCAGAGTCTCTAGATCACCAGAGAACAGCATATTACACAGGGTAATATGCCCTTCTCGCAGGGGCCAGTCATTTTGTAAATTTTATCTTTTAGAAATTAAGTCCAAACTATGGTCCCGGAGCTTCATTCAACTACTTGCAGATCCTTTTCTCTTCCTTCTCTCACCTCCTGCTGAGCCCTTTGTCATGAAAAAAAATCTTTCAATCCTAAACCTCCCTACTTCCTTGACCTAACCAGAAATTAAACATCAAAACACCATAGATTTAAGAGCACAGACTTGGTGTCAGACTTGAATTAGAATCACGATTCTGCCAGTCAATGGCATATGGACAAATTAACCCCCGTAAGACTAACTGTCCACATCTGGAAATATGAGGATAATAACAGTATCTAAAAAGCATCTCTATGAGGAGTAAAATGAGGTGATGTTTGAAACCCATGGAACTGGACCTGGCATGTTATAAGCAGTCAATGAGTCTGGGCTATTGTTACTACAGGGGCAGTAGTGGGCCCTCCAAAAAGAACCTTCACCTCAAAATCCTCCCTAAATAACTTCTTGAAACAAATCTAACATTTCTACCCTTTTATATATATTTGGTCTTTCGTCACAGATTGTTTTGTTAGATGTTTGTATTTTTAAATTCTTTTACCTCTCTATTTACTAAGTAATCTTTTAAGCTCGTCTTTAAACCTTTTATCTTGTTTTTGTTTCTTTTTTAAAAGTAACACACGCGCACGCACACAAACATATATATTTACCAAAGTTGCATTATACTATTTGATAACCTTCGTTTCACTTAACACATCATAAACACCATCTTTCCATATCATTAACTATTATCCCACATTATCATTTTAGTGGCTGTATAGTATGCCCTTATATGGAAAGACAATATAAAAACAATACATTAGTAATAACTGCTAACTTCTGTTGAGTGCTTAGTAATGTAGTTGATAGAGTTGTAGAGTGAATAACATACAGCACTGTGCTAAGTGCTTAATGTGCAGGGTCCCATTTCATTCTCATAACCCCTCTTTGAGGTACAAATGTATTTATTAGCAATGACAAAACTGAAGCTTAAGTCCATGAACTTGCCCTGAAAGGTCACAAAGCTAGTAAGTGATGAGACCACGACACGTCTTTCTAATTCCAGAACCTATGCCTTTAATCATTTGCATTATTCTGCTTCATGTCATAATTTAATCAGTCCCCGCTCCTGAAGACAACTATGTTGTTTTCAGTTGAGTGCTACTATAAACAATAAACATCCCTGTTTCCAAATTGGTGCATATATCCATAATCATCTGCTTGGGAAAATTTTATAGAAGGGGAATTGCTGAGTCAAAGGGCACAACTAAGACAAGGACAAATAATTTCTATATAATAAACTACATTAACATGTAAACATGAAAAGCATTATTGGTCACAATTCACATCATAACTTCAAATCATACCGGATTAACTGCAGAATCAGGATTGATCTGCAATGTATAAATATCATCTCTTGAATACTGGAAGAGGCCATAGTATGGATTCAACATTTCATGTGACAAGAGATACAACCATTCCCTAGAAAACAAGATATGACCAAGGAATTTTTTTGTTAATGTATACATTTTTATTAAGATATGTCATTAACTAATCATTTTAGCAAATAATTATTTAAATTAATAAAAGGCAAAAAAGCACTAACTACAGTTATATAAGATCACATTGGAAAAATCTACCGTACCCAAATAGCATATAAAAACTCTATTATATTGAAGTAACATCTCACGCAAAATTTAGGCAATTTTATTATATTTTAGCATCAAAGAGTATAAAAGTATTATCCAACAGTTCAGCTACTCACGAGATGATACGGTCCAGTGGTCTGTTACTTTTAATTGCCAAATAAATTTGTAATCCATAATAAACATAAAACAAAAGGAAGAATATGGTTTTATTTCAAAATGTCCATGTGAGGCTGGGGACGGTGGCTCACACCTGTAATCCCAGCACTTTGGGGGGCCAAGACAGGTGGTTCGCTTGTGCTCAGGAGTTTGTGACCAGCCTGGGCAACAAGGCGAAATCCCATCTCTACAAAAAATACAAAAATTAGCCAGGTTGATGGCAAGTGCCTATAGTCCCAGCTACTTGGGAGGCAGAGGTGGGAGGATTGCTTGAGCCCTGGAGGTTGAGGCTGCAGTGAGCTGAGATTGCACCACTGCACCCCAGGCTGGGTGACAGAGACCCTGTCTCAAAGAAAAAAAAAAAAAGTCCACGTCATCTCTATTATCCTGGTCTACTCCTATCACGACCAGTTTATACAGACATATAATATAGTATTGATTTACTCTTCATTTTGGACAAGGCTATATTTTGTTGTAGTATTAAGGACATTTCATTATTCATTTCATTATCATTCACTGTATAAACCCTGAAACATACCATGATAAAAATATAAGTGGGCAAGGATTGCAAGGCATTTGGTGTAGGTATGGACTCAAGGGCAAACGTGCATTCTTTGGGTATGTTCCATACCACTTCTTGACTTCAATGTAAATCAATGTTTTTAAAACCTGGAATAAAAAGTACTTCCACCTTGAATTTATTAAAACCTTCAAATTTTTCAAAGTATAAAAGATAATTTGTTACTCACTTTGGAAATTCACTAGTCTAGGACTTAAGAGATGTAGTTCTAGTCTTAATTCTTGTCATTCCTTGGCTAGGGAAGGTTATTTAAATGATATATTTTGATATTATGGATTAAACAGATTGAATAATATTTTTGAGCAAATGCAGAATAGTATTAAAACTAGTTAAAGGAAACTGTTTCAAAATTCTATGTGATGGAGTCTAAATTAAATTACTACCATTATGTAACATTTGAAAAACTACTCTAGAGATTAAAAAAAGAAGTAACGTCTCCACATAAGCAGCCTTCCCAACATAACACTCATCTGATGTGTCTTGTGTTTTTGGTGTGTGTATGTGTTTTTTAAAAAGAAAATCCAAATTTTTGTTTTGTTTTACCAAGTATTTAGAACACAAATAAGAGCAGAACTCAACTACTTTGAGATTCTACTATGGAATAAAGTTCAGAAAAAGCAGATCACTGTCACATTCCATTTATTCTGCTCAAACCCTGACAGTAGTAAGGTTAAAAAACAAAAAACTGGGCTGGGTTCGGTGGCTCATGACTGTAATCCCAGCACTTTGGGAGGCTAAGGCGGGCAGATCACAAGGTCAGGAGATTGAGACCAGCATGGCCAACATGGTGAAACCCCGTCTCTATTAAAAATACAAAAATTAGCTAGGCGTGGTTGTATGCGCCTGTAGTCCAGCTACCCGGGAGACTGAGGCTGGAGAATCGCTTGAACCCAGGAGGCAGAGGTTGCAGGGAGCCGAGATTGCGCCACTGCACTCCAGCCTGGCGACAGAGTGAGATTCCATCTCAAAAACAACAACAACAAAAAAAACTGACTACGAGCCAGGCATGGTGGCTCGCGCCTGTAATTCCAGCACTTAGGGAGGCGGAGGCTGGAGGATCACTTGAGGCCAGGAGTTTGAGACCAGCCTGGGCAACACAAGATCCTGTTTCTACCAAAAAAAAAAAAATTTTTTTTTTTTTGAGACGGAGTCACACTCTGTCACCAGGCTGGAGTGCAGTAGCACGATCTCGGCTCAGTGCAACCTTTGCCTCCTGGGTTCAAGTGATTCCCCTGCCTCAGCCTCCCGAATAGCTGGGACTACAGGTGTGCGCCACCATACCCAGCTAATCTTTTTTTTTTAGTTTTTAGTAGAGACGGGGTTTCATCATGTTGGCCAGGATGGTCTCAATCTCTTGACCTCGTGATCTGCCCACCTCAGTCTCCCAAAGTGCTGGGATTACAGGTGTGAGCCACTGCACCTGGCCAAATTTTTTTTTTTTTAATTAGGCATGGAAGCATGTGCCTATAGTCCTAGCTCTTTAGGAGGCTGAGGCAGGAGGATCACTTGTACCTAGGAGTTCGAAGCTGCAGTGAGCCATGATCACACCACTGCACTCCATGGAGCCTGGGTGACAGAGTGAGACCCCGTCTCTAAAAAACTAAATAAATAAAATAAACTACTTATTTGATCTATACATATAATTATAGTACTTAGATGCCACCAGTAGTTGATGATGAAGTGTTCCCAATAAACATTCACTCTAGTTATGAGTAAGTAATACAAATTCCACAGAAACTGTCAAGTCCTAAGTATGATGTACAAGGGATTATTTTTAAAAATCCACACTAAAGAAACTATCCATCCGTAGGTTTAAAAGGTGACAGAATGAAAATAAGGCTACAAATACACACATGTAATGCTAAATAACAATTAATGGGAATTATTGAAAACATAATTTTGGTTGGATTTAAGATTAGGGAAAGCAGAATTACCACAATGATCCTTGGAACATTTCAATACAGAGCTACAGTGTTTCTCCATTTATATAAAACGAATTTTCACACATAGAAAAGAATTCTTGTAGTAAATATAATATCAGAAATAAATCACTGGCTGGGTGTGGTGGCTCACACCTGTAATCCCAGCACTTCGGAAGGCTGGGGCAGGCAGATTGTTTGAGCTCAGAAGTTCGAGAATAGCCTGGGCAACATGGCAAAACCCCATCTCTACAAAAAAAAAAAAACAAAAACTAGCCGGGTGTGGTGGCTTGTACCTGTAGTCCCAGCTACTCAGGAGGCTGAGGTGGGAGGCTCTCTTGAGCCCAGGATGGGGAGGTTGCAGTGAGCTGAGATCACGCCACTACACTCCAGCCTGGGTGACAGAGGGAGACCCTGTCTCCAAAAAAAAAAAAAAAAAAAAAAAGAAAGAAAATTAATTTGACTTGACCTGTGAGTTACAAATGTAGCAGAAGCATTCTACCTTCTGTACTGAAACATTCTGAGGACCATCATGATATGTACATGTGTATACACACATGCATGCATACACATTCATTTAACAAGGAAAAAAGGCATAACAAATGGAAGCAAAGAGAACCAGTATTCAGTTCAGGTTATATATCATTTAAATCTCAAAACTGTTCCTGACAATGTAAAGCAGAGGCAATAATGTACTTAAAGAGAGAGATGGAGAAAACACAGGGCCTGCAGTCTCATGGGACTCAGATGGTCTACTGGGGAGTTCCAGAATACTTGTCCGGTAGCAGTGCCACCCTAACCTCATTATGAATATATCTATTAGGATATCCTCAGTGATACAAACATTAGGGAATAACAAAAAATAAATGTCGATGAGAAAGTTACACCACAGGAAGTAGCTTAAATTTGTAAGTACAAAGATCCATATGTCATAAGCTGGCAAGCAAGTCCATACCTGGCAACGCCTCCATAGTCAAGGCCTTCTTCTCCACGAAATTTTATCATTAATCGCTTCCAGAGATCTTTTGGTCTCATTTTCATGACCTGTCGATATGATTCCTGAAAAAAATAATTTTTAATACCCTATTACTATTAGGTCCTTTTAGCCTATTACTTAATCTCTCCCTGCCAATCCATCCAAAAAACTCAAGTCTAAATAAGGTGAAATTTGGCCAGGTGCAGTAGCTCACACCTGTAATCCCAACACTTTGGGAGGCTGAGGCAGGAGGATCACCTGAGGCCAGGAATTCTAGACCAGCCTGGGCAACATAGTGAAACTCTGTCTATACAAAAAGTTTTTTCTTAAATAGCTGGGCATGGTGGCATGCACCTGTAGTCCTAGCTACTTGGAAGGCTAAGGTGGGAGGACTGCTTGAGCCCAGGAGTTCAAGGCTACAGTGAGCTATGATCATGCCACTGCACTCCAGCCTGGGTGACAGAGCAAGACCTTGTCTCTTTTTAAAAAAGAGGCCAGGTGCAGTGGCTCATGCCTGTAATCCCAGCACTTTGGGAGGCTGAGGCGGGCATATCACGAGGTCAAGAGATCGAGACCATCCTGGCCAACATGGTGAAACCCCATCTCTACTAAAAATACAAAAATTAGCTGAGCGTGGTAGCGTGTGCCTGTAGTCCCAGGTACTCAAGAGGCTGAGGCAGGAGAATCGCTTGAACCCAGGAGGCAGAGGTTGCAGTGAGCTGAGATTGCGTCACTGCACTCCAGCCTGGCGACAGACTCCGTCTCAAAAAAAAAAAAAAAAAAAAAAAAAAAAGAGAGAGAGAGAAAAATTAGCACTCTCGGTATTCTTGGAAAAGAGCATAAAACAAATTTAACTTCTAATTTTTTTTTTTTTTTGAGACGGAGTTTCGTTCTTATTGCCCAGGCTGGAGTACAATGGTACAATCTCGGCTCACCGCAACCTCCGCCTCCTGGGTTCAAGTGATTCTCCTGCCTCAGCCTCCCGAGTAGCTGGGATTACAGGCATGTGCCACCATGCCCAGCTAATTTTGTATTTTTAGTAGAGATGGGGTTTCTCCATGTTAGTCAGCCTGGCCTCGAGCTGCGACCTCAGGTGATCCGCCCACCTCAGCCTCCCAAAGTGCTGGGATTACAGGCGTGAGCCACCGCACCCGGCCAATTTCTCTCTAATTTAAAATAAGGTTTGTATTAGCAAGCAATGGGTTTCTGGAAAAAAAAATAGTAAAACAAAATAAGGCTCGTAAATTTACCTCAAAAATCTCTTCCCTGGAAACCTCAATGCGGCAATGACCTGCCTGAGGCTGTTGTTGGGAAAGTTCTTGCCGCAAAATTTTTAGTTTCTGAACCAGGTCTCGCTTGTACCTTGGGACTGTCAGGCATTCTGTGTCATCAGGACATAACGATACCACTTGCTGTTGCTGTTGGTCTTTCAATTGGTTCTGCCGACTAGAAGTAAACATAGATGTTATTATTAAAGTATATCAAATTTTAAAAATTGCAATTATAGATTTAAAATAGCATCATATTATAAAGCAAGTCTAGCTCTATCATTTTCCAAGCCTTAGTAGAACATATACTTGGCTTGACATTTTTTGGCAGCAATAAACCAGCTACAAAGTTTATTTCTCATAGTCCACATAAACTGACAGAATTGGATAATGGAATTTTATCCATAAAGCTTTATACAGCTTCTGAGGACAAATTTTTCCAATATAGCTTCCATTTTCCCCTACAGAGTTTACCATCACCCACTTTAAAATTCAGGCATGTGCCAAACACTGCTTGTTATCTAGACTCTTTCTTTCTGGAAGAGCCAAACAGGAGTCTGAAAGGCAGCTTGGCAGGGATCCCTTCTTTTTATACACCAGGCCAAATATTATACCTAAAACATATGACCATACAAAGAAAATACACCTTTGTTTAAAATGCCAAGTCAATATTAACTACTCTTACAAATACTATAATAAAGATGTTTTAACATACACACAAAATCAAAACAGATTACCGTGTACATAAATGCATTCCATAAACAACTGTATAATCTTATTTTTTAAATGAACTTGGGTATATTTCATATCAGATACAAAAAGTAACTCAAAATGGACTGCAAACATCAATGTAAAATCCAAAGCCATAAAACTTCTAAGCACAGGAGAAAATTTGTTATGACATACATCAGGCAATGAATGATTTCTTAGATATAACACCAAAAGCACAATCCATGAAAGAACAAATGGATAAACAGAACATCCATTTTTAAATTTTTTTTAAAGAGGCAGGGTCTTGCTATATTGCCCAGGCTGGCCCTGAACTCCTGGTTCAAGTGATCCTCCTGCCTCAGCCTCCTGGTAGCTAGAACTACAGGCACCCAATACCACCCTCAGCTTAAAGAAAATTGCTGCTCTTCAAAAGACACTGTTTAGGAAAACTAAAAGACAAGTCAAGTCATAGACTAGGAAAATTCCTTTGGAAAGCATATATCAGATATGTAAATATCTAAAGAAGCTCAAAACTCAACAAAAAACTGAGCTGCTCGATTTGGGAGGGCTGGGGGCATGGCAAAAGATTCTGCCAAAGAAGCCATTCTACTCCTAGGTTATTTATTTAACCAAGAGAAATGAGGGCATATACATACAAAGACTTGCACATAAATGTTCATAATAGTTTTATCTGTCATAGCGAAAGACTGGAAACAACCCAAATGCCCATCAGTAGATAAATGAATAAACTGTGGTATACCCATACAATGGAATACCACCAACAATACAAAGAAATGAACTATGTAACAATGATGAATCTCATTATGTGAGTAAAAGAAATCATACTGCATGATTCCATTTATCTAGAAAATGCAAACTAATATACTGACAGAAAGCAGGTCAGCAGTTGGCTGGAGATGGGGTGTTATGGGTTGAGCTGTGTGTCCCCCAAAAGATATGCTGAAGGCTCAACATCTGGTCAACCTGTGGATTTGACCTTATTTGGAAATAAGGTCTTTGCAGATAAAATTAAGGTGAGGTAAGATCATACTGGATTAGGATGGCCTTAAATCCAAAAACTGATGTCTTTATAAGAAGAGGGAAATTAGGATACATACATACAGGAAAGAAGACTATGGGAGGACAGAAGACAAAGACTGGAGCAATTTGTCTACAAGCCAAGGAACACCAAGGTTTCCAGAAACCACTGGGAAGTTAGGAAAGAGGCATGGAACAGATTCTCTCTCAAAGCCTCTGGAAGGAACTCATTATCACTTACTATAGAGTCAGCCCCTTACCCTGTAGTTCTGCCTCCAGAATTGTGAGAGAATGAATTTCTGTTGTTTTAAGCCATCCAGTTCGTGGTATTTTGTTACAGCAGCCCTGGGAAACTAACACAGGGTGGAAGTCCCACAGGGAGGGACAGAAGAAATCACAAAAGGGCAAGAGAAAACTTTTGGGGGTGGTGAATATGTTCACTATCTTCACTGTGGTGATGGTTTCATGGTGTATATCAAAACTTAAACTGTACACTTTAAATATTCAGTTTATTGTATGTCAATATATTTCAATAAGGCTGATTTTAAAAAATCCAGCAGATATCAGGCCTCTTCACAAAGCCTCCTGTGAAAGACCAAGCCATGCAAATGGAAAGGTGGCTTAGAGCTGAAGGACAAAAACGGACACAGGAGAAAATCCTTCTGGGATGTGGGCAGCTAGCCTGGAACTATTGTTCCTGATGCACTCAGGGAAAAAAAAAATCTAACTACCCAATAAAGCAGCCTGTCTCTTCAGGTGTGCTAGGGTGCAAGGGGCAGTTCTGTAAGGGCTGATGTGAGAGTGCAGGCCAGGAAACAGTGGGGGTGCTGGTCTATCCTTTAGGGCCTCTGCCAATGTCTAAAGGCTTTATCAAACAAGCAAATGATTTTCTTGAAATCAAGTAGATCTGATAAGCAGGGAAAAGACTCAAATTGTAATCCCCTTGCCCATAAGTCATCTTTTTCTTTAAAAAGAAAAGCTTCCTTTAAGGGTATAAGGCAGAATATCTTCATGCAATGCCAGTCAAAGGAAGGGAAATAAGTAATTAGTGTTACTGGAATCAAAACATGAAGGGAAAAAAAAAAACCTCCATAGTCAGACTGGGTGGATTCAAATCCCAGCTCTAGCACCTTTTATGCACCTCTGGACAAGTTCTGTAACTGCTTGAGGCCCCATTTTTCTCACTGATGAGAAAGAGGTAGCCCAGGATTGCAATGAAGATGACATGGGCACTCAGAGCATGGTAAGTGCAAAATAAATATCAGTTACTATAGCTACTATTAAGATAGTTACTGAGTTACAAAAACATGCTTTTCAAGCAAAGGAAATAAAAAAAAAAACTGACTAAAATGCTTTCTTAGAAGAATATGCTTCCTTGGCAAAGTTATTTATTAAACCCCAATGGCAATGTTTTGCAATATAATTTATATTCTAATGACATTTTTGCCAAAAAAATTTCCAAGAGAGAAAAACAATAAAAACCATAATAGATGTACCAAATAAGGTAATACTATATTTGACGGCTCATAGACATAGATTCAAAACTCCGTTAACACTTGTCTAAAGAAAAACCCCCCAATTTAAAAATCTTTAAAAAATAGAAATCAAACATTAATAGAAAAGATACTTCTATCCGACATATCCTGATATGTAAAGATTAATAAATTAACTGTTATAATTTAAAATTAGTGCCTTATGAATCTTTTTAAAACTACAATTTTAAGATTAAAATTGTTTCTTATGTATCTCAATAAATTGTTTCACATATAAATTATATACTACATTACATAGCTGAATAAAAACTAATTTATCACTTTAAAGTTAATTTATGACAGAAACTTTAATGCTGCAAATAATTTTTATATATTTTATGTAATGTAACACGAATATAAACCCCAGGGAGGATCTATCAGGTTAGGGACTTTACCGAACTAGTAGCTGGAGTTGTGAAATCCTGTCCTTAAGAAGAAAAAAACAAAACAAAACAAAACAAAAACGGATGTAGAAATGCTTAAGCTTTCTGGTTTTTTTTTTTTTTTTTTTTTTTTTTTTTTGAGACAGTCTCGCTGTGTTGCCCAGGCTGGAGTGCAGTGGCGCAATCTCCGCTCACTGCAACCTCCGCCTCCCAGGGTCAAGCTATTCTCCTGCCTCAGCCTCCCGAGTAGCTGGGACTACAGGTGCCTGCCACCATGCCCGGCTAATTTTTGTATTTTTAGTAGAGACGGGGTTTCACCATATTGGCCAGGCTGGTCTCAAACTCCTGACCTTGTGATCCACCCACCTCGGCCTCCCAAAGCGCTGGGATTACAGGCGTGAGCCATCGTGCCCCGCTGACAGAGAGTTTTTTTTTTTTTTTAGATAGAGACTCTGTCGCCCAGGCTGGAGTACAGTGGCGCGATCTCAGCTCACTACACCCTCTACCTCCCAGGTTCAAGGAATTCTCATGCCTCAGCCTCCCGAGTAGCTGGGATTACAGGCATGCACCACCACGCCTACTTTTTTTGTAGAGACAGGTTTGTCATGTTGGCCAGGCTGATCTCCAACTCCTGGCCTCAAGTGATCTACCCGCCTCGGCCTCCCAAAGTGCTGGGATTACCAGTGTGAGCCACCATGCCCAGCCTTAAGCTTTTTCATAGCACAGTAACTTGAAATCAAAGATATTGAAGAGAGGAACAAATTAATACTAAAATACAAAAATGTTCAAATGAAAACTTTCTATTAGGAATATGTATAAAACTTCCAGATAATGCAAATGCTGGCCATATTAATGGAAACTAATCAACAAAATTGGAAAACTAACAATTATAAGAAAACTAGTCAAATGTTCTTCAAGTTACTTCCTGTCATTTACTCCAACAAACAGAAAAGACAACAGACATTTCTAATCATCCCACCTGTAGTTATTCCTTCAGAACATTATTTTTCATTCAGTTATTTAATACAACTAACTATTCAGCAAAAAGATGGAAGATCTGTAACTGTTCTACTGAAATATTCTACTGGCAACATCAAGGCAAACATCTATTACCTAAAGCAGAGATGTCCAATCTTTTGGCTTCCCTGGGCCACACTGGAAAAAGAACTGTCTCAGGCCACACATAAAATACACTAACAATAGCTAATGAGCTGTTAAAAAAATCTCATAATGTTTTGCTTTGTTTTTGAAACAAAGTCTGGCTCTATCACCCAGGCTGGAATGTAGTGGTGTGATCTTGGCTCACTGCAACCTCCACCTCCCAGGTTCAAGCAATTCTCCTGCCTCAGCCTCCTGGGTCCCAACTAGCTGGGATTACAGGCACCCGCCACCACACCTGGCTTTTTTTTTTTTTTTTTTTGAGACGGAGTTTCGCTCTATTGCCAGGCTGGAGTGCAGTGGCGCTGTCTCGGCTCACTGCAAAGTCAGCCTCCCTGGTTCAAGCAATTCTCCTGCCTCAGCCTCCCGAGTAGCTGGGACTACAGGCGTGCACCACCACACCCAGCTAATTTTTTTGTATTTTTAGTAGAGATGGGGTTTCACCGTATTAGCCAGGATGGTCTCGATCTCCTGATCTTGTGATCCACCCGCCTTGGCCTCCCAAAGTGGTGGGATTACAGGTGTGGGCCACCGCGCCTGGCCTAATTTTTGTATTTTTAGTAGAGACGGGGTTTCACCATGTTGGCCAGGCTGGTCTCGAACTCCTGACCTCAGGCAATCCGCCCGCCTCAGCCTCCCAAAGTGCTGGGATTATAGGCGTTGAGCCACTATGCCTTGCCCACATAATGGTTTTTAAGAAGGTTTACCAGCTTGTTTTGGGCCACACTGAAAGCCGTCCTGGGCCCAGCCTAAGGGCCGTGAGTTGGACAAGCTTGACCTAAAGGGATGATCCTGGAGGCAGGAGGTAAATAAAGCACAACCACCTCTTGGAGGCTTCCTGGGCCTCTCAGAGAGCCATACTGGCTCTTGATTACCATTGTACATTTGTCAAGTACTTTGGGTATGTTACATACTAAAGCAGCAAAAATAAATGGGATACACGTCTTCTTAAGTAATTCAAAGTCTAGTAGGGGAAGCAGAAAGGTAACAAACAATTAAGATACAAAAGTAAAACAAAAGCCCTCTGTAGAGTGCTCCAACATCTTTTATTCCTTATCATCTCCCCAAATTCCAATTTGCTGCCCCTATATGCCCTTTAAAAAAACCCAGGCCGGGCACAACGGCTCACACCTGTAATCCCAGCACTTTGGGAGGCTGAGGCAGGAGGATCACTTGAGGCCAAGAGTTGGAGACCAGCCTGGCTAACACGGTGAAACTTCGTCTCTACTAAAAATACAAAAATTAGCTGGGCGTGGTGGTGCGCGCCTGTAGTCCCAGCTACTCAGGAGGCTGAGGCAGGAGAATCGCTTGAACCCAAGAGGCAGAGGTTGCAGTGAGCTGAGATAGCACCACTGCACTCCAGCCTGGGCAACAAAGCAAGACTCCATCTCAAAAAAAATTCCAGAACTAGGCGTGGTGGCTCACACCTGTAATCCCAGCACTTTGGGAGGCCGAGGCGGGCAGATCACCTGAGGTGTCAAGAGCTCGAGACCAGTCTGGGCAACGCGGTGAAACCCCATCTCTACTAAAAATACAAAAATTAGCTCGGCGTGGTGGCAAGCACCTATAATCCCAGCTAACTTGGAAGGCTGAGGCAGGAGAATTGCTTGAACCCGGGATGTGGAGGTTGCAGTGAGCTGAGATCACGCCATTGTACTCCAGCCTGGGTGACAACAGGGAAACTCCATCTAAAAAAAAAAAAATCCATACACAAAAGTAAAGTCCACATGGATTAAAGACTTTACAGTAAAAGACAAAACTATAAATGTATTAAAAACATTTACTTGTAGTGTGAATTTTAGAAGATAAAGATTACATTAGAAAAATAGGCAAAAAAGATATAAATTAACAAAAAAAGTTGATGCAGCTGGTCAATAGGCCAAAAAAAAGCTGTTCAAGCTCAATAGACAATGGCAAAAAATTGTGAACAGGACCTTCACAAAAACAGGAAATCCAAATAGTCAATAAACCTATAAAAAGGTGCTCAACCTCATCAGTAATTAGGAAAATTCAAGTTAAAGTTACAATGGGAAACCATTAAACATCATCAGAACAGCAAAAATTTTGAAGTCCAACAACAGCAAGTACTGGCAAGCTTCTGCAGCAACAGGAACTCATATATTGCCGGTAAAAGACTAAACTGGCATAGCCACTTTAGAAAAGTTACCTTTATACATTAAAGTTGAAGATAGAAATATTCTACGACATAGCAATTCCACAACCAGGCAAGCGCCCTAGAGCAGTGTTACTCAAAGGGTAGACTGCAGATGACACTTATTTTGCTATCTAGGCTATAAAGACCCTAATGCACAGAAACAGTCCATACTTCTCTGTTTCTTCAGATACTTTTACATTAGGGCTTTCAAATACTTGCGACCTTCATTTGTAAGCAAGGTTTTAGAATCTTCTATCTACAATAAAGTAAGATCTGCTGACATAATGAGACTGCCAGGATAATTATACATATTTCGAAGAAGGAACCAAAGATACACATTTTCAATGTTTTCTCCTATTATCCTAAAAAACTGGTAGCCAGTTCTCATTTAAATTTTTTGCTTTATTAACCTAACTCCAAAAATTAATGAAACAAGGACATTTTCAGAAGTCATTTTAAAGTATATTATTATTTTTGTTGTGTTTTTAACATTTTAACATACATAAGAACTTTACAACAAATGAATAAGACAGAGCAGGTAATGTCACCATTCATTTAGAGAAGCTAAAATGAATTATTCAGGGGTCAGAGTGAACCTTGCTCTCCAAGTTCTTAGCCTAAAATCCTTGTTGCTATACCACTCTCAGTGTTTTTGCCAGAAGTGTTGAAAAAGACACTTTGCTACTTAGCTTAGTAATGAAGTTTTCCTGTTCTCTCTTTTCCTCCTCCTGCCCCCATTCTTCAGAAGGCAATGCTAATAAGTAACAGAGTTAGAAGAAATGAGGCAGCTAGAGAGAAAAGAAAAGCAAAGGATGCAAATAATATACACACAATACTCAGTATAGTGCCTCACAGGCAGCTGAAGCCAGAGCATCCTGGTTTCACTCCAGACTTCACCACTGGCAACGTATGGAAAGTCATGTAACCTCTATACCTCAGTTTCCTCATCTGTAAAAATGGCAGTAGCTAACTCACAGAGTTTTTCTGAGGATGAAATTACGAACTTGGGGTGTTTTTGTTTGTTTGCTTTTTAAAGACAAGAGTCTCACTCTGTTGCCCAAGCTAGAATGAGTGGCGCGATCACAGCTCACTGCAGCCACGACCTCCTGAGCTCAAGAGATCCTCCCACCTCGGTGTCCTGAGTAGCTGGGACCACAGGTGCGCACCACCATGACCAGCTAATTTTAAAAAAATTTTTTGAAGAGAATAGGACTCACATGTTGGCCAGGTTGGTCTTGAACTCCTAGGCTCAAGTGATTCTCCAACCTCAGCCTCCCAAAGTGCTGGGATTACAGCATGAGCCACATGCCTGGCCTTACCAACATATGTAAAGTATAAAGAACAATGCTTGTCACACAGTAAGTGCTACTAAGGTGTTAGCCATTAATATAAATTATTAATAATTTTGTATTACAATGGCAACACAAAATTAGCCTGTTCAACCCCTACTTCTCCTGTCAAGATATTGCCTCTGTAAAAGGCCATCTTGAGCACCTCTAATAACCCTTTTCCTAACATTCCAAGACAGGTTCCTACCTAAAAGCATAGTAGGTTTAAAATACTCATATCAGAGTAAACCTTGTCACACTCTTACATAAATTTTGCTCAATAAAAGTAAATTATAACTGATGAAAGTAGATGTTCTTTCATTTTTTAAGAGACAGGGTCTCCATCTGTCACCCAGGCTGGAGTTGGGGTGGTGTGATCATAGTCCACTGCAGCCTCAAACTCCTGGGCTCAGGCGATTCTCCTGCCTCAGTTTCCCAAGTAGCTAGGACTGCAGGCATACACCACCACACCCAGCTAATTTTTTAATTTAAACAACTTTTTTTTTGTAGAGATGAGGTCTCACTATATTGACCAGGCTAGTCTCAAACCCCTGGCCTCAAGTGATCCTGCTGCCACGGCCTCCCAAAGCACTGGGATTAAAGGCGTGAGCCACTGTATCGAGACTCACATTTATTATTAAAAGCATCTATGCGTTTCATCATGTTTAACTCCCATTTTAACATGTATTGTTTCAAAAACTTACTTTAAAACTAAATGCAAGTTAGCAGACAGCCGAGGATCTGTAAATTGTGTTGTTCTGTTGTTATGGTCAACGAAATAAACTCTGCCTGTTGCCGTATTACGGATCTCCCATCCAGGAGGCAATGGACCAAGCTCTTCACAATTGATGTTGCTAAGATCCCTGCAAAAACAAATATAAAATAAAAAATACCTCATTGCTCGCCCTGCTGAACCAAGCAAGTGTAAATGACACAGAACAATTCCACAAAGTGTGAGAAAATGTATTGTTTCAGAAACTTGAGATGTTCAGCTGGAATCTTTAATTCCCAATGGTTTAACAAACTTTCATCTTCAAAGCCCAATCCATAAATGGCTCAGAAAAACTTATCACATAGCCTACATTTTTTAGTAATTTCCTAGGCTTTAATGTAATACAGATTTAAATTAATATAAAATCAATCCCAATATTTGCCAACATAAACTGTATTTCAACACGTGTTTGACAGGAAGTAATTTTACAAGTGTCAGTGACATAAAGAATTAAATGCTTTCTAAAATGTCCCTTCATTTCTTTACTATACCATAAAATTTGCATAAAATGTCCATTCCATAATTTTAAGCTCGCCAACAAAGCAAAACTGGAAATGTTACTGAAATTATGATCCTGAAAATAATCACAGCATATTTTTAAAGAATAAACTGCAATTCTAAAATCTGTAAAGTTAGTCAATGAAGAACCTGTTTAAGATACATTACCAAGAGTGCTCTAAGGGTTACCACTGCAATAAGAAAAGCTAAGATTTTTAATGGACCAAAGACTATTGCTATTATATTATACATTCTTAAAATACTAGTATATATAGAGAAGGATTAATAGGGCCTTAAAGAATGAGTTAAGGAGCTTCCAGGTTGGTGAACACACTGAGGTACTGGACGGTGGCCTGCCCAGAGAGGGCATGGTAGCTCCTTGCCCTCCCCCCATACTGTGTCCTAAGCATTGCTTCCATTTGGCTGTTCCAGAGTTGTAGCCTCTGTAATAAACTGGCAATAGAACTGCAAATTCTTATCCTCTACACTGTTAGAAAAAAATATTTCAGTGAAGCTTCCAAAGTGTGGAAATTGCTGTTGTCATCCACCAGAAGAGAAAAGTCACTGCCCTTGGTGACATAATTGAGACTGCGTGTAACAATGTATGATATGATCAGGTCATTTCCTGCCTTAAATGAATACTTTAGGTTACCAGAGCCATGTGTAAATACCAAAGAAACGACATACTCTGAAAGTGACCAAGCAAACTCAAGCATCTAGATAGTAAAACTGTTTTTGTGGTCCTCTTTTTATTAAAAAAAAGAGGAGGAGGAGGAGGAGGAGGAGGAGGAGGAGGAGGGGGAGGAGGAGGAGGGGGAGGAGGAGGAGGAGGAGGGGGAGGAGGAGGGGAGGAGGAGGGGAGGAGGAGGAGGGGAGGAGGAGGAGGAGGGGAGGAGGAGGAGGAGGAGGAGGGGGAGGAGGAGGAGGAGAAGATAAAAGCAGCATGTTTATGTAAATTTAAATTGTAACAGATAATTATAAGTAATCACAAATTTCATCAAAACCACATTTTAAAAGTTATACTAGAAAAATGTTTTTCCTGAGATGACTTCTCCTTAGTCACAGTGAAACCAATGATGGGCACACAGGGACCTATATTTGCCAAAGCAATCATTCTGACTTCTGCTATAGGTGTTCCAAGAGACTCCTGCTACAGAACAGCTAAAGTGTAGGAAAAAACACCATTTGAAACACTGCTAGTCTCAAAAGAGGCAAGGGAAAGTTCCAAGAATTCTCCTCAAATTTTAAAAAAAAGGGAGTTCGGGGGACTGAGTAAAGATGGTACCTGAGTGGCAGGTAGGCAGAAGGGCAGGCCAGCAGCAAGACTGGGATAGGAAACCTGAAGCTTCCTCCCCAAGCTGAGAACTCAGGGAGTTCAGCCTCCCAAATTCAGCCTCCCAAAGTGCTGGGATTATAGGCATGAGCCACTGCACCGGCCCCAAATAGATTTTTAATGGTTTAGAAATGAAAAACAGGAGCTGGAGGACATTATCCTTAGCAAACTAAAGCAGGAACAGAAAACCAAATATTGCATGTTCTCACTTATAAGTAGGAGCTAAATGATGGGAACACATGGACACATGGAGAGGAACAACAGGTACTATGGCCTATCAGAGGGTGGAAGGTGGAAGAAGGGAGAGGATCAGCAAAAATAACGAATGGGTACTAGGCTTAGTATCTGGGTGACAGAATCATCTGTACAACAAACCCTCATGACACAAGTTTACCTATAACAAACCTGCACATGTACCCCTGAACCTAAAAGTTAAAAAAAAAATTAAAATAAAAAATGAACAATTCTACTGATAAAATGTAGAATTTCATTTCATGTCATTTTATTTAGAATTTTATAAATCTACAGTCATACACGGGAGAGTGCTAAAGCACTGATTAAAAGAGCAAAACACTAGAAATAATCTTTATGTCTCACTGGGAGCTGGTTAAAGAAAAATGGAATGTTATACAGTCATACAAAGTAACACAGATCTGTATTTCAAGACTACAGTCACTCAGTATGCAATATAACAAATAACAAGGCATTAACCATTGTTTTAAAGAGAAATGCAAAACATGATGAAATGAGATTTCTTGGATAAATCTAGGTATCCTGGATATCTTTAAATAAAGTTTGTTTTAAAGAGTCTGACTTTGCAATTTTATAAATATCTTCGAATAGTGATATTGTAATAGAAACTAAATATTTATAGTATACTTTCATAAAAGATCTTCCATACAAAAGGCATATTTGCTAAAGGATCCTCCAAAACAAAAGATGTAAGTTTTTAAGGTAATTTGGGGGATACAGAATAAGAAAAATAATCCCAAGTGTTATTTCATAAAATCATCATTCAAAATACATGTCAATACTCAACATGAGATATTCTTAAAGCTTCGCAGAAATCCTTTACTCACTAATAAAAAACTGACATGTTTCCTCTGGAATAAGAGCCTGTTACCAACAGTGGTGCTGAAATCTGTCTCAATTTCAATTTCTGTTGCCAGCTTACATACTATTCTTTCAACATGTAACTCAAGGTCAACTTTCTCACTATTGTAAATCATTTAGTTAAAAAAAATGATCATTGTTATTCTATACATTTCCTACAAGTAATTTCTAATTAATTTAAAGAAAAGCTTATTATTGACCTTCAACTAGATAAACAGAATCCAAAAAGCTTTTTACAATTTATATAATAAAACTGATTTTGAAAAGTTAGGCCCTTGGATTTTTTTTTTCTTTTTTTAGTAAGCTTAAAAAAAAAAAAGTAAAATTTCCTCCCCACTACTTTTTATCTATTTATTTTTTTAGAGATGGGGTCTTGCTCTGTTGCCGAGGCTGGAGTGCCACGGTGCGATCTCGGCTCACCACAACCTCCACCTCCCAGGTTCAAGCAATTCTTCTTCTTCAGCCTCCTGAGTAGCTGGGATTACAGGCACATGCCACCATGCCTGGCTAATTTTGTATTTTTAGTAGAGACGGGTTTTCACCATGTTGGCCAGGCTGGTCTCAAATTCCTGACTTCAAGTGATCCTCCTGCCTCAGCCTCCCAAAGTGCTGGGATTACAGGTGTGAGCCACCGAGCCCGGCCCCCACTACTTTTTAAAAACTAACAGCTTATATTGTCAAGACATGGAAATGGCAACCTTGATAAAGTAATGAGTAATAGCACATTCCCTTGGTTGCCACCCTCAAAGAATTCTGAGCTCTATAACACAAAGTAAGACATTTTCATAATCACAGTTTTATTTATAAATAGAGAGTATCAAAGCAACCCAAGACTAGCTAGTCACATCTGTTTTTTATTCAAATACACAATAGAGTCCTGAGCATAAGCTTTAGGCAGGAAAAAAAAACAACCTTCTGTGGGTTGTTCTGGGGGTTTGTTTTGGAGGAGGGGCGCTGCTGTGCTTAACATAAAATATCCACATCCTACAAATCCTTTGTATGTGCAACATACAAAGTTGATTTAGAATTTAATTTAGAATTCAAGCTTTTTTCCAGTTGTAACTGGACTACTTGGTACTTTGCATCTGTTCATTAAAAAATAACTCAAAATAGGGCCAAGCATGGTGGCTCATGCCTGTAATCCCAGCACTTTGGGAGGCCGAGGTGCACAGATTGCTTGAGCTCAGGAGTTTGAGACTAGCTTGGGCAACATGGCGTAACCCCATCTCTACTAAAAATACAAAAATTAGCGGGGTATTGTGGCGCATGCCTGTAGTCCCAGCTATTCAGGAGGCTGAGGTGGGAGGATGACTTGAACCCAGGAGGCAGAGGTTGTAGTGAGCCAGGACTGCACTGCTGCTCTCCAGCCTGGACAGCAGAGCTAGATCCTGTCTCAAAAAAAAGAGAGGGAGGGAGGCAGGGAGAAAACAATGTTCCAAAAATTATGGTAAATCACTAAATTTATTTGTGTGTCATTTCATCTTTTTGAAGTTAAAAGTAATTGACATTTTGGTTAGGAAATGCAATATCTGCAGCTGAAATACACAAGTTTGGATATTTAAATTAAATTAGGGCCAGGCACAGTGGCTCACGCATGTAATCCCAGCACTTTGGTAGGTCGAGGTGAGCAAATCACCTGAGGTCAGGTGCTCAAGACAAGCCTGGACAACATGGCAAAATCCCGTCTCTACTAAAAATACAAAAATTAGCTGGGTATGGTGGCAGGTGCCTGTAATCCTAGCTACTCAGGAGGCTGAGGCAGGAGAATCACTTGAACCCGGGAGGCGGAGGTTGCAGTGAGCTGACATTGCACCACTGCACTCCCGCCTGGACAACAGAATGAGACTCCATCTCAAAAACATTAATTAATTAATTAAATTACGTTGTTTTCTAAAAATGGAATTTTATTAAGGAACACATAACAGAACATTGAATGCATTTATGAGGTTAAATTTTTCAAAGATTTTTTTTTAAGCTGAACCATAATTAAGAATATCAACCTACTACCCGTTTTTAAAGGGTATGTGTTCCGTTATTCCCCAGGTCAATTTTCTTTTTCTATCCTTTTTTTTTTTTTTTTTTTTTTTTTTGAGACGGGTCTCGTTCTGTCACCCAGGCTACAGTGCAGTGGTGTGATCTCAGCTCACTGCAACTTCCGCCTCCCACTTTAGCCTCGCGAGCAGCTGGGACTACACGAATTTTCTTTCTCTTTTTTTGAAATGGGGTCTTGCCCCAGCCATCCCATTACTGGGTATATACCCAAACGATTATAAATCATGCTGCTATAAAGACACATGCACACGTATGTTTATTACGGCACTATTCACAATAGCAAAGACTTGGAATCCACCCAAATGTCCATCAATGATAGACTGGATTAAGGGCACATATACACCATGGAATACTATGCAGCCATAAAAAAGGATGAGTTCATGTCCTTTGTAGGGACATGGATGAAGCTGGAAACCATCATTCTCAGCCAACTATCGCAAGGCCAAAAAAACAAACACTGCATGTTCTCACTCATAGGTGGGAATTGAACAATGAGAACACTTGGACACAAGAAGGGGAACATCACACACCAGGGCCTGTTGTGGGGTGGGGGGAAGGGGGAGGGATAGCATTAGGATATATACCTAATGTAAATGACAAGTTAATGGGTGCAGCACACCAACATGGCACATGTATACATATGTAACAAACCTGCACGTTGTGAACATATACCCTAGAACTTAAAGTATAATAAAATAAATAAATAAATAAATAAATAAAACACTAAAAAAAAAAAAAGAGAGAGAGAGAGAGAAATGGGGTCTTGCTCTGTCATCCAGGCTGGAGTGCTGTAGCACGACCAAGGCTCACTGCAGCTTCAACCTCCATGGCTCAAGCAATCCTCTTGCCTCAGCCTCCCAAGCAACTGGGACCACAACAGATGTGCTCTACCACATACAGCTGATTTTTAATCTTTGGTAGAGACCAGGTCTATGTGGCTCAGACTGGTTTCAAACTCCTGGGGCTCAAGTGATCCTCATGCCTCAGCCTCCCAAAGTGTTGGGAATACAGGTAAGAGCCACCTGCTTGGTGCCCTAGGACAAATTTCAAACTCCTAAAAGATCCATGTTTTCATTCCACTTTTTTTTTTTTTTTTTTTTTTGAGACAGAGTCTCGCTCTGTGGCCAGGCTGGAGTGCAGTGGCGTGATCTCAGCTCACTGCAAACCTCCACCTCCCTGGGTTCAAGCGATTCCCTGCCTCAGCCACCCGAGTAGCTGGGATTACAGGCACGCGCCACCACGCCCAGCTCATTTTTGTATTTTTAGTAGAGATGGGGTTTCACCATGTTGGCCAGGATGGTTTCGATCTCTTGACCTCATGATCTGCCCACCTTGGCCTCCCAAAGTGCTGGGATTACAGGCATGAGCTACCATGCCCTGCCTATTCCACTTTTTTTTAAGGGGAAGCAGGGGAGGGTGGCTAGGAACTGGTGAGGGAGGGGAGAACTGAGGTGGGATTGCAGAGCAGTAGGCAGGACTTTCTACTAAACGTTAAAACTGAAGTAACTATCAGAAGAGTCAAACTTTTACATAAACTATTTTTAAAAGGTAAAAATTTCTTAAAAATCAAAGAAATCCTAGGTGAAATGGCTCTTTGATGGTCTAAAGAGTGCTTAAAATACGTTCTTACCTGGGCACTCTTGGATCATGCCATGTGCTCACACCAGTCTGTGTATGTAAGAAATACACCTGGCCTTGTTGCGTTGTCCTCTGTTCTGTAAAATTAATAAACACTGATAACAAAAACATTCAGAGTGTCCAGATCAAAGACAGTTATATACACTAAGATGATATACTAATAGGGAAAAATCTCCAAATTACCAATCTATTTTATTTATTATCAAAAAAGGGCTTTACAAATCATTTGTTCTGTCTCTTGGAAACAATTTTACAAATGATGAGGGCCACAGGCCAGCTATCCATAAACAAACTAAACTTATAACGTGGCTTAAATACTAAATATGTTGCAATGGAAAACAAATCAAGATTGTCACAATACTAATAACTAAAAAATTTTAAATGATGTATAAAAGGCTCTGAGAAAGAGGCTGGCCAACATTGGGAAGATTTGAGGAGGAACTTCCAGAAATTTTCAAAGAGTCTGGAGGTTGATAATGCTTATTATGCCTAATTTTATACCAAAACTTATGTTTTCTCTTTGCTAGACAAAGGTATATTCTCAAGATTACATTTGAGCTCAAAGAGAAGCAAAACAGATGAGATACTGGGGAGACATTCTATGTCATAAACAGATAGAGATGGAAAAATAGCCAAATTAGAAAGAAGAGGACTAAAGAGCAAGCACGCACACTGGGGAGAAAAAAGTCAAGGACAAAATGAACTCAAAATCCTTGGGAAGACAGAGGAAAGGCCAGGGTGAAGAGAACAATCTCTAAAAGGGTTTCTTTATGGTGGGTTTTGTTTTGTCTTTTTTTTTTAGAACAACAGAACCACTTTTCTTTAGACAAAATCCAGTGAGAAACTTCAATACATAAAAAACTATTACTAATATTTATTAGTATAAATCTAATTTGTTTATAAACGTATAATGTCAATAAATTTAAACTTTAAACTTTCACAGATTATAAACAAAATCATATTACTATAGAGGACAGCTGTAATAACTTCAGCCTTGGTATCCACTTTATTTTTATGTTTTGGTTGTACAGTTTTTAAAATTCAAATCACAGAAATATTGTAGAAGTATAACCACTCCCACTCTAAAGAGCTTGCCTTATAATCTCAAAGAGAAATGGCAGGAGAGTATTTCTTCTCAGGTCTGAACACTGATAATGACAGTTAAAATTTACTATGCCAGACACTGTGCCAGCATTTCACATGAAATTAGATATCACTGATTTCTTGCAACAAACCTAGATGGTTGGTGCTGTTATTTTCCTCTATAGAGGATAAAATTGAGGCTCAAAGAGGTTAAATAATGTGCTCGGTGTTACATGGCAAAGCCAGGATACGAACCTAGGTCCTAAGTCTGTCTGTCACTCAAGCCTATAATTTAATGATTGTGCTAAAAGTTAACCTTTGAGTCATAGCACAGTTAATGGACAAGTTTTTTCAAATTAAAGAGCTAAAATACATTTAAAACTAAAATAAGAATCATGCATTTGCAGAAGAGTTTTAAAATATATTCTTGAGTAAAATAAAACTTAGATGTGGCAATTCCCAGTGTTGGTCATTAGATGTCAACATCAATCCAAAGTGGTTTATCTATAGTCTGTTAAGAGGGCAAAGATGTAAGTAACCTTGGTGAGCTTTTGGCAAGAAGAGGAAGTCAAGTTCAGACTATATACAAGGATTCACAAGATGGTATTAAATTAGAAACTTCCGTATTCTATTAGGAGAAGACTCATGTTATCTTCCACATGAAACTTTATAATCTAGGATTTTATATAAGATTGTAATCATTTTATACAAACATAGAAGTGACTCAGTCATTTACAACAATCCAATCAGATAATCCAAAATTACAGACAATACAAATATATGATCAGAAATATGCCTTTAAAATTATTTCTAAATATATATGTCTAAAAAATTATGTCATAGGTTGAACTTCAGATTACCGTTATCAGTAACAATACCATCTTACCTTTCTATACAGTGCCTATTTACAAAACAGTCTCACTTCATTTCGTATGCTTCTCACACTACCTTTGTTATAAACTAGTCATCTCACTTCATTATAGAAGAGCACAAACGCTGAGGCTGAATGATGAGCACAAGGTCAAACTGTTGGTTAGGTAGTCATCTACCACTTCAAAGACTTTTCAAAGTTGGGAGGTTTTATATTTATTTTCATGCAGAATCCCTAAGCTCAGATTAATAACTTTTTCAAAATATATTTTCTGACTTCCTCAGCAAACTGAAATCAGTAAACCACATTTTATTTTTCCTTTGTAGTTGTCATACCATAGCCTTCTGGTAGGTCTGGAGGAGTATGTAAATGTGTTCTGCTCATGTAATTTCTATGTCGTTGTGACCTGACTCTCCTCTCTGCCAGCCTGGGATCTGAAGACTGTCCACATGTTGCACCATTTGTTCCACTAATTGGAGTGTTCTCATCAACAAAGCAGCTAAGAGGTCTGCCAGGGCTAGAATATTCGGATGCCGGTCTATTGAAAATTAACAAGGAAAAGATGTTATCAATTTAGATATCAAAAGTAGAGTTCTCTAGACAATATATATATACTGCAGTAACAACCACTTATCATGTCTGAAAACAGAATGACTAATACAAGTATAATGACTTCAAGAACTCTGAGTAAAAGCAAACCTGAAGTCTCTAAGCACCAAAGAAATGCAAATGATAAGCATGTCATCAACTATGTATTTAAATGACTTTAATGACATTTGATATAAAATCCATACGTATCTGTGGATGTGAGACTGGCTTACAAAACACTGCTTGATCTAGCTATAGCCTCTCCCTCAGACCTGACTTCCCACCATTCTCCCTCCCACTCTGCTTCAGCCACACTCATATTCTTCCTGTTCCTTGAACTTGCCAAGGTCATTCCACCTGAGAGCAGTTGCTCTTCCTTCCATCTGGCATATTCTTTTCTCCTACTCTCCCTAGGCCTGGCTCTTTTTTGTCATTCAAATCAGTTTATTATTGCCTCCTAAGAGGTCCCTCAGACCTCCCAATCTAAAAAAGTCACCCAGTCATTTGACAATACATCACAAAAGGAAAGAAGACAGTTTGTCTCTTTAAGGGGCTTCCAGTCTACTATTGCAGATCTTTCAAAATAAAAAAATAATCAAGAGTTCATTCTTAAATTAACATGGCAGGGTATGGTGGCTCACACCTGTAATCCCAGCACTTTGGGAGACCGAAGCGAGCGGATCACTTGAGGTCAGGAGTTTGAGACCAGCCTGGCCAACACAGCGAAACCCCATCTCTACTAAAAATACAAAAATTAGCCGGGTGTGGGGGCGGGCGCCTGTAGTCCCAGCTACTCGGGAGGCTGAGGTACGAGAATTGCTTGAATCCAGGAGGCAGAGGTTGCAGTGGGCAGAGGTTGCAGTGAGCCGAGATCGTACCACTGCACTCTAGCCTAGGCAATAGAGCGGGACTCCATCTCCAAAAAAAAAAAAAAATTAACATTTAAAACAACAATCATCCTTTTATACATGTAGAAATTCAAGCTAATTTTACTGGTTAAATGAGTCAGAAGGAAATTGGTGTTCAAGTGAAACCTTGAACACTGACACAAGTACATATTCATTTGTGCTCAGATATAATAAAAATGGGTACTTCAATAAATTCCTTGGCAGTTTAATACTAGAAATGCAACTTGGCAACATGAGCTAAGCTTTTACCTGAGAATTATAATGTAAAAGAGAAAACCTTGTGATCCAATGAGTTAAGCAATTAGTTCTGTATAAATAAAAGTAGGTGCAGCTAATGAAAAGAATTTGGTATTTTATGCCTAGTGCCAGTCCTGCTCAAGAAGGGGAAAACAGGCAAAACAAAACACTGCACAAGATGGCAAATTTTGTTCTCACTTAAAAGGGTGAGGAGAAGGGGATTCAGCCACATAGACTATTTGTTTTCAGTTACTTCAAAAGCACCTCTTTGCAGTTCCCAAAATTTATCTTGCATCCCAATGTCTTTATACAGTAAGCTCCATGAAGTGACCATACCTGACATTCTTCAAGATTTAGTTCAGAGATTCCTCTGCTTATCAATTTAATTCATTCGATTTTTATTTTATTTTATTTTATTTGTTTTATTTTTGAGACTGAGTCTCGCTCTATCGCCCAGGCCGGAGTGCAGTGGCGCAATCTCGGCTCACTGCAACCTCCACCTCCTGGGTTCAAGCCATTCTCCTGCCTCAGCCTCCTGAGTAGCTGGGATTACAGGCACCCACCACCACGTCCAGCTAATTTTTGTATTTTTAGTAGAGATGGGGTTTCTCCATGTTGGTCAGGCTGGTCTTGAACTCCTGACCTCAAGTGATCCGCCCACCTTGGCCTTCCAAAGTGTTGGGCTTACAGTGGTGAGCCACCATGCTTGGCCAATATTTTTTTTTTTTTGGGGACAGAGTCTCATTCTATCACCCAGGTTAGAGTGCACGGGCACGATCTTGGCTCACTGCAACCTCCACCACCTATGTTCAAGCAATCCTCCCACCTCCACGTCCCAAGTAGCTGGGACCACAAGCATAAGTCACATGCCCAGCTAATTTTTTTGGTAGAGACAGGGTTTCATCATGTTGCCCAGGCTGGTCTCAAACTCCTGAACTCAAGTGATCCACATGCCTTGGCCTCCCAAAGTGCAGGGATTACAGGCAGCCTCGAAAAGTGCAGGGATTACAGGCATGAGCCACCACGCCCTGCCTCATTCAATAAATATTTATTGAGTACCACTGCAGGCCCTGGAGCTACAATGACAGCATGACCTGTCAAACAAACTGTTGAAGATCACTTTTAAAAAATAACAATGGCACCTGTTATAAGATCTACTGATCTACGACAGCAAAAACCAAGAAAAAAAATCTAGTAAAGCTGACAGATAAATAGAAAAGGACTTCAGGAGGGTGGCTGGCATAGATCATGAGAAAATATTTGTATGTTCTTACCGTGTTGGGCGCTCCCATTGCGTAGTTCTTGTTATATGGTTTAGATACTGGATTCTTCCAGAGGCGGTTCTCCTTTCTTCCCAGCTTAAATAAAAATATTGAGTGATAAGGCATTAATAGGAAACTTGGACACAGTGCAACAAGCAAGCCAGTAAGACATCTGCTGTTACAAATCGGGAATGCCAACCCGAAGTATCAATTCACAGAATATATAATTTTTTCAACTTATTTTAGAACTCTGTAATATATTTTATGGGATTCTGAAGCTTCTAAAGTATTTATGCTGAGGTGTAACAAATATTTTCCATCAGCCAAACTCTGAGAATTTTTAATAATGTCAACAATACACAATTAAATTCATACTAATTACTCCAGAATATGGAAAATGGCTATACTAAGAATATATTTAACCATAAAATCACGAGGTCTCTTGACTTCGTGATCCACCCGCCTCGGCCTCCCAAAGTGCTGGGATTACAGGTGTGAGCCACCGCATCCGGCCAAAAGCTTTTCAAAGCATTTAGCCTACCCAAACTAATTTTTTAAAAATGAAGACTATTGGCTGGCACGGTGTCTCACGTCTGTAATTCCAGCATTTTGGGAGGCTAGCATTTTGGGAGGCCAAGGTAGGCAGATCACCTGAGGTTAGGAGTTCAAGACCAGGCTGGCCAACATGGTGAAACCCTGTCTCTATTAAAAATACAAAAATTAGCCGGGCGTGGTAGCATGCGCCTGTAATCCCAGCTACTCGGGAGGTTGAGGCAGGAGAATTGCTTGAACCGGGGAGGCGGAGGTTGCAGTGAACCAAGATCATGCCACTGCACTCCAGCCAGGGTGACAAGAGCGAAACTCCTTCTCAAAAAAAAAAAAAAAATCGAAACAGCTACTTTCTTTTTTTTTCTTTTTTTTTTTTTTTTGAGACAGAGTCTTGCTCCTTCGCCAGGCTGGAGTGCAGTGGCGCGATCTCAGCTCACTGCAACCTACGCCTCCCGGGTTCAAGCGATTCTTCTGCCTCAGCCTCCTGAGTAGCTGGGACTACAGGTGCACACCACCACGCCTGGCTACTTTTTGTATTTTTAGAAGAGACGTGGTTTCACCATGTTGGCCAGGATGCTCTTGATCTCTTGACCATGTAGTCCTCCCGCCTCAGCCTCCCAAAGTGCTGGGATTACAGGCGTAAGCCACCATGCCTGGCCAAGACTGCTACTTTCTATCAACTCTTTACCATAATTAATTTAATGAAAAAGAGCCAAATGACTACAGAAATGTGATAATGTTAATATTTCTACAAAGATACTGGCAGAGGTTGAAGGGCTCTAAAAGACAGAAAATAAAGAGATGCTAGGGTATTTTCCCTCCTGTGATTACAATTATAGTACAATAATGTAGGGCAAGTTTAGAACAATAAGCCTTATTACTGCTGGCACTCTCTCAATATTGATTAGTTATTTCATCCTAAATTTCCTTTTCAAAAATACCATAATCTACCTCATATCTATAAAAGAGCTAACAGACATATCTAGAAGCTAAAGTGACCTACGAACAGTTAATTATAGTGATTTTTAACAGTTTAAAAAATGAGTAAATACCATAACCTGGGTATAAAATTTTGTATAAAAAATAATTGGAGTTAAAATTTAACCATTTATATACTTCAATGGATGCAATTTATTACATGTAAGTTATATCTCATCGAAGTTAGTTAAAAATACTTTGAATGTTAAAAATAAAATCAGAAAAGAGTTAGAACTAGTATCAAAGAGACCAGTCATAAAAATCATGACTTTAGAATCAAGACAGGTTTGTGTGTTTTGGCTCTGCCATTTATTATGTGGCCTTAGGCAAATAACTTCTCTCTTAGTTTTTGAGGGTAACAATAATAGTAGCAATAGAAATAATAGTAGCTAATTATTTACTAAGCGCTTATTTTATGCAAGACACTGTGCTAAAGTGCCTTACCTGAATTATTTCATTTGATCCTCTCAACAGTTTATGAGTATGCTATTATCACTCATACTCTTTTGTAAATAAATATAAACCAAAGCATATGGAAGTTAAATAAATTAAGGTCATAAAGCCAATACACAGAATAGTAAGGATTAGAACTCAGGTGGTCTGATTTCAGAAGCATGGCTATATACTGCCTTCCAAGATGCTATGAGAATTAAATGATATGTACATAAAGTGCTTATAACAGTATCTGCCATATACATGCTCAATGAAATCTTACTATGTTATTTTAATTACTATTACACAAATTATCCATCCCATCCCTCTTAAATATAGCAATGTTTCTAATTTAGCACTTGCATGGCCTGTTTTGAATAATTTAATCAAGCAACATTTTTTTAACTAGATAATATTTACAAGAGAGTTATATTTGTCAAGAAATTTCATTTGTCTCCTAGTCAAAACTCTTAATAACCAAATTTAACACATCTAATTTGTGGCTTATTTTATAAATTTGTCGAGACAAGATCTTCCATTAATTTTACAATTAGAAGGAAAATCTACATTCAATATACGATAAACACCATTTAATATACAATAAACACCCACTTATTTCTATTCTTTTAAGGATATTATCTATATATTTCTCTAATGATTTCAGTGATGTTAGCTTACCCGTCTGGTAAATCGTTATCAAATAAACGACTGCAGTCCACAACTTGTCCTCCTGTGCCTATTCGGTCTCTGGACTGAAGACTTACTATTAAATGACAGAAATATTACTAAGATTCATACAACTAGAAAGAACTATTATAATCTAAAATTTCTATCTTCAGAAGACATCTGACTTAGCTTATTTTAATACTTTAGAATGAACTCTTTGGTTTCTACTAAAATTTATAATTTCTTTTCCCATAGATTTTTCCCTTTAGGAGTAATATTAGAATTCTAAGGTTTTCTACACTTTATTACGTTCATGGAAGAAGCCTAATTCCTTTTTCACCATAGTAATGGTGCATAGCAGAGTCACTACTGTACTTAATTAAGAAGAGGCATAGCTGGGCGCGGTGGCTCATGCCTGTAATCCCAGCACTTTGGGAGGCCGAGGCGGGCAGATCACAAGGTCAGGAGATCGAGACCATCCTGGCTAACACAGGGTGAAATCCCGTCTCTACTAAAAATACAAAAAAATTAGCCAGGCGTGGTGGTGGGCACCTGTAGTCCCAGCTTCTCGGGAGGCTGAGGCAGGAGAATCGCTTGAACCTGGGAGGCGGAGCTTGCAGTGAGCTGAGATCGCGCCACTGCACTCCAGCCTGGGCGATACAGCGAGACTCCGTCTCAAAAAAAAAAAAAAAAAAAAAAAAAGGAAGAGGCATAACATATTAAGGGTGTATTCATGTACAAAGAAGTTTGAAAAGTCCATATTAATTTGACTTTAATACTTGATCATCTGACCATCTAAAAAATACACTGGGCTGGGCGCAGTGGCTTCTGCCTGTAATCCCAGCACTTTGGGAGGCCGAGGCAGGCAGATCATGAGGTCAGGAGATCGAGACTAGCCTGGCAAACATGGTGAAACCCCGTCTCTACAAAATACAAAAAATTAGCCGGGTGAGGAACTATGGGCGTGGTGCGTGCACCTGCAGTCCCAGCTACTGGGGAGGCTGAGGCAGGGGAATCACTTGAACCTGGGAGGCAGAGGTTGCAGTGAGCCGTGATTGCACCACTGCACTCTAGCCTGGCAACAGAGTGAGACTCCGTCTCAAAAAAATAAATAAATAATAAATAAATAAAAATACACTGTATTCTAGCAAGAGGGCCATCCTGGTATTCCAGCAAAAGAGCAATTCTTGGATTGATGGAGTTTTAACAGGACACCATTATCCAGTGTAGTATAAAACCACCACAAAGAACGAAGAAGGAAGAGATGTGAATTCTAGAGCAGGCTCTAGTAACTAGTTTAGCACTGTAACCTTGAACAAAACACTTAATATACTTAAGGTGTAGATAATCCCTGTCTGAATAATGAAAAAGTTACGTTAAATTATATCTCTGAAGTCCTTCTTTGCCACTCCAGTATTGTTTAATTCTAGTTCTGGTAACTCTCCCAAAAGACAGAAGGAGGTGTAGTCAAACTTGGCTATAAATCCAACTTCTTAAATAATAGGTCAGCACAACAAGTATTACATCTAAGGACCCTTCATTCAAAGAAGGGTCTCAAAATTCTGAAATCTTCCAGCTCTGTAAACATTTTGAAAGATCAGTTCAACACAGAGCTCCTTGATATTAAGTCCCATTTAGAGGAGAGAACACTATGAACACCTACTTGGCAAATGTAAACAAAACATTATATGAAAACTGTACTAGACAACTGTATCAATCAGTTTTTAAATAGATAAAACAAGTGAAATGCGTACCAAAATACAATCATAGTAGAAACAATGTATTTTCTCATTAGCATTGTTTAGAATAATAGTAAGATTCAAAGCTAAAGAATTTCATGGGCTTCAATTTACATCTCCAGAATGCTATGTTAATAGCACAGCTATTAACTGGTTAAATGAATTACATACCCACCATGGGCTATCACACATTAAAAATGCTACAGATTTTGCAAGCCTTAATGCAAAGTAGGAAAAAAAAAAACAAGTAACAATGCTATAGAAATGTGTTTATGGTCCAAAAAAAAAAAAAAAAAAGATGTTTATGATAAATTTAAACCAGTTTTTAAAAATTCAGTATAATCTCCTCTAAAAAAAATCACAAAAAAGGTATACATTCAAGTAATAACAATAACGATACATTAGACTTCCCACGCTCAAACAATCCTCCCACCTCAGCCTCCCAATGTAGCTGGGGCATAACAGTTTTAAACAAGGAAAAAAGTTTGTACTCCTTGAATCAATTATCTAAATTTGGGAGATTCTTTTCTAAAAAAGAATACAGCAAAGTGTACAAAAATATTTGCAAGTTTCAATGTTATAATAGCAAAAAAATTTTTTAATTATTAAGTTATGATATATCTATATACTTCATCCTTTAAAAATAATTAATTACAAAGATTATAAATACTAAAAATGATTATGGTTAAGTGAAAGAAAGCAAAGTAAAAAGTTAATGTTCACTGGAATTAAAGACATATACATTTTATATACATATTTATGTATATAAAAATACTAGAGGGGAATACAGTTTTTTTTGTTTGTTTTTTGTTTTTTTGTTTTTTTGAGATGGAGTCTCACTCTGTTGCCCAGGCTGGAGTGCAGTGGTGAGATCTTGGCTCACCACAGCCTCCACCTCCTAGGTTAAAGCGATTCTCCTGCCTTAGCCTCCTGAGTAGCTGGGACTACAGGCACACACCACCATGCCACACCAGCTAATTTTTGTATTTTTTAGTAAAGACAGGGTTTCACCATGCTGGCCAGGCTGGTTTCGAACTCCTGACCTCGTGATCCACCCACCTTGGCCTCCCAAAGTGCTGGGATTACAGACGTGAGCCACTGTGCCCGGCCCGGGAATACAGTTTTTAAAGTTAGTCTTCTAGTGTCCTTTTCTCCATTTTCCAAAAAGTATATATACCTACTTACAATTATTTGTTAGAGGGCTCATTCTGAACGAACTGGAACTCATTCTGTTTTTGAATGACAAAACTAAAGAATCATAATGTTTGAGTCCAGCCTGCCTCTCTCTTTATTAATGGTCCTATTATGAACACCAGATTCACATAAGAGCTTTAAATAAATACATATATACAGGCATACACATATTTAAGAGTAAAACATTTGTTTTCTATGTGGTGTACTCCAGTAGGTATACTTCTAATGTCTAACAAAGTTTGCTATTTATATAAATGCAAATTCATACCTAGTAAAACTATTGTTACTACTAGACAGTAGTTGGCAAGCATTATGTAACATAACAAATCAAATACAGAAGGAACACTTACATGTGAAAGTGTTGTATGACTGAATTTATTTTTGAGTTTTTTTTTTTTTTTGCTCCCTTCTCAATCTAAGAATGACAGGAATTATCAGTAATGATGTAGTGTAGATCAGGAATCCCCAACCCCCAGGCCATGGATGGGTGGGGTATTGGTCCAGGGTCTGTTAGGAACCCGGCCGCACAACAGGAGTGAGTGGCAGGTGAGTGAGCATTACCACCCGAGCTCTGCCTCCTATCAGATCAGTGGCGACATTAGATTCTCATAGGAGCACGAACCCTATTGTGAACCGCACACACAAGGCCAGCTCCTTATGAGACTCTCATGCCTGATGATCTGTCACTGTCTCCCATCACCCACAGATGGGACCATCTAGTTGCAGGAAAACAAGCTCAGGGTTCCCACTGATTCTACATGATGGTGAGTTGTAGAATTAGTTCATTATGTATTACAATGTAATAATAATAAAGTGCACAATAAATGTAATGCACTTGAATCATCCTGAAACCACCTCCACCCCCAGCCTGGTCTATGGAAAAACTGTATTCCATGAAACCGGTTCCTGGTACCAAAAATGGTGGGGTGCGCTGGTATAGATACTTCCCTGGGATAACCACAATAGGGCTTTGCTATGTGGCTACTCTGATGGTTCTCTAACTATGAACCCAATTCACTGCCTTGTAAAATAAAGTACCTTCAGTAACTAAAACCTCTCTGATGGGTTCATAACAAAATAATCTCACTAAGTTCTGTTCTATCATGAAGTGTGACATTCCTATTGAATTTTTCTTTTCTTTTTTTTTTTTTTTGAGACAGGGTCTTGCTCTTGTCACCCAGCTGGAGTGCAATGGTGTGATCATGGCTCACTGCAACCTTCGCCTCCTGGGTTCAAGCGATTCTCCTGCCTCAGCCTCCCGAGTAGCTGGGATTACAGGCACCTGCCACCATGCCCAGCTCATTTTTTGTATTTTTAGTAGAGATGGGGTTTCACCATGTTGGCCAGGCTGGTCTCGAACTCCTGACTTCAGGTGATCCACCCGCCTCAGCCTCCCAAAGTGCTGGGATTACAGGTGTTAGCCACTGTGCCTGGCCACATTTTTCTTCTTTAATTTAAGAAGCCTCTAAGATGAACAGTGTCCTTCCATACTAGGCATCTTGATCAAATCTCTATCAATTCTTAAGAAAGGTCTCAGCAAATTTTATATCAAGCCCTTCCCTCCAGGTCAATTCAAGACACCCTAAATACCATATAAGGCTACTAAGTGCCTCATGAGTAAGGTAACAATTTCTCCCTTTTTCCAGTGTTACACTACCATTGCTCATTCTGTTTTTTCTCAATTAGCATAGATTTTAAAGCTGTAAAGCATTAAACATTAAAACAAGTTCAATAGAATGTTCTCTTCTTACTAAAAAAACTAGTTTGAGAATTATTTTCAGTAAACTTTAATAACATTTATAAAGTCTGAACTTAGTGCTCTACTATATTAGGATACTTTGAAAGAATTATATCCTGAAGGATCAACAGTTCTTCACAAAACTTTTTTTTTTTTTTACATTAAAGTTTTTTAAATTAAGTTAACCTGGATCCTGGATTCACTGTAACATTTTACCTGGCTCATTTAATTCAGGCCAACACAATGAAGCTACAGTTATTATACTTTGATTTAAAAGGTATTTTACACTTTAGGTCAGTTTGAAACCAAAATTCATGTAACTTTAAATTCCACACTTACCTACTATCTGTCCTCTAACTGTATCATTGTCATTTGGCCCGAGTTTGCATAAATCCAACCTCTGATCTATTTGAAGTCAACAAAGAAAGCAACGAAAAAATTAGCTGGTATCAGAGATTCTAACATCTATAGAGTGACAATAAATTTCCACAATCCATTAGAAATCAAACCTATCATTTAAAGAGTTCAGATTTCAAAAACCAAACACTGGTGTATTACATTGCCAACATGCAGTCACTTTCTCTCCAAAACTTTTAGACCACTTTAGTCTGAGTCTTAATAATTGTTGGTCTTAAGGAATTTATCCCTAAGCCTTGGTTTTCTCACATATGACAATATGTGAATCCTCATAT
The DNA here is from genome assembly GCF_000001405.40 of Homo sapiens. Classification (NCBI taxonomy): domain Eukaryota; kingdom Metazoa; phylum Chordata; class Mammalia; order Primates; family Hominidae; genus Homo; species Homo sapiens. The sequence goes on from NC_000017.11 coordinate 64,591,437, forward strand.
TTTTTTGAGGATTAAATCAGATAATTATGCCAAACTCTCAGCATAGTGCCTGGCACATAAGTGGTCAACAAATGTTAGTTGTCATTATCATTTTTTAACTAACCATTTCAAATGACATGGACCCAAAAAAGTATTCATAAGAAGCCAAGAATAAACTGTAAAATCTGGGTTTGCATCAGTTCTGTCACTCATTCATTTAGGAGCAAATCATTTCTTCTCTCAGATGCCTCATCTGTAAAAGAGATATAACACTGACCTGGCCCTGAAAGTTACAGTAAGGAACAATGTCACCTAAAGTACGCTGGTTTTACTTTGATTACAGCACTTATAGCTGAATGCTTTTACAACTGTATGCCATCTGTCTACTTATCTGTGAATTGATAAATGGAGGAGACCATATCTTAGTCTTTGTATTTTCCACTCCAATCTGGTAGAACATTACATCAGGTAGGTGCTCAATAAATATTTGATAAATTCAATATTACTGCACATCAAAAAAGTCAAATAAATTAATACAATGAAGCAGTCACAAGAAACAGAAAAATCCATGCCCCTAAACTACAGTCCCTACTTATCCAACCAAAAATACAGACATTTTTCCCTTTGCAAAATAAATGGGTGCTACTAAGCTGGCTATACAGTGGATTCTGCAGAGCAACTAACTCCTCCTCTCCTATTCAGTCCTTCCAATGCGGCATGCTCCCTTTGCCAGCAGGCCTTTGCCCTTCCTTCTCAGAGGACAGGATTCATGCCTTTTTCTCCTTTATACAGCCAGGGTTTAGAACAGTAGCACATTAAGTCTTCAATAACTGTAAACTTATTGAACTAGGGATAATGTCAGACATTTGACCTATAAGTTTTCAGTTTGCTGAGTAATAAAACAGTTTACTTTTATATGCAATTCATTTTTTCCAATCCCAGTGTCTTTTCTCTACTGTTGGTTACCCTGTCAGCCCAGAAATACAAGAATTTCTTAGATGCCTTTAAATATCTTGGACTAAGAACTTCTAGCTCAATTTTCTGCCCTTTTCTTTTTCACAAGGTCAATATATACCTATGCTGTGGTATCATACTACATTAAAAGAGACAATCTCTTGATATATTTAATAGTCAATGCTAAATTTACTCTTTTTTGTTTATTAATTTCCTTAGATCTTATGTGAGTTTGTTTAGCATATGCATCTGGGCTAAAATCCCATGACGATGACTAACGGTATTTTTTACATTATATAAAAAAGAATTCTATAGAAACAAACACACAAAAAAAACCTGTTGAAAAAGGAATTCCCATTTATGTTCCAATGGAAAGACCCATCCAAAAGACTCACCTGGTTATGCTAAGTCAACTTATAAATCCATTATGAAAACCACTTCTAATGTCCTGATCTTGGTCTAATCTTCTAAATCCTCAGGCTGATGATAAACTCAGCTACAGTTAAGTAGTTAATACAGCTGTTGTACACTCAAAATAACGTTTAATCTTTAACTTTTAATTTTGTCACAGCAGTTTTATGTATTATACCATTCTTACCCCTTCGTAATTGCCCTTTAACTGCCAGCTTAAATACTCCAATCACCTAAATAAAAGCATTTCATCCACAAATCCACCAAAACCAGAAAAGGATACTAAGAAATTTTAAAAGGCATATACATCCTGATACCTTTATTTTTGCCATTCTGGATATCAATCATTTCTTAATACTTTTAAATTAGCTGGAAATGAAGCATCAGCCCTGATTTGGCTGTAAGTTTCACATATTTAAAATGTTTCTTTTTTTTTTAAGTCTACAAAATAAATTTAGATCAGGAATTTTTACCAATGTTTCAGACATGCACAAGAAGTTGTGTTTGAAGCCCTACCAACATACTCAAATATATATATTATTTTTAAATATATATTTGAGGATACATATATAGTGCATGTATATATGTATATGCACAAATACATATACACACACACACATATATGTTTTTTAATTGGAAAAGCACTCGTATCTACTCACAACCAGTGTCTTTGAGGCGGTTGATGGCATTGGAAAGAAGACGAACACAACCGAGAAATCCAGCACCTTGTTTCTTATGGATCTTCTTGTGATTCCATACACTGATCGTAACTGAATCAGACTTTCCAATATACCTAAAAAACAAAACGGCTGCATGAGTAACTTGGTAGTTACAGGCAGTTGGCGTAAAATTTTTCTTTTGTTCTTTTTATATTCTAAAGTTACTAATATGCTTCAGAATCTGGCTAGATTATGCAAAATATGTCTTGAGTTAATCCACAGGATTGAATTTAAATTTTTAAAAATCTTGAAAATTTTAGTATATTTTTATCACATCTGCCACTCTCAAGCTGGGCTATAATTCTAGTCAGTAAAAAGGCTATTTTAGTAGCTAATGTCTAATAACACTAAGGGAGTTTATTAAATAACTTCTTTGCAAGAAAAAGAATCTTAAAAACTTTTATCACAGTCACATTTTAAATACATGTCGATGACATGACCTACTTTTCAAGGGATAGTGTCAAGGCTGACAGACCAAAAATCTGACCTACCTGTTATATTTTAAAATGCTGTAGAACAAAAGCTGTTTGTAACGCTTTTCCCCTGCTTCTTTCCTGTATGCAGGCCTTGAGCGAGCAGGACTCTTGCAGATTTCACTTCACTGCCTGCAGACAAGCAGAGCAGGGAAAAGCGTTACTGTACTTGTCTGTGCATATGCCTGTAAGTATGTAAAAGCTCTACCACAGCCAATTGTTAACATGGCATCAACCCATGCAAAAAGATAATAAAATAACATGTCAGTAGAATCCTAGCTCTATTTCAATGACAATAAGAGGTCAAATTTTTGGTCCAGCAACCTTGATCTTAAAGTATCATTCAATAAATTACAATATCAGAAAAATTCACCTAGTATACAGAAAAGCCTAAACCATTTAAGTAAGGACTAAAGCTTTTAAATAAGTGACATGGAAGGTACACTTGAGCCCCGGGATCCAGCTGTGCCTAAAAAATGCCCACCCCAGGCTTTTAATTATGCAAATCAGTACATTCCCTTTTAAAAAATTAAGCCAATTTGAATTTGGTCTCTGTTGCTTGCAAATGAAAAAATCTGAATTAAAATATTGTTCAGTATGCATGTACCAATTTTCGAATACACCTACCAGTTCTATCTTGGCATGTATCTACTGGCATGTAATTCCAGAGCCAGAATCAAGTATTAAGTAGCTGAATTACCCAAGCTGAACATTTTTTAAAAAGTTACATTAGGCCGGGCGCGGTGGCTCACGCCTGTAATTCTAGCACTTTAGGAGGCCGAGGCAGGCAGATCACCAGAGGACAGGAGTTCGAGACCAGCCTGACCAACATGGAGAAACCCTGTCTCTACTAAAAATACAAAAAAACTTAGCCAGGCACGGTGGCATGCACCTGCAATCCCAGCTACTTGGGAGGCTGAGGCAGGAGAATCACTTGAACCCGGGAGGCGGAGGTTGTGGTGAGCCTAGATTGCGTCACTGCACTCCAGCCTGGGCAACAAGAGCAAAACTCCGTCTCAAAAAAAGAAAAAAAAAAGTTACGTTAAACCAGTTGTCCAACTAGTAAGCCTGGTTTACAGGTATGCTGAAATACATATATTGATTACCTCAGTCCTCAGGGCAACGCACCACTGGCTTAAGCAACTTCATCTGTGTAGTCCAATGTGCCATATTTTTTATGTGTACCATGATATGAAAAGGTTGGGAAGCTCTACATTAAATCATAATAAGAAATTGCTAATTATAGACCTTCTGGAAGATAGCCTAACTCTGAATTACTAAAAATTATGAAATATATTGTATTACTTAAGCGTACATGTCACAAACATTCTGTCCAAATATTCCTGGGCCAGAAATGAATCCAAAATATTACCTTTTCTTATACATAGAGAAGTACATGCTCTCACTTTAATGAAACCTCATGTAATATAACATACATGGCAACAAAAACAGTAAATTCCTTTTGCAATTGAAAGTTAAATAGAGGGCTCTATTAGCTTCTATTAAAACTTTGACTTACTAACAAATACATGATTTATAAACAAGTTTCAGGATGTTTTGTTGAAAGGGAGAGAGGGACACCTCTATAGGTGAATACAATGTTACCATATAGACCAAAATATGTACTCAGGATTTTGGGCTAAAATTTAATTATTAGATTTTGTTTGTATACTTAGCCAATTAAAGGCAAGGGTTTTGTAAAATGACTTTGGAAACAATCATAAGAGATGCTTCTGACAGCCAATTAATATTAATTGTAAGATAAAACCTAATAAGTACAAGAAAGATGTTCAACATCATTAGTCATGATGCACCTCAAAACCATGACCAGATACAACTTCATACCCACTAGGGTGGCCACAATTTTTTTTAAAAGAAAATAACAGTGACAGAGGAATAAAGAAACTTCCAGTGGAAAACAACAGTCATGAAAGATCAAAATCAGGATGCCATCAGCAATACTCTAAACCTACAATTTCCAAAATGGTACCCACCAACCACGAGACCCTTGAGGACTTCAAGTGTGGCTAGTCCAAATTGAGGCAAGCTGCAAAATAAACCACTGATTTTTTTTTTTCTTAACATAAAATGAGAAAACCGCTGATTTTTTAGAGACATAGTAAATATGTATATATACATATATGTGTAAGTAGCTCAATATTTTTATACTGACATGTTGAAAGTATTTTTGATATACTGAATTAAATAAAATATATTATTATGCTTCATTTTAAGAAACAGGGTCTCGTTATGTTGTAGCTGGATTACAGGTGCAAGCCACTATGCCCAGTTTATTATGCTTAATGTCATCTGTTTCTTTTTACTTATCTTAACGTGGATGCTAGGAAATTTAAAATTATAGATGAGCTCCCATCTGTGCCTTACATTATATTTCTACTCAACAGTATGGATCTAAACCTAGAAGATAATGGAGCAATGTATTCAACATTTGGAGGTAAAGTGATATTTCACCTAGAAGCCTATATTCAAACCATATCAAAAGATAAGAAGTCAAAGTATATCTTCTGATAAGATCTCAACTTTCTTCCCATCTTTGTATTATTTCTCAAAATGACAATGGAAGATAAAGTTCACCGAAACAGGAGAGTAAACAAAAAAAAAAAAAAAAAAAAAAAAGGAAGTCACTAAACCTAGAAGAGACAAAGGAAATTGCCAACATAACAATAAAGGCAAGTCCCAGGACAACTGCGCAGTGGGTCTTAGAGAACCATCACACAAGACTAAAGAAAGAGAACACAGACTCCCAGGAGGGTTATCTCCAAGAAGAAAAAAAGCCAATGGAATACTGACAGAACTGAATATATGGAGAAAAGATCTTTAGTTCTATAGGAGAGTCTGAGGATTATGACATATAACTTCTCATTTCTATCTAGGAGATAAATAGATAACTAAACAAATGGGAAAAGTAGCTACTAACTTCAGAAAAAACAAAAGTTGTCAAGAAAGAAAATGTAATTCTTGTACCCCTGTGACCCAACTATGGATATTTACATAATCATAATAATGTAAACATGGAACAATGGTTTAACCAAAAAGGTTCATATAATTATATTGGAAGACTAAAGAAAGGAAGAGGCTTGTGTCATGAGAATGGGGATGCTGAATACCAATTTTAAAAGCTGAACCACTGGGCTGGGCATCACAGCCCACGCTTGTAATCCAAATACTTTGGGAGGCCAAGGAGGGAGAATCTTGAGCCCAGGAATTCAAGACCAGACTGGGCAATATAGCAAGACCCCATCTCTACAAAAAATTACCTTAAAAAAAAAATTAGCTGGGCATGGTGGCATGCACCTGTAGTTCCAGCTACTGAGGAGGGTGAGGTGGGAGGATCAGTTGAGTCCAGGAGTTAGAGGCTACACTGAGCTATGATTATGCCACTGCACTCTGGCCTGAGCAATAGAGTGAGACTGTTTCTAATTTTAAAAGAATTTTTAATAATAAAAAATAAAGCCGAATCATCTTCTAGGTAGGAAATTCAAAAATACCTAAAACTAGGCTGGGCGCAGTGGCTCATGTCTGTAATCCCGGCACTTTGGGAGACCGAGGCAGGCGGATCACTTGAGGTCAGGAGTTCGAGACCAGCCTGGCCAACATGGTGAAATCCCATCTCTACTAAAAATACAAAAATTAGCTGAATGTGGTGGTGGGCACCTGTAGTCCCAGCTACTCGGGAGGCTGAGACAGGAGAAATGCTTGAACTCAGGAGACAGAGATTGCAGTGAGCCGAGATGGTGCCACTGCACTCCAACCTGGGTGACAGAGCAAGACTGTCTCAAAAAAAAAAAAAAATTACCTAAAACTAAAAAAAGAAAACTGTGATGCTATAAAATAAAATACATATCTAGAAACAGATGAAAATACCAGAATAAACAGCCAAAGTTATTAAAGCAGTTGCCTTGAGGATGGGAATCAGGAATGAGAATGGAGCAGGGAACTTGCTGTTTTCCAGTAAAAGCTTTATTGTATCATTTGCCTTTTTAAAAAGGTGCATATACTCCAATGGTTTAAAATAAAATTTAAAAGAAAGAAACCATCCATATAAAGGCAAAAAGAAGCCTATTCAGTGCAACCCAAATCCTTATTTCTGGTTTTATAATTGGTCTAAAGTGGTGAATTAATACCTTTATTTAATTGAAAAAAGAGGTGGGGGATTGCTCTACTGTGAGCCAGTTTCATTTTCTTCTTCATAGAATTTTAGAGATACCTCATCTTTCAAAACCTGTCTATAAGCCAAAGCACATTCCCACTGGGCTTTTCTTTACCCCTTTTGTGATGACCAAATTATACCACAGATGAAACCCAGATCATTTCCCATGATTATTTTCAAAGACTATATCAAATAATTTAATGATATGTTCCATTTCAAACTAATTGTTGAAACCTACAGGTCATAATGCTGATTCCACTTTGGATCAAGCGTATTCTTCACAGTATCTGTAGAATGGCATTGCCCAGATCCATCAACCACCACCTTAGCAAATGGATCAGGAAGTCCTGTGAAAAAAGATTTTCTAAAATTAATAATTTGACATTTAAGATAGAAGATTAATTATACAAGCATTCCATTTGCTACAAAAGATTATTCCATTCTTTTAAAAAAGTTTAACATTTAGCTATAAATGAATAGTCCATTTTTTAAAAAAAAAGACTAAAGTTACTTCTACATTAAATACCAAAACTATATTTTTTCTCGTTTCTGTCTCAAAATAGTCCCAGTTTAAACTACCAAAATCTAGAGGTTACCTCATAATGTGGAAGTTTTTAATAGGTTGTTACCAGCCCTCTGACCCGAGGAATGGGGTCATGAATGGTTACATGAATTCTTGTAACCATTCATGGCTTTTTCTTTCCAAATGTCTCCCTCAGTAGCTCATTTAAAGAAAAAGCTTATTAAAGGTTTTTATACAGGAACACAGGCTACAGAGAAATCAAATTAGCAAATGAGTTTTGCTGAATAACTACCAGGAAAAATCAGACTGAAACAAAAGATGTAACACTCTGCCTTAAAAGAGCTTACTATCTAATTGGAAAAATAAAAATACTATACATGAAAAACAAAACCAAAAATACCTGAGAATAAACAAGTGCTTAGTGATACTGATTGTAACGCAAACACTTATATCACTATGTTAGGTACTATTCTAAATACATTTATCCTTAATCCTTACAATAACCCTACGAGGTAAACACTGTTATTATCCCTATTTTACTGATGAGGAAACCAAGGCACAAGGGGGTCAATTAACTAGCCCAAGGTCACAGAGTAGTAAATGGCAGGGCCAGAATCTAAAGTGTAGATTCTAAACCCATGTCTGGCTCTCGACTTCATGCTCTTAACCACTATGCTGTATTTTACCTCTTATTTACTACGTGGTCCAACAGTGAGTACAAGTAAGAGCTCAGAAAAACAGGAGAAAAGGTTTGAATCTGAACAGTAAAGAAAGGGCTTTGAGGGAGGAGGGAACTCATCTGGGCTTTAAGGCAGGCGTCTCCAACCTCTGCACCATGGGCCGGTACAGGTTCGTGGCCTGTTACAACCGGACCACAAAGCAGGAAGTGAGCGGTGGGAGAGTAAGCATTACAGCCTGAGCTCCGCCTTCTGTCAGATCAGCGGCAGCATTAGATGCTCATAGGAGCTGGAACCCTATGGTGAACTGCGCTTGCAAGGGATCTAGGTTGTGCGCTCCTTATGAGAATCTAAAGTCTGATGATCTGAGATGGAACAGTTTCATCCCAACACATCCCCTGCTCCCCATGTCCTTGGAAAAACTGTCTTGCATGAAACCGGTCCCTGTGCCGAAGGTTGGGGGCTGCTGCTTTAAAGGGCATACAGGAGAAGGAGGACTTTCCTAGCAAAAGGAAGAGCACCAAGGAGGGTATGACAATACAATATTTAAAAGACTTTGAAGAGTCTAACCAAAGAGCTTGTGCTAAGGTGTAAAAGTAAATACTATTGGAAATATGACTGACCCAGTAAGAGAGGCTTAAAAGTCGGGCAACAGGGCTTGGACTGATTGAGGTAGATAACAGGGAGCCATTTCAGGTTCTTGAGCATGGCTGTAACTACAGTCATATTTTTCTATCAGTGGTATTCAGGGCCCACTAGGAGAAAGAAAGACTAGAGGCAGACCATATATGAAGCTGTTGTAATTATCCAACAGTAGGATGAAAAGACCCTGAATGAGGGAAGTCATGTGGAAAGGGAAAGGAAATGACAAGAGAGCTATTCTGAAAGATCTAATACAAATTAATAAGAAACTTGTATCAAAGATGACAATACAGTTTTCAGCCCAAAGCAATAATGAAAATGATTCTTTTGACAAAAATTTAAAAGGTGGAACTAAAAATGTTAGAGAGACAAAAATGTCACTTCATGTGTTAGACATTGGGATAGAGTAGATTTCCTGTGGACAGCTGAAAATACTAGAACAAAACAGCGTTAAGTGTTGGTGACTGGAGAAATTTTGCATGTTGGTATCAATGCTAATTTTTTTAAGATACTAATTTGCCAAGTTTCAAGGACAGACAAATCACCTATCAGTTCCCCAATTCTATGATTCTGTGATCTATCGCTTCCAAATAATAAAGGAGGACCAAAATTTAGGCGTTAAGTTTCAAAGAAACTTGGTAAGTTAGGGTATTAAATCTATTTGACTATATTGTTCTTGAAGCTGAGTGCTATGCATAGTATTTCAGTAACACCTAACCATTTATAAATGTGTTCAATGGAAGAATGTTTTTACCTCCACCCTCAATAAATGAAGATTTCCTCCTGGGAAGAATTCACTCTATCTTGTTATTTTCACTCTACTATTTAAATAAATAAACATATAAATGTGTATTTATGAGCAAAAACAAAAAAATCACATTTCTAAACTTTCCCTTTGGGTGTTATTAAACTAGTTGAAGAATTAAGTCTCTCTGGTTTCTTGCTTTTTTAAAAAAATAAAATGAAAAAGAATTAAGGACTGGCCAGACACAGTAGCTCACACCTGTAATTTCAGCACTTTGGGAGGCTGAGGCGAAAGGATCACTTGAGCCCAGGAGTTTGAAACCAGCCTGGGCAACATAGTAAGACCACCCCCCATCCCCCACAAAATAATTTAAAAGTTAGCCAAGCATGGTGGCATACGTCTGTAGTCTCAGCTACTCAGGAGGCTAAAATGGGAGGATTGCTTGAGCCTGGGAGGCCGAGGCTGCAGTGAGCCATGATCATGCCACTGCACTCCAACCTGGTTGACAGAGCAAGACCCTATCTCAGTGGAAAAAAAGATTAAGGATTAAGAAAAACAACAGCTGACAAAGGACTAATATCCAGAATCTATAAAGTACTCAAACAAATCAGCAAGAAAAAATCAAACAATCCCATCAAAAAGTGGGTTAAGGACATCAATAGACAATTCTCAAAAAAAGATATATCAACAAGATAGGCCAATAAGCATAATGAAAAATGCTCAGCATCACTAAGTATCAGGGAAATGCAAATCAGAACTATAATGCGATGCCACCTCACTCCTGCAAGAATGGCCATAATCAAAAAATTTAAAAATAACAGATGTTGGCATGGATGCAGTGAAAAGGGAACACTTTTACACGGCTGGTAGTAATGTAAACTAGTACAACCACTACGGAAAACAGTGTGGAGATTCCTTAAAGAACTAAAAGTAGATCTACTGTTTGATCTAGCAATCCCACTACTAGGTATTAACCCAGAGGGAAAGAAGTCATTATACGAAAAAGATACTTGCACACGCAGGTTTGTAGCAGCACAACTCACAATTGCAAAAATACTGAAGCAGCCCAAACACCTATCAATCAACGAGTGGGTAAAGAAATGTGGTGTGTGTGTGTGTGTATATGTGTGTGTGTATATATATGTTTATATTATATAATTATATATGTATATATTTATATATAATTATATGTGTGTGTATATATATATATACACACCTACATATACACACACACACACCACATATACATACATACACCATGGAATACTACTCAGCCATTAAAAAGAAATAATCACAGCAACCTGGATAAAATTGGAGACTATTATTCTAAGTGAAGTAACTCAAGAATGGAAAACCTAACATCGTATGTTCTCAGTCACATGTGGGAGCTAAGCTATGAGGATGCAAAGGCGTAAGAATGATATACTGGACTATGGGGACTGGGGGAAAGGGTGGGGGTAACAGGGGATAAAAGACTATACACTGGGTACAGTGTACACTGCTTGGGTGATGGGTCCACCAGAATCTCAGAAATCACCACTAAAGTACTTATTCATGTAATCAAACACCATCTGTTCCCCCAAAACTTATTGAAATAAAAAAATAAAATAATAAAAGAAAAACAATTTTTTCCATACAAAATGTGGCTTCCAGATCCTTAATTAAGTAGGAAAGTCACAGCCTTTTATGTTCCCTTTCTGTTAAATAACACAGTAAACAAAAACACCAGTTCAATACCTTAATAAAAAAATACATAGGTTTCAACTTAACCTGATTATATTATTCTCCAAAAATTTAACTTGAGAGCCAAGTTACTCCCATGTGGTCAAAAACTATCAGGTTTTCTGAAGTTAGTGAGACATCTAGTGGTAAACACAAAGTGGCTAGAGAACTTTCTGCATTTTAAAAAATTTCTCAGCCAGGCACAGTGGCTCACGCCTGTAATCCCAGCACTTTGGGAGGCCGAAGTGGGTGGATCACGAGGTCACGAGTTCAAGACCATCCTGGCTAACACGGTGCAACCACATCTCTACTAAAAATACAAAAAATTAGCCGGGTGTGGTGGCACATGCCTGTAGTCCCAGCTACTCAGGAGGCAGAAGCAGAATTGCTTGAACCTGGGAGGCGGAGGTTGCAGTGAGTCGAGATCGCGCCACTGCACTCCAGCCCGGGTGTCAGAGACAGACTTTGTCTCAAGGGAAAAAAAAAATTTTTTTTTGTCTCAATTCTCCCCCATCATTTCTGAGACATGTAAAATAGCTAAAGCTCAAAAACCTCCTTACTACACAAATGCACTTGAAAAGCTGCAAATAATAATAAAATAACATTTTCAACTCAAAAGTGTGCTACCTTCCAAAGAAAACAGCTTCATTTTCAATTGGGCCAAGAAAAAAAAAAAACATACACAACATTTAGCCAACCCATCTTGGTTTTAAATGACTTCAATTTGGCCCCCTATAAAACACCTTATTACCTTACACAGAAATCTTTTTTAAAATGTTGCAGAAGAACAAATCTAAATGAAAACATTCCTTTTCATATAAAAAATACACATAAAACAGATAATGAAGGCAGGGCACAGTGGCTCATGCCTGTAATCCTAGCACTTTGAGAGGCCGAGGCAGGCGGATCACATGAGGTCAGGAGTTCGAGACCAGCCTGGCCAACATGGTGAAACCCCGTCTCTACTAAAAATACAAAAATTAGCTGGGTGTGGTGGCACATGCCTGTAATCCCAGCTACTCGGGAGGCTGAGGCAGGAGAATTGCTTGAACACGGGAGGCAGAGGTTGCAGTGAGCCGAGATCACGCCACTGCACTCTAGCCGGGGGACAGAGCAAGACTCCGTCGGGGGAAAAAAAAAAAAAAAAACATAATGAATAAATGGGTAAATATGTGATAAAGTTAATGGTAGAATCTAGATGGTGGGTCTTTACTATAAAATTATTTTATCTGTTGCTTTATGTTTGAAATTTTTCCTGCTAAAATTCTGGGGGAAAGGGGAAGTGACTTATTTTTAAAAGCCAATAAGCTTGAAAACAGTTCAAAAACATGAGTTAAAAAAACTTTTCTCAACAAGGATAGCGCCCAATAAACAGTATTACCTCACATACAAATTACTCTTCAAAAGACAACACATGGCAGTGTATTTTTTCCTGCGATGAAAAATATATATCTATTTCATCACCCTATAGTCGTACTTTGTATTAAAATTTGCTTTTCTCATTCAATACAATTTTAACTGAATCGCAAGCAAAAACTTAACTATATTTTACTATTAATAACTGCACTGATCAATAAACACACATTCATTTATATTTAATTGAAGAATTTAGGAATTACTGTCTCTGAAATTAATGTGGGCAACCCTTAACAGGTCAAAAATCTGTATAAGTATACATGTAAATCTACCACAGAATGGACCTGCGACCTTGGCCAGTGTGAACCTGGGAGGTAACTTCCATTCCTGGCTAACTCCCCTCTGAAGCCCTAAGGATTACCATTCCTGTTTCTCTTTCCAGGCCATCAAGAGTCTCCCATTCTAAGTTTTAAAGATAATCACACTGTTTCCCCTAATCTTATCCCTAAAGCAAGTTCACACTCTTAGAATTTTTATCAATTTTTACTGCCTACACCCATGAAAAAGGGAAAAGATTTCCTTCTTTCTTTCACTTACAATTTAAGGACAAAGATCATATAAGGGTTAACAATCAGCTCTCAAAGGTTTATAAAACATTAATATATGATTCCTCTAGATATCCTAGGAAAAATGAGGTAAGAATATCTGGATATTTTATTAGAGAAGCTGTGTCTTGGGACTCGAGAGGAAGGAAATTTGAAAAGGAAAGCTGGGAGACAAAACTGAAGATTTTATCTTCAAAACCAGAGCAGATGTCTTGGAGAGTGCAGAAGCAGCTGTAAGAGTGCTCCTCTCAGCCGGGCGCGATGGTTCATGTCTATAATCCCAGCACTGTGGGAGGCCAAGGCAGGAGGATCACGAGGTCAGGCATTCGAGACCAGCCTGACCAACATGGTGAAACTCCGTCTCTACTAAAAATACAAAAATTAGGCAGGCGTGTTGGCGTGCACCTGTAATCCCAGCTACTCAGGAGGCTGAGGCAGGAGAATCGCTTGAACCCGAGAGGTGGAGTTTGCAGTGAGCCGAGATCACACCACTGCACTCCAGCCTGGGCAACAGAGTGAGACTCCGTCTAAAAAAAAAAAAAGGAAAAGTGCTCCCCTTACTTCCCTCCCTTTTCTCCTTGTCCAACCCTATTTGCCACTTTGCAAGCCCACTAGTATAAATCCTACCTTAGATCAACCTTATCAAAGGTTAAAAAAAAAAAAGTACACCTCAGTTAGTAGCAACAGGGATGAGGTAGGAAGTGAGCAGCAGCCTGAGACAGATAACAGTGATTGGAGGCAACAGGGAGAGATGGGAAGTTCTGTGGCCATTGGGACCTTCCACTGTGACAAGCTTCTGGCGAGAAGGCACATGGTACATAAATTTAAACTGCTTATAATTTGCGTCCTATGTTCCAAATTATCCTATTTGCTTTCTCATATAAGCAGAAAGATAACCATAAACATTTATAACTATATAGTTTTATAAGATGTTATTTTATAAACTTTAATTCAGGTTCTGCTCTACAAAAACTCAAAATAATAAAATTTCAAGTGGAATGAATTAAGTATAATTTTAAATTATATTGGCCGGGCACAGTGGCTCACACCTGTAATCCCAGCACTTTGGGAGGCTGAGGTAGGAGGATCACTTGAGACCAGGAGTTTGAGACCAGCCTGGGCAACATAGCAAGATCCTGCCTCTACAAAGAATAGTAAATAAATAAATAAATAAATTAGCTGGACGTGGTGAAGTGTGTCTGCAGTCCACCCACTCAGGAGGGTGAGATAGGAGGATCCCTTGAGCCCAGGAGTTTGAGGCTGCAGTGAGCTATGACTGTGCCACTCTACTATAGCCTGGGTGACAGGGCAAGATCCTGTCTCTAAAAAGAATATATATATATATATATATATATATATATATCTTATTTCTTTTAATCAAGCCCCTGAAAATCATCTACTATCACATGAAATCAAACAGCACACATAGCCCGTGACTTGAATTTAAAAATTTAATGAATCATCTCTATTCTAATTTCAAATGTTTTACATAAAAAATTTTGTTGGCTGAAGTTTTTTTTTTTCACTAAAAATTATATCATTTTTAACCAATAACTTAAAGCTACAACAGAATAAAGATTGTAATATACATGCTGGGTACTTCCCAATCCCCTCTCATAAAACTTAGTACTAAATAAAGCCAGAAAAAAAAATTACAACAGATTGGTAAATATAAGGCATATATGGGAACCAAACATCTGCTTTGGAATCTGAGAGGTAAGAGCATCTAGGATCAAATGTGGCAGAGATTTCTTTCCCACACTCTGGAAATTCCAAGCAGGCTCAATGACTTTTCTACCTTCCAATGAATCTTGAATGAGTAAAGTTTCCCATGAAATTTTCAAAAGGAAGAAAGTGTTCACAAAATAATCTCTTAAACCTTTTCTAGAACTCTAGTAGTATGCACACCTTCAATATACATTACACACATCTGCATTTACACACCTGCATACACACTCATTCTCATAAATACGTGGGAGAGGTGAATAAAAGGAAAGGGCTAAGCCTAAAAAGCACAAAACCTTCTAAAAAAAAAATGTGATGCCAAATGGCTCTGAACCGAAGCATTCATAATAAAATAACACTGACAATACTTCTGAATAGAGAAACCCCTAAACCAGAGAATTCTGAAAACGCTGTTCCCAAAGATCTACATACAATACACAAGATTTAAAGTTAATTTACTTACGGAAAAAATCCTTTTTCACCAGGTTTTTTGCACAGAGTACTGTAAAAAAAAAAAACAAAAAATACATGGGAAAAATTAAAATGTTAAGAGTGTACTGTTACATTTTAAAACACGGAAAACAGCAGTGAATAGTTAAACCCTAACTATAGCAAGGTATGAAACATGACCACAAACTTTCGAACTAGCAAATAAAAGACAGTTGAACCAGTGGTTGCAACTTTCAATGATCACCAGTAATAGCTGAGGGCAAGAAAGTTTATAAATCTGATATTCTAATAATAAGGTAGAAATTCAATTCCTATCTTCCATCAAGATCTACTCTCTGAGAAACTCAGTGGCAATAGGAAAAATAGTTCAAAGGAGATATGTAAAGTCAGGTTGTTATATCTATTTTAAGGATGAAATAATTTTATACTGAAGAGGATCACAAATAAAGATAAAGCTTTCCTGATATAGATGAGTTTTTTTTCTTTTTTTTTTTTTTTAAATAACATTCTGTTCTCCATCTAAATGCCACAGAAACTTCATGGGAGAAATCAAATTACCTTCTCCTAAATCATCAGTTAAATGACAAGATATGTCTACTATATCTTTTAAGAATTTAAAGTTAATATATTAAAACTAGATATCCCAAATCCACATTTTCCAAGTTAATATGCATTAAATTACTTACACGGATGGATGCTCAACCTTGTGAACACACTAAAAAATATTGAATTGCCCACTTTAAAGAGGATAAATTTTGGCCGGGCGCAGTGGCTCACACCCGTAATCCCAGCACTTTGGGAGGCCGAGGCGGGCGGATCACAATGTCAGGAGTTCGAGACCAGCCTGGCCAATATGGTGACACCCCGTCTCTACTAAAAATACAAAAATTAGCTGGGCGTGGTGGCGTGCGCCTGTAGTCCCAGCTACTCAGTAGACTGAGGCAGAAGAATCGCTTGAACCCGGGAGAGGGAGGTTGCAGTGAGCCAAGATTGCGCCACTGCACTCCAGCCTGGGCTACAGAGCAAGACTGTCTCAAAAAAAAAAAAAAAGGATTTTATAGTATATGAGTTACATATCAATTTTAAAATTACTGCTTACAGGCTGGGCACAGTGGCTCATGTCTGTAATCCCAGTACTTTGGGAGGCCAAGGTGGCTGGATCGCTTGAGGTCAGGAGTTTGAGACCAGCCTGGCTAACATGATGAAACTGTGTCTCTAGTAAAAATACAAAAATTAGCTGGGTGTAGTGGCGCACACCTGTAATCCCAGCTACTCAGGAGGCTGAGGTGCGAGAATCACTTGAACCTGGGAGGTGGAGGCTGCAATGAGCCAAGATTGCACCACTGTACTAGTGAGCCAAGATTGCAACCACTGAACTCCAGCCTGGGCGACAGAGCAAGACTCTGTCATAAATAAATAAATAAATAAATAAATAAATAAATAAATAAATAAATAAATCTGCTTATAGAGTCATAAACTTAAAACTTCTTTAACTCAAACTTGATACAAGAGAAAGAAAAACATCAATTTTCATATATGTAAATTTTAGTTCATAAAATACCTATGAATGTAATGTTTGGTATTTCTATCCACTTCTACTAACAGTTTAAATGAATTACAGTTATTGGAAGTTTAGTGTATAAAAGCTCATTTGACATAAACTTGGGAATGAATCTAAATAAATATAACTAATCACTCTAAGGGTTCACATAAAAAAACCTTTTGAAAACAGATGTCATCACTAAATAAATAAAATTATTAAGTAAGCACAAGATACTGGTATACTAGGCAGAGTCCCTTAGGCCATGTCTTAGAGTTTTGTTTTTAAAAACATAAAAACTCAATCAATCATGAAAACTAGGGCCATAACTAAGAATAAGAAATCACAAACTAGATTTAGAGAACTCCTCCCCAAACTTTTGTCATAATATAAATTGAACAGAATACTCAGGATCAATACACATGTAACACACACAAAAATCTAAATTACAATCTTCAGTTTTAATGAGGTAATGATGATTTTTTTAAACAAACCACTATCCTATGATTCATGAAGTGAAATGATTTCACATCCGACTTCAGAGAAAGAGAAAACATGAGATCTCCTCCAACTCACTGCCACCAAACCTACATATTCATTCTTTTTCCCTTCCTTCCACTGACAATGTCTACTGTCCTCTCTAAGACTATCCTCTATCTCATATCTAAACCACCATGTTCTCGGGGATCTTCACAGCTGTTATACATATCCTCTATCTTGTCCCCTTTTCTAATCACCTTGTCAACATTTAAACATACTCAAGTCTTACCCAAGCCTCCCTTCAGCCAGCCATCATCTACCTCTTCCCTCTCATAATGAAACTTCTTCAAAGAAAATAAATGTGCAAAAATCACAAGCATTCCTATACACCAATAACAGACAAACAGAGCCAATTGCTATAAAGACAATAAAATACCTAGGAATACAACTTACAAGGGATGTGAAGGACCTCTTCAAAGAGAACTACAAACCACTGCTCAACGAAATAAGAGAGGACACAAATAAATGGAAAAACATTCCATGTTCATGGATAGGAAGAATCAATATTGTGAAAATGGCCATACTGCCCAAAGTAATTTATAGATTCAATGCTATCCCCATCAAGCTACCATTGACTCTCTTCACAGAATTGAAAAAAACTACTTTAAATTTCATATGGAACCAAAAAAGAGCCCACATAGCCAAGACAATCCTAAGCAAAAAGAACAAAGCTGGAGGCATCACACTACCTGACTTCAAACTATACTACAAGGTTACAGTAACAAAAACAGCACGGTACTGGTACCAAAACAAATATATAGACCAATGTAACAGAACAGAGGCCTCAGAAATAACACCACACATCTACAACCATCTGATCTTTGACAAACCTGACAAAAACAAGCAATGGGGGAAAGGATTCCCTATGTAATAAATGGTGTTGGGAAAACTGACTAGCCATATGCAGAAAACTGAAACTGGACTCCTTCCTTACACCTTATACAAAAATTAACTCGAGATACATTAAAGACTTAAACGTAAGACTTAAAACCATAAAAACCCTAGAAGAAAACCTAGGCAATACCATTCAGGACACAGGCACGCACAAAGACTTCATGACTAAAACACCAAACGCAATGGCAACAAAAGCCAAAATAGACAAATGGGATCTAACTAAAGAGCTTCTGCACACAAAAGAAACTCATCAGAGTGAACAGGCACCCTACAGAATGGGAGAAAAAATTTGCAATCTATCCATCTGACAAAGGGCTAATATTCCAAATCTACAAAGAATTTAAATTTACAAAAAAAAAAACCCCATCAAAAAGTGGGCAAAGGATTATGAACAGACACTTCTCAAAAGAAGACATTTATGCAGCCAACAAACATATGAAAAAAAGCTCATCATCACTGGTCATTAGAGAAATGCAAATCAAAACCACAATGAGATACCATCTCACACCAGTTAGAATGGCAATCATTAAAAAGTCAGAAAACAACAGATGCTGGAGAGGATGTGGAGAAATAGGAATGCTTTTACACTGTTGGTGGGCATGTAAATTAGTTCAACCATTGTGAAAGACAGTGTGGCAATTCCTCAAGGATCTAGAACCAGAAATACCATTTGACCCAGCAATTCCATTACTGGGTATATACCCAAAGGATTATAAATCATTCTACTATAAAGACATATGCACATGTATGTTTATTGTGGCACTATCCACAATAGCAAAGACTTGGAACCAACCCAAATGCCCATCAATGATAGACTGGATAAAGAAAATGTGGCACATATACACCATGGAATACTATGCAGCCATAAAAAAGGATGAGTTCATGTCCTTTGCAGGGACATGGATGAGGCCGGAAAGCATCATTCTCAGCAAACTAACACAAGAACAGAAAACCAAACACCACATGTTCTCACTTATAAGTGGGAGTTGAACAATGAGAACACATGGACACATGGAGGGGAACATCACACACTGGGGCCTGTTGGCGGGTTGGGGGTTAGGGAGGGATAGCATTAGGAGAAATACCTAATGTAGATGATGGGTTGATGGGTGCAACAAACCACCATGGTACATGTATACCTATGTAACAAAACTGCACGTTCTGCACATGTACCCCAGAACTTAAAGTATAATTTTAAAACATTTTTAAAAAGAACTGCCTACACTTTTTGACTCTACTTCTTTACCTCCCACTAATGCCCTGATCCACTGCAATCTGGCTTCCTCCCTCACCATTGCCTCTGAACTGCTGCTACAAAGCCCTGGAGACCTAATTACCAAGTCCATACAATGGACATTTTTCATTCTTTATGGCACTTGACCCCCTCATGGGCATTTGCCACTGC
This sequence comes from Homo sapiens, assembly GCF_000001405.40. Taxonomy (NCBI): domain Eukaryota; kingdom Metazoa; phylum Chordata; class Mammalia; order Primates; family Hominidae; genus Homo; species Homo sapiens. The sequence goes on from NC_000017.11 coordinate 64,610,968, forward strand.
TGACTACTCCCTCTTCTAGAAACCCTCTCTTCCAGTTCTGTTTAACACCACATTCACCTGGTTCTACACGGCATAAAACTCATTCTAAGTTCTCTTTGCCAGATCTTGCTGTGCTATAAAACTTGAAGTTCTTCAGGGTTTTGCCCTAGGTTCTCTTATTTCACTCTGTAACCTGAGGATCACAGTGTCCATTTTTGTAAATCTTGCAATTATACGTAAACTGTTACATATATGTTTATTTTCTGGGGAGAGAATCCACATTTTTCCTGGGAGAGAGTTCATAGCTTAATAGATTGACAGAACTCTTCCTCTCTCTCAAAAAATAAAATCCGAAGAGCCACTTTTCCATATATTCTCTCTGGTCTTTACCATTTACTCTATGGTTATGATGATACCTAAATTCATAAAACCCGATCCTTAGTTTTCTCCTGAACTCCAGGTCCACAAACCAAATATGCGTTCCCCCCAAAAATCACGTCTTCCCCGCAAACCTGCTCCTCCCTCCAGTTGACTTTCTTTTCAATAAATAGCCTTCCTTTCCACTCCACTACCCAAGTCAGAAATCTCCATAGCAACCTTCACTGTATTCCCTCCTGACATCCTGACAATTACAATTCTCAGCAATTCTACCTCGGAAATATCCTTCATCTGTCTACTTCTCTCTATTACCGATGCCAACACCTTAGTCCACCATCTACTGTCTAGGTAATTACAACATTCCCCTGCCTCAAAGCCTCACTTCTTTCCAGTTCTCCACGCTGGACCTGAAGTGAGCTAAAAATCTAATTAAGTCTTTCCATCCATTTCCCCTTCTAAGATCCTTAAAACATTCCAAAGGTCTTCTGGCCCAAACTTATATTGGCTTCAATGCCCTTCAAGCCCTGGCTCCTGCTCACCTCTCTGACCTCATTTTTCATCACCACAGCTCCCTTCCAGGCCCTCAAGTCTAAGATCCAGCCACACTAACCTTCACTTTCTCAAATGTATCTCTCTCACCCACAGCCTTCACGTGCCATTCTCTCTGCCTGAAACATTCTTCCTAGGCTTCTTCACCTACTCATCTCCTGGTCTCAAAAGGGAAGGATGCCTTTTAGAACATGTTTCTCTCAAGCTTTCCCCGCTTGTATTTTCACAGAAGCTCATACTTTTATAAACACTTATCACATTTTACTGTTCTCGTTTAAGTTTGGAATGTTGCTTATAATTGCGGAGGTGGTAAACTCCATACAGCACGAATCATGCCTGCCTCATCTCTTCCTGCACCAAGCACACATTACGCCTGGCACTTGATAGGTACTCAATAAATATCTGTTGAATGAATGAAATAGACCCTAAAATAATCTAAATAACTTTTTATACTATATAACAATGGCCAATCCTCACATAATCATAATTTTGATTTAAGAAATCTTATTTTAGGCCAGGTACTGTGGCTCATGTCTGTAATTCCAGCACTTTGGGAGGCCAAGGCGGGCAGATCACTTGAGGCCAGGAGTTTGAGACCTGGGCAACATGGCAAAACCCCATCTCTACTAAAAATACAAAAAAAAAAAAAAATTAGCCAGGTGTGGTGGCACACACATGTAGTCTCAGCTACTCAGGAGGCTGAGGCATGAGAATCACTTGAGCCTGGAAGGCAGAGGTTGCAGTTAGCTGAGATCACACCACTGCACTCCAGCCTGAGCAACAGAGTGAGACACTGTCCCCCTCCCTCCACCCCTCAAAAAAATCTTATTTTTATCATTTCTCTTTACTTAAAACATACTTATCCGGTCGTGTTTAACCAATTCTTAAAAAAAAATCACAGAATGTTTAACATTCAGTTTCAAAGAACAATTGAAAAATCAAAAGAACAAAGAACTTTAAAATCAAGTTCAAAGCTTATGAGGAGAAATTACATTTTAGTAATCAAGAGATTAAGGAAAATAACATTAGTGTTCTAGAAGAAACAAGATTAACTTAAAACAAAGAAATAATATCAAGATTGGTCAGACCGCTATGCTTCATGCTGGATCTAAGCAGTTCCAGCCAGCTTTACTAAATTACTTTCTGCCCTGGAAGCAAAAACTCTGATTTGTAACTTTTAAAAGGAAGATTGTCAAAACATGACCTGAGAACTGGTAATGTTATTTATCTGTAAAAATAAATTGTTTTCACATCCTGGAGCCTTTACTGCACTGTTCTTTTTTCTTGGGAATGTACCTTGGGGACTAGAACCACAGCCCATTGCTCTTTTCATTCTCTGTTCTAATCACAGAAGATTGGTAAATGCTCAAAGAATCCATGAATTTCAATATGACAAACTCCTGATTATGTCACCACAGCAAATTCTCAACTAAGGAGGTATGTATCAGAATCCCCTGGAGAATGTATATACAATATTATAATTTTATATTAGGAGAAAATTAATCTATCATCTTTTGTAATAGAAACTATGGAAAGTAGAACTAAGATTAGGAATCATGGGACTAGGGAGGGGTGGCAGTGTGGGAGAAGTTTCATTTCTGCTTTCTAAATGTTTCTTAAAGAAAATAGGTAAAAATGTTGAGAAATGCTGGGCAGTAAGGGAGTAACAGGAGAGAAATCTTGTTAGGTGGGCGAGGCCAGAACAAAGGCTATGGGGTACAGACTTTTTCCTAGACCGCAGTCCCCAACCTTTTTGGCACCAGGGATTGGCTTCATGGAAGACAAGTTTTCCACGGACCAGTGTGTGTGTGTGTGTGTGTGTGTGTGTGTGTGTGTGTGTGTGTGTGTGTGTGTGTGTGTGTGTGTGTGTGGAGGGGGGGCAGAGGGGAGCAGGCAAGGGGGTTTTGGGAATGATTCAATCTCATTACATTTATTGTGCACTTATTTCTATTATTATTACATTGTAATATATAATAGAATAATTATACAACTCACCATAATGTAGAATCAGTGGGAGCCCTGAGCTTGTTTTCCTGCAACTAGACAGTCCCATCTGGGAGTGAAGAAAGACAGTGACAGATCATCAGGCATTAGATTCTTATAAGGAGGGGCAACCTAGATCCCTCGCATGCGCAGTTCACAGTAGGGTTAACACTCCTATGAGAATCTATTGCCGCTGCTGATCTGAGAGGAGGCTGAGCTCAGGTGGTAATACACGATGGGAAGTGGTTGTAAATACAGATGATGCTTCACTGGCTCATCTCCTGCTGTGCAGCCCATGGCCCAGGGTTGAGGACCCCTGGCCTAGACAGCAATCAGTATTTCAATATCTTTAATGTTTAGTAAGCTTATATATATGGAATTGAAATTATATATACAGAAAGGCACAAAAATCTGAAGTATCTGAATTAATTCAATTAATTTTCACCAATTTTTGTGTTAAAGCAAAACATTATACTGGACTACAGATATTTAGTAGGCACAAGTCAATTTTTATTAGTGCTAACTACAAATGTAGCATTACACCACCACAGTACCATGCTGCAGAATCCACCAGGGACAATGTCTCAAACAGCCCATATATTTGTACTAGATTAAGTCTGCTTATACTACTTCATCATGTTACTACCCTTCTCAAATTCCTTCAAAGCATTTCATTCTTAAGTCTACACTCCCAGAACCTAGCTTGTTCTAGCTATTGTACTCACTCCTTTTTCAGACAGATGGTTTGAAATGATTAGCAGAGATGATCAAAATGAACTGACATCAGCCATATTGGATAAAGCCTCTGCATTTCACACAGATGCAGGTGTGATCATCTTGAGATACTTAGGGAGAAAGGAATACTCCTACATCATTCACTCTCTCATTCAACATTTCCTGAACACTCACTTTGTGCCAAGTGCTATGACAGTTTCTGCAGATACAAAGAAAAATAAGACATAGTCCTTTGCTCTCAGAGCTCACAGGTCAGGTATAATTCAAATACCATGTCATAAATGCCTTTTATTGTTGTTTTCTCAAGATACGGTTTTAAACTTTATGGAAATCTTATACTTCATTTGAGGCAGCGATTAGAGAAAACCATTTGCAGAAGTACAGATGGCAGTAAATACTACCATTTTCATTTAGGTCAATAATTTATTTTTCTGGTAGGAAAGGAGTTATCTATATGCAACAAACCAGGTAATAGTATCAGAGTAAATCGCAGCTGTAGAAAGAGAATGCTATGCTTGTTCTTACTGAGTTGTTTTCATAATGAATGGCTATCTACGCTTAATGTGAATAAAGCTCCCAACTACTTAGTATATCCTTGCCAAAAATTCCCCTTCCTCCTCCAGATTGGAGTTGCATTCCAATTACACTGCTGATTGGAATGAGACTGCTTGAGAGAAAAAAAAAATACTCAGACATCCCATCTTCCTTCACCCCACAAAAAGATTTTATAATACTGTCCCTGCAACTCAAAAGTAGCATAAATGCTTTTGAACACAGATTTCTCTGCATGTGCTTTAAACTTATGTTATCATTGTAAAATAAAACCGAAATTCAGGATAACATTCCTATACAAATTCCAGCAGGTGGCCCAGTGCTTCAGAAGTATCAACTGATGTACACCATTCCTGACCAGTGGCACATGACAGCAATTTACATCTTTCTGCTCTGAGAAACAGCCTCTATCTCAACCCCTAAACATGAAATGAAAATGAAATTTAAATGCTACAGAAAACTTCTACACAATTTTTTATGTGTTTTAGTTATTGTTGCTTGAAACAAGAGTATTACACAGATTCACATTCAAGGTGTTATTACAAAATGTTAAAATAAGCAAATATATCACATATAATTCTATATGCATAAAAATGATCAGTTAAGTAAATGATAGCAAACAGCAAGTTGAAATATTACACAGCCATTAAAGATTATGTAAATGTATTTATTTATTGATGGATAAGAAAATAATTTCCTTTTTTTTTTGACAGTCTCGCTCTGTTGCCCAGGCTGGAGTGCAATGGCGCGATCTCAGCTCACTGCAATCTCTGCCTCCCAGGTTCAAGTGATTCTCATGCCTCAGCCTCTCGAGTAGCTGGGATTACAGGCATGCGCCACCACACTCGGCTAATTGCTGTATTTTTAGTAGAGACAGGGTTTCCCCATGTTGGCCAGGCTGGTCTCAAATTCCTGACCTCAAGTGATCCACCTGCCTCGACCTCCCAAAGTGCTGGGATTACAGGCGTCAGCCACCACACCCGGCTTAGAAAATATTTTCTTAATATGCTATTAAAAGTCCTTTTACATGTAGTACATTTAATAAAATATATTTTTAGTAAAGAATATAAACATATTGGATAACATTTATCAAATATTTACTATGTGCAAGTGTACACCAACCACCCTGTGAAATAAGTAGTAGTACTACCGTCATTTTAGAGATGAGGAAACTGAGATTCAGGCATAGAGACTTACCAGTGATTTTGCTTTTAAGAGCTAGAGTTGGCTGGGCACGGTGGCTCTGCCTGCAATCCCAGCACTTTGGGAGGCTGAGGTGGGCGGATCATGAGGTCAGGAGTTTGAGACCAGCCTGGCCAACATAGTGAAACCCTGTCTCTTCTAAAAATACAAAAAATCAGCCATGTGTGGTGGCAGGTGCCTGTATACAGTCTCTGCTACTCAGGAGGCTAAGGCAGAAAAATCCACTTGAACCCAGGAGGCGGAGGTTACAGTGAGCTGAGATCGCGCCACTGTACTCCAGCCCAGACGACAGTGCGAGACTCTGTCTCAAAAAAAAAAAAAAAAGAACTAGAGCTGAGATTCCAACTCAAGTAGATTAATTCTAGAACCCAAACTCAACTACCATATAGAGTGAAACATACTCTCTCAGGCTAGTACTTCCTTTTAAAGAATCTTACTCTAGGCTGGCACAGTGGCTCATGCCTGTAATCCCAACAGTTTGAGACGTCTAGGCGGGCTGATGGTTTGAGCCTAGGAGTTCGAGACCAGTCTGGGCAACAGGGCAAAACCCCATCTCTACAAAAATATACAAAAAAAGAAAAAAAAATAGCCCGGCATGGTGGTGTGTGCCTGTAGTCCCAGCTACTCAGGAGGCTAAGGTGGAAGAATCACCTGAGCCTGCAGTAAGCCATGTTCACACCACTGCACTCTAGCCTGGGCAACAGAATGAGACCTTGTCTAAAAAAAAAAAAAAAAAAAAAAAAAAAAAATCTTAGTCCAGTTAAAGCAATTATTGGTGACACAGGTTCACAAAACGGTTAATTGAAAACTAGGTTACAGAAGGGTGCTCTGCAAAAGATTCAGAATTCTCCTCTTTCAACAGATATAGTAATTTACCTCAACAATCATATTAGCCCTGCTTTTAAGTAAATATCTTGTCATTTAATGAAGGAATTTTAGGCAATTCATTTCATTCATGCTGCAAAACAAACTAGGCCCTTAAGTTTAACTTAATATATTCAGTACCTGGCAAGTAGTTAATCTAATTAGTATGTTTGATGATGTATTAAAAGATACAGGTTCTGAGGTAATTATCCTAAGAACAGTATCAGCATTTAAACATTTCAACAAGGCAAAATTGGTTCTCAGAAAATTTATTATATTTTTATTTTTTTGAGATGATCTCACTCTGTCACTTAGGCTGGAATGGAGTGGCGCAAACACGACTCACTGCAGACTCCAGTTAAATTTTCTGGGCTCAAGAGATCCTCCCATCTCAACCTCTGAGTACCTGGGACTACAGGCGCACACCACCATGCCTTGCTAATGTCTAAAATTTTTTTGCAGAGATGGGGTCTTGCCATGTTGCCCAGGCTCAAGCAATCCTCCTACCTCAGTCTCCCAGACTGTTAGAATTACAGGCATGAGCCACTGCGCCCAGCCTCAGTTAACAAATTTAAAATGACCTTTCTAGTCCACTCATATCAAACAACTTTTAAGTAACTACTTAAAAATTTTTTTTCAACAAAGATGAAGATTTTGGTAAAGTTCTCACAAACATGCGTACTTTTTACATTAATAAAACAAGATGAGACTATACAAATAAGCTTTCTAAACACTGAGTGCAAGTTTATCAATAATAGATCTACTTTGACATAATAAATGCAGATTTTAAAGAAATCTAGTCAGAATTATAGATTTTATTCTAGTCACAATTATAATTTTTTTTACTTATCGTGATCAGAGGTAATTTTAAAGTAAAGCTTATCTTAACAAGCATAATAATCAACTTCTGGTGTAAGTTCACATGTTAAAAATAAAAAAGGGCTGGGTGCGGTGGCTTACGCCTATAATCCTAGCACTTTGGAAGGCTGAGGTGAGAGAATCACTTGAGCCCAAGAGTTAGAGACCAGCCTGGGCAATATAGTGAGACTCCGCCTCTAAAATAAATAAATAAATAAAGTAAAAGCTCAGCTAAAGCCAAGCAGCACATTCAGTATGAGATAAATGTAAAACACTTGGTCTAGGTATCTGGTACATAGCAGGCACTCTACGAAAGCTATTATTTTGAGAAACCATCTGAAAGGATTTGTTATATATCTTAAACCAGTATTTCTGTGAATTCTTTATTCCTATATGAGGATGAAAATACACAAAAGTACCGTTCTCCATTCAAAAATTCACCATGACTTAAAGACCTATGCTGTGTGCAGACCAAACATTATCCTGTCTGCTGCTGCTGGAGACTCAACCACCACCTTCTCTACTGGACTCCTTCATTCAAACAGACCCACTCATAACTGATGGCTGTTCAAGAGATGAATATTGTATATTTAAATTAAACCACACAATTTACTTTCTTCATAAGGATGCCGAGAGAAGGAAACCTTATTGTAAAGTTCAAGTATATACTTGCAATGAAGCCTAAACATTATTTTATATGTAGAAAAAGACTTGCATCACTTTTTGGCCACTCCCAAGTTTCCTTCCTTTACCTTCTTTTTCTAGAGACACTTATAGAGGCAGTGTAATATAGTGTGTTAAGCTATAAGCACTATAAAAGAGTTAAATAATTAGGGTCAGAATGCATGGGTTTGAACCTGGTGCTATCCCTTATGAACTTGTGACCCTAAAAACTACTTAACTTCTCTTTGCTTCAGATAGCTCATCTGTAAACATGAGGACAGAAGGATACTAAGAGCCACCTCATGGTGTTGTTTTAAAGATTAAACAAATTGAAACACAGAGAACATGAGACCAGTACCTGGTACACAGCAAGTGCTCAATAAACACTGGCTATTATTATTACTCAACTCTAAAATTTCTCATAAAATTAACCTACGAGGTTGCAAACACATTAAAAAAGAACATGGCCGGGCACGGTGGCTCATGCCTGTAATACTAACACTTTGGGAGGCCGAGGCGGGCAGATCATGAGATCAGGAGATCGAGACCAGCCTGGCTAACATGGTGAAACCCCGTCTCTACTAAAAATACAAAAAATTTGCCAGGCATGGTGGCATGTGCCTGTAGTCCCAGCTACTCTGGAGGCTGAGGCAGGAGAATCGCCTGAACCCGGGAGGCAGAGCCTCCCGTGAGCCGAGATCATACCACTGCACTCCCGCCTGGGTGACACGGCGAGACTCTTGTCTCAAAAAAAAAAAAAAAAAAAAAAAAAGAAGAAGAATATAATTTGGCAAGACGTTTGCCTTAGCCAAAACAAATACCATAGATTAGGTGGCTTAAACAGCAAACATTTGTTTTTCACAAATCAATGGAGGCTGAGAAGTCCAAGATCAAGGTGCCAGCAGAGTCAATGTCTGGTGAGGGCCGTCTTCCTGGTTTGCATACTCCCACCTTCTCCCTGTATGCTTGCATGGCCCCCATAATCTCTCCCATGTCTCCTGTTATAGGGGCACTAATCCTATTCATGAAGGCTCCACCCTCATGACCTCATTACCTCCCAAATGCATCACCTTCAAATACCATCACATTGGGGATTAGGCTTCAACATAGGAATATTGGGGGACACATTCCATTCATAGCAAAGCTTATGTACCTAGCAAGCTTTCAGTAAATGCTGTTAATTGAGTCCCAATCTGTTTCTCTAGCCTCACTCTCTTCCCAAGCTCCGAACTCATACACCCATTTAGATTCCTCACCAGCACTTCAAATTATATTTTTTCAAAATGGAATTCATCAGCTTCCCTAGTGAACCTGCTCTTCTTTTTGACCTCCGTAGTGCTGTGAACTGCACCACGTTTCCAGTCATCCAGAAAGCAATGTCTTTATCTCTCTTCCTCTCCCTGACCACCTCACATACCTAAAGCAGTTGCCAGATTATAGCCGGTTATCACATACCTCTGCTTATCTCCATTTCCAGTGTTCACATTTAAATAATACATCTAGAGTATTTTACAATGTGCCAAAAAACTTCTACATAGATTGTTTTCTTTAACCCCTAAAGCTTGTGAGTTATCTAATATCCACAGAAAAACTGTAAGTGAATGTTTTGGCTCACCCCTAACTGCCACCTAGGAAAAGAGTTTAGGCATTGTGAATTCAGGCTCCATCCTATTTTTCTATAAATCCTTCACTCAAGCAGTGTCAATGATTCCTGTTTTCTCTCTCATTAACCCCTAGACTGACAAGCTCATCCTCTTCCCTCAAATAAGCCCAGGACTTTTCTGCCTTTGCCTTTATTCATAATGTTCTTCCCACCTTAAATGTTATTATCCCAACCACTGGCCCTCAAAATCTTATCCATTCATCAAACTTCTGTGAAGCCTTTTCTGACTCTCCTTTTTCAGTCTGATTTTGATCTCTTCCTTCCCGTGAACCTCCAACACTTGGATTCTACTTGTTTTATTATAGTGCTTTCTCATTTTGCTTGTTAAAGTTATTCATGTGATGTCTTACCTCTGTCTCATTAAGCTATAAACCTCTTCTACAGTTTATTATATAATATCTTAAACATAATATGCAAATACTTGTTGAATCAAATAAAATCCTCAGAAAACCACTGACGAGTTATAAGGATGTGCAAACTAAAAGGTAAAGGATACATGCAGCTCACTCCTTGTTTCCCCTAACCTAGTAACTCTTTATGTTCAAATCAGGATGGCTTCCTTAACTATTCATAAGTACTCTGCGTACCCATTCCTTAGGGCCCAACTACTTATCTAATAACAGATCTCACTGAGCCTTCTCTCTCATTCACAATAGAAAAGTATATTGTCCCATAATGTTCTAAAATTTTATTTGCCTTGTTTCTGTAACATTGTAAACAAAGGTAAACTTCCACATCTTCTGCATTCTTCCAGACTCTGAAAAACTGTAGTCACTCAAATACCTGATGATCTACTAAGAAAACAAAGTGCAAAGGTATTTAGCTTTCCAAATACGCTCCATTTGAAAACACAGGCCACAAGCACAAATAGGAAAGAAGACTGCAACTATAAAAAGCACTGTAGGCTGGGCGTGCTGGCTCACGCCTGTAATCCCAGCACTTTGGGAGGCTGAGGTGGGTGGATCACCTGAGGTCAGGAGTTTGAGACCAGCCTGGCCGACATGGCAAAATCCCGTCTCTACTAAAAATACAAAAATTAGCCAGGCGTCGTGGCGTGTGCCTGTAGTCCCAGCTACTCAGGAGGCTGAGGCAGGAGAATCGCTTGAATCCAGGGGGCAGAGGTTGCTGTGAGCCGAGATCATGCCACTGCACTCTAGCCTGGGTGACAGAGCGAGACTCTGTCTCAAAAAATAATAATAGGCCAGGCACGGTGGTTCATGCCTGTAATCCCAGCATTTTGGGAGGCCGAGGTGGGTGGATCACAATGTCAGGAGTTCAAGACCAGCCTGGCCAACATGGTGAAACCCCATCTCTACTAAAAATACAAAAATTAGCTGGGCATGGTGGCACGTGCCTGTAATTCCAGCTACTCAGGAGGCTGAGGCAGGAGAATTGCTTGAACCGGGACCCGGGAGGCGGAGGTAGCAGTGAGCAAGACCACGCCACTACACTCAGCCTGGGTTACAGAGTAAGACTCTCTCTCAAAATAAATAAATAAATAAATAAATAAATAATAATAATAATAATAATAAAAAGCACTGTAGTGAGCCATCATCGCAATAATAATAATAATAATAATAATAATAATAATAAAAAAAAGCACTGTAGTGAGCCATCATCGCACCACTGCACTCCAGCCTGGGTGGCAGAGTGAGACCTTGTCCCCAAAATAAGTGATAAATAAAATAAAAATAATAAATTTAAAAAAATAAAAATAAAAAGCAGTATAATTTATAAGAAAATACTTCTATACAACTATATATTTTTGAAATAATTCCTGGGTTAATAGGGAATTCATAAATGTAATAAACTTTTTATTTTAGAATAGTTTCAGATTTACAGAAAAGTTACAAAGTTAGTACAGTGTTCCCACATATCCACACTCACTTATCCTATCATGAACATCTAACATTAATATGGGACATTTGTCACAATTAATGAACCAATACATTATTATACATTAATATTATACATTAATTAAAATTGGTGTTTTATTCAGATTTCCTTACTTTTTACATACTGTAGAACACCGTAATACATTTAGTCATGTCTCCTAATGCTCCTTGTGGCTGTAATAGTTTCTCTGGCTTTCCTATTGTTTCTCAGACTTGTTATTTATGGCCTTGATGGTTTTGAGGAAAATATTGGTAAGGTATTTTGTGGAATGCTCCTCAACTGGGATTTGTCTAACTTCTCATGATTAGACGGGGTTTATGAGTTGTTGGGAGGAAGACCACAAAGGTAAAGGTACCATTCTCATAACATCATATCAAGGGTACATACTATCAACATGATTTATCACTGTTGATATTAACCTTGACCTAGCTAAAGTAGTGTTTGTCAAGTTTTTCCACTGTAAAGTTCCTCTTTTTCCCCCTTTCTATACTGTACTCTTTGGAAGGATGTCACTATACAAAACCCACACATAAGGACTAGAGAGTTATACTATACCTCCTTAAGAGTGGGATATCTACATAAATTGTTTGGAATTATTCTGCATGGGAGATTTGTCTATCCCCTATCTAATCATTTATATCAGTATGGACTCACAAACATTTGTTTTGTACTTTGGGTTATAATCCAATACTACTTTATTTTATTGCTCAAATTTTTCCAGCTTTGGCCATTGGGAGCTCTTTCCATTGGTTCGTGTGTTCCTTTGACATACTTCCATCATTGAGGGGAAAGGAAGAGCTCTTTCTTACTGATGGAAAATGCTCTAGGCTCATTTAAGTTCCCTACCCTGGCCTCAGAATTAGTCATTTCTCCAAGCAACCCTAGGAATTACCAAATTTAAACATCCATAAAGACCCAAAATTTTCAAATATAAACAGTTGAGCCAATGAACCCTTCAGCTCCTAAGGTCTACCTTCACTAGATCATTAAGTTCCATGATATCAAGAACTTAACTTTGATCTCCACTGTATACCCAGAGTCTAGAAAAAAGTGCACAGTAGGCATTCAATAACTACTATAAACACCGAACCTCTGAGACTCCAGAAGGTGGCTCCAGATTGAGTCATAACATAACTCATCATTCCAATGGAATCTGCCTAGATTTCTCATGTTTAGACTCCTGTTCTAACACCACTATGTCTAATTCACTGCATTGTTTTACAGTAAACAAAAAGCTTCCTTTTTCCACTGCTCCTCCCTTTTATTCCATCGCAAGCCAGAAGTTTTGTTAAGTATTCCCCAGTAAAATTTCCAGTGCAAAGGAATATACATCACATTTCCTAGATTCTTTCTATAATGGCGTATTGCCATTTACATCATCCTTTTCCGAGTTCCATTGAAATTACCATTTTTAACTTGCTATGTAGAGTTTAAATGAAAGGCATAATGCCAAATCCTTATCAACATTAGCAGCAGAAGAAAAATTACTGACAAAAATCTACTGATACCAAGTTGGACATAATGCCCTCAAAACACCTAGTTAGTATGTATGTAAAAGCATCTAAACCCTACCAATATTCCTTGACAAATCTATACGTAGACAGGAAAAAGCTTAAGTTAAACGTAAGTTGTCTTGTCTATACATATTTGATAATGTGAAGACATGGTTCCCTCCATAGCTTATCCATATATATGCAAAATAAGCTAAAATTATAATGGGGTGGTTCTACTAAACAACTTTATGATATAATTACAATATTCACTAATTTGTGATGGCTTGTTTTTCAGAGAAAGTTACCGCATGCAAAAATAAAGCTACAACAAATGACACACTACTGACTAAAAAGCAAGTCTGATAATCCTACAATAGAGTCCTCCTTCAACCTTAATACGATATCAAAATGCTATAAATTATACTGCCTTAGGTCAGGCACAGTGGCCAATGCCTGTAATCCCACCACTTTGGGAGGCTGAGGCGGGAGGACTGCTTGAGCCCAGGAGTTCAAGACCAGCCTGGGCAACATGGTGAAACCTCATCTCTATAAAAAAAAATTTTTTTTTGAGATGGAGTCTTGCTCTGTCATCCAAACTGGAGTGGACTGGTGTAATCTCGGCTCACTGCAGCCTCCGCCTCCCAGGTTCCAGCCATTCTCCTGCCTCAGCCTCCCAAGTAGCTGGGATTACAGGCGCACGCCACCATGCCAGGCCTCTACAAAAAAAAAAAAAAAAAATTAAAAAAATTAAAAACTAGCAAGGTTTGGTGGCAAATGCCTGTAGACCCAGCTACTCAAGAGGCTGAGGCTGGAGGACTGCTTGAGCCCAGGAGTTCAAGACCAGCCTGGGCAACATGGTGAGACCTCATCTCTACAAAAAACTTTTTAAAATTAGCAAGGTGTGGTGGCAAATGCCTGTAGTCCCAGCCACTCAGGAGGCTGAGGCAGGAGGATCGTTTGAACACAGGAGGTTGAGGCTGCATTGAGCTGTGTGTTCATGCCACTGCACTCCAGCCTGGGCAACAGAGCAAGACAGGGGAGGGGAGGGAAGGAGAGGGGAGGGGGAAAGAAAATAGTATTGCCTCAATAAAATATCATTTATAGAGAGTATGAGCCATAGAGGATAAGTGATCTGTGGCCACATTTGCAGTATGTGATCCTGACCCACTGGCCACTGCTAATTGGATAATAAGCAGCTACCACATCCAGTATGAGCCAGTCAGATCCTCTCTCTTGGGAAACTAGCATTCACAGCCAGTGCCTCTACAGAGAAGGAAGCATAAGCATTTAGAAAGATGGTTCTCCTGACTCTAGGGGGCCACTGGTAATAACAATCTCAGTTTCTGAGGCTTTCCAGTTTCTGGATCCTGTCTCTCCAAAGCCAGGCCACACACCTTCCCCTTTGGGTGCCAAAACTATATCCTCCCAATAATTTCTCTTTTTGCTTAAGTTAGTCTGAATGGGTCGCTTTCCTGTTACTTGCAACCAAAAATGTCTGAAGATAAAGGGAATCTGCAGTGCTTACCAAAGCACTGTCATATGCCAAAAAGCACACTTAAGCAAAAATGCAAATGTGTTAAATCCCCAAATCATTAACATTTTACAAGTTAAAATGTTTTCAAATGTTAGTCCTAATCTTAAATATTAACAAAAATGACATGTGTTCAAAAAATTGCTATGCAGATAAGAACACATGAACATGCTTCTAATATACAATTTTGTATTCAACACAGATCTCTGTTTTATGACACTAGCAAATTAACATAGTGTAGATTATGAGCCCACATATGTAGAACTGGTATTGGTTGGTGTATGTCTACTCTATCACCTTAAAGTCATGGTCCTCATGGTTCTCAAACTTTAGCACGTATCTTATCTCTTCCTAGAGGGCCTGTTAAAATACACCGCTGAGTCCTAACTCCAGAGTTCCTAATTCAGTAGGTCTATATGGGGCCCCATGACTCAATTCCCAGTGATGCCAATGTTGCTGGTCTCAGCACCAGACTTTGAAAACCACGGCCTTAAATAATGGCTCTCTACTTTTAGGGGAATGAGATGGTGATGGTAAAGCGCTCCTTTGAAAATTTAAGAAAAACTATGTACTTAGACAATACACACACTTTAAAGGGTTTACAGAAACTCAAAAGCTCATCCACATACTCTTCCAAATGATTCTACATTAAGAACCTCATTAAAGAACAACATAGGGGCTGGGCCTGGTGGCTTATGCCTATAATCCCAGCACCTTGGGAAGCCGAGGCAGGCGGATCACTTGAGGTCAGGAGTTCGAGACCGAAACCCCATCTCTACTAAAAATACAAAAAAATGAGCAAGACATGGTGGTGTGCACCTGTAATCCCAGCTACTCGGGTGGCTGAGGCATGAGGATCACTTGAACTTGGGAGGCGGAGGTTGTGGTGAGCCGAGATCATGCCACTACACTCCAGGCTGGGTGACAGAGTGAGACACGGTCTCAAAAAAAAAAAAAAAACAAAAAACATAGGATTATACATATTCATGAAGGGTCATACATGTCCATGCAGGGTCATATATAGCCATGTTTTCCAAATATACTTGGAACTTTTACTTGTAAGTTATTTTACACATTCATCTTGAATTTTTTAAGAAGCACAGGCTATTTCATTCAAGTTACTAATTAACATAGAGCAGGAAGATTCTGTTTTAAAAACTTACCTGGGCCAGGCGCAGTGCCTCACACTTGTAATCCCAGCACTTTGGGAGGCTGAGGCAGGCGGATCATTTGAGGTCAGGAGTTCAAGACCAGCTTGGCCAACATGGCAAAATCCCATCTCTACTAAAAATACAAAAATTAGCCAGGCGTGGTGGCAGGCACCTGTAGTCCCAGATACTCAGGAGGCTGAGGCAAGGGAATCGCTTGAACCTAAGAGGCAGAGGTTGCAGTGAGCCGAGATTGTGCCACTGTACTCCAGCCTGCTCGACAGAGCAAGATTCCATCAAAAAAACAAAACAAAACAAAACAAAACTTACCTGAACACAATCTCACTTTGTCATTAAAAAATTGATGAAATTATAACTATAAAATAGACAAAATCTATATCTAGATTTAACAGAAAAACACTTAGGAATAACATTAAACTATCACATGAAGGACATGCACGTATTCCCCTAAAAAAAAAAAACAAACAAAAACCTCTAGATTAAAGCTGATGTACAAATATGATAGGCTCCAGTCTTTAAGCCACCGCAACTGATACTGAGTGAGGACAAGCTGATCCTGCCAAGCCCTGTACAAATTACAGATTCACAAACAAAATAAATGTTGTTTTAAGCCACTAAGTTTTTTTCCTTTTTTTTTTTTTTTTTTTTGAGATGGAGTCTTGCTCCTGTTGCCCAGGCTGGAGTACAATGACACAATCTTGGCTCACTGCAACCTCCACCTCCCGGGTTCAAGTGATTCTCCTGCCTCAGCCTCCCGAGTAGCTGGGATTACAGGCATGTGCCACCACGCCCAGCTAATTTTTGTTATTTTTAGTAGAGATGGGGTTTCGTCTTATTGGCCAGGCTGGTCTCGAACTCCTGACCTCAAGTGATCCGCCCACCTCAGCCTCCCAAAGTGCTGGGATTACAGGCGTTAGCCACTGCATCTGGCCTTAAGCCATTAAGTTTTGAGACACTTTGCTAAACATTGTTAGATAATTAGAACACCTTTAGATGAGTTGAGAAACAGATTAAAACCCAGTCAAGCTGACAGTTTTCTCCATTAGACCACTTTTCAAAGTATATAGCTACTGAACTACACGCAGACCTCTCCCCTAATATCCACATCCTCATATCCAAATGACTACTAAACTCTGACAAACCCTAATCTGGACACCTAGTCTGCTGCGGCCAATGCAGATGTAAGCAGGTGACATAATCCTAACTCAGGTATATCACATACAAAACAGAGGCAGTTAGATGTTATAATTTCATACCACATGTATGCTATAGACCATCTCCAGCCAGTTCCCTGCTTACCATCCAACAAACCCAGATATCACCACCAACCAATCAAGAACACTCAAAAATTTGGCTTTTCTAATATGGAAAAGGACAGTTCATGATCTTTTGGCTTTAAAGGATCTCCATCCCTGACAGCGCGCTTAGACTTTGTGCTGGATTAGGCTTCCTGCTTGGCAATAAAGTTTTTTCACTCAGTACACAATCTTTGGTCTCCAACAGTCTTTGTACTTTAACAGTTTGGAAGTCCCACACAGATCATATGACTGAGCCATCCGATGAAGCCAACAAGCCACCAACACCTGAGAACATAGTAAGCCCTGGTTTCCATCACCTTCTGATGGTGATTCCGCTGACTTTATGAGTTTGTTCTGCTGTCTCGCAAGTTTGTTTGAAGCCTTCTGGTTTCTTGTGGGTAGACATGGAGAGGAAATTTGGTCTCTTCTTTGAGTGATACAAAAAGAGTGGGTCTATTCTGTGTATGTTCCATTGTTAGTCCACCTGTGTCCTAAGAGAATACTCAGAAAACTCAAACGTTTGGACCAGATTCAAAGGCTGGAGGTCCTAGACTACTGGGTCTGCCTCAACTGACTAAGTATTCTATGTATACATTTTCTATCAAATAGTGAAATAAATCTCCTTTTTGGTATTTGTTATGGGGGTCTGTTAAGTAAAAGAGTCAAATCCTGTCAGGACTCCTGAATCTTTTATGTTATTCATTATAGTCCAAATTCATATACATGTCTAATAAGTACTATGGCAAAATTATACCAAGAATAGTTTCTAAATTACCGCGGCCACTTTGGGGAACTTGCAATTTCAACGAGGGCTTACACTCCCACAATGCCTTAGAACCAAAGGAGGTAAAACCCCCAAAGCAATAGTCTACATTCTTAAACTCTAACACTAAGACAACCAATGGCTCAATAACTCAAAATTAACTTCCTTGAAGGATTCTCTAACAAGAGGTAAAGAAAGGGCAGCTCTTTCTCCGTGACTTCCTGCCTTGAAAGCTCAGCCTTTAACTCATCTGCTAGAATCCTAATGTTCTGACTCTTCAGATGAGGACCTCACACTACTCTCACAATTGATCATCACAGGGCTCCCTCACATCTTCCTGCCTTAGATATCACAGTTCTATCTCCTCCCCTGTTACTGAGCACCCATGTAGTATGGGACAGACAACCCCACAATTTCCATTAAGGACTTACCCCCACCCTTCAAAAGAAAGCCAGGCTGTTGTTTTTAAACTCCAGCCCCAGGCAAAATCCCTAAACCCACTAAAAAGACCAAAAGTTTTCTGAGTTTAGAAAACTTTTACATATCTAATACTCCCATGCCCACCAGAACCTCACAAACTTACAGACTACTAGTTTCCCTAAGAAGGTCGAAGATGGTTCCAAAAAACAGGTTGGAACCCTAATGCAGATCAGGTATCACTAATCAGAAGAAAGTTTAAGAAAAGTGTGTGTACACCTATAATCCCAGCACTTTGGTAGGTCAGGGCGGGAGGATCCCTTTAGCCCAGGAGTTTGAGACCAGCTTGAACAACATAGTGAGACCCTGTCTCTATAAAAAAAATTTTTTTAATTAGCCAGGCATGGTGGCGCTTGCCTGTAGTCCCAGCTACCTGGAAGGCTAAGGCAAAAGGATAGCCTGAGCCCAGAAGTTTGAGGCTGCAGTGAGCTGTGATCACACCACTGCACTCCACCCTGGACAACAGAGAGAGACCCTGTCTCTAAGATAAAACAAGTAGAAGGAAAAGTATCTGCTTCACACCATCCCCGAAGTCTTTCTTACCAAAGTAGATTACACCAAAATCCTAAATTGCAAGCAGTCATTTGTAATCAGAAGATTTTAGAAACTTTTAGGCAATATTTTTATAGACCTAGAGGCAGAGCTAAATGGCCTTTTCAGCCTCCTTTAATGGATTAAAACCAGAAATAGATTAGTGGGAAGAATGTCAGTGGATTGGCAAATAAATTATCTACATGAATTACAACAGAATATTGTCCAAGAACTCTAAACAAATTTTTTAAAAACCATATGTCTCTTCAAATTAAACAACTCATTCAAAGTCTAACAATACCTCCTATGACTGGTAGAGGAAAGAACTGTCCTGGGGGGATGTTGAATCCATAAATAATTCAGGTACTAGAAAAGTAATCATCCTTTAAGAACTGAGAAAGGAGGCCGGGCACAGTGGCTCACGCCTGTAATCCCAGGACTTTGGGAGGTCGAGGTGGGCAGATCACAAGGTCAGGAGTTCGAAACGAGCCTGGCCAACACAGTGAAACCCTGTCTCTACTAAAAATACAAAAATTAGCCAGGCATGGTGGTGCACGCCTGTAGTCCCAGCTACTCAGGAGGCTGAGGCAGGAGAATCGCTTGAACCTGGGAGGCGGAGGTTGTGGTGAGCTGAGATCGCACCACTGTACTCCAGCCTGGGCAACAGAGCAAGACTCCGTCTCAGAAAGAAAAAAAAAAAGTTAATACAAATTAAGTGGTTAGCAAAAATCCTAGAAGATATTTATTTATAAGAGGCTTCTGATTTTTAAAAGTCTTCATGCCCTCATCAAGTAAAAAACCACTTCATTTGAGAGATTACCAGCTAACTGGGAATTTCTAAAAATATAAGGTCTTACTCAAATTAAATGCCACAAAAGAAAAAGAACCTGTTACTCTGCAAGTGTGCAGAGAGCTAACTGGCCAAAACACAAGAAATTAGTTCCTGCCATCACACCCAAACTGGCGCAACAGGTTAGGGGTAAGCAGTAAGGCAGAACTATAATATTGTGAAACCTAAAACCTTATATTTAAAGGCTCTACTGGGGACAACTACTGGGGGCAAGGGGACAAATGACAGTCCACCCAGAGTTGAAACAATTTTAGCAGAAAAAGGTTTTATAACTATCCTTAGAAAATTATAAGAATTTTGCCTCTCAGAATTTGCCTCTCATTAGCTGAACTGATAAGGATAAGAACAAGTTCCTATACAAACTTCTTGAAGGCTCCAGCTAAGGGCTGTCCTTTATATCATTGCGGAGAACTTAAAACATATCCTTGAAGGCCCTACTTTTCAACCAGCACTCAATTATCTCTAGGGAGTCCTTGAAAAGCAACTATTAGTCAAATGCAGTGGTAAGGTCAAGTCAGAAAAGTCTGTTTCATCAGTTAGAGCACTAGTATCCTCCCTAAGAGCAGCTTCATAAGAGTAGTGGGCAAAGGCTGGGTTAGTGCATAAATGAAAGGTGAAGGTCATGTGTAGTGGCTCATGCTGTAATCCCAGCACTCTGGGAGGCCAACGCAGGAGGATCACTTGAGTCCAGGAGTGCAAGACCAGCCTGGGCAACATGGCAAGACCCCATCTCTACAAAAAATTTACAAATTAGCCGGGTGTGGTGGCGTGTGCCTGTAGTCCCAGCTACTCAGGTCAAAAAAAGGGAGAGAGGGACGGGGGTGAGGTGGGGTGGAGAGGGAGGGAGGAATGGAGGTGGGGGGGAGAGAGGGGGGGGGGGAGAGAGAGAGAGAGAGAGAGAGAGAGAGAGAGAGAGAGAGAGAGACAGAGAGAGAGAGACAGAGAGATGAAAACAAGGATACACATCACAAGAGCAGACTACTCTTTGTAAAGGTCAGACCTAAAATGAAGAAATGCAGGGGTTGAAGGAAATGGGCTAAGAAAGGACTTTAAAGATGAGAGACACATGTGGATATTTAAATTCTGAAAGAAGATAAAAAGAGTACTTAATAGGACAAAGTTCCAGAGTCCAGAGAGGAGAATTAACTAACCTTCACAGGTGAGGAACACACCTTGACTGGTCATCTTTGAAAACCAGCCCAGCTCCTAAAATCTCCTCTCTCAGAACATAAAATGCACTTAAACACCCCCTCCCAAAAAACAAAACACCATGAAACAAACAAAAAACAGAAATTTGACATGACCCTAATTCCACCTCTGCCCTCATTTTCACACTTTTTATTGGATGTAAGAAATATTTACACAATAATTAATATGCATTGAGCATTTACTACTTCTCAGACATGGTGCTTATGCACGTTATATGGATTAGCTCATTAAACACCAGACAGGATCAGCAACATGGGGTCAGCAAAACTGCACTTTGCTATCATATCTGCCTCTCAACATCTATTAACCACCCACCACCCTAGTATTATTCTAAGACTCTCTTTTTTTGCGGGGGGGGGGGGGGGGGGGTGGACAGAGGCACACTCGCCCACGCTGAGTACAATGTTGCGATCTCGGCTCACTGCCAACCTCTGCCTCCCGGGTTCAAGCAATTCTCCTGCCTCAGCCTCCCAAGTAGCTGGGATTACAATCGCTCACTACCACACCCAGCTAATTTTTGTATTTTTAGTAGAGACGGGGTTTCACTATGTTGACCAGGCTGGTCTCAAACTCCTGACCTCAAATGATCTGCCCACCTCGACCTCCCAAAGTGCTGGGATTACAGGCATAAGCCACCACCTCTTTTTAAAAAGGGGTGGGTGGGAGGAAGCAAAGCTAAATTTTAATCTCCAGAAATTTTGACTTGCCACATCAATCACAAATTTATACATTAGCTCAGATGTCCGGAGCTAGACTGGCCAAAGTGTCGTGCAATCCACACCACATGGTTAATAACTGACCATGCCCCTACACACTCCTAACATCAACCCTCCCAGGAAATGTGTGTCTATTAAACCAAATCCATTTCCAATTGACTTATACTCAGGGCAGCTGTGGGAAAGAGAGATGGGCAGGAAACAAACAAACAAAAACTTCTCTTAATTCAAAACACATAGTCAGCCTATTTGACCTAAAACCTGGTCTTAAGGAAGTTACAAATGCTTCCTATATTCTCTTTTCAGCTGAAGGGGAAAATGAGACAAGTCTTGGGGAAAAAAACTGTTCAAAGGCCTCCAGACTTCTGTCAAGAGACCTAAACAATTTAGGAAGACAGTGTAACACAGAGCTTAGAGACAGGAATAAAACACATCTGGTTTCAAATTCCAGCTTCCCACGCTTAAGAGAAGGGCTGTGAGCCCTTGGACAAATGACTTAACCTCTCTGAGATCAGTGTTTTCTGATGACAATATGATAGTATTTGTACTCGCCTACTTCAGAGTATTATTTTGAGGATTAAGTGAGATGACTTAGGTAAAGAGTTTCTTAAAACTTTGCAAATAGGGATACACAGTATTTATTGTTATAACAGAAGGTAGAGGCTGCATGTGGTGGCTCAAGTCTGTAATCTCAGCACTTTGGGAGGCCAAGGCAGGGAGATAGCTTGAGCCCAGAAGTTCGAGGCCAGCCTGGGCAACCTGAGGAGACCCTGTCTCTATAAAAACACAAAAATTAGCCAGGCGTGGTGGCACGCACCTATAGTCCCAGCTACTTGGGAGGCTGAAGTGGGAGGATGGCTTGAGCCCAGGAGGCCGAGGCTGCAGTGAGCCATGATCATATCACTGTACTCCATCCTGGGTGACAAAGCAAGACCCTGTTTCAAAAACAAAACAAAACAAAAAAACAGATCTCTACCTATAGATTCTTCTATATCCAGGTACTGGGAGTCAATCAGGGTCCCTCAAAATCAAATAGAGGAAAGAACAACTTCAAAGAGAAAGCAGAGTATAAAAACAGAGAAAGAACACTCCCTTTCCACTTAAACCCTCCATACCCACACCGGTATCATTCCATCCCAGGTGAAAATGTTTATTAGCTGGGTAAAAATAAATACATAAATCCCTTTACCATATATTTACAATACAATATAGTAAGAATAACCATTAAATATGTCATATTCACTTTGTTGCAAGTTTAAATTCCAGGATTCAACTAGCATCATTGGTTTGTTTTTCACATAACATGAATTATCTTACAACTTCAGTTGATTAGAGGCATTAGAGAATCAGTAATAATTCTGGTCCCTACAATTCTGAGCCTTCAATAATATGCTGAAAACACCAAACAACTTTCAATTCTAAACTTTAGAGGTAACTTATAAACACAGGCAACTACCAAGAGATTAGCCCCCCACCCCCCAAAAAAATGTTGTGAAGAGTTTTATACTCTCCATACAAAGTTACTGTAAAAACATAAAATTTATATAGGCTGAGTGTGGTGGCTCATGCCTGTCATCCCAACACTTTAGGAGGCCGAGGTGGGCAGATCACCTGAGGTCAGGAGCTTGAGACCAGCATGGCCAACATGGCGAAACTGTCTCTACTAAAATACAAAAATTAGCCAGGTGTGGTGGTGCGCGCCTGTAATCCCAGCTACTTGGGAGGCTGAGGCACAAAAATAGCTTGAACCCAGAAGCTGGAGGTTGCAGTGAGCCGAGATCCCACCACTGCACTCCAGCCTGGGCGACAGTGAGACTGTTTCAAAACAAAAAACAAAAACAAAAAGAGAATAACTGGCTGCTAGCATTCTTGGAGCTAAGTAATACAAGGGGGCTGGGAGTTTCACCATTTAAAGATGTGGCAAATCCCCTCATTTTCAGCTGGGCATTTCTTTACCACCTTCCACAGCACCAGGTATTCCTGGGTCTATAGGCAGTCTGGCTTTCTCCACAAGATAAATCTTTGACTTTTTTGTGAGGTTGGGTAAGAACACTCATCTGCTTGCCTAGGATGAGGCATGTATAGAACTTTCCACTGACTTTAAACCATTTCCTGCTTTCAGCTTCACATCTTGCTTGCACCCTCAGAGATACCTGGCACCTTCAATTCCTGAGTCTTCCTAGAGATAGGTGATATGAACTGGCTAGAATCATGCAAGGAATTGGTATCCGCCTCTGTAGATATTTTATATTCCACTTTCTCAGCTAATTAATCTACTCCAACCACCTTCCATTTCCCTGAAGTTTTTTTATACCACTTATTTACTGTCTCCTGTTCTTTCTGCTCTTGCAGATTTATGCTGTTTTCATTCTCTTACTCACTGTGAATGGGGCTTGGGGACAGAGCAGAAATAAACATATTTGTTCAATTCAAGCTTAAAAAGAAGACACAGTCCTTGAATGATTTTTATCTGATGCTAATACATATCCTGGGTGCATTCAGATTTCATGAAGCCTGGAGTTTACAGAGTTTGGAGGCTCCATTTTAAGAGCACAGAATTGGGTATTGACAGCCAATATTCAATTTAGAATGAGAAAATAAATCATAAATTTTAACAAACTGGCAAAAGCCACAAACATCATAACCTAATAATAATAATAATAATATTTGTTATGACAAGTTTTTTTCCCATTTGTTTCCAGATAAAAGTCACATAAGGCCAGGCATGGTGGCTCACACCTGTAATCTCAGCACTTTGGGAGGCCAGGGTGAGTGGATCGCTTGAGGCCAGAAGTTCATGACCAGCCTGGCCAACATGGTGAAATTCCATCTCTATTAAAAATACAAAAATTAGCTGGGCGTGGTGGTGCACAGCTGTAATCCCAGGTACTTGGGAGGCTGAGGCACGAGAATTGCTTGAACCAGGGAGGTGGAGGTTGCGGTGAGCCGAGATCACACCACTGCACTCTGGCCTGGGCGACAGAGCGAGACTAGGTCTCAAAATAAATAAATAAATAATAAAAGTCACATAACATGAAAATCACCAAGTTAAACTGTATAATTCAATAATTTTTAGCATAGTCACAGTGCTGTACAACCATCACCAATATCTAATTCCAGAACATTTCCATCACCCCAAAACAACCCCCATACTACCTGTTAGCAGTCACTCCCCATCTTCCCTCCCCCATCCCCTAGCAACCTGAAAATCTACCTTCTGTCTATGGATTTGCCAAGTGGAATTAAACAATATGGCTTTTTGTGTCTGGCTTCTTTCAATCAACCTAATTTTTTGAGCTCATCCATACTATAGCATACATCATCAGCACTTTATTCCCTTTTATGGCTGAATAATATTCCATTGTATAGATATGCCATATTTTGTTTATCCATTCAGTTGACAGACATCTGAGTTGTTTCCACCCAACTATTTTGGCTGTTATGAATAATGCTACTATGCACAAGATTTTGTGTGAACATATGTTTTCAGTTCTCTTATGTATGTACCTAGGAATGGAATTGCTGAGTCATGTAGTAACTATGTTTAATTTTTCTGAAAAACTGCCACAAACTGTTTAGCAGAGTGGTTGAACTACTTTACATTCCCACCAACAATGTATGAGGGTTCCAATTTCTCCACATCTTTGCTAACATTTGTTATTTTCCCATTATTATAGCCCTTCTAGTGGTCGTGAAGTAGTATCCCATTGTGGTTTTCATTTTCATTTCCCTAATGATTCATGATATTGGGCATCTTTTCATGTGCTTTTTGGCCACTGATATATCTTCTCTGGAGAACTGTCTATTCAAACCCTTTGCCCTTTTTTTTGAAATGTGGTCTCACTATGCTGCCCAGGCTGTTCTCAGGGGATCCTCCCACCTCAGCCTCTCAAGTAGCTGAGACTATAGGCATGTGCCAACACATCTGGCTAGCTGCCCATTTTTTAACTGGATTGTTTGTCCTTTTATTGTTGAGTTTTAAGAGTTCCTTAAGGCCGGGTGCGGTGGCTCACACCTGTAATCCCAGCACTTTGGGAGGCTGAGGTTGGTGGATCACCTGAGATCAGGAGTTCAAGACCAGCCTGGCCAACATGGCAAAACTCCATCTCTACTAAAAATATAAACATTAGCTGGACGTGGTGGCACACACCTGTAATCCCGGCTACGCGGGAGGCTGAGGCAGGAGAATCGCTTGAACCCAGGAGGTGGAGGTTGAGTGAGACGAGATTGCATGCCACTGCACTCAGCCTGGACATCAGGGCCAGACTCTGCCTCAAAAAAAAAAAAAAAAAAAAAAAAAAATTAGCTGGGCATGGTGGTGTGCACCTGTAGTCCCAGCTACTCAGGAGGCTGAGGCAGAAGAATCACTTGAACCCAGGAGGTGGAGGTTGCAGTGAGCTAAGATCATGCTGCTGCACTCCTGCCTAGGCGACAGAGCAAGACTCCGCCTCAAAAAAAGAAAAAAAAAAAAAGAGTTCTTTATATATTCTGTATACTAGACCCTTATCAGGTATAATTTATAAATATTTTCTCTCATTCTATGAGTTATCTTTTAGCTTTCTTATTAGTGTCCTTTTGGACACAAACGTTTTTAATTTTGATAGAGTCTAGGCTGGGTGCAGTGGCTAATACCTGTAATCCTGTCACTTTGGCAGGCCGAGACAAGAGGATCTCTTGAGCCCAGGAGTTCGAGACCAGTCTGGGCAACAGAGTGAGACCTCATCTTTACAAAAATAAATAAATAAGATTTTTGTTTAAATTGACAGAATCCAATCCAAAGTCTTGTGTTTCTATCTAAGAGATTTTTTTTTTTTTTTGAGACACAGTCTTGCTCTGTCACCCAGGCTGGAGTGCAGTGGCACGGTCTCGGCTCACTACAATCTCCGCCTCCCAGGTTCAAGCGATTCTCTTGCCTCAGCCTCCCAAGTAAGTGAGATTACAGGTGCCTGCCACCATTCCTGGCTAATTTTTGTATTTTTAGTAGAGACGGGGTTTCATCATGTTGGCCAGACTGGTCCCGAACTCCTGGCCTCAAACAACCACTCGTCTCGACCTCCCAAAGTGCCAGGATTACAGGTGTGAGCCACCACACCCAGCCATCCATCTAAGAGTCTTATGGCTTGCATTGTTACATTTAGTCTTTAATCCACTTTGAGTTAATTTTTATATATGGCATGAGGTAGAGGTTCAACTTCATTCTTTTGCATGTGGAAATCCAGTTGGTCCAACACATTATTATTATTATTATTTTCTTGAGACGGAGTCTCATTCTGTTGCCCAGGCTGGAGTGTAATAGTGCGATCTTGGCTCACTGTAACTGCTGCCTCCCAGGTTCAGGCGATTCTCCCACCTCTGCCTCCCCAGTAGCTGAGACTACAGTCGTGTGCCACCATGCCTGGCTAATTTTTGTATTTTTAGTAGAGACAGGGTTTCACCATGTGGACCGTGCTGGTCTCAAACTACTGACTTCAAATGATCCACCCACCTTGGCCTTCCAAAGTGCTGGGATTACAGGTGTGAGCCACAGAACCCGGTCCCAATGCCATTTTTTAAAAAGACTAATCTTTCCCCATTGAATGGTTTTGGCGCCCTAGTCAAAAAAAAAAAAAAAAAAAATCAACTGACCACAAATGTATAATTTTCTTTCTGGACTTTCTATTCTATTCCATTGATCTATATCTCAATCCTTACACCAGTACCACACTTTCCCATGAGTTTTTTTTTTTTCCTTTTTCTTTTTTTTTTTTTTTTTTTTGACAGAGTCTCACTCTGTTGCCCAGGCTGGAGTGCAGTGGCACGATCTTGGCGGCTCACTGCAACCTCCACCTCCTGGGTTCAAGTGATTCTCCTACCTCAGCCTCCCAAGTAGCTAGGATTACAGGCATGTGCCACCAAGCCCGACTAATTTTTGTATTTCTAATAGAGATGGGGTTTCACCATGGTGGCCAGGCTGGTCTTGAACTCCTGACCTCAAGTGATCCACTCACCTCAGTTTCTCAAAGTGCTGGGATTACAGGCATGAGCCACTGCGCCTGACCAATTTTTGTATTTTTATTAGAGACAGTGTTTCGTCATGTTGGGCAGGCTGGTCTCAAACTCCTGACCTCAAGTGATCTGCCTGCCTCAGCCTCCCAAAGTGCTGGGATTACAGGCGTAAGCCACCACGCTCAGCCTGTTGTTATTGATGGCTTAGAAAAGTTTTCTTTTAGCACAGGAACATCATCAATAAATAATGTTATATCAACTTTTAGGACTATGGTCAAACCTGGGAAAATTCTTAACAAGTCTCTTTCATTAAAGCTACAAAATCTTAAAGAATTTTCCCCAGACTGGCTTTTGACATCAAACCTTGTTTTTCCTCTACTAACCACACACTTTGGGTGCCAGATGCCATAGGACACATTCATATTGCTAGACAACCTCTAGCTATGCACGTTTATGTCACAATGCCCCATGAGTTAGCACAACAGACATAGAGTATTCCTAGAAACCATTCCCATACTGGGATGGCTAGTAATACCTTGACTATACACAAAGAGGCTATGAACCATGTAAACATATCCTGCTAAAATCCAACTAAATATCTCTCCAAGTCAATTTCCCCATAGCCAGACCCCAAAAGTGCCCACAGCCATTCCAATGCCACCCAACATAAGGAAGAGTGTAACAAAGGGGAAGTCAGGTAAAAAGACGGCAATTTTAGCTGACTGTGGTTTAGATAACTTACATTTGCAAATTCTTCAAAGATATGTGACCACATACTGGCAATGTTCTGTTTCTTGATCTGGATGCTAGTTATATATGTGTGTTCAGTTTGTGAAAAATCTTAAACTACACACTTATAATATTTATGAATTTTCTCATTCATATATTATATACCAATAAAACTTTTTAAAAATTAACCAAGTGAACACATTGCTAGGGTCCCTCCCAGACCCTCAGATTGGGTCTTGAAAATTAAGCTTCAGGCTGGGCGTGGTGAGTCACACCTGTAATCCCAGCACTTTGGGAGGCTGAGGTGAGTGGATCACTTGAGGTCAGGAGTTCCAGACCGGCCTGACCAACATGGGAAAACCCTGTCTCTACTAAAAATACAAAAATTAGCCAAGCCTGGTGGTGCACATCTGTAATCCCAGCTACTTGGGAGGCTGAGGCAGGAGAATCACTTGAACCCGGGAGGCGGAGGTTGCAGTAAATTGAGATCGCACCACTGCACTCCAGTCTGGGCGACAGAGCGAGACTCTGACTCAAAAAAAAAAGAAAATTAAGGTTCATTAGTTTCAAAGAGATAATAGCAACTGGATATCATAAGATGTGGTGTCTAATACCAGCTATACCATGAATTACCCATGGGACTTGGAGAAGACACATATGCCTCCCTAAGCAATTTTCTCACCTAAAATGGGGAAGTTTAAGTCAGACTATAAACTCTAAGACTTCTTTCCAGTAGTCACTCAAGAAATACTTCCCAAGTACCCGTTACTGTTTGGCATCACATTAGGTAAATGAAACACACACACAATCCCTGCCCTGTGGGTGCTCCCCATCTAATAGGGATTAAAAAACAATGAGCAGCATTAGGTAAAAACTAATCGGAATAAATATGGATTTTAGTTAATAAAAGTGTACCAATATTGGTTCATTAATTATAACAAATATACCATACTAATGTAAGATTAGTTTAGTTAATAGGGAAAACTGGTTATGGAAATACAGGAATTCTATACTATCTTCAGATTTACAGATCTTTAGATTTACAGATTTTTCTTATCTTTAGACTTACAGGTTTTTCTATACATCTAAAAGTATTCTAAAATCAAAAGTTTATTTTTAAAAAGACAGTAAACAGGTAAATAAATGAATATTAAAAGAAATTGTGTTCAGTTCTCAGAAGTTAACAGGATATTATGGAGGTAGCATAATGAGAGTAGAGACTACTTTAGACAGACTACTTAGGAACTCTTTGAGATAATACAACTGACACAGAAAAATAAGAAGAAACAAGAGAAAGAAAATTCCTTCAAAAGAAAGAATATATACAAAGACTCTGAGGTGGAAGAGATTGGCCTTTTCAAGAAATTAAAAGAAAATCCACGTGACTAAAGCATAATGAGCAAAGGAAAGCCCAGTCAACAGGGGCAGATTATATAAGGTCTTGGATAAATAGTGTCTATTTCATTCAAAGTATAATGGAAAGACACTGGAGGGTTAAAGCAAGGAAGTAAAATCATCCAATTTACTTTTTTCTTTTTTAATTCATGAAGCTATACTGTGGAGAATGGATTATAGACGGGTTAAAGAAAAACAATGAGGCCGGGCACAGTGGCTCACACCTATAATCCCAGCACTTTGGGAGGCCAAGGCAGGCAGATCACGAGGTCAGGAGACCAAGACCATCCTGGCCAACATGGTGAAACCCCGTCTGTACTAAAAATACAAAAATTAGCTGGGCATGGTGGCGGGTGCCTGTGATCCCAGCTACTCAGAAGGCTGAGGCAGGAGAATCATCTGAACCAGGGAGTCGGAGATTGCAGTAAGCCGAGATCATGCCACAGCACTCCAGCTTGGCAACAGAGTGAGACTCCATCTCAAAAAAAAAAAAAGAAAAAAGAAAAAAAAGAAAAACAATGCAGACCCTATAGGGAAGCACTAACATCATTTTATTCTTAACCCTGAATTATAATATTTTTTCAATACAAAAATCATTCCAAAAAAAAACATTTCAGAGAATTAAAGAATTAAATTCACATATTCATATAAATTATTTTATTCAGATAGTATCTGCTTTTTTACCAATCTGCTTCTCTATGACCTTTATAATCCTTTATCAAAATAATTTATGGATTTTATACTTTAATAAGCTATCATAACTCTTCTAGAAGCTGCTGAAAATTTTTATGCCATTTGTTAAGTGCTCTGTAATAAAATTCCTGGAAATTCAAAGGTAGAACATAAAATAAATTATAAAAGCTGAAAATTTTTATCTATTAGATTAATATATCAAAGAATAAATAGTCCAACCCCCCAAAAAAAACAAAAAGTAGCAGCACCTGCTGCCACTGCCACCACCTGTGACAATTTTTTAAATGGCTGCAAATTCTTTGAAACTTCTTCTATCAAGATATGGGAGTTCATGTTCCCTCTCCTTGAATCTAGAATAGCCTGTAACTAACTTGTTTTGTAACCAATAGAATGCAGGTAGGACCTCCTAGGCTAAGTCAGAAAAGGAGATGTAACTTTCACTTTGTTCCTTGGACAATTCCTGCTGGTGCCCTGAGTCAGTCATGTTAGCAGTGTAGCTGCCGTAAAGCTGCCATAAACCAGCCCATGTAGACAGACCACATGGAGGCTCTGACATGACCTGAAGTGAGAGATATGCCCAGCCACCCCCCAGCAATTCCAGTTCCAGCCACCATCTGAATAAACACACAATAGACTCTGGGCCAAAATGACCCAATTAAGCCCCTTGCCAAATCCCTGACCCACAGAAACCATGAGATGATAAAACTATTAGTCTCACTCCAGCTGGAATGCAATGGCACAATCTCGGCTCACTGCAACCTCCACCTCCTGGATTCAAGCAATTCTCCTGCCTCAGCCTCCCGAGTAGCTGGAATTACAGGTGCATGCCGCCATGCCTGCCTAATTTTTTGTATTTTAGTAGAAACAGGGTTTCACCATGTTGCACAGGCTGGTCTCAAACTCCTGAGCTCAGGCAATCTGCCCGACTCAGCCTCCCGAAGTGCTGGGATTACAGGCGTGAGCCATCACGCCCGGCCCTAGGGTCATTTTTTATGCAGCAATTCTAATAAGCCCTTTCTAGCAAATATGTGATAATTCATGTGAATAATTGGGAGGAGGAGAAGAATTTGTTTGGCTAGCAATGCAGGTCGATTTTCCAGCTTCCAAGTATCTAAGGGATCTGGAAAAGCTATGTAATATTACTGTAACTCACAGAAAGCAAGGTACATCCTCCCTAAAGTCAGCATAATTGGCCTTATAATCTCTACAGATTCTTTACCTGCATCATGATTCTTCTATAGCAAAAGAGAATGGATAAATATACTTATCAGGCCACTGAGTAGTCAACTGAGAGCCTTGCACTATATAATCCTACTAAATGTAGTAGTTATTTATTATGGCCTAAATTAATCCCTGGCCTCTCCTGAAACAAAAATGAGTGAGCCATTTATTGCAGAAGCATCAAAACTGCCAAACAAAGCAAAAATTAAGTTTACTCTTTTGAACCAAGAATTATCACACATTACCACTAAGAAGGACAGACAGATCTTTTAAATTATGTTTATCAGCCATCCCTTTTTAAAACTTTCATTCATTTAATTAACACATATCTATTAAGCACTGTGTGTAGGCAAATATTAGTATGAATGAGTCTATAGCTATAAAGAAGTTCACAGTGCTATGGAGAAAACATCAACCAACCAATTTTAAGTTGAATTTTATTTATTTATTTATTTATTTTTTGAGACAGGGTCTTCCTCTGTCGCCCCAGTTGCAGTGCAGTGGCACACTCATGGCTCACTGCAGCTTCGACCTCCCAGGCTCAAGAGATCCTCCCACCTCAGCCTCCCTGGTGGCTGGGACTACAGGCATGCACCACCACGCCTGGCTAATTTTTTTGTATGTTTTGTAGAGACGGAGTTTCACCCTGTTATCCAGGCTTAAGTTGAATTTTACCCTTTATTTTTTACTTTGAGATAGGTTCTCGCTCTATCACCTGGGCTGGAGTACAGTGGCGCCATCACGGTTCACTGCAGCCTCAACTTCCTGGGCTCCAGTGACCCTCCCATCTCAGCTTCCCAAGTAGCTGGGATCACAGGCACGTCACCATACCCAGCTAATTTTTGTTTTTTTGGTAGAGTCGGAGTTTTGCCATGTTGTCCAGGCTGGTCTCGAACTCCTGAGTTCAAGCCACCCACCTGCGCTGGCCTCCCAAAGTGCTGAGATTACAGGCATGAGCCACTGCACCCGGCCTAAATTGAATTTTAAATCAATATATTAATACAATGAGAATTATGCTAAAGTAGTACAGGAGAATAAATAAGGGTGTGCTAGATGTTTTGTTTTCTATTTAATCCTCCAGATCTATTCTCCATCCTTTACCCTGTGCCCTAGGAGGCTGCCGTCATGTACTACATAAACTGGGCTCTTTGTTCTCTGGCTTTAAATCGGGTTCAATAAATGAGAAGCAACAACCAGGGTCTCTCTGGACTCCCACAACTACTCTCTCCCTTTGCCCTTGCT
The DNA here is from genome assembly GCF_000001405.40 of Homo sapiens. NCBI lineage: Eukaryota > Metazoa > Chordata > Mammalia > Primates > Hominidae > Homo > Homo sapiens. The sequence goes on from NC_000017.11 coordinate 64,643,593, forward strand.
GGGCCAAATATGGTGCAACTTCCTATCATTGCTAGTCCCTAGGTGCTGCACTATTCCTTGCTGGATTCCCGTAACCCTTCCCATACCATTGTAAATACCTGCTTCATTACACTCTTTGACCTAATTAAGAGTGTTACTTGTTTCCTATCAGGATACTAATAGAGAGGGACACCTAACTCAGTCTGGGGAAGCCTGGGAAGAATTCTCAGAGGAGATGATGCTTCAGCTACGTTTTTTGTTTGTTTGTTTTTTGAGACTGAGTCTCAATCTGTGGCCCAGGCTGGAGTGCAGTGGTGTGATCTCGGCTCACTGCAGCCTCTGCCTCCTGGGTTCAGGCGATTCTCCTGCCTCAGCCTCCTAAGTAGCTGGATTATAGGTGCGCGCCACCAAGCCTGGCTAATTTTTATATTTTTAGTGGAGATGGGGTTTCACCATATCGCCCAGGCTGGTCTCAAACTCCTGGAGTGCAGTGGCACAATCTTGGCTCACTGCAACCTCTGCCTGCTGGGCTCAAACCATCCTCCCACCTCAGCCTCCCAAGTAGTTGGGACTACAGGTACGCACCACACACCAGGCTAATTTTTGCAGTTTTTGTAGAGACGGAGTTTCACCATGTTGCTCAGGCAATCCACCTGCCTCAGCCTTCAAAGCGCTGGGATTTCAGGCATAAGCCACCGCGCCCAGCCTCAGCTATGTCTTAAAACTGGAGCACCAAGCTTGGTGGCTCATGCCTGTACTCCCAACAATTTAGGAGGTTAAGGCAGGAAGATCTAATTGAGCTCAGGAGTTTGAGACCAGCCTTGGCAACACATCAGAACCTCATCTCTACTAAAAATAGAAAAAAAAAAAAAAAATTAGCCAAGTATGGTGGCACATACCTATAGTCCCAACTACTCAGGAGGCTGAGGCAGGAGGAATGCTTGAGCCTGGGTGGTCCAGGCTGCAGTAAGCCATGATCAAACCACTGCACTCCAGCCTAGGTGACAAGAGCAAGACTCTGTCTCAAAAAAAAAAAGAAAAAAAAAAAAATGCTGAGTAGCCAGGCATGGTGGCTCACGCCTGTAATCACAGCACTTTGGGAGGCTGAGACGGGCGGATCACCTAAGATCAGGAGTTTGAGACCAGCCTGGCCAACATGGCGAAACTCCAACTCTACCAAAAAGACAAAAATTAGCTGGGCATGGTGGCGTGCCTGTGATCCCAGCTACTTGGGAAGCTGTCTCATGGTGAAACCCTGTCTCTACTAAAAATATACATATACACAAAAATTAGCCAGGCATGGTGGCAGGCGCCTGTAATTCCAGCTACTCAAGAGGCTGAGGCAGGAGCCGCTTCAACCCAGAAGGCAGAGGTTGCAGTGAGCCGAGATCACACCACTGCACTTCAGCCTGGATAACAAGAGCAAGACTGTCTCAAAAAAAAAAAACAAAACAAAGTGCTGAGTAGATTCGACAGGAAGACTAGGTGGGGAAGGAGGAAGATGGGTAACAGCATCATCTAAGGCAACAGCACTGTCAAAAACTTGGAGATACAAGAGATTATGAAATTTAAGAAAAGACAAGGAGTTCAGAGTGGTAGAACACAGTGGTATGATGGGAAGGCTAGGGCCAAATGATAAAGAGTTTTGAGATGCTGATATATTTAATAAATCTGTTTTCTATAATAAATAAATTTGAAGAAAAAGAAAATTCAGAGGAAGAAAAGAGAAAGCTATAGTTTAAACGATAATTAAGAGACATACCAACCCAATACAATGTGTAGACCTCTTCCGGATTCTGATTAAACAAACCACTTACTCAAAAAGGGAGAGGGGTATCAGGTACAGTGGTGTACAGCTGTAGTCCCAGCTTCTCTGGAGGTTGAGGCAGGAGGATAGGTTGAGCCCATGAGTTTAAGGCTGCAGTGTGTTATGTTCACACCTGTGAACACTAGTACACATCAGCCTGGGCAACACAGTGAGAACTTGTCCCTAAAAAAATAATTAAGAAAAATAGAAAAGTGGGGAGGAAGACAAGGAAGAGAATAATTGGACATGCATGTCTCCTTTTTGTTTGTTTTTAAATTCAAGACAGGGTATCGCTATGTTGCCAGGCTGGTCTCAAACGCCTAGGCTTAACAACCCTCCTGCCTCAGCCTTATGAGTAGCTGGGATTACAGACATATGCCACCACACCCAGGTGGACATGCATCTCTTAATGAGATGGATGGGGTTTTCTTACTTTCAATTACTTCATGTGTCTATTAATGACTATTACTTATTGCTGGAATGAGGGTACAACATAAATTCTAATCCCATTTTTCATTTTATACATATAAATGCTAAGAAAACCTATTCACATAAATAAGTAGGTAATGAAAGAAGTTTTGTTACAGCAATGCCATTAAATTCTTTGAGTTAGATGCCAAAAAAAATTACCAAGATCTATAATTTTAAAAAACTTTCTGGGAAATGGCATTTGACTTCACTATTTCTTATAATTTTTTTTTTTTTTGAGATGGAGTCCCGCTCTGTTGCCTAGGCTGGAGTGCAGTGGTGCCATCTCAGCTCACTGCAACCTCCATCTCCAGGTTCAAGCAATTCTCATGTCTCAGCCTCCCGAGTAGCTGGGATTATAGGCGCACACCACCATGCCCAACTAATTTTTGTATTTTTGGTAGAGACAGAGTTTCACCACATTGGCCAGGCTGGTATTGAACTCCTGACCTCAAGTGATCTGCCCGCCTCAGCCTCCCAAAGTGCTGGGATTATAGGCATGAGCCACTGGAATTTTTCTTTTTTTTTTTCTTTCTTTTTTTTTTTTTTTAAATTGAGACAAGGTCTGGCTCTATCGCCCAGGCTGGAGTGCAGTGGCACCATCTCGGCTCACTGCAACCTCTGCCTGCTGGGCTCGAGCCATCCTCCCACCTCAGCCTCCCAAGTAGTTGGGACTAGAGGTATGCACCACACACCAGGCTAATTTTTGTAGTTTTTGTAGAGATGGAGTTTCACCATGTTGCCCAGGCTGGTCTCGAATTCATGAGCTCAAGCGATCCATCCCTTCAGCCTCCCAAAGTGCTGGGATTACAGGCATGAGCCACCACTCCTGGCCCTATAAAAATTATTTTTAATGACCAGCTAAAACTTGATCAAGTCCTTCAATTTTGTTGAAAACTACAGAGAGAAATATGCCTGACTTATGAAAAGATGCTACCCAGTCATTGATATCACTGCCTTCTCACCAACATTCTGATTTGTCTCTCTGGTGGTGTGGAAGGCCTCTCACCACAATGTACTATTTGGGATGTCTGGCTAATGTGCCTTTCTTTGTAAAGTGGAAGGTAGAAAATATGAAAGATCAATCGTAGAATCTAGAAAGCCCCCTTAGAAATACCTATGGGCTTTCATTATTTTATTTCACCCTTACTGCATACACCATTAACTCTAGCACTGACTGTGGTTATTTCATCCATCAAGTCTTATCTGTTTGGTTACCTGCAAGTTCCCTGAAAGCAAGATAAAGGTCTTAACCTCTTCTTAAAATCCTAGAGCCTACATCTCAGTGTTAGGTGCATGTAAGACTCCCAGCAAATGTTTACTGAATGAATATGTAAATATGAGCATATTTCATCATTATTCTTAGTCTTCTTCCTTGCTAGAAAAAATACAATTAGGGGTTAACTAAGCTGGAAATCAGAAGAAACTGAAAAAAAAAGAAAAAAAAATCAGAAGAAACTGGGAAAGAGAAAACTAAAATATATGAAGCTTCAAATTTTATCACAATGAACTTTTGGTACATCTATCCTCATTTCTAAAGAACTGGAATAGAGGCCGGGTACGGTGGTTCACACCCGTAATCCCAGCACTCTGGGAGGCTGAAGCGGGCGGACCTGAGGTCAGGAGCTTGAGACCAGCCTGGCCAACATGGTGAAACCCTGTCTCTACTAAAAATACAACAATTAGCCAAGCATGGTGGTGGCAGGCACCTGTAATCCCAGTTACTCCGGAGGCTGATGAAGGCAAATCGCTTGAACCCAGGAGGGGGAGGTTGCGGTGAGCCGAGATCATGCCATTGCACTTCAGCCCGGGTGACAGAGTAAGACTCTGTCTAAAAAAAAAAAAAAAAAGATTTAGGGAACAAATTTCGTCAGATAAAAGGTGCTCATTTCACTTTCACTGGTTCAGATTACCTACAAAGACACCTTGGTAGACACAGTGGCTCATGTCTGTAATTCCAGCTACCAGGGAGGCTGAGGTGAGAGGACTGCTTGAAACCCAGAGTTCAAGACCATCCTGGGCAACAGTGAGACCCAGTCCTTAAAAACTTTTTTTCTTAATTAGCCAGGCACAGTGGTGAGCAACTATTGTCCTAGCTACTCAGGAGGCTGAAGCAGGAAGACTGCTTGAGCCTAGGAGTTCCAGGCTGTAAGTGAGCTACGATCATGCCACTGCACTCCAGCCTGGGCAACACAGTGAGACCCTATCTCTTAAAAAAAAAAAAAAAAAAAAAAAAAAAAAAAAAACAGGATCTCAATAGTAATTAAATGAGACAATAAATGAGAATATCTTAAAACCATAGAACTCTAAAAAAAAATGTTAAATTATCTTCCTAACATTGACAGACTACTTACATGTGACTTTTCTTAGATGATAATCCAGCAACAGATTTTATTCCAGTGAATGTTAGTGATCTTCATTTTGTTAAGCAGCAAAATTTGCAGTGTGGTAAAACAGTTCTATCCATCAAGTCAAATATTAACAAATGAACACTTCAGTCCTATATCTTTATAACTTAATGATGTTGAAATTACTAAGGTATAAATGTTAGTTAATTCAATAATGACATCACAAAGAGAGATCTTATTTGTTTCAACTGAGGTCCCTGAGATCACGAAAGCCTGTTTTCAATTTCATCATTCTTTAATTCACAAATGGCTCACACATGTAACTCCAGCATTCTGGGAGGTCAAGACTGGAGGACTGTTTGAAGCCAGGAGTTTGAGACCAGCCTGGGCAACATAATGAGACTCCATTTCTACAAAAAATTTAAAAATTACACCAGCATGGTGCCACATACCTATAGTCTCAGCTACTCAGGAGGCAGAGGCAGGAGGATTACTTGAGCCCAGGTGGTCAAGGCTATAGTGAGCCATAAGCCTGAGCGACAGAGTGAGACCCTGTTTCAAACAAAAACAAAAACAAAAAACAAAACACACACACACACACAATTTATTGAAGTACTACATATGCAGCACTATGTTAGAGATGGTATTTTGAATCTATCAAATGCCGTTTTACTTTTCCTTATAGTTTTTTTTCCATCCTTCTTTCTCTACAAAATTCCCCAAGTTCAACTGTAAAAAATCTCTATCAACCTTATTTATGGTATTAGATTCATACAATTCTGAATAATCTTACCAACCAATCAGTGTTTTCTTCTTCACTGGAGGAAGAAAGTTACATGTAAAGCCTGATGACACAAAAATCACAAAAATAAAAACAGAATTACTAATGTTTGCAACTCTACTATCTACTCCTACAACATGTAGCATTTAAAGAGTTTACATAAGAAAGCTCACACTAAAGTATGATTTTTCATTACACATTGGAGTCAAATTTTCAGTTTCTAACTCTTCAACACCATTTATTCCAAGCACACTCATTTAGACTTTGGGTTTCAGTTTTACAGGTTTTTACATACCCTGACATCTATCAGTGCAGAAATACCCCCATCTACTGGCAAGAGGTGACGCTACAGGCTACTTTTGAAAGCGCCAGCATGCTACAGAGGAATTTATCAAGTCATAAAGAGTTCATCCAAACAGCTCCCCAATCTACAATCCAACTCCAAAATCCTGAGCCATCTTCTACTTCTTACCAAACATTGGGGGATGGAAGGAACAGAGAAGTATAGTTAATCGGTTAAATGGCTGCCATATTAAGATAAAAATGGTTTATAAAAATATATTTTTAAATATTTAAAATATTGAGGCCGGGTGCAGTGGCTCATGCCTGTAATCCCAGCACTTTGGGAGGCTGCAACGGGCGTATCACTTAAGATAAGGAGTTTGAGAAACAACCTGGCCAACATGGTGAAACCCTGTCTCTACTAAAAATACAAAAAATTAGCCAGGCATGGTGGTGCGTGCCTGTAGTCCCAGCTACTGGGAAGGCTGAGGTGGGAGAACTGCTTAAGCCAGGGAGGCAGAAGTTGCAGTGAGCTGAGATTGCACCACTGCACACCAGCCTGAGTGACAGAGCGAGACACCATCTCAAAAATAAAATATTGAAAATATTTGATTAAAATATTGAAACATAAATACCTAATTATATTTCATTATATGAATACTTCATGATATGCTGATACAAGACATTTATGCCTTTTTTTTCTTGCCTAGCTAGGATTTCAATCCAAAATGCTTACTTTAAAAGACATGTATCATTTAAATAAATATATATTAATCATTATTAATGTCGTACCTGCTCTTATAAAATATAATCGGTTTTCACCAATTTCTTTAAAACAAAATCCGTGGTCAAAAATGACAAAGTACGTTTACAAAAAACTTTACACCTTGAACAGTATCTTTCATGTACATTATTCCATCATATTGCTAAAATAAATAAGACTTGCCTTTTTTTTTTTTTTTTGAGACCATGTCTCACTATGTTGCCCAGGCTGGTCTCGAACTCCTGAGCTCAAGCAATCCTCCAGTCTCAGCCTCCTAGACAGCAGGGATTACAGGCACACACCATCACACGGGTTTTTTGTTTTTTGTTTTTTTTTTTGGTATTTTCACACCTGGTTTTAACGCTGTCATTTTAAGCATGCATTTATAACTAAAGGCACAAGCACAGAGAAAATAAGTGATTTGCTTAGATGCACAAAGCTTATACATGGCATAACTAGGATACGAACTCACATTTTCTGCCTCCAATTCTATACTCTCCACAACATTCTGACTACCTCTCATAAAATGACCAGGCACAGTGGCTCATGCCTGTAATCCCAGCACTTTGGGAGGCCGAGGTGGGCGGATCACTTGAGGTCAGGAGTTCGTGACCAGCCTGACCAACATGGTGAAACCTCATGCCTACTAAAAATACAAAATTAGCTGGGTGTAGTGGCAGGCACCTGTAATCCCAGCTACTGGGGAGGCTGAGGCAGGAGAATTGCTTGAACCTGAGAGGCTGAGGTTGCAGTGAGTGGAGATCGTGCCTGGGCAATACAGTGAGACTGTGTCTCAAAAAAACAAAATTACCAAGTATATCTTACATAGAAAATGAGATCTACATTATGGATTTCTGCTTTGTGACAGTGCCTAGGAATGCACGGTGGTTAAAAAAAAAAAAATCTGCTGGCTGGGCGCGGCGGCTCACGTCTGTAATCCCAGCACTTTGGGAGGCCGAGGTAGGCTGATCACCTGAGGTCAGGAATTCAAGAACAGCCTGGCCAACACAGCAAAACCCTGTCTCTACTAAAAATACATGGTGGCGGGTGCCTGTAATCCCAGCTACTTGGGAGGGTGAAGCAGGAGAATCACTTGAACCCAGGAGGCGGAGGTTGCAGTGAGCTGAGATCGCGCCATTGCACTCCAGCCTGGGCGACATAGCAAGGCTGTCTCAGAAATATATATATTTTTGTGTATATATATATGCTTACATTTTAATAAAATTAAGTTTCTTCCTTTCTTTTGCCTTGGAGAAAAAATATACACATAAAGCTGGGCGCGGTGGCTCACGCCTGTAATCCCACACTTTGGGAGGCTGAGGCGGGTGGATCATTTGATGTCAGGAGTTCAAGACCAGCCTGGCAACATGGTGAAACCCTGTCTCTACTAAAAATATAAAAATTACACGGGCATGGTGGCGCGCGCCTGTAGTCCCAGCTACTCCAGAGGCCAAGGCAGAAGAACTGCTTGAACCCAGGAGGTGGAGGTTGCAGTGAGCCAAGATCGTGCCACTGCATTCCAGCCTGGGCGACAGAGCAAGACCCTACCTCAGAAAAAAAAAAAAAGAGAAGAAAAGAAAAGAAAAAATATACACATAAAATAATGCAAGCAAAAACAGGCCAGGCGCAGCAATGGCTCAGACCTGTAATCCCAGCACTTTGGAAAGCCAAGGCAGGGGATCACTTGAGGCCAGGAGTTCAAGACCAGCCTGGGTAACACAGTGAGGCCCCATGTCTACAAAAAATAAAAAAATTAGCTGGGCACGGTGATGGATGTTTGTAACCCAGCTATTCAGAAGGCTGAGGCGGGAGGATCACTTGAGCCCAGTTCAAGATCGCAGTGAGCTCTGATTGTGCCACTGCACTGCAGCCTGGGTGACAGAGACCCTGTCACAAAAATAATAATACAAGCAAAAACGATAAATACTCATAATCCAACCCACACTTAACACACCAATCACCTCCTTTCTTTTCTATGGTCACATTTTAGATATGTTTATTCTTTATATCCCACCTTTTTCCAAAAACATGACTGATAGCTGGTAAACAGACACTTACGTTAAGTCATGGTTGTTGCAATCCTCTTTCATCACATCAGTAAGAGATGAAAAAGACTAATAATTTTAAAATGTAAGGTTCATAATAGAAATTCTGAAAGGAAAACTACAGGGCCCAATCTAGGCTTTTCCTAATTTCTTATATCTGCATTTATGGCACCACGTAATAAAAATAATATCTGTCACAGATCAAAAATGATAAATACTTATTGGCTGAACAAATTAAACAGCCGCTCCAAAGCACTACAAGATCCTAAATCAAAGACTCAATTTGTTTGAAAGCTGCTTTATTTTAAAGCTATAGTAATCAAGACAGCATAGTGTTAAAACAAATAAACTTAAAGGGTAGAATCATAAAGAAAACACAGGAGAGTCCAGAAATAGAATTCTATGTATACTGTCAACTGATTTGTTTGTTTGTTTGTTTTGAGACAGAATCTCGCTCTGTCGCCCAGGCTGGAGTGCAGTGGCACAATCTCAGCTCACTGCAACCTCCACCTCCTGGGTTCAAGTGATTCTCTTGCCTCAGCCTCCCGAGTAGCTGGGATGACAGGCACCTGCCACACACCTGGCTAATTTTTTATTTTTAGTAGAGACGGGGTTTTGCCATGTTGGCCAGGCTGGTCTAGAACTCCTGACCTCATGTGAGCCTCCTGCCTCGGCCTCCCAAAGAATAGGCATGAGCAACCGCACCTGGCCTGTCAACTGATTTTCTACCAAGGTGCCAAGACAATTCAATGGAGGAAACAAAAGTATTTTCAACAAATAGGGCTACAAAAATAGAATATCCATATGAAAAAAAAATCATGACACTTACTTCTCACAGCATATTAAAAAATTAACTTGAAAATAAGTTTAAATGTATGAGTTAAAATTATAAATAATGCAGAAGAAAACACAGAGAAAATCTTTAGAACTCTGGGTTAGAAAAAGACTTAGGACTCAAAAAACATGAACCACAAAAGAAAAACACTGATAAACAGGTTTCATCAGCATTCAAAACTTCTTCTCTTTGGGACATCTTTTGGGGGGCGGTGGGGGAGCTACAGTCCGGGAGAAAATATTTGCAAAGTATATATCTCATAAAAGGCTTATATCCAGAATACATAAAGAATTCTCAAAACTCAATAAGAAAACAATCCAATTTTAAAACATGAACAAAAGATTTGGATATTCACCAAAGATTATATGGACAATAAATAAGTCCATTAAAATGTGCTTAAAACTGTAGGTTATTAAGGAAGTAAAAATTAAAGTACCATGAAATATCTGTACCTACCAATTAGAATGGCTAAAATCAAAGACAGTATCAAGTGCTGACTAGGATGAGGAACTACTGAAACTCATACAATGCTGGTAGAAATGCAAAATGGTACAACTTTGAAAAAAAAAAAATTTTTTTTTTTGAGACAGAGTCACCCACACTAGAATGCAGTGGTGTGAGCACAGCACCGCAGCCTTAACTTCCCAGGCCCAATCAATCCTCCATCAGCTTCTCAGGTAGCTGATACTACAGGCACAGGCCACACCCGACCAATTTCTGTATTTTTTGTAGAGACGGAGTTTTGCCATGTTGCCCAGGCTGGTCTCAAACTCCTGGGCTCAAGCAATCCGCCCAGCAGATTTTTAAAAAGTTAAAATGCATACTTTCTGTATGATGCAACAATCCCACTCATTTACCCAAGGGCAAGAAAAACATGTTCACAAAGAGCCATGTACTCAAATGTTTATTCGTAATGGCCAAAAACTGGAAACAACAAATGTCTGCAGATATTTATAAATGGATAAACAAATTGGTGTACAATGCAGTATTCCTCAGGAATGAAAAGGAACAAAGTACTGATACCCAGCATGAATGGATCTCAAAAGCATTACGCTAAAAGAAGCCTCACCCAAAAGACTGCAGACAGTATGATTCCATTTACTCAAAATCCTAGAAAAGGCAAAATTATAGTGACCGAAAACAGATCAGTGGTTGACAAGTTCTCGGTATTGAAGAAGACAACTGGCTACAAAGAGGTAAGAGAAAATGTTTTGGGAAGAAACTTTTTGGGAAGAAATGGGAAGAACATTGCATGATTGCAATCATCCACGTGGTAATTCCTCCCTAAAAATGAATCATCGAGGTTTATTTAAAAATTTAAACTTTATGTCTGCTACCAATTTTTGTACAAAACCAAACCAAACTGCCAAACTTCAGATTATCTGTTGACACTTTTTAATATAATATCAAATGTGGTTTTAAAAAAGGTAGCCAATGCCATCAGAAGCTATTCTAAAACAGAGTTGGTCTGAAACTATTCTTGTTCAGAAGACTGCTCGTATTTAAAAAATTTTTAATGAAATAAAATTTCTCACTTTGTTCAACTACTTATATGTTGGAGAGAAATCCGAGAGAAAAGAAAAATTTTAAGTGTTAACATTCAACTGTAACAAGTACCAAACACTGACACCTAGAAAACCAGCCATCAGCTGGGTGCGGTGGCTCATGCCTGTAATCCCAGCACTTTGGGAGGCCGAGGCAAGCGGATCACCTGAGGTCAGGAGTTTGAGACCAGCCTGACCAACATGGAGAAACCCCATCTCTACTAAAAATACAGAATTAGCCGGGCGCGGTGGCACATGCCTATAATCCCAGCTATTCAGGAGGCTGAGGCAGGAGAATCGCTTGAACCCAGGAGGCAGAGGTTGCAGTGAGCCGAGATGGCGCCATCGCACTCCAGCCTGGGCAACAAGAGCAAAACTCAGTATCAAAAAATAATAATAATAAATAAATAAATATAGAGATGAGGTCTCACTATGTTGCCCAGGCTGGTCTCGAACTCCTGGGCTCAAGTGATCCTCCCATCTTGGCCTCCCAAAGTGCTGGGATAACAGGCGTGAGTCACCACACCCAGCCAAAATTCTTCTAATCAAGCAAAATACATATAACTGCATTCCTAAATACAAGCAATAACTAGGATTAGAAAACACAACGTAAATCACACAAATATAAATTATCTGAAATTAAATTCAAACACAGGAAGAAAATTATAAAGCTATCCTGAACAATATGGGCCAAAGCTTAAATAAATGTAAAAAACATATCATGTTCCTGGGTGAGAAAACTAAATAAACTTAGATACTTCTTTTTCCCAAAGTAAAGCAATTCTAATGACAATCCCAATGAAATGTCTTTTTTTTTTTTTTTTTTTTTTTTTTGGAGACACAGTTTCACTCTGTCGCCCAGGCTGGAGTGCAGTGGCATGATCTCGCCTGCAACCTCCACCTCCCAGGTTCAAGCGATTCTTGTGACTCAGCCTCCCCAGTAGCTAGGATTACAAGTATGTGCCACCACACTCAACTAATTTTTGTATTATTAGTAGAGACAGGGTTTCACCATGTTGGCCAGGCTGGTCTCAAACTCCTGACCTTAGATGATCCACCATCCTCAGCCTCCCCAAAGTCCAAGGATTACAACCGTGAGCCACCATGCCCGGCCCCAATGAAACTTCTTATTAAACTTAACAAGTTTAATATTTATGTGGAAGAAAAAAATAAGACTACCAAAACAAATGAAAAGAAATTGGGAGGCCAAGGTGGGCAGATCACTTGAGGTCAGGAGTTCGAGACCAATCTGACCAACATGGTGTAAACCCATCTCCACCCAAAAAAAATACAAAAAAAAATTAGCTGGGAGTGGTGGCATGCACCTGTAATCCCAGCTACTAGGGAGGTTGAGGCAGGAGAATCACTTGAACCCAGGGGTCAGAGGCTCCAGTGAGCCAAGATCACGCCACTGTACTCTAGCCTGAGTGACAGAGTGAGACTCCGTCTCTTTAAAAAACTGGCCTAGTGAGAATACTAAACTAAATTATAAAGCTACAATAAAAAAAACAGTATGGCACTGAACAAGAGCTATATCTGACTCTATAACTAATATAACTGAAAAGATACTACATCACTGTGGAAAGGAAGAATTGGTTAATAAATAATGACAAGATGGCTAAATAGCAATTGCAGGGGAAATAGTTTATTAAACCATTTTTTAAAAACATTAAATATAATGTACTTATTTATCAAACTTCTTGGAGAATAAGTTCTTCCAAGTATAGAATAGGAAAAACAAAACAAAAGTTGGACAGATTTTGACTCCTAAGATAACACATTTCTACATGTCCAAACAATGAACAATATTAAAAGACAAATAATTCATCATGGAAATGTTTGTAGCAAATATGACAACAGGTTAATATATTTGTAAGTCTCAGGTAGATCAATAAGAAAAACACTAAGGCTCTAACATAACTAGGACAAGGCCAAACAAGTCAATGAAAATAAATATCATTAGTAAACAGACAGGAAAATATTCTGCTTCACGAATGTTTAAATGGCACATGCCATGAAATTAGCAAAAAATGTAAAATGCAATTAGCTTATACTTATAACAGAATAGTAAAAAGGGACATCTTTATTTACTGCTGCTCTAAATAGGTCCAACTCTTGTAAGAAGCAGCCTAAAGGAAAAATTACTCATGAAACCTTAAAAATATCCACACACTTGAACTCAGTAACACTATTTTTATGGAAGCATCCTAAAAAAAAAGAATCCTTAAAAAAAAAATCAAAGTTACCTACACCAAGATGTTTACAGCAATTATTTGTAATAAAAAATTTGGAAATAAACATTCAAACAAAAAAATCTGAACGATGGTTGCTGTTGAATCTGCTTAACCAGTTATCCTAAAACCAGTCTTCATGGTTCCCATTCCAGTCCATCCTCCATACTGCTCCCAGATTGTGTCTAAACAGCAAATATATTAAAGCTTAAAATCCTGCAATGGTTCCCCCCACCTTAAAAAAAATGAACATCTTGGCAAACTACAGTAAGGTCCAAACTAGGTTGGTCCCTGTCTAGAGCCTCACCTCTTGCCACTCATACCCAATGCATTAGCCATAAAGAACACATGCAGAACTATTCGGAAGTATTTATAGCTCTCCAGCATTCATTAAATAAAATGCCAAAAAGGTCTTAATCCATACTCACACAAGGATGCTGGCTTCATGGCACTTAAAGCATAGGAACAATAAACGCCTACCAGTGGGTTAGGTCTGGTACTAGAAGAGCTTCTTAGAGTCATAGAGGACAGTTCAACTCAGGTCAGGGAAAGTTCTAGGGATAACAGTAATCTTTGAGTTGAGCCTTAAAAGATGGGCAAGTATTGCTAGGGGCGAGGGCATTCATAATTATACTGAGTCATGAATAAAACATTAAGTTCTACTAAGTATGGTCTATTTGAAAAGAGGAGGACATATTACGTCTTTAAGACTCTCACCAAAAAAGGCTCAAATAGGCCAGGCATGGTGGCTCACACCTGTAATCCCAGCACTTTGGAAGGCTGAGGCAGGAGGATCTCCTGAGCACAGAAGTTCAAGACCAGCCTGGGCAACCTGGAGAAACCCCATCTGTACTGGAAAAAAAAAAAAAAGGTAAAAAAATCAGCCAGTCACAGTGGCATGGACCTGTAGTCCCAGCCAGTTGGGAAGCCAAGGTGGGAAAATCACCTGAGCCGGGAGGTCAAGGCTGCAGTAAGCCGGGATTGCTCACTGCACGCTGTTGCCACTGCACTCCAGTGTGGGCAACAGAATGAGATTCTGCCTCAAAAAAAAAAAAGGCTAAAATAAAAATCTTGTATGCCTAAGCATGACCCTTCATTTATCTTTAAAACTGAGTTATGTTAAATGAGATGTTAGTATGTTGTGATAGTAATAGCTCAACCAACAAGAAAAAAGTAAAAGTGATGACTAAAATACACAGACTTTATTACGAATACCAAACTACAAAAAGGACCTTGGCATGTTCTACTGCCTGCCTGAAGAGGGTCAGACTAGAAGACAGAATTTAAAAGAAAAGGAAGGAGCTCAACTACACTGGCTTCCTCCTCAGAAACCAAGAAAATAAAACAAATTGGGGACATTCAAATCACTAACACCTCTAGTATATAAAGTCATTATGGGCCGGGTGCCGTGGCTCATGCCTGTAATCCCAGCACACTGGAAGGCTAAGGCGGGCGGATCACCTGAGGTCCAGAGTTTGAGACCAGCCTGGCCAACGTGGCAAAACCCGTCTCTACTAAAAATACAAAAAAAACCAGCCAGGCGTGGTGGTGGGCGCCTGTAATCCCACCTACTCGGGAGGCTGAGGCAGGAGAATCACTTGAACCCGGGAGGTGGAGGTTGCAGTGGGCCGAGATCAAGCCCTTCAACTCCAGTCAAGAGTGAAACTCCAACTCAAAAAATAAATAAATAAAGTCATTATGATGTATAGGCATACTTAAAAACCTGTGAAATAGAATTAAGCTACAATTTTTAAAGCCTTGAATCGATAAAATATGTAGTGAAACAAGATTAAGACGCTAGCATATCTAAAGGGAAATTTTTAAAGTTAAACTTCCTTACATTATAGACAAGGTTAACCTCCTTATTGCCAAGGGCTTTGAAATTAATAACATGAGAAGCAGCATACAAAAACATTAAATGTATAAAAAGGTCTGAAACAAATGTTCTGGAGGAGTAATCTTATTCTGCTTCTCCATACCTAAGAATTTAAAATATTAGAAATTACACTAAACTGCTTTTTCCAGCCTTTGGTTTTCAGAAACAATAATGGTATAAAAAATTATCCCAAAGTTTTTACTGTAAAGAATATTTTTCTATCCAAACCATTGAAAGAAAAGCCTGTATCAGATATAAGTATAATGATATAGACATTATACATTTTGTAATCAATGTTATAGAAACAGTAGTTGAAGTTGATAGTGTTACCATACAGCCCATTTCAATGATCATATGTTAATGTGTCATAAAGAACAGAAGTAGCTTGATGGATGAAATCAGATTCTAACCCCCAACTGCCTGAGGAATCTAAAATTTGGGATCAAATTATTAAATTAGCCCCACCTTCTTAGCATTGACAAATACCAAACAGTTCACTGATTGTGGTTTTAAGAATAATATGTGGAAAGGTTTAATATCAATTGTGGGCAGAGATCTCATGGCTTAAATATTTCCTCTTCTTCAGAGAGAGTGTGTATGAGTGTGTGAGTGTGTGTGTGTGAGTGTGTGCATCACCATGTAAGAAATGTTTATACCTTTCAGCAAAGGGGCAATTCCACAATAAAGTTATTATCAAGTAACTAAAGTTTATACAGCATCTTGAAATCAAAGGTACTCTATAAATTTAAAATACTAATATGGTATTAACTTAAAGCAAAGAACAATAATTTTAAAACACCTTATAGCCCAAGTGTATTGTAAACCAAATATAAATTCACTGTGGGATCTGTCTTTTTTTAAGTGATTTTTTTTCCTCTATTAGGCAACCCAGATCTAAATGAACTGTTAAACACTTAGTCTAAAGGTATGCCAAACATTTCTTAAGGTCTTCACAAAGAATCAACTTTTTTTTTTTTTTTTTTTTTAAACAAAATGAGGCCTAGGTTAAATATTTTATTTGGCTTCTCAAGATGGACTGAGAAGTTGGGCACCAGCTCCAGACCAATTCCTGGACGCACATCAAACACAGCCCTGTCATTTATCCAGTCAGTCAAAACAATCTTTTCCATCTAACCCTTTAATGTTTATGTCCTAAAAAGCTGCTAATTGAATCCAGCTCTTGAGATCTATTTGCTAAAATCTATACCATCTAATTTATAAATGATGAACAAAAATGGAAGAAAAAATATGTTAACTTTCCTGGCAAAACAGAAGAGACTCCACTGTAACCAAAGAAGGAAGGACAATGTTTTTAATATTTGTCAAATTTTAAGAGAAAACTATTCAGAGACAAATAGTTGTAAGAAACTCAGAGTACCTCAAACTGTTTTTACTATTAAGAGGACACAGGGTATTTAAAATTCCTCAGAAAAACCTGAAACAAAATCACTATAAATGTAGTTCAATATTCCCCCTTCCCCTAAAATATAAGCATAATCTTTCCTCTTAATAAACTTTAATTATAAATTCTTATAATGTATCATAGGCAGTACGGAAACCACAGATAAACACTTTAAGATCTATTAAGTCATACTAAAAACCTCAACTAACCTTATCTGCAGAAAATCAAAAACCCAATTTTTTCCCTCATTTTCTCTACATAGCCCAGAGGAGGGTAAATGGAAACAGCCTATTTCTGATGCTTTCTGCACACCTGGGATCACATGTTCTTTCCACGATCACTGACTACAGACAGCAACAGCAACAGATAAACTCTAAAGCAACAAAGATCCCCTATAAAGGTTTCCACTGACTCCTCCCAATGTAAGGACACTGAATGAGGGGGGAGGGGGTGGAATACAAGTATCCTCCAATCCAGGTTTTCCATTAAGAATCACTCAGTTAATGATTCCCTGCAATTTTCCCTAGGGAAAGGAAAACTGCCATGAAAGTAATATATTATTTAAATTGCAGCCAACATACATTCAAGCTAAATTCTCAAATACCAAATTCACTGCAAGTTTTCATCCAGCAAGTTCAGCCAGTGGACTGGGATGTGACACACAGGCATTTAACTACAAAATTAGTCCAAATAAATCTCAAAGTCTAGTGTGGGCAAACATAATTACAGTTTATCCGTACACGTGCACGCACACACAAATCCTCTACGGAAAATTATCTTTCTCACCACTCACCCGAATACAAACGTGGACAATTTATCAGGGGTAAATGGTGAAGGTAGGATAACGCCGTGATTCCAATTCCTTTACAAACCAAATAAAAGTTCTCCTAAAACGGGGGTGGCATGTCCATGTAAGAATACCAAAAATGGCACTGTAAGCAAAACGTACCTGTAATGTTAAAGATTTCATGCACCTGGAATCATAAACACTTTGTAAGTGTAGTCTTCTATCTGGCAACCCCTCCGGACATTCTTTTCCATTTCGAAAAAGGAATGGGGAGGGTGGGGAGAGTAACAGAAAGTTTGCTCGAAAGTTTGTATGAGCACATACTTAGCAATGCACCCCCCCCAAAAAAGTGTGTTTTTAAAGCAGGTCTGGCGTTAGAAGTTAGACACAAGTTCTGCGGCCTAAAAGGAACAACCCCAAACATGCCACCCTACAATCAGACACTTCCAAAACACAGTGTACAATGAGCCCAAGCCGTCGGATCAGACAGGCACACCGGAAAAGTCAACCTGTCTCCTCACCTCAGAGACATGAGTTTAAGGTGTGTGGCCCGGGCAGCGGTGGCCGGCGGCGGGGAGTAAAGGTTTTTCATGCGGGCATAACTGGGTGTGTGCAAGGTAACAACCCGGGAACACACACGCACACCCTCCCGTTAAGCGCTCCATCTTTAAGGAGTGTTTACTGCGCGCAGTCAGCAACCGGATTCAATAATCCTCGCCACGGGAGCTCTTCATCCCCTTCACGATCTCACCTGGGCGGTAGCCCAGGGGCTGTTCCCCGAGCCCCGGGAGGCAGCGTCTGGCTCCTTGACCAAGACTTTCCGACCTGAAATCCGCCTGCGATGCGAACCGGTGTATTCTCCCCTCCACAAAACACCACCCCCCGCCCCGAGTCATCCTCGGCTTTTTAAACAATGTCCAAACCAGAGCAAGTGGTTTTCCAATTACTCTCCCTGAACTAGGCCTTCCCATTCCTCCGACCCCCAACTCATCATTGATCGCGACCCTGGCCCTTCCCAAGGCCACAGGCACCCCCCGCCAGCTCGCCCACCCCGCGGCTGCCCAGCCCGGCCCGCCGCCCCCCCTCACCTGTCAGGCGCAGCTTGACGGGCCCGTTCCTCCGGCCTCCGGGGTTAGACATGTCCCCGGCGGCGGGGGCGGCGGGGGCGGCGGGCGGCACGGGGGCGACGGCGAGGCGCGGCGGAGTCACCACAGCGGCCGGGGCTGGGGCCCGAGCAGCCGGCGCCTCGGCCGCCACGGCCGGAGGGTCCCGGATGTGCCGAGAGTCGTCGCCATGAGCCGCGGAGGGAGCGGGACGCCGAGCTCCCCCCTCCTCCCACTTCTCCTTCCTCGGCCCGGGCCGCACAACAAAGCGGCAGCCGCGGCCGCCCGCGCCGCCTCCGCCCGCGCCCCCGCCGCCTCCTCGCGGCCGCCGAGGCCTTTCCCTCCTCTCGTCTCGGCGAGGCCCAGTAGCCGACGGGGCTGGTCGGCTGAAGCGGGCGGTGCTCGGGGGCGCCGGAGCAGAACTCTGGGCTCGGCCGCTTCCTCCTCCACCCGCCCTCTTGTCTGAGGGACCCGGGACCTGGGGCCGCCGCCGCCACTCGTCGGCTCCGGGGGGCGGGGAGGAGACGGGAGGCGGGGCCGGCGGGGCGGGGCGGGGCCGGGGCGGGGCCGGCGGGCGCGCGCAGGGTGCCCTGGCGGGCACCGGCAGTCAGGGAGGGTGTGAGCTGCCGCCGAGGGTCCCACGCGGAACGCTGGGAGGGAGCAGGCAGGGAGCAAAGCGGCGGCGGGCGCGGCAGCTCTGTGGCACCTGGAGGGGTTTACTGTCCGGGCCACTTAAGGGAGAACTTTTGTCCAAGCAGGGCCAACTGCATTTTATTAGACGCCCACTGCGTGCAGGGCGCTCCGAGAGGCTGGGGCGAGGAAGGTTAGAACCGAGTCCGCTGCCTGCCGGGAACTTGGCGTCTTTCGGGCGAGGGAAGAGAAAGCATTCCCACGCCGATGGTTCCAGCAAAACCCCAGGAATGCTCTGCTCCTGGTCTTGTAGTTGACACCTCCATCCGGGACTCACCTGGTGGAGGAGATCAGGTTACCTGCCGACTCCCGCTCTTTTCAGGTGCAGCCAAGGATGGGGAGATGATACGTCTTAAAGGATTAACAAGATAAACCTTGGAGAGTAATGTATGAAGAGTTGTTCATACGCTACTGTATTTCGTTATCTCAGGAGGAGAAAGAGAAAAGTTTTTAAAAAATGTGTACCTTATCCTTTGACATTGTAACTGTACTGCTAGAAATTTATTTTTTATTTTTTTGTTTTTAGACAGGGTCTCCCTCTGTCGCCCAGGCTGGAGTGCAGTGGTGCGAACACGGCTCACTGCAGTCTCAACTTCCGGGGCTCAGGTGATCCTCCCACCTGAGCCTCTGGAGTAGCTGAGACCACAGTGTGCACCACTACGCCCCACTAATTTTTGTATTTTTAGTAGAGACATGTTTAGTAGAGACGTTTAGGTTTTCCCATGTTGCCCAGGCTGGTCACGAACTCCTGACCTCAAGCGATCAGCCCGCCTCGGCCTCCCAAAGTGCTGGGATTACAGACCTGAGCCACCGCACCGGCCCTATTCTTGACAAATAATCGTACAGAAGATGTTCTTTGCTATATTCCATTAATAACAAAAGGGGAATGAGGGAATAGCATAATAGTCCAGGAACCGCATGGTTTTTTATGCAGCCATGTAACTATTTTTATGAAGATCATATAATATGGAAGAATGTATATGTAATGCAAAGTTTAAAAACAGAATAGAAGTTGTATGCATATACATGCGAAAGTATCTAGCACAATGTAAACTACTAAGGACAATAGCGTGGGGGATTTTTTATGTGATTCGTTAGTTTTGCTTTAGGCTATTATAACATTAATGCAATTTTAAATGTTTTGGATTAATATATTTTAATCCTTATTCCATGCCAGTCATTTCTTTTAATACATCAGTGAACTCACTTCTCCAGATAGTTACCTGCGAGAACATTTCATCAGTTTGGATACAGCCCTACAATTAAAAGTAATCCAAAAAAGTATATGAAGTTCTAGACATCACACTAAAAATACCACAGATAGGCCGGGCACAGTGGCTCACGCCTGTAATTCCAACACTTTGGGAGGCCGAGGTGGGCGGATCATTTGAGGTCAGGAGTTTGAGACCAGCCTGGCCAACATGGTGAAACCCCGTCTGTACTAAAAAAAAATACAAAAAAATTAGCCGGGCCTGGTGGCGCATGCCTGTGGTCCCAGCAATTAGGGAGGCTGAGGCAAGAGAATCGCTTGAACACGGGAGGTTGCAGTGAGCCGAGATCACGCCACTGCACTTCAGCCTGGGTGACAGAGCGAGACTCCATATCAAAAATAAATACATAAATAAATAAAAATTAAAATACCAGAGATAGTGCCAGCAATTCATTCAACAAATATTAAGTGGCCATTTTGTGCAAAGCAATGAACAAGGTCCTTTAGAAATGCTTCCTTGTACTACAAATATATAGAAATCAATGTGAACAATAGCTGCTACCACAATTTAAGAGGGCAGACAGTGGCAAAAAACTTAGCAAACTAATGTACACATACACATTTGCCTTATTTTTACAGCACGCTTTGTTCCCAACCACCCAACTAACATAATTTGTAGCCTTGTATTAGGTAATAGAAGTTAGGATTTCAGAACGTCATGGGAGACCTGGGGGAGACTGCTTGTTTTGAAGTTGAAAGCAGTAAATTAAAAAATGTAAGTGACAGCATAGAAAAATGTATATAGGGTTAACGTGCAGAGGTTTGTATTTAGGCTTTCTTGTAAGGTTAAATCCTGTTGTTTAAAACAAATATTCAGATAAGAATAACACTAAAACCATTCAAGGGCTGGGCATGGTGACTCATGCCTGTAATCCTAGCACTTTGGGAGGCCGAGGCAGAGGAGTCACTTGAGCCCAGGAGTTTGAAACCAGCCTGGGCAACATGGCAAAACCCCGTATCTACAAAACATTAGCCAGGAGTGGTGGCCTGCACCTATAGGCCCAGCTACTCAGGAGGCTGAGATAGGATCACCTGAGCCTGTGGAGGTCAAGGTTGCAGTGAGCCGTGATCACACCACTGCATTCCAGTGCCACTGCATTCCATCCTGGGCAGCATACTGAGACTATCACAAAAATAAAAAGAAAATCAATGTACTGGTAATGATTTTTTTAAGCAGGTACATGGATGTTCATTTTATTGTTTTCCTTGCCATCTTAAATATTGACATTGACTGTAAACATTTATTTAAAAGTAACTAAATGTTTAAAATGAAGTAAAATAAATGAAAACATAGAACAGGGGCAGAGCGTGGTGGCTAACACCTGTAATCCCCACACTTCGGGAGACCAAGGTGGGAGGATCACTGGAGCCCAGGAGGTTGAGGCTGCAGTGAGCCATGATTATGCCATTGCACTCCAGCCTGGGCAACAGAGTAAGACCCTACCTCAAAAAACAAATGCACTCAAAAACAGAATACTCATAATAGGAAAGTCATTTTGAAGGCCTCTCTTAAGTGAGTGGCCTCATCTAGTCCAGGCTCAGATTTCAGAGACGATTGGGTTAGAAAGTTTAAAAAAACAAAAAAGTTTATGTGTTTCTCTTCCCTTGGGGATATGTTTATGTCCCCAAAGGGGGATATATATACATTATAATGACAACATGTAGGGAATTACCAAATTAATAGCCGGAACTTGGGAAAGATAAGACGGAAAATTAAGGGATGGGAATCTTAGGTAAAATCAATTATATACATTCAGGTGTAAAAGTCTTTGAGGAAAGGAAAATAGCATTGGACATGAAAACAGAACCATTCTTTTTTTTTTTTTAGACGGAGTCTCACTCTGTTGCCCAGGCTGGAGTGCAGTGGTGCAATCTCGGCTCACTGCAACCTCCACCTCCTGGGTTCAAGTGATTCTCCTGCCGCAGCCTCCTGAGTAGCTGGGATTACAGGCACCCACCACCACACCTGGCTAATTTTTGTATTTTTTTTTTTTTTTTTAGTAGAGACGGGGGTTTCCCCATGCTGGTCAGGCTGGTCTCGAACTCCTGACCTTGTGATCCACCCTCCTCGGCCTCCCAAAGTGCTGGGATTACAGGCGTGAGCCACTGTGCCCAGCAGGACCATTCTTTACATATCAAAATATTACTATGAGATTCATTCAGCCACCATTTTTATTTTATTTTATTTTATTTTATTTTATTTTATTTTTTGAGTTGGAGTCTCACTCTGTCACCCAGGCTGGAGTGCAGTGGTGCGACCTTGGCTCATTGCAACCTCTGCCTTCCAAGTTCACGTGATTCTCCTGCCTCAGCCTCCGGAGTAGCTGGGATTATAGGCACCTGCCACCACCCCCAGCTAATGTTTGTATTTTTAGTAGAGGTGGGGTTTCACCATGTTGGCCAGGCTGGTCTCAAACTCTTGACCTCAGGTGATCCGCCTGCCTAGGTGTCCCAAAGTGCTAGGATAACAGGCGTGAGCCACCGCGCCCGGCCCTATTCTTGAAAAATAAGTAATAGTACAGAAGATGTTCTTTGCTAAATTCCATTAATAACAAAAAAGAAATGAGGGAACAGCATAATGATCCGTAAACTGCATGGTCTTTTGGGGTTTTGTTGTTGTTGTTGTTGTTGTTGTTTGTTTTTTGAGACGGAGTCTCCCTCTGTCGCCAGGCTGGAGTGCAGTGGCGCCATCTCGGCTCACTGCAACCTCCGCCTCCCAGGTTCAAGCAATTCTCCTACCTCAGCCTCCGAGTAGCTGGGACTACAGGCGCGCGCCACAATGCCCAGCTAATTTTTTGTGTTTTTAGTAGAGACAGGGTTTCACCATGTTGGCCAAGATGGTCTCAATCTCTTGATTTCATGATCCGCCCACCTCGGCCTCCCAAAGTGCTAGGATTACAGGCGTGAGCCCCTGCGCCCGGCCAACCGCATGGTTTTTTATGCAGCCATTTAACCGACGATTTTTATGAGGATCATATAATATGGTAGAATTTATATGTAATGCAAAGTTTAAAAACAGAAGAAAAGTTGTAAGCATGTACATGCAAAAGTATCTAGCACAATGTAAACTACTAAGGAAAATAACGTGAGAGTTTTTTATGTGATTTATTAGTTTTGCTTTAGGTTGTTATAACATTAATGCAATTTTACATGTTTTGGATTAATATACTTTAATCCTTATTCCATGCCAGTCACTGCTTTTAATGCATCAGTGAAGTTGCTTCTCAGGATAGTTACCTCCAAGAGCATTTCATCAGTCTGGATACGACCTTACAATTAAAGTGATCCAAAAAATATATGAAGTTCTTGACATCGTACTAAAAATACCAGAGATAGGCCAGGCACAGTGGCTCATGCCTGTAATTCCAGCACTTTTGGGAGGCTGAGGCGGGCGGATCATTTGAGGTCAGGAGTTCGAGACCAGCCTGACCAACATGGTGAAACTACGTCTGTACTAAAAAAAAAAAAAAAAAAATACAAAAAAATTAGCCAGGCGTGGTGGCGCATGCATGTATCCCCAGCTACTTGGGAGGCTGAGGCAGGAGAATCTCTTGAACCTAGGAGGTGGAGGTTGAGTGAGCCGAGATGGTGCCACTGCACTCCAGCCTGGTTGACAGAGTGAGACTCCATATCAAAAATAAATACATAAATAAATAAAAATTAAAACACCAGAGATAGTGCCAGCAATTCATTCAACAAATATTAAGTGGCTATTTTGTGCAAAGCAATGAACAAGGTCCTTTAGAAATGCTTCCTTGTACTACAAATATATATGACGTGAACAATATCAATATCAATGTAATATATCAATGTGAACAATAGCTGCTACCACAATTTAAGAGGCCAGACAGTGGCAAAAAACTTAGCAAACTGATGTACACATTCACATTTACCTTATTTTTATGGCACACGCTTTGTTCCCAACCACCCGACTAACATAATTTGTAGCCTTGTATTAGGTAATAGAAGTTAGGATTTCAGAACGTGATGGGAGACCTGGGGGAGGCTGCTGCTTCTTTTTTTTTTCCTCTCTCTTTTTTTTTTTTTCAGACAGAGTCTTGCTCTGTTGCCCAGGCTGGAGCGCAGTGGCGAAATCTTGGCTCACTGTAAGCTCCACCTTCCGGGTTCAAGCAATTCCCTGCCTCAGCCTCCTGAGTAGCTGGGATTACAGGCGCCCACCACCGTGCCCAAATAATTTTTGTATTTTTAGTAGAGATCAGGTTTCACCATCTCGGCCAGGCTGGTCTTGAACTCCAGACCTTGTGATCCATCCGCCTTGGCCTCCCAAAGTGCTAGGATTACAGGAGTGAGTCACTGCGCCCAGCCAGAGGCTGCTTGTTTGGAAGTTTAAAGCAGTACATTCAAATATGTAAGTGACAGCATAGAAAAATGTATATAGGGTTAACGTGCAGAGGTTTATATTTAGGCTTTCCTGTGAGTTTAAATCCTGTTGTTTAAAACAAATATTCAGATAAGAATAACACTTTAAAACCATTCAAGGGCTGGGCATGGTGACTCATGCCTGTAATCCTAGCACTTTGGGAGGCCGAGGCAGAGGAATCACTTGAGCCCAGGAGTTTGAAACCAGCCTGAGCAACATGGCAAAACCCCCTATCTACAAAAAATTAGCCAGGAGTGGTGGCATGCACCTATAGACCCAGCTACTCGGAAAGCTGAGATAGAAGGATCACCTGAGTCCACAGAGGTCAAGGTTGCAGTGATCCGAGATCATGCCACTGCATTCCAGTGCCACTGCATTCCATCCTAGGCAGCAGACTGAGACTCTGTCTCGAAAACAAAAAAAAAAGAAAGAAGGCCGGGTGCAGTGGCTCACACCTGTAATCCCAGCACTTTATAATGCTAACTGTAATATTTTGGCAGTTTTTTTTTTTATCAAATTGGGGAAATTCTCTCCATATACCTATTTTATCTCAATTTTATTATGAGTTGGTGTTGAATTTTGTCAAATACTTTTTTTCTGAAATTAATTGACATTCTTTTTTTTTCTTTTTAGCCTTTTAGTATGGTAGACTACATTGATTAGTTTTCAAATATCAATGAGCTATGCATCCTTGGAATAAACCCCACTTTGTCATGTTGTGTAATTCTTATATATTGATTAATTATATTTGCTAATATTTTGTTAAGGATTTTGCATCTTTATTTATGATGTGTATTGGTTGGCAGTTTTCTCCTTTTTTGTGTGTGCTTTCTTTGGTTTTGGTGTCAGAGTAAATACTAACTTCTTAGAATGATTGAGCGATGGTGTTCTCTTCTATTTTCTGAAAGAGTTTAGGCAGAATTGGTGTTAATAATATAATAATTTTTTTTTTTTTAGATGGAGTCTTGCTCTGTCGCCCAGGCTAGAGTGCAGTGGCGTGATCTCGGCTCACTGAAACCTCCGCCTCCCAGGTTCAAGCAATTCTCCTGCCTTAGCCTCCCAAGTAGCTGGGATTACAGGCACATGCCAGCATGCCCAGCTAATTTTTATATTTTCAGTAGAGACGGGGTTTAACCATGTTGGCCAGGATGGTCTCCATCTCTTGACCTTGTGATCCGCCCACCTTTGCCTCCCAAAGTTCTGGAATTACAGGCATGAGCCACCGCGCCCAGCAGTGTTAATTATTTTTATTTATTTATTTATCTATTTTTTATTTTTTTGAGATGGAGTCTTGCTCTATCTCCAGGCTGGAGTGCAGTGGCGCGATCTCAGGTCACTGCAACCTCCGCCTCCAAGGTTCAAGTGATTCCCCTGCCTCAGCCTCCCAAGTAGCTGGGATTACAGGCACACGCCACCACGCCCAGCTAATTTTTTGTATTTTAGTAGAGACGGGGTTTCACCATGTTAGCCAAGATGGTTTCGATCTCCTGACATGATCCGCCCACCTCGGCCTCCCAAAGTGCTGGGATTACAGGTGTGAGCCACTGCACCCGGCTGGTGTTAATTATTTTTTAACTGGTAGAATTCTCTAGTAAAATTATCTGGGTCTGGAGACTTCTTGTTTGTGAATTTTTTAATTACAAATTTAATTTTCTTAATAGTCATAGGGCTGTTCTTATCCATTACATATTGGATGAATTGTGGTAGGTTATTTTCATTTTTTTGAGGAATTGGTCCATTTCATCTAAGTTGTTGAATTTATGTAGAATTAGTTTTAGTATTTCCTAATCATCTCTTTAATGTCTGTAGAATATATATCCCCCATTTCTTCTTCTTCTTCTTTTTTTTTTTTTTTTTTTTTTTTTGAGACGATGTCTCACTCTGTCGCCCAGGCTGGAGTACAGTGGCATAATCTCAGCTCACTGCAACCTCTGCCTCCCAGGTTCAAGCGATTCTCCTGCCTCAGCCTCCTGAGTAGCTGGGGATTACTGGTGCCCGCCACCATGCCCGGCTAATTTTCATATTTTTAGTAGAGACAGGGTTTCACTATGTTGGCTAGGCTGGTCTCAAACTCCTAACCTCAAGTGATCTACCCGCCTCAGCCTCCCAAAGTGCTGGGATTACACGCGTAAGCCACCGCACCAGCCCATTTCATTTTATTTTGTAACATTAGCAATTTGTGTCTTTTTTTCTCCCTGTGAGAGGCTTGCCAATTATTTTATCCTTTTAAAAAATCAAATTTTTGTATTGATTTTATGAATTAGGTTCTATGTTCAGTTTATTTGATATATTCACTTGTCTTTACTATATTCTTTTTTCTTTTTGATTTTTTTCTTCTTTTTCTAGGTTCTTGAAGCAGGAGCTTAGATTATTTATTATTTATTATTAGATTATTTATTTCTAATATATACCTTAATTGCTATAAATTTCCCTCTCAGCTCCCCTTCAGCCATGTCCCACAAATTCTGTATTTTTGCTCTTCTTTGAAACTTCCTCCTTGACCACTGGGTTATTTAGAAGTGTGTTGTTTAATTTCCAAGTGTTTTGATATTTTCCTATCTTTCTGTTACTGATTTCTAGTTTGATTCCATTGTGACCAGACAACAGAGTCTGCATGATTTCAAATATTAAGTGGCTATTTTGTGCAAAGCAATGAACAAGGTCCCTTAGAAGTGCTTCCTTGTACTATAAATATATATGTGAGTGAGGGGTACAGCCTCCGTTAGAAGCTCCCAGCTTCCTTCTGGGGCAATGGGACGCACCTCTCTCCTGCCTCCTGGGCACTCACGCGCTCTCTGGCTCGCTCTCTCTCTCTCTCTCTCTCTGTCTCTTTCTCCCTTTGCTCCCTTTCTCTTTCCCCCATGCCCATACGATGTGAACAATATCAATATCAATGTAATATATCAATGTGAACAATAGCTGCTACCACAATTTAAGAGGGCAGACAGTGGCAAAAAACTTAGCAAATGTACACATTCACATTTGCCTTATTTTTATGGCACATGCTTTGTTCCCAACCACCCAACTAACATAATTTGTAGCCTTGTATTAGGTAATAGAAGTTAGGATTTCAGAACGTCATGGGAGACCTGGGGGAGACTGCTTGTTTTGAAGTTGAAAGCAGTACATTCAAATATGTAAGTGACAGCATAGAAAAATGTATATAGGGTTAACGTGCAGAGGTCTGTATTTAGGTTTTCCTGTAAGTTTAAATCCTGTTGTTTAAAACAAATATTCGGATAAGAATAACACTTTAAAACCATTCAAGGGCTGGGCATGGTGACTCATGCCTGTAATCCTAGCACTTTGGGAGGCCGAGGCAGAGGAATCACTTGAGCCCAGGAGTTTGAAACCAGCCTGAGCAACATGGCAAAACCCCATATCTACAAAAAATTAGCCAGGAGTGGTGGCATGCACCTATAGGCCCAACTACTCAGGAGGCTGAAATAGGAGGATCACCTGAGTCCACGGAGGTCAAGGTTGCAGTGAGCCGTGATCACACTACTGCATTCCAGTGCCACTGCATTCCATTCTAGGCAGCAGACTGAGACTCTGCCTCAAAAACAAAAAAAAAAAAAGAAAGAAGGCCGGGTGCAGTGACTCACACCTGTAATCCCAGCACTTTGGGAGGCCGAGGCAGGCAGATCACTTGAGGTCAGGAGTTCAAGACCAGCCTGGCCAACATGGGGAAACCCCATCGCTACTAAAAATACAAAAATTATCCGGGCATGGTGGCAGGTGCCTGTGCCTGTAATCCCAGCTATTCAGGAGGTTGAGGCAGGAGAATCACTTGAACCCAGGATGCGGAGGTTGCAATGAGCCAAGATCATGCCACTGCACTCCAGCCTGGGCCACAGAACAAGACTCCATCTCAAAAAAAAAAAAAAAAAAAAAAACTACTGGTAATGATTTTTTTTTAAAGCAGGTACATGGATGTTCATCTTGTTTTCCTTGCCATGTTAAATATTATTTGACATTGACTGTAGATTTTTTTTTAAGTAACTAAATGTTTAAAATGAAGTAAATTAGGCCAGATGCGGTGGTTCATGCCTGTAATCCCAGCACTTTGGGAGGCCGAGGCTGGCGGATCACCTGAGGTCGGGAGTTTGAGACCAGCCTGACCAATATGGAGAAACCATGTCTCTACTAAACATACAAAATTAGCTGGGCATGGTGGTGCATGCCTGTAATCCCAGCTACTCTCGAGGCTGAGGCAGGAGAATCAATTGAACCCAGGAGGCAGAGATTGCGGTGAACCGAGATCGAGCCATTGCACTCCAACCTGGGCAACAAGAGTGAAACTCTGTCTCAAAAATAAATAAATAAATAAATAAAAATAAAATAAAATAAAATGAAGTAAAATAAAAGAAAAAATAAAACAGAATAGGGGCCAAGCGTGGTGGCTAACACCTGTAATCTCAGCAATTTGGATGGCCAAGGTGGGAGGATCATGGAGCCCAGGAGGTCAAGGCTGCAGTGAGCCATTATTGTGCCACTGCACTGCAGCCTGGGCAACAAAGTGACAAAACACACGCGCGCACACACACACACACACACACACACACACACACACACACACACACAGAATACTACTAATAAGAAAGTAATTTTGCAGGCCTTTCTTAGGTGAATGGCCTCAACTAGTCCAGGCTCAGATTTCAGAGATGATTGGGTTAGACACCTTTAAAAAAAGAAAAGTGTATATGTTTCTCTTCCCTTGGGGACATGGTTATGTCCCCAAAGGGGGATGTATGTACATTATAATGACAACATGTAGGGAACTACCAAATTAATAGCTGGAACTTGGGAAAGATAAAGCAGAAAATTAACAGATGGGAATCTTATATAAAATCAATTACATGCATTCAGGTGTAAAAGTCTTTGAGAAAAGGAAAATAGCATTGGACATGAAAACAGGACCATTCTTTACACATCAAAATATTATTATGAGATTCATTCAATCACCGTTTTGTTTTGTTTTGAGATAGAGTCTCTCTGTGTCACCCAGGCTAAAGTGCAGTGGCTCGATCTTGGCTCACTGCAAACTCCGCATCCCGGGTTCAAGAGATTCTCCTGCCTCAGCCTCCCAAGTAGCTGAGATTACAGGTGCCTGCCACCACCCCCAGCTAATTTTTGTATTTTTTAGTAGAGACAGGGTTTCTCCACGTTGGCCAGACTAGTCTCGAACTCTTGACCTCAGGTGATCTGCCCACCTCGGCCTCCCCAAGTCCTGGGATTACAAGCATGAGCACCAGCATTTATTAATTTATATGTTCGAGGCACTGTACTAGGCCTTGAAGTTACTGATTACTGAGATGGAAAAATTATAATAATTAAAGGACAGTCTTGTGAAAGAGAATTTTTTTAAGAAAGAAGGAAGAAAGGGAGGGAAAGAGGGAGACAGGGAGGGAAAGGAAAAGAAAGGAGGAAGGGAGGGAGACGGACTCATTAACAACCTGGACTAAATTTCATTAATAATGCTTTTTAACCAATGGCTCCCAAACCCAGGTCATCTGTGGTTGAAAAAGCAGGTTCCTAGCCCCATCCCAGACCTACTGCATCCAAATTTTCTGTGGTCAGGCTGAGAAGTATTTATAAAAGCTCCAGAGGGGACTCTGACAAACAACCAAGTTTGGGAACCGCTATCCCAGCGGTTCTCAAACTTCAGCCTGCATCAGAATCACCAGGAGAACTTGTTAAACAGATTGCTGGGTCCCAGCTCCAGAGTTTCTCAGAGGGACAGTCTAGGGTGGGGCTCTAGAATTGCGTATCTAAGGTCCCAGGTGATGCTGCTCATCAGGGAACCACACTTTAAGAACTGCACTCCTGGCCAGGCGTGGTGGCTCATGCCTGTAATCCCAGCACTTTGGGAGGCCGAGGCGGGCGAATCACTTGAGGTCAGGAGTTCAAGACCAGCCTGGCCAACAGGGTGAAACCCTGTCTCTATTTAAAAAAAATACAAAAATTCACCAGGCATGGTGGCGTGCGCCTATAATCCCAGCTACTCCGGAGGCTGAGGCAGGAGAATTGCTTGAACCTGGGAGGCAGAGGTTGCAGTGAGCTGAGATCATACCAGTGCACCTGCAGCCTGGGGGACAAAGCAAGACTCCATCTCAAAAAAAAAAGGAAGATACTAAGATGCTATGCTGCTGACTTTGAAGGTGAAAGAAAGGGACATGAGTCAAAGAATGTAGGTGGCCTCTATACACTGGAAAAGGCAAGAAACAGATTGTACCCTAGAACCTCCAGAAGGAAGGCAGCCCTGCTGACACCTTGATGTTAGCCCAGTGAGGCCCATTTTCAAACTTCTGACCTCCAGAACTGTAAAGGAAATAAATGTGTGTTGTTCTAAGCCAACAACAACAACAACAAAATGAACTGCACTCTTCTAAATTACAGTATTAAGGAAAGCTAAACTTTCAGCATTAAATGCACCCAATTGCTTTATCACAGCAACTGTGCTTTATCACAGCAACAGTTTTAGATATATTTTTGAGAAAAAAAAATGGGAGAGATAACAATTCTTAGGGAATTCACCCTTTACTCTCTTCCTAAAATGGAAATCTACTTCGAAAGTAAATTGTGCATGCACATGCCTTTGATGGGTATAAAAATTGCAGAAAATCTTTTCAAATCATTTTTATTCCCTTATGACTTCTAATTTATTTTCAGGAGAATTGTTCATGTTTTATCAAATCATTGTTTTAGGTATCTGTCTCAAATATAGTGACACCACCTGTTTTATACCAATAAAATTAATCCTTTCCCATAAATGATATTTAATATAACTGTCCAGTGAAATGCTATAACAGCAACTCATTCAATAGCATTTTCTAAGAAAATGTTTTTTGTTTGTGTGAGACAGGGTCTCACGCTGTTGCCCAGGCTGGAGTGCAGTGGCATGATCACGGGTCACTACAGCCTCAACCTTCCAGGCTCAAGCAATCCTACCTCCTCAGTTTCCTGAGTAGCTGAGACTACAGGCATATGGCAACATACTCCGCTGATTTTTTTTTTTTTTTTTTTTTTTGAGACAGGGCCTCACTATGTTGCCAGGCTGGTCTCAAACTCTTGGGCTCAAGCAGTCCTCCTGCCTTGGCCTCCCACAGCGCTGGGATTATAGGCGTGAGCTACTGCACCCAGCCGACCAAAAGTTTTAAACTTTTTCATTAATGTATTTTACTAATCACTTAAAGGTGTATTCTTTATGATAGCATCCGAGACCATAAGTGAAAATCTACACATGGTTATCAGAATATTTCAAAGCTTTTGTTTAAAACATTTTTCTGTTTTCCAGGGCTAATGTCAAAATTTGATGTGACTCTGCAAGAAAATGCTTACCATCTGTGGTTGGTATTTTTCTTCTGCTCCAGCCATTAATATATATTTTTACATACAAAAGTTGTTTCCAGTAATAAAAAATCTGTCTGAGGTAAGGTTATATTAATATTTGTACTCCTGCAAAGCTATTTTTGTAGTGTAAATTTCAAATTTAATACAGCTTATCCACCATAGAAGAGGCTAACATCAAGTGCTCAGCAATTTATACCACTGCTTAAAAGTTAACTTTCTTTCACTTTGAAAATATCACTAATTTGGCCAGGTGCGGTGGCGTATGCCTGTAATCCCAGCATTTTGGGAGGCCGAGGTGAGTAGATTGCTTGAGGCCAGGAGTTTGAGACCAGCCTGGCCAACATGGTGAAACCCCATCTCTACTAAAAATACAAAAATTAGCCAGGTGTGGTGGCAGGCACCTGTAATCCCAGCTACTCTGGAGGCTGAGGCAGGAGAATCGCTTGAACCTGGGAGGCGGAGGCTGCAGTGAGCCAAGACTGTACCACTGCACTCCAGCCTGGATAACAGAGTGAGACTTCATCACACACACACACACACACACACACAAAGAAAGAAATGAAAATGAAAAGACCTTACTGTAGTCTTTTTGTGTGTGTGTGTGTGACAGTCTCGGTGTGTCACCCAGGCTGGAGTGCAGGGGCGAGATCTCGGCTCCCTGCAACTTCCGATTCCCAGGTTCAAGCAATTCTCCTGCTTCAGCCTCCCAAGTAGCTGGGACTACAGGCGCCCACCACCACACCTGGCTAATTTTTTGTGTTTTTAGTAGAGACGGGGTTTCACTATGTTGGCCAGGCTGGTCTTGAACTCCTGACCTCATGATCTGCCCGCCTCGGCCTCCCAAAGTGCTGGGATTACAGGTGTGAGCCACTGTGACTGGCCTGTAGTCTTAAAGTGGCTTTCTCAGCTGCCAACTCTAGGACCTCTCAACTCAGCTCCTCGTGTCTAGTTCAATCTCCCAGTGTCCCCATCTCATGTTTTAAGGAGAGAAAATTTCATTGGCTTTTTGGTCAGCCACACACGTTTGGCTCCGTCAGTGGAGGCCAAGCTCCCTTAGTACAAACACAGCTACCTGGGCTTATACCTGCTGTAAGGCAGTGGTTCTCAAGGTGGGTTCTCTGCACCAGTAGCATTAGAAATGTACATTCATGGGCCCCACCCCAACCTACAGAATCAGCATCTCCAGGGATGGAGCCTGGGACGCTGTATTAGAGCTACAGACGAGGGCAGATTTCCTCAGGAAGAGATGCGTGTAGGGACTACCTTCTTACCACCCTGAGAAGGCAGAAGGCAACTGGCATGGGGGAGCCCAGATCTGCAGAGACACAGGTAGGAAATGTGACCCTAGCTTCTGTGATTGGGTGATTGATTGGATGATTTCATCACCTTGATTTTGGACTTCTACCCTTCACTGCATCTGGCCCAGGTCTTTTCCAGTAGATAAATAAATGGTGAACTGAAGGCCAGGCATGGTGGCTCACGCCTGTAATCCCAGCACTTTGGCAGGTGAGGCAGGAGGACCAGTTGATGCCACAAGTTCGAGACCAATCAGGGCAACATCACAGGACCCTGTCTCAAAAAAAAAAAAAAAAAAAAAAAAAGGAAATGAATTCATAGAAAGAGACTGACAAAGCAGACAAACAGAGAGA
The DNA here is from genome assembly GCF_000001405.40 of Homo sapiens. Classification (NCBI taxonomy): domain Eukaryota; kingdom Metazoa; phylum Chordata; class Mammalia; order Primates; family Hominidae; genus Homo; species Homo sapiens. Next base: position 64,677,187 of record NC_000017.11, read on the forward strand.
AGCTAAGAAACTTCTCAACCCTCGAAAGGGAGACAAAGAGAGTGATTGACAGATTCCCTGCCAGTTCTCCTGGCTCAGGTGTACTTCTCACACTCCATTTCCAAGAGGTCCCCCAGTGAATAACCACCCTGTCCCTTACTTAAGCAAGTTTAAGTGGGCCCCTGTTCCTTGCATTTACTTTGTCTCCACTTGAAACCCCTTTTCCTTTTCAGATCTGTCCTAAGCTCATCCTCAGAGATCCTTGATTGTCTGTCTTGCTCCTGCCCATGTTTTCCCCAGAACTGGACTCTCACCTGGAACCCAGCCCACGGCTTGGATCCCACCACCCAGCTGCCACGCTTCTACAATCTAGAGCGGCGTAATACATATGGCTAGTGCGCACTTGAAACCTGGCTAGTGATGGGCTGCAAGTGTAAAATACACAGTGGATTTCAAAGACTCAGTATGGAGAAAAAAGCAAAATATCTTATTAATATTTTTTATATTGATGACACGTTAAAATAATATTTTGGATATACCTACATTGGGTTAAATAAAATATAATATTGGCCAGGCACAGTGGCTCACACCTGTAATCCCAGCACTTTGGGAGGCCTAGGGTGGATCACCTGAGGTTCGGAGTTCAAGACTAGCCTGGCCAACATGGTGAAATCCTGTCTCTACTAAAAATACAAAAAATTAGCCAGGTGTGGTGGTGGATGCCTGTAGTCCCAGCTACTCGGGAGGCTGAAGCATGAGAATCACTTGGACCTTAGAGGTGGAGGTTGCAGTGAGTCGAGATCTTGCCACTGCACTCCAGCCTGGGTGACAGAGTGCAGAGCAAGACTCTGTCTGAAAAAAAAAAAAAAAAAAAAAAAAAAATATATATATATATATATATATATATAGTATATATACAGTATATATAGTATATATACTGTATATATACTATATATATAGTATATATACTGTACATATACTATATATATAGTATATATAGTGTATATACACTGTATATGTATACACTGTATATATATACACTGTATATGTATACACTATATATACTGTATATATAGTGTATATATATATACTATATGTAGTAATTGAAGCTCATTTCATCTAGAAAATTTGAAATTACAAATATGGCTCTCATTGTATGTCTTTTGGACTGTGGTGACCTAGAGGTAATGACTATTCACGTATGTACCTCCAGAATATTTGACATAAGCTGGATTTGCCACTGGCTAGCTCTGCACTCCGCCCAACATCGGACTTTGCCTACCTCACCCCTCAGGCCTTACCTTACCCACCCAGCTCTCTAATTAATTTCTATGGCGAGGTCAGTTCAACAGCAACTATCTCACCCTGGTGAGAATGAAACAATCTAGTGTTAAGATTTTCTTTCAGCCCCTACCACACCTACCTGGTTTTGCCTTACATTGACCATCGTTCCTGTGCCTAAGTCTTAAAACTAGACAGAGATTGTACAGCAGATTCATGTGTGCAGTAGAGAGGTGGGCTAGATGACCTCTGTTATGGGTTAAATTGTGACCTCCAAAAAGATATGTGGAAGTCCTAATCCCTGGTACCTGTGAATGTGACATTATTTGGAAATGGGCCCTTTGGAGATGTAATCAAGTTGAGATGAGGCTTTAGAGTGAGTCCTAATTCAATATGACTGCATTCTTTTTCGTTGTTTTTTTGACAGAGTCTCACCCCATTGTCCAGGCTGGAGTGCAGTGGTGCAATCTTGGCTCATTGCAACCTCCGCCTCCTGGGTTCAAGCAATTCTCCTGCCACAGCCTCCCAAGTAGCTGGGATTACAGGTGCCCACCACCACACCCAGCTAATTTTTGTATTTTTGGTAGAGACAGGGTTTCACCATGTTGGCCAGGCTGGTCTCAAACTCCTGGCCTCAAGTGATCTGCCTGCCTTGGCCTCCCAAAGTGTTGGGATTACAGGCGTGAGCCACCGTGCCTGGCCCTGTGTCGTTTTAAGAAGAGAAACATTCCATGTGAAGACAGAGACACACAGGAGGAATGCCATGTAATGACAGAGGCAGAGATTGGAGTGAAGCAGCTGCAAACTGAATATTAAGGATTGCCAGCCACCACCAGAAGCCAGGAAGAGGCAACCTAAGATTCTACCCAAAGTCTCAGAGGGAGCGTGGCCCTGCTGACACCTTGATTTTGGACTTCTATCCTTCAGAACTGTATTGTTTTGTGTTTTAAACCACCCAATTTGTGGTACTTTGTCTCAGGAGCCCTGGGAAATGAATACTTCTAAGTCTCTTCCATACTTTATCACATACGATACAGATAACAAAACACATTCTGCAACAGGTTTTCATTTTTTGTTGCATTTATAATGCTGCACTTTTTTAAAAATAGAAAATCATGTAAATCTAGACCATTTTATGCACCCATTTTAAGTATACACACTAGTCTGTTATATTGTGAATTCTGAGATAAAAGAGAATGTAATTTGAAGAGATTGCATATTTTCCAAAGCCAATTTGGTGATTTAAGCATGGAAGTATTACAATTAAATGTTTGAAAAGTTATCTATGCATGTTTTGCTGTAAGACGATAGCATGAAGCAACACATCTTTTCAGGATGAGGTAGCAGCTCCAGCCCCGGGGGAAGGGAGCCGGGGCATCACTCGACTGCAACTACTTTGGACGACTGAGCAACATGAACAGGCTCAAAAAAAAAGTCATATCCAATCATCCTCAAAATACGAACTGTAGTAGCTACAACACAATTCTCTAAGGGCGAGATGGGCGGAGAAGTGGAAATATTTGTACGATGCAGTCTTTATGGGTAATGCAGAGAATATGGGCCAGAATGAGATCAACATGACTCATAAGCCTGTGGGTCAATGTCAAACCATTGCTTAAAATTCCTCAATGGCTGCTCATTGCCCTCAGGACCCAGTCCAGAGAGCTTTGTGTGGCATTTCCAGCATTGCCGGGCCCCTGCCCACCTCCAGCCTTATTTCCTCCTTCTCTGCCCTGCCTGTACCAAAGAACTCAAGACTCTCATCTTTCAGGTTCCTTTTGTCTCATGGAGCTCAGTTTCTCCTCTCACCTTCAGTCAGTAAGTAGGCACCTGCTTTCCCATCTGTCTGGCCTATCCAAACAGGAAAGCATATAATATGAGTATTTTACATCGTGTAATTGACTACTTGATCGATTCATAAATTATATTGTGGTGTGAATGTGTCTGATAATATATTACTTAGAGTTTTGTCATTTTCGTTAATTTTTTTTTTTTTTTTTTTTTTGAGACAGAGTGTCACTGTGTTGCCCAGGATGGAGTGGAGTGGTGCAATCTTGGCTCACTGCAACCTCTGCCTCCTGGGCTCAAGGGATTCTCCTGCCTCAGCCTCCCAAGTAGCTGGGATTACAGGTACCTGCCACCATGCCTGGCTGATTTTTGTGTGTGTTTTTTTTTTTTAGTTGAGTCAGGGTTTCACTATATTGGCCAGGCTGGTCTCAAACTCTTGACCTCAGGTGATCCACCCACCTCAGCCTCCCAAAGTGCTGTGATTACAGGCATGAGCCACCGTGCCTGGCCTCATTCATTTTAATTAATGATATAATTTTAAATGGGAGAACCACCAGAGATCATCTACCATGTTCACCTCCCTCTGGATGAAGAAAATTAGGCTATTTTTTTTTTAACATCTTAAAAGACAGTCAGGGCCGGAGCCGGGCGTGGTGGTGGGCAACCGGAAGTCCCAGCTACTCGGGAGGCTGAGGCACGAGAATGGCATGAACCCGGGAGGCGGAGCTTGCGGTGAGCAGAGATAGTGCCACTGCACTCCAACCTGGGCGACAAAGCAAGACTCTGTCTCATTAAAAAAAAAAAAAAAAAAAAAAAAAAAAAAAAAAAAAGACAGGGCCAGGTGCGGTGGCTCTCGCCTGTAATCCCAGCATTTTGGAAGGCCGAGGCAGGTGGATCACCTGAGGTCAGGAGTTCAAGACCACCCTGGCCAAAATGGGGAAAACCCATCTCTACTAAAAATACAAAAATTAGCCAGGCATGGTGATGTATGCCTGTAATCCCAGCTACTGGGGAGGCTGAGGCAGGAGAATTGCTTAAACCTGAAAGGTGGAGGTTGCAGTGAGCCAAGATCGTGCCACTGCACTTTGGCCTGGGCAACAGAGTAACACTCCATCTCAAGAAAAAAAAAAAAAAGCCGGGCGCGGTGGCTCATGCCTGTAATCCCAGCACTTTGGGAGGCCGAGATGGGCAGATCACGAGATCAGGAGATCGAGACCATCCTGGCTAACACAGTGAAACCCCGTCTCTACTAAAAATACCAAAAAAAAAAAAAAAATTAGCCAGGCATGGTGGCGGGCGCCTGTAGTTCCAGCTACTCGGGAGGCTGAGGCAGGAGAATGGCGTGAACCCGGGAGGTGGAGCTTGCAGTGAGCCGAGATCGTGCCACTGCATTCCAGCCTGGGTGACACAGCGAGACTCCATCTCAAAAAAACAAAAACAAAAACAAAAAAACAGTCAGGGCCGGGCATGGTGGCTCATGCCTGTAATCCCAGCACTTTGGGAAGCTGAGACGTGTGGTCAGGAGTTTGAGACCAGCCTGGCTGAAATGGAGAAACCCCGTCTCTACTAAAAATACAAAAATTAGCTGGGAATGTTGGTGGGTGCCTGTAATCCCAACTACTCTGGAGGCTGAGGCACGAGAATCACTTGCACCTGGGAGGTGAAGGTTGCAGTGAGCAGAGATCGTGCCACTGCACTCCAGCCTGGGTGACAGAGTGAGACTCTGTCTCAAAAAAAAAAAAAAGAAAAGAAAAGACACTCAGAAGCCTCTTAGAGTGTGTATAATTGTGATAATCACAGACTCTGACAACAAAGTCAATTATTGGAATACATCCTCTTCATTAGTAGGGTCTTTAAGGTAGCACCCCCCACCAAATTCCAGATAAAAACTTCAGGCCTCCCCTGAGGTAAGGCTGGACTTCCCCAGGGCTTCTATCATGGGAGGCTCATCCCAATAAGACCAATGGCATGGAGGAAGTAAAGAAAAGACAAAGTGCTCTGTAAGCAACTGGGTACCAAGAGAAACTCTAAAATCCACAGTGGGGAAAGTTGTTCTATCTTTCCAAGGCCTGAGTGAACTAAGGGGCGGTGAGAGGTCAGAAGTATTCCATTAATTAATATCCTTGCACATGTAAGGAAACTTCAGGAGTTGAGTAAGAAGCAAACTTCCCCCTGCTGTTCACTAACGGCCGAATCAATGAATGTCAAGATCATTACAAAGCAATGTCATTTCATATTTTCCAAATGACAGAGGAGAATATTTAATTGCATCCATTATCTGGGAAAGCTGATACTGTTAACTGTGGAGAAATTTATGAAGCAAGAAGGGCCCTTTACCTACAGAGGTGCATAAACACACTCGGACTAGAATTTCTAGATTTCTAAGTAATTGTTTTTGGTATTAGACCCCCCAGTGGCCATTCCTTTATTAAAACTTGTCATTGTGTGTTTAAAATCCTATCCACTGAGTTGGTTTCAACCTTACTGGAAAGGAATTTATAAATAAATATCAAAGCACATGGTAAGGTTACATTCCTAGGAATCTATTCTAAGGAAATCATCAGAGGTCTGCCCAAAGACACTGATATGGTTTGGCTCTGTGTCCTCAACTAAATCTCGTCGCGAATTGTAATCCCCACGTGTGGAGGGAGAGAGGTGATTGGATCATGGGGGCTATTTTCCCCATGCTGTTCTCATGGTAGTGAGTGAATTCGCATGAGATCTGATGGTTTTATAAATGGCAGTTTTTCCTGCACTTACACTCTCTCCCGCCATCTTGTGAAGAAGGTGCCTGCTTCCCCTTCCGCCATAACTGTAACTTTCCTGAGGCCTCCACAGCCATGCAGACCTGTGAGTCAGTTAAACTTCCTTTGTTTATAAATTACCCACTCTCGGATACTATCTTTATAGCAGTGTGAGAACAGACTAATACAGACATATGCAAGGATATTCATCCAATACTGTTTACAAGGACAACAAAGTGAAAGCAATTTAAATGCACAAAAGGAGATTGGTTTTAAAATATATGGTATACTTGTATAAAAAACTGTTTTTTTTTTTTGAGACGGAGTTTCGCTCTTGTTGCCCAGGCTGGAGTGCAATGGCGTGATCTTGGCTCACTGCAGCCTCCGCCCCCGCCCCCCGGGGTTCAAGCGATTCTCCTGCCTCAGCCTCCTGAGTAGCTGGGATTATAGGTGCGTGCCAAAACATCCAGCTAATTTTTGTACATTTAGTAGAGATGGGTTTTCACCATGTTGGCCAAGGTGGTCTCGAACTCCTGACTTCAGGTGATCCACCCACCTCGGCCTCCCAAATGGCTAGGATTACAGGTGTGAGCCACTGTGCCCGGCCTGAAAAACTATTATGTAATCATTGAAAATAATGTTCCCAAAGACATTTTTTCTTCATATATGTGTGTGTGTATATTTTATATATATATATATATATATAGTTTGTTTGTTTTTTAATAGAAACAAGATCTCACTCCATCATCCAGGCTGGACAACACTGGCATGGTCACAGGTCACTGTAACCTCGAACTCCTGGGCTCACAGAATCCTTCTGCCTCAGCCTCCCAAGTAGCTAGGGCTCCCAGCATGTGCCACCAGGCCCAGCTAATTTTATTACTTTTAAAATTTTCTTTCTCACTATGTTGCCCAGGCTGGTCTCAAACTCCTGGCTGCAAGTGATCCTCCCACCTCAACCTCCCAAAGTGCTAGGATTACAGGCATGAGTCACTGCACCCGGCCTTTCAGATATTTTTATATGAAAAAAATAAGAAGAGAATTCCCCTCCCTCTGTCTCTTCCTAGGCTCCCTAGAGAAAAGAACTACCACAAATTTGGCATGTACTCTTTCTGCGCAGGTTTTCATACTTCATTCATTTAGTGACATAAGGGAATGTTAATAATATACATATATAAATTTTTAAAAAGCAGAGAACTAAAATATATGTGAGGAATGATCCCAACCCCAATTTTAAAACAAATATACCCATACATTTATTAATTCAAAATGATGTTTATTAAGAATCTACTAGGAGCACTGGGCCCCACGGTGGGATTTCCAGGCCCTGCCATGGGAGACGCATGGGGACTGACAGGTTCCCAGATCCATATCCTGGCAGATGTCTCTGGCTCAGTGTCCCCCATTGGCTGCCTGCCACCTTCAAGGGAGCTCTGGGAATGGAAGTCCCCTCTCATGTACCACCACCCTCCCCAGGCTGGCCTTTGAGAGGTGACCCCAGGGGAACCACGTTGAGGCTGCTTTCAAATCCTCCAGCGAGAGTTCCACCAAATGGCCTGGGTGGACCAGATGAGATGAGACTGGACCATCCCCGACCGTGCTCTTCTTGCTGGGGGTGGAGGTGGGGTGGGTTGATGGACAGGGTAGACAGGCAGCCCCAGCATTATAAAACTGAGATGCGACTGGGTGCGATGGCTCACGCCTATAATCCCAGTACTTTGGGAGGCTGAGGCGGGCAGATCACGAGGTCAAGAGATCGAGACCAGGCTGGCCAACATGGTGAAACCCTGTGTCTACTAAAAATACAAAAACCAGCTGGGCGTGGTGGCGGGCACCTGTAATCCCACCTACTTGTGAGGCCGAGGCAGGAGAATCGCTTGAACCCAGGAGGCAGAGGTTGCAATGAGCTGAGATTGCACCACTGCGCTCCAACCTGGTGACAGAGCGAGACTCTGTCTCAAATAAAAAACAAAAACAAAAAAAAACTGAGATGCATTCCTAGGGTGCCTGGGTATGGGAGTATCACATAGGATGCCCTTCTTCCAGTCAGCCTGCCTTCAGCTTCCTCAGGCATGATCACAACTTCCCATCAGAGCCTCTTTTTTCCTTTTCCACCACAGAGAAGTGAAACATGAGAGGGAGAAAGAGCTCAATAAATACTGCTTATCCTCATTTGTGTAATCATCAGTGATCTACATACAGATGGGTGACTAGACAGGGATGTGAAAGAAAAAAAAAAAACGAAGAATATACTAGGTGCTGGGCACAGTGGCTCATGCCCATAATCCCAGCACTTTGGGAGACCAAGGTGGGTGGATCACCTGAGGTCAGGAGTTTGAGACCAGCCTGGCCAACATGGCAAAACCCCATCTCTACTAAAAATACAAAAAAATTAGCCAGATGTGGTGGGAGACACCTGTAATCCCAGGCGGGAGGCTGAGGCATGAGAATCACTTGAAACCAGGAGGTGGAGGTTGCAGTGAGCCAAGATTGCACCATTGCACTCCAGCCTGTCTGGTGGATGGAGCAAGACTCCATCTAAAAAAAAAAAGAATATGCTAGTTGCTAAGCGCTGTTCTTAGAGCTTGTAATTTAGTGGAGGAAGACAGATAACCAACAAAGAGACAATACATAAAATACGAAAGGTAAGAAGAGAATTTTCCGCTGTTTTCTAGGATGCATTTTCAGTGCTGAGGTTGTCAATCACAGTGATTCTCCAGCCTTACTGAAAATGTTGAAACAGGTACTGTAGGCAATTAAAAACAAAAAGAATATGTTGAGACAAAAATTATACCCCTTTCGCATTGGACATGGACGAAGAAGGACGGACACTACTGGGTCATTGTACTCAGTGGCAGACACTGTTTGAGAGTGGCGTCAACACAGACCAGGAGGGGCCAAGAGATGAAGAGAGTGAAATCTGATCTTGATTTTCCCATGGGAGGCCCTGTAGGAAGCCATTCATAAAGCCTCCACCTAGTTTGGGTCAGGTTTTCAGTCACTAGCCCATAAGAGTTCCAACTAGGCTGGGCACAGCAGCTCATGCCTATAATCGCGGTACTTTGGGAGGCCGAGACAGGAGAATCGCTTGAGCCCAGGAGTTCGAGACCAGCCTGGGTAACACAGCGAGACCCCGCCTCTACAAGAAATAGAAAAAATTAGGGGGGCATGGTAGCACATGCTTGTAGTCCCAGCTACTTGGGAGGCTGAGGCAAGAGGATCCCTTGAGCATGGGAAGTTGAAGCTGCAGTGAGCCTGATCACACCATTGCACTCCAGCCTGGGTGACAGAGCAAGACCCTGTCTAAAAAGAGAGAGAGAGAGAGAGAGAAGAACTAATTAGTATATCCAGTGAAGCAGAATCTCTGGGTGGAAGCTGCAATCTGCATTGTTAACTAGGTCCCTATGTGAATCTTTTTTTTTTTTTTTTGAGACAGAGTCTTGCTTTGTCACCCAGGCTGGAGTGCAATGGTACAATCTCAGCTCACTGCAAACTCCACCTCCTGGGTTCAAGTGATTCTCCTGCCTCAGCCTCCCAAGTAGCTGGGATTACAGGCACGTACCACCATGCCCTATTAATTTTTGTATTTTTAGTAGAGACTGGGTTTCACCATGTTGACCAGGCTGGTCTCGAACTCCTGACCTCAAGTGATCTGCCCACCTTGGGCTTCCCAAAGTGCTGGATTACAGCCATGAGCCACTGTGCCTGGCCTCCCATGTGAATCTGTATTGAGGAGGTGAAGAATTTGCTCCAGAACGGGGACAACCAAAAAGCAAACTTTTTCTGTAAAGGGCCAGATAATAAATATTTTAGGCTTTGTGTGCCATAGAGGCTCTGTGGCAACTACTCAACTCTGGTACTGTAATGTAGATGCAGCCATAGATGAATGGGTGTGGCTGTGTTCTAATAAAACTTTGTTTACAAAAGCAGGCAGTGGACTAGATTTGGCTCACTGGCATGGTGCCCACCCCTGCTCTAGAACTAGAGCTATAAGCAAACAGAAAACTACCAAACCTGGAAGGGTCACTAAGATTCAGTAAAGTATTTTTCCAAAATCTATAAAATCTGAAACCATTTAATAGTTGAAAGAAAGAAGCCAATAAAATTATAAGAAGCGCTCATATTTCTTGAGGGCTTACTATGTGCCAGAGGCTATGCCAAGGGATGTATCATTTAGAATGCTTTCATCTCATAGAACATCTCATACACCAAGTAGTTGTTTTTGTTTTTGTTTGAGACAGAGTCTTGCTCTGTCACCCAGGCTGGAGCGCAGTGGTACGGTCACAGCTCACTGCAAGCTCCGCCTCCTGGGTTTACGCCATTCTCCTGCCTCAGCCTCCCAAGTAGCTGGGAGTACAGGCACCCGCCACCATGCCTGGCTAATTTTTTGGCATTTTTAGTAAAGATGGGGTTTCACCAGGTTGGCTAGGCTGGTCTCGAACTCCTGACCTGAGGCGATCCACCAGCTTTGGCCTCCCACAGTGCTGGGATTACAGGCATGAGCCACAGCGCCCGGCCCCAAGTAGTTTTAAGATAGGGTTGATTCTGTGGTTGGAGTGGCAGTGCTTTCCTGATTTGTTCAAGGACACAGGTTCTTTCCACCTCATGCCTCCTCCTTCCTTGGGGCTTGAGCTTTGCCCTCAGGTCACTCCCCTCATGACCACAAAATGGTGACTACAGTTACAAGCCACATATCCAGAGCAAATAGTCTTTAGAAGAAACAGATCATCTCTTCCTCTGTCTTTTTAGGATGAAGAGATCATTCCCAGAAGCTCCTCCATACCAGGATGTTTCCTTTCTGTTTTTTATTTTTTTGAGACAGGGTCTCACTCTGTCACCCAGGCTGGAGTGCAGTGGTGTAATAATAGCTCACTGCAGCCTTGATCTCCTGGGCTCAAGAGGTCCTCTTGCCTCAGCCTTCCAAGTAGCTGGAACTACAGGCATGTGCCACCATGCTCAGCCAATTTTTAAAAATTGTTTTTAGAGACAGGGTTTCACTATGTTGACTAGGCTGGTCTTGAACTTTTGGGCTCAAGCGATCCTCCCACCTCGGTTTCCCAAAGTGCTGGGATTACAGGCATGAGGAACCACACCCGTCCTCCTTTCACGTCTTAATGGTCAGAATTTGATCATGGGCTCACTCTCAATTATTAGAAAGGGGAATGGAATTTCCAAGATTAGTTGAGTAATGAGGAATCCTCTCCTGATCTTGGCTATGTAGAGGATATGGGGGATGGAAGGGTGTGCCTGTAGAGGCTGTATGAATATCTGAATAAAACCAGGGCTCTGGTAGGAAGAAAACATGGGGGCCAGAAATGGATATTGAATAAGCAACCAAGCGATATGACCACAACACAAGTACCATGACCAGGTGATATTAGTTTCCGTGTTTTAGAGATGAGAAAATAAGTCAGAGAGGGGAAAGTGACTAGGTCAAGGTCACAAAGCTACTAAATGAAAGAGACTAGATTCAGGCCCAGGTCTGTGACTACAGCGCCCACTCCCTCAGCCACTGCACTCAAGTGCTATGGTGGGAAAGCTGAGTTCAGGAAAGAAGAGAATAGCTGCAAAGCTTGCCTCAAAATCAGGTAAACTTGAGCCACTTGTAAAACCTGTGATGTCGCTGGGCACAGTGGCTTGCACCTGTAGTCCTAGCTACTCAAGAGGCTGAGGAGGGAGGATCACATGAGCCCAGGAATTTGAGGCTGAAGTGAGCTATGATCACACCACTGCACTCCAGCCTGGGCAGCAGGGCCAAACTCCATCTCTAAAAACAAATAGGCCGGGCACAGTGGCTGACACCTGTAATCCCGGCATTTTGCAGGCCAAGGAGCGAGGATGGGTTGAGCTCAGAAGTTAGAGACCAGCCTGAGCAACATAGTGAGACCTCGTCTCTATTAAAACTTAGCCAGGTATAGTGATCTGTACCTGTAGTCCCAGCTACTCAGGAGGCTGAGGCAGGAGGATTGCTTGAGCCAAGGAGGTCAAGTCTGCAGTGAGCTATAATCACCACTGCACTCCAACCTTAGTGACAGAGTGAAACCCTGTCTCAAAAAAATAAAAATAAAAACAAACAAACAAAAACCCTGTGATGTCACCAAGCCTCCCTAGCAGGGTGTACCGTTCAGGTTTGTTGTAGAACAAACAACCCCATAATGGAGCAAGTAAAAGCACAATAATTTCTTTAGCTCACAATTATATGGCTCAGCAATTTGGGCTGGGCTTCTGGTCTCACCTGGACTCACTCATGCATCTTTGGTCAGCTGGGGACTGGCTGGTCTAAGGTCACCCCTGGTGGACTCCTGGGCTGGTTCCACATGGTCTGTCACCCTTCAGCAGGTTAGGCTGTGCTTGTGCATATGGAGGCTGGGCAGGGTGCCAAGAGTGGGAGAGAAATACCTAAGGCGGCCAGACATGGTGGTTCACGCCTGTAATCCCAACACATTGGGAGGCCGAGGAGGGGCAGATCATCTGAGGTCAGGTGTTCGAGACCAGCCTGGCCAACATGGTGAAACCCCATCTCTACTAAAAATACAAAAATTAGCCAGACATGGTGGTGCGGGCCTGTAATCCCAGCTACTCAGAAGGCTGAGGCAGTAGAATCGCTTGAACCTGGGAGGCGGAGGTTGCAGTGAGCTGAGATCACGCCACTGCACTCCAGCCTGGGCGACAGAGCCAGACTCCACCTCAAAAGTAAAAAAAAAAGAAATGCCTAAGTCCTCTTGAGGCCTTGTTTGGATCTAGGAAAAATTACTTTTCAAGTGAGGACTGAACTAAAAAAGAATTTTATTTTCTCATTCTACAGAAAGGCAGATGCAACAGTGGTAAATGCCCCATTCCCATGTTCTCAGTTCAGGGAGGTGTTCAATAGGTTGGTCTGTTTCACAGCCAACATCACCTAGGCTCCTCAGGGACAAGTACTCTTAACCAGAGCTAGAAGATGGGGCTAAAAAACAGGACATGGATTCAGTACAGAGAGGTGGAAAGCAGCACCATGGTCAATGGATTGAGACTGGGATAGGGCCACACAAGGAGAGCATCTGAAAGCCAAATATTTAAACCCTAAGACAAGATTCCACCCAGTCTATTTGTGCCTGCCCCAAAACCAAAAAACACATTCCATATGGCAATCAAGAGACCAAAGCATATGTATACAAACATACACATATATATATGTTTTGTTTTGTTTTGAGACGGAGTCTTACTCTGTCTCCCAGGCTGGAGTGCAGTAGCACAATCTCTCTGCTCAGTGCAACCTCCACCTCCTGGGTTCAAGCGATTCTCATGCCTCAGCCTCCTGAGTAGCTGGGATTACAGGCCCACACCACCACACCCGGCTAATTTTTGTATTTTTAGTAGAGACGGGGTTTCGTCATGTTGCCCAGGCTGGTCTCAAACTCTTGACCTCAGGTGATCTGCCCGCCTCAGCCTCCCAAAGTGCTGAGATCACTGGCGTGAGCCACCACTTCTGGCCAGTGCCATATTTTCTACTATCCTGGTAAAGTAAATATTTGTACCAAACCCCACCAAACTTGAAATGAATGGAATGTTCTTAATTTTCAAGGTGCTATCTTTAAAGGTCTTCTCCAGAATGACCTGTGATATCTTTATAGGGGCCAGGGAGTTTCCCCTCGATATCAGAATTTCTTTACTTACAAGATTATAATCTCATAAGATTATAATCTTACAATTACTTACAAGATTCTATAATTACTTACAAGATGATAATCTTACAAGATTCCATAATTACTTGCAAGATTATAATCTTATAATTACTTACAAGATTCTATAATTACTTACAAGATTATCATCTTGTAAGTAAAGAAATTCTGATATTGAGGGGAAACCCCCTGGCCCCTATAAAGATATCACAGGTCATTCTGGAGAAGATCTTTAAAGATAGCACCTTGAAAATTAAGAACATTCCATTCATTTCAAGTTTGGTGGGGTTTAACACAAATATTTACTTTACCAGGATAGTAGAAAATGTGGCGCTGGCCGGGCACAGTGGTGCACTCCTGTGATCTCTGCACTTTGGGAGGCCGAGGTGGGCAGATCACGAGGTCAGGAGCTCAAGACCAGCCTGGCCAAGATGGTGAAACACTGTCTTTACTAAAAATACAAAAATTAGCCGGGCGTGGTGGTGGGCACCCGTAATTCCAGCTACTCAGGAGGCTGAGGCAGAGACTTGCTTGAACCCAGGAGGTGGAGGTTGCAGTAAGCTGAGATCTTGGTCACTGCATTCCAGCCTGGGCGACAGAGTGAGACTCTGTCTCAAAACAAAAACAAAAACAAAAACAAAAACAAAAACACTGTGGTCTAATCTATATGTCTTTTTTCTGAATTCATTTGAACTCATTCACTGCTATCACTAACAGTTTAAAGGCTGGGCGTGGTGGCTCATGCCTGTAATCCCAGCACTTTGGGAGGCCAAGGCAACATGGTGAAATCCTATCTCTACGAAAAATATAGAAAATTAGCCGAGTGTGGTGGTGCACACCTGTGGTCCCAGCTACTCCAGGAGGTGGAGGTGGGAGATCACTAGAGCTCAGGAAGTGAAGCCTGCAGTGAGCTGAAATCGCGCCACCAGGAGTAAGACCCTATCTCAAAAAATCAAAACAAAATAAAACACAGTTTAAATACTGTATGTAGGCATTTACATTTTGGAGTTAATTTCTTTTCTTTCTTTCTTTTTTTTTTTTTTGATTCAGAGTTTTGCTCGGTCGCCTGGGCTGAAGTATCGCCATTTTGGCTCACTGAAACCTCTGCCTCCCGGGTTCAAGCAATTCTCCTGCCTCAGCCTCCTGAGTAGCTGCAATTACAGGCATGCACCACCATGCCAGGCTAATTTTTGTATTTTTAGTAGATATGGGGTTTTATCATGTTGGCCAGGCTGGTCTCGAACTCCTGACCTCAGGTGATCCACCCGCCTCGGCCTCCCAAAGTGCTGGGATTACAGGCATGAGCCACTGCGCCTGGCCTTTGGAGTTAATTTCTAAGAAAAGGCAGTGGGCACAAGTAAGTTGTAGTTCATCTTATGAACTCATTCAGAAATTTACAGCCTTTTTTAAAAAACAGAGAGTGGGTTCTTGCTCTATTGCCAAGGCTGGGGTGCAATTGCATAATCATAGCTCACTGCAGCCTCGATCTCCTGGGTTCAAGCCATACTCCCTGCCCCAGGCTTCCTAGTATCTAGGATTACAGGCATATGCCACCATGCTAATTTATTTATTTATTTATTTTTAGAGGAGAAGACAGAGGGAATCTAGCTGTTACCCAGGCTGGTCTCTAATTCCTAGCCTCAAACGATCCTCCTTCCTCAACCTCCTGAGTAGCTATTATCGGCATGAGCCATTACCCCTGGCTGAAATTTATAGTCTTTATGTATGAATTCATGAACAGCATGAAGCTTGGCCAATAGCATTTCTGAAAGTGGAACTTGGCTCATGTGAATGCTCATAACAAAAGAGAGATTGCCAAAACAAGCAACTTTCTCTAAATAGAGGCGAAATAATAGTCTTACAGAGTAAATCTTCACAATGTAAAAACATAGAGTCAGTTCACTAAATGTTCTCTAAAACATGCTTCCAACATGCTGTTAAGTGGAAAAAAACTTTTATGATATAGTATTACTGTATAAATTCATCTCTTAACAGAAAAATATATTATATATGCAGATTTCAACTTTTTTTTGGAGACAGAGTCTCACTCTGTCGCCCAAGCTAGAGTACAGTGGTGTGATCTCGGCTCCCTGCAACCTCTGTCTCCTAGGTTCAAGCAATTCTCCTACCTCAGCTTCTCCCAAGTACCTGGGATTATAAGCACCCACCACCATGCCCAGCTAATTTTTGTATTTTTAGTAGAGATGGCGTTTCACCATATTTGTCAGGCTGGTCTCCTGACCTCAGGTGATCCACCTGCCTCGGCCTCCCAAAGTGCTGGGATTACAGGCATGAGCCACTGCACCCAACCAATTTAAACATCTTAAAAGAAACACATCAAAATGTAACTAGAGGTTGTTTCTACATAATGGGACCATGGGGATTTCTATTTCTTCTTTGGCATATTTGCATTTTCTACTTTTTTCTATAATGAACATCTATTGTTAAAACAGGTAAGATACTGAATTTTAGCAAGAAAAAATATGCAAATAGAAAAGAAATAAAATAAATATACCAAATGTCAACAGTGGTTACCAGTAGATGATGGCATCATCTGAGATTTTCAACTTTCTTTTTGTTTGTTTGTTTGTTTGTTTGTTTTTTGAGACAGTGTCTCGCTCTGTTGACCAGGCTGGAGTGCAATGGCACAATCTTGGCTCACTGCAACCTCTGCCTCCTGGGTTCAAGTGATTCTCCTGCCTCAGCCTCCTCTAGCTGGGACTACAGGTGTGCACCACCATGCCAGGCTAAGTTTTGTATTTTTAGTAGAGAAAGGTTTTGCCATGTTGGCCAGGTTGGTCTTGAACTCCTGGCCTCAAGTGATCTGCCTGCCTTGGCCTCCCAAAGTGCTGGAATTACAGGGGTGAGCCACCTTGCCCGGCAAATTTTCACATTTAGCTTTGATGTTTTTTGAATTTTCCACAAAAAGTATATATTAGAATTACATTGGTAATATCACATATTATATCACCCCATATTAGATGAATGGGAAGAGGAAGATAAGTGATTACAGAGTTAGAAGGGTCACTTCAATAAACTAAGACTAAAAACTTCTGCGTTATCATCAACTGCTATAGAGTCTTTCTTTTAAAGATGTCTAATTGTCGGCTGAGTGTGGTGGCTCACGCCTGTAATCCTAGCACTTTGGGAGGCTGAGGTGGGTGGATCACGAGGTCAGGAGTTCAAGACCAGCCTGGCCAAGATGGTGAAATCCCGTCTCTACTAAAAATACAAAAATTAGCCGGGTGTGGTGGCGGGTGTGGTGGCGGGCACCTGTAATCCCAGCTACTCGGGAGGCTGAGACAGGAGAATCGCTTGAACCTGGGAGGTGGATGTTGCAGTGAGCCGAGATCGCACCACTGCACTCCAGTCTGGGCGACAGAGCAAGACTCCATCTCAAAAAACAAAACAAAAACCAACCAAACAAACAAAAAATATGTGTAATTGTCAATAGCAGGATCCCTAAATGAAGCAGATAAAGACGTGATTTGCAAGTAGCAATGACACCTTCATACTGGTCCTAATGGTAGAGGGGTTCCCTAACTCAACACTGCCCCGTTCCTGTGGTCAGAGCACCTCTCTCTGATGTCGTCAGGAACAACCCCAGGCCAAATTCAAGTGAGAAAACTGGAGCTTAACAGTGGTTCCTAGGGTTAGTTGGATCCAAAGAATCAATTGCTAAAGTAGAAGTTGAGGGAGGTGTGAGTCAAGAACAGCCTCTGTGGAAATGACTTCAGGCTTTTAGTTGACAATGGGCTCGGTGTGAGTCATTCTAGGGACATGGGCTCTTGGCCAAAGAATTGCACTGAGGATCAAGGACATGATGGTGACCTGCTGCCAGCAGCCCAGCAGCCTACGCCATAAGCAATACTTTCAGTTCTGGGTGCTTTACTGTAAATGGGACAAGGAGGAGAGGAATTAAAGTGCTTAGGGACTTCGAGTCATGTACCGCAAGCAATGTTTGGAGAAGCTGAGAAAGAAAACTCAGGGGGCGGGGCGCGGTGGCTCACGCCTGTAATCCCAGCACTTTGGGAGGCTTTGGTGGGCAGATTGCTTGAGGCTGGGAGTTTGAGACCACCCTGGCCAACATGGCGAAACCCCATCTCTACTAAAAAATACAAAAATTAGCCAGGATCATGGAGGTGCACGCCTGTAATCCCAGCTACTAGGGAGGCTGAGGCACAAGAATCGCTTGAACCTGGGAGCCAAGATTGCGCCATTGCACTCCCGCCTGGGTGACAGAGCAAGATGCTGTCTCAAAAAAAAAAAAAAGAAAAAGAAAAAAGAAAAAGAAAAGAAAACTCAGGGGACACTAACAGCTAGCTGCCTTAACATACCTGATAAGCTATCAAGTTCAGGTCAATTAAATTTGTTCCATGTGGTTCTACAGGAAGTAGCCAGGACCAGTGTGGTGGGGCTGTAATTGGAATTATACTGAGACAGACCTTGAGATAGGAGAACAGATTTTTGAGTAGTTTGAAATGGCAGAAGATACATTGGTCTTGAACCTGCTCCTCAAAGTGTGGTGCAGAATTGCAGCCTGGCTTCAGAGGAAGCCCATTAGACAAGGACTAGGTCTCAGCCCCCAGCTCAGACCTACTGAATCAGTGCCTGCAGTTTAAAAAGATGCCCAGGGCCAGGCGTAGTGGCTCACACCTGTAATCCCAGCACTTTGGGAGGCTGAGGCAGGCAGATCACTTGAGGTCTGGAGTTTGAGACCAGCCTGGCCAACATGATGAAACCCTATCTCTACTAAAAATACAAAAATTAGCTGGACATGGTGGCAGGTACCTGTAATCCCAGCTACTAGGGAAGCTGGGGCAGGAGAATTGCTTGAACCCGGGAAGGCAGAGGTTGCAGTGTGCTGAGGTCGCATCATTGCACTCCAGCCTGGTCGACAAGAGCAAGACTCTTGTCAAAAAAAAAAAAAAAATTAAATTTAAAAAAGATACTTTAGATCATTTTTTGTGCCTATTCTGCTATGTAGATAAAAAAAATTTTTGAGACATGATCTACTGTGTCATCCAGGCTGGAGTGCAGTGATGCCATCTCGGCTCACTGCAACCTCTGCCTTCCAGGTTCAAGTGATTCTCCTACCTCAGCCTCCCGAGTAGCTGGGATTACAGGGGCCCACGACCACACCTGTCTAGTTTTTGTATTTTTAGTAGAGACAGGGTTTCACCATGTTGGCCAGGCTGGTCTTGAATTCCTGACCTCAAGTGATATACCTGCCTCAGCCTCCCAAAGTGCTGGGATTACAGATGTGAGTCACCACGCCTGGCCTCATGTACAAGTTTTCATACGGAAGAACTCTTCATCTTTTACATTTCTGAAAATATATTAATGTGATGCAACTCTTTGAAAAAGTCACACATAAAATGTCTATTTTTAAAAAAATTTTTAATTTTTATTTTTTTTGAGATGGAGTCTTGCTCTGTCGCTAGGCTGGAGTGCAATGGTGCCATCTTGGCTCACTGCAACCTCCACCTCCTGAGTTCAAGCAATTCTCCTGCCTCAGCCTCCCAAGTAGCTGGGACTACAGGCACGTGCCACCACACCCAGCTAATTTTTCACCATGTTGGCCAGGATGGTCTCCATCTCTTGACCTCGTGTTCCGCCCACCTCAGCCTTCCAAAGTGCTGGGATTACAGGCATGAGCCACCACACCCAGCCTAAAATGTCTATATTTTTAAGTTCCATTATCCCATTTCTCAGAATCTGACTCAAATAAATAACATACACGTAGAAGGTACTAGGTAGGAAGTTTCTAAGCATGATATTATTTAAGCATCACTGTTTTTTCCTTCTTCTCCAGTAAAAGGTACAAAAATAAGGGCCCACCTTCTTAATAACTGAAATATGACTCACGGGACATTTTCCTTTTATCCCAAGAGGCTTCTGCAAAGAGAAAACTGGTCCATCTCCAAAGGGGCCCAACTAGGGGATGGTTGCTGGGTTGGTCTCCCACAGTGTCACAGTTGGGAAGAGACTGTTAGTGACTTGGGCACAGGATGGCACTCCTGCTCATTTCCACACAATGGCAGGTCCCAGGAGTTGCAGCCTCAGTCCCTCCCAGGTGCACCCTGGTGAGTCTCTCCTCCAGGCCCCTATGTCCTTCAGATGACCTCAGTGAGGATCAGCTCAGTCTACCAGAGAGACTCTAATACCATTAAGCCTCATAAGGGCAGATTTTCCCACCCTCTCCCCAACAACTTTTGTGTGGTATGCTCCAAGGATAATGGGTGGTGTAGCCTCACCCTTCCCCAGAACATAGGGTAACCCTTGCCTTGCGTCTACCTAACCACAAAGAACCACTCAAGGGGATCTTCTTGAAGATCAGTACCACCATTGGCAGTCTCTATTTTGAATTTGTAAAACGTTGCATGTTGCTTTCTTATTCCATTTCTGTGCACAGTCAGCTTCTGCAAATTGTTTGGATGCATCATAACTTACTTAAACAATCCCTTAGTAGGTTGTTTCCAGTCTTTTGCTAACCAATCAACAATGCGACAGATATCCTTAATAGGCATCACTGAACATGACAAAATGAATTAAATGCATCTGTAGTATACTTTGAATTTGGGTAGATAACACCAGTTAATTTGGTCTCCATAGAGATTTAGTAACTCACCTAACTCATAGCAGGTGGAGCTGGGATTCAGACTCACGTTCTCTAGGCCAGAGTTCAGCCTCATAACCACCAAGGTAAACTGCCTTTTTGATGTTTTTTGTTTGTTTGTTTTGAGACAGGGTCTCACTCTGTTGCCCAGGCTAGAGTGCAGTGTTGTGATCATACCTCACTGCAGCCTCAAACTCCTGGGCTCAAGCAATCCTCCCACCTCAGCCTCCCAAGTGGTTGGAACTGCAGGCATGCTACCATGCCCCACTAATTTTTTTTTTTTTTTTGTACAGATGAAGGTCTTACTTGTTTCCCAGGCTGGTCTTGAACTCCTGAGCTCAAGTATCCACCCACCTTGGCCTCCCAAAGTGCTGGGATTACAGGTGTGAGCCACTGCACCTGGCCACCTTTTTGAAATTTGCCAGTCTGAGATCTAAAGACTGGTACTTTTCAGTCATTTTAATGTGAATTTCTCTTACTACGAAAGAGTAAACATTGTATCATAGCTTAGTTTGTTTATTTTTCTGTGAATTGTCTATACCTAGTATTTGCCCATTTTTCCATTAAATTATTGGCTTGTTTCCATATCAATTTGTAAGAATTCTTTATATATTAGGGAAACTAGTCCTTTCTGTATTCAGAATTGAAAATACTGTTCCCAGGACGGGTGCGGTGGCTCATGCCTGTAATCCCAGCACTTTGGGAGGCCAAGGCGGGTGGATCACTTGAGGTTAGGAGTTCGAGACCAGCCTGGCCAACATGGTGAAACCCTGTCTCTACTAAAACTAAAAAAATTAGCTGGGCGTGGTGGCATGCACCTGTAATCCTAGCTATTCAGGAGACTGAGGCAGGAGAATCACTTGAACCCGGGAGGTGGGGAGTTGCAGTGAGTCGAGAATGCGCCATTGCACTCCAGCCTAGGCAACAAGAGCGAAACTCCATCTTAAAAAAAAAAAAAAAAGAAATACTGTTCCCAGCTTGTCTTTTGACTTAACTTATAATGGTTACTGCCATGAAGAAAATAGATTTTTATATCCATTTTTTATTTTATGGATTCTGAACTTAGTTTTATAGTTGGACAAAATTTTCATTTATGAAATAATAAAAAAAACTCTCCAATGGATTTTTCAAGTATTTCATAGTTTTTCTTTTTTTTTCACATCTAAATATTGGGTACATTTGGAATTCGTCCCAGTGAAAGATACGTATCCAATATTCCCCCCAGATGGCCACTCAGTTGTCTCCACACTGTTTTTTAAATTACCTATCAGTCCCATTGATTTATACCACCCTTATCATACATTAAATCCCACTGGCAACATTCAATGATAGCTTCTTTTAAAAAATGAACGAAACGTCCTAGGCGTAGGCACCCTATTTCACTCCCTTTCTCCACTACATTTATCAATCCATATCAGGAACACCTTAAATATTTGATAACAGAGCCCAACCATAGAATTTTGGTTGAAGTATATTCTTTTACATCTCCCTGATGGAGTACTATGCAACTTTTAAAACAAATATTATAAAGATTATGTTAAAACATGAGGGAAATACTTCTGATGAAAATGTCAAGTGAAAAAGAAAGAATATAAACTTTATGCAAACCAAGAATATGACCACACTGTGAAAAAATGCACAGAAAAGAATCCCATGAGCAAAATACCAGAAGGATGATAGCAAAGTTATTGGGATATGAGAGGAGAGATTTCCCCGATCTTTTTCCCTCCAAATCTTTTGTAAAGTGATGATATTGGCATAATTTTCAAATTTTCACTTTTTTTCTTTTTTGAGACAGAGTCTTGCTCTGTCACCCAGGCTGGAGTGCAGTGGCACGATCTCAGCTCACTGCAACCTCTGCCTCCCGAGTTCAAGTGATTCTCATGCCTCAGCCTCCCGAGTAGCTGGGACTACAGGTGCATGCCACCACACCTGGCTAATTTTTTGTATTTTTAGTAGAGACAGGTTTTCGCTGCATTAGTCAGGATGGTCTCGATCTCCTGACCCCGTGATTCACCAGCCTCGGCCTCCCAAAGTGCTGGGATTACAGGCGTGAGCCACTGCGCCTGGTCTATTTTCACTTTTTAATAACGGCATTTTGTCCGTGTGTGTTTTTCTCCTTTGCCTCAAGAGAATTCATGGAAATGATGGTAAAGAAATGAAAAGATGGCCTGGTGCAGTGGCTTATGCCTGTAATCCCAGCACTTTGGGAGGCTGAGGTGGGCGGATCACGAGGTCAGGAGTTTGAGACCAGCCTGGCCAATATGGTGAAAACCTGTCTACTAAAAATACACAAATTAGCTGGGCATGGTGGCATGTGCCTGTAGTCCGAGCTACTCAGGAGGCTGAGGCAGGAGAATCGCTTGAACCCGGGAGGCAGAGGTTGCAGTGAGCCAAGATGGCTCCACTGTACTCCAGCCTGGGTGACAGAGTGAGACTCTGTCCCAAAAATAAATAAATAAATAAATAAATAAATAAATAAATAAATAAAAAGATTACAAACTCACAAGTCCAAAAAAGAATAAAAGAGGAAGAGAAGATCTCATGGTTGGAAAATCCCAGCATGTTTGTGGGAGACAGCAAGCTGATGATAGAGTGGTAACAGACACCACAGAGATGTGAAGGAAGCAACCAGAAGGCCTGGGTGGGGCGTGAATAAAGTAAAACATGTCACCTGTGGATGGGACTCCAGACCCCTTCTGGGAGACATCGCTGACTCACGGTGTGTGCCCTTGGGCCAAGACACGGAGAAGTGCTCATGCCTCTTTTCTCCCAACTGAACAAGGGACACTGTGTTTAACATCTCTGGCTTCCACTTCGAGCTGTGGGGAGAGTTAATTGCTGTTTGAGAAAAGGTATATGAGCTGGTGGGATAAAAGACTTGACAGGAGGAGGGTTATTACCAGTCAAGTAACCCTTTTTTCCTCTTTCTTTCTCTCTCTCTCTCTCTCTCCTTCCTTCCTTCCTTCCTCTTCTTCTTTCCTTCCTTCCTTCTTTCTTTCTTTTTTTCTTTCTTTCCTTCTTTCTTTCTCTTTTTCTTTCTTTCTTTCTTTTTCAAGACGGAGTCTCGCTCTGTTGCCTAGACTGGAGTGCAGTGGCAAGATCTCGGCTCCCTGCAACCTCCACCTCCCAGGTTTAAGCAATTCTCCTTCCTTAGCCTCCTGAGTAGCCAGGATTACAGGCGCTCACCATCAAGCCTGGCTAATTTTTTCTATTTTTAGTAGAGATGGGGTTTCACCATGTTGGCCAGGCTCGTCTTGAACTCCTGATCTCAGGTGATCCACCCGCCTCGGCCTCCCAAAGTGCTGGGATTACAGGCATGAGCCACCTCACCCAGCCTAAGTAACCCTTTAAACCCTCTGATCCTCTCATGCTCACAGAGGACCAGCACTCAGGTGTATAGCTAGGCAGCTGCAGGTGCAGCCTGATGCACGCTTTGGCCAAATACTCATCCCTGTGAAAACAGAGTAGGGATGGCCAACTGCAAAGGCATGAATGGGTGTGAGGCTCCCAGTCAAGACACCAGCCCCCATGCTTTCCTGGGCAGCTACTTCCCCTAGAGCTAGTAACATGTCCTCCTTGGTCCTCCCATCCAGTAACCTTGTTCCTCTCCAGATCTGGAGCCCTGTCTTTTTTTTTTTTTTTTATTTTGGAGTCTCACTCTGTCGCCCAGGCTGAAGTGCAGTGGCATGATCTTGGCTCACTGCAAGCTCTGCCTTCCGGGTTCATGCCATTCTCCCGCCTCAGCCTCCTGAGTAACTGGGACTACAGGCGCCTGCCGCCACGCCCGGCTAATTTTGTTTTTGTGTTTTTAGTAGAGACGGGGTTTCACCGTGTTAGCCAGGATGGTCTCAGCTGGTCTCGATCTCCTGACCTCGTGATCCACCCACCTCGGCCTCCCAAAGTGCTGGGATTGCAGGTGTGAGCCACTGCGCCCGGCCAAGGAGCCCTGTCTTAAACTCTCACCTAGTGTCTCTTGTTGCCTTGTCTTGCTCCTAATCATCAAGACAAGTCCAGCTTCCACACCCTGGGAGCCCCAATGACCTAGAGTTTCTGCTCAGATTACAACAGTCTTGCCAAGATACAGGAATGTGGTAAAAATTTAGTTATCTCCAATAAATGGATGGTGTTGGCAGATGCATCTGCTCAGGAGGGACACACACACACACACACACACACACACACACACACACACACACACTCCATGACCTGGTGGGCTTGGATCCAGTCTCTTTTCTATGGCTGAGAAACCAGATGGGGCTAAAAATATTCATTCCTTTAATTGATTGTTTTTAAACCTTTCTTTGAGAGAATGAATTTCTAAGCCCAGGAATGTAGCTTTGAAGACCACAATAATCATTTATTTAAAATCCACTCTAGGCCAGGCGCAGTGGCTCACACCTGTAATCCCAACACTTTGAGAGGCCGAGGCAGGTGGATCACCTGAGATCAGGAGTTCCAGACCAGCCTGGCCAACATGGTGAAACCCCGTCTCTGCTAAAAATACAAAAAATTAGCCGGGCGTGGTGGCTGGGCCCTGTACTCCCAGCTACTCAGGAGGCTGAGGCAGGAGAATCGCTTAAACCCGGGAGGCAGAGGTTGCAGTGAGCCGAGATGATGCCACTACACTCCAGCCTGGGTGACAGAGCGAGACTCTGTCTCAAAAAAAAAAAAGGGAAGAAAATCCACTCTAGGCTGGGCACAGTGGTTCATGCCTATAATCCTAGCACGTTGGGAAGCTGAGGCGGTAGAATTGCCTGAGCTCATGAGTTCAAGACCAGCCTGGGCAACCAGTGAAACCCCATCTCTACCAAAATACAAAAAATTAGCTGGGTGTGGTGGCGCATACCTGTAGTCCCAGCTACTCAGGAGGCTGAGGCACGAGAATTGCTTGAACCCAGGAAGCAGAAGGTTGCAGTGAGCCGAGATTGCGCCACTGCACTCCAGCCTAGGCAACAGAGTGAGACTCTGTCTCCAAAAAAAGGAAAGAAAATCCACTCTATAAGTCAGAACCTGTCGCAGATCATATGAAAATATGAAGAAATATGATCCCCACCTCAGAGCTAGCTAGACTATTTATACTTCTCTTAAAGACCTAAGCATACTTTTCTCCATGAGAGAAGGAACCATCTCTGTATCTCTGTCTTATTTACTGCTTCGTATTTCTTTTCTTTTCTTTCTTCTTCTTTTTTTTTTTTTTCGAGATGGAGTCTCCCTCTGTCGCCCAGGCTGGAGTGCAAGTGGCACAATCTCGGCTCACTGCAGCTTCTGTCTCCTGGGTTCAAGCAATTCTCCTGCCTCAGCCTCCCATGTAGCTGGGACTACAGGTGTGTTCCACCACACTCGCCTAATTTTTGTATTTTTAGTAGAGACGGGGTTTCACCATGTTGGCCAGCTAGTCTCGAACACCTGACCTCAAGTACTCTGCCAGCCTTGGCCTCCCAAAGTGCTGGGATTACAGGCGTGAGTCACTGCGCCTGGCCTGCTGCTTCATATTTCATTTCATTCATTCAGGAAATATTTTATGAACATCTACCATGTGCCAGGCCACTGGGATAAAACAGTGAACAAAAACAAAATATCTATTCTCATGGACTTAGATTCTAGTGAGACAAATAGACAATAAATACACGAACAAATAAACCCATAACATGCAAAGTGATGATAAAGCCTTAGGAAAAATAAAGAAAGGCCCGTCAGCCATGTGAGTATGTAGCAAGAAGGCACCCTCTATGAAGCAGAGAACAAGCCCTTCCCAGATACCAAATCAGCTGATGCCTTGATTTTGGACTTTCCAGCCTCTAGAACTATGCACAATAAATTCTATTGTTTTTAAATTTTCTAGAAAAGAAAAATAAAGGAGGGTAAGGGAACAAGAGTGGCAGAGGACATTATTTCACATAGGTTAGTTGGGGAGACTTCTCTGATAAGGCTAAGTTTAAGCAGAGACTTGAATTAGGCAAGGGAGCAGTCTATGTGGATATCTGGGAGAAGATGGAGCTGTAAATGCAAGATCCTAGAGGAGGAAACAGCCAACAGTGTTCTGTCGGAGAACAGCAATGAGAAAAGGGTCGCAAGAATGGAGTGAACAAATGAGCCACACATGGTGGCACGTGCATGTGACCACAGCCACTTGGGAGGCTGAAGCATGAGAATCACTTGAACCTGGGAGGCAGAGGTTGCAGTTAGCCAAGGTTGTGCCACTGCACTCCAGCCTGAGCAACAGAGCGAGACTCTGCCTTAAAGAAATAAAACTAAATTAAAAAATACAGAATGGAGTGAACAAAGTTGGAATTCAACCAGAAATATGATTAGGGAGAGGGAGTGGTATTATCATGTGGAGCCTTTTAGACAAGGACTTTGTGTAAGCTTTTCATGGAATATAGCACATATAGAGAAAAGGAAACATCGTAAGTGTACAACTCAGTGCATTTTTTTTTTTTTTTGAGACAGGGTTTTACTCTCGTCACCCAGGCTGGAATGCAGTGGTGGGATCTTGGCTCACTGCAACCTCTACCTCTGGGGCTCAAGTGATCCTCCCACCTCAGCTTCCTGAGTACCTGAGACTACAGATGCAAACCACTGCACCTGGCTAATTTTTGTATTTTTTGTAGAGACAGTGTTTTACCTTGTTGCCAGGCTGGTCTCAAACTCCTGGGCTCAAGCGATCCTCCTGCCTTGGCCTCCCAAAGTGCTGGGATTACAGGGGTGAGTCACTGCACCCAGCCTGATTTTTCACCAACCCACCCATTTAAACCATCATCCCAACCAAGCTATGAAACGCTAACAGCAGCTTGCTGGGTGTGGGGGCTCATGCCTGTAATCCCAGCACTTTGGGAGGCCAAGGCAGGAGGATCGCCTGAGGTCAGAAGTTTGAGACCAGCCTGGCCAACGTGGTGAAACCCCGTCTCTAATAAAATTACAAAAATTGGCTGGGCATGGTGGTGCGCACCTGTAATCCCAGCTACTCGGGAGGCTGACGCAGGAGAATCACTTGAACCTGGGAGGCAGAGGTTGAGGTGAGCTGAGATTAAAAAAAAAAAAAAAAAAAAAAAAAAAGAACACTACCAGCAACCCTGGCCGGGCGCAGTGACTCACACTTGCAACCCTTGGACTTTGGGAGGCCGAGGCGGGTGGATCACCTGAGGTCAGGAGTTTGAGACCAGCCTAGCCAAGATGGCGAAACCCCATCTCTACTAAAAATACAAAAATTAGCCAGGCGTGGTGGCGTGCACCTATAATCCCAGCTACTTGGAGGCTGAGGCAGGTGAATCGTTTGAACCCAGGAGACGGAGGTTGCAGTGAGCCGAGATCACGCTACTTCACTCCAGCCTGGGCAAAAGAGCAAAACTCCATCTCAAAACAAAAAACAAAAAACAAAAAACCACTACCAGCAACCCTGAAGCCTCTTTCACGCCTCCTGTCATTACTTGATTTTGGACTTTCAGTCCACACTGGATCAGTTTTGCCTGTTTTGAACTTTGTGCTTATGAATCACACAGTATTACCCTTTGGTGTCAGGCTTCACTCCCTCAGTGTTATGGTTATGAGATTTGTCCATGTTATCGTGCATAGTGATGCTTCATTTTTTTTCATTGCCCTGTAATATTGCACTGTGTAAATATAACACAATTGATTTGTCCATTCTACCATGGATCAATATTTGGGTTGTTTCCAGTTTGGGGGCTATTTCAAACGCTGCGATGACCATTCTCATTTGTGTCATTTGGAACACATGAGTATGCATTCAGGGTGAGATTATTAGGTTTAGGTTTTACTTTTTTTTTTTGGTAGCGGGGGATGGAGTCTCACTCTGTCACCCCGGCTGAAGTGTAGTGGCTCAATCTTGGCTCACTGCAACCTCCACCTTCTGGGTTTAAGCGATTCTCCTGCCTCAGCCTCCTGAGTGGCTGGCATTACAGGCACCCACCACTATGCCCGGCTAATTTTTGTATTTTTAGTAGAGACGGGGTTTTGCCATTTTGGCCAGGCTGGCCTCAAACTCCTGACCTCAAATGATCTACCCACCTCGGCCTCCCAAAGTACTGGGATTACAGGTGTGAGCCACCATGCCTAGCCATCTAGGTTTTACTTTGATAGATGCTACCAAACTATCTTCAGACTTTGCTTTTCAAACTGAATGAAAAGGGAAATAATTTGAAGGTTCAAAGTAGAAAAATCCCATAATCTGACTTACATCTTTAAAGGGTCACATACTATAAATTTTGAAAGATTACATTTTTTAAATATTCACCATATGAAACAAAATCCAACCTGACCAGTCCCAGCACTGAAAGCATGACTCCAGATTTGTACCTCTAGCCAGAACCTCTCCTCTGAACTACAGACCGTTATCTCCAAAGTCTGCTTGACAGCTGCACATGGATGTCCAATGGGCATCTCCACCTTTCCATGGCCAACAGCTTCTGATATTCTGCCCTGAGCCAATTCTTCCTATGGGTTTTCCATCTTTACTAACAGCAACTCTGTTCTTCCATTTATTTAGGCTGGAAACATGGGTATATCTTTTTCTCTATTTTCTCATGCTCCACATCTGGTCTATCAGCAGATCCTGTGAGCTCTATCTTCAGAATATTCTGGAATCACAGCTTACCACTCCCTACCACTACCTGTCCAAACCACCATTCTCTCTCTCCTAGCCTACTGCAGTGCCCTTTTACTTTTTTTCTCTTATTTTATTTATTTATTTTGAGATGTAGTCTCCCAGACTGGAGTGCACTGAAGTGATCTCAACTCACTGCAACCTCCGCTGTCCAGGTTCAAGCAATTCTCCTGCCTCAGCCTCCCCAGTAGCTGGGATTACAGGTGCACACCACCATGCCCGGCTAATTTTTGTATTTTTAGTAGAGACGGGGTTTCACCATGTTGCCCAGCCTGGTCTTGAACTCCTGACCTCAAGTGATCCACTCACCTCAGCCTCCCAAAGTGCTGGGATTACAGGGGTGAGCCACAGCGCCTGGCCTGCAGTGCCCTCCTAAGTGGTTTTGCTGCTCCCACATCCTGCTCTCACCCTGTTCAGGATACTATCGGTGCCGCTTCCCAAAAGATCCTGTTCAAACATAAATCAGAGCCTGTCACTTCTCCATTAAAACCCTCCAGTGGCTTCCTGTATCATGCTGGGTGCAAACCAAAGTCCATACTACCACCCACAAATTGTAGCAAGATACTGCTCCTTTTAGCCACACTGACTTTAACTCCTGTGACGCTCCCGTCCTCACTCCATTCCAGCCATGCTGTTCATCAAACTGGCCTTTCCCCTGTTCATCAAACTGCCCAGGTGAGCTCTTAATCTCAGGAACTTTACACTTTCTCTTCCCACTGCCTAGAATGCCCTTGCCCCAGCTAACTGCCAGCTCACTCCCTTGCCTCTGTCAAGTCTCTACTCGAAATTTCCTTTCTCAGCAAGGACTTTCCCAGCCCCCTGGTTTGACATTTCATACTTCCCCAATGCCTGACATTACATATTGCTTTCCCAGCTTTTTTTCTTTGCTCAGCATTTATCACTATCTCACATGCTATAATTTTTATATCTTTTATCTTGTTTATCAGCTGTCCCTCCCAGCAGAACGTAATTGCTATGAGGACATTGATTTCTATGTTTTGTTTACAACCGTAGCCTGGCATCCAGAACAGGGCTTGGCACATAGTAGGCACTTAATAAATATTTACTGAGTGAATGAATAGATGGCTCCTTGCCCTAGATCTTCTCTTGATTACCTGTGCTTCAGAAGCTGGTGAGAAATCAGCAGAGGTTTCTAAGCACTTCCAATAAGTTGGAGTTGCCAATAGAAACATGTTCCTTCTCTACTCTCCCTCCCTGGCGTGCAGGGACCTGGGAAAAGCAGAGATGCTGATCGATATCTCTGACTGGGAAGGAAGATGGGATTAGGTACTAGAAATAAGAGGAAGGATGTCTCCGCCCGTCTGCTCAGAGGCTGCAATCTGCTTGGCATGCCGCCTGCTCCCAGAAACAGGATGTGTCCAGAGAGGAAGTGACTGCAGACGTGGAGTGGGGGAAAATGCCCCGTGCCTGAGACAGAACACTTGAGGCTAGTCATTCTGGAGCCTTCCAAGGGTCCATTCCTGGGGGATGAGTAAAATCCGCTCCGCAGTCTCACAGTGACTCATTCTGAATGGCGGAGAATCCAAAGCCCTTCCCTAAGTTAGGGCAAAAACAGGTGCTTCCTCCTCTGGGGTTCCCAGCTTGGGTGACTGATGCTGAAGGACAGAGGATGCCCACACACCTTGTTGGAGGCTCTGCAGGAACTGACAAAGAAAATAGCATGGTAGAAAGTCATTTTAACCAATCTTCTCTTCCTTGACTTGAGGTCAGAAGTAGACAAGTCTAGAAGGCCATTGCCCAGGTGTTTCTTAGGAAATCCGCTTCCTGCACCTTCCCCAGTAGCGGGTAAAGAGGCAAGATCGGCCTGACTGAGCCCTGGGGCCTCAAGCTCAGGCAGCCTGGCAGAGGGAGCCCCCTACTTCATTGAGCTGGTCCAGCCCCAAGGCCACAGAGGCTTTTTTTTTTTTTTTTTTTGATATGGAGTCTTGTTCTGTCGCCCAGGCTGGAATGCAGCGACGCAATCTCAGCTCACTGCAACCTCTACCTCCTGGGTTCAAGCAAGTCTCCTGCCTCAGCCTCCCGAGTAGTTGAGACTACAGGTGCCCACCACCATGCCTGGCTAATTTTTGTATTTTTAGTAGAGTCAGTGTTCCACCATGTTGGCCAGGCTGGTCTCAAACTCCTGACCTTAGGTGATCCACTTGCCTCAGCCTCCCAAAGTGCTAGGGTTACAGGTGTGAGCCACCACGCCTGGGTTTTTTTTTTTTTTTTTTTTTTTTTTTTTTTTTTAATTTGAGACAGGGTCTTGCTTTGTCGCCCAGGCTGGAGTGCAGTGGCACCCTTCACCTCCTGGGTTCAAGCGATTCTCCTGCCTCAGCCTTCCGAGTAGTTGGGATTACAGGTGACTGCCACCATGCCCGGCTGATTTTTGTATTTTTAGTAGAGATGGGGTTTCACTATGTTGGCCAGGCTGGTCTCAGACTCCTGACCTCAGGTGATCCATCCACCTCAGCCTCCCAAAGTGCTGGGATTACAGGCGTGAGCCACTGCACCTGGTCTGGCCCAGCCATAAGTCTTATTTTGCAGCCCAAAGAGAGAAAAACAGTCCCTACAGACACTCCCCAGGGGCTCTGCCTTGGTGGGCTCTCAAATTTGGACTCTGCCTGTAGGCCAAAGGGCACTAATGTCATAAAACCCACACCAGGAAGCTTGCGAAGAAAAACAACTTGGCTGTTTAAGAAAAGACCCACAAACACAGTGCCGAACATGGAAATGGACAGAGGCATCGATGCAAGTTTCCAGAAGGGCAGAAAAAGCTAGAAAACTCTCCCAACACTGAGTAACCACAGCAATCTCTAGACAGGTTCTGGGCCTTATGTTTACGATGAAATGCAGGAAGCAGCTCAAAGCCTAGAATGTTATTGTGAGCATTAATATTATGTTCATAAAAGCTGTGGTATTTTTTTCTTCTTCTCTGAAAGCCAAAGCAAGCATCTCTAAACTTGTCCTTGATAAGAGGTTAAATATAGCAGGAGGTGTCATGCCAGTATGCTGCTTCTAATTTATTTACAGAAAAGAGCCCCTATGGTGCAAGACATTCTGTAAGCTGCTTTTTTGTTTGTTTAAACAGTTGATCATGAGCATCTTTTCATGTCGGTATGTATACATCTACACGGTTCTATGTGCTTTCTGTAAACTAAGAAACTAAGGGGTCTTCCTCAGTGAAAGAGGTAGAGCTTTTGTAGGAAATAGCCTGGAAGTGGGCGTGGCCATAGAGGCCCCTGGGCCCCAGCCAGGCATCCATTCTTCCTCCCGGCTGCGGCTGCGGTGAACATTCTTGTGACCAGGAGCTCACACTTCAGCCCTTTCTCATATTCAGCAGAAACTGGCGCATCTCAAGTCTGAGCCCCACTTCCTGTTACAGCCAGAAAGCCGAGGAAGCACCACCCCTTGGCTGTCTAGAGCTCCCCAAATCCCTGCAATTTCTTCTCACCTTGCCCCAAGCTCATGTCTTCCTTTCTAGAAGCTGGAGATGAAGGCAAAGCAACCATTCTTCCTGGGAGAGTCACCAACCATCCCCATTTGCCTGGGACTAGGGGGTCTCCTGAGTTGTGAGACTTCAGGTTTTAAAACCAGGACAACCCCAAGAAAACCAAGATAGTTGGTCAGCCCACTCCCAGAACTGGAGGCATGGCCAATCCTGACAGAGCTGCTGGAGGTCCCCTTTTCACAGTTCCAACAAGGGTCAGGTTGGAATTTTCCAGAAGGCATACCTACGGAGATTCTCCAGCTGGGCCTGCTTGAGTCCCATGTCCACCCCAGAGATAATCGCCAGGACAGAGAGTGGATGCAGAGGAGGCAGATGAGAACCGCCCAC
Organism: Homo sapiens; assembly: GCF_000001405.40. Taxonomy (NCBI): domain Eukaryota; kingdom Metazoa; phylum Chordata; class Mammalia; order Primates; family Hominidae; genus Homo; species Homo sapiens. The sequence continues at coordinate 64,709,720 of NC_000017.11, forward strand.
CAGGAAACAGGCACGTCCCATTCTACAAAGCCTTCACATGTCTGAAGCCAGCCTGACCTCTCCCCAGTTTCTCCATTTGTCCTCAAATGCAGGGCTTCCCAGGCCCTTCCCCATCTGTGGTATTAGGGAGGGGACCACTCTGGAAGGAGACCCTAGGCTTTCCCTCCCACCTGAGTGTCAGTATTCTCAGAGGAGCCAATCTGGAAACGAGATCTCAGGAGGTCTGAGGGGAGCTGTGGCCAATGGGCAGGCCTGCGAAGGCAGAAGACACCGACTCCACTGCTGGGCTGTGGGAGACCCTCGGGGCCAGCAAAGTCAGGCAACCAGGATAGGCTCATGTTTAAGCAAAATGTCAGGAACAATTTTCAAATAATCGACTCCATTTGCTCCAATTCAGCCTTCCAACACTGCTTCAGGTAAAATGCCTCTTTTTACATTTCAACCAACGGGTCTTATTGTTAATCTGGAAAATACACAATAAATGCATTACTTTCCCTGTATTTCCAGGCTTTCTAGACACTCTTTGGCACATGTATGGTACTTTTTTAGTTTAACAATTGAACCCACTAATTTCAATGTAAAGGTACTTTGCAGGCAGACACCTATAATCCCAGTACTTTGGGAGGTTGAGGTGGGCAGATCACCTGAGGTCAGGAGTTCAAGACCAATCTGGCCAACATGGTGAAACTCCATCTCTACTAAAAATACAAAAATTAGCTGGGCATGGTGGCAGGTGCCTGTAATCCCAGCTATTTGGGAGGCTGAGGCAGGAGAATAGCTTGAACATGGGAGGTGGAGGTTACAGCGAGCTGAGATCACACCATTGCACTCTAGCCTGGGCGACAGAGCAAAACTCCATCTAAAAAAAAAATACAAGGCTGGGCAAGGTGGCTCACACCTGTAATCTCAGCACTTTGGGAGGCCAAGGCAGGTGGATCAACTGAGGTCAGGAGTTCAAGACCAGCCTGGCCAACATGGTGAAACCCCGTCTCTACTAAAAATACAAAATTAGCTGGGTGTGGTGGCTCATGCCTGTAATCACAGCTACTCAGGAGGCTGAGACAGGAGAATTGCTTGAACCCAGGAGACAGAGGTTGCAGTGAGCCAGGATTGTGCCATTGCACTCCAGCCTGGGCAACAAGAGTGAAACTCTGTCTCAAAACTAAAACAAAACAAAACAAAAACCTCAATGTAAAGGTACTTTGCCCACTGAGCACCATGGCTCATGCCTGTAATCCCAGCACTTTGAGGCTGAGGCGGGCAGATCACCTGAGGTCAGGAGTTCAAGACCAGCCTGACCAACATGGTGAAACCCCCATCTTTACTAAAAACACAACAATTAGCCAGGCATGGTGATGGGTGCCTGTAATCCCAGCTACTCGGGAGGCTGAGGCAGGAGAATCGCTTGAACCTGGGAGGCAGAGGTTGCGGTGAGCCGAGATTGCACCACTGCACTCCAACCTGGGAGACAGTGAAACTCCATCTCAAAAAACAAAAAAAAGATACTTTGCCTGAAAACATAATGAGCATATTATTTGAAAATGTCAGTAGCATACACTTAAAAAAAAAGTAAATAAATAAGTAATAGAGACAAAAGACAAATCTCCCATGTAGTGTTCCAGATAATTCCTGTAGATACTCCACCTCATAACTCCCACTCCTTAAACGTGGGTTGTACATGGTGAATGACCAAAGAGGATGGTATGGAAAACGGGAAGAAAAGAGTAACTTTACAGTGGAGAAACTGACAAACACTACTTCAGCCAGGTAATTAATAGCGGAGAGAGTGAGCGTGTATGTCCTGTGTTTCTCAACTTTGCTGACACCCTATAGTCTTGTGGGGAGCAGTCTGGTGAAGCATAAAGATCTTGGATCTGGAGTCAGCCAGCTCTGAGCTCCAATCCTACCTCTGTGTGCTCTTGGAGCAGTCACTCAACCTCATTGAGCCTCAGTTTCCCCATCTGTGAGAAGAGGATTAGAATGCAGGGATGAGGCCAGGTGCAGTGGTTCATACCTGTGATCCCAGTACTTTGGGAGATCAAGGCAGGAGAATCACTTGAGCCCAGGAGTTCAAGACCAGCCTGGGCAACAAAGAGAGACCTCCGTCTCTACAGAAAGTTAAAAAATTAGCTGGGTGTGGTGATGCACACCTGTAATCTCACCTATTTGGGAGGCTGAGGTGGGAGGATCACTTGAGCCTGGGAGGTTGAGGCTACAGTGAGCCATGATGGTGCCATTGTACTGCAGCCTAGGTGACAGAGTGAGACTCTGTCTCAAAAAAAAAAAAATTTAAATTAAAAAACGAAAAGAATGTCTATCTGGCCCTTAGCAACCGTGAGTGCTGGAGGAATCATGTTACATTTGAAGGCAGCTCCGAGGTACTGGAGTGGAGTCGGGTGGCTTCGCAGAAGGGTCCTGCTGTTAACACACTTTCCCTCGGGCAGATCCCCTCATACTGCCCGGACCTTCCAGTCCTTCACTCATTCTTCACTAAAGGCTGCAAGGGGCCAGGGCATGATGGCTCATGCCTATAATCCCAGCACTTTGGGAGGCCGAGGTGGGTGGATTGCTTGAGGTCAGGAGTTCAAAACCAGCCTGGCCAACATGGTGAAGCCCCGTCTCTACAAAAAAAAAATTACAAAAATACAAAAATTAGCCAGGCATGGTGGCGTGTGCCTATAATCCCAGCTACTCCGGAGGCTGAAGCACGAGAATCACTTGAACCCAGGAGGCAGAGGTTGCAGTGAACTGAGATCATGCCACTGCACTCCAGCCTGGGCGACAGGGCGAGACCCTGTCTCAAAAAATTAAAAAAAAAATGCTCCAAGGTCAAGGGCTTTTCAGACCCTCTTGGTCCATTTGGTTAGGGGGTGTTTTCACAAAGCTTTGCCTTGTTAGCTTTATGGGACCCGGAGGGCATACTTTATAGAACACAATCTTCATACCAGTGTCTCTAACCACAAACCCCAAGAGTCTGAACGTTGAGACACTCAGGAAGTTGAAAGGGACCTCTCCTCTTCAGAGGCCCGGCCCAGCTCTCAGGAATGGCATGCATCAAAAGGCAGGAAGTCCCTCACAAGTCTGTCCTATCAAGCCACCAGACACTGGTTACCTTTATGTGGCTGCACAAGAGGCTGAGTTCCCAGGGAGGGGCGAGGTGGTCTGGGGCTTTCAAGCCGTGGTGGAACCCACGCCTGAGAAGGGAGGCCTGCCGCTCCCACCACAGGAAGCCTGGCCCCCGCCAGCAACAGAGAGACTCAGAGCCCAGGCCTCAGTGCCCTCATGGGATAAGTGGCATTTTGGTTCCTGTTTCCTTCCCTCTCTGTTTTTCTTTTTCTTTTCATAGATTCTCCAAGCAAATATTAAACATGTCCTGCAAATCTCAGGAATCAGCACACAGAGAAACACAAAGAAGAGTAAGTGGCCTTCTTCCAAGACCTGGTTTATCAAAGGTCTGAGGCAGTCCTGATCCGCTGCTCTCCTCCTGCTGGCTGAGCCTTGCCACTGGCTCAGTGGCCCAGGGTGCCAGCTCCCTTTCCTGGGCCTCCCGGGAAAGGGGAGGGAGAAGGTCGAGGGAGCAAGAGGGTTCCAGGGCTGCCTCCAGGGCTGGCCTGGCAAGTTGCAGCTCTGTCCCTGGCGATTTCCCTGCAGCCAATGGCTGTGGAAGAGGAAAGGAGAGGACCTTTTGATGTGGTGGAGAAGCATCATTGTAGAAGGGAGAGGAATAAGTAAAAGGTTGGCCAGGGAACCATGGCCGGGCACGGTGGCTCCTGCCTGTATTCCCAGCACTTTGGGAGGCCAAGGTGGGCAGATCACTTGAGGCCAGGAGTTCAAGACCAGCCTGGCCAACATGGTGAAACCCCTTCTCTACTAAAAATACAAAAATTAGCCGGGCGTGGTGGTGAGCACCTGTAGTCTCAGCTACTTGGGAGGCTGAGGCAGGAGAAGCACTTGAACCCGGGAAGCGGAGGTTGCAGTGAGCCGAGATCGCGCCACTGTACTCCAGCCTGGGCGACAGAGTGAGTGAGACTCCGTCTCAAAAAAAAAAAAAAAAAAGTAAAATGTTGGCCAGGGAGCCTTGCTGGCCTCCTGAAGGCAGCCAAACATTAAACACACCTACAGTCACAGAGTCCAGCTTAAGGAAGAGGCAGACCAGAAAGTGAAAGTGAAGAAAGAACGGGAGGAGAGATGGGTGGGGGCGCGGATCAAGGCAGAAAAGGGAGGCAAAAGGCAAGGCTCCTAGGGACAGAGAGTGGTGACATGCCAGCTTCTGTTCGTTAAAACCCTGCTCTGGACCATGAACACTGCTAGGCAATTTCGTTATGACAGCTCCTTGCATCCTCCCAGCATTTTACAGCTAAGGAAACTGAAGACCGTGAGGTTAAATTCTTCACCCGAGGTCCACAGCTAGGGATTAGCAGAATCAGTGTTTGAACCCAAGGCTGCCTGACTCCAGTGTCACACCCAAACTGTTCCTGTCTCTCTGTTAGCAGTTCTTAGTTGCTGGGGATTCAGACTCTATTTTGTTGCTTGTGTAGTTCAATACAGCTCCCCCCACTGTGGCCACATTGCAGCCTACAGATGCAATAAAAAGGAGGGGAAGGCATGCATTTCCTTTAAGGGTACACCTGAGGTCAGGAGTTCGAGATCAGCCTGACCAACATGGAGAAACACAACTCTACTAAAAATACAAAATTAGCTGGGCATTGTGGTGCATGCCTGTAATCCCAGCTACCCGGGAGGCCAAGGCAGGAGAAACGCTTGAACCCAGGAGGCAGAGGTTGCGGTGAGCCAAGGTTGTGGTGAGCCGAGATCACACCATTGTACTCCAGCCTGGGCAACAAGAGCGAAACTCCATCCATCTCAAAAAAAAAAAAAAAATGCTGTGAATCTTGAACAGAGAATGCAATAGACAGCAAGAAAGGTCTGGTGGCATCTTCGAAGGAGCCTTCATCTCCTATACTTTCAGGGTGGATATGATGGAAGACTCAGCCCAGGGCCTCATTGTGCATGTAGGAGTTCCAAGTAAATGCTTAGGAAAGGGCATAGTGGGGACGTAGTGGGACCCTGAGACTTAGAATAGGAGCATCTAAGTGGTCACAGACAAGGCTGAGACTCTGGCACTTTTGAATTCTCAAATCCTTCAAAGCTCCCTTGTCTGTTCAGGCAGGTCCTCCCGTGTAGAGGTAACCAACTTATCCCTGCCTAAGGAACCTTCTGTGACTGCACCTAGGACAGTTGCTTCACTAAAAAGGGACACCAGATCTTCTCTTCATTCCTCCAGCATCAAAAGGAGAGTTAGATCCCAACATAGCCCACTTGGGCAGTACAAGGCCTGCTCTAGAAAGAGAATGTCTATACACTAAAGAAGTGGCAGGACCTTGCCAGTTCAAATCCACAAGGGTCTTGGGAGCACGTGTCGGAGAGGATTCTAAGCATTGTGTTAGCCTAAAGATGGTAAACACAAGGCTTGGCTGGGCACAGAGCCTCGTGCCTGTAATTCCAGCACTTTGGGAGGCTGAGGCGGGCGGATCACTCTTCAAACTCCTCAAACTCAGGAGTTTGAGACCAGCCTGGCCAACATGGTGAAACCTGTTTCTACTAAAAATACAAAAAATTAGCTGGGCGTGGTGGTGGGTGCATGCCTGTAGTCTCAGCTACTCGGGAAGCTGAGGCAGGAGAATCGCTTGAACCCAGGAGGCAGAGGTTGCAGTGAGCCGAGATCGTGCCATTGCACTCCAGCCTGGGTGAAAAAGTGAGAATCTGTGTCAAAAAATAAATAAATAAATAAAAATAAATAAATAAATAAAAGGCTTGATTGGGCTGAATTCACTGATACACTCACCCAGGTTTGGGCTTTGGAGTTGGCATGAATAGTCTACAATGGCTAACTCAGACTTGACTTAATAGAGACGTAAAGTTAAAGTTCCACCACCCAGAAGCAGCTGGGTTAGAGGGCGGTGAAATGGCTGCTGAAAGTTCATTTACAGGGTTAGCCTGGAGACAACACCCTGTTGGCTTCAAGTGTTGGCCTACAGGTTGCAGTTATGTCTTTTAAAAGCTGCTAACATTTGGAATTGTCTCCTTCAAAACTAGAAAGTGTACATCTAGATGCCGGGCGTGGTGGCTCACGCCTGTAATCCCAGCACTTTGGGAGGCTGACGCAGGTGCATCAGGAGGTCAGGAGTTTGAGACCAGCCTGGCCAAGAAGGTGAAACCCCGTCTCTACTAAAAATATGAAAATTAGCTGGGCTCTCCCTCTCCCTCTCCCTCTCCCCTCTCCCCTCTCCCCTCTCCCCTCTCCCTCTCGGTCTCCCTCTCCCTCTCTTTCCACGGTCTCCCTCTGATGCCGAGCCGAAGCTGGACTGTACTGCTGCCATCTCGGCTCACTGCAACCTCCCTGCCTGATTCTCCTGCCTCAGCCTGCCGAGTGCCTGCCATTGCAGGCGCGCGCCACCACGCCTGACTGGTTTTCGTACTTTTTTGGTGGAGACGGGGTTTCGCTGTGTTGGCCGGGCTGGTCTCCAGCTCCTAACCGCGAGTGATCCGCCAGCCTCGGCCTCCCGAGGTGCCGGGATTGCAGACGGAGTCTGGTTCACTCAGTGCTCAATGGTGCCCAGGCTGGAGTGCAGTGGCGTGATCTCAGCTCGCTACAACCTCCATCTCCCAGCCGCCTGCCTTGGCCTCCCAAAGTGCCGAGATTGCAGCCTCTGCCCGGCCGCCACCCCGTCTGGAAAGTGAGGAGCGTCTCTGCCCGGCCGCCATCCCATCTAGGAAGTGAGGAGCGCCTCTTCCCGGCTGCCCATCGTCTGAGATGTGGGGAGCGCCTCTGCCCCGCCGCCCCGTCTGGGATGTGAGGAGCGCCTCTGCCCAGCCGCGACCCCATCTGGGAGGTGAGGAGCGTCTCTGCCCAGCCGCCCCGTCTGAGAAGTGAGGAGACCCTCTGCCCAGCATCCGCCCCGTCTGAGAAGTGAGGAGCCCCTCCGCCCGGCAGCCGCCCCATCTGAGAAGTGAGGAGCCCCTCTGCCCGGCAGCCACCCCGTCTGGGAAGTGAGGAGCCCCTCTGCCCGGCCGCCCCTACTGGGAAGTGAGGAGCCCCTCTGCCCGGCCACCACCCCGTCTGGGAGGTGTACCCAACAGCTCATTGAGAACGGGCCGGGATGACAATGGCGGTTTTGTGGAATAGAAAGGGGGGAAAGGTGGGGAAAAGATTGGGAAATCGGATGGTTGCCGTGTCTGTGTAGAAAGAAGTAGACATGGGAGACTTTTCATTTTGTTCTGTACTAAGATAAATTCTTCTGCCTTGGGATCCTGTTGATCGGTGACCTTACCCACAACCCTGTGCTCTCTGAAACATGTGCTGTGTCCACTCAGGGTTAAATGGATTAAGGGCGGTGCAAGATGTGCTTTGTTAAACAGATGCTTGAAGGCAGCATGCTTGTTAAGAATCATCACCACTCCCTAATCTCAAGTTCCCAGGGACACAAACACTGCGGAAGGCCGCAGGGTCCTCTGCCTAGGAAAACCAAAGACCTTTGTTCACTTGTTTATCTGCCGACCTTCCCTCCACTATTGTCCTGTGACCCTGCCAAATCCCCCTCTGCGAGAAACACCCAAGAATGATCAATTAAAAAAATAAAAATTAAAAAAAAAAAAAAAGAAAAGAAAATTAGCTGGGCATGGTGGTGGGCTCCTGTAATACTAGCTACTTGGCAGGCTGAGGCAGGAGAATCACCTGAACCTGGGAGGCCGAGGTTGCAGTGAGCCAAGATTGCACCACTGCACTCTAGCCTGTGCAACAGAGCAAGACTCTGTCTCAAAAAAAAAAAAAAAAAAGGAAAAGAAAAAAGAAAGCGTATATCTAGGAAACAGAGGGTGAAAGAGTAGCTACTCTCATGCTTACACCTAAGAACACACTTGAAGAACTCTTGCTGCCCATCCCTATGACCTTGGATTTGGGAGTCTGAATATTCTAGTGCCTGAGGTGGGAACTGTTTCTACCAGGGGATTGTACTACCATGGTCATGGTTCTGATAAATTGGAAGCTAAGGCTTCCTTCAGGCCATCTGAGGATCCTCATGTCACTGATCCAGCAGGCAGGGAAGGAAAGACAAATGTCTTTCCTTTTGGCCACCCAACATCTGAACCTTCTTCCTATATATCTACGGTATAAGCAGATGACCTGGGCTCAGCTATATAAAAACAGCCCCTTGTCAGGCGTGGTGGCTCATGCCTGTAATTCCAACACTTTGGGAGGCTGAGGCAGGAGAATCCTTTGAACCTGGGAGGCGGAGGTTGCAATGAGCCGAGACGGCACCACTGCACTCCAGCCTGGGCGATAGAGCAAGACTCAGTCTCAAAAATAAAAATAACAAAATTAAAAATAAAAACACTCAGCCCTAAGTGAAATGGAACATGAGTAGCCCCACCTCCAGTGGCATAGGATAGAGTTCCTGGAGCAGGTGCAGCAGTGCTACTGGCAGTCTGAAGGATTCAGTGCTGGAGAGGTGGGAGGAGCAAGCAGCAGCATCTACAGTTCAGAGAACCAGTCTTCCCTGTAATTCAGAGAGATGCCACTCTCCTCCTCATGAATCATTTTACCACCTAAACCGCTAGAGTTGGCTCCTATGGCCTGTGACTGACAACTCTTACTGAAGCTGTTGTACTATTCTCTATTTCTCTGTTTTTGAAGTATTTCATAATAAAGAAAATGAATAACTAAGGAGGAAAGATGTAGGATCATCTTAATAAAAGCAGAAAAAGCATGCAATAACATTCAACATTCATAAATAACAGTAATAGGCTCGGCGTGGTGGCTCACGCCTATAATCCCAGCACTTCGGGAGGCCAAGACGGGCAGATCACAAGGTCAGGAGTTTGAGACCAGCCTGGCCAATATGGTGAAACCCCGTCCCTACTAAAAAAACCAAAGTGTGACCGGGTGCCGTGGCTCACGCCTGTAATCCCAGCACTTTGGGAGGCCAAGGCGGGCAGATCATGAGATCAGGAGTTCAAGACCATCCTGGCCAACATGGTGAAACCCCGTCTCTACTAAGAATACAAAAATTAGCTGGGCACGGTGGCAGGTGCCTGTAATCCCAGCTACTCAGGAGGCTGAGGCAGGAGAATCACTTGAACCCGGGAGGCAGAGGTTGCAGTGAGGCGAGATCACGCCACTGCACTCCAGCCTAGGTGACAGAGCGAGACTTCATCTCAAAAATAAATAAATAACAGTAATAACAAATCCATAGGAAACTAGACTAGCTGCCAACTTCCTTAACATGATGAACATTTTCTATCAAAACACACAGGAGAAATAATAATGGAAATGTGGAAGCCTTCTCTTTAAGAGCAGAAACAAAGAATGAAAGCCCATTGTCACCATTTCTATTTAACACTGGAGGGCCAGGCTGGGCGCGGTGGCTCATGCCTGTAATCCTGTGACTTTGGGAGGCCAAGATGGGTGGATCACTTGAGATCAGGAGTTCAAGACCAGCCTGGCCAACATGGTGAATCCCTGTCTCTACTAAAAATACAAAAATTAGCCAGGCATGGTGGCGGGCGCCTGTAATCCCAGCTACTCAGGAGGGTGAGGCAAGAGAATCTCTTGAACCCGGGAGGTAGAGGTTGCAGTGAGCCGAGATCGCACCACTGAACTCCAGCCTGGATGACAGCAAGACTCCATCTCAAAAAAAAAACAAAAACAAAAACGAAAAGTCCCATTTACAATAGCAACAACAGTTATAAAATGCTTAAGAATAAATCCAGCTGGGTGCAGTGGCTCATGCCTGTAATCCTAGCACTGTGGGAGGCCGAGGCGGGCAAATCACTTGAGGCCAGGAGTTTGAGACAAGCCTGGCCAACATGATGAAACTCTGTCTCTACTAAAAATACAAAAATTAGCCAGGCATGGTGGTGTGCACCTGTAATCCCAGCTACTTGGGAGGCTGAGGCTGAGGCTGAGGTGGAAGGACTGCTTAAGCCAGGAGGTCCGCAGAGGCTGCAGTGAGTCATGATGGTGCCATTGCACTCCAGCCTGGGCGACAGAGCCAGATCCAGTGTAAAGAAAAAAAAAAGTGTAGTATTTGTTCAGGGAGAAACAAAGAACCCAGTGGAACAAAATATAACCAGAAAATGACCCATGCCATATGAAAACAATATATGGCAGAGAAGACATTACAGATCAGTGAAAAGAAGATAGTGGTGCTGGCCTAATTAGTTACCCAAATGGGAGAAAATAGCTTGATCCTTACTTCATAGCATACACAAAAATAAATTATAGGTGAATTGAAGACCTAAATGTGGAGGCAAAACTCCAAAAATGGTTAGAAAAAATATATAGGGGATTTTGTTTATAGCAGAGTAGAAAAGAGTTTCTCAAATAAGACAGAAAAAGGATATACTATAAAATTATTTTAGAAACTTCTTACCAAAAGAAAGAAAGGAAACAAGAAGGAAAATTTAAAAACCATAACAACACTGAAAATAAAGCCACAGACTTTAAGATTCATTTTCAGAAAATATTTTTTAAAACTCCCATAAAATCAAGAAGAAAATAACAAACAACCCAAGTGGAAAATGGGCAAAGGATATTAAAAGGAAACTCACAGAATGGTCAAGGGCATGTGAAAAGAGCCTCCAAACTCATTAACAGGGAAATGAAACTTAAAACAACCCGGAAAGACCACTTTGTATCCCTCAGCTTGGCAGGAGCTTGAAGGACTGACAATGGCAAGTGTTGGCAAGGACACGCAGAAATGGGAACTCACACACACTGCTGGCCAGAGTGTAAATTACTACAGTCACTTTGAAGAACAATTTGGCCATAGCTAGTAAAATCAGTGGTGAACAAATCCTTCAGTCCACCAGTTCTGCTTCCGGATATACACCATAAGCTCACACACTTGCCCGAAACGGAGTAAACAACAACGCACGCTGCAACTCTGTCTGTAATAGCAAAAAACTACAAACAACTCAAATATTCATCAACAGAAGGCCAGAGAAACAAATTGCATACAGCTGAAAAAAAAAAGAACGAGAGCCACATATATCACTATGGATAAATTTCAAAAACAAAATTGAAAGCATGCTGAAGTTTTTTTTTGTTTATTTTTGTTTTTTTGACTGAGTCTCGCTCTGTCACCTGGGCTGGAGTGCAGTAGTGCGATCTCGGCTCACTGCAATCGCTGCCTCCCAGGTGCAAGCAATCCTCCCACCTCAGCCTCCTGAATAGCTGGGACTACGCCTTGCTACTTTTTTGGGTGTTTTTTTTTTCTTTTTTTGTTTTTGTTTTTGTTTTTGTTTTTGTTTTTTTGAGATGGAATTTCGCTCTTGTTGCCCAGGCTGGAGAGCAATGGCGCAATCTTGGCTTACCGCAACCTCCGCCTCCAGGGTTCAAGTGATTCTCCTGCCTCAGCCTCCCAAGTAACTGGGATTACAGGCACCTGCCACCACACCCAGATAATGTTTGTATTTTTAGTAGAGGTGGGGTTTTTCCAGGTTGGTCGGGCTGGTCTCGAACTCCCGACCTCAGGTGATCTGCCCACCTCGGCCTCCCAGAGTGCTGGGATTACAGGCATGAACCCCGCGCCTGGCTGAGTTTTTTATTTGTTTGTTTGTTTGTTTGTGGTGGAGACTGGGTTTCACCATGTTGATGGCTTTCTCAAAATCTTAAACACAGAGTTGCCCTATGTCACCTTATGACCCAACAATTCCACTTCTGGCTATACATCTAAGAGAATTGCAAACATACATTTACACAAAAAATTGTACACAAATGTTCATGGCAGCATTATTCATAAAAGCCAAAAAGTGGATATAACCCAAATGCTCTTCAATTGACAAATGGATAAACAGAATGTGGTATCTCCATACATTGGAATGTTGCTTGGCAATAAAAAGGAATGAAGTACTGATCCATGCTACAACAGGGATAAACCTTGAAAACACACTAAGTGAAATAAGCCAGACACAAAGGACAACAGAGCGTATGATTCCATGTATATAAAATGTGCAGAGTAGGCAAGTCCATAGACACAGAGAGTAGATGAGTGGTTGCCTAGGGCTGGGGAGGAAGGGATCAATGGGGAGTGACTGCTAATAGATGCTCAGTTTCTTTTAGGGAATGAAGAAATCTTCTGAAATTAGATAGTGGTGATAGTTGCATAACTCTGTGAATACAGTAAAAGTACTGAAATGTACAGTTTACAAGGGTTAATTTTATGGCACATCAATTATACCTCAATTAAAAACACACACACACGGAGAATCTTATGTTGAAGTTTGTGGTCTGCTCTGCCCATTTCTATATCGCCTCCACCATTTGCCCCTAGGAGGAGGTTCAGGACAGCATAATGGGAGTGTGAGCTGGACACTGTTCAAATGCTTGCCCTCCTACAAAGACCCTGAGGAAATGAAGCTGGAGCCCAGTGTCAGAAATCCAGTTTTATACACTGCAGTGTGGTCATCAAGAATGTTTGCCACTTTCTCCTATAGCCAAGCAAATGTTTAATTGTGGGAAACAGGTGAGCTTCGGAGTGGCATGTGATGGTTTAAAAGGTTACTTCATATTTTATTTTATTTTATTTTTTAAGACAGAGTCTTGCTCTGTTGCCCAGGCTGGAGTGCAGTGGCATGATCTCAGCTCACTGCAGCCTCTGCCTCCTGGGTTCAAGCGATTCACATGACTCAGCCTCCTGAGTAGTTGGGACTACAGGCATGCACCGCCATACCTAATTTTTTTTTCTTTTTTTTTTGTATTTTCAGTAGAGATGGGATTTCACCATGTTGGCCAGGCTGGTTTTGAACTCCTGGCCTCAAGTGATCCACCTGTCTCGGCCTCTGCAAGTGCTGGGATTACAGTCGTGAGCCAACGCGCCCAGCCTAAATGTCACTCCATATTTTAGATCTGCTTAACTACTCAGAATTTACTTATAAGACTGCTATAGTCATGTCACAAAGTCATGGTAGTCTTCTTGATAAGCAGTCATTTTTATACATTTTGTACGCAGATCTGAATGCTGTAGTATTTCCAATGTCTAAAATATATGTAAATAAAAATATAAGGCCGGGTGCAGTGGCTCATACCTGTAATCCCCTTTGGGAGGCTGAGGTGGGAGGATCAGGATCACTTGAGCCTGGGAAATCCAAGTTGTAGTGAGCCCTTATCATGCCAGTGCACTCCAACCTGGGCAACAGAGTAAAACACTGCAAGAGAAAGAAAAAGAGAAAGAGAAAAAGAGAGAGAGAGAAAGAGAGAGAGAGAGAGAAACAGAGGGAAGGAAGGAAGAAAGGAAGGAGACAGACGGGGGGCTGGGTGAGGTGGCTCATGCCTGTAATCCCAGCACTTTGGGAGGCCAAGGCAGGTGGATCACCTGAGGTCAGGAGTTCAAGACCAGCCTGGCCAACATGGTGAAACACCATCTCTGCCAAAAATAAAAAAGTTTCCCGGGCGTGGTTGCAGGTGCCTGTAATCCCAGCTACTCAGGAGGCTGAGGCAGGAGAATCACTTGAACCCAGGAGGTGGAGGCCGCAGTGAGCCGAGATCAGGCCATTGCACTCCAGCCTGGGCAACAAGAGCAAAACTCCGAATCAAAAAAAGAAAAAAAAAAGAAAGAAAAAAATTAGCCCAGCATGGTGGCACACGCCTGCAGTCCCAGCTACCCCAGAGGCTGAGGTGGGAGGGTCATTGAACCCCCAAAAGTCAAGGCTGCAATGATTCAAGATTGCATCACTGTACTCCAGCCTGGGTGAAGGGAGTGAGACCCTGTCTCAAAAAAAAAAAAAAAAAAAAAAAAAGCTCTGAATCTATAGGTTCCAGCCCTGAGAAATTCTGGATAAAATGGAGTTAACAGTTCACCTGCCTCAGGTGAGATAATATAAAACTAGAAAGGTCCATACCATTGTAATATCTAATTGAATCTATTTGTCAAAACAGTACCCAAATGCAGTATGTTCAGAAACCTTATAGTGTTAGGTAATAATAACCATAGACAAGATAAAAAATATGGGCTGGGTGTGGTGGCTCGCACCTGTTATCACAGCATTTTGGGAGGCCAAGGTAGTAGGATCACTGGAGGCCGGGAGTTTGAGACCAACCTGGGCAACATAGCAAGACCCCATCTCTATAAAAAAATATATATATAAAGATATATATTATATATATATTTGTACATGTTAACTTGAGGTGAGGGGTGCAGGGAGGGTGGAAAGGAGAAAGTAATAATATTAAGCATCAGTAAACAACTCTAGAGCCAGGCATGGTGACTCACTCCTGTGATCCCAGCTTTTTGAGAGGTTGATGCAGGAGGATTGCTTGAGGCCAGGAGTTCAAGACCAGCCTTGGCAACATAGTGAGACTCTCCCATCTCTAAAACAACAACAAAAAGTTAATTAAAAATTAAAAGAAAAGAAAACTTCATAGCCGTCTTCTCCAGGAAAACAAGTCCCAAAGCCACTTGCCACTGATGCAGAGGTGCGCAGAGCCCGAGGAACACGGAACCATAGCAGCTCTGCAAGTTGATTTTATTCCAGGCTAAAAGATGCTACTTCTCAAAGAAAGGAGCTTGGAGCGTCTCTGTTTATGAATTCATTTTTCAGGGGTGGGGTGATTTCAAGAGTCCAGGCTGTTTCCTGACCATGCACACTGTGCCGGCCTGGAAGCCTCAGGCCCCAGCCAGGCTGACCACGAGCCAGACCCGGAGTAAGCTTCGTCCCACGCTTCCTGTCGGTCCAGGCAGCCTGAGTTTCCTGGTGACCCTTCCCTGCACCCAGCTGATTCAAAGGCCTGGCAAGGCCTGGTGCCAGCCAAGAAAATCTGAGGCAGCCAGGTTTGTTATTTCAAATCTCTAAACCTTCAGACCTTTGTGCTTGGCTTACATATGTGAAAGTTAAAACAAGGATGTGTGTCGCAGTGGTGATTATAATTCAAGTAAGCAAAGATCCCTGCATGACCAGCCTTCAAATGTCAGCCCATGCTGAAGTTAACACATTTAACTCATAGAACAAAATAATTAAAATGAGGAGTAGATGCAAAATGGTACTGCCATTCTAGAAAACAGTTTGGCAGTTTCTTATAAAGTTAAACGTACACTTACCACAAGAACCAGCAATCACTCTCCTGGGTATTTATCCCAGAGAAATGAAAATTTATGTTCATATAAAATATTGTACACAAATAATTATAACAGCTTTATTTGTAATAGTCGTGTATCAGTCAGGATTCTCCAAAGAAATAGGACCAATAGAAGAGAGATATATACATAATAAATCATATATATAAATGAAATATATAAGAAGCTATATATATATGTACACACATACAGATATCTCTCAGAGTTCTCCAAAGAAATAGAACCAACTATATATATATTATATGTAATATATTATATTACATATATTACATGTAATATAATATATATTATATATAAAATGTATGTAATATATTATATATAATATATGTAATATAATATATTATATAAAATGTATGTAATATATTATATATAATATATGTAATATAATATATATAATGTATGTAATATAATATATATATTATATATAAAATAAATCATGGCCAGGCATGGTGGCTCACACCTGTAAACTCAATACTTTGGGAGGCCGAGGCAGGAGGATCACTTGAACCCAGGAGTTTGAGACCACCTGAGCAACATAGTGAGACCCCGTCTCTACAAAAAACATTTTTTTAAATTAGCCAGGTGTGAGCCAGGCATGGTGGCTCATGCCTGTAATCCTAGCACTTTAGGGGGCTGAGGCAGCAGATCACCTTGAGCTCAGGAGATCAAGACCAGCCTGGGCAACATGGTGAAACTCCATCTCTACAAAAAATACAAAAATTAGCCAGGCATGGTGGCACATGCGTGTGGTCCCAGCTACTCAGGAGGCTAAAGCTGGAGAATTTCTTGAACTGGGGAGGTGGAGGTTGCAGTGAGCCAAGATCAGGCCACTGCACTCCAGCCTGAGTGACAAAGTGAGACCCTATCTCAAAAAAAAAAAAAAAAAAATGTCCAGCAGCTACTCAGGAGACTGAGGTGGGAGCATTGCTTGAGCCCAGGAGGTTGAGGCTGCAGTGAGCCATGATCACACCATTGTACTCAAGCCTTGGTGACAGAGCAAGACCCTGCCTCAAAAAAATAAAAAGACATATGTATAAGAAATGATATATATTGATCTATATAGATAAATGATATGTATATAATAAATCATATATATATAATATATACATTTATTACAAAGAATTGGCTCATGTGATTATGGAGGTTGACAAATCCTAAGATGTGCAGTCAGCCAAGCTGAAGACCAAGGAGGATCGACGGTGGTGTTCCAGTGCCAAGGCCAGCAGGCTGGATACCCAGGAAGCGCAGATGTTTCGGTTCCAGTCCAAAGGCAGGAAAAAAACTGATGTCTCAGCTCAAAGGCAGTCAGGCAGGAGGAATTCTTTGTTATTCAGGAAAGATAGTCTATTTGTTCTATTCAGGCCTTCAACTGATTGGATGAGGCCCACCCATCTTAGGGAGGGCAGTCGGCTTTATTCAGTCTATTGACTTAGATGTTAAACTCACCCAAAATCACCCTCACAGAAACACCCAGAATACTGTTTGATCAACTGTCAGGCCACCCCATAGCCCAGTGAAGTTGACACATAAAATTAACCATCACAAGCCAAAAATTAGAAACAAGCCAAATGTCCCTCAACAAGTAAACAGATAAACACATGATGGTCTATCCATTCAGTGAAGTAACTCAGCAGTAAAAGGTAATGAGCAATTGATCCATGCAACAATGTGGATGGGTCTCAGGGCTTTTTGCTGAGTGGAAAAAGCCAATCTCAAAAGGCCAGTCTGATTCCATTTATTTAACATTCTTTCTTTTTTTTTTTTTTGAGATGGAGTCTTGCTCTGTCGCCCAGGCTGGAGTGCAGTGGCCTGATCTTGGCTCACTGCAACCTCCACCTCCCAGGTTCAAGCGATTCTCCTGTCTCAGCCTCCCGAGTAGCTGGGACTACAGGTGCACACCACCACGCCCAGCTAATTTTTGTATTTTTAGTAGAGATAGGGTTTTACCATGTTGGCCAGGATGGTCTCGATCTCATGGCCTCGTGATCTGCCCCCTCAGCCTCCCAAAGTGCTGGGATTACAGGCATGAGCCAATGTGCCCGGCCAACATTCTTTTGTTTTTTGTTTTTTTTTTTGAGATGGAGTCTCGCTCTGTAGCCCAGGCTGGAGTACAGTGGCACGATCTCAGCTCATTGCAACCTCTGCCTCCCTGGTTCAAGTGATTCTCATGCTCTGGCCTCCTGAGTAGCTGGGATTACAGGTGTGCACCACCATGCCCGGCTAATTTTTGTATTTTTAGTAGAGAGAAGGTTTCAACATGTTGGCTAGGCTGGTCTCGAACTCTTGACCTCAAGTGATCTGCCTGCCTCGGCCTCCCAAAGTGCTGGGATTACAGGCATGAGTCACTGTACCTGGCTTTATATAACATTCTTGAAGTGACAAAATCATAGAGTTGGAGAATAGATCAGCAGTTCCAGGGGTTATGGTAGGAGGAAGGATGTGACTGAGGGGTAACAGGAAGAAATTTTATCTTTTCTTTTTTTTTTTTTTTGAGACAGAGTCTTGCTCTGTCACTCAGGCTGAAGTCCAGTGGCACGATCTCAGCTCACTGAGACCTCCGCTTCCCAGGCTCAAGCAGTCCTCCCACATCAGCCTCCCTCACAGTTGGGACTGCAGGAGCGTGCCACTGGGCTCAGCTATTTTTGTATTTTTTGTAGAGATGGAGTTTCATCATGTTGAGATGAGATCAGGCTGGTCTCAAACTTCGGAGCTCAAGTGATCCACCTGCTTCAGCCTCCCAGAGTTCTAGGATTATAGGCATGAGGCACCATGCCCAGCCCCAGGAAGAAATTTCTTAGTGGTGATGGAATACTTCTGTGTTCTCATTGTGGGGATGGTCACTTGAATCTATGCATATGATAAAATTTCATAAAACTTGTCCAGGCTCAGTGGCCTGTAATCCCAGCACTTTAAGAGGCCAAAGTGAAAGGATCACTTGAGACCATGAGTTTGAGGTTACAGTGAGCTATGATTGTGCCACTTCTCTCCAGCCTGTCTCAAAAATTTTTTTTTCATAGAATTACATGCCAAAAGAAAAAGATGAGTGTCTCTTTCATGTGTATCTATTATGTTCCCAACACTGCTTTTGGGACTTTACACACAGTAACTGGCCGGGTGCGGTGGCTCACACCTATAATCCGAGCACTTTGGGAGGCCAAGGTAGGCGGATGGCTTGAGTCCAGGGGTTCGAGACCAGCCTGGGCCATAGTGAGACCTCATTTCTACAGGAAAAAAAATAATAATGATGGTGTGTGCCTGTAGTCTCAGCTACTCGGGAAGCTGAGCTGGGAGGATTGCTTGAGCCTGGGAGGTCAAGGCTGCAGTGAGCCAACATTGCGTCACTGCACTCCAGCCTGGGCGACAGAGTGAGATTCTGTCTCAAAAAATAAAAACAAAAACAAACCAGACAGACAGTCACCTTAGGAATAAACACTATATCCCCACTTTATAGTCAAGGAAACACTGAGAGAGTGTAATCACCACCCAGTCACATAGCTGGTAAGCGGCAAAACCAGGATTTAAACCAAGTCTACCTGACTCCAAGGCTTTGGCCCTTTCTCATGTTGCCTGCTAACATACACACAAGCTCCAAAGAATGGGGCCTCCATCCTGCCCGTGATAGATATTTCTAGCCCTGATGTTGCCTCGCACCACAGCAGAGTGTCCTGCACTGTGTTTTCTACATTCCCTGGATAAACACAGAAAGTCCTGCTCTGTGAAGAGGCCATCAAAATTAGCACAGAGATGAGGCATTGGAGAGCAAACTCCAGGACAAGTCCAGAGGGACAGATGGCTCAGCCCGAGGTCAGGGTCCTCTTTATACCTCACTTGAATTTAGGCGGCAGGCTGGGCATGATGGCTCATGCCTGTAATCCCAGCACTTTGGGAAACCAAGGCAGGTGGATCACCTGAGATTAGGAGTTCGAGACCAGCCTGGGCAATATGGCAAAACCCCATCTCTACCAAAAAACTAGCCAGGTGTGGTGGCACGCATCTGTAGTCCCAGCTACTCAGGAGGCTGAGGCAGGAGAATCCCTTGAGCCAGGGAGACGGAGCTTGCAGTGAGCCAAGATCGCTCCATTGCACCCCAGCCTGGGCAACAGAGTGAGTCTCTGTCTCAAGAAAAAAAAGAAGAATTTAAATGGCAACCAAATTCCCAGGGGTGTGTGTCTCTGGGATGCCTCCCCTGACTCCCTCCAGGCTGAGCTGCGGACCCATCATCCACGCTCCCACATCAGCAAGATTTACGTTAATCAAGGACCTAGTGTGTGGCTCTAGAATCACCAATGTATCCTTTGTTGATGCGGGAGCCTCTCACAGAACTTGGCCTGGGTAGAAGCGCAGTAAGCGTTTGCTGAGTGAATGAATGAACTGCAAGAATCTCATGCAAGGGCTGTGGACTCAAATGCCTTCAGAGGCCAGGCAGACACCACCAATGAATGAGGTTGGGGGTGGTGATTCGTGGAGAGTGGAGAGGACAGGGGTGGAGTGGGGACATGTGCCCGAGCCACCGGGGCAGCTGCCACTCCGCTTGCCCTCATGCCACCAGGCAGGAATGTGGGCCATCTATTACCACATCTGATTTTTCAAAAGAAGCCAAAATCCAGTCTTTTATGATGAGCTTCTGATTTTTTCACGTTGCGGACTAATTTTAAGTTTTTTAAATTAAGTGAGGGCCAAACGAAACACATATGCTAGTTGAATACTGCCCAGAGGACATGGTTTGGAATTTCTGCTTTGAAACTTCAGGATGTTCCAGCGTTTCTGATGCAGTGACAGTGATTTTCCTGATGACTACGAGACAAAGGTGTCCACAGCAGGTAAAGGAAAGCCAGTGCCACCAACAGCCATAAGCCAATTCCATGTGGACGGCCTCCTCTGCTGACATCCCACTGGGAGAGCCGGTAAGAACTCTGAAGGCGGGGTTGCAGGGAGGACAGGGAGGAGGGTACAGATGACCTATGACTGCTGGCTGGCATAGTACGACTCTTGTATAACTTGAATTCTCATGAAACATGCATTTTTGATGGATTATTGGATTATTTTCATCCTTGCACTAGTGGCACAAAGACCGGACAATCCCATGTAATGGACAAAAGATAGTGCCACTTGCACCAGAGGGAAGCTAGGACAAGGCTGGACAAGGTCCTGGGAAAGAGGCCACAGGTGGCAAATCCACCCCGCCTGAAGGACCTCATCTGGGTGCAGACTTCTACCTCCCACCATTGCTTCAATACCGGAGGTCTTTCCTTGTTTTCCTCACCAGACAGTTCTTTTTCTCAAACTAAGGAAATGAGCACACATCTCAGAGTGGCCCCAGTTCAAATCCTTCCTCTACCATTCGCTGACTGTGATGAACAGCTTTGGAATCCCCATTTGTCCATCTTTCCAACATGACTCATATATGTTGATATCACACATCCCGGATGTGATAGGATGAGGGCACTTCATCTCTTAGGTGTTCTTCCCAAAATTCTGCAGTCCCAGTCTAATCATGAGAAGACCAGAAACTGTCACCAGTCAGCGGAGACTAAGGAGACATGGACACTCAACGCACCATGGTGTCCTGGATTAGGTCCAGGAAGGGAAAGAGGCCATTAGTAAGACAACTGCTGAGACCTGAAGAAAGTGTTTAGTCCAGTTGAAAAATCATGGATCTAGACCAGGCAAGGTGGCTCACACCTGTAATCCCAGCACTTTGGGAGGCCGAGATGGGTGGGTCATTTGAGGTCAGGAGTCTGAGACCAGCCTGGCCAGCATGGTGAAACCCCATCTCTACTACAAATACAAAAGTTAGCCAGACGTAGTGGCGTGCACATGTAATCCCAGCTACTCAGGAGGCTGAGGCAGGAGAATTACTTGAACCTGGGAGATGGAGGTTGGAGACGGAGTTTGCAGTGAGCCGAGATTATGCCACTGAACTCCAGCCTGGGGGACAGAGTGAGACTCCGTCTCAAAATAATAATAATAATAATAATAAACAATAAATAATAAATAATAAAATAAAAATAAAAATTATGGGGCAGGGTGTGGAGGCTCATACCCATAATCCCAGCACTTTAGGAGGCTGAGACAGGTGGATCACCTGAGGTCAGTAGTTCAAGACCAGCCTGGCCGACATGGTGAAACCTCATCTCTACAGAAAATGCAAAAACTACCCAAGCATGGTAGCATGTGTCTGTAGTCCTAGCTACTTGGGAGGCTGAGGTGGGAGGATTGCTTGAGCCTGGGAGGTGGAGGTTGCCACAAGCTGAGATTGCACTACTGTGCTCCAGCCCTGGTGACAGAGTGAGACTCTGTCTCAAAAAAAAAAAAAAGATAAATAATAATAAAAATAGTTAAGATGGCAAATTTTATGTTATATGTATTTTACCACACTTTTTTTTTTTTTGAAACGGAGTCTCACTTTGTCACCCAGGCTGGAGCACAATGGTGCGATCTCAGCTCACTGCAACCTACATCTCCTGAGTTCAAGCAATTCTCCTGCCTCGGCCTGCTGAGTAGCTGGGATTACAGGCACCCACCATCACACTCGGCTAATTTTTGTATTTTGGGTAGAGATGGGTTTCACCATATTGGCTAGGCTGGTCTCGAACTCCTGACCTCAGGTGATCCGCCCAACTCAGCCTCCCAAAGTGCTGGGATTACAGGTGTGACCCACTATGCCCAGCCCACAATTTCTTAAAATAATAAAGAAACGAATACAGATTTGACTGTATATGTGCGTGTGCATGTATGTGTACACATCCACATTCCCTAGCTGTATCCACTGAGAGGGACACGGAACAGCCTCATCCTAGTAGCAGTGAGCACATGTAGCATCCAGATCTTGACTTCTAAATACCATTTTCAAAAAAAGAGAACCAGGATCTTCAGAGAACAGACTGATTCCAGGGCTGAGACCAAAAAAAAAAAAAAAAAAAAAATACAGATGCTCCTGGAACAGCTTGTACTAGAAAGCTCAAAGAATGGTGGGTCACTGCAAAAGGAAAAGGGCACAGCTGCGAGCTTGAGTGGGCTCCCACTGGCCAAACTGGGAATTTTTTTTTTTTTTTTGATACAGAGTCTCACTCTGTCACCCAGGCTGGAGTGCAGTGGCACGATCTTAGCTCACTGCAACCTCCGCTTCCCAGGTTCAAGCAATTCTTGTGCCTCAGCCTCCCAAGTAGCTGGGACTACAGGTGTGTGCCACCACACCTGGTTAATTTTTGTATTTTTAGTAGAGATGGGGTCTCACCATGTTAGCCAGGCTGGTCTCGAACTCCTGACCTCAAGTGATCCACCCGCCTCAGCCTCCCAAAGTGCTGGGATTACATACATGAGCCACTACACCCGGACTGGGAATAATTTAATTATTACAGTGAATAGTGAGAGTCATGGATTATAACCTATTGCATTCACGAGTCCATGCAGACATAGATAAATCACTTGCCAAAGATCACAATGGGATAAGATAGCACTGGGGACGAGGGACGCTCACTCTCATTTTCCTTTAGCACTTCTTTCCCCCCAGATACTGTAAGTGGGAAGGACATGACACATAGAGCAAGCTGGAGGCCCAGGAAATTCCTAGAGAGAGTGTCCAGGACATATGGACTTTTGAGATCTGTCCAGTGTCATTTCCTGTTTCAAATCATGCTGGGGGAAGGGAAGGTGCAGGAGGTGCAGTGAGGGAGGGGGCGTAGGGGTGAGAGAGGCCGGAGAGCAGGGAGGAGGCTGGTCCATCAGCTGCAGCTGCCAATGATGCCTGCTGGGGGGTGTATGGGCGAGGGACCTCCTGGAGAGCGAGGTGCCCACATCTGGTTCACATTGAAGGGTAAAAACAAACAGGTTTGTGAGCTGGAAGAAGCCCAGTGGACTGAGCCAAGCCGTGCTGCTTGGACACTAGGGCACAGCATCCCCTCTTCCACGGGTCACTGGGCCTGGCCAGCTCCCAAGGGCTTGCAGAGGGGACGCGGTTGGAATAAGGCCATCTTCTCTGCTTGGAACCACATTATCTGGGTCCAGCTCCTCCTAATGTACAAACCGGCCTCATCGTGTGTCCGGAGAGGCTGGTTCTTTGATTTGTAGATGACTCATTTCAGGCTCTTGAACGAGACTGAGACTGCACATGTACCAAATGTCACCATGTCCACCCAGAGGGCTTGTTTGTGCTTCGTGTAATGTCTCCCTTGGCTAGGAAGAGACAACGGCTTGCTGTGGGATCTGGAGCAACTTTCTTAACTTCTATGAGCCTCAGTTTCCCCAGGTATAAAATGGAAACAACAGTTCCTCCTTAAGGGGTCATGGTTGGCCTATTAGAGTTACTGAGTATCGGGCCCAGCCGCAGTGCCAAAAATCTCTCAATCAACGTCCACCATTCCTACTGGTCATTTGGACTCCAGCCTTATCTCTTCTACTGGGTATCTAAAGTTAGCCTGTAGTCCCAGCTACTTGGGAGGCTGAGGTAGGAGGATCACTTGAACTCGGGAGGCAGAGGTTGCAGTGAGTCAAGATCATGTCACTGCACTCCAGCCTGGGTGACAGAGTGAGACTCTGTCTCAAAAAAAAAAAAAAAAGTTTTAGGAAAAAAAGACTTTCCTCTAGGCCAGGCAGGCATGGTGGCTCACACCTGTAATCCCAGCAGTTTGGGAGGCTGAGGCAGGTGGATCCCCTGGACAATATAGTGAGACCCAATATCTGCAAAAAAAAAAAAAATTAAAAATTAGCTGAGCATGGTGGCACACGCCTGTAGTCCCAGCTATATGGGAGGCTGAGGCAGGAGGATCACTTGAGCCCAGGAGGCAAAGGTTGCAGTGAGCTGTGATGGCGCCATTGCACTTCAGCCTGGGTGACAGAGTGAGACCCTGCCTCAAAAATAAATAAATAAGTAAATAAATAAGGCCAGGCACAGTGGCTCATGCCTGTAATCCCAGCACTTTGGGAGGCCGAGGCAGGCAGATCACTTGAGGTCAGGAGTTTGAGACCAGCCTGGCCAACAGGGCCAGACCCTGTCTCTACTAAAAATACAACAATTAGCCTGGTGTGGTGGCTCATGCCTGTAATCCCAGCTACTCAGAGGCTGAGGCAGGAGAATTGCTTGAATCTGGGAGGCGGAGGTTGCAGTGAGCCAAGATTATGCCACTGCACTCCAGCCTGGGCTACAGAGCGAGACTTTGCCTCATAAATAAATAAATCGGCAGCAGACAGCAGGGAGCTGATTCATTCTGGAGAGAGCCCTGAGGCCCGTGTCCTGGCCAGCACCTTTTAGAGACCTCAGCTTCCTACCCTAAACTCACCTCTTGCTGTCCCCAAACTTACAGAAAAGGATGTTGTCCCTTTGCCAGATGCAATCAGTTTGCGCTCCTCCAGCACCCTCCAGGGTGTTCCTGGGGAGTCCGCTTCTGTGGGCCCACTTGTCAGCTGTCAAAAGCCCTTGGCCGGCCGGGCTTGGTGGCTCACGCCTGTAATCCCAGCACTTTGGGAGGCTGAGGTGGGCGGATCACAAGGTCAGGAGTTGGAGACCAGCCTGGCCAATATGGTGAAACCCCGTGTCTACTAAAAATACAAAAACTGGCCAGGCAAGGTGGCGGGCGCCTGTAATCCCAGCTACTTGGGAGGCTGAGGCAGGAGAATTGCTTGAACCTGGGAGGCGGAGGTTGCAGTGAGCCAAGATCACGCCACTGCACTCCAGCCTGGGCGACAGAGGGAGACTCTGTCTAAAAACAACAACAACAACAACAACAACAACAACAACAACAACAACAAAAGCCTTTGTCCAGGAGCCACTGCAAAGCACAAGCCCGGGACACCATCCACCTTGGTCCTTGGGAGAAGGTGAAATTAGACAAACTGGTTACACCTTGGCAAATCATTTGACCTCATTGTGCCTCAGTTTTCTCCTCTGTGAAAAGAACTTTTTTTTTTGAGATGGAGTTTCGCTCTTGTTGCCCAGGCTGGAGTGCAATGGCACGGTCTCAGCTCACTGCAACCTCTGCCTCCCAGATTCAAGTGATTCTCCTGCCTCGGCTCCCTAGTAGCTGGGATTACAGGAGCCCGCCACCACGCCCAGCTAATTTTTTGTATTTTTTGTAGAGACAGAGTTTTACTATGTTGGCCAGGCTGGTCTAGAACTCCTGACCTCAGGCGATCCACCCACCTCAGCCTCCCAAAGTGCTGGGATTACACACGTGAGCCACCTCGCCCGGCTTAAAAACGACTTCTAAATACTACTCACTTTATAGGGTTGTAATGAGGCTATCCTGAGAGGTTTGAGTATGCATGAGGCATATTTGGTACAGTGCCTTGCATATAGTAATTGCTCAGTAAGTGCTCACTATTATGGTTGTTAGCTGTCATTCAAGATGTCTCCAGCCCCAAATAATCCTCACTGAACAGTTCAGAAGTTGCCAGGGCTCAAGCTCAAGTCTGATTTCCTAGGGCTACTGGGGAACAGACAGAATCCTTCATGCGGTTTCTTTTTTTTTCTTTCTTTCTTTTTTCTTTTTTTTTGAGACACAGTCTCACACTGTTGCCCAGGCTGAAGTGCAGTGGCACGATCTTGGCTCACTGCAACCTCTGCCTCCTGGATTCAAGTGATTCTCATGCTTCAGCCTCCTGAGTAGCTAGGGTTACAGTCCCACACCACCATACATGGCTAATTTTTATATTCTTAGTAGAGATGGGGTTTTGCCATGTAGACCAGGCTGGTCTCGAATTCCTGACCTCAAGTGGTATACCCACCTCGGCCTCCCAAAGTGCTGGAATTACAGGCGTGAGCCACCACACCCAGCCCCTTCATGCAGTTTCTCTCACTCCTTTCAGAAACAAGGAGTCTGATATTCCATCAACATGGAATCCACTGCTATAAACCAGCCTGCAGTCCCAGCCGGTGAACTACAATCCAATCAGGGATTAAATCTAAATTCCTCCCATCTGATCACTGGGATCCCTACACATCCAACTGACCCCCTCCCCCTCCAGAAATGTTATCAATCCCCTAAATGCCTCCAATCACCAGTTTAACCACCAGCCAAGAGCTTACTACTCCCCCTCTCCCAAGCTTAGACACTCAGTGTAATTAATGGACACGCAACATTGGGAGCTTTCACATTAAGCTCTTACTTTGAAACTTTGAATAAGAAAAAGCTGAAAAAAGCAGATCTCCCAATCTCGGTGAAATTGTAGGTAAAACTCCAAGTAGAATACCCAAAATAAATTGTATAAGTAATGATAATATATCATAATGTATTTATTATATGCATATATATTAGATATATTTAGAATATATAGGTATTAAGTATTCTAAATTTCTATCACCTATCTATCTATCTCCATCTGTCTATCTATAGTCACTGCAAAGGCTAAAAGGAAGTTTTCCACACTCAAGAGTGAAATGGGGCTGGGCTCAGTGGCTCATGCCTGTAATCCCAACACTTTGGGAGGCTGAGGCAGGAGGATTGCTTGAGGCCAGAAGTTCAAAACCAAGACCAGCCTGGACAACATAATGAGACACTGTCTCTACAAAAAATATAAAAATTAGCCAGCTATGGTGGTGCACACCTGTAGTCCCAGCTACTTGGGAGGCTGAGGTGGGAGGATTGCTGAGGACAGGAGGTGGAGGCTGTAGTAAACCATGATTGCTTCACTGCACTCCAGCCTGGGTAACAAACTGAGAACTTGTCTCAAAAAAAAAAAAAAAAAAAAAAAAAAAAGAGAGAGAGAGTGAAATGGAACAAATTATACATCCTTTGCATGACAAGAAAGAGCTAGAAGAATAACATTGTGGAGGGCCTGGTTTCTCTGAAGGAGCTGTTGAAATCTGCTCTATGATCAGAAGGGACATGATTGTAGGTGGAGGCTGGAAAAAGGCTGTTTAAGCAACTGTTTAGATTTTGGGTTAAACCATTTTGCGCAGCTTGAAAAATAGTATGCTCTCAAAAAAAATCTATTTATCCAACAGCTATCTATCTATTTATCTATCTATCTCTCTATCTATCTGAAATGAAATTAGTTGCCCCTTTCAACTCCTGCTTTGTAAAATAACACTGACTGAGAGCTTACTTGTTGAGCTGGGTATTCAAATCACCTTTAAAGCACCTCTAGGAGTTAGACACTAGTTTTATCTTCATTTTGCTGAGTTGGAAAGTGAGGCACAGAGCAGTTAAGCAACTTGCTGGAGGTCACACAGCTATTAGGTGTCAGAGCTGGATTGAAATTCAAATCTGATTCCAGAGCCAACGCTATTTGCCACTAAGCTCTACTGCCTCCCTGTGGCGGTTTTCCAGTCAGGAGGGAGTCTTCAGCTTTCACAAATACTATACCTCCCTCGCCCACAACACACGGAACTCAGTCTCCCCCTGTTGCTTTTCATAGCAAATCCTATGCCCTCTGTTCATGTTTTTGACATGCATAAAATCTTGGCCCACCATGAGAAAAAAAATACTTTGTTGATGTGTGTGTTTGTTTTAACCAGTAACTTCCACTTTCTGTCTTTCTAAACCATTAGAATGAAAAACATTTGTTCTCACCCTTCCTATGTTTTTGTTTGTGTTTGTTTGTGGAGATGGAGTTTTACTTTTATTGCCCAGGCTGGAGTGCAATGGCATGATCTCGGCTCACCGCAACCTCTGCCTCCCGGGCTCAAGCGATTCTCCTGCCTCAGCCTCCCGAGTAGCTGAGATTACAGTCATGCACCACCATGCCCGGCTAATTTTGTATTTTTAGTAGAGAGGGGTTTCTCCATGTTGGCCAGGCTGGTCTCGAACTCCCGACCTCAGGTGATCTGCCCACCTCGGCATCCCAAAGTGTTGGAATTACAGGAGTGAGCCACCGTGCCCGGCCCTCACCCTTCCTATGTAAAACCAAAAGCATTCACTCACTGTCCATCCACAGCACAGATTGGAAGCCACTTAGGCACCCCGGGGGTTGAATCTAGTGAAGAGAATCTGACGATGCCTGGTGCACTCTGGGGTGAATTCATTTTGACACGTAGCTCTGAAGTTTTAGAAATATCGTTGTTCTTCATATTGGTGTTTTAGATAGAGGAGGCATGTTAGTTTTATTTTTCTTTTTTTTGAGACAGAGTCTCACTATATCACCCAGGCTGGAGTCCAGTGGTGCAATCTCAGCTCACTGCAGCCTTGACCTCCCTGGCTCAAGTGATCCTCCCACCTCAGCCTCCCAAGTAGCTGGGACTACAGGTGCACACCACCACGCCTGGCTAATTTTTGTATTTTGTAGAGACGGGGTTTTGTCATGTTGCCCAGGCTGGTCTTGAACTCCTAGACTCAAGCAATCCTCCTGCTTTGGCCTCTCAAAGTGCTGGGATTACAGGAGTAAGCCACCACACCCGGCCGAAATGTTCTATGTCTTTATCTGGATAGTGGTTACCTGGGTGTCCATGTAGGTAAAAATGCATTGAGTGGCTGGGCACAGTGGCTCACTCCTATAATCCCAGCACTTTGGGAGACTGAGGCCACTTGAGTCCAGGAGTTTGAGACCAGCGTGAGCAATATGACTAAACCCCATCTCTACTAAAAATACAAAAATTAGCTGGGCACTGTGACTTGGGCCTATAATTCCAGATACTCAGGAGGCTGAGGCATGAGAATCACTTGAAGCTGGGAGGCGGAGGTTGCAGTGAGCCAAGATTGCACCACTGAACTCCAGCCTGGATGACAGAGTGAGACCCTGTCTAAAAAAAGAAGCATTGAGCAGCACACTTCAGATTAGAGCAGTTCACACTCATTACTGAATACAAATTGCACCTTAAAGCCAGCTGCAGTGTCTCACGCCTGTAATCTCAACACTTTGGGAAGCCAAGGCGGGCGGATCATCTGAGGTCAGGAGTTTGAGACCAGCCTGGCCAACATGGCAAAACCCTGTCTCTACTAAAAATGCAAAAATTAGCCAGCCATGGTGGCAGGCGCCTGTACTCCCAGCTACTTGGGAGGCTGAGGCAGGAGAATCCCTTGAACCTGGGAAGTGGAGGTTGCAGTGTGCTGATATCGCGCCACTGCACTCCAATGTGGGTGAGAGAGCGAGACTCGTCTCAAAAAAAAAAATTAAATAAGTTGTACCTTAATAAAATAAAGACAATAGAAAGGGAGGAATCTAGGAGAATTATTATTTTAAGGGCGAACAAAGT
Source organism: Homo sapiens (assembly GCF_000001405.40). NCBI lineage: Eukaryota > Metazoa > Chordata > Mammalia > Primates > Hominidae > Homo > Homo sapiens. Next base: position 64,738,979 of record NC_000017.11, read on the forward strand.
TCATAAAACAAACACACACACACACACACCCTGTGGTGGTTGTGAGGACTGGTGTGGGACAACAGAGGAAGAGAAGGCAGGGAGACTAGAGTTAAAGACTATTGCTTGTTGTCCACGTTTTAATCTCTTAGGCAGAAAAGGGCAAAGACATGCCCTTTTCATTGTCACCAGCTTTACTTTCACCTTTTAAAAGTAAATTGTTGGCTAGGTGCAGTGGCTTACGCCTGTAATCCCAGCATTTTGGGAGGCTGAGGCGGGTGGATCACCTGAGGTCAGGAGTTCAAGACCAGACTGGCCAACATGGTGAAACCCCATCTCTACTAAAAATACAAAAATCAGCCAGGCCTGGTGGCACACACCTGTCAGCTACTCAGGAGGCTGAGGCACAAGAGAATCACTTGAACCCGGGAGGCAGAGGTTGCAATGAGCTGAGATTGCAACACTGCACTCCAGCCTGGGCAACAGAGTGAGACTTTGTCTCTCAACAACAACAAAAAGTAAATTGGATCGGAGTGCAGTGACTCACACCTGTAATCCCAACACTTTGGGAGGCTGAGACTGGGGGATTGCTTGAGGAGTCTCCCTGGCTGAAGTGAAGGTTTCCCAGGCTTTCTCATGAGAGAATGTCTTTTAAGTTTACAAAAGGAAAGGCTGAAATTAAATTCCCTGGTATCTTTCCATTGGCTGAATTTCCCTGTAGCTGCCTCTTGCTGAAGCCTGGGGTCTCCCTGGCAGCTGGGCCCGGAGGAGGCAGGAAGTAAATAGCTGTTCTCTGAATGGGCTCTTCAGAGAAACGGGACGCCTCACTGTATTCACTGCGAGGAACACAGGACCTCAAAGCTCTGGGGCCCAACTGGGAACTACACAAGTGGTTTCTTTTCCAGAAAGCCCACTCATAAGACGCAGAGGCATCCAATTTCCCAGGAACCTATGGCACAGTGAGAGGCATGTCTTCGTCACCCAGAAGCTCAGGACAATGTCATCACCCACAGAGGCATCGATGGGAGGGCTGAGCTCAGGAACCCACAAGAGGCTCAGGGTGCTGCCATGAGCTTAGATCCTAGACTTGAGTGGGCTGAAAGGTCACAAGGCTAAGATTTAGGGCTAACACAGAGGAGACAAGCCAACGCTGAGTCACTTTGAAGCTTGAAATCAGGGGTTTTAACCCCCACGCTATTGACATCTTAGACCAGAAAATTATTTATTGTGGGGCTGTTCTGTGCATTATGGGGTGTTTAGCCGCATCCCTGGTCACTATCCACTAGATGACAGTAGCATCCTCCTCCCCGAGAAGTGACAACCAAAAATGTCTCCAGGCCAGGCGCGGTGGCTCACGCCTGTAATCCCAGCACTTTGGGAGGCTAAGGTGGGCAGATCATCTGAGGCCAGGAGTTCAAGACCAGCCTGGCCAACATGGAGAAACCCCATCTCTACTAAAAATACAAAAATTAGCCAGACGTGGTAGCAGGTGCCTGTAATCCCAGCTACTCAGGAGGCTGAGGCAGGAGAATCGCTTGAACCCACGAGGTGGAGGTTGCAGTGAGCTGAGACCATGCCATTGCACTCCAGCGTGGGCAACAAGAGTGAAACTCCATCTCAAAAAAAAAAAAAATGTCTCCAGATTTTTGTCAAATGTCATCTTGGGGGGCAATATCTCCCTCGATTGAGAACCACTGCTTTAGGTAAAAGCAAAATCTTAGGCTGGGCGCAATGGCTCACACCTGTAATCCCAGTACTTTGGGAGGCTGAAGCGGGTGGATCATTTGAGGTCAGGAGTTCGAGACCAGCCAGACCAACATGGTGAAACCCTGACTCTACTAAAAATACAAAATTAGCTGGGTGTGGTGGCGCACGCCTGTAATCCCAGCAACTTGGGAGGCTGAGGCAGGAGAATCACTTGAACCTGGGAGGTGGAGGTTGCAGTGAGCTGAGATCGCACCATTGCACCCAGCTTGGGCATCAAAAGTGAAACTCCATCTCAAAACAAAGCAAAATCTTAGACTTTTGGGGCTATTGCCTGAAATCTTGGACAAAGGCCTAACTGACCCAGTTAAAATACTGAGTTAAAATCTGAGCCCCACTGTTAGACTAAAGCAAACCAAGGAGGCAATGAATTACGTGTTGCCTAACTTGCTTCTCCCTTGCAGTTTCAATTGCGTTAGGCAGCCAGCTTCCCTTCCTCTCCACTGTTTGAATTGTTGCTGTGCCGGGCAAAAACTGTGGCTGGTCCACCTCAGAGCTGGCCTCATTTCAATAACAGCCGGGAGGACTGGCATGGGGCTTTCCAAGCTTAATTAGCTCATGTTTGTAAAGTTCTTAGGAAGCTCAGGCCAGCATGCTATGGGAAGTCCAAGTTACTAGGATTCTCGCCACACTTAAAAAAAGAACATTCCCACATAAAAAGGCTGGTAGAGGCAGAAAAGAGTGCCTCAGAGCATGTGTGTGAATAGCAAAGGGTCCTTCTGAACCACATTTGAGACCGTAAAGAAAGAGGGTAATGCATTCCAACTTTCAGGCCCTCCTCCTATTCTCTAGAGCAGGAAATTATTTAAAGTATTTCCTGAACAGCTGAAGTATGTTAGAAACCTGCTAGCATCCTCCACAGAATCTCCAGGAAATGGACACCAAAGAATTTCTTTGCAACAAGAAACTATTTGAGCTCTACTGGCCATTTCTACCTGAACAGGTTGGATACTCTCAGCCTGGGACCTAGAGAATACAATCTTCTTAGATCATTTTTATGTCAAACTTAGCATCCTACAGCAAGAACACACACTGGAAGAGAATTCCTCTTGTGTATGCACATATATATGAAGAATTCTCTTCTAGCATATGTATATATATATATATAGAGAGAGAGAGAGTATATATACACATATATTAGTATACATCAAGAGAGACGGAGACAGAAAGAATGAAGAACTTTCTTTGTTAGGTAATTTAGCAATGTCAGTAATAGCTTGCTAGTTAGTTATTCCCGCTCAATCTTCGGGTGGGGCAAGAATGAGGTCAGCCTCTTCTGTTTTAGGCAGAATTCTAGAACATGTAACAAAAGGAAACTGCTTGGCTCCATCCCACCTCTAGAGATTTGTTCTCTCCAAGGCCTGCCTATAAATCTCCCAGGGTGGGGTTCCAGAAGCATGGTGCCCCGGCAAGCCAAGTTTGAACCTCCCAAGCAAATCAGCATTGGAATGTTGGTGGTGTCACAGGATCAAGAGCCATCTGGAAGCCAGCTGTGACTTGGGCTGATTCCCATGGTTTCCTATGAGAAGGGCAAGTATGATCACTACAGCAGAAATACCAAAGAAAAATGGCAATTGTTACCTCTGGAGCAAAGAACAAGGCCTAGAGCAGAGCCAGTTCCTAAAGAGAATGACAGATCTGATAATGCTGGTGAAGGCCAGGCAAGTTCTGTGCTTCCTAACCAGTTAGAAGCCTTTCCTCCGGCGGCGGCAGAGCTCGGATCCAGAGTTTGGGAAGTGTGGGACTTGCCTCTCTGAGACCTGGCTGTCAGCAGGAGGATGAGGAGCCAAACATGTCCCATTGTTACCACCCACCCTCTGGGGCTTGCAGGGAAACTGAACTCCTGGCCAAACGAGAAATATAAACCCTTGCCATCTTCTCTTTCCGAGGACAAAGGCACCACAGATTTTTAGTGTGTTTCATCATGCTTTTGGAATGAATGTCAACCAAATGCCATCTTTTAGGGACAGTGGCAAAAACGCCTGTCCAACTGGAGTTCTTTAGTCAATGGCAGTTACAGTCACTGATCTGAGGTCTTAAACTACCTATTAGGCTCAGGGAGTGACATTAAAAAAAAAACAGCAGCCGGGCGCGGTGGCTCATGCCTGTAATCCCAGCACTTTGGGAGGCTGCAGTGGGTGGATCACAAGGTCAGGAGTTCGAGACCAGCCTGGCCAACATTGTGAAACCCCATCTCTAAAAATACAAAAATTAGCTCGACCCGGTGGTGCATGCCTGTAATCCCAGCTACTCAGGAGGCTGAGGCAGGAGAATAACTTGAACCTGGGAGGTGGAGTTTCCAATGAGCCAAGATTGCGCCATTGCCCTCCAGCCTGGGCAACAAGAGCAAGACTCCGTCAAAAAAAAAAAAAGAAAAGAAAAGAAAAAAGCAAAAAGCATATTTACAAATGTGTAGAAAATAGGCTGGGCGTGGTGGCTCACATCTGTAATCCCAGCACTTTGGGAGGCCGAGGTAGGTGGATCACCTGAGGTCAGGAGTTCAAGACCAGCCTGGCCAATATGGTGAAACTCCATCTTTACTAAAAATACAAAAATTAGCTGGGCATGGTGGCGGGTACCTGTAATCCTAGCTACTCGGGAGGCTGAGGTGGGAGAATTGCTTGAACCTGGGAGACGGAGGTTGCAGTGAGCCAAGATTTCGCCACTGCACTCCAGCCTGGGCGACAGAGTGAGACTTTGTCTCAAAAGAAACAAAAAAAGAAAAACAAAACAAGAAAAAGAAAAGAAATGGAAAGGAACTACACCTGAAACTCATAATATTTTGAAGGTAGCTCTGCCTTTGAGGGCCTAATTTTCCCCAGGCTGTGATCCCCTTTCTTTGAAAAGCACCCACATGTATTTAACAGTAAACTGTGCATACAGTTTCAGAGGTTCAGGAGCCCCATAACCTATCTTGGATCTCAGGTTACACAGGTTAAGAATTCTTATTCAGGCCAAAATATAAAATCCAATGGTAGAATTTTAGGTTATTATTTTAATTGTTTTAGGTTATTATTTTAATCTTTGTGGTATTCTGTTTTTCAAATTTTCTAAAATAAGTATTATTTCTGTAACTACCAAAAATACATTTTAAAGAATTACCAGAAAGAAAAGAAAGAGAAAAGGAAGAAAAAAAGAGAAAGGAAGGAAGGAAGGAGAGAGGAAGGGAGGGAGGGAGGGAGGAGAGAGAGAGAGGGAGAGAAAAAAGAGAGTGAGAGAGAGAAAGAAGGAAGCGAAGGAAGGAAGGAGAGAGGAAGGGAGGGAGGGAGGGAGGAGAGAGAGAGAGGGAGAGAAAAAAGAAAGAGAGAGAGAAAGAAGGAAAGGAAGGAAGGAAGGAAGGAAGAAAGAAAGAAAGAAAGAAAGAAAGAAAGAAAGAAAGAAAGAAAAAGAAAGAAAGGAAGGAAAATGAATTAGCTTTGTGTTCCCTAAGTTAATCTTTGCTGAGTGGTTGAGACGTTGGTTGAAAGAATGGGCAAGAACAGAGTAGGGTGACAGTCATTGGTCACTTACAACTTTAGTCTAAGCCAAAGGGTTGAAAAAGACCATCTTGGCTGGGCGTGGTGGCTCATGCCTGTAATCCCAGCACTTTGGGAGGCCCAGGTGGGTGGATCACTTGAGGTCAGGAGTTTGAGACCAGCCTGACCAACATAGAGAAACCCGGTCTCTACTAAAAATACAAAATTAGCCTGGTGTGGTGGCGCATGCCTGAAATCCTGGCTACTTGGGAGGCTGAGGCAGGAGAATCTCCTGAACCTGGGAGGCGGAGGTTGCAATGAGCCAAGATCATGCCATTACACCCCAGCCTGGGCAACAAGAGTGGAACTCTGTCTCAAAAAAAAAAAAAAAAAGAAAGAAAAAGACCACCTCATTTATACACAGTTTTCTACATTTCTCCTATATTTCAATAGTTTTGCTTTTAAAATATGTATTTTTTGCAGCCACAATCAGGAGATGCCTTCTGGGTATCATACCTTGACCATTAATTTTAATTTTGAATTGATTTAAAGTTTTCTTATTCATCCAATCTTTCCTCATATTCCCTTGTTTTTATGGATAAGCTTCCAATATTTCTGCCTAAACTTGTTCAAGTTCTAAACATGAGTTTCTTCATAGTAGAAAATATGGCTTTGTGGTGGCTGTCTCAACAGTCAAGTGTTTGCTCATTCAAGAAACTTCATTAACACTAGTATTAGGGCCCTATCAGGTATTGATACTGACAAGCTTCCATCACCAAGTTGGACTTGGGTGGTTCAGTCCTGTTCTCATGGCCAATGAGAAGTTAGGTGAGGAGGTGCTCCAATTAGTCTGTCCAATAGAATTAAGAGAAAGGGAACCAGTGGGCACAAGAAGACAGCTGGACCTCTCACTGGGATACTGCAAAGGCTAACAGCCAGTCTAGGAACTTAGTCACAGTGGGCTCTCCTTGAGCCAGTTCCACTGTTCAGAGAGCTATGCCAAGCCCGTAAAAGACCTAAAGGCTGACAAAACATCTGACTTTTCAGTAGAATCCCATCATTAAGTATGTAAACAATCCAGTATGGTCATCTTATGTTGATGTGTATCTGATTGATAAGGGGAAAAAAAAGAAGAGTAATAATCAACTTAGACTAGAAGGTAAAATATATCAAAACAAGAGTCTATGTAAGAACAAACAGAAATCTTTGGTGTTAAAAGGTTGGAGGCAGCCAGGTGCAGTGGCTCATTCCTGCAAATCCCAGCACTTTGGGAAGCTGAGGCAGGAGGATAGCTTGAGGCCAGGAATTTGAGACCAGCCTGGGCAACACAGCGAAACTTTGTTTCTTCAGTTATTACAGCTATTCCCAACAACAAAAAGTTTGGAATAGCCGTAATACTCATCTAGGATATTTCTATTATGTAGGAATTAGTATCTATACTTTTCTTATGCCAGCACTGAGCTGCCCCATCAAAAGGTCTTTCACTGACATAATAAAGAGGCAGGATTTGAATTCAGACAGATCTGGCTCTTAAATACCAGTCCACTTCACTGCACCATGCTACCTCCCACAACTAGGATGGGAAAAGACATTTACGATTGTGAAAAGCCTGGAACGCACGAACTGATCAGTTTAAGAGGGTTCGATGCATACACCTCCCACACAGTGTTATGAAACTGTCCCAAATATTTAGGAAGAACTGAGCGTTCACAGACACTAGAATTAGCTTTCAAACTATGCCAACATGTCGTTTAACATGCAAGTGCTCAAAATTAAATTGCACTTCTGCCCTCAGAAAACCCTAGTTGATAGCTTGGGTGTTTCTTATCATCTTTATTAGCTGGGGTTATGAAACTTAAATGGGTGATGTTGCTAAAACACTTTTCTCTAACACTTTCCCATGGGGAGTTAGAGGCAGGCTGCATGATTTGGCCGGGTTTTGTTCATCACAAATTAGGTCAACATCCCAATCCCAAAAGAAATCACCATTAGTGAAATGACATGTTTCAAGGGCTTTCCAAAATCAGTCCACCGGGTTTTGGCAAGCTCCAGCAAGGGTGGAGAGGGGTAAGGGGCAGCCAGGCCTTAATGGCCTTCTGAAGTTGGGTCCTGTATCTGACAAGGTTTCCAATGGCTCCTATGAACAAAACTGACTTTGCTCTTACTGCTTTTATGCAATTAAAGAGGCCAAATGCTGAAATAAAAATCTCACTTAACAATGAGGATTTACAGTAATGAAAAAATTATCCCGAGTTTTTTCTTCAGTGATGATGCAGTGACAGAAAGATTGAGGATGAGAGGGGAAAAAATCAACATTAGGAAACAGAATGTTGATTTCCTTTGTCCTAAAAATGCAATATAGCAATGAAAGAATCAATACTTTATTAAATGTTTAACACTGATGTCCAATCTTTTAAAGTTACCCTTTTAAGATTATTTCAACAAGCAAAATAAGTCTTAGCAGTTTTTACTTTGATAATTGCCAAATGATATTAGGAATATTACCTTTCCTCCCTTGCTTACAACAAAAACAAATACAAAAATGAAAGTTATAGGTAAAGATATATAATTTATCAAAGTGTTTTTTTGTTGTTGTTTTTTTTGTTTTTTTGAGACGGAGTCTTGCTCTTGTCACCCAGGCTGAAGTGCAGTGGCACAATCTCGGCTCAGTGCAACATCCAACTCCTGCCACCACGCCCAGTTAATTTTTTGTATTTTTAGTAGAGACAGGGTTTTGCCATATTGGGCAGGCTGGTCTTGAACTCCTGACCTCAGATGATCTGCCTGCCTCAGCCTCCCAAAGTGCTGGGATTACAAGCGTGAGCCACCGTGCCCAGCCTATCAAAGACTTTTTTTCCCCTATTTTTGTTTAATTTATTTAAGACCACCTCCCTACAATTTCCAGAGAAAAAATACAAAACAAGAAACAGACTTGGTTTCAAATACATAACCAGGTGCTGGAGTTTAAAGCATTACTGATAACATTGTTACAGAAGAATGGCAGCTTACTGCAGGACACTTCAGTATTCCTGAGGAATAAACATGATTTCTCTTGTCCTCCCACTGGGACGTTCTCAGGTGAAGTCACTGCTCCTGCTCTTTGACATATTTTCCATGTAGAAGATATGGAGCCTGGAAATCATGCTGACAGTTGGAGTAAGCCATTCCTAATCCCATGCCAGAACTGAAGGCTAATGGCCACATTCTTCTTTTAAAGAAGTGAGAAAACAATTCCTAATCCAAAACCAGTACCTGTCTTCACCACCGCATCTGCCAGGCACTGGTCCCACTTCCTGCTGAGCTCCAATTCCAACATGTTCCCCACCCATGCCTCTAGCTCTCCTCTCCGCCAGCCCCTGCACTCTTTAACACTACCAAAGTCTTAAATGACATTTCAAACTGCTAGATGGCCGGGCACAGTGGCTCACACCTGTAATCCCAGCACTTTGGGAGGCCAAGCTGGGTAGATCACTTGAGGTCAGGAGTTCGAGATCAGCCTGGCCAACATGGCTAAACCCCATCTCTAATAAAAATACAAAAATTAGTCTGGTGTGGTGGTGGGCACTTGTAATCCCCGTTATTCGGGAGGCTGAGGCAGGAGAATTGCTTAAGCCGGGAGGTGGAGGTTGCAGTGAGCCGAGATTGCGCCACTGCACTCCAGCCTGGGAGACAGAGTGAGATTCCGTCTCAAAAAAATAAAAATAAAAATTAGCCAAGTGTGGTGGCGGGAGCCTGTAGTCCTAGCTACTCGGGAGGCTGAGGCAGGAGAATCTCTTGAGCCCGGGAGGCAGAGGTTGTGGTGAGCCAAGATCGCGCCACTGAACTCCATCCAGCCTGGGCAACAAGAGCGAGACTCCATCTCCAAAAAAAAAAAAAAAAAAAAAAAAAGCTTTCAAACTGCTAGGAAACTAAAAATGTTGGTACATTAATAAATCACTAGCAGTTTAGACATTAACACTGCAAGAGGGAGAAGTTGGTGGCTACACAATGTTTTTATCGTGACTTTTACAAATCAAGCTGGTTATAAAGTCATTCTGTCATTCTCAAAGATATTAAGTTACCCACAGATAAATTAAATAAAAATCTCCCAATGCCTCTACGGATCTAACCACTCCAAGGAAACTAGCATGTTAAGCATTTTATCTAAGATATGAAAAAAAAAACTTTTTTGGAAACCAGCTATCTCCTGTTCATTACCTCACTATTGAGTCATGCTTCCTTTAACAAATCCAGACCTTACGCTTTCTATCCTGTCTTTTACACTAGTCTTTCTGAAGCCATTAAAACTCTCCCATGTTAAAGCAAAAATCTAGGATGTCCAGGTTTACTTCCCCATCACCTTTTCTCAAGCTGAAGACTTTTGGATTCAGTATCCAAGAAGGGACTCGAGTTGGGGAGAGGAAGAGAGGAGCAAGTAAGTAGGAAAGGAAGGGCAGTCTGTACTGTTAATGTCTCTTCCCCCTCCCCTTTATGGGAGCCTTTGTACAGGAAAAGCTGAGAAAGTGATCCACGGTTCCAAACAAAATGCTCTATGCTTACGAGGACCACGTGTAACACAGGGGTTTAGTGTTCCATTTTATTTTTTGTTGTTGTTTGTGTGTGTGTGTGTTTGAGACAGTCTTGCTCTGTCGCCCAGGCTGGAGTGAAATGGCGCAATCTCAGTTCACTGCAACCTCCGCCGCCCAGGTTCAAGTTATTCTTCTGCCTCAGCCTCCCAAGTAGCTTACAGGCGCCCACTAGCGCATCCGGCTAATTTTTGTTTTTTGTGTTTTTTTTTAAGTAGAGACGGGGTTTCACCATGTTGGCCAGGCTGGTCTCAAACTCCTGACCTCGAGTGATCTGCCTGCCTCGGCCTCCCAAAGTGCTGGGATCTGGCCAAGATGGTGAAACCCCGTCTCTACTAAAAATACAAAAATGAGTCGGGCGTGGTGGCAGGCGCCTGTAATCCCAGCTACTTGGGAGGCTGAGGCAGAGAATCGCTTAAACCTGGGAGGCAGAGGTTGCAGTGAGCTGAGATCGTGCCACTGCACTCCAGCCTGGGTGACAGAGCGAGACTCCATCTCAAAAAGAATAGTGGTGATCAATCTATATTGTACAAGAGCCCTTGGGAATTACATTTTTAAAAAAGACACAAGGTGGACCCTCATGCCCCTCATCAACGAAACAGAACTGGGTACATTCCCAGGTGAGGCCCACGTGCAGCCATGATTTTACCTTGGAATCCCATTCAGCCTTGAAGTTTGGGAGGAATGAATTCCACTTGTAGCTCCAGGAGAGATTTATGATTAAATTTACAGTGTTTAGCGCATCTCCCTGGCCAAGGAGACTTAAGGAGACACTGGCTGAGGGTTTCTGGAAAATTTTATTCATTCTTCTGTAAAAACTGCAGCCAGGACTACCTCTGGTTAATCCCATCAGTTTGGACGGGTTACCTTTCACTAGCAACATTAAAGACCCCAAATTAGAAAGCAACACATAGGCATGGTGAAGTCAAGAAAAGGGTGGACTTGAATGTTTATTTACAGGATGCTGCAAGATAGGAAATTCCACATAGAAATTAGAAACCTAGTCAGAGGACAAGCTTCATACAGTATGTACAGTTGGAACTGTTCAAGTATAGTTTCAGTGTAAAAAGTGCTACAATAACAAACCACATTTAAGAAAGAGTTCTTAGTAGAGAAACAATAAGACAAAATACCAAACATAGTACACAACAAATTTATGCCTCAGCTACATGATCTAAAAGTTAAAGGTCCCAGGAGCCCCATCCTGAACTTGGAAAGTGTAGCCTTCAGAGGTAGTTTCTGGCACAACGTTTTGATCTTCCTCTTCCTGGAAATATATTAAAAAATAAGTATAAAAATAATAAGTATTCCAAGCAGCAGCCTACCTGAAGTCTGTATTTAATCTCTAGGTCTTGATCTGCATATTACACCTTTAATCCTGTATGGTATTGTAGTATCTGACATAGGGGAGGGAGGGTCTCTGAAACTTTGCCAATTCATAAGTGCTAGCTACTACAGTAACAGAAACAGGCCGAGATTTTTTTTCTTCCCCAACCGTCACTTTTCAATAGGAAAAGACTGTATTAGGCCCAGAGCATGGTGGTGGGTTTGGCCTACTTCTCTATCACCTCCTACAATGACACCCGTTAACTTACCCTCAAGATATTCTAAGATTCTCAAGGCTGTTCATTTGAAACTAATCTGGTGACTTTTAAAATCTCACCTCAACGCCAAGACCAAGGTGCGAGGGCTTATTGAGATCATCTCCAATGCAGCAGGGTACGAGAATATCCCCATCCAGCACCATGAAGAAAACTTCCTGAGGCAGTTGGCTCAGAAGGTCCCTGACAAGCTGAATAACCCTAAGTTCAATGATCCGCACATCAAGACCAACCTGCTCCTGCAGGCTCACCTGTCCCGCATGCAGCTGAGTGCTGAGTTGCAGTCAGATACGGAGGAAATCCTTAGTAAGGCAGTCCGGCTCGTCCAGGCCTGCGTGGATGTCCTCTCCAGCAATGGGTGGCTCAGCTCTGCTCTGGCAGCTATGGAATTGGCCCAGATGGTCACCCAAGCCATGTGGTCCAAGGACTCATACCTGAAGCAGCTGCCACACTTCATCTCTGAGCATATCAAACGTTGCACAGACAAGGGAGTGAAGAGTGTTTTCGACATCATGGAGATGGAGGATGAAGAACGGAACACAATTCTTCAGCTGACTGACAGCCAGATTACAGATGTGGCTCGCTTTTGTAACTGCTACCCTAATATCGAACTATCTTAGGAGGTGGTGGATAAGGACAGCATCCGCAGTGGCGGGCCAGCGGTGGTGCTGGTGCAGCTGGAGCGAGAGGAGGAAGTCACAGGCCCTGTCATTGCGCCTCTCTTCCCGCAGAAACGTGAAGAGGGCTGGTGGGTGGTGATTGGAGACACCAAGTCCAATAGCCTCATCTCCATCAAGAGGCTGATCCTGCAGCAGAAGGCCAAGGTGAAGTTGGACTTTGTGGCTCCAGCCACTGGTGCCCACAACTACACTCTATACTTCATGAGTGATGCTTACATGGGATGTGACCAGGAGTACAAATTCAGCATGGATGTGAAAGAAGCCGAGACGGACAGTGATTCAGATTGAGTCCTGAGGCATTTACTCTTGGGTAAAGGAGAGTTGAGCCTGAATTAGGAATGTGTATATTGTAGGGATCCTGGTGGTTATGGGGACCACGTCTGTGGGCCTGAGGTCTGGCCAGCCAGGGCTGGTGCTGTCCCTGCCCACATCCACTTCCTTTTCCCTTGTTCACACTCTGGATCCAGTGACAGCAGGTGTCACGGGTCAAGCATAAATCATATATAGCATGTTCAGGCATGTTACTGGTAGTTCCTTTTGAGTCTGACATTCTAATAAAATAATTTGTAGAAACCAAAGCTAAATAAATAAATAAATAGATTTTATTACCATCAAGCCAAACATCAGAGGGGCAATAAGTACATTACGTCCTATGCACACTGATATTTTACTATATTTAACAAAGATATGAGGCTCATTTTTAAAAGTATGAGGGAAAAAAGGGCTCATGGCCTTGGCTTTACATTTTTCCAAGTTGTTATTAATATTACCATCCATTACTCACCTCTACAGAGAAATACTTCTCAGTTAAGCTTAATGAAGCCTTATATACAGACTCATTTTCATGGTTTTGTAGAGCTTCAATTTTGTCTACGCCTCCACATTCTTCAATCATTATACTAAGTTTCTCAGTTTCACCTAGTTTCTCAGCAGCCTAAAAAAAAAAAAAAAATCCAAGTTTACTGGCGTATACTCTGAATGTTTTAATGAAGAAAACATCGAAAATTTGAATATTGATATGTCAGGCAGAAATAAGCACCTTAACAGTTCCTTCATCAAGCCTATCATAGTTTTATGTCCATTCTATATTTTGTTGAAACTCAGTGTGATTGGATCTGTACCTACTCTTAGCAGTACTTCGACTGGAGCCAGAGATCTTACAATCAGTAGCTCTCAACCTTTTGTATGTATCAAAATCACATGGGCCACTTTTTTTTCTTTTTTTCTGTTTTCTTTTTTTTTTGAGATGGAGTCTCGCTCTGTTGCCCAGGCTGGAGTGCAATGGCGTGAAGTCGGCTCACTGCAAGCTCCGCCTCCCGGGTTCATGCCATTCTCCTGCCTCAGCCTCCCAAGTAGCTGGATCTATAGGCACGTGCCACCACGCCCGGCTAATTTTTTGTATTTTTAGTAGAGACGGGGTTTCACCGTGTTAGCCAGGATGGTCTCGATCTCCTGACCTCGTGATCCGCCTGCCTCAGCCTCCCAAAGTGCTGGGATTACAGGCATGAGCCACCGCGCCTGGCCAACGTGGGCAACTTTTAAAACAACACTACACTCCAGTTCAACTGGTCTGCTATGGGAACAGGGGCGTATTGTTTCGTAAAGCATCCTATATCATCACAAGGTGTAGTCAAGGTGTCTAAGGGCAAAGATGGCCTATGGAGTGCTAAACTAAATGTCTCCGAACAGAATGTGTGTTGGTATTAAGGATTTACGGGGCACATGGAATGGTATGTAGGTTAGTTTTTCTTTAAATTTTCAACTTTTAAGAGATACATAAATATCTATAGATGAAATAACAGATTTGCTTCAAAATAACTTAGGGGATTAGATGAAGGAAAGAAGAAATACTGGCCACATACTGACAAATTATTTATACACAGTGACAGATACACCAGCATCCATTATTGTAGGCTCAATTTTTTTTTTTTTTTTGAGACAGTTTCACTCTTGTCACCCAGGCTGGAGTGCAATGGCGTGATCTTGGCTCACTGCAACCTCCGCCTCCCAGGTTCAAGCAATTCTCCTGCCTCAGCCTCCTGAGTAGCTGGAATTACAGGCGCCTGCCACCACGCCCAGCTAATTTTTTTAATTTTTAGTAGAGACGGGGGTCTCATTATGTTGGCCAGGCTGGTCTTGAACTCCTGACCTCATGATCCACCCGCCTCGGCCTCCTCAAAGTGCTGGGATTACAGGCGTGAGCCAACATGCCCAGCCTGTAGGCTCAACTTCTATATGTAAAAATTTCTAGAATCCAAAGTTGATGAGAAGGGCTTACCTACCACCAATCACTACGGCAAAGTGCCATATGCTGGTATGCTTGGATCAGTTAGGGGTGGAACCAGAAGAAAAATATAATTAAGTCATTCAAAAAAAATTTTTTTTTGAGACAGAGTTTCACTCTTTCGCCCAGGCTGGAGTGAAGTGACGCAATCTTGGCTCACTGCAACCTCTGCCCCCCACCCAGAGTTCAAGCGATTCTCCTGCCTCAGCCTCCCAAGTAGCTGGGATTATAGGCGTCTGCCACCAGGCCTGGCTAATTTTTGTATTTTTAGTAGAGATAGGGTTTCACCATGTTGGCCAGGCTGGTCTCGAACTCCTGACCTCAGGTGGTCCACTCACCTCAGCCTCCCAAAGTGCTAGGATTACAGGCATGAGCCACTGTGCCCGGCCAAGTCATTCAAATTTAATGTCACCAAAATTCGGTATGAAATTGGGAAATTAAATCAACCAAGTAAACAGGTGTGATGAGTCCACATAAGCGCCTGACTCCGATTCAGTTCGCACCATCCACTTGTCATCTCTTTTATATCTTTTATAATGCCTGCCACATTTTTAATCAAAGGGGTGGCCACATAAACAGGCTTTCTGATTCTGTGGCTTACTAGTGAGTAAACTTACAGCTGCCCTCCCCCAAGTCTAAATAGTAAACCAATTATTATCAAGTCCAAATTCAAACAAAGCCACCTTGATAGGACTTACCTGAAAGATATTTGAAATGGCATCCAGGATAACCAGAATAATCTTGGTATCTTTTGCAGGTAAGAGGTTCATCAACGGTTCTATTATGCCACAGTGAACAAGGTACACAATCTGTTCAACTGTTCCACGGCCCATACAGCTTCCTTTTGTGTCTCAAAATCTGCCAATTAAACATAAGGAAATGGTTTTATTTCAGAACAGTTGCACAAATAAGATTCCAAGAGTACTTTTTCACAAAAACGGTGACTGAAAGTACCAAGGTTCTATTGATACAACCTTAAGTAAAGGGGTTACTGGGTATTGTTCAGCAAAGGACTCCTAGTAGAACCCAAGATTCTTGCACATGAAGAAGCTTATCAAGCACAGCTTTCTATAAATACTAAAAATGACTTGATTAAATCCTAAGACTTCGTTACCTTAGAGAGATCGCTGACAAGGAATGGGACTAATCCATGATTCACAACTTGCTGTATCTGGTCCTGGCGGCTGGCTGTGATGTTTGACATTGTCCACGTAGCTTCCTTCTGAATGTTAGTTTTGGGGTTGGTGAGCAGGCTGGGAAAGACGGCGAGTGCTCCTGCATCAATCACAACCTGAGTCTGTTCATCTGTACCAGTGACGATATTCCCTATGGCTCTTAGGGCAGGAGTCTGAAAAGGAAAAAATGTTGATGCTGGTTACCTTATATTTTTCTCAGCACTTCAGAAATTCTGTACTCCAAAAGTTTTAACAAGAGGCCCAACATGACCTGAAATAGGCAATATTTCAATATTGGTATCAACTGATTATGCTTTTTTTTTTGAGACAGGAGTCTTGCTCTTGTCACCCAGGCTGGAGTGCAATGGCGTGATCTTGGGTCACTGCAACCTCCGCCTCCCAGGTTCAAGCAATTCTCCTGCCTCGGCTTCCCGAGTAGCTGGGATTAAAGCGTGTGCCACCATGTCCGGCTAATTTCTTTGTATTTTTAGTAGAGATGGGTTTTCACATGTTGGCCAGGCTGGTCTCGAACTCCTTACCTCAGCTGATCCACCCGCCTCGGCCTCCCAAAGTGCTGGGATTACAGGCATGAGCTACTAAAAATTTAGACCTACATTTAATTTTGCCTGTTAAACATTCATTATTTTATATGTAGAACAGTTTCCAAACTCGATGTCAGGACTCACTGGAGTCTCAAGTTATGGAGTATCCAAGTGTTTCGTTGCTAAAAAAGGCAGCTTTGAATAATTTAAAAAATGAACTAGAAGGCCAGGCACAGTGGCTCACACCTGTAATCCTAGCACTTTGGGAGGCTCAGGAGGGAGGATGGGTTGAGCTCAGGAGTTCGAGACCAGTCTGAGCAACATAATGAGACCTCCCCTTCTACAAAAAATTAAAACAAAACAAAACAAAAATCCAGGCATGGTGGTGTGTGCCTATCACCATGCAAGACCTTCTCTCAAAAAAAAAAGAATCAGAGCAGACTGAAGATTATTCCTACATTAATCTCAATAACTTGCATTCAGATATACTTTGAGGGAGAAAGACATGAAGTTATAAGCAACATTCTGAGAATTTTGATATCTAATTTTATAATCTATATATTTCCATGGTTGAGTGTTGTTGCAAATATAAATGGGTTATGTGCGGCCAGGTGCAGTGGCTCACGCCTGTAATCCCAGCACTTTGGGAGGCCGAGGCGGTGGATCACCTGAGGTCAGACGTTCGAGACCAGACTGAGAAACATGGTGAAACCCCATCTCTACTAAAAATGCAAAAATTAGCCAGACGTGGTGGCGGGCCCCTGTAATCCCAGCTACTCGGGAGGATGTGGCAGGAGAATCGCTTGAATCCAGGAGGCAGAGGCTGCAGTGAGCCTAGATCGCACCACTGCACTCCAGCCTGGGCAAAAGAGCAAGACCTGTGCCCTGCCCCCCCAACAACAAAAAAATGTTTTATGTTGTGAATCAAAGTAGAAAGGAGGTTTGAGAGCCAATGCTACCCATAATTCAAAAAGCCAGTATCCCTGTCTCTCCAGGAGCTTGACACCTAACAGAAAATGTGACAAGTAGACAAACAGCATAAAACAAGTGGTAAATAGATGGGTTACATAGCATTTACTCCCAATTTTGGGTGCAGAATCAGGGCGCTAGAGAATCCTGAGAAAGGAGTGTCTTTCCTACGAGGCTAAGGAGTGCTATAAGAAGAAGATGAGCTTTGAGTATTAGTACCCTAGAAATAGAACACACGTAGTAGTCAATTGGAAAAAAAAAAAAGATAAATGTGGAGTGCTAAAGGGCTAAAGGAAGCATAACGTGGCTGGGTGCAGTGGCTCACACCTGTAATTGCAGCACTTTGGGAGGCCGAGGCGGGCAGATTACCTGACGTCAGGAGTTTGAAACCAGACTGGCCAACGTGGTGAAACCCTGTCTCTACTAAAAAAAAACAAAAATTAGTTGGGCGTGGTGGCGGCACCTGTAATCCCAGCTATTCGGGAGGTTGAGGCACGAGTATCACTTGAATCCAGGAGGCAGAGGTTACAGTGAGCCAAGATGGCGCCATTGCACTCCAGCCTTGGCAACAGCACGAGACTTTGTCTCAAAAAAAAAAAGGAAGCATATTGTGAGAAAAAGAAGTAGGAAAGTGCCCAGTTATCTTTGGAAGATGAAAGATAAATTTGAAAATCTAAGATAGGTCTACTTTGTGGAAGGCCTTCATGGAGTATGGATTATATTATTATTTTTTAGACAGAGTTTTGCACTTGTTGCCCAGGCTGGAGTGCAATGGTGCGATGGTGCGATCTTGGCTCACTGCAACCTCTGCCTCCCAGGTTCAAGCGATTCTCCTGCCTCAGCTTCCCAAGTAGCTGGGATTACAGGCACCCACCACCACCCCGAGCTAATTTTTTTTTATGTTTAGTAGAGACAGGTTTCACCATGTTGGCCAGGCTGGTCTCAAACTCCTGACCTCAGATTATCCACCCACCTCAGCCTCCCAAAGTGCTGGGATTACAGGCGCAAGCCACCGTGCCTGGCCAGAGTATGGATTTTTATTTTTAGAGACAGGGTCTTACTCTGTCATCCAGCATGGAGTGCAGTGGTACAATCATAGCTCACTGCAGCCTCAAAATCCTGGGCTCAAGTGATCCTTCTGCCTCAGCCTCCTGAATACCTAGGACTAAAGGCCTGTGCCACCATGCCCAGCTAACTTTTTATTTTTTGTAGAGACAAGGTCTTGCTATGTTGCCTAGTCTGGGCTCAAACTCCTGGCCTCCAGTGATCCTCCTATTTCAGCTTCCCAAAGTGCTGGAATTATAGGCGTGAACCATCATGCCCAGCGGAGTATGGATTTTTTATTTTTATTTTTTTTCTTGAGACAGAGTTTCACTCTTGCTGCGCAGGCTAGAGTGTAATGGCAAGGTCTTGGCTCACTGCAACCTCTGCCTCACAGGTTCATGCAATTTGGAGTATGGATTTTAAGGAGAGAAAAAACACGTCTAAAGCAGTACTTTAGGAAAAAATTCAGAAAAATAGCATTTGGCACAGAAAGAAGGAAACGATAAATTAGGAGGCTACTGTAAATATTTCAGGAGGAAAGACCTGAACAAAGCTGGTGACAAATACAAAAAAACACAGAATACCAAAAAAGACAGAAATAAACCAAATGGGCTGGGTGTGGTGGCTCATGCCTGTAATCCCAGCACTTTGGGAGGCCCAGGTGGGTGGATAACAAGGTCAGGAGTACAAGACCAGCCTGGCCAACATGGCGAAACCCTGGCTCTACTAAAAATACAAAAATTAACCAAGCGTGGTGGTCTGTACCTGTAATCCCAGCTACTCGGGAGGCTGAGGCAGGAGAATTGCTTGAAACTAGGAGGCGAAGGTTGCAGTGAGCTGAGATTGTACCACTACACTCCAGCCTGGGCGACAGAGCAAGACTCCATGTGGGAAAAAGCAAAAAGAAATAAACCAGAAACTGGTTGGCTCTGGACACACTGGTCAGGTCAAGGTACCCAGCTAGTAGCTAGAAATGCAGGGAAGTCTGAAGGAAGGTCAGAGTTAAAGGAAGATCCTAAATCAGCTTCAGTGGATTATGGAAGGCAGGAAAGAAGATAATTAGTAATTGCAAACAGAGAAAAAGATCTTCACAGATAGTTAAAACCATAAGACTAGAAATGTTAAGTTTACTTGAATTTCTAAGAAAAGTCCCTACTGATTTTCTGGATTTCATGTAACTCATAATCTAAAATATATTTTTTTACCTGGTTGTTGCAGTTTTCCTGCAGCGGAGAAGTAGCATCATCAGGAAATGAGCTTACATTTCTCCTCTTCAGCATCTGGTCATCCTTCTTAGCTTTCCTCAGCTCCACATTGACCTCTATTCTGTGACGCCTCGTTTCCTTGAGAAAAGATAACATGCTGTTTCACCTACCACATCAGTTTTTGTTGCTAAGTGAGGACATTTTTAAAAAGATCCCTAAGTTTTCATCCCTTTCCAAATGTCTTCCCATTTAAATAACACCATAAGAAAGCAACAGAAGGTACTCACTGTACTGTCCTTTCCCTTGTTCTTAGATCTGTGAAGATGGGCAGCTTGTGTATTAGCATTCTCATTGGTGGACATGGTTATGAGACAAAGGGAGAAAGCTAAAAGATGGGGGAAGAGAAAAATATTTCCTTTATCGTTTTCCTTTGTCAATAATAGTACCAAATAAGAACTGAATTATCAAGCATCTACTGAATCCACACCTGTGCACTAGAGGGATATCATCATGTTTTCAGCACTATGGAATAGTTTTAGCCAACGGATAACTGTCCCCCTTCCATCTGAAGGGCTGAGACTTCCTAGAGCAGGGCTGTCCATCAGAAATAGAATGCAAGCTATATAAATTGAAACTTCCTAGTAGTCATTTTTGTTTTGTTTTGTTTTGAGATGGAGTCTCACTCTATCGCCCAGGCTGGAGAGCAGTGGTGCAATCTCAGCTCACTGCAACTTCTGCATCCCAGATTCAAGTGATTCTCCTCCCTCAGCCTCCCAAGTAGCTGGGACTACAGGCGTGTGCCACCATACCTGGCTAAGTTTTGTATTTTTAGTAGAGATGGGGTTGCGCCATGTTGGCCAGGTCGGTCTCAAACTCCTGACCTCAGGTGATCCACCCACCTCGGCCTCCCAAAGTGCTGGGATTATAGGCGTGAGCCACCACATGCAGCCAAAAAAAATTCAAAATTAAAAAAACCCAATAAATAATAATGAACTTAGACAAAAATACCTTCTTGGCATCTAATGAGATGATCAAAAGGTTTCCTTTCTTTAACTTTTTTCTTTTTGAGAGTGTCTTGCGCTGTTGCCCAGGCTAGAGTGCAGTGGTGCGATCTCAGCTCATTGCAACCTCTGCCTCCTGGGTTCAAGCGATTCTCCTGCCTCAGCCTCCTAGCAGCTAGGACTACAGGCATGTACCACTGTGCCCCACTAATTTTTGTATTTTTAGTAGAGATGGGGTTTCACCATGTTGGCCAAGCTGGTCTTAAACTCCTGGGCTCAAGTGATCCACTCGCCTTGGCCTCCCAAAGTGCTGGGATTACAGGCATGAGCCACCACATCCAGCCTTTCTTTGACTTCCTAAAATAGTATGGTATTAGTAATCTCCTAGTATTGGAGATTGGTGTCTAAGGTGAAGCCAATTCAGCCATGGTTTCTTATTCTTTAAATTTACTCCTGAATAGATCTGCATACCAATATTTTGAGATTTCTTATAGACACACCTATTTGCTATTAATTATTAATAATAAATATTAATAAAGGAGACAGGGCCATAATTTTTAATTTGTCTATTTCTATTTATCAAGTTTTCTAACAGTTTCACACTAACAGAAACAATAATCTGTAAAATTTCCTCCTTTTTCTATTCTGGCAGAAAAGTTTAAATGGAACTATCTGGTTCCCAAAATTTAAGAAAAACCTTATGAAATCATTTGGTCCTGCCATCACCTTAATGACAGGTGCAGTGATAAACAACCAGAAATCCTTTTCCTGCCTAAGAGTGTGGCTTCTGACCTATTAAGGACTGAGATGACTGTGGCATCCTTCTCAACCCTTCCCCCCACCCAAAGGGAGCTCGGTGGGTCCCTTTCTGTGGCTGTGGGGATGGAAGGTGGGGCACGATGAGTTGGGGCCTTCTATTCCACCATCTTGCTCCACTCCTTCTAGGTGGACCCCTTTCATTGTAGATGTAGGAAACCTGAATACTATGTTAGTAGACCCTGTGAAGGCTTTAAAATTCCAAGTTCTAGTAAAAGAGAATCAGAAATGTTGGTTAGTATGTCTCTTTTTTTATTCTTGATATTGGTTATTTGTGCTGTATTATTTCCCCCCCTTGATAATCTTATCAGAGGCTTGTAAAACATAATGGGATCTAAAGTATGTTTGTTTTCTATTTCATCACATTTGGTCATCTTTAATATTTTCTTTCTTTAGGCTGGCTCCTTGAGATGTACCCCTAGCTAATTAATTTGCAGTTTTTCTTTTCTAACATAAGCATTAAAGGCTAGCAACTTCTCCTAGGAAGTCTTTAACTGCATCTCACAAATTTCAATATATGTAGTACTTTCATGAACATCCAGATCAAAATGTTTTCTGGTTTTCATTATGATTTACATTTGAGCACTTCTTATTTATTTAGAAGTGTATTTCTTATGTTTCAAGCATATAGCCCTTGCATTTCTTTAAAATTTTACAAATGTCTGTATCCCTAAACAATACTGTAACATTGTGTTATCACACATGCTTTTAAACGCTACACAAATGTATGTAGTATATACATTTATCCTTATGTATTTTTAGTGATGGAACTGTTTTCTTTTTTTTTTAATTTTTATTTTATTTTAGATTCAAGGGGTCTATGTGCACTGGGGGAACCGGGTTTCTAGTTACTCATTACCCGTAGAGTAAACACTGTACCCAACAGGTAATTTTTCAACCCTTATGCCCCTCCCAGCCTCTCCAAATGTTTTCCTTCTATTGTAAACTTACGAGATTCAATCTCGACACTTGTTGCTCTAGTGTGTTTTTCACTGCTATGTAACAGTCCATTATGAAATGATGACACAATTTAAACATGCCTGATTATGAGTACTTAGGAATTGTTTCCAAATTTCACCATTATGAAATAATATTATAAGGAATACCCTGTTACAATGTCTTCTCATGTACACAGGGTAAAAGTTTCTCTACCATATCGAGAAGGAGTCAAATTGCATTTTTAACTTTGGTTTTGTCAAACCATTCTCTAAAATGTTATAGCAACCATTGTACTAATTGCTCTCGTATCAGAAATGTATCACAACTATAATCCCAACACTTTGGTAGGCTGAGGCAGGCAGGTCGCTTGAGCCTAGAGTTTGAGAACAGCCTGGGCAACATAATGAGACACCGTGTCTACAAAAAATACAAAAACTAGCCAGGCATAGTGGAATGCGTCTGTAGTCCCAACTACTCGGGAGGCAGAGGTGAGAGAATAACCTTAGCCCAGGGAGGTCAGGGCTGCAGTGAGCTGTGATGGCACTACTGCATTCCAGCCTGGGTTGACGGACAAAAAATTAGCCGGGCGTAGTGGTGGGCACCTGTAATCCTAGCTACTTCGGAGGCTGAGGCAGGAGAATCATTTGAACCCAGGAGGCAGAGGTTGCAGTGAGCCGAGATTGTGCCACTGCACACCAGCCCGGGCAACAGTGCAAGACTCCGTCTCAAAAAAAAAAAAAGAAAGAAAGAAAGAACTAATAATATTCATTCATGTTTACAACTTATATAGGAAGAAACTGAGCCAAAAGTAAAGTCTTTAATATGGCCTCTTAAATACATTAACTTTCATGATTAATAGGCTAGTATTTCAAAAGCGAGTCCAATATTCATCATTTACAAGGCTCAGAATTCACTTACCTGGTATGTCCTAAAGATTCTCGCCATATTGGTAGCATCACAACTGGTTTAACTGCACACTCCAAAATGGCTAAAGCCAATGCAAATTCTCTGAGTTTGCTACACATCTGAACTGCCTTGATCCAGTTTGCCCTGTATTTCAGAAGAAATGAAAGAAATTATTTCACTAGGTTGATCTAAATTAAAAGCATAATAGTTGTAACTTTGGTCTCCATCTGATTCCAGGAATAAAGATTCTGACTCCTAGGAATCCTCCAAATAGTTAGTGGTGTCAGTTCAGTAAGTTAGAAGTACACTCATGCCTCTAACGTCCTGTCTGCTGACCACATTGACTTCATTCAACTCATTGGTAATGACGTTTTCAAGTGCACAACTACAACAATCATTTTATAAACATTTAGTATATTTACAGCAATAAATTAACCTTAGTTTCCTTTACCTATGTGATGCCCGGTTGGGATGAAGAAAGGATGAAGGGATGTTGTTTTCTAATTGGGTGATAGTCAGTCTCAGAGTAGATATGGTAAGAACTTTGGACCCATGGACAGAACCGTTCCATTTGAACTCTCCTGCTGGAGTCAGACAGAACTTATGTGCAAGATGCCTTCTCTTATCATGGTCTTCTCTGTGCTGGTGCTTATTCAAAGCAAATGAATTAGTGGAGTATTGATTGTGGTAGACGCGATACTTCCCTTCTTGACCCAATTTAAGATAATTGTTGATACTTCCTTTCATGACCACTTTCTTTTCGGTGCTCAACCGTGAAATTTCTCCTTGAGAGTTAACTACCAGTACCTGACCAAAAAAATAAAAAGACTGCATTATTTATGTCAGCCAAAGATGTAAATTGTATCCAATCAACTGTCTTTCAATAATTAAAATTAATCACTCAAAGTAAGTTAAGATAAATCTTATGATAGAACTTTTGAAGTCTAAAAGCTAAGTTAAAAGTAAAGCTAATTGTTTACAATTAAACAACCAAGATATGCCTGCAGAAAGAAAACTAACACATATTAAGTACCTATTACGTGTCAGATACTATTATTCACTGCTTTCATGTATTAATATTTCAAATATACACATGAAACCATACATATAAATTACTCACCTACCATTTTTTCAAGTTTATAACAAGCTTTTCAAGTTTATACCTAAGGGAAAAAGAAGGGCATCACAGGTATTCTCCCCCCCAAAATATATTCCTAAAAACGCTCTTTTGGGTCCTTTTATCATTCCAGCTATAGTGTAAGACCTCATGGATACTTCAAAATAGTATTTTCAAACAGTTGATCCCAACTCTTTAGTGACTATGAAATAAATAGTGGGTCTTATTCAGCTTTTTAAAAAATAAAATGTAACGCAGCCAGGCACAGTGGCTCATGCCTGTAATCCCAGCACTTTGGGAGGCCAAGGCAGACAGATCATGAGGTCAGTAGATTGAGACCACCCTGGCCAAGGTAGTGAGACCTCATCTCTACTAAAAATACAAAAAAAATTAGCTGGGCATGGTGGCGTGTGCCTGTAGTCCCAGCTACTCGGGAGGCTAAGGCAGGAGAATCACTTGAACGAGGGAGGCGGAGGTTGTGGTGAACCGAGATCGCACCACTGCACTCTAGCCTGGCAACAGACAGAGACTCCGTCTCAAAAAAAAAGGTAATGCAATAGGCTAGCACAGAAAATATCAGAGTGCTTCCCACATAATAAGGTAAAACAGTCTTTCAGAAAGCTTTTGAATATGTATACTGGGCTGCTATGAAAAAATGTGTATTTGACTGAGGGTCAGAGTCAAAAAGAAGTATGAAAGCCACTACTTTTAAGCAATCGCTGTGATGTTAAGAACATCATTTATTCGTACATATTTACACTGCAAATAATTCTTGAATCTGGGAGACACAGTTGGGGCCACGTCCTGTCACCATGGCTAGCTGAAGGGCAGAGATACTGAGTCCTAGCTCTGATCCCATGATCTGATTCACGATCAGAGCTGGGACGCCATGCTGTCCTATCTACAGTGTTCTGCTATCAATGGGTAAGCCTCGTCCTTTAGCTGCAGGTTCACCCGGAGTGATCATAGCTAGAACTGAGCAGTGAATCATCGATAATTCTTTAATAAACCATAAAACCCAAAATAGCCTACTCATATGTGTAAAGAAGGCTTTAATTCTTTAGAATTGTATGTAGAATAAAACTGGTCATGTAGTAAGAAAGTGTATCAGCCATTTATAGCATTTATATGCCTCGACTGAAATTTGGGTATGCAACTATGCTTAGAAAGCCTAATGTTTTTAATCTTGTTACCTACTACAGCTTTGGAAATAGAGAAAATACAATTCAAAAATAGGTCTACAAATTTCTACAGATTATATATATATATAAAATATATATATATAAAATTATATATATATATAAAATATATATATAATTATATATATATAAAATATATATATATAATTATATATATATATAAAATATATATATAAAATTATATATATATATATTATATATATAAAATTAGCCGGGCGTGGTGGCGGGTACCTGTAGTCCCATCTGCTTGGGAGGCTGAGGCAGGAGAACCACTTGAACCCTGGAGGCAGAGGTTGCAGTGTGCGGAGATCACACCATTGCTCTCCGGTCTGGGCAAAAGAGAGAGACTCCATCACAAAAAAAAATAAAATAAAATAAAATAAAGTTTGTTCCCTGGATCCAGCATCCCCTTTTAACAACTAAATCCTTTTTCCCTTCCTCCTTTTCGAGCCAACTTCTCTGTCCCCTCACTTAGACAACCAGCTCACTGCTCAGAGGCCTTCCACCACTTCCTTGATGACAGACCTGGTCCTTGTTAAGCATGTCCGTGTGAAGAGACCACCAAACAGGCTTTGTGTGAGCAACAAGGCTGTTTATTTACATCCGGGTGCGGATGGGCTGAGTCCAAAAAGAGAGACAGCGAAGGGGGATAGAATAGGGGCAGCTTTACAGGACTTGGGTAGGCAGTGGAAAGGTACAAGTTAAAGGTGGTTATCTATTGATAGCAGGGGAGGGGTCACAAGGTGCTCAGTGGGGAGCTCCTGAGACTCACTGTCCAGGAGGAGATTGTCACAAGGTCAATTGATGAGTTGGGGCAGGGACAATGCAAGGAGCTGGCTGTTTTACTCCTTTTTGTGGGTTTTTTTTTTTTTTTTTTTTTGGCTGCTCCAGACTTTGTGGCTCCTGCAGGCCATTTGGATGTATACGGGCAGGTCACAGGGGTTACAAGGACCTTGCTCCGGCTTAGAGGCCTGACAATCTTCCTCTGGCCTGACTTCTGTCCAGTGTTTGCTCTTTAAAATCCTCTCCTTCTTGGGCTTTCTCGGGCCAGGCCTCCTGGTTTTCCTTCTTTTTCTCTGCTACTGCTCAGCAGTTGGGCCCCAGGCTCCATCTCCTCCGCCACGGCCTCATGCTTGGTGTCTCACCTGTCTTCTCACTCCACCGCCTTGGGAGAGCCCAGCCCCACTGGCTGTAGATCAACAACTCGCAGCACAGTCTCCAGGCTCACATAGCCCACTGCCATCTGGATGTCCTTTGTACATGTTGAAAGCTGTGTGCCCCAAATCAAATTTGTCCTCTCCCTCCTCCCTCCCCATTCTCAGCATCTGAGTGACATCTACTTCTGTCACCCAAGGTAGAATCATCCTTGCCTCCTGCTGGCTTTGCCTCATCTGTCACTGAGCCCTGTTGATCTCACCAGCCTAAACCTTGCAGACCTGCCTACCAGTTCTCACGTAACACCAGGGTTAGAAGAACATGAAAACACTGCTGCAAGGAAGCAAACAAACACCTTGCAGGCAGGCAATGAGTCAATGTCCAGGCAGAAGGAAAGGGCGGGGCTCTTCAAGGGAGATTGAAGAGACAGCCAGATACAAGGCATGACCTTGCATGGGATCCTGAACCAAACAAACCAGCTGTGAGAGAGATGTTTTAGGATAAGGTGGAAATCTGACGATGGCTTAGGTCATAGATGACATTAAGGAACTATTGTTAATTTTGTCAGACATAATAATGGAGGGTGTTCATGGAGAAAGACATCACTTTTCAGAGATGCATGCTGAAGTTTTCGGGGTGAAATATGATGCCTAGAATTTATAATTCATCAGCAATAAATAAATAAATAAATAAATATAAATAAACATGGCAAATATTGTTTTTTCTCTTTTCTCTTTTTTTTTTTCCTAGTAGAGCAGCCAGCAAGGAGCAAGTATTGTTAAATCTAGGCAATAGGTAATTGTATTCGTTTTTCAAAAATATTATTTTTGGCTCAGTGTGGTGGCTCATGCCTGTAATCCCAGCACTTTGGGAGGCCGAGGCAGGCGGATCACCTGAGGTCAAGAGTTCGAGACCAGCCTGGCCAACACGGCAAAACCCCTCCTCTACTAAAAATACAAAAATTAGCGGGGCATGGTGGCATATGCCTGTAATCCCAGCTACTCGGGAGGCTGAGGCAGGAGTATCACTTGAGCCCGGGAGGCAGAGGTTGCAGTAAGACGAGATCATGCCATTGCACTCCAGCCTGGGTGACAGAGCAAGACTTGGTCTCAAAAAAAAAAAAAAAATTCTTTTTGGCCGGGCATGGTGGCTCACACCTGTAATCCCAGCACCTTGGGAGGCAGAGGTAGGTGGATCTCTTGAGATCAGGAGTTCAAGACCAGCCTGGCCAACATGGTAAAACCCTATCTCTACTAAAAATACAAAAATTAGCCAGGCATGTGCCTGTAATTCCAGCTACTCAGGAGGCTGAGACATGAGAATCACTTGAACCTGGAAGGTAGAGACTGCGGTGAGCTGAGATTGTGCCACAGCCCTCCAGCCTGGTGACAGAGCAAGATTCTGTCTCAAAAATAAAAAAATTATTTTTACTTTTCTGCATGTTGGACATTTTCTTAAGTTTTAAATTTATTTACTTATTTTTAATATAGAGGTAGGGTTTCACTGTGTTGTTCAGGCTGGTCTCAAACTCCTGAGTTCAAACAATCCTCCCGCTTTGGCCTCCCAAAGTGCTAGGATTACAGGGGTGAGCCACCAGGCCCAGCCTAATTGGACATTTTCATAATAAAAATAAAATTAAAAAAAAAATTCCTCAAACATTTTTACTATTCTCCATCCTCACTGTCACTACCATATAAGCCTGTGCTCTCGGCTACTTGGAAGGACGAGGTGGGAGGATTGCTTGAGCCCAGGAGGTTGAGGCTGCAGTGAGCCGTGATTGCACCACTGCACTCCAGCCTGGGTGAAAGAGCAAGACCTTGTCTCAAAAAAGAAAATAAGAAAAAGTTGTTCATTATTTCTCACCTGGAAACAGACTTGCTCTTCCAGCAATCCCTGCCCCCGATGTATTACAGACGAAGTAGTTCCTCTCCCTTTCAGACACAGCTCTGGAGCCAGGATTCTGGGAATAAGGCCACTTAAACACGCCCTGTTTCCCCTCTGCTCCCAACTGTGACCTGCTACTACTGCCTGAGTCAAGCAGAGGCTGGGGCAGTGGGTGGGTGGGACCTGGCTGCCACAGGTGAGAGGCTATGTCTGAGGTGGAGGCTCCCAGGGGAACCCTGGGGCAGGCTGGCCCATCATGGGACCCCAGGGAGAAGGCAGTGTGGCTTTTGTATCCTTGTGCCCAGGAGCTGAGGGGGGCCAAACAGGTGGGCCAGGTAGTCTCTACCCATAAGGCCAGGGCACCAAGGAGACAGAGAGAATTCCTGCTGGTGTTTTGACATCACGGATGTCCAACACCCACAGGCTCACTGGCAGAGACCACCATCCCTTCTCCACTCTAGGGCCACCCCTCCAAGTGGGGTACTCCTGCAGCTTGACTCCAGCTCTGAGGAGCAAACTCACTCTGTGACAGCTCAGCAGGGGCAACAGAGAGAACCACCAAACCAGCTGCTGCCACCAGACCCCAGCACAGCCGGGACCCAGGACGCACTAAACCAGCCGCCGCTACTAGACTCCAGCACAGTTGGGACCCAGGACACACTAAACCAGCCGTCGCTACCAGACTCCAGCAAAGTTAGGACCCAGGACACACTAAACCAGCCGCTGCTAACAGACCCCAGCACAGCCAGGACCCAGGACACACTAAACCAGCCGCTGCTACCAGACCCCAGCACAGCCGGGACCCAGGACGCACTAAAGATGCCATCACAGGTCATGGGGAAAGACAGACTTGTCAGTGAAAGGTCACAGGACAACTGGGACAACTTAGCCCATCCAGAGATAAACAAATAAACATGTATATAAATAAGGGAGGGTCCACATCTCATTCTGTCCATCCACATTAACCTTCAAAGGATTAAAGATTTACATTTTTAAAAATGAAGCCATAAAAATAATCAAAAAAGAAAACAAAATCCAATATGCTGTATGTACATATATATAAAAGCCCATATATTTTATATATATGTCTCTTTATATATATAAAAGACTTCAATATGCTGTATGTATATATATAAATATATATTATATATAATATGCTGTATGTGTGTGTATATATGGCTTCAATATGTTGTGTCTGTGTGTGTATACATATATGTATATATATAAATATAAGACTTTGTAACAAAGACTCAAAATATAAAAGCCATAAAATAAACGAGTGATACATTTGACTACATAAATGTGTTTTAAGAAAACTTGTGTGGCAAAATAATGCTATTAGCAGAGTCAAAAGACAAGCTCAGGGTGGCGGAGGGAATTACAACTCAGGTAATAATAGACAAAGGGCTATTTTCTCTAGTATAGAAAAAGCTACTAGAACTCAATAAGAAAAAAACCTAACAACCCAATACACAAACAGGCAAAGGATATAAACAGACCACTCACAGAAAAAAAAAAAAAAGTGGAGGGGGACAAACAGCCCTTAAATATATGAAAAGATACTCTTTCTGGAAAGAAAAATGCAAATTTAAAGTACCTTAAGATAAGACATATTATGGTCAGATTGGCAGAAAAGGAAAGTTTGACAACAGTTAGTTGGCAAGGCTGTGGGGAATAAGACACCCTCATTTGTGTTGGTGAGGTCAAATTGGTATATGCCTCATGGGATATACCCATCAAGTATCTATTATTTACCTTTTGACCCCAAAATCCCATTTTTGGAATTTTTCCAACATCTACCTATACATATATAAAAGAGTATTCATTATGGCATTGTTGTAATAGCAAAAAATGGGAAACATTCCGAGTGCCCGTCAACAGGAGACTGGTAAAATGGATTATTTGTAGTTGTAGGGAAAGAGATAGAAACTCTCTAGGTATAATCTCCAAGATACATTGTCAAAGGAATAAATAAAAGTAAACAAGCTTGTTTTTTTAAAAAAAATCTTGTTTTACACACAAGATGGTGTGTACAAGGTACTACCTTTGCTTAAGAGAGAGAGAAAATTAAGTAATCAGATATGTAGTTATACTAGTTTGTACTTAGAAACTCTGGAAGAATGAAGAAAGAATGAACGAAAGGGGTGACTTTTGAGTTGATGGAGAACAGAGCAGGGAAACAGGGTACATGTGAGATTTTTACTATAGATTTTAAAATATTGCTTTGATTAAAAAAACCTGTAAATACATTACCTAGTAAAATAAATTCAAGGCTATTGGCAAAATAGAGGGCCTGGAGAATGCAATTACAACTTGAATACAAACTCTTAAGGAGACTCGAATCAAGCAGAATTTTTAAAAAGGACTGATTTTTAGAACTTAAAATATGTCATTGTATTAGTTGAAGGGGAATAAATTCACTCTTGAGATTCAAATTTGCAGCCTGGAAGGTCAAAAAGAAATATCAAATTTCAGAGCAAAAGTACACCAAGATTGAAATAAAGATGCCAAAGATAAACTGCAGGGGACCCAGTCAGGAGCACTCACATGCAAAGGAAAGAAAAGGTAAAAGAAACAATAATCAAGCAACAGGCCGGGCGCAGTGGCTCATGCCTGTAATCCCAGAACTTTGGGAGGCTGAGGCAGGCGGATCGCTTGAGCCCAGAAATTTAAGATCAGCCTAGGCAACATGGCGAAACTTTGTCTCTCCAAAAAATACAAAAAAAGTTAGCTGGGCCTGGTGGCGTGTGCCTGTATTTCCAGCTTCTCAGGAGGCTGAGGTGGGAGGATCACTTGAACTCAGAAGGTGGAGGCTGCAGTGAGCCGTGATTGTGCCACAGCACTCCAGCCTGGGTGGCAGAATAAGACCCTGTCTCAATAAATAAACAAACTAACAATAATCAAATCAAGCAACAAATAGATGTTCCTAAGCTGAAAAAAGACCAGAACCTACAGAGTGACAGGTTCTGTGAGCTCCAGATGAGGGTGCTGCGAAAAGAATCCCCATCGAGGCATGTGCTAAAGAATATGTGTTTGATTAGGAACCCCAGAGAAGGGACAGCTGCCAATAATGAAATGGAAAGTGCAACAGGGGAAGAAAAAGGAAATCGATAACCAGATCAGAGGGAAGAAAAACACAAGATAAACCAATAAATGTAAAATAAGCCAAAGGTAATTAAGTACAGTAGATCAATTGTTAAATGAAACATGAACAGAGTGAATTCTCCCACCAAAAGACGAGTCATCTTGGGTTTAAAAATACAGTGATAGGCTGGGCACAGTGGCTCACACCTGTAATCCCAGTACTTTGGGAGGGTGAGGCAGGTGGATCGCTTGAGGTCAGGAGTTTGAGACCAGCCTGACCAATGTGGTGAAACCCTGTCTCTACTAAAAATACAAAAATTAGTTGGGCGTGGTGGCATGTGCCTGTAATCCCAGTTAATCAGGAGGTTGAGGCAGGAGAATCACTTGAACCTGGGAGGCGGAGGTTGCAGTGAGCCGATATCGAACCACTGCACACCAGCCTGAGTGACAGAGCAAGACTCCATCTCAAAAAACAAACAAACGAGAAAAAATGAAGACAACAAAAATACAGTGGTGATGGGCAACATGAAGAAACCCCATCTCTACAAAAAAGACCAAAAAAAAAAAAATTAGCTGGGCATGGTGGCACACAGGCCTGTGGTCCCAGGTTCTCGGGGTGCTGAGGCAGGAGAATTGCCTCAGCCAGGGAGGTTGAGGCTGCAGAGGGCCATGATCACACCATTGCACTCCAGCCTGGGCAACAGAGGGAGACCCTGTCTCAAACAAAACAAAACAGTGATGTGACATATACAAGAAATTAGTAGTTTCAAAAAATGATAATGGTAGAAAATAAAAGAATGCTAAGCAAGTGCAAAAAAAAAAAATAAAGTAAAATAAGGAGTGGTCATATTAACAATAGAAGGGTGAAATTTAAGGTTAAGCACTATAATAGGATAAAGAGGGACACCACGTAATGATAGAAAAGCACAATTTGTAACGACATGACAGAATACTCAAAATCTGCAGGCTCCCGACAGCATCGTAGTTAAATATAAAAAGCAAAAACTAGGAAAAGCACCAGAAGAGCTTTATAGAGAAAATGTGAGTGGAAGGTTTAACATAACACATCTCTATCAGAATTAGAGTAAAAGACCCCTGCCCCCAAGCAAAGGATACAAAGGAAATGAAAGTTTGAATAATATAATCAATAAACTTGATTTGATGCAGTTAGGACCTTATAGCCCTTAAATGGAAAATATGCATTTTTCCGTCCAGGGATTAATATGCATTAATCCCAGCACTTTGGAAGGCTGAGATGGGTGGATCACTTGAGGTCAGGAGTTCCAGAGCAGCCTGGCCAACATGGCAAAATCCCCTCTCTACTAAAAATACAAAAATTACCTGGGCTTGGTGGCGCACACCTGTAATCCCAGCTACTCAGGAGGCTGAGGCAGGAGAATCGCTTGAACCCAGGAGGTGGAGGTTTTGGTGAGCCAAGACTGTGCCACTGCACTCCAGCCTGGGTAACAGAGTAAGACTCCATCTCAAAAAAAATAAAATAAAAATAAAAATAAGAAAATATGCATTTTTCTTATATGTCTATGAAAAACTTAGAAAAATCATTTACTTGGTCACAAAGAAATTCATAATAAATTTTAAAAGTGGAGATTTTACACATCTGGAGAAAATGAATGCTTTCCTAGTAAAATATAAAATGGCCAAAATTAACTAGAAGGTGAGTAGAAACTTAAATAAACTAATTACCACTGATGAGAAAAAAAATCTGCCACTGAAAAAGGCACCAGGTCCAGAGGGTTTCATGAGAGGGAACTGTAGAAACCTTTTGAATTCATCTTTGCCAACACCTTCCTCCTCCAGGAAGCACTCTTGGATTTCCCTCTTGCGAACAAGATTCTGGGAGGATGGCTCCTCCAACATGCCCCCCACAGCTCTTTGCAGATGCATCATGTCATATCATATCATATCTGCCATACCATAACTACCATGCCATACCATATCATAATTGGATCTGCTGTTCAATTTCTCCTGGACAGTAAGCTACCTGAGGGCAGGAACCATCCTTTATTTTTCATTGCTCCCTAGTGCCCAGTACAGCAGCTGACATTCACTGACTAGGTGAATATGGTAAGTGAAAAAGCAGAAGGCACAATCGTCATTACGCTGTGATGTCTCTATGGGAACTGCCCAAGACATACACATAAGAAGGCAGAATAAATGGGAAGAAACCAACATGCTAACAGTCATTTGATTGAGATTTCCTCCTATTATTCAAATATTTGTAATGGAGTTAAGCTATTTTTATAGGGAGGGAATAGTAATTTACACATTTAACTGGGCCAACGAGGAGAAAGGAAGGGGGAGGTTGGGAGGATTCTGCAGGCAGGCCCTTCTGCTACCTCTGCTTCCTCTCTCTGGCCCAGCCCCTAGACAGACACAAAGGCCTGGACGGGGGCCCCTGCCCCACTCCCTTCATGCCTCACAGGGGACCCCCAGCCAGGAGAAGGCAAGGAGGCAGGGTGGGCACCCACAGGGGCCTCAGTTGGACAGAAGGGTCCTGCGGGGCTCACCTGGCAACAGCTCTGCAAGTTCCCTCAACACCAGAATCCTTCTGCAATCTGGAAACAGAGCTTCCCAAAATTTAGCAAGAGCACCTGTGCCCCTATGCCCCTGTGCCCCAGAGCCCTAGTCCTGGCAGCCCTATTTCCCCCTCAATATGAACAAACAGCCGCTGACCTCTCACTCCCCGGCACAGATCCAGCTCTGAATCTCCCTAACATTCAGGCATGGAGCCCCGACCGCATTTCTGGTCAGCAGCTACCCCCTGGTCACGATCATGGACTTTCCCATTCCCCAGGGCCTGGCACTGACCACCC
Organism: Homo sapiens; assembly: GCF_000001405.40. Lineage (NCBI taxonomy): Eukaryota > Metazoa > Chordata > Mammalia > Primates > Hominidae > Homo > Homo sapiens. The sequence continues at coordinate 64,773,177 of NC_000017.11, forward strand.
ATCCAGGCTGGCATTCAGAAGTACTGATGCCCACCCTTCCCTGTACTGGACATAGTCATCTCTAAGAAGGGCAGAGAAAATAGGTCCATGGGAGCTAAGCTATGAGGAGGCAAAGGCCTAAGAATGATATAATGGACTTTGGGGACTTGGGAGTGGGGGAAGGGTGGGAGGGGGGTGAGGGACAAGAGACTACACATTGGGTACAGTGCACACCACTCGGGTGATGGCTGCACCAAAATCTCAGAAATCGCCACTAAAGAACAAACACCACGTGCTCCCCACAACTATTAAAATAAAATAAACATTAAAAAATAGGTCTAGAGTGAGGTCAACTACTGAGGCCTGGGAAGGAAGTGAGGGGGCAGGTGGGGCCCATCTCAGGCCTCTGGGGGCCGAAGGGAGCCAGGGACTAAAGAGGTGAGAACCAGGCGCAGGCTCCAGGGAGACCCCCAGAGACCATGTGGCCTGCAGGGGAGTTGGGGGGGTGTGCAGGGAGATCTCTGGGGGGACAGCAATGTGGGGTGAGGGTGGGAGGGGTACCCAAGAAGCTGCTCTCTCCTAAGTCAGGTCCTAGGCAGGCAGAGGGGCTCTTGGGACAGCCTGGGGCTGCAGGTGAGTCCCTGGGAGGGAGACAGCTGAGGCGGCTGCCCCAGCTGGAGGGTGGGGGTGAGGGTTGTTGGAGGAGGGAGTACAGGCAAGGGGCTAGCTGGAGTCCCCTCAATTTGGACTTAGCTTCCTGCTATTACCAACGCCCCTTGCCAAAGGCTCCCTGGCTGGCCCTGAGTGGGGACAGGTGGGTCTGTCCCGAGGCCAGTTTCTTTCTCTCAATCACAGCGGCCTCGGGCTGCCCTCGGAGTTTGTCCTAGGAAGTGGGTGCTGGGCCTGGATCCAGAGAGGAGGGGCCCCCAGGTGGGTTTTAGGATTTGGGAAAGGGAGGGGAGAGAGTGGAGAAACTGCTGTGGCCGCCCTCTAGTCCCTCAGGGGCAAGGGCTCACTCACAGTTCCCAGCGGAGGAGGAGAAATGAGGGCCCCCGCTCCTTCCAGTCGGGGCTGCCTGCTCAGGTGCGGCGCCTCCAGGGTTGCTTGTATAAGAAGGTGCAGCAGACCGGCTGGAACTTCCCTCCCAGCGGCCAATGCCCCAGCAGCAGGGGCGGGCTCCAGGCCAGCTCCACCCACCTGGGCCTTCCCACTTCTGGGTGGGGATGGTGACTGCACCCTGAGATCCCAGAGCCAGGACCACAGCCATGGGGAAGAGTCTCAGAGGCCCCTTTATTGCACCGCCTTTGGCCTGGCTTCCCAGGGCTCCCTGAGTGGCCTCTTTGGGAGAGAGGAGGAGTCATCCCTGCTTACCTCTCCCTGTCTCCCTGTCTCCCCTCTCAGAAGGGGTTGCTTCTGCCCTCTCCTGGGCAGCAAGAGAACAGGAGACGTCCCTCTCCTGGGACATCAACTCTCCCACCACAGGGCTGGGCACGCAGGATGCTCAGAAGAAGGAGCGCTTGCTTGCCTTCAGCTTGTACTGTTCTTGCTGAGAGGAACAGGGTGGCCAACCCTAAAGGCCACCTGGCTGAAACTGAACCTGCTGGCCAGGGTGGGGCTTGGGGTCAGGGGCCTGGAACTGTCCTGGACACAGCCACTTCCTGGCTGTATGAGCTTCGTCCTGTCACTAAACCTCTCTGAACCTCTGTTTGTACTCAGGGCAAATGGAGGTGCCTACACCTGCCTTCCAAGCTGCTGGGAGCTTAACCCTGGGTTACAAGCCTTTGAGCAAGAGCCCACAGGACTGTTAGCCCCTTTGGGACTGCGTCTTACCACACTTTGTCCCCAGTGTCCAGCACAGTGACCAGCCCACACCAAGTACTCAATATGTGCGATTAGAGTGCATGGGGAGTGACAAGGCTGTGAAACACCATCCATGGCAGGAACTCCTCTGTTCTGGGGGTCCCTGGCCTTGCCCAGTAGCCTGCCCTAAGCCCTGAGCTGCCGCCTGACAGACGGGGGTCCCTATACACTCCCCAGTGCCCCCGTGCCATGCCATCCCCACATCCTGCCCCCTCTGTTCTGCACCCACTTTCTTCCGAGATCCCTTCTCAGCAACAATCTCCTCCCCATCTTCAGCCTCCCCATCTCCTGCCCACCCACCTGAACCTGGGGATGTTTCCATCTATGACCTACACCCCCTCTGGCCACGCTGTGTCTCTCTCTCTCCTTCTGTCTGTTGTCTACACACTCAATTCGCACCCTCACTTCACTCCTGACCACTGCCCTCTGCCTTCAGCACCCCCCTGACCAGCTGAGCTTCTAGTGGCCACTTCGGATAAGTGTTATATGGCCTTTCTCTCACGTCACCTTCCTGTGCATCTTTCTTCTGGACACTTCTTGTCCTCTGAGCCAGCACTCTCATGCTTCTCTTCCCTTTGTCTGGCACCTAAATCCAGGCAGGCCCCACCTTTCTCCACCCTGCTCCTCCCCAAGTCCCCCCCACCCCCCAACTCAGTAAGCAGCACCACTGTCTGCCCACAAGTGCCAGCTGGGAATCTGAACTCAACCCGATTTCCCTCCCACCTCCCTCGGCCCCCAGACCCTGCCCATCCATCTCCCAAACCTCTGTTACCACCACATGCCCACGAGACCACCAAGAGCTTCGGCCATTCTTGAGGCCCTGGCCACAGGGATTTTTTTCTCAATCCCATTCCTGTCTCTGCTAAAAGCCTCACAGCAGCTGCAGGATAACGTGCACATTCCTGGCAAGGGCTCATGAGGCCCTGCCCCGGTGGGCACCCACTCTCAACCCCATGCTCCACTCTGAGCCCCGGCCCCATGTCTTCTGTTGCTGGCCTCCTATCCAAGAGGGTGAGTCCCCCAGGACCGTGGCTGTGCCTGAGTCCTCTCTAGATCCAAAGGCTCACCAGGGCTCTGCAGCTATTTGGCTAGTTCATGCCTAATGAACGAGTGAATGGGCCTGGAGGATTATGGTGGGGAAATGCCGCCTGGGACAACTAAGGGCAGGGGTGGGGTTCCCTTGTGGGGGCAGGACCAACTCCCTACCCTGGACTTTGTTGGGGGTGGAGCACCAGGGAGAGCCACAGCTGCCTCTTGAATAAAGCTCCGTGGCAGGGAACGTGGTATTATTGCACTCATTGCACAGGGGAGGAAACTGAACCAGAGACGCAAAGTGACTTGTGGAGGTCACATAGTGAATTAGGGCCACAAGTGGGGCCAGGGAGCAGCCTGTCTCTGGCCAATGTCCTAGTTCCCCCCTGGGTAAGTCCCCTGCCCTCATCACCTGTGCCCCTCCCCCCATATGCCACTGCAACTGGGAACCTGCTGGGAGCTGGAGGAAGGATGGGCAGAGGGGCCACCTGGCAGGCGCCCTGGCAGCCGGGGTGATCTGTCTTCTCAGGAGATGTCAGGACCTGGGCAGTCTCCTTCCTCTTTGGTCCTGGGGCCTGGGGTGGTGGCCCTTGGGCAGACCTACAGAGGCCTGGCTCATAGGTAAGGGGCTGCCGCACCTCCGCCCTATTCAACATACACTCTCTGTGCACTCTGTCTGAGCCAGACCCTGGGCCAGATGCGAGGTTCAAAGAGCAAGGCCATTCCCCCACCTCCAGGGGCTCCGCTCAGACGGGCAGGCACCGTCCCACCGTCACTAGGACAGAGAATGTGGAGAGGCCGGGAAGTGCGCCACCGGGAGCCTGCGCAGGAAACGGAGGGGCGCTGCGGGGGAAGAGCGCTGGCATCCAGCCACCCATCCCAGAGAAGCTGCCTGGCTGGCTGGCAGGGGCGCGAAACAGGAACCAGCCGCGGTCTCCAGCCCCGCCCGCCGGGTGCCGTTTTCCACCCTGGCCACAAGGCGGCGGGCTGCCGCTGCAGGAGCCAGAGTGAAGGCGGCGCAGACCCAGGGAAGCCAAACGAGGATGACCCAGTCTGGGTGGACCCCCTGCTGCTGCCAAGCGCTTCGAAGCCTTAATTCATTTAAGGCTCACAACCCTAATCCTTAGGTATTGTGCTTACACCAGAGGACGCTGGGCCTGGGGGGGGAGGGGGTGGTCCTCGCTTGTAAGTTAAGTGGCTGTCAGCAGCTGGCAGCTGCCCCAGCAAAATCCAGTTCCCCTTTCCCTAGTCTCAAAACCTGAGCTCTGCATTGTAACGAGACAGGCGGAGGGAACACCCAGCAGCGGGCCTACGGAGGCGTGTCTCCTTCGTCTGGGCATCCCGGACTCAGTCCTGGCACATGGTGGGCATCAGTGTTCATGGTAATGACATCAGGCACAGCGAAATAAATCAGAGGCTCCCAAGGTTCAGAGGTCATCTGTCCATCCCCTCCCTTTGTGCTAAAGAACAAACCGAGACCCTGAGAGAGGAAGAGAGCTGCCTCTAGATCATCACACGGCCGGTGGCAGATGGCAGAACGGTTCTAAGCATCCTTTTCTCCCCCTCGGGCTGCCCCTCCCTGAAAAGTTCCTAAAGTTCAAAATGTCAGAGTCCCCCAGAGTGTTCTGAGGATGCAAGAGTGTTTGTAAAACGTGCTCTATTTTCGATTTCCCAGATTAACACAACTGGATTCTGAAGAGGGGAAAAAACAACCTCACTTAACACGTCTTTCTGAAACAAACCCATCAGGAGTTCTTTTAAAAAAAAAAAAAAAAAAAAAAGGAACTGAAATGCTGGAAGCACCCTCAAAGGGAAGCAGACGCCTGACTTTCACATCCACCCTCTCATCTGACTCCAGGCTCCTTGAGCTGGCGGCAGGCCCGCAATCCCCCGTTCCGTGCCCAGATGCACTTCGGAATATAGAACAGCTGGGACTTGGAAAGATAATATGTGGCACCCACCTGCTGTAGGTTACATAACCTCCCAGCAGGGCTTGGGGCAGCAGCCGGCCATCGAGCTTATTTGCATTTCTGCAGCAAAACATGAATATTCACACAAGTGCGATAAATAAAGACCATCAACAGCCTCATATCAGTTCAAGCGCAATTTTGCCACCAATTTGATTACGAAAAATCTTTCGGGCTTCCAGGGAGCTTTGGAGCCTGGAAATTGCAGATGAGGGATGGGGGCCTGCACTGTTTCGCGGCTGGGGAGAGGGAGCTCATCCGAAGTCTTCCGACAGAGGTGGGCGTCATGCCCGACGCTGAGCGGAGTGGGTCTCCTCGAGCCCAGGCTCCCTGCGGGCGCTGTCCTCAGCGAGCCTCCCCGCCTCCGCGCCCGGGGTCGTACCTGCTTCACGATCTCCTACCGCGGCGGGCCGCGTACCTCCTGGATGGCCTCTTAGACGTTCTCTGAGTCGCTGCGCGACAGGGGCAGCAGGCACACCCAGGAGCCCGCTACGCTGCAGGCCTTGAAGCTGCCGCTGCTTCCGAGGTTGCCGGCGGGAGGCGAGACGACGGCGCGCGTCAGGTCGTCCAGGGACTGCGCGGGCCGCACGGGCGCCGTGGGCCGCAGGTACAGGCAGGCGGGCAGGCCGGGCGCCAGGCTGCTGCGCTGGCTCGCGGCGCCGCGCTGCGCAGGGCCGCACAGGGAGCTGGCCCCGCCTCGGGGCTCCGCTGGGGGGCCGTTGGGGGCCGCTGCCACAGCCGCGCTCACGAACCGGTAGTCGTAGGCGAGCGGCTCAGGGGCTGCGGGTCCCGATGGGGGGACCTGGCGGCGCGTCAGCGGCAGGGTTGCCCAGCGCAGGCAGCTCGCGCACGTACTGCGCGGGCAGGTAGAAGGGGCGGCCGCCGGGCTTGCGCCGCACGTGCCACCAATGCTCAGTGCTCTGTGCTGCGCCGCAGCGGCCGGTAGCGCTCATTGGGCGGGATGGCCACGCGGCGCCCGTCCTTGCCGGTGTACTCGAAGGGGTGCTCCACCAGTACGTACACGTCCCCCTCCACATCCGCCGCCATTGCGGCCGCGGCATTTTCCTGCAGGCAACAAGGAAGAGGGCCGCGGAAGTCAAGACCACTGAGCCCGGAATAGCCCAGCACTCGAGGAGAGACTTGGGTTCGAGTCCCGATGCTGCACTTGCCGTTCGCCTTCGGGCCTCAGTTTTCCCATTTCTAAAATGAGGACTTGAATAAAATCACATGCAAGGCTTCCATTCTTACACTCAGTGCTGGAATTAGGACAACCTCTTCATTCCGTGGGGTTGATTCTAAGATTTCAGCCTCGCTTCAGTCCTGCGGTGGGGAGATTGTGGGTAGTCTTGGTCCAAATCGACTGCGAGGGAAACTTTGGCTTTAAAACGAGGGGTGATTACCTGCTCTAAGGTCGACACCACGCTTGCTTGATAGTTGACCGTGCCTTAGTTTTCCCGTCAGTCAAGTGGGAAGAGCAGCCCATTTCCTGCCGCTCCCCGGGCCCTGTCCCGCCTGGACGCCTCCCTCCAGGAGCCTGCGCCCCGGCCCCGGGGTCAGGGTTGGGATGCGGGCTCTGCAGGCGCCCCGGCGAACAGCTCTACCTGGAGGCTGTCCCTGCCCCGCTTAGTCCAAGGGCCTTGGTGTGGGGGCCTCCGCTGTCAAGGCGGGGGAACCGGTTCTCTCGGTTTCTCTCCCCTTCCCCAGCGGCTTCAACGCAGACGTGAGCCCGAGCCGGGCCCGCCCCCGCCCCCTGCTCTCCGGCTCTCACGCCGCCCCCCGAGAGAGGCTGCCCACCTGCCCTGTGACCCCTACAGTGTCCCCAAGAGAGTGGCCCCTGGAGAATGCACTCTGAGACAGTGACTGTCCGTGCGGAGTCCCAAAGCAGGGGCCCTCAAAGCTCTCCGGAGTGGTCACAAGCCCCGCTCCCGCCCCGGCTGGGTGTGTCAGGGATGGGGGAGAGCTTAACTAAATCTGCCGGCGCCCCTCCACCAAAGCCATGAGTCGGTGGTCTTCTCCGGAAGTGCATGGCCCCTCCAAGCTCCCACACTGACCACATCTCCTCCTGCCTCCTAAGGTGACCCAGGCCAAGGGCCAGGAGACCGCGGCTTGCCGAGGCTGAGGGACCGAAGGAGCAGGGTCCAATCCGGGACTCCCGTAGGGCTCCTTCGCCACTTTGTCAAGCGTTCCTCGACTAGGAAAGGGTATACACTTGAGTCACTAAGCACACTGGGCCCCGGAGGCGGGGTCATCGAGCTGCCCAGAGCCAACAAACCCCAAGGTGGACACTGCCCCGGCGCCCCTTCCCCCCGGACCCCGCAGCGCACTCACGTCTGCTGGGCGGGCCTCAGGGAGCCCAAGGGCCGGGTGGGCGGGGCCGGCAGGTTAGGCCCGGACCATCGCCCTGGGCGGGGCTTCCGAGGTGGTGCCGGAGAGGTTTCGCGGAATCGGAGCTGGCAACGGCAGCGAATAGGGACAGCGACGCTCAGGAGTGCTGTCACCCATACCCAAAGAAGCTGCGTCTGGGCGGGGCGAGGAGGAACCTGAATGCCTCTGCTGGGGACCTTGGGGGGCATTGGGACGAGGACCGGAGCAGAAAGCCGGGGTCCGGAGCCAGGAAGGCTGCGTCTGAAGGGGCGCTGGCTGGTCGCTAGCGGAGCCCAAGGAGGGTGGGCCTCCCCTGTCCCGCCTTCCCCCTTCCCTTCTCCCCCGGGGATTTGCTGTCCCGGAGTCCCTGCGTCCCTCCCGCCTGCGGCTCTGGGAATGCCGGTCTGGGGCTGGTTGTCTAGTGCGGGCGTTCCCGTTCGCGGGGAGGTCATTGGCACCCTGAATCACCCACTGCGAGCCCTTCCAACCGGATTGTAGACCTGCCAGCTCCGGGCCCACCTCCCCCAACAGGGCCTTTCCCGGAGCAACCCGGCCGGGCCTGGAAAAACTCCGAGAGGGATTCCCAGCGCAGGGACGCCCACCGGAGCGCAGTGTCTCGGGCTGGATAAGAAGGGGACCCGGCCACAGCTCCTTCGCCAACCTGCGGGAACACAGAGAAGGGGAGGGATTGGTGGGGGCCGAGAGGATCCCTGGAGCGCGAGAGCGCACCCGTCGCCAGGAGGTCCCCTGCGTCCACTGCCCAGGCGACGCAAGCTACAGCGGCGTCAACGCCTGGGTCGGCGCTAGGGGCCTGGGCCTGCTCCCCACCCGCCTCCAGAGGGAGGGCAGCCCTTCGCCTACCTTCTCCTCCCCGTGGGATGCGGCCCGAGCAGCTCCCGCCCCAGCACGGAGACAAGGGGAGCAGGCGCGCGGAGCTCCCGGGTGCGGACCCGCCACCTGCCGCACCCTTCCCTCCCCAACCCTGCCCCTTTCCCCACCCCCACCCCACCTCCCACCTCAACTCCCGCTCGGCGGCCCACTGCCTGCCCGGGCACCTCGGGGCGTCCGCTCGCCGGCCTCGTCTCCACTTGTCCCGGCAGGCGCGCGTGGGCTCGGCGTCCCGCGCTCCCTCCTCGACCGCGCGGCTCCGGCGCTGCCAGGTTTCCTGTATAGCACTATAACCAGTGAGGCACCGGCGGAGAGCGCCCGGCAGAACTTCCTCCCGGACTGGGGCTGGGCTGCGGTTGCGAGAGACAATCCCCGGCGTCCTGGCTTCCTGTCGCCTCTGGGCCAGGCCCGCGCCTGAAGAGGAAAGATGCCACCCCCTCCCCTGCATTTCCCGGGATCCTGGGCCACTCCCGGGATCCTGGCTGTCTCCAGGGAGGAAGAGGCCGCGGGGCTGAGATGGTGGGACTGGGGATGGCGGGAGTCTCCCGCGCAGCTTCTCCTGGCCAGATTGCCTTCCCACCATCCCCCACTCCCTCTTGACCCTTGCGGGGAAAGAGGTCCACCCTCCAATCCGTCCACAGGGTAAGCTCAGAACAACCTCCTGGGGGCCAGGAGTCCAGCCCCAGGGCCCTCCGCCTTGGGGGTCTTCTGTTTGGGAATTATCTGCCTCTCTGGACAAGCTGCCTCGCCCTGATCTGAGCCTGCGCTCACTCCACACGTCACAAACCACAGCCCTAGCAGACCCCCTGCCCTCAGGGGCCCCCAGAAACAGTTGTGCCTATGGACGTGGCTGTGTGTGCGGAGAGCTGGCTGATTCAGGCCAGTGTTCTGGGACGAAGAGAAGCCCACACCCCAGGCCATGGCCCCTCTTGACTCCACCTCCTGGGGGCCCAGGGTTGGATGGGAAGCTGAATCTGGCCACACTCGTTCTGGAACTCCCTTACCTCTGTATCTTTGCCCCTGCTAGGCGTTGCCCACCCGTGAGTCTACACTTCCTCTGAGAATCTCAGTGTGTCTGAGGCCTGGTGGCACTTTGGGACCCTCCAGGGTGGGCACACAGCAGAACTCAGCATTGGTCTTTGGTGCCCGACATGCTTAGAAAATAGTGACTGGAGGAATCTTCTCTCCCTCCCTACCTTTTAGGTCTCTCCCCACCTGCAGCACAGCCAGGCAGCGGCTGGCAGTGGTGATGGTCTTTGCGTGGGGTCAGGCAGGTATGATGCCCCACTCTGCTGCTTGGCGGCTGGTAGGCCTTGGGAGTTCTGCCTTATCTCTGCAGCTCAGCTTTCTTTCCTATCAATAGTAACACCCACTTCACTGGATTATTGGGAAGATTAAATGAGATCCACTAAGCAGTGCTTACCACATGCCCAGCGTACACCATATATCAGCTATTTTTTTTTTTTTTTTTTTTTTTGAGATGGAGTCTGGCTCTGTCGCCCAGGCTGGAGTGCAGTGGCACAATCTCGGCTCACTGCAACCTCTGTCTCTGGGTTGAAGTGATTCTCCTGCCTCAGCTTCCTGAGTAGGTGTGATTACAGGCACCCACCATCATGCCCAGCTAATTTTTGTATTTCTGCAGAGACGGGGTTTCTCTATATTGGCCAGGCTGGTCTTGAACTCCTGACCTCAAATGATCTGACTGCCTCGGCCTCCCAAAATGCTGGGATTACAGGCGTGAGCCACAGTGCCTGCCTATATCAGCTATTATGACACTTTTATTATGTGATGAGCTCTTGGGGTTTGGACTGGAATCTCCAAACCACCCGTCCTCCTTCAGGCAGAAGAGAAGGGGAAGTCCCAGCTACTCGGGAGGCTGAGGCAAGAGAATTGCTTGAACCTGGGAGGCGGAGGTTGCAGTGAGTCGAGATCACACCACTGCACTCCAGCCTGGGTGACAGAGTGACTCCGTCTCAAAAAAACATGGGTGAGAAGGGGAAACAAGTGCCCTCAGAGGCGCTTGGCTGAGGATGGAGAGGGGCTGAGCCCACTGGCAGGGCAGAACCAGGTCATGTGCCATGGCCCTCCACTGGGCCTCCCTCCCCCAGTTTCTCTTCTCTTCTCTGGCCCTACCATCTATTGTCCTTGGGGGAAGCTGTGGCACCTAGATGGGCAGAGGGTGCCAACTTGTAATCTGAAAGGGGCCTTCAAGGACAGGAAATCGCAGATCTGAATGTTGTCTGTTTCCATCCCATTTTACCGCAATCTGATTTCCCTGAGAATTAGTCTGTTTCCAAGGGCGCCTTCGGGAAGAATCCTCACAGGCCTAAGCCCTCCCCAGGCCAGACTCCTGCCCACTCAGGGATGGGGCAATGAGGGCTCTGACCAGGCCAGGCTTGTGGTCATGGCAGGTGCATAACCCAGCTCCTGGCTTAGGAGGTATTGGCATCTGGGCACAGGTGTGCGCCATGACCGGGAGAAGCTATGCACAGCCTCCACCTGCCTGCCACCGCCACCTCTGTTCTGCACAGGCATCCAGCTCCAAAGCTGGGTGGGTGACTCAGCAGCTGATCACCCCCAGGGAGGGGTGGGGGTGGGCTCATCTCTGACAGTGACAGGTGGATCTCCACCTGAGGCCTCAGACTCCAAGCTGAGCGCAGGTAAGACAGCTAGGACTGAGGGCCCGCTGGGTCCAGGAGAGGTGGGAGAAGGCGACAGAGAGACCAGCAAACCCACATTTCCCTGAAGCCTGGAGGGTCTGAACTTCACTTCAAAAACAATTCCAGGCTCCCACCCCAGCACCAAGGCCCCTTCAAAGGCAGTCCTGCTCCGGGGAAGTTCTTCAGTCTCCAGTGTCCTGGCTGGGCAAGTTCAGTGATGCTTTGGGAATTCATAGCTTTGTGAGGCGGCGGCTGCATCCACAGGGCAGCTCCCCCGCATGCCCTGCACAGCTTAGGGCGAAGGACCAGGTCATTTCTCCACAGTGCAGGGCCCAGCTGCCTGCTGTCTCTAGGGTCCTGCCTATCTGTGCCCTGGCAGGGGTCAGTCAGGCAGAGAGGGTGACCCCGGGCACCCACCAAGGTGGGCCTGGAGCATCTGCAGCAGTGCCCCTGTCTGTAGAGGGGTGAGGAGGGCACGGGGATTGGGGGTGGGCAAGACGGCGACCCTCCCTAAACCGAGGAGGGCTCATAGTGCTGAAAGTGCTGGTTTCCAGTCATTTCTCCTTCTCCTAATGGGGCCAAGGCCCCAGGCTAGAGAAGAGCTAGGGGCTCTGACGCTGAGAAAGGGGTGGGCTCAGCAGGTGAGACGCACTGGGGTGGGGAGTAAAGAGGAGACAGAGAGGAAGTGGGGTCACCAGGACTGGCCCTGCCCTGCTGAGGGGCGGTTTGGCACTGGCAGTGAGGGCCAGGAAAGGCACTGGGTGGGCCCACAGGCCCTGTCCCAGCAGTGGCCTGCCCAACAGCCACCCGCTGCCTCTAGGACAGGCCTGAGAGGCTCCTGTGCATCCGCTGGGGGTGAAAATGTCTGGATTTCATGGGTGACTCGCATACGGTCAAGAATAAAAAATACTTTCTGTTGAAATATGAATGGGAAAAACCCACCTTAAAAAACCAGACCTTTTAATCAGGAATGTGGAATTGAAAATGTTCCCCAAGTCCCCTTTCCACAGTGTTTGGCCAGCCCTAACGGAGGCGCCGGGACGCTGGTGAGCCAGGGCCTGGTGAGTAAACGGCCCTGCCTGCCCCAGACAGGGAGCATCTGGTGGTGGCCACGCCTCCTGCAGCAGAGGGGTGGGGGGAGGGCCAGGGGACATCATGGGGACTTCCTGGGCTTTCTGTAGGAGGCCAGTGCTCTGGTCACATCTGAGGTCTTCCTGACAAGGGGACACAGCTGTGACACGGTGAGTATCCTGGGCTGATAGGAAACCCAGCTGGGATGGCTGAGCCACACTCACCCCCGGCCTTCAGAGTGGGATCAGCAGAGGGGCATCAGGCGAAAACGTTCTGTTGCTGGTACTTGCGTCAGCGAGCACAGCGGGGGCAGCCCTTCTTCACCACAGCCTGGCAGCTCTGGTGGAAGACGGTCTTGCACTTGGCACACCTGGGGAGAGAGCAGCACACCTGCTGGTGCCGGCTGGGCTGGAGGTTGACCTGTGGCCACGCTGGCCAGCACTTTTGACCAGAACCCACGATATGGCTGTGACATACTGTGTAACCCATGCACGCACGCTGTGCCTTTCCATCCCGGAACAGGAGATTCTCGAAACAGTGCTTACCCATACGTCACACAATGCACACTGATATTCTCTGTCCTACTGCATTTTTTATAAATGCTGCTTGAGATTCATTAAAGATTTCTTACCTGTATTTTAAAAAGCATTTACTTATTTATTTATTTATTTTTGAGACAGAGCCTTGCTCTGTTGCCCAGACTGGTGTGAGGCTCACTGCAACCTCTGCCTCCCAGATTCAAGCAATTCTCCTGCCTCAGCCTCCCAAGTAGCTGGGATAACAGGTGCCCACCACCACACCTGGCTTACTTTTGTGTTTTTAGTGGAGACGGGGTTTCACCATGTTGGCCAGGCTGGTCTCAAACTCCTGACCTGAAGTGATTCACTCGCCTCGGCCTCCCAAAGTGCTGGGATTACAGGCGTGAGCCACCGCACCCGGCCAAGACTGTATAATTTTAAAAACTCACTCCCAGGCCCATTCAGGGCTGAATCCCGGCCAGTGGACACCGATAAAAAAAGAACTAATGTTCCCAGTTCAGTTTTCCACTCCCACATGGGTTGCAGGAAGGTCTGGATGAATTTTTCCATTGAGAGGTTGCTGATAATGAGCAATAACTGGGAACAAGAGGGATCATTTCAGCAACCGAGGCAGTAGCAGTGGCAGTGGCAGCTACCACCCACCAGGTGCCCACTTTGTGCCTGGTCTTATGCCAACAGTGCAGGGCGGTAACTCATACAACCCTCCTCAACCCATGCATACACTGAGACCCCAGGAGGCTCCACTCAGAGAGCCGGCAGCCACCTCTTCTTTAGGAAGACAGATGGTTCTGTAGAGGCAGAGGAGTCCTGGGAGAGCTTGTCTTGCCCCCTGAACTGGTCCAGAGCTGGCCATGACTGCCCAGGGCGTGGGCTGCCCTGAACAACTGCACCGCCCCTTGGCACGGCACAAAGCAGATGTTCAATACATTCCTGCCCATAGAGCGAAGCCTGCTGCCCTGCGTGCTTGGGCCAGGCTGTGGGTGTGGCGAAGGGTAGGGCTGGGAGGCAGCTGGCTGGGTGTCCCGCATACCTGACTGTGGTGTCAAACTCAGAGGGGAAGATGATGTCGTGGTGCTGGCAGATCTGGCAGATGAAGCTGCGCTGGGTGCACAGGTCGCAGTGGTAGACATGCTGGGAGGCAAATTCAATCAGGGCCTTGAGGAATCCTTCATATACCTCATCTGCGATCTGCGGAGGGTAAGTAGGAATCCTTCATACACCCCGTCTGCGATCTGCGGAGGGCTGGTAAACTGAGGCCCCAGGCCTTTCAAGCAGCTGCACTGAGTCGCCATGGCACCCTGCCTAGAGAACTTCTACCCCCAGTTTCCATGCGGGCAAGAAAAGAAAACCTCCCTGAATCAGGCTGAGTAGTGGCAGCATCCAGCCCGTGGGTACTGAGGTCACTCGGGGCTTATGGGATTTATAGATGAGACCCAAATCCACTGTACCCTCCCCTTGGGGAAAGGAGTATTCCAAACTCTCTTCCCTACGATCCTGGGGTTGCTGGAGTTTTATTTCAGGGGTGCTGGGGGTATCCGTCCCTGCCCAGGAAGCTGGGGCAGCAGGGCAACCCACCCTGAGCTGCAGAAAAGCTGCAGACTGCTGTCTTCTTCAGTAAACTACAGACACCCTCTCTCCCATCTTCCTTGCTGACTTCTCCAGGAATGAAGTCTTTCTAGAGTTCTGGGCGGGGTAGGCATGACACTCTCACCTGCCGGAGGTCAGCAACACGGAACCTATGCGGAGACTCCAAGAGATAATTCCGGTGGTTGAGCCTTCAAACAAAACACAAGCGATTCTTTAGAAAAGTTTCGAAGACCCAGGCCAGCCCGTGTTGTTTATTTTCATTCCCCTGGCGCTGCTCACCAGGCAGACACCTCCCGCCTGGGCGGGGCAGGGCCTAGGAGCACAATTCAGCCTGCTTGGGACCCGGTCTTCAAGGTAACTAACTAGCTGGTTGGACCTTGGACATGTTACTTAAGCTCTCTGAACCTTGGGTTCCCCTCTCTGGGAAATGGAGTTGTCTGGATTGAGTAACTTATTGAAAGCATTTGGCTTGGTGCAGAGCTCACAGTAAACATGTAATTAATTAATTAATCATGAGGAGGATAGGTGCTGACATCTGGGACCAGGAACTGGGCTAAGAGCTTCATACGCACTCATTCATTTGATCCTCACAATAATCCTGTGAGGCTGGTACTAACACAACCCCAACTTTGAGAAGAGGAAACAGAGAGGTTAAGTCACTTGCCTGAGGTCACATATCTAGTAGGTGGGAGAGCTGGAGTTTGAACACAGGGGCCTGGCTCCTGAGCCTGCACCCTTGTCCACCTGGTAAATGCCTAGAGATGCAGGCTGTTGTCATTATTGCCAAAGTCACATACCAGGGACAGTGCTGGGGACAGTAATGCACAGGATATGGCCTCTGCCCTCCTGTGGCCCCTGGTTTGGCCGAGGGACAGACATCCAAGTGTCTGGTTTCAGTGCTACATGAGAGCAACCGAGACGTGTCCTAAGTACAGCAGTCCCATTTCAGAGGTGGCGGGGGGAGCAGAGGACAAGGGCTCAGCTGCCAACGCGGCTCTAGTTTCCACCACACCAACGGCAGGGATCCAGCGGGCCCCATCCAGAGAGATGGAGAGGAAACACTTGCAGAAAGTCCCCTGGTACAAAACCTGCCTGGCCTGGCTGTGTGTGTTTACATGGGTACTGGGGGTGGGAGGTTACTCCAAGTCAGAGGATGCTTGGGAACCTGCCCCAGGATGCCCCAGACATCTGGGGACAGGATGGTGCCAGCCCTGGGTCTGGGCCTCCCAGGTGCAAGCTGTGGAGCATCTGGAATGGGGACTTGGCCTTGTCCCAGCTAGTGGCCTCAGCTGTGGTCCAGGGGAGCCCAATCTGGGGTGGAGAGGGTGAGTCTCACCAAGCAGCCACACAGGCCAAGATGCCAACTGGCCCCTCAGTTTACCATGCTGGTGACCCCAGTAAACTTCCTACACTCTAGGAAGGGAAGCTGCCATTTGTCACCAAGAAAACATGGGACACAGCGGGCTGGGGGGACACAGGTTGGCCCTCAGCTGGCAGGAGGGTGGGCTGATCTGGATGGAGAATTAGCTTTGCCATCTGTCCTCTGACCACAGTCGTGGAAGCCCTGGGAGCCCCTGTGCCCTGGGCCTGTCACCCTCTCAGCAAGGGCTTGTGACTGGCTTCTCCACAGTGCTCAGTCAAGGCCAGAGGGGAGAGGGCGCCGACCCAGGGGTGAGAAGCCACTTCCCCTCCTGGCTTCCAGGAGAGAAACTCTCATGCACCAGGGCACAGTCAGCCCTACTTAGGGCCTCAGTTTCTCCGCCCACACAATAAGGAGAACCTCTTTGTCCTCTGGCGTGAGGCTGGCTACCTGGGAAACAGACCAGAGGAATCTGGACGGCTCTCCGGGAGAGAGGAAGATGAGGGGAAAGGTCGACTCTTAGCTCCTGGAACCGATGAAGTGATGGGGAAGGAAAGGGTCAGGCAAGGGCTGGAAGATCCGGGGGACATGGGTGGGGGGCCTGGGTGCCACCTGTCTCCTGAGCCCTGGCTCCTCCTCTGCCCACCCCTCCCCGGCTGTCGGGAGGGACAGCCTTCCCTCTGGCTGACTCGGTCCAGGCCCAGCTCCCTGGGCTAATTACTAACACCAGCTGCCACCCAGGGCTCTCCCCTTCACCAACTGCACTCCGCTGGGGCCAGAATGGTCTTTTTGTGTGTTTGTTTTGTGTTTTTGAGACAGAGTCTCGCTCTGTCTCCCAACCTGGAGTGCAGTGGCATGATCTTGGCTCACTGCAACCTCTGCCTCCTGGGTTCAAGTGATTCTCCTGCCTCAGCCTCTCTAGTAGCTGGGATTACAGGTGCCTGCCACCACGCCCGGCTAATTTTGTACTTTTAGTAGAGACAGGGTTTTGCTATGTTGGCCAGGCTGGTCTCAAAATCCTGACCGTAGGTGATCCACCTGCCTTGGCCTCCCAAAGTGCTGGGATTACAGGCATGAGCCACCGCACCTGGTCTTTTCAGAGTGGTCTTTTCTAAGCCGCTGACCGGAAGTGACAGCCCTGTGCTCAAAACCCTTCAATGGTTCCCCACAGGTGGCAGATCAAATCCAAAGGCCTCGAGGGCCCTTTGAGTTCTGGGCCCTGCACCTGAAGCCCAGCTGCCCAGAGCCCCTCAAGGGTGTCAGTGAGCTGTGCTCCTGCCAGCCTCTTGCTACCGGTCTCTTAGCCAGGAAAGCCAGGTTCTCCCCTGCCCTTTCTACTCTTTTCTCATTTTTCTAAGCCCCAGTTCAACAGACACACAATGCCACTGGTGTGGCAACATGTGTGTGTGGATGGAGTGAGGTGCAGAAGCAGGTGGTGGTGGGCTCTGAGAAGGGCTGATTGAATGGTCTGCTTTATTCCCTTTCATAAATTTTCCTCGCTTGGAAGATTGACCTTTGTAAAGAAGAAAAACATTTTAGAAGGAAAAAGGAAAATATCTCTGCATGCCCTCAGCTCAGATGCCATCTCCTCTGGGAGCTCCTCTGGCCCCTGCCAAGGCTGGATCAGGTGCCCTCAGGGCACACACGATGCTGACCCAGGGCCATCTGTGGCCCAGACTCTGGGTCCCTCATGCAGCCCTCACCACTGCTCAGGAGGCCACAGGAACAGAGGAATCACTGGCCCATTTTATAGACGGGAAAGCTGGACCCGGAGAAGTGAAGCAACTTTCCTGACTCACAGTGGGTGAGGGCCTCCCACGCTCTTTCCCCTGCCCCATGCTGTTTCCATGGGACTTCCACAGGCATGGGAAGCAGGCTGAGCACATAGCAGGAGTACAGCGCTGCTGCCCAGGGATGGAGCAGGAGGGTCAGGGAGAGAGAGACAGGGCTGCCCCTGGTGCCCACAGAGACAGGTCTGTAAAGCCGATGAACAAACTCTCTCAGCAGGGCAGGGATGGGTGAATGGGGCTGGGGTCCACAACCCACCCCACAGGCATCTGGTCTACACAGGTCTGCATGCCTGTGCAGGTACCTGGCTCCTTGACCAAGGAGGGTGATAAGGCCCCACCTGACCCCAGAGATTTCGCCACCTGGTTAGGTGGGCAGGAGGATAGTCTCTCTGGAGCCCTGGGTCATGGACTCTCAGAGGTAGGGAGTGAGTCAGCGCTTGCCAAGAGGTGGAGACCCAGTCACCCACGGATGCTTGGGATGGGCAGAGCCTCCTGGGGTGAAGTCTTCTAGGGTCTAGGGTCCCACATGGTGGTCCCTGGAAGGCTTTCTGTTCTTCCAGGCCCTACAGAGGAGACCAAGGCTCAGCTGGCAGCTAGCTGTGGGGCCAAATTCTCCTCTCTGCCTAGGGGAGAGCCCCCTGCAGTACCCCTTGAGAGCCCCTGGGGACCTGCCTGGGGCACACCCTGGCCCTGAGGAGGCCCGGCTCTGGGAGCACTGCAGCCAGGATGGAGGAGGCAGTCTTCAGAGAGGCGCTCTCTGGGCCAGCCCTGTGGGGAGGGAAGGCCAGACGGGGGAACCTGGAGGGGCTTGTGAACCGGTCCCTGCCCCCAGAAACCCAGCAGAGGTGGATTTGAAGCCCATTCTGGGCAGTAGGCACCGGCAGGCTTCTCCGCCTGAGGTCTGCCCTCCTGAGGGTGCTGGGAGAGCACAGCCCTGGGAAGACTGCAGCCTGGGCGTGACCTGAGGACTAGGAAGTGTTTATGACAGACATGGAGAGGCCTAAGTCCCTGTTGAAGCCCAGCATCACATCCCATTCCTGAGCACCAAAGGCCCCAGGCCCTGGGTAAGAGAAGCTTCCTGAAGGGCATCCTGAGGGCCCCGCCCGGATCACGTCTTCTTTGGACAATTTCAGGAGGGAGGCTGGCATGGGCCAGACGACTGGCTGGTACAGGGAAGAGACGGGAACATCTGGCCCTCGCCTGCCTCTCGCCACACTCCCCACTTCCCTCGTCACTGTAGCCAAAGTTCTCCCTGGGCTTTCCACCAACGGTGCCTTCGTTCATGGCCTGTGCGTGCCATTCCTTCTGTCTAGAATGCTCTTTCCCCCTTTGCTTCTCCTTTCTGATTCTTCCTAATTTTTCAAGTCTCACCTTATAAGTCACTTCCTCCAGGAAGTCCTTCCTGCTTTGTCCTCCTCTGATCTGGGCTGGATGTCAAGCCTCTGTGGTTCCAGGACGTCCTGCCTCTCACCCTCACCCCCAGATGGAGTTGCTGGCTTTCCCACCTGTCTCCCTCTCACCCTCAGCCCCGGATGGAGTTGCTGGCTTTCCCACCTGTCTCCCTCTCACCCTCACCCCCGGATGGAGTTACTGGCTTTCCCACTTGTCTTCCCTGCCAGGCCAGAGGCTTCCAGCGGGTCAGCCCTGGCTCTGCCCTGCTCAGTGTTGGAGCCCACATGCCTCGCCAGGTGTGCAGTGCTTAGTATGTTCTCAGTCCATGTTTTTGAGTGAACAAATAGATACATGAACAAAACCCCAAAATCACCCCCAAAAGATGTGATCATTTCCCAGGCCCAATGGGAAGATCTCTGCCCAGGTTTCCTCTAGGTGGACGCCTTGCCCTGGGCACTGCCCTTGTGTGTGTGTGCGTGTGCATGAGTGCCTGCATGTGTGTACATTTGTGCACATGTGCATGGGTGTGGATGTCTATGCGTTTGTGTATAAATTTATGTGTGTGGGTATGTGTGCACATGTGTATGTGTGTCTGTGTGTACATGTGCATATAAGTATGTGTTTGTGTGCATGCATGTGCATGTGTACGTGCACTCACACGCATACACGTAGAGGTTGCTCACCTCTTGCTGAGCTCCTTCAGGGCGCCACTCCGGCACAGGCCCAGGTAATCCCCCAGGAGCTTCAGCTGCTCCCGGCTCCTCCCAATGAGGTGCATCCGCTCCACATGCTCGTACAGAGACGCGTTCACCATCTGCAGGTTGATGAGGGGCTGGGCCCGGATCTGCGTCAGAAACTTCAGGGCCTGCCTGCAGATCTGGGGGTACCACCAGACATTGGGGATGGGAAGGAATGGCTGTTCAGTGAGCACTGCCTGGCCAGGTGCCACATGACCTGCTCACTTACCTGAGGGGCTATCTTCATTTTACAGATGGGGAAACTGAGGCTCAAGGAGATGAAGAGATTTGGCTAGGGTCACCCAGCTTGTAAATGGTACAGTCAAGCTCTGAACCCAGTTTATCTGACTCCCAAACCCGCTCTCCCTCTAATGGCAAGGGTCACTGCCCCCTCCCCAATCATGCTGAGATGAGGGAGGGACTGCTCTGATAACGCCCCCTCCCTCTGGGCCTCACAGATCCTTCCCACTCTTTCCTGTCCTCCCAGCCGCTATTTCCTCCCACTAAAGGAAACAGGCACTCCCTTCTGTGCCCTGATTCAGGAACCAGGTGACAGGCTGAGTCAGGCTCCAGCCACAGGAAGCTACAGATCAGACACAGCTCACCAACAGGCTTCCCTGAGCTCCCTCGGCTCACACCAGTAGCAACACCGGGACTCTGTGTGCAGCTGAGTGATCCATCTCAGTCTCTCCTGGCTGACAGGGTGTTGAAGGTTCTACCCTTGGCCCTGATCCTAATACCAATGCCAATAATCAAGCGCCTACTATTTGCAAAACACTGGGTCAGGAACTTGACCACATCCTCCCGTCATTCTCAGAACAACCTGTTAGGGAGGGTGTCCCTGTCCCTGTTTTCTAGATGAGGAAACGGAGGCTTAGAGGGGCTAACGTAGCTTATACAACCTGCCTGCAGAACCTGCCAGGTTTGAGCTGAGGTGTCATCTCTGAACACCAGGCTGCTGCACTAATCAGAAGCCCCCTCCCCTGCAGTGGCCTCGCTGCATCATAAGGACGGAGGAGCTGTTGTCTCCACAGCCGACAAGTGCACAGTGATTAGAAGTCTGGCTTTGGCCTGGCTCAGATCTTTAACATCTTAACTAGTCCTCTCGTTACATATTTTATTTCTGGTGGCTTTGTTTTTGATACTATTATAAGTGATTATCTTTTAAAATAGTAATTTGTTTGCTGATATATAGAAATGAAATTGATTTATTTGATTGTTATATCCAGCAACCTTTTCAAATTCTGATAAATTGTGTAGGGGAAAAAAAGTCTGGCTTCGGAGTCAGAATGGAATTGAATCCTGCCTCCACCACTTTATACCTGTATGAATTGGTGAAACTTATCCCTCTCTGTGACTCAGTTTCCTCATCTGTAAAATGGGGAAAATGAGAGCAATTAAGGCTCACGGGTTTGGGGCCTTTTTGTTCGCTGCTGCTGCTTTAGTGCTGAGGCCCGGCACTCGGCAGGATGTCAGCCCAGGACTGGGACTTCTTTTTCATGGGATTATTTTGAATTCAGATTAAAAGAGGTATTCCAGGAGAGCTCCTGGCATTAGGGCCTGGCAGGTGGCACATCCCCAGTAAATGTGAGCTGTTATCAGCTGCTGTGTGAGTGCCTGGTATGGCCCTGTTGTCCCCTTGAGGGTTGGGGGACTAAACTGGCCCTCAGGAGACCTGCCCCTGTATTTGGGGGCTGAGGGGGCCTCTGACCTCTTGTCTCCCAGCTCCACCAGCATCTCTCACCTCCCCCCGCAATGGACAACCTCTTCTTTTCCCAAAGCCTGGGGCCCTGAGGTACCAGCCCCCCCAGCCTAGGGACAGCCCAATGGCAAACTCCTGGTGACTTGGGTCAAGCTGCTGTTCTCCAATCCTAACTCAGCTCTTCCCATGACTTGGCCCCAGGCCTTGGGTGAGGCTCCAGTGAAATAACACACAGGAATGTGCGCTGAACACTGCCAACCACTGCAGATGGGCAGGGGCTTTGTGCTCCCCAGCGACTGTTCCTATCCTGTGGGAATGGAGGAGACAGAAAGAAGCCCCACTCCTGGGCTGACATCCTGCCAGTGCCAGCCAGGCCTCAGCACCAGTGGGTCAGCCAGAACAGCAACGGCGAACAATAAGGCCCCAAACCCGTGGGCCCCCCACTTTCTATCTTGAATTTCCCTGTCTTTCCTAGGCCAGCAATCTTTGAGAGGGAGAGCGAGCTGAGGATTTCCTGATCTCAGATATGCCTAGAAAAGGATTGTACTTTTCTTTCTTTCTTTTTTTTTTTTTTTGAGGTGGGGTTTCGCTCTTGTTGCCCAAGCTGGAGTGCAATGGCGCAATCTCAGCTCACCGCAACATCCGCCTCCCAGGTTCAAGCGATCCTCCTACCTCAGCCTCTGGATTAGCTGGATTACAAACATGCGCCACCACGCCCAGCTAATTTTTGTATTTTTTAGTAGAGACAGGGTTTCTCCACGTTGGTCAGGCTGGTCTCAACTCCCGACCTCAGGTGATCCGCCCACCTCAGCCTCCCAAAGTGCTGGGATTACAGGTGTGAGCCGCTGTGCCCAGCTAGGATTGTACTTTCCTAGTTAGAAAAGGAAGTGGCACAAGGATGAGGGCAGTGAATAAGGAGATGGCTCAGCGGAAGTATCAGGGTCCTGTAAATAGTTAACGTGTTTTATGATCAAAGGGTTCTTTGCATTTTTGGTGATTTTGAGGCTTAATTTCCTCTATGTAGTTAGTTAAATATTTAACACTGAGAGCAAGGGCGGGGACAAGGCAAACAACAAAAAAATCAAAATGAAGCCAACTTCTGCGGGGTTCCCCTGCCCCAGGGAGGTGGAGGTTGAGGTAGAACTGACTGAGAGAATCACCCTGCACTATGATGAAGACACATCCACACATCAGGACTACATAGCTGGCAGGCCCTGACTCTCCAGAGGAGCAAACAGCTTCTTCCTTATGTTTCTGTGTCTGTCTTAGTAGAAATCTGTGCCCTTGGAAGAAAACCAAATTTGTACCCCTTGAGGCAGACACTAACCAAGTGAATTAGGTAGATGGGTGGATGGGTGGGTGAACATAGGCAGGAGGTGTGACAGGCCCCAGGGAGGGAAAGGACACTGTTCTTACTGACAGGCACACACTGCCACACCTGCCCTCCCAACAACCCCGACACAGACACTGTTGTTAACCCTCCTTTTACAGATGAGGAAACTGAAGCTAATTTGCTCATGGTAACACAGGTAGGAAAGTGGCTAAGTTCAGCTGGAGAAAAGGAAAATTCTGAAAGACTTTAAGATACATCTTATTCAAAAGCATTTGGTGAACATAAAAAAGTACCCAAGGCATAATATTAAGTGAACCAAGCTTCTTATAAAGCAGTATGAGTCCTGTGTGATCCCAACTTTATAAAAAAAGATGCATATGTCAATAAATGCACAGAAAAGGGTATACCCCGAAATGTTAATAATGGTGATCTCTTGTTTATGACACAGAATTTTGATTGGTCTTTGGGTTTTTCTGTAACTTTAAAATGTTAAACAATAACCGTGTATTATCTTAATAATGGGGGAAGTCACAGAAAAAGTGCTTTTCAAAAACATGAAATAAATAAGCCCATGTAGGGCCTACAGGGGAGTGCAGTCACCTGGGCCTCATAGGGTTGGCAAAGGCAAGGATGACTGCTCCAAGGTATAGCCAGCTCGCTGGCCAGCCCATCTACCCATCCACCTACCTATTCACCCATCCACCCAGCCATCTACCCACCATCCACCCATCTACCCATCTACCTACCCATCTCCCTACCCATCTACCCATTCACCTAACCATCTACCCATCTAGCCATCTGCCCATTCACCCACCCATCTACCCATCTACCTACCCATCCACCTACCCACCAAGCCATCCACTCATCCACCTAACCATTTACCCATATGCCTATTTAGGCACCCATCTACCTACCTATCCACCCATTCACCAATCTACCCAACCACCTACCCATCCATCCATCCACCAACCCATCCACCTAGCCACCTGCTCATTCACCTACCTACCTACCCATCCACCTAACCATCCACCTAGCCACCTGCTCATCCACCTACCTACCTGCCCATCCACCTAGCCACCTGCTCATTCACCTACCTACCTACCCATCCACCTACCTACCTGCCCATCCACCTAGCCACCTGCTCATTCACCTACCTACCTACCCATCCACCTAACCATCCACCTAGCCACCTGCTCAGCCACCTACCTACCTGCCCATCCACCTAGCCACCTGCTCATTCACCTACCTACCTACCCATCCACCTAACCATCTGCTCATCCACCTAACCATCCACCTAGCCACCTGCTCATTCACCTACCTACCTATCCATCCACCTAGCCACCACCTGCTCATTCACCTACCTACCTACCCATCCACCTAACCATCCACCTAGCCACCTGCTCATCCACCTACCTACCTGCCCAGCCACCTAACCATCCACCTAGCCACCTGCTCATCCACCTACCTACCTGACCATCCACCATCCATCTATCTATCTAATCTATCAAATCTATTTTATCTATCTTTCTATCTATCATTTATCTGCTGGTGCCTTAAGCAGTTATGTTTGTAGCTGCAGGAAACCATCCTCAAACTCTTTCCTCCTGGGGACCAAGACAGCCACCGATAGAGCCCTGCCCAGGGCTGTGGACAGGCACCAAGCTTTTCTCTTGGTTAGCTCCCCCACGTCACACTGCCTGAACCAGTGACCCCAGCTTCCCTTGTTTAGAGGAGCCAAACTCCTCTAAACAGATGAACAGCAGCAGCAAAGAGGAGTGAACACCCCTCTGTCCCTCAGCAGCTGGGCTGCTGGGCTCGAGACTTACCGGGCGCTTGGTGAGGTCCCAGTTGTGGATGATCCTGGCCGGAATCACTGAGGCATCGTCTTGGTGGCAGATGTCACAGTAATAGAGGCCAGAGAAGGCACAGAGCTTGGGTCGTACAAAGGAGAAGCCGATCTGCCGGGAGCAGCCTGGGGAGATGGGTGGAGAGTGAGTGGTGTGGCCAGAGTCAGCTCCTAGTAACTTGGGAGCTGCTGTGGTGGAAAGGATCTGCTGGTTGATTTTTTTTTAAGGTAGGCACAAACACAAGAATAACCACCACTCGTATTTCCACCACTCAGAACTCCCCTACTAATTAATCTTTACAACAACACACTGTAAGAACTATCATTATTTTACAGCTGAAGAAATGGATGCTCAGAGAGGTTAGGAAATCTGTCTGGTCACATAGTGATGAAGTGGCATGGCTGGCATTCAGATCTGGGTTTGGCTGGTTCCAGAGCCTGAGTTCTGCTCCACTACCCCTTGCTGCCTGTGTCCGGTGTCCCCACTGCTGGCTTGGCAATGCCAGCCTCCTCTAGGTCCACCCCTCCACTCGGGCCCCATAATGGAAGCAGCAGAGTAGGGGCTGTGGCAAGCAGTGAAGTAGCTGGGGGACAGGGACCGGGGTCGGGGCTGGCAACAGGGAGTGGATGGGTAGCCAGCAGGGGGCAGGGGAGCGTGCACAGTATCTGATGCCTCGGGACTGTGGGGCAGGGCTGGCTTCAGCCCCCTTGGTTGGAGGTGTCTCCACAGCCGGGGCCAGTGGGAATGGGAGTGGGATGTGCCCTGGGCAAAAAGCAGAGGCCCTGACTCAAACCCTGAACATGTGCCGTAACTCCTCCAGGGGCAGGCAGAAGGGTCCCCGGGCCTTGGGACCAGAGGGCGGGCTCTGCTCCTCACCCGCTGCCTCACCCTGACCTTCACCTGATTTCTTCAAGGTTCCATTTCAGTGACTGTAAAATTCAGCTACTACCAGCTATTTTGTGGGGTTATTACAAAGCTTAAATGAGACAAGGTTCTGCAAGTACCCTGCAAATTATGAAATACAACCCAGATGCCAGTGGTTGGTGTCTGCCACTGAGCCATGCCTGCTGGGTAGAAAGGAAACCCAAACTCCCCGGTGGCACAGTCCCACCCGCTGGTGGGTGGCAGCCATGGTGAGAGTTGCCCCCGCAGCATTCACACCCACAGGCGAGGAACCCTTTCTTGCAAGCCCTGGAGTCCTGGCCCCCTCAGAGCCTGGCCTCCACAGGCTGAAGAGCAAAGTGTGAGTGCTGGGGCAGGCGGGGGAGAGGTCAAGCGAGGCTTGCAGGTGTTTTCTGCAGGAAGCTCTGTTCTGCCTAGCTTCTCCCATCCTCCCGGGGCCA
The DNA here is from genome assembly GCF_000001405.40 of Homo sapiens. Lineage (NCBI taxonomy): Eukaryota > Metazoa > Chordata > Mammalia > Primates > Hominidae > Homo > Homo sapiens. The sequence goes on from NC_000017.11 coordinate 64,798,628, forward strand.
ACCGCAGACTGCTTCCTTTCAGACGCTTGAAACAGGCTTCCCTCCAGTCTGTGCCAACAGGACAGCTCCCAAACCAAGGCTCAGCTTCTTGCTCTGGCCTTCTGCAGCAGGACAACCCCCTCACAGGTCACCTAAGGGTCCCATGGTGATGGGATGCCATCTGCCTCTGGATGGTGGGGGGAGTGGGAGGAGCTAACAATGGAACATGGGCAGGGGGATGTCACTCAACCTTGAATAAGACCCTAGAGGGATGCCCTCTAGGGTCCTGCCTATGAGCAAAGGCTCTGGGGCCTGACTGTCAGGGTCCCATTTCTGCCTCTGGCCAGGCATGGTTGCTGATATCTGTAATCCCAGCACTTTGGGAGGCTGAAGCAGGAGGATCACTTGAGCCTAGGAGTTCAAGACTAGCTTGAGCAACAGGGGGAGACCCCATCTCTACTAAAACAAACAAACAAACAAACAAAAAAGGAAAATTCTGCCTCTGCCACTTACTAGCTGTGTGAGCTCAGTAGCAGACACCAACCAGGTACTTACCAGCTCTGTGCTTCAATTTCCTCCCCTATCAACAGAGATGATAATAGTAGCGCCTATCTCTACAGGGTTGTTATGAGACTTAAATGAGATAATCCAAATAAAGCAGCTGGCCCAGTGCCCAGCACAGAAGTATTAGATTTGATGATGAGGAAGACATAGCAGATGTACTGATTTGGAATAACATCCACAGTGTAGGAAAAAACCAAGTTGTGGAACAATATATCCAGCATTCAACACAGCAGCCAAGAGCCCCGTGTGTCCCCTTTAAATGTATGAATTTAAATGGAAAATTCAGTTGCTTAACCACACTAGCCACACTTTAAGCACCTGGTAGCACTACATGGCTCGCAGCTATGGCACTGGACACACAGATCTAGGACATTTTCATCATCACAGAAAGTTCTATTGGACAGCACTGAATAGCACGAGCCCATTTTTGTAATTAAAAAAAAAGGGTGTACACTTAGAAAAGCAGCAGAAATATTTGGAAGGAAACCATGCCCCTGCTCTGAAAGAACAGGACAGTAGAGCAAGAAGAAAATGAAGCAGGCTGGGACTCCCTGAGCAGCGCAGTGACTAGCCAGCCTGTGGCCCATCAGTGGGAGGTGCCAGGAGAGGGACGGGTGAGCAGGGCCCACTGCCTATGAGCAGGGCACTGGCCCCAGCCGGGGCTGGGGAGGAGCAGAAGCTGTAGGGCAAGCCTGATCTGTGGCCTCATCCCTAGGGGAAGGATGGGGGCATTTGCGGGGAGGCAGAAGGGTGGGGAGCCTAAATCAGGAACCAGCAGGAGGCGGAGTGAGGCTGGCAGGCTGGGGGTGGCAGCAGAGCAAGTCGGCACCTGCGCAGAAGCAGCCTTGGGAGTCAAGGCCTTTCTCCATGGGGATGGCCACCAGGTACTGCAGCAGGAAGCCATTCTCCCGGGTGGCAAATTTCAGCACCTCCTGACAGTTTTCATCCAGGCTCCCGCCCAGGGTCACCGCCTCCTCGGCTGTCTCCAAGTAGGATGCCAGGACTTTGCGGACCAGATCCCTCCACAGGGCGGCTTCCTCGGCGTTTCCGGCCTGCAGCTTCAGGACAGCCTTGGCCGTGATGATTTTGAAGAAGGATGGGCCCCCAAGGCTGGTGTCTGGCAGGATGTCCCGGATGGTCTCCACGCCGTGGCTGTCACTCAGCATCTTCTCATTGTTCCTGATGCGGAAACATTTCAGAGCCTCCAAGGGCAGAGAAAATATATAGGGCATCCAGGTCCTGTCCATGTACAAGTACAGCAGGGACTCCTTGATGGCATCTAGCTCTGGAACCTGGGCGGACGACCAGTCAGACTGTGTGCCCTGGAGGGCCGCGGGCTCCGAGAGCAGGTCTGAGGGAGAGAGGCAGCCCTGGGGCGCCTCGGGGGGTTCCTCAGGCTGGTCTGAGTACTGCACGTTCACCCACTCATCCTCCTGCTGAGGCCGGACCTTCTGCAGGGCCTCCCGCACCAGGTCCAGCCAGTCCTCAGCTTCGTCCTGGGAGGAGGCGCGCAGGGCCAGCTTCTTGCCAGAGAAGACCAGCTCAAAGCGCCCGTCACTGTGGGCTGGCCCCACAGACTCACAGCGAAGCAGGGAGCAGTTCTCCACACAGGTGTGCTCCTCGTTGCTCAGGTAGAGGCGGAACTCCAGTGGGGAGAGCTCGCAGAAGAGCTCCTTCCAGATGCCCATTGCCCCCTGCCGCTCCACGGTGCCCAGCTTCATGAGACCCTGGAATGGGTTGGACAGTCCTGGAGGCAGAGGCAAAAAGGGGCACATTAGTTGGCGGGCCTGTCTCTGTCCTGCCCAAGGCAGCCTCTGCTGCCTGATGCCCTGCAGTGCATGTGGCCAGTGACTGTCCCCAGAACACAGGCCAGCCACGGGGCACTATCACATGGGACCCTGAAAGCTGGATGGGAACATCCCCATTCTCACCGTCCACTGCTGCTCTTGCATCCTGTATTTCACTGAGAAAATAAGAGCACCCAAAAGATCACCTCCACACGCCCTGTTCCCTACACCCACGCCTTCCCTCCTGTTGCCAGGGATGAACCAAGTGTGCTTCTTTCTGCGTGAGGCCAAACCCTCCATTTGTGCAGGAGGTCTCTCCCTTGGCCAACTACTCAAGGACAAGGAGCAGTCCTTCTCTCCTCTGTCGCTGCTTTCTTCCTTCTCTATGGGGTGACTCCCATCGGCACACATGCACGCTGTCATTTCTCCCATCTTTAGAAATACCTCTCATCTCCACGCACTTCCCTAATGACCACCATGTTTCTCAGGCCCCTTTACAGAAAACCTGTTTGAAGAGGCATCAAAACTGTTCATCTTGGCCGGAAGCGGTGGCTCACGCCTGTAATCCCAGCACTTCGGGAGGCTGAGGTGGGTGGATCACTTGAGGTCAGGAGTTTGAGACCAGCTTGGTCAACACGGTGAAACCCCATCTCTACTAAAAATACAAAAATTAGCCAGGTGTGGTGAGCACCTGTAATCCCAGCTACTAGGGAGGCTGAGGCAGGAGAATGGCTTGAACCGGGGAGGCAGGGGATTGCAGTGAGCTGAGGTCACTCCACTGCACTTCAGCCTGGGTGACAGAGGAGTGAGACTCCGTCTCAAACAAAACAAAAAACCTCTTGGTCTCTAGTTTCCCTGCTCCCATTCCTTCTCAAACCTGCTCCAAGTAGGCTTCTCTCCCCTCATTCTACTGACACTGCTTCTGAGATGGTCAATGCCCTCCTCGTTGCCAACCCCCAAGGCCACTCCTCAGCCCTCGCCCCCACCCTTCTATCTCTCTGGCTCGGTCCTCCCTGTGGCCTCTCACGTTAGAGTGCCCAGATGTCAGTCCTGGGTCCTTGTCTCCTCTCTGTAGATGCCACTTTCTCACCACTCTACCTGCTCTCAGGCTTTAGCTCCCAATTTTTATCGCCAGCCTGGACCTTGTTCTTGAAATCCACATTCATATATCCACCTGTGCCATACATGTCCACTAGGATCTCAGCTGACATGTCCAGGATGAATTCCTGCTGCCAGCCTGCTTCCTCCTGAATGGTCCTCATCTCACCAAATAGCAAAATTCATCCTTCCAGATGCTTGGGCTAAAAATCTTGGTGTTACCCCAGGTTTTCTTTCTTTCGCAGCCTACATCAGCAAATCCCATTGGCTCTGCCTTCCACACATCCGGAATCCCCGCCTCTCCCCAGCCGCACCCCACCCACTGTCATCTCTGGCCTGGCTTGTGATGACAACCTCCTAACTGGTCTTTCTCCCCTTCTCCCCGTAGTCCCTCAACGTAGGAGCCATCATGACCCATTTAAAGGGAAGTCAGAGCATGTCCCCCTGCCCCAAAACTCCACAGTGGCTGCCATCTCCCTTAGCTGAAGCCAAAGTGCTTCCAGTGGCCCACAGGCCTCGTCAGATTGACCTCGTCGCTCACTGCCACACCCCCATCTCCTCTCTCCTGCCACTCTGGTCTCCACTGTCCCTGGATGTGTCAAGCGCAGCCCCAGCGCAGGGTCTTTGCATTTGTTCTCCTTGCTTGAAACACGTACATTGCCTCATGACTCCTTCCCTCTCTCCCCTCGCATCTCCTCAAACATCCCCTTATTGGTGAGGGCTTTTCTGGCCATCCTATATGCAGTGGTCCACTCTCTACCTCTGTAGACAGGTAGAGATTTACTGTCCTCCATAGCACTTATTACCACCTGACCACACACTATGCTTACTTGTTAATTTTATTTCCCGTCTCCTCTACTAGAATCTAAATCCCATGAAGACAGGGCCACTGCTTTGCTGCCTGCTATGTCCCCAGCACTTAGAACAGTGCCTGGCACATCACAGAGCCTCAATAATATTTGCTGAATGAATGAGCAGGTGAGTGCCTATGTATCACATGTTGCCCAAAGCTCCCTGCTGCCTGGGGTGTGACAACAACCAGAGTGTCCAAAGGACACACAATTCTCTCTCCGCCAGCCTGGAATAGCCTTGGAGATTTCACACTATTCTATGGGGGTTCCCTACCCCTCAAGAAACCTGATGGCCTAGACCTGAAGCACAGCTTCGCTGGCAGGTTAGAGACCACAGCCATCACACGGGCCGACAGACAAACCTAACAGAAGCCAGCCCGGAGACTGGGCTCTACCCACACAACCCATGCCAGGGCTACCCACAGCAAGGCCCCCTGAGCTGGGCAGGATTCTCTGCTGGGTCACTGCAAACAGAAAATGAGGAGAGAAAGAGACCAATTCTAGAGCGTACTTTTTTTGTTTGTTTTGAAGAGGAAACCCATCATGAGGGTTACTGAAAAATTTGGTTATGGTTATTTAAGGCTTTCTGGAATTTCAGTGTGTGGAGATCAAGCTGACCTTGCTGTAAAAAGCACTGGGGAGGTCGGGCATGGTGGCTCACACCTGTAATCCCAGCACTTTGGGAGGCCAAGGTGGGTGGATCACATGAGGCCAAGAGTTCAGACCAGCGTGGCCAACATGGCAAAATCCTATGTCCACTGGAAATACAAGAATCACCTGGGTGTGGCAGTGCATGTCTGTAATCCCAGCTCCTGGGGAGACTGAGGCACTTGAGCTGGGAGGCAAAGGCTGCAGTGAGCTGAGATTATACCACTGTACTCCAGACTGGGTGACAGAGCAAGACTCTGCCTCAGAAAAAAAAAAAAAAAAAAAGGAAGCACTGGAGGACATTAAACAAATAGCAGATCCTCCAGCCTGGCCAACATAGCAAAACACCATCTTTATTAAAAATGTAAAAATTGGCCGGGCGCAGTGGCTCATGCCTGTAATCCCAGCACTTTAGGAGGCCGAGGCGGGTGGATCACCGGAGGTCGGGAGTTGGAGACCAGCCTAACCAATTTCGAGAAACCCCGTCTCTACTAAAAATACAAAATGAGCCAGGCATTGTGGCTCATGCCTGTAATCCCAACTACTCGGGTGGCTAAAGCAGAAGAATTGCTTGAACACGGGAGGCGGAGGTTGTGGTGAGCTGAGATCACATGATTGCACTCCAGCCTGGGCAACAAAAGGGAAACTCCACCTCAAAAAAAAAAAAAAAAAAAAGCAAAAATTAGCCAGGTGTGGTGGCAGGTGCCTGTAATCCCAGCTATTTGGGAGGCTGAGACAGGAGAATTGCTTGAACCCAGGAGGCTGAGGTTGCAGTGAGCAGAGATCATGCCACTGCACTCCAGCCTAGGCGACAAAGGGAGACTCCATCTCAAAACAAACAAACAAACAAAACAAATAGCAGATTTGATCAAGCCACCCAGAGCTGTTACATAAACCAACTACTGAGGGTAAACACGTTTGGAAGGACCATTTAAAACACCTGGGGCTTCATGGGGCTGGATGTGCTCTGAGCTACAGGTGGAATCAAGAGTTTTCTATAATCATAAATTGCATAGTTTTCAGGGAAAATATTTTCCTATTTGACTGGTGAAACAGTATTTTTGTCCTCTGTAGGCAGTTTTGAGACAATATACTACTTTTCCTGAAATGCTTCCCTGAATGAACATGATTATGATGGCATTCTGGAATGAGGTTTTATAACACTTGTGGGAACACACTACCCCTTTAGCAATGGAAAACAGAACTTCACAGCTGCCTTCTGAAAGGCCTGGTCCCTGCAGATGGGACCCACCCGGGACCCTCCTGGTCACCTACCCATCTGCCTCCGGTGTACCACCTGGAAACTCTTATGCCCCTGGGATGGGGCTGCCTGGGCTTGCCTTCTTCCTGGGGAAGGTACACACGCTTGGTCTAACGCCCCCAGGGAGCAGTTTTTTCTTGGTTCTTGAGAAAAATGCCTGTGGAGACCAGGCCTTGACTCTGGAGTCCCCCTGTAAGAAGCTATTGGGTGGTCTGAAGCACTCTTCAGGGGTTGCTCCCGGGAAGGCCGGTAGAAGTCATCCTCTGAGATCCAGCTCTTGTTTTTCTGTTGGGAAAGAAGACAACAGTTGTTTGTTTTAAAGTTTTTTTGTTTTGAGACGGAGTCTCGCTCTGTTGCCCAGGCTGGAGTGTAATCGCGCAACCTTGGCTCACTGCAACCTCTGACTCCTGGGTTCAAGCGATTCTCCTGCCTCAGTCTCCCAAGTAGCTGGGATTACAGGCACCCACCACCATGCCCAGCTAATTTTTGTATTTTTAGTAGAGGCGGGGTTTCACCATGTTGGCCAGGCTGGTCTAGAACTCCTGACTTCAGGTGAGCCACCTGCCTCGGCCTCCCAAAGTGTTGGGATTACAGGTGTGAGTCACTGTGCCCAGCCTGAAGTTTTTTTTTTTTTTTTTAAGTCTTTATCTAGATATGGCTCTTATATCATAAAATTAACCCACTTAAAGTATGTAATTCGGCCAGCCATGGTGGCTCACACCTGTAATCCCAGCACTTTGGGAGGCTGAGGTGAGAGGATCACCTGAGCCCAGGAGTTTGAGACCAACCTGGGCAACACAGTGAGAACCCATCTCTACAAAAAATAACTAGCTGGGTGTGATGGCACACACCTGTAGTCTCAGCTACTGAGGAGGCTGAAGAGTGAGAATCGCTTGAGCCAGGGAGGTCAAGGCTGCAGTGAGCCGTGATCACGCCACTGCCCTCCAGCCTGGTTGCAGCCTAGGCAACAGAATGAGACCCCATCTCTAAAAAAATAAATAAATAAAGTGTCCAATTCAAACATTTTGGCTTAGTCAGAGTTGGGCAATCGTCACCACCACCTAAGTTTAGCAAATTTTCCTCACCCAAAATGGAAACCCCATACCCATTAGCCATCATCCCCATTTCCCCTGGCCACTCTCAGCTCTAGGCACCTACTTATCTACTTTCGGTCCCTACACACCTGCCTGTTCTGGATATCTCATATAGATGGAACCATATGACATGTGACCTTTTGTGCCTGGCTTCTTTCTCTTAGTGGAAGGTTTTCAAGGTGCATCCATGTTATATAAGCATGTTTAAGTGTTCATTCCTTTTTATTGCCAAATAATATTCCATTGTCTCGATCCACCACATTTGGCTTATCCACTCCTCGGCTGATGGACATTTGGGTTGTTTCTACTTTTTGTCAATTATGAATAGTGCTGCTATGATCACTTATACACAAGTTTTTGTGTAGACATGTTTCATTGTCTTGGGTATATACTTAGGAGTAGACTTGCTGGGTCATGTGTAACTCTATGTTTCCCTTCTTGAGGAACTACCAAGCTGTTTTCCAAAGTGGCCGCACCATTTTATATTCCCACCAGCAATGTACGAGGGTTCCAATTTCTCTCCTTGGGAAATCTATCCAAATCCATTGGAATCTACTCAAATCCATTGTCTGTCTTAAAATGGGGCTGTCTTTTTGTTGCTGAGTTGTGTTGTGGGTTGAATTGTGACCCCCCCACAAAAGGACATGTTGAAACCCTACCCCCCAGTACCTCAGAATGTGACCTTTTTTGGAAATATAGTCTTTGCAGAAGTAATTAGTTAAGATGAGGTCATGTTGGAGTAGAATGGGCTGTTCATCCAGTATGACTGATGTCCTTATAAGAGGAGGAGAAAAGATACACAAAGAGAGGAGAACACCAAGTGAAGACAGAGATACAGAGGAAGAACTTGTATGACAGCAGAACATGTGTGACAGCAGAGGGGAGACCGGAGTGACATGTCTACAAGCCAAGGAATGCAAACGAGCACCTGCAACGCCAAAACCCAGGAGAAAGGCGGGAACAGATTCTTCCTTAGATTCTCCAGAAGGAGCCTCCAGAACGATCAGAGAATAAATACCAGTTTTGTTTTGTTTTTGAGACAGAACCTCACTCTGTCACCCAGGCTGGAGTGCAATGGTGCAATCTCAGCTCACTGCAACCCCCGCCTCCCAGGTTCAAGCAATTCTGCTGCCTCGGCCTCCCGAGTAGCTGGGGTTACAGATGCTTGCCACCATGCCCGGCTAATTTTTGTATTTCTAGTAGAGACAAAACCTTGTCGGCCAGGCTGGTCTTGAACTCCTGACCCCAGGTGACCCACTTGCCTCAGCCTTCCAAAGTGCTGGGATTACAGGCGTGAGCCACTGTGCCTGGCCTATTTTGTTTTGTTTTGAGGCAGGGTCTCGCTCTTTGCCCAGACTGGAGTACAGTGGTGCAATCAGGGCTCATTGCAGCCTTGACTGCCCAGGCTCAAGCAATCCTCCTGCTTTAGCCCCACTGAATAGCAGAGACTACAGGCATGCACCAGCACGCCCAGCAAATTTTTTATATTTTTAGTAGAGATGGGGTTTCACCATGTTGGCCAGGCTGGTCTTGAACTCCTGGACTCAAGTGATCCGCCCACCCTTGCCTCCCAAAGTGCTGAGGTCACAGGCATGAGCCACCTGCCCAGCAATGTCTGTTTTTGTTTTTTGTTTTGTTGTTGTTGAGACAGAGTCTTGCTCTGTCGCCCAGGCTGGAGTGCAGTGGCACAATCCTGGCTCACTGCAAGCTCCGCTTCCCGGGTTCATGCCATTCTCCTGCCTCAGCCTCCTGTGTAGCTGGGACTACAGGTGCCTGCCACCACGCCCAGCTAATTTCTGTTTTGTATTTTTAGTAGAGACGGTGTTTCACCATGTTAGCCAGGATGGTCTCGATCTCCTGACCTCATGATCCGCCCGCCTCGGCCTCCCAAAGTGCTGGGATTGCAGGCATGAGCGACTGCGCCCAGCCAATGTCTGTTGTTTTAAACCACCCTGTGTATGGTACTTTGTTATGGCGGCCCTAGGGACTAATTCAAGTTGTAAGGTGCTTTATATATTCTGAATACGAGACCCTTATCAGATTTATGATTTGCAAATAATTTCTCCCATTCTGTGAGGTGTCTTTTCATTTTCCGGATGGTGTGCCCTCTGGAGCACATAAATTGTTAGTTTTGATAAAGTCTAGTTTATCTATTTTTGTTGTTGTTTTTGTGCTTCTGGTGTTGCATCTTAAAAAACCATTGCCTAAGTCAGTATCACAAAGATTCACTTCTGTGTTTTCTGCCAAGAGCTATATAGTTTTAGCTCTTACATTTAGGTTTCTGGTCCATTTTGAGTTAGTTTTTGTGTAAGGTGTAAGGAAGGGGTGTTATTATTTTGCATGTGGGTATTCAGCTGTCCCAGCATGTAGGGTTTCTCAGTCCTGCTTTTGGGTTTGAGATGAGGGAGTCCTGGCGAGCAGGCCTCAGGGTCCTCATTGGCCGCCTCTGTCTCTGCCGCCCACTTCTGTGCAGGCCCCTGCGACCCCAGGCAGCCAGGCCCTGCCCCTTCCCTTCGTTGTTCTCTTTTGAATCTGAAGCTGCTCATTGGCTGGGGAAGATGGGGTTGCGGGGAGCATCTGGGGTGAGTGGGCTTGTGGGAGTGGATTCTGGTTCCTTTTCTCCAGTATTTCAAGTCCTCCCTGGCATTCTGTGCCTCAACATGGAAGGGCAGAGGCAAGGAAGCTGGCTGGGCCAACTCTAAGTGGCTGTGTACACAGAGGAAATGAGTCACACAAGCAGTGGGACCAGCCCCGCTGTTTTGTGAAGTGCCACTAACCTCACCCTGACATCGCTATTTCCAGTCCCTGAATCAAGAGTGCACTCCCTGCTTTGTAAACAGGGAAGGGTTGGTTTGGACAGTTGGATCCATTCAGATGCTACACGACTCCTCAAGCCAAGGGTGGCAAGTTCTGACTCAGGCAACTTGAGGGGTGGCTCACAGAACTAGGTCCCCAGAGACTCCTCCATGGGGCCTTCAGAATTGGCAGGTGCTTCCCCCCTGCCAGTGACAGATGATGTGTCAGTCAGGGCAGCCACTGGGGACCATCCACAACACTAGATTCTGAGCAAAGCCTGCCTAGGTCATCAAGAACTGGGGGACCTCCCTGAGGAAAATGGGTGGGAGAAACAGCTCCCTGGCAACCATGTGGCTGTCCTGGCAGCCTCACATATACCTGGGAAGTTGTGTGATCTCCAGCGCCTGGTGGGAGAGGGCACTGTCCCTGAAGACTCAGCTCAGGAGACATCCATCGCCTCTGCCTGGAAGCTTCTCTCACCCTTCCCCAGCCTCCACCCCTTCCCACCCCCTAGCTGGGTTAGGGCCCCTACTGGGATCCCACAATATTCTGTGCTTACCCTCATTCTAGCATCTATAAGGCTGTTTGGAATGGTTTTCTTGATATCTCCAGCAAGTGCCTGCCAGAGTCATACAAGATGAGGGAATAAATCATGACCATCCCAATGTCTTTAACATAAAATAACAAAGGTGGGTCAAGTGGACTGGAAGGAAGGAGACAAATGTAAATTTTAAGATTATGGACATTCAGAATGGGCGTGATGGATCATGCCTGTAATCCCAGCACTTTGGGGGGCCGAGGCAGGAAAATTGCTTGAGGCCAGAAGTTTGAGACCAGCCTGGCCAACATGGAGAAACCCCATCTCTACTAAAAGTACAAAAATTAGCTGGGCATGGTGGTGCATGCCTGTAATCTCAGCTACTCGGGAGGCTGAGGCACAAGAATTGCTTGAGCCTTGGAGGCAGAGGTTGCAGTGAGCCGAGATGGATGGAGCTATTGCACTCCCACCTGGGCAACAGCGCAAGAGTCTGTCTCAAAAAAAAAAAAAAAGTTTATGGACATTCACTGGGGAGGACTTCTCTCTCCTTTGAGGAAAAACACTACTAGGAAATGTTCAGACACAGTCCATTGAGCACAGCTGCCAGGAAATGAAACTAGGGAACATCTTTTACTCTCTTAAGCAACAGGGAAAAAACAGTGGAAATGCAGGTTCCTCGGAGCTTCTGCACATGGGCCTGGACAGAGCTCTGAGGCTGTGTGCCCCTGGCCCCAGGCGGGTGGGGAGCAGAGAGAGGGTGTGAGAGAGAGTGCACGCATGAACACCACTGTTTCTCTCTTCTCTCCTTTTTTTCTTTTAGAGATGGAGTCTTACTCTGTTGCCCAGGCTGGATCACAGTGGTGTGATCTCAGCTCACTGCAACATTTGCCTCCCAGTTTCAAGTGATTCTCCTGCCTCAGCCTCCTGAGTAGCTGGGATAACAGGCTCACGCCATCATGCCCGGCTAATTTTTGTATTTTTAGTACAGACGGGGTTTCACCATATTGTTCAGGCTGGTCTCAAACTCCCGACTTCAGGTGATCCACCTGCCTCAGCCTCCCAAAGTGCTGGGATTACAGGCGTGAGCCACCGCACCTGGACCCCTTCTCTCCTTTTTTCCCACCACCTTCCGACAACCTGCTCACTCAGGGTCCATGTCTGGCCAGCACCCTGCCCTTTAACAGTGGAGAGAAACCATCACCGACTAAGGATCTATACCAGAGCTGCAACTGCCACCAGGGACCCAAGACAGAGAAATGCCACCTTGCGTTACTAAAGGGCTCATGACACCATATACAACAGCTGAATCCCCAAGAGGAATGTGGCTGAGGAGTGAGACGAAGGTCTCTGGGACACTTTCAGAAGGATGAGACTTTGTCCAGCCAGTCCTCATTATGCCAGGCAAAGGAACTGCCTGTACTCATAACTGTGGAAGGGGAACCACATACCATGGGCAGGTGGTCCATGGGGGCAGTGATTAAGAGCAAGTCCTAGAACTCACACTGCCTTTTGGGAGTTAAACTGAAACCAACTCACAACCCCCAGATCCCAGACATGCGTCACCCTTGAGAGGCCCCTATTCCCTGCACCTCTCCTTCCCAGTGCTTAGCACAAGTGTAATTATGATGTGGATAATCATTTGTCTAATTTAATGTCTGTCCCCAAAGAGCCTTTGTCTGTCCTGTTGTATCACTCTACCCCTAGGACCTAACATGGTGCTTGGCTTATAGTAGGTGCTTTGGGTTCAATGAATTAAAAATAAATGTTTTTAAAAGAAAGACTGAATGGGCCTCTACACTATAAAACTTGACAGTGACCCCAACATCTCCCCCAAAATAACATCAAATAAAAAGCACGTGGCTAACTGATAGAAGTATAGAAAGATGAGGACCACAGGGGCAGATATGCAGGGCACAGCCTGGCACTGTCCACAGGCCAGGAGCCCAGCAGGCCCACATGAGCTGGCAGGCTATTCAGTGGCACCTGGTGACTACCTACTGAATAAGCAGTGAATGAATCCACAACTTCCCTGTGAGACAGACACAGGACGGGGGCAGGATCCGAGATTCTCACATCGGACTCAGCACCAAGCGCTTAGATGTCACATTCGCTAAGCAACCTTCCAGCAATCAGAGTCCCCTGTAGCTGGCACAGAGGCAGAGCCTGCCATGATCACACCAACCTGACCACCCTGTCCACTCGATGGTACACTTCGCTGACCCACTTTGGCCTCCCAAATTGCTAGGATTAGAGGCGTGAGCTATCACGCCTCGCCTGAACGTCCATAATCTTAAGTTTCACATTTGTCTCCTTCCTTCAAGTCCCCTTGACTTATCTTTGTTATTTTATATTAAAGACATTGGGATGGTCATGATTTATTCACACATCTTGTATGATTCTGGGCCAGGTACTTGCTGGAGATACCAAGAAAAAGAACCATTCCAAACAGCGTTATAGCTAGGATGGGGGAACAAAATAAACTTAGGAATTGGCATCTCAAGAGTCTCTTGGGAGTTCAAGAACTATTCATCCATGCCTACTTTCTCCCAGGTACAGTGCTTGGTGCTGACAATACAGAAGTGAACAGGCCTGGTGCTCTGTATCATAGAGCTAATATTCTAGTAAGGAAGACAGAAAATAAACAAGGAGACAAAGAGATAATATACTGTAATTGCACATAGTGATGAGTGTTATAAGCGAAGTCAAGCAGATGAATGGGACAGAGAGTCACTGGGGATGGTGCTTTTGAGCTACGGGGGTCCGGTCAGGGAAGGCTGAGACAACAATGAAGTGAGTCGGGAAAGAAGGAACAGCAAATGTAAAACCCTGAAGCTGGGCCGGGCACGGTGGCTCATGCCTGTAATCCCAGCACTTTGGGAGGCCAAAGTGGGCAGATCACTTGAGGCCAGGAGTTTGAGACCAGCCTGGTCAACATGGTGAAACCCCATAATTTTGTAAAAATACAAAAATTAGCTGGGCATGGTGGTAGGCATCTGTAATCCCAGCTACTTGGGAGGCTGAGGCATAAGAATAAGTTGAACTTAGGAGGCGGAGGTTTCAGTGAGCTGAGATTGCACCACTGTACTTCAGCCTGGGTGACAGAGTGAGACTCTGCCTCAAAAAAAAATTTTTTTTTCAAAGAAGCCTGATGTTGGAAGGAGTTCGCTTGGACTACAGAGCTGCAAGGAGGCCGGTGGGTCAGAGCTTAGTGAGCAAAGATGCTATTCTGTCCCACCAGCTTTGAGGCCCTGGCAAGATAAGATGCCTGAGCCTGCAAAGCAGAAGCTAGACCATGGGCAGGAGTGAACTCAACATGCTTAGTGCCACTCTGGAGTCCTGTGGGGCGCACAGCCTGCATCCCCAGCAGACGTCACTCTGCCTCCAGCTTGAGGAAGGGGCTGCAGAGCTTTCCTCTTCAGCCTTCAGCTTGAGTTGGCAGGTGCACAGTCACAACCTTCAGGGTCCTAGAGCATTCATTTTCAGGAAGTAAATCTTCAGGATGTACTGAAGCATCTTCAGGATAGCAAATTCGAAGACTCTGACCCACACTGACGGTTTTGTGATTTACATGGTCATATTCAAGAAACAGAGCGAGGCCAATCAGATATCCATATGGAAAAATATGAGGTTTGACTTCTAACACCACACATAAAAATTAATCCCAGAAAGATCATAAACCTAATTGTGAAAGATAAATCACTAAAGCTTCTAGAAGATAATATAGGCAAATACCTTCAGATCCTTGGGGGGAGATGAGTATCTCTTAAATGGGACAAAAACCAAGCAAACCATAAACAAAAAGACTGATAAACTGCACATCATTAAAAGAACCTCTGTTCAATAAAAATACCATTAGGAGGTTTAAAAGTCAAGCCCTATAGACTAGAAAAAGATACTTGATAAATATAGTTTTTGTCCAATGAAAGACTTATATCTGTAATATATAAAGAGTTCCTACAAATCAACACATACACATACAACTCAATTTAAGACCAGAATGACAACTTGGACAGACATTCTATAAAAGAGGATTGACTGGCCAATAAGCAAATGAAAAGGTATCATCATTTAGTCATCAAGGATATGAAAATTAAAACCACTACACATCTACCAGAGTGGCTAAAATTAAAAAGATTGGTAACACCATTGGCCAGGATAAAGAGCAACTAGAATGCTCATTTGTTGCCAATATGAGTATAAATTAGCACAAACACTTTAGAAAACTGTTTGGTGGTGGTATCTATTAAAGCTAAACATAAGCCACCCAAGGACCTAGCAATTCCATTCCCAGGTATATATACCCACAGAAATAAGCACCGAGTTTCTCCAAAAGCATGTATGAGAATGTTCACTACAGCTTTCTTCATAATAGTCAAAACCTGGAAACAACCCAAATGTCCATTAACGGGAGAATGGATAATAGGTTGCGATATATTTTTACAATGGAATACTGCAGAACAATGGAAAAGAATTAACTACAGCCTCATGCTATATGTACAGCCACACACCACCATGCCCAGCTAATTTTTGTATTTTTTGTACAGATGGGGTCTCACTTTGTTACCCAGGTTGGTCTCCAACTCCTGGGCTCAAGCAATCCTCCCTCTTGGTCTCCCAAAGCGCTGGGGTTACAGGTGTGAGCCACCATGCCCAGCCCCCAAATATTTTCATTTTAACTTGTAATCCATAAAAATGAGATTTTCTATTCTTTTATCATACTAAGTTATTGAAATCCAGCGCTTATTTCACATGGCACATCTCCATTTGGACTTGCCACATTTTAAGTGTACAACAGCCACACGTGGCTTGTAGCTGCCATATTGGACAGCACGGCTCTAAAACCTGGGTCATGTTGCAAAGTGAGTATGTTCAAGGCCTAGTATTTTCTAAAAATATTAATTTAATAGGCTGAGTGCACCAGCTCATGCCTGTAATCCCAGCACTTCAGGAGGCCCAGGCAAGAAGATCGAGACCAGCCTGGCCAACATGGTGAAACCCCATCTCTACTAAAAATACAAAACTTAGCCAGACATGGAGGTGGGCACCTGTAATCCCAGCTACTCAGGAGGCTGAGGCAGGAGAATTGCTTGAACCCAGGAGGCGAAGGTGGCAGTGAGCAGAGATTGTGCCACTGCATTCCAGCCTGGGCAACAGAGCAAGACTCCATCTGAAAAAAATACCAAAAACCAAAAATCAAAAAATATTAATTTAATAATAACAAGTACTAAGGAGGAAATGAAGGTTCAGAGAGCTGAAGTGACTTGCCCAAGGCCTTATGCTGGTGAGTGGTAGTGGTTAAAGAGCTGAGACTGCGGTCAGACTGAGAACGACCTTCACAAAGTGACGTGAAAATGACAGGAGATACACACGGGAAGTGATCAGCACAGTGCCGGGCTTATATCTATAGCTCACATGCCAAGAAACAGCCGGGCTTATATCTACAGCTCACATGCCAAGAAACATGAGCCCCATCATCATGATGCTATTAACACTATCACTATGCAGGGAGAGGAAGGCTAACAGGGAGAAGGCAGAGACCACTCAGGGTCACTAGCTGGGGAAACCCTGTGTCAGCTGACATTTCCCAAGACCGCCCCCTGAACGGCTTGCACCACTCACCGGACTGGTGGGTGAGGAAACTACCAGCTTCAGACCAGCTCCGTCATGAGCCTGGGCCTTCTGCAGGCCATTCCCTTGGCCCACTTCTCTGGCTGTCTCGCTGACAGTACTAGAAGGCTGCTGGCCTGAGGTGCTCTCTACAGGCTGCTGTAAGTCCAGGGGGCTGGGCGCCTGGGGATGCGGCTCCTGCACGTGGACACCATCTTGAGTTCCAGAGGCTGCCTGGGCAGGAAGGGGCTCTGCAGGTGCCTCACAGTGCAGGTGTGTGCTGGTGTTGAGGCCATGGAGGGAGAGTTAGGCCTGTGGTGTGGGGATCTCCGTTTCTTGGCTCAGTCCGTTGGTTGGCACAGTTTACCTGGGCTTTGCTGAATTCCAACAATACCATAGAAGTTTTAAACAAAGAAACCTGTGTGACAGGTTGTCTGCGATAATGCCCAAGGCAACTGGGGCAGAGGGAAGAATGCAAAACTGCTGTTTTATGATTTAAAACAACCCACACCCTCTAAATGATCCACTGCACTCCCCCTCACACAGTCCTCCTCTGACACTCCCACCACGTTTTTCCTGGCCAGGATTTAGGCAGACTGCGTGGACAGGTGATGTGTGGAGCCTGGGATCTCAGGCGAAAAAGCTCCCCAGCAGAGGAAGAGGACTTGGTATGAATGAGGACTTACTGGCATTCTGAGCAGGCTAGCTGTGGGCCTGGAGAGCTTGCTCAGCCAAACACATGGTTGTGTGGGCAATCGTTTCCCCAAACATGGTATGCAGCAGAGCCTCCTCCTCCACAGCACAGGGAGTAGAGATGCCAGGACTCTGTGCCCTGGGGCAGGGACTAGGAGAAGCGAGGGCTAGGCAGGTTTCCTAAGCGAGGTCATACTTTGTTCCTGTGCAGGCACTGGGACAGCAAGGGGAGGTGCAAGGGCTGGTCCCCTCAGAGCTGGACTGGAGGTGGAGACAGAGAAGCTTCACATCCCCAGAAACTGCTGCTGGAGCTCAATGTATACCAGGTGTGTGAGGGTGGATATGAGTACACACGAGATGTGCCCCTGCTCAGTCTCCATGGTGGGACTGCCACTCCCTGTCTCCTCCGTGCTGCTTCCTGGGGCCACAGGGAGCAAATGTTACTGCCTTGGTACACGTGCGTGTACACCACACTCACACATACACACTGCACAGAAACATGCCCTGGGCCCTCTGGAATGTGCACTGACTAGCAACTGCTCCTCCCTCTCCTGAGGCTTCTTCTGAGGATCCAAGCTCCATTTTGAAAATAAACCCGTTTGCTCTCTCTTCTGCTTATAAAACCAGTGGAGCATGTCATGGGCAAAGCCTGGTTCAGGTGGCCACAGGCTGTCTAAGGCCCCAAAGCCTCCCTGCATCTGCCCTGATGGCTTGGACTGGGTCCAGAAGATACATGAAGCTCTGCTTAATTTGGGCTTATGGAAATGAGGATTTTAGAATTCAAGTTGCTTACCTGATTGTCTTTCCAGTGAGCTCTGCACCATCTTAACCCCAAACAACATTTCAAGACATTATCGTCAAGAATAGGTGGCCAATCCATACATGTATAAGTAACTGATTTTGGCCGGGTGTGGTGGCTTACATCTGCAATCCCAGCACTTTGGGAGGCTGAGGTGGGTAGTAGAACCACAAGATCAGGAGTTCAAGACTAGCATGGCCAAGATGGTAAAACCCCGTCTCTACTAAAAATACAAAAATTAGCCAGGCTTGGTGGCAGGCGCCTGTAATCCCAGCTACTCGGGAGGCTGAGGCAGAGAATTGCTTAAACCTGGGAGGTGGAGGTTGCAGTGAGCCGGGACTGTGCCACTGCAATCCAGCCTGGGTGAAAGAGCGAGACTCCATCTCAAAAAAAAAAAAGTAACTGATTTTCAACATAGACACCAACACATTTTAATGGGGAGGGAATAGTCTTTTCAACAATTGTGCTGAGATAAGTGGATAATCACATGCAAAAGAAAAAAGCTGGACTGCTATCTCACATTGTATACAAAAATTAACTCAAAGTGGATTAAAGACCTAAAGGTAAGAGCTAAAACTGTAAAACTCTTAGAAGGAAAGAGAGGTATAAACTTCATGTCTTTGGATTAGGCAACGGTTTCTTAGATGTGAGATCTACAGCATAAGAAAGCAATAAAAAATAAATTGTAATCCCAGCACTTTGGAGGCCAAGGCGGGTGGATCACCTGAGGCCAGGAGTTCGAGATCAGCCTGGCCAACATAGTGAAACCCTGTTTCTAATAAAAATACAAAATTAGTTGGGGGTGGTGGTGGTGCGCACCTGTAATCCCACTACTTGGGGGGCTAAGGCAGGAGAATCACTTGAACCCGGGAAGGGGAGGCTGCAGTGAGCCGAGATCACACCACTGCACTCCAGCCTGGGCAACAAAGTGAAACTCTGTTTCAAAAAACAAAAATAAAAAACGTTTGTGTGGTTTTTTTTTTTTTTTTTTGAGACTGAGTCTCACTCTGTCGCCCAGGCTGGAGTGCAGTGGCGCCATCTCGGCTCACTGCAAGCTCCGCCTCCCGGGTTCATGCCATTCTCCTGCCTCAGACTCCCGATTAGCTAGGACTACAGACGCCCGCCACAACGCCCAGCTAATTTTTTGTATTTTTTTTTTTTTAGTAGAGATGGAGTTTCACCGTATTAACCAGGATGGTCTCGATCTCCTGACCTCGTGATCCTCCTGCTTTGGCCTCACAAAGTGATGGGATTACAGGAGTGAGCCACCGTGCCTGGCCAAAACGTTTGTGTTTTAAAGGATACTATCAAGACAGTAAAAAGACAATTCAAAGAATCGGGGGAAATATTTTTAAATTATACAGAAGGGCCTATTATCCAGAATATACACAGAACACTTACAAATGAACAATAAAAAGACAAATAACTAAATGTTTAAATGGGCAAACGATCTGAACAGACATTTCTCCAAAGAAGATATCCAAATGTTTGATAAGCACATGAAAAGACACTCAACATCATCAGTCATCAGAGAAATGCAAATCAAAACTACAATGAAATACCACTTTATACCCACTGGGTTGATTGTAATAAAAAAGACAGAAAATAATAAGGGTGGCAAAGATGTAGAGAAATTAAAGCTTGTATATATTAGTGGTGGGGATGTAAAATGACGCAACTACTGCAGAAAACAATTTGGTAGTTCCTCAAGAAGTTAAACATAGAGTTACATATGACCCAGCAATTCCACCCCTAGGTATGTAACTAAGAGAATTAAAAACATGTCTACCCAGGCTGGGCGTGGTGGCTCATGCCTGTAATCCCAGCACTTTGAGAGGCTGAGCCAGGCGGATCACCTGAGGTCAGGAGTTCACCTGGCCAACATAGTGAAACCCTTTCTCTACAACAAGTACAAAAATTAGCTGGGTGTGGTGGCAGGCCCCTATAATCCCAGCTACTCAGGAGGCTGAGGCAGGAGAATCGCTTGAACCCAGGAGGCGGAGGTTGCAGTGAGCCGAGATCATGCCACTGCACTCCAGCCTGGGGACAGAGCGAGACTCCGTTTCAAAAAATAAATAAAATATTGAATAAAATAAAATACAACAATACCATCGATTGAGCACTATTGATGCCTCTGTGCCAGGGACCATTCTAAGTACTTAAATCTAAGTACTTAAACCCTCCAGACTATACCTATGCCACTCAGTGATGATTATAATACAGATCCAATCTACACAGAAGAAGCTATTTAGGACAGTCAATTCACTAGGCCAACTGCAATTTGGTTTCTGCCAAACAGAACCGATTTATATTAATAAATTTCATTTTGAATGTTGTGTCTTTTATGCTTTTCTTTATGTTTGATTTGTGGATGTTTTGATTTTATATGTGTAATGATAAGCACAAGGAATTTATGTCTAATTTAAAGTTACAAATATTTAAATAATGTAATAACTTTGATGAACTCTAAGTGTCAGTGAGAACATTTTACCCTTGAAATATACACTTCAAGAAATGCTGGTCTCTGTGGATGCTCAAGGACTAACTTCAAGGCCCAGCTCTACGAATGCTGGTGCTGGCTGTGTGTTTGTGCATCTGTATGTCTTACATTTGCCAGTTACTCACACCACTGTCCGGCATTTGTCTATACATCCTGACCCTTGCCCCTCCAGTTTCTCCATAATAGCCGGGACAACACTTCCTGCACAGAGAGGATGGTCACTGATTCAGTGACCTTAAGCTGGAATTTTCCATCACAAGACACATGAGATAAAGGCGAGACATATGACAAGGGGATGGCTGGCTGGTCTGCAGAGGAGGCAGACACACAGGAAGGGCTAAGACAGGTGAGTAAACCTAGGTCATGCCCTGTGCTCGGGACACACTGCAGGCCTGTCATGCCATGGTCCCAGTGGTCACAGGAGGCAGAGACTGTTCCTCCCCAATGTATTCTATCTAAATTCCTCCATTTAACATTTGAAAACTCCACCTAATGTGCTCAGAAGCCATTTCTGGGCCTACGAGACAATCTCCTATATTGTTTGACTAACAAGCAATGTGCCTGACCTTCCTGGGCTTGTAAGTGGTGGAACAGGACTCGAAACTAGGTCTGCTCCAAGCCCAGTCTGTAACACCACCCAATGCTGGTGCTCTTTCCATGCTGGGTGAGAACCCTGGAGGGACCTGAACCAAGGCGAGGGCACAGGGCCAGTGGAAAGAAGGTCCCAAACACGTGGGACCTTCTTTTCCGCTGATGCAACATGGATCCAGCTGAAGGAGGCTTTTAATAAGAAGTTCCCATTTTCCACCTATCAGATGAGCAAATATCCAAAAGTTCACTAATACCATCAGTTGGCAAGGCTAAGAAACAAGGACATTCCTGGTGGAGTGTAAATGGGCAATAATCTGTGAACATTCCATATTAGTCTATCCTTTTGCTCGGCAATTTTGCTTCTGGGAGTTTATGGAACAGAGATAGCTACGCAGAACTAAAAGACCACATACACAAGGTTATTTATGAAAACACAGGCCCCAGCACCCATTAAATACTGGGCTGATTAAGTAAACTAAGGTACATTGATACACTAGAACAATATGCAATAGAAAAAAAAAGAATGAGGCTGAGCGCAGTGGCTCACGCCTGTAATCCCCAGCAATTTGGGAGCCTGAGGCAGGAAGATCTCTTGAGCCCAGGAGTTCAAGACCAGCCTGGGCAACACAGTGAGACCCCCGTCTCTATAAAAAATAAAAATAAAAGAATGAAGAAGCTCTGATATGAAAAGATCTTCTCCAAAACAAGATATAGAACAGTGTGTATATACTGCCTTTGTAGGAGAGAAAGTAATAAATAAGGAAGACATTTTAAAAATCTTGTTTTTTTTTTTGGGACAGAGTCTCACTCTGTCACCCAGGCTGGAGTGTAGTGGCACAATCTCAGCTCACTGCAAGCTCCGCCTCCCGGGTCCACACCATTCTCCTGCCTCAGCCTCCTGAGTAGCTGGGACTTCAGGCGCCCGCCACCACGCCCGGCTAATTTTTTGTATTTTTAGTAGAGATGAGGTTTCACCGTGTTAGCCAGAAAGGTCTCGATCTCTTGACTTTGTGATCCGCCTGCCTCGGCCTCCCAAAGTGCTGGGATTACAGGCGTGAGCCACTGCGCCCAGCTGAAAATCTTTATACTGGTATTTGTTGTAGATGCATTTAGAAATTTGGAAGAATATACAGGAAATTGATTATTATGGTTTTAGGGGTGGGAGGAAAGAACAGGGTAGAGGGAGAACAGGAATGGGAAAGGCTTTCACTGTATATGTTTTAGATTTTTTTTTAACCATAAAAAGATTATCTATGCAAATTTTTTATTTTATTTATTTATTTATTTATTTATTTATTTATTTTTGAGACAGAGTCTTACTCTGTCACCCAGGCTGGAGTGCAGTGGTGCGGTCTCAGCTCACTGCAAGCTCCACCTCCCAGGTTCACGCCATTCTCCTGCCTCAGCCGCCCATGTAGCTGGGACTACAGGCGCCCGCCACCATGCCCAGCTAATTTTTTGTATTTTTAGTAGAGACGGGGTTTCACCATGTTAGTCAGGATGGTCTCAATCTCCTGACCTCGTGATCCACCTGCCTTGGCCTCCCAAGGTGCTGGGATTACAGGCGTGAGCCACTGTGCCCAGCTGCAAAAAAATGTTTAAAAGGCTGTGTGAAGAAGGCTCTGCCCAGTTCTCTCTTCAGCCTAGTTCATCTGCCCCACATACTCTTCCACACATCTGTCTGTCCCCACCTGTCCACCACCTCCTGCATGCAGCACTCAGGTCCTGTGTCCCCCGGGAGGTATTCTGTGAAGTCACACTCTTATGCGTTATGTTTCATCTATTTGTTGGAAGTTTTAAATGTACTCTGACCTATTAGTTTCCTTCCTTCTAGATGAAGACAACAATATTTTACACTGTGCCTTGTAGAGACTAAGTATCTTGTTTTTTTGTTGTTATTGTTTGTTTTCAGTTTTTGTTTTATTTATTTATTTATTTATTTTTAATTTAGAGGCAGGATCTTGCTACATTGCCCAGGCTGGCCTCGAACTGCTGGGCTCAAGCAATCCTCCTGTATCAGCCTCCCAAGTGCTGGGATTTCAGGCATGAGCCACTGCACCCGGCCAAGTAACTTGCTAAAAGTCACCGGGGCAGAGCTGGAGCCCAAACCAGCTCTAAGCTGTTCTAAGTCCACTTTCTCCACTATGCCTGTATTGCCTGCTACAGTTCCCAGCTACTCCAGTCCCTGGAGAAGTCGATGACTCCCTTGGCTTTCTTTAATTACTAATAGAGTTCAGTAACAGACAATCACATGCTATGGGAAGAAAGGGAGGAGGAGAGGAAAGAAAGGAGTGAAGAGAGAAGATGGGAAGGAGTGGGGGCAGGGTACTCACTCTTGCAGAGACTGGTCTGAGTCCTCAGCATTTGCTGTGCCCAGGTCTGAGTCATAGGACATGGGCTCCTCGCAATGGTCTGGACTCTTGGAGCCATTCTCTTGGAGTAAGCAGCTATCAGAGTTTAGGCTGCAGGACAGCTGGGATGAACTGGCCGTGTCCAGGCTGAGGGAGGAGGCAGTCGGCTTCTGGTTCCTCCGTATCTTATGGCCCGAGTGATGGACTTCGATGTCTTCAGAGCCTGAAGAATGGGAAATGGAATCCAGAGATTCCTTCCGCTGTAGTTCTGCACCAGAGGTAGAGAGAGGGTCCAGCTCAGAAAGCGGGCAAAGCCCAGACAGGGCCAGTGGGGTGAGCGTCCACTCATTTAAGATGGCAGACTTGTAGGAGAGTTCGAAGGACAAGGACATGAGGCCCTGCAGGAAGCTAAGGAGGAACTCGCCCTCCTCAGCATCCCGGAGCAGGGCGGTGGGCTGGTAGTACTCACGCAAGCGGGCCTGCTCCTGCAGCAGCAGCTTCAGGTAGCACTCCATCAGGCCATTGTTCAGGGCCAGCCGCAGCCATGCCCGGCAGCGGCCCACATCCATGTTGACAAACGTCAGGTGCTCCAACTCTGAGATGATGTGTCTGGGAAGGGAGAACAGACGTGTTTCAAGAAACTACCCCAAATCACAGAGATGTGCTTTTATCCACTGATGAGCAGGAACCAGGAGTAACTACTGCAAATAGATACAGGCATGAAAAAATATTGGGTAATAGTGTTTTAGGCCAGATGTGGTGGCTCACACCTGTAACCCCAGCACTTTGGGAGGCCAAGGCAGGTGGATCACTTGAGCTCAGGAATTCGTGACCAGCCTGGGCAACAGGACGAAACTCTGTCTTTACAACAACAACACAGCCAGATGTGGTGGCTTGCACACGTAGTCCCAGCTACCCAGCTACTCGGGAGGTTGAGGTGGAAGGATAGCTTGAGCCTGGGAAGCAAAGGTCACAGTGAGCAGAGATTGGACCACTGCACTCCAGCCTAGGCAATATATATATATATTTATATTTATATATAATAAATATATATAAATATAAATTATATATATTTATACATTATATATATATTTTTTGAGATTGGAATTGTGAAAGATAATTTCCATGTTCATTCCAACTACCACGGGGCCCCTGACACATCTGCTCATCCAAGGCATGCTGTCAGAGCTCCTTAAGTGCAAGGTCCTTGGAGCAATGAAGATGCAGGGTAAAGACATGGTCCCTGCCCTCAGGCACAAGGAACTGATGAAAAAAGGCATAAAGGGTAGGAAATCAACAACCCTGTAAGAGGATTGGGGAGCGCTCCAATTACAGCATGTGGCAGAAAAGTGGGTGGTTTGGTTGCAAGGCCAGGAAAGAGAGGGTCTTAAATATCAAATCAATAAGGCAACAAGGGGTAATGGCCCCACACCCAGCTGTGCACCAGAATCCCCTGGGGAACTTGAGCAGGATACAAGTTCTGGGACCCCAACCTAGTGAATCAGTCTCCAGGCTAGCATCTGGGAGCCTGTAGGCTACAGATTTTTGTTTAGAAAAGTGACTTGACCACAGTCATGCAGACTGCAGGGTAGATGTTCTGCATAAGGAGATCAGACCCCAGGTGTACCAAACTCAGTCCCAGAATGCCTCCGTCTGATGTACATGCCCCTCTGAGCTACCACAGTCCCTAGCGCAGGTTTATCTCCTCCATGGGAATGTCGACCGCACTCTACTAGGCTCAGTGAGTAAGCTCCAGGGAGCTTCAGCTCAGTAAATGTTGACCAGATGATGGACTCAAGGAAAGACAGAGTGAGATAAGGGGGAACAATCGAAAGCCAGTGTCACCCAGGAAAGAAGAACGTGAGACAAGGCAGTGGCAATCTGCATGGAAAGGAAGATTAGAGACTGACAAGGCTTCTTTTGGGCTGAAGATGGCATTTAGTAGTCCTCAGAGGCACAGTGCCAGCTACTTGCTCAAAAGCCCAGACAGTTAGGGGCCAAAGAGATAAGTGTCTCCGGGTGAATATTCATATGCTTTTCCTGATTCCACTCTTTAATAAAAATAACCCCATACCTCCTTAAGAGATAACATTAATGGCTGGGCGCGGTGGCTCATGCCTATAATCCCAGCACTTTGGGAGGCGGAGGTAGGCAGATCACAAGGTCAGGAGTTTGAGAGCAGCCTGACCAACATAGCAAAACCCTTCTCTACTAAAAATACAAAAATTAGCTGGGCGTGATGGTGCGTGCCTGTTGTCCCAGTTACTCAGGAGGCTGAGGCAGGAGAATTGCTTGAACCTGGGAGGCAGAGGTGCCAGTGAACCGAGATCGCGCCATTGCACTCCAGCCTGGGTGACAGAGCGAAACTCCGTCCCAAAAAAAAAAAAAAGATTTACAATTCGGATGTTTGAATAATCTAAGGCAGGGTCAGCAAATCTAAGGCAGGGTCAGCCCGTCTGTAAAGGGCCAGATAGTAAATTCTTCAGGCTTTGCAGGCCACACAACCTCTGTTGTAACTATGTAATTCTGCCCCAGTGTGGCAAAAAAGGCTGTTCCTGCTAAAGGTGGCCAGTCTCACCTGTTTTTTGTGACCAGTCTCAAAGCAGCCACAGGCTCTTGCCTGAGTGCTGAGGGTCTCAAGATCTGCTGGCACACTGGCTGGGAAGCTTGGTCTAGAGATAAGCCTTTCTAGAAGACACTTTCAACCCCTACCTCACCCTCTCTCTATGCTAGAACACAGGGCACCTCTGTTGGCTTCCTGAACAGCCGGGGAGGAAAAGCCAAGTGTCCCATACTCTGCTGCTCCTCTGCAAAGCAAAACCTCTCCAGCTAAATCTCACTTGGGGGTGACAGCTTTCAGGAGGGGCCAGAAGACAGGCTGGGGCAGAGGCTTCTGGTGGGCACTTTTCTTCCTTTTTCCTCCGGCCTCAGCTCGGATGTGCTTGGTGTGCAGGCCATGGATAAATACGGCCTCCAGGGCGCTGCACATGGTGTTGGCATCTCCGTCTTCACTAGTGACCACCATGTCCAGGGACACGTACTGCTTTTGCAAGGCTTTCACGGATCCCACCAGCTTCTTCTTGATGACCTAGGCAGCACCACACAGAACACAGGCCTTTAGCAGAAAATCCTATGGAGAGTCCCTAGAGTGTAATCCTTTAGCTGGTGCCAAATATATGTGCAACCACATGCACACACACCTATGTGTGTGTCTGTAGATTCCTTCTGCAAAATTAGCACATTGTTAACTACAGCAAAGAAAGATAAAGCATAGAGAAGAAAAGGAAAATCACACACACTACCCAGAGATAATTACTGTTATTGTTGTTTCATATGTCCTTTAGTGTAGATACTTTTTGTTTTTTAGACCAAACTTAAGTGAACTTAGAGCCATATAATCTTGTGTTTAAATATTGGCCCCATCATAGCTGCAGTGATGGGAGCTTGGGTAAATCCATCTAGGACAAGGTTGGGGCTTCCCACCTTTTTTACATGGACAAGCTTCTGTAGAGAATCAATAAGCCAAGAGGCAAAAACTAACAAACAATAAACACCCACACTGCTTTAGAACAATAAAAACATGAGGAGAACAGGAGCATGGTTTACTTTAAGAAAGATCCTACGCTGGGCGTGGTGGCTCAAACCTGTAATCCCAGAACTTCGGGAGGTCAGAGGCAGGAGGACTGCTTGAGTCCAGGAGTTCAAGGCTGCAGTGAGCTGTGATCACACCACTGTACTCCAGCCTGGGCAACATAGCAAGACCTTGTCTCAAAAAAAGAAAGATCCTAGGCCTGGAAGCCAGAGGACTAGGCTCAGTCCTAGCTGTCAGTAACCAGATGGGCCTCCTCAGACATTCCACTTAACCGCTTTGAGCCTCAATTTCCTTATCTGTTAAAGTGGAAATAATACTTTCTGATTTATAGTACTATGAGGATTCTCCTGAGGACAGGACTACCTTTTTTTTTTTTTTTTTTTTGGGAAGTGGTTTCTGGTGAAAACCAGAAAACCTACTAGATAAATTCTAAAAAGAGGCTGGGTGTGGTGGCTCACGCCTGTAATCCCAACACTTTGGGAGGCCAAGGCAGGCGGATCACTTGAGGACAGGAGTTTGAGATCAGCCTGGCAAACATGATGAAACCCTGTCTCTACTAAAAACGCAAAAATTAGCCAGGTGTGGGCCGGGCACGGTGGCTCACGCCTGTAACCCCAGCACTTTGGGAGGCCGAGGTGGGTGGATCACGAGGTCAGAAGATCGAGACCATCCTGGATAACAGGCTGAAACCCCATCTCTACTAAAAATGCAAAAAAATAGCTGGGCATGGTGGCAGGCGCCTGTAGTCCCAGCTACTCGGGAGGCTGAGGCAGGAGAATGGCGTGAACCCGGGAGGTGGAGTTTCCAGTGAGCCGAGATCGTGCCACTGCACTCCAGCCTGGGCGACAGAGCGAGACTCCGCCTCAAAAAAAAAAAAAAAAAAAAAAATAGCCAGGTGTGGTGGTGAGTGCCTGTAATCCCAGCTACTTAGGAGGCTGAGGCAGGAGAATCACTTAAACCCGGGAGGCAGAGGTTGTACTGAGCCAAAATCATGCCACTGCATTCCAGCCTGGGTGGCAGAATGAGACTCCATCTCAGAAAAACAAAACAAAACAAAACAAAACAAAAAACATGTATATAAAAGAGCTGAGTGTGGCACTAAGACTAGTGTTTTATTCATCCTTGTGTCAACACTTGGCACTGTGCCTGGCACATAGAAATACTCAATAAATGTTTGTTAAATGAATACACCACAAAATGTACAGAGTCTTTTGGAAATATAGAGTAAAAATTGAGCATAATTATAAGTATGTGAAAATCACATAAGTGATTGGAAAAGAACTGGAAAGGATTACAGAAAAACTGGTTTGAATTGTTGGGTGATAGGATTATGGCTACATATTTTAATCTTTTATTTTGATTTCAGCCAAAACACTAAATGTTAACATTCTTTGAAAAGTTAAATTTGAAAAAATATAACGGTTTTAATGAGATATAATTCATATACCATAAAATACACCCATTTAAAGTATACAGTTCAATTGTTTCTAGTATATTCACACAATTGTGCAACCATCACCACTACCTAATTTTAGAAGATTTTCTGGCCGGGCACGGTGGCTCACGCCTATAATCCCAGCACTTCGGGAGGCCAAGACGAGTGGATCACCTGAGGTCAGGAGTTCGAGACCAGCCTGGCCAAGATGGTGAAACCCTCATCTCTACTAAAAATACAAAAATTAGCCGGGCATGGTGGTGCACACCCATAATCCCAGCTACTTGGGAGGCAGAGGCATGAGAATCACTTGAACCTGGGAGGTGGAGTTTGTGGTGAGTCAAGATCGTGCCACTGCACTCCAGCCTGGGCAGCAGAGTGAGACTCCGTCTCAAAAAACAAACAAACAAACAAACAAACAAACAAAAAAACCGATTTTCATCACCCCAAAAAGAAATACTGTATATTAGTGATTGCCAGTGGCTGGGAGAAAGGGGAATACGAAGTGAATGCAGTCACTAATCTATTTTCTGTTTCTGCGGCTTTGCATATTTTGTACATCTCACATGAATAGATATCAATACAGCATACGACCCTTTGAATCTGACTTATTTCACTTAGCATATTTTCCATCAAGTTGTAGCATGTATCAGGACTTCATCCCTTTTTATTGCCAGAAAATATTCCGCTGCCTAGATATACCACATTTTATTCATCCATTCATCAGTTAATAGACATTTGGGTTGTTTCTACTCTTTTGCTATTATCAATAATGCTGCTATGAACATCCATGTACAAGTTTTTGAGTGGACTCATATTTCTAGTTCTCTTGGGTATATATCTAGGAGTGGAATTGTACACATAACCCTATGTTTAACTTACCAAGGAACTGGCAAACTGTGTGCCAAAGTGGCTGCACTATTTTACATTCCCACCAACAATATATGAGTTCCAATCTCTCCACATTTTTGCCAGCACTAGTTATTGCCTTTTTTATTACAGCCATCCTAGGGGGTGTGAAGTAGTATCTCACTGTGGTTTCGATGTGCATTTTCCTGATGTCTAATGATAATGAGCATCTTTATTGGCCATGTGTGTATCTTCTTTGGAGAAGGGTCTATTCAAATCCTTTACCCATTTTATAACTGGATTATTTGTCTTTTTATTGTTGAGTTATAAGTGTTCTTTATACATTCTGGATACTAGACCCTTATCAGATATTTGATTTGCAAATATTTTCTCCCATTCTGTGGGTTGTCTTTTCATTTTCTTGATAGTATCCTTTGAAGCTCAAAAGTTTTTAATCTTGAAATAGTCTAATTTTAAATGTTCTTTTAAAAGCAAGATGTTATTTGTATATTATATTTAAAAAGTACATACATACTTCGTTCAATTGAGCACCTACTAGGTGTTGGGTTAGGGTATACAGGGAGAAATAAGGCATACCCTCAAGAAAGGCATACCCTCATGGAGTCAGTTTGTGCAGCTGTTGTTAGAAGGCTGGGTTGGCCAGGCTTCTGCCCTAGCTCTGGAGGGTCCTGGGGTGGGATTCGGCAGGCACTGGGGGTGGGAGAGTGGGGGTGCAGAGGGGAGGGAAGAGCCTCTGCATGAAAGCCAGCTGGGAAACAGGTGGAGCTGGACTCTCCTGTGGCCAGGACGGGGAAAGGCACGTCTCTGAGAGCTACAGTTTCTTTCAAGCAGAGAGTTCTCTGAGCTGGGAAGCAGCAGTGGGGAGGAAAGGAAATCCTGGCTTCTCCCCGAAAGCCATCTCAGGATGCTGCTAAGGCACCAGCCCCAAAGCTACCTGACTTCCTACCTCTCCAAGAGAACAGAGAGCTCTATCTGGAGTACCCAAGATAGCCCAGGAGGGTGCAAAGGGCTGTCCAAGAAAAGGTCCTAGGGGGCTCCAGTGAACTGCTCACAAATAATTACATTTAGAATATCCCAGAAAATGGTAAGTGTTCAGATACATGTAAGTTACCAATTTACCCCCATTACTGAAACAACAAACCAGTGCCTGGGAATATCTGTTTCCCACCCATTCAGTGCTTTGGCCAGACTGTGACCAAATCATGGCCTAAGGGCAGAGGGCTGAAGGGCTGAATGGAAATCCTTGGTCTTCAGGTTACTGATCTTAAATTCCCACTGCTTTTCATAAATCTCCATCTTATCACCAATAAGGTGATCTAGAAAAGACAGGGTCTCCTCAGAGCCTGCTTGTGCTATAACTTTTTCTCAACCTGGTCTCTCTTGCAGGACAGTGCCCATTCATTTCGAAGTGAGCCAAGCCGATGATACAACTGTCCCCTGCAGCCCTTCCCCGCCCTTGATCCTCCCTCACCCACCTACCGGGATGGCAGCCTGGGGGTCCAGTCCATTCTCCACCACTGAAAGCATCTCCACTCACGCAGCTGCTCCCTCAGAGAATCACATGACACCTGAAGAGACAGATGGCAGCCAGATGAATGGGCAGGGAACTTCCCCCCAGCCAGAGTCCATTCCCAGCAAGCAGCAGGAGGTCAGCCTCTCTTACTCAAACTGCAACCAAAAAGGCCTTTGAAGAACACAAAAGTAAAAACTGATAATAGATTTGAAGGAAAGAAACAAGGAAGGAAAGCCCAGGGGGCTCAGTCATTGGGAGGCAAGGAGTCCTGGGTGCCAGGGGTGGGTCCACCCCAAGGAGTAGGTGGTAAGGGCGCTTCACATCAAATGCTGCCCAGAAAGCCAAGGCCCTGTAGGATCGAAACCTGTAGGCAGGGAATGACAGGCTGATTCAGATACGGAGCTGCAGGTTCGAGGGGGAGGCTGCAGCTGAAGGTGGCAGGAACCCACTGGGACCAGGAAGCAGGGGCTCACAGGCTCACACATCACATTCAGGGGCTGGGTCCTGCAACACCCTGCCCCCACCCCTCACTCCTGTCCCAGTCCAACATCTGCCAGCTCGGCAGTAAAAAGTACCACTGGAACGGCTTCAAAAGGGGAGGGCTCCCTTGCTACACTTCTGCTCCTCATTTGGGCTTCGAGGGTCTGGCTTGAGCAGCACAGACAGGGACGTGTCTAACCGGGATGACCATGAGGTCTCATCGCAGTTTGCCACTAACCAGGGAGACATGCACAGACCTCTCAGAAGGAGAATGTGTAAAATGCCTGTCACGGGGCCTGATATGTGCCTGTACCTGATATGTTGTACCTGGCATCTGTCATCCCAGTGGATGTGGCCACCTAAACCTACAGACCAAGAATGTCATCGCCTAAATGAGTATGCAGGAAGAGTTGAAGTCAGTGAGTGGTTAAATCCCTCAGGGCTGCCAGCTTCCTCCTGGGAGTGGGTGGGGTGGGGTGGGGTGGGGTGGGTGGGGTGGGGACTTTAGCCTGAGCCTGAGGGGGCTGCTGACTGGCTTGGCCCCACCACAGCAACTTGGACAGACCTGGGCCAGGCAGGCACATTCACTCGTAAACAAATCTCTAGCCAACTCCTGGCTGAGCATCAGGGGAACGCCGGGAAAGGTGATGTCTGTCTGTCTCAGCTCTCAAACAATCACCGCACAAAGAAGTTAACAAAACCAAGAAAAGTTAAATGGGCTCAGTTCTCTTTACATATATTGCCTAATTTATGTTCCTCCTAAGGACCCTAGGAGTGCTGTTTTATTGTCTCCACCTGACAGATAAGGAAATGGCAGCTGACCCAGGTCAAGGAAGTTCCTGAGGTCCCAGGGCTGATAAGCGGCCTGACTCCACCACCAGCCCCCAGGAGGAAGCCAACCCCAGCCCTAGGAAAACCCGATTCCTAAGTGAGTGCTGTAAACCAAAAATAAAATTCTAAGCTCCCCAACTGCCTGAATGGGCCCCCCTTGGCCAAAGGGATTTCAAAAAAACTGAAAACTGAGTTCAGGCCATGACAGGAAGTGGGGCGTGGGCCATGCCTCATCCTAGCCTCTCCCTTTTGGAGCTTAGACACAACTGACCAGCATTAACATTGAAACAGACTCCTAAGACTGACAGAACAGACTCTCAGCAATTAAGACACCAACTCCAACCTGACTGGTCTAACATCACATGGGAGATAACAAGCCCTAAGGAAATCAAAGTATCTTACCCCCAAGTATATTTTTGACATAGTTTGGAATGGCCCTGCAAAGCCATCTCTTGTTGGGAAAATCTATGTCCTGCAGAGATTCCCTTCCCTTTCTAGGCCTTTTCCTGATTTAGAGGAGATTTAACTAAGAGTCTGACACCTTAGAGACATTTACCATCTATTCTCTTGAAGGCTTCATCTACGTAACATGAACCTTGGCTTTCACAACCCACCTTATCTTAAACCCAAGCTTTTCTTCTGCTGACTTTTAACTCTTTAGGCAAAGTTTAACTTTTTCAGCCAATTGCCAATCAGGAAATCTTTTAATCCACCTTACCCTGTCCCCACCAATGTATACCTTACATATATTAATTTATGTCTTTGCCTGTAACTTCTGCCTGTAACTTGGATAAAAATCAAGCTGTACCCCAATCACCTTGGGGACATGTTCTCAGGACCTCCCAGGACTATGTCACAGGTCATGGCCCTCACATTTGGCTCAGAAGAAACCTCTTCGAATATTTAACAGAGTTTGGCTTTTTCATCAACAGTGCCATCACCTCAGAGCTAGGATTCCAGGGGTGGTCTGGGAAGATCCTTTCGCTGGGGGCCGGGAACAGGGGGTGCAGGGGAACATTAAGGCCAGTGTGGCAGGAAAGGTTTCCTGGACAGCCCTGGAGCAGCATGAGGTTTGGAAAGCAGACAGGCAGGCTGGCCCTAAATGGTGGAAGGTGCTCTGATTGGATCTCTGGCTTCTGGGGATAGCAGAGGGCAAACAGGACACAGGGAGTCAGGACCCAGAGCCAACCTCCCTAAGTCAGGTCCCTCAGGAGGAAGCAGGCATGTATGGAGGATGGTTCCTGCAGACCCAGTAACAGGCCGGGTGCTGCAGATGGCCAGAAGAGCCCTCAGTCCTGACTACAGCCCCATCTGACTGCCTCACCCTTCACCATAGTCTGCTCCCAGCTACCCAGGGATTCTCAGAGCCCTCCTCCGGAGACCAGTTCCACATTCTGGCCACGGGGTGACAGGAAAAGGGGGCTGTATGCTGCAGTGACTCTGCATCTAGGGTCACTTCCAGAAACAGGCCTGGTCTTGAGGTCAGGCTCCATCAAGGCTACCCTTTTGCAGCTCAGCAGGCCACGTCCAGCTTCTCTGGCTCCGAAACCCTGGGCTCCAATCCCAATCCACAATTTCCAGTGGCCTGAGGCCCTCAGGCCCACCCTTCTAGAGAGAGCCCGAAGCCCCAAAGTTGCCCTTCCCTTAACCAGCTACAGGGCCGGGACCCTAAGGACTTAGACCCAATAATTTGAATTATAGCCCAGGCCCATTAAGACCTCATTAACTAATTAGCTGAGAGTGATAGAGTATTCACAGAGTATTCACTGGGAGGAGCAGGCCATTGGTAAGTCAGTGCTCTGGCCAAGTAACAGTATGCTAAGAAAACAAAATAGGCCAGGTGCCATGGCCCACACCTGTAATCCCAGCACTTTGGGAGGCCGAGGCAGGAGGTTCACTTGAGGTCAGGAGTTTGAGACCAGCCTGGCCAACATGGTGAAACCCTGTCTCTAATTAAAAAAAAAACAAAAATTAGCCAGGCATGGTGGCCCATGCCTGTAATACCAGCTACTGGTATTACCAGCTACCATACCGGCTGAGGCAGGAGAACCACTTGAACCCAGGAGGCGGAGGTTGCAGTGAGTTGAGATCGTGCCACTGCACTCCAGCCGGGGCAGCAAAGCAAGAATAAATAAATAAATAAATAATTTATGTCTCAAATAAATAAATAAATAATAAACTGAAGCTGGCTGGGCGCGGTGGCTCATGCCTGTAATCCCAGCACTTTGGGAGGCCGAGGCGGGTGGATCACGAGGTCAGGAGATCGAGACCATCGTGGCTAACACGGTGAAACCCCATCTCTACTAAAAATACAAAAAATTAGCCGGGCGTGGTGGCGGGTGCCTGTAGTTGCAGCTACTCGGGAGGCTGAGGGAGAATGGCGTGGACCCAGGAGGTGGAGCTTGCAGTGAGCCAAGATCGTGCCACTGCACACCAGCTTGGGCAACAGAGCGAGACTCCATCTCAAAACAAAAAAAAATTAATAATAATAAACTGAAGCTAAGAGAGACAGGGCCAGACAAGAGAAGGGTCACTTGGCCTAAAACAGAGTCAGAAATGCCACAAAATGACTGACAAGAGCTCAGAGAAATCCAGCAGAAGAGCCACTTGAAAATTCACAAGATAGGACTGAGCCTCTGGGGTTCCAGCCACAATGCAGGACACCTCTGTTTGTAGGCAGCCATAGCACCCCACCTATCTGTATCTGTTCCATCATGCTCAGGGAGGCAGGGCTCAGATGGTCAGTGACATAAGAACTCACGGCAGGAATCAGAAGGAGGCTTTGTGTCTCTTGACTGTGGGGACAGCACTGCGTCACCCACCCTGGTGGCCCAGATTCTGAATCTACCATCCTATGGAACTGGTTCCACTTTCTGTCCTCAAAACGCTCTTCATTGACACAAAGAACCAAAGTGAAGAGAGGTGTGGCTTCAAGGAGACCTACCTGAAGGGAGTGAGGCAAAGCTGGGCAACAGTACCAAAGGGCTCTTGAACATGACGGGTGAAAGCTTAGCAGGGGAAAGGTGACTGGTGCCATTTAGGAAGCCCCAAACCACACCAAGTCTACTGCCACCCTATGTATTCATTCGCCTTCACATAGCTCTCCAGAGTGCAGAAAGCAAGCTTCTCTGATGTCCCTCTCTAACCTCATTTAATTCTCACAGCAATCCCGTGAGAGAGTGATTATCCCTGTTTTACAGAGGACAAAACTGAGGCTCAGTAGCAATGGGTCTCAGGTAAGGGACAGAACTCTCTGGTTTCTTCATCCCAACTCCTGCATCTTTCCCTGGACCAAAAGGCCTCAGGTCTTTGGCTCAAATTCAGACAAACTATTACTTCTTCTTTAGAGGTACGCGGAAGCTCCATTTCATCACAGAAGGTCTGAAACCAACAAGAAACAGTTCTGCCAATCAGGTTTATAGCCCCAACCAGCTGAGACCAGGTCCTACCAATGCTCCTAAAGTCTCAGAGCTATACTTTCTTAAATGTTCCAACATAGTTAGGAAGGAACAGTTCCGGCTGGTTTCCTGCATTATACTGCCTGGCCTTCTCTATATGTCCAATTTCACTTCCTCCAGAGATCAAGGAAGCAAAAAAAGAGAATGACCTGGATGAGACTTACGTTAAAAGAAGAAAGGGATAACCTGGTTTCACCACTCTCAAAACACTCCACCATGACTGAACAGCAACCTCTTCTCTTGAGGGACTCCTCAGCCACTCCCCATGGCCTTCTCTCCACTGCCCGAATTGTGTAACTGGCTGTTCAGAGCCACAGCCTGGCTTTAAGCCATCCAACTGCTGTACCAATTGATGGAGTCATGTTTTTTCAATTGGAAAAGAATGACAAAGTTATCCTCTGATTCAGAAAGGCAGCTGATCTTTCAGGCATGTGAGTGCTGACTGAGGAAACCGCACCTCTGTCCACCTGAGGAAAGCTGGATTTCTGTGATGGGTGGAGTGGTGGGGGTTGGAGCTTTGAAGCAATTAAATACCAGATGAAGGGTGAGAAACTTTTAGTTTGTGATTCCCAAACTCAGGGCTAGTGGATGAGGGCAGAATTGTGGAGTCAGTGAACACTAGCTATCTTTCTTTCCTCCCTCCTTCCTTCCATCCAGTATCACCCAGCTTCCCTGTATTCTTGTCCCATATCCCAGAGGATTCTAACAAGGACCAAACTCTGAATGAATGAAAACAGGACCGTTGCCTGACCCATTCACCATTGTATTTCTAGTACCTGGAACAGTGTTTGGCACAGACTGGTGCTCAAAAAATAAGCTGTTGAATGAATTGATTAATAAAATAAAAACAAGGCACGGGGCACGTACCTCCACTTCACACACTGTGGGAAGTTGGGGTATACAACTCTTAAGTGCTGGGGCAACTGTGGAGCTCCTGTCATTAAGCCAAGCTGCCAATAAGGCTGAAAACAACTTAAATATACTGCATATTAATGGGAGGACATTGAAGGTAAACAGCATTCACTTTTCAAAGGAATACGACTATAAGTGGCAAGCACAGACAATGTTCTTTGGGGCCCTTTAAAACTGCAATCAGCCGGGCACGGCAGCTCACGCCTGTAATCCCAGCACTTTGGGAGGCCGAGGTGGGTGGGTCACCTGAGGTTGGGAGTTGGAGACCAGCCTGATCAACACAGAGAAACCCCCATCTCTACTAAAAACACAAAACTAGCCGGGCATGGTGGTGTATGCCTGTAATCCCAGCTACTCGGGAGGCTGAGGCAGGAGAATCGCTTGAACCTGGGAGGCAGAGGTTGCGGTGAGCCGAGATCATGCCACTGCACTCCAGCCTGGGGAACAAGAGTAAACTCCGTCGAAAAAAAAAAAAAGAAAGAAAGAAAAAAGCTGCAATCAAATGGCCCACCCATCTGATGCCGGGTCCTCAGGATTCAGAGAAAATGTGTACCAAAAAGCCCCCAGGAAACCATAAATGCTGAGCATAGGACTTGGGTGCCTCTGGAATGTCCTTCTGCCTCAGCTACTCTGAGATAACATGGTCCCCTGTGTTCATGGAACCCAGATGGCCAAAAGTCAATGATCCAGCACTTATAAGAAAAGAAAGCGATTCAAGAGCCTCTGTACCCACCTAGGCCTCAGCCTCCCCAGGACCTACTCACCTATACTCTTCACAACAGGTAACGTTGCCTCTGGCACCCATCATATCCCCTGAATTCAGCATCAGGACTGATCTGCCATCAGCTCTGGCAGGGAGAGTCCCTTACAAGTGCCAAGAAAAGGAACATGAACAATATTCTGTGACCACAGCCAACACCACACAGAACTTCCCAGAAGCTCTCCAGGGCGAGAACACCAACCAGAAGGAAGTGACAGCTTCCATCATTCTGTGCTAAGTGAGCTGAGTGAGTGGCCATCTCTCACCTTCCAGATATTTGAATGATACCTACCATTCCAGCAGCCAGCACAAGTCATTTAATATGAATGCCAGAAACACAATCCCTGAGGACAGGTACAGGAGACCAGATGCCAGGAAAAACCCCGGCCCCACCCAAGAGTTGGGGAGAGCCCACTGCTCCTCCACCCTTATTTACCACCTGAGCCCCTGCACCCGCCAATCATGCTGCTCAGTCTGTAACTGCGGGTCTGAGTGAGCACCTACATTTGGCTGTTGAGGGGCAGCTGGTGGAGTTGGCAGGCGACTCTGCACTAAGTTCTCAGGTTGAATGGGAGTTGGGTCGAGGGAAGGAATGGACGCAGAGTTAGGGTGAAGAGTTGCGGTGGGTCAGCGGGGGTGAAAGGACATGGAGATGTCATTTTTAACAAGATTGGGTGAGGGTGGTAGGAAAGGAGGCAGCAAGAGTTCGGGACAGTTTGGCAAAGACTTAGGGATGGGGTGTCCTCAGTACGGCAGGAGACGCAAAGGAAGGTATACAGTGGGCTAGGAGACTAAGGACGAGAAGACACAGTTACGACTTGGAATAAGGCTGAGATCGGAGTTATCCAGAAGAAAGCGGTGAGCTCAACAGGGCACCTACTTTGGGGGTGGGTCTTAGATGAGAGGGCGGAGGTAGAATGTTTAGGATGAGCAGATCTTGGGGAGCTGGACAGGGGATGGGGGTGACTGGGATAAGAAAGCTGAGCCAGAAAAGGGGAAACCTGAATGGTGGGTCTCGGGGAGGTGAGCGCGGAGCATCGGGATTACCAGAGGGGTGGGGAGAGAGGATGAGGTGTGTCAGGGCGGGGCGAAGGGACGTGGCCGAGATCGGGGTTGGAACTGGGGTAAAATGGGGTCACGAGTGAAGCTGCATTTAAGCAAGACCGCTGGTGAGGGGATGCGGGCGCGGGCTGGGGGCTGGACAGACGGAGGGGACGGGGCCACAGCGGCGGTGCAGGGGGAAGGCTGGGTCGGAGCGGAGCGGGCGCGGGCTGGACAGGGCTGAGGGCTCTGAAGCCGGGCAGTCTCAGGGTAACCAGGGGCTGGGAATCGCGGAGGGAGCGGGAGGCCCACCGCCCGTTCGCGCCTCGGCCCTCCCACCACTCCGCCGCCCTCCTCGCATCTTGACCCCCTAACTCACCAAGCGGAGCGAGGAGCGAGGCGAGGGGGGCTCCCGGCTGCGGCAGCCCCTCAGCCTCCGAGCCGACGATGCGGTCTCTCGGCCACTGACAACAGGAAGCAGCGCCCCGGCCCCTGACGCCATCACGTTGGCTCGGCGCTCCGGCCCTGCCCCCGGCCCGCGGTGCCAATCGCGCAGCCCGAAGGAGCCTTGGGGCGGGGCCAGCTGCTCCCGGAAGTCCCTGGGAGCTGAGCCCCGGGGCAGATGCGAGGTCTGGGAGGCTGGGGAACTGGGGGCGCCTGCAGGGCGCAGAGAGGCGACGGCACCGGTGTCAGGGAGAACGCATCCGTTACCGCCCGCCTCCCGCAGGTCTGCGTCAAACTAGATCCTGGCTTCTGGGTTCCTGACCTCGTTTGGCCTCAGAACCATCTGTGCAACATTGGGGCTGTCACTTCGCCTCCCTCAGCTGAAGAGTTCCCACTTGTGAGTGGGACTAATAACGCCTGCCCTATCTTTGCCTCTCCGAGGGCAGCAGTGCAGCCCGTGGGGCGGAGCCCGGGCCCAAATTGGAGCCTCCGCGTTGCGCTTTCAGGATAAACACAGCTGTTTTGACCACACTTTATCCCAAGGGAACGCCTTGAGGTCCCCTTGGGCACACTCCCGTGTGTAACTCGCCCATTAGCACCGCCTGGCTTGAAGCTTAGGGGTCTGGTTATTCTCTTCTAGCCCGTGTAGAGGATTTCTTTCTTCCTTTCTGTTTTTTTTTTTTTTTTTTTGGGACAGGGTCTCACTCTGTCGCCCAGACTGGAGTGCTGTGGCACGATCACGGCTCACCACAGCTTTGACCTCACGGACTAAGCGGTTCTCCCACCTCAGCCTCCACGCAGCTGGGACTACAGGCGTGCACCACCACGCCCAGCTAATTTTTTCTTCTTCTTTTTTTTTTTTTTTTTTTTGCGACGGAGTCTGGCTCTGTCGCCCAGGCTGGAGTGCAATGGCGCGATCTCGGCTCACTGCAAGCTCCGCCTCCTGGGTCGACGCCATTCTCCTGCCTCAGCCTCCCGAGTAGCTGGGACTACAGGAGCCCGCCACCACGCCCGGCTAATTTTTTTATGTTTTTAGTAGGATGGGGTTTCACCGTGTTAGCCAGGATGGTCTCGATCTCCTGACCTGGTGATCCACCCGCCTCGGCCTCCCAAAGTGCTGGGATTACAGGCGTGAGCCACCGCGCCCGGCCAATCTTTTCATTTTTAAAAAAATTTATTTATTTTGTAGAGACAGGGTCTCACTGTGTTACCTAGCCTGGTCTCCAACTCCTGGCCTCAGGCGATCCTCCTGACTCGGCCTCCCAAAGTGCTGGGATTACAGGCATGAACCACCACACCTGGCCTGTATATCTTCTTTCTAACGCAAAAGTGACATTTCTCTTTCAGATGAACTCGGAACAAAATGTCATAAGTGGTGGCCACAGGTAGTGAAGAGCAGGGCAGGGAGTGTTGGCAGGGACCCATGCTCTGGACACTTTATACTTGCAGGCTTTGGTCAATTGGGAGCCTAGGGCCTGAGTGTGGATGAGGAGAGGTACTGCTACATGCCAGTCGTAAGTGGGCACAGGGGTTGGCTGGGGAACGGGCCAGTTCTTGGAAGCAAGCTTCACTGCCCTCGGCCTGGGCGTCCTGTGCTCTTTTGGCTTCTCTGGGTAGGAAGGTGTCCCTCTTATCTCTGCAAAGGTCAGAGTCCCACTGTCTGCTTTCAAGTATAAAACCAGCACTTGGGGGTATGACCCTGGACTGTATGAGGGCCGCCCTTTCAGTAATTCTCTCTCCAGGAGTGAGAACCTCCCCTTCTCAATTTTAGACTAGATGGGTCTGAGTGTGTTTAGTGCAGTTAATGGTTGAGCAGGAAGATTAGAAATAAGGACATAGAGACAAACTATTCTCTCGGTGTTAAACTCATTTTAAACAAAGTGGAAAGTAAGGGATTTAGTAGGGAAATCCTTTCACCTTGGCAAAACGATAGTATACAACTGGCACAGCATGATCCTTGGTGGCTTGGCACAAGCATTCCCTGTCCCCCCCCATCAAGCACATAATGTCCCTCAGTAATTCCACTGCATTTTTGTGCAGCGGCTGTGTGCTGGAGTGTGGGGAACCCCCCGGTAATCTCTTGTCTGCTTTTTAGGAGCCCCTATCTCCTGGTCTTCTCTTACCTCCCAAGCTACCCTGCTTCTTTGAAAAGTCTGCAGGCTTGTCTACCTCTTCTCAGCTTGCTCTGCATGCCTTGGGGAAGCTGCATAAAGCATGGATCATGAAGGAGGGGGGCGGAGGAGAGGGAAATGCATGTTTGCACAAATGGACCCTGAGCCCACCAGGCAGGCTCCAGATAGGGAAAAAAAAAAAAAAAAAAACCCTTACATTATCATGTGACTTGCGCAAGAAAAAAGGTACCTGCAAAGGGCCAAGGGACCAGAGAGGAGAACTTGAGAGGTATTCTGGAGGAGGCTACTTTTGATATGAGCTTTCTAGGTGAGTAAAGGGTATTGCAGCTGAAGGGACTGGCTGGTAAGTGGCCAGCAGATAGGAATACAGGCTGAGCTCAGGGAAGGGTGCACCCAGAGGTGGGGAGGAAGGTGGGAAGTGAAAAAGGAGGCTGGGCGCGGTGGGTCATGCCTGTAATCCCAGCACTTTGGGTGGCTGAAGCTGGTGGATCACTTGAGGTCAGGAGTTCGAGACCTGCCTGGCCAACATGGTGAAAGTCCATCTCTACTAAAAATACAAAAATTTGCCATGTGTGGTGGTGTGCGTCTGTAGTCCCAGCTACTAAGGAGGCTGAGGTATGAGAATTGCTTGAACCCGGGAGGCGGAGATTGCAGTGAGCCAAGATAATGCCACTGCACTACAGCCTGGGCGACAGAGTGAGATCCTGTCTCAAAAAAAATTTTTTTAATAATAATAAAAATAAATAAAAATAAAAGGAAGTGAAAAAGGAAAGGGGAAGGGGAGAGGGCCAGAATGGAAGGGGAGCTGAAGACTGAGCAAGGCAAAGTTGGAGGCCAGTGCAGAAAGGGCTCAAACCATTTGCAAGGATGGTTCACATCCCACTGGTCTGTCAGCTTAGATTTAAAGCACTACCCAGCGTTATTCAAAGCCAGACAGGAGAACTGTAGGCATCAGAATGCCCTGGGGACAGGTCCAAAATGCAGATTCCTAAGCCCCACACTAACCCTAAAGAGTCACTCTAGGATGAGGTCCAAGAATTTGGGCTTGACCCCACCGCTCCTGTCCCCTGCCCTCACACTGAGGACCTAAAGGATAATGAAAGGGGGGAATCTGTGCCCTAAATAATCCCTTTTGGCAGTTACTTTCTGTTTTCAAAGTTCAAGTCTGTCCTCCGGGACTAACCTAGGAGATGAGGGATAAGGGAATTAACATTTATGGAAAATGGAAGAACCTACATAGGCACCTGTGTTCACCTAATATGCCTTACCAGCCACCTGAAAGGTGGGTGCTGCCATTATCTCCATTGTATGGATGAGAAAATAGGCTTAAAAGAGGTTAAGTGGCCAGGTGCAGTGGCTCACGCCTGTAATCCCAGCACTTTGGGAGGCCGAGGTGGGTGGATCAAGAGATCCAGACCATCCTGGCCAACATGGTGAAACCCTGTCTCTACTAAAAATACAAAGAATTAGCTGGGTGTGGTAGCGCGCATCTGTAGTCCCAGCTACTTGGGAGGCTGAAGCAGGAGAATCGCTTGAACCCAGGAGGCAGAGGTTGCAGTGAACCGAGATCACGCCACTGCACTCCAGCCTGGTGACAGAGCGAGACTTCATCTCTTAAAAAAAAAAAAAAAAAAAAAAAAAAGAGGTTAAGTAACTTGCGGGGGAGCCACAGCCACAGAAGTATTAAGTGCTAGAAGTAGGATTCTTACCTAGTTCTTTCTGATTCTAGTTTCAGCTTTGTTCAGTGGGTTTTAGAGCCAGGGCTGTTTAGGTTTGAATCTCATCTCTATCCCATATTGTTTGCTGGGACTTCCTTAAAACAGTGTGGGGCCCAGGGCAACCCAATGAGTATGGGGCTAAGACAGCTGACAGCTGCCACCAAATCAGCATTTTTCACAGGCCCGTTGAGATAGCAGTGAAGACAGAAATTTCTAAATTGAATTTTATTGATGTTCAGGAAAGAGAAGTAAGTCACACCGCCTCTTGGTCCTCAGCCCCAAGCAGAGAGCCCAGAGTGTGTGACCTCAGGCAAGTGCCAAAACCTCTCTGAGCCTCAGTTCCTCATTGTAAATAGGGGCTAATGTCAGTTGATGTGAGGAGTAAATATCATGATATCCTGGCTGGGCACAGTGGCTCACGCCTGTAATCCCATAACTTTGGGAGGCTGAGGTGGGTGGATTACTTGAGGCCAGGAGTTCGAAACCAGCCTGGCCAACATGGTGAAACCCCATCTCTACCAAAGATACAAAAATTAGCCAGGCATGATGGTTCATGCCTGTAGTCCCAGGTACTTGTGAGGCTGAGGCACAAGAATCGCTTGAAGCTGGGAGGCTGAGGTTGCAGTGAGCTGAGATTGCGCCACTGCACTGCAGCCTACATGACAGAGTGAGACTCTGTTCCAAAACAACAACAACAACAAAAAAAAAAAAAAAAAAAGAAAAGAAAAAAAGAAAAGAAAAAGATGATATCCTTAATGCAAGTTCTGGCCTGTAGTAAGTGCTCAAAGATGAACAGTTGTTATTATTCTAGTTGTGGCTAATTTTCACCCTGCCAATTGGGCAGGTCCTTGCCTTCCATTGCTCTTGTAAGCACCTGAATGAGAGCCTTTCTTGTCTGAACCCCAGATATATTCTTGCTTGGCGTCTGATTGAAATAATAAAACTAATGTTAATGCACCCTCCTCTCTGGACACTGGAATCACTGGTGTGCTCTTCAGTTCTGTTGTAGGAAGCGGTTTCTTTCCACTCTCTCTTTTTTAAAAAATTGATTAAAAAGTGTTGTTATACACACGGTTTACAATTCAATAAAATGAAACGGAATGGGGATGAAACATAACGAACAACAGCAGTTCATTGTCCCCATTGTTCCCACCCTTCTGGGGAGCAGGCTTTCAGCAGAATCTTCTGGTGCTTC
Organism: Homo sapiens; assembly: GCF_000001405.40. Lineage (NCBI taxonomy): Eukaryota > Metazoa > Chordata > Mammalia > Primates > Hominidae > Homo > Homo sapiens. Next base: position 64,842,166 of record NC_000017.11, read on the forward strand.
TCCCCACATCTCCTGCACGTCTCATTGTTTGTATTTTATTATTTTTTTGAGACACAGTCTCGCTCTGTCACCCAGGCTGGAGTGGTGCCATCTTGGCTCACTGCAACCTCCGCCTCCTGGGTTCAAGCAATGCTCCTGCCTCAGCCTCCCTACTAGCTGGGATTACAGGCACCTGCCACCATGCCCAGCGAATTTGATATTTTTAGTAGACGCGGGGTTTCACCATGTTGTCAAGCCTGATCTCAAACTCCTGACCTCACGTGATCCACCCGCCTTGGCCTCCCAAAGTGCTGGGATTACAGGCGTGAGCCACCGCGCCCAGCTGTCTCATAGTTTTAGACACTGTCTGTTGCCTTCCTGGTAAACCTGGCAAGGACTTAGCTCTTTTACACCCCAGCCCTGTCCATTCTTGAGGTTTGGGTATGCCACAATTTGTAGAAAATGAACCATGTTTACAGAATTGTGACTATATAAATATTATTCACCACAGAGCTTAATAATGTGCTGTGAGGTCAGGCATGGTGGCTCATGCCTGTAATCCCAGCACTTTGGGAGGCCAAGGTGGGCGGATCACCTGAGGTCGGGAGTTCAAGACCAACATGGCCAACATGGAGAAACCCCATCTCTACTAAAAATACAAAAATTAGCCGGGTGTGGTGGTGCCCCCCTGTAGTCTCAGCTACTTGGGAGGCTGAGGCAGAGAATCACTTGAACCTGGGAGGTGGAGGTTGCAGTGGGCTGAGATCATGCCACTGCACTCCAGCCTGGGCAACAGAGTGAGACTCTATCTCAAAATATAATAAAATAAAAATAAAATACACTCTGATGATGATGGCTGCTTCCCCCAAGGGTGCCTCAAGCTCTCCTTTTCTTTCAGTGCCATCTGCCATTATCGTGCCCTTGTTCTCTTCCAGTGCTCTGGCGGAGCAGGTGGCGCCCAGGCCCACAGTGCCCTCTCCAAGTTCTGTCCTCCATGTGCTCAAGTTATCCCCTAAACTTGTCACATGTGGTCATCCTGGAACTTTGCTTAACTGCTTCCTGGGTTGGGGCCTTTATTTCCTGGCTCCCTTCTCTTCTTGCTTAATTTCCCCTCCCTTTGCTGCAGCACATACTCAGTTAAGAATCCCTTTCTAACATTAAAAAAAGAAAAAGAGAATAGTTCTTGGACCTCCTCATGATAGAAATTATATCTTTAGGCCGGGTGTGGTGGCTCACGTGTGTAATCCCAGCAGTTTGGGAGGCCGAGGCAGGTGGATCACTTGAGCTCAGGAGTTCAAAACCAGCCTGAGCAACATGGTAAAACCCTATCTCTACAAAAAGTACAAAAATTAGCCAGGTGTGGTTGCATGTACCTGCAATCCCAGCTACTCAGGAAGCTGAGGGAGGAGAATCTCTTGAACCCAGGAGGTGGAGGTTGCAATGAGCTCTGATCATGCCACTGCACTCCAGCCTGGGCGACAGAGTGAGACCCTGTCTCAAAAAAAAAGAAAATAAAGTTGTATCTTTAATATCCATTAACTGAAAAATAAAAATAAAAATAAGGACCAAAAATTACTATGCGGACACACATGCTTTTAAATGAATTTGTGTGTTATTAACCACAGTAACATCTATGAACCTGTGAAAAACTGTTACTGGTTTAGGCTTAAGGGTTTGCCCAGTCTAGCTTCAATGTTCAATGGGTGGGCACGGTGGCTCACACTTTGGGAGGTGGCCAAGGCAGGCAGATCGCTTAGTCCAGGAGTTGGAGACCAGCCTGAGCCACATAGCGAAACCCTATCTCTACAAAAAATTTAAAAATTAGCCGTGTGCAGTCACGCGCACCTGTAGTCCCAGATATTGGAGGGCAGTGGGGGGTGGCGCTGAGGCGGGAGGATCACTTGAGGCCAGAAGGTCAAGGCTGCAGTGAGCCGAGGCTGAGTCACTGCACTCCAGCCTGGGTGGCACAGCAAAACTCTGTCAAAAAAACAAAACAAAACAAAACAAACAAACAAAAACCAAAGTTGGATGCAGTGGCTCATATCTGTAATCCCAACAACTTGGAAGGCTCAGGCAGGAGGATTGCTTGAGGCCAGGAGTTCAAGACCAGCCTGGGCAACATAGTGAGACCCTCGCCTCTGAAAAAATTAAATATTAATAAAAACAAACCCTAGTAGCTTCAGTCTTTGATTCTCCATCCCTCATTTCATCCCTTTGTCTTCTGGTAATATAATTTCCTTCTTGTTTTTCCTTTGGGATGAGCCACTTTCGCTCCCTGGGATTCTGCTGGGATTGAGTTACCGCCTTCCGGGCTCAAGCGATCCTCCCACCTCAGCCTCCCAAGTCGCTAAGACCATAGGTGCATGCCACCATGCCTGGCTAATGTTTTGTATTTTCTGTAGAGCCGGCGTTTTACCCTGTTGCCCAGGAGTTTTTCCTTTAATGTTCTCCTGCTACTTACTAATTCACTTTGTCACCCTGTGAGCTCATAAGAGCAGAGAGATAGCAACAGGAGCTAAAAAAAACTCTAAGCTGGGAAAAAATATTAAATATGAAATCATGATAGCTATTAGCTTAATTTGTTTTAGGCAAATTGCAAAGTAATTTTTTGGGAATCAGTGTCCCACTGCAGTGATTCCATACGGGGATTCCTAATTCCCAGTATGTTTTTAAAATAATTTGTAAACACCTAGTACAAACACATGATATGAAATTCAAGAGGTACAAAAGGGCATACAGCCCTGCACTCTCCCAGTTTCCCTCCCCGAAGGCAACCGCCATTACCAGTTTCTCGTGTGTGCTTCCAGAGGTATTCTTGTCCAACAGAACTTCAGTGATGAAAACAGTTGCCTGTGCTGCCAGTTTGGAAGCCATTAGCCACACGGGGCAGTTGAGCACTTGATATGTGGCTAGTGTGTCTTAGGAGCTGAATTTAAAAAAAAATTTTTTTTTTTTTAAAGACTCAGTGTCTTGCTCTGTTTACCAGACTGGACTGCAGTGATGTGTGAACATGGCCTCAAACTCCTATTTATTTATTTTTTGAGACAGGGCCTCACTCTGTTGTCCAGGCTGGAGTGCAGTGGTGCAGTCATAGGTCACTGCAACCTTGACCTCCTGGGCTCAAGAAATCCTCCCACCTCAGCCTCCTAAGTTGCTGGGACTACAGATGAATGCCACCATGTTTGGCTGATTTTTACAATTTTAAATTTTTTGCCTGGGCGCAGTGGCTCATGCCTGTAATCTCAGCACTTTGGGAGGCTGAGGCGGGCAGATCACCTGAGGTCAGGAGTTCGAGACCAGCCTGGCCAACATGGCGAAACCTTGTCTCTACCAAAAATACAAAAATTTGCTGGGCATGGTGGTGCGTGCCTGTAGTCCCAGCTACTTGGAGGCTGAGGCACGATAATCGCTGAACCCAGGAGGCAGATGTTGTAATAAGCTGAGACTGCGCCACTGCACTCCAGCCTGGGTGACAGAGTGAGACCCGTCTCAAAAAAAATAAAAATAAATAAATAAATAAATTTTTTGTAGAAAAGGGGTTTCACTATGTTGCCCAGGGTGTTCTTGAACTATTGGCCTCAAGCTATCCTCCCACTTGGCCTCCCAAAGTGCTAGGATTACAGGCATGAGCTACTGTGGCCAACCTAAATTTATATGTAAATAGCCATATGTGGCTAGTGGCTACTGTATCAGACCTCACAGTTCTGTACAGATAACGCACAGCGCACAGTAGCATACTATACACGCCCTACTAAATCTTGCTTTGTTCCCTTAACGGCACCTATGCATCTTGGAGATAGATTGTCCCAGTCTGCCTCATTTTTAAAAACTGCTGCATAATATCCTCTTGTAATCCACAAAGGCAATCCCAGACCCAGCCTGGGGGGCCATGGGTCATCACTTTTTACAACAAGCTCTAAAATCTTCCACATATACCATAATCAAGGCACTTCAGAACAACCCTAGGTTCCTCATGCCTCTACTTTTATTAGCCTGGGCCTGACATAGTTGGACATTGAATAGTCACTTCTGGGGGCTGGTGGAAATAATTTACCATGAGTGACTGCCCTAAAATATACTCTCCACCCACATGGCCCGTGTCTGGCATTCACTAGTGCTGGTGGCATTCTTTAAGGTTGCTCATATCTCTAAGTGGTTCTCCTTTAAAGAGCAAAGTCTCCTGGGAAAGGTGGTCATTAAGCAGAACATCTGGGGCTCATCTTGCTTTTGCCCTGTTGAGAGGGGCCAAGGGACTTGGTAGAGCAGCAGGGGCTCTGACGGTGAACCTCATTGTTTTTAAAATTATTCTTAAGAGGCCAGGTGCGTTGGCTCACACCTGTAGTCCCAGGATTTTGAGGAGCAGAGGCAGGAGGATCGTTTGAGTCCAGGAGTTCAAGATTAGACTGAGCAACACGGGGAGACCTCATCTCTACAAAAAATTTAAAAGAAAATTAATTGGGCATCGTGGCATGAGCCTGTGGTTCCCGCTACTCGGGAGGCTGAGGTGGGAGGCTGTGGTTCCCGCTACTCACCTGAGCCCAGGAGGTTGAGACTTGCAGTGAGCTGAGTTCACACCACTGTACTCGAGCCTTGATGACAGAATGAGAGTTTCTCAAAAAAAAAAAAAAAAAAAAAATTGTCCTTAAGTCCATGTGGACCCCTGACTAGGTTTGTGCCCTAGACAGCCTTCCTCTGAGGGCAATTCAGGTGGTGAGACTCCAGCTTTAAATGGCCTCTAGAGAAATTTCACTAACCTGCCTTGGTGTTTGACCCTGTATAACCCCTTTCTTCTGGAGGTCCCTTTGGGTGGCAGTAGATACGGGATTTGGTGTCTGACAGCTCTGGGGACAGATCCCAGCTCCAAATGGCAGAGTCTCTACAGATTACAAGCCAAATACTTAGCACTATGTGCTGATCTTCAGGAAGTCAGTCTATATTTCATAACAAGTCACATGGGGATAATGAAGGAATGGCCTAAAACGCTCTCAGTAATATTCCTGAGTCATCCCTCAGGGCTGGGCTTGGTGTTAGGCATGGCGGGGAAGGGAGCAGAGCTGTGTGCAGAGGAAGATGCAGTTCTTGCCTTGTCAGGGTCCCTGACCTGATGGCGACCCATGGTGGAGTCTTCATAGTGATAGACACCACTGTAAAAGCAGATCCAGGTTGTGCAACCCTCAAAGCAGGTCTCCTCACTCACCGGGATAGATAGACTATTGGCGGTACCTGCATCCACCGCTTGCCATGGTTTCGTTGTGGGTGGAGGATACTTTCCTGTCCCCTGGCTTTGGGTTTGCCCATGTGGATTGCTCTGGCCTTGGAATGAAGCAGAAACCAAAGGCTGCCAGTTCCGAGCCCACGTCTGAAGTCGCCTTAGGTGGTTCCGCGGGCCCCGTGCGCTCCCACCTTCACCCAGAGGGCCTTCTCTGGTGCAGCCGCTGCTTCTTCAGCCTCCGCCCAAAAGGAACGGAGGCCCCTGGCTGATCCGCAGGCCTACAGGGAGCCACAGAGCGCAGCGGCTGGACCAGCGTTCAAGCCCAAGCACAGGCCTGCGAGAACCTTGTTCCAGCCGCCGTTTAGGATGGTTGATTAGGACGCGTTGCAGTGGCGGTAGCTCACCAATCCAGTGCGTGCACCCGCTCCTTTATTAGGCCATAGAGCCAGTGGCTCCCACAGGGACCTGATACAACAGTGCGTTAAATAAGGAGCATATTGAGCTCTCATGTCGTAAGCCAGTGGAGAAGTCCAGGGCTAGTGTGGGGGCTCCGGCGGGGGCTGTGGCCCGCATCCGCATGGAGCCTCCCCATGGTTCACAGGTCTCAGTCTTCGGAGCCTTCGGCCCTGCGAGCCCGAACGGTCCACAGGGGGGCGCCAAACCCTCTTTCGAACGCCATCCTCTAAAGCCTAGGCTCCAACCGGTTCCATTTCTTCAGGCTCAGGATTTTCACTCTTCTCGAATGGGGGTGTCCCTCCCCCAATCTTCTGAGTCGCAACAGCATCTCCCTCCCTCCAGGACCTCAGAGCCAGAGCTGGGCGAGAGGCCCTGACCTCCGGGGTAGGGTGGAAGCGTCCCTGTGAAGGTGCTGTCCTGCCTCCCATCCCCAGGCGCCGGGCCTCTCCCACCCTCAGCGCCCTGCTCACCTCCAGCTGAAGATGTCAGGGCACCTCTGCTTCCTCCCTGCCGTTTCTGCAGTACCGCCGAGTGTGCATAAACGGGTTTAATACAGGCTTTGCTGGGTGCGGGGACTCCCACCTGTAATCCCAGTACCTTGAGAGACCAAGGCGGGAGGATCACTTGAGGCCAGGAGTTCAAAACCAGCCTGGGCAACAAAGTGAGGCCCGTCTCTGGAAAAAAAAAAAAAAAAAAGAATAAAAGAGGTCCCTTTTTCTGGGAGATTGATATAGGGGAGTGTGAGTTAGAAGGGAGGCATCGAGGATCAGTCATTTAAAGCAGCATCCAAGGATGTTCAAGGCTAGAGATCCACAGGTGTATTTTCAGAAACTGAATTTCCTGGCGGGGCACAGTGACTCATGCCTGTAATCCCAGCACTTTGGGAGGCCAAGGTGAGTGGATCACTTGAGGTCAGGAGTTCAAGACTAGCCTGGCCAACATGCTGAAACTGTTTTTAGAAAAAAAAAAATTGGCCAGGCATGGTGGTGGGCGCCTGTAATCCCAGCTATTCGGGAGGCTGAGGCAGGAGAATCACTTGAACCTGGAAGGCAGAGGTTGCAGTCAACCGAGATCACGCTACTGCACTCCAGCCTGGGTGACAGAGACTGTCTCCAAAAACAAACAAACACACAAACAAAACACAAAAAAACCCCAAAACCCAAAACAAGCCAGGCGTGGTAGCTCGCACCTGTAATCTCAGCCCTTTGGGAGGCCAGGGCGGGTGGATTACCTGAGGTCAGGAGTTTGAGACCAGCCTGACCAACATGGGGAAACCCCGTCTCTACTAAAAATACAAAAATTAGCCGGGCATGGTGGTGCATGCCTGTAACCCCAGCTACTAGGGAGGCTGAGGCAGGAGACTTGCTTGAACCCAGGAGGCAGAGGATGCAGTGAGCTGAGATCGTGCCATTGCATTCCAGACTGAGCAACAAGAGCAAAACTCCACCTTAAAAGAAAAAAAAAAAAAGAAAAAACAAACAAAACTCCTGAATTTCCCTGTGGATACCTTTTCTCTGGCAGACTTTTTCAATGAGGGCTAAGTTGTCTCCAATACTATATGGCCTGTAGACCGCTCAGCTTTCATTCCAGTGAAAACATTCCAGAAAAATCTCTGAATCAATCCCAGGTGTTTCTCCAATCAGCTCAGGATGATTGTGTGTTACCTGCTGCCCAGCTAGTGACACCTCTCCAGGCCTCTGACTTAGCTAGGTCTCCACCATGTGACTCCACCGTAGACTCCCCGCCTTCTTCTTTTGCAAAGCCTTGGACACCCAAACACCTACCAAAAGTGGGTTAGTGTGCCAGGACACCTCCAAGTGTAAGTGGGGCTCTCCAGCACACCTGGATGTGGAGGTGTGATGCAGAGTGGTGGCTGCTCGTGACACTCATTTCACCCCTTTCTGTGCAGGTGCCAGAAGCCCAGGAAGCACACATCAAGGCTCGCTTGCCAGCGGGGTGCTGCCAATAAAATGTAGTCACGTGGAATTTGGGATGTGGAAAGGAGGTAGAAGTCATCCTTTCCTCCCCCATAGCAGCAGGTGTGCAGGCTCTGGTGGTCAGCTGGACTCCATACTCCCCCACCAGTCACCAGCCTGGGGACCGTGGGGCTGCAAGGACCTCAGCAGCAGTTTCCCAAGTTTCCTGACTTCTTCCATCCTCTGGAAATCAGCTGTGGTAAAGTAGCCTGAAAGCCAGTGGTGCAACCCCATCCCCACAACCTTCACCACCTCTAGCCCCTCCAGTGATAAGCACTAATTGCCTATATACAACCCTTTTTTGTTTGAAATATCTAGAGTAATTTCTGTTTTCCTATCTGGGGTAGTGTAACATAAGAAGAAATATATATTTGGTCTCTGCCCCCAGTTCCTAACACAAAGCTCCCAAAACCCTTGAAAATTCCTGAATGATGGCAGTGCTAAGAGCATTGTCCTTTGTTAGTTTATCATTTTTCTTTTCTCCTAGGTGTTTTTTCCTTTTTAAACTTTTCTTTTAGGTTAGGGGGTACATATGCACGTTCGTTATATAGCTAAACTTGTGTCATGGGGGTTTGTTGTACAGATTATTTCATCACCCAGGTACCAAGCCTAGTACCCAATAGTTTTTTCTGCTCCTCTCCCTCCTCCCACCCTCCACCCTCAGGTAGGGCCCAGTGTCTATTGTTTATGAGTTCTCATTATTTTGCTCCCACTTATAAGAACATACAGTATTTGGTTTTCTGTTCCTGTCTTAGTTTGCTGAGGATAATGGCCTCTAGCTCCATCTGTGTTCCTGCAAAAGACATGATCTCGCTGTTTTTTATGGTTGCACATCTTTTGTTCTAACATTTGGTCCTTAAACCTGGTTCCTGACACAGAGCTCCTAAATCCCTTGGAATTTTCTGGGTGATAGAAGCGTCCTTTGTTCTCATGAGGTGACTCTTGGTGGGCTCCTTATTTGGGGACTGGTCACCAAAAAGACCTATGGTTGGAAGTGTTGTGCTGTCAGCCCCATTCCCCATCCTCTGGGGTGGGGAGTGGAGCTGGAGCTCAATCATGCCTACGTGATAAAGCCTCCAGAAAACTCCTTAAAAGACAGGACTTGGAGAGCTTCCGGGTTGGCGAACACATCCATGTTCCAGGAGAGTGGTGCACCCCAACTCCACAAGGACCCTTCCAGACGTCACCCTGTGTATCTCTTCATCTGGCTTCATCATTTGTGTCCTTTAAAATATCCTTTGTAATAAATCAGCAATAGTAAGAAAACTGTTTTCCTGGGTTCCATGAGCTGTTTTAGCAAATGTTCAAACCTGAGGAGGGAGTTGTGGGGACCTCCAATTTATAGCCAGTTGGTCAGATGCATAGGTGATGCTTGGCCTTGCACCTGGGGTCTGACATGGGGATGGTCCTGTGTGACAGAGCCCTTAACCTGTGGAGTCTGGTGCTCACTCTGCTTAGGGCTTCTCTGCCTTTTTAGTGTCCTTCTAGAAGGCCTTTCCTTCCTCTTGTCAGCTCAGAAAACTTTTCTTCCACTTCCCTTCTTCTAAACCATCCCTTACATCTACTCCTTTCCAGCCGACCAAGAGCAGAACCACGGCTGGCTCCACTGCCACCATGCTGTCCCACACTGTCTCCTCGGGATGTATTCAGATGTCCAACCCTCCCCCCAGTCTAGGAGCCACCCCCCTTTGAGGAAAGGGATGCTGGCCTAGTCAACTCTTTCCCAGCACCAGGCACAGCATCTGGCACATTCCATCTTTTTCATGGACTCTCCCCAGGCGGCCTGACCTTCCCTCCTCTGAACCAGTGCATTTCTTGTCTGCATCATGTTTGCCCTAATCAGATACCACCTTATTTCCATCTTTTAAAAAATGCTCTATTTCTCTGGCAGGCTTCATCGGAATCACAATTTTCATTCATTTAGTAACTGTTGGCCTTGTATCCACCTCTCTCTGGCACTCAGGTCTCACTTAAGAGCTGGCTGTCTGTGATTTGCAATCAGTGAGATGGAGACAGAGGGAGCCCTAGGCAGTCATGTTTTGTTCCACCTGACCCTGGGCGCCACTCCCCCTCCCAGGCTACAGGCGGACATGGGCACCAGCCAGGGAGAGACAGCTCATCCATACTCTGGCCCAGCAGAAACTCTGGGCTTAGACAAAACTGCTCAATTGAGGACAAACTGGGCAAAGTAGAATCTTACTTTGGGAGTTTTTAGAAATATGGTGGGGTGGCATTTGGGAATAATAAGAATTGTAGCTGGGCATGGTGGTACGCGCCTGTAGACCCCCAGCTCTGGAGGCTGAGGTAGGAGGATCTTTGGAGCCCAAGAGCTTGAAGCAGCAGTGAGCTATGAAGCACCACTGCACTCCACCCTGGGTGACAGATCAAGACCCTGTCTGAAAAAAAAAATGTACACATTTGAGATGCATAAAATTTTCTTGTTATATAAAAAAATTATAAGCATCGAAATGTGAAATTATGTAAATATGCCAAAATAGAAACCTGGAGGTGCTTGGAATCCAGACTTTGAGAGCCCAGCAGTGCAAGGATCTCTAGTGTTGGCTTTTTTTTTTTTGAGATGGGATCTCACTCTGTTGCCCAGGCTAGTGTGCAGTGGCCCATTATAAGCTCACTGCAAGCTCCGCCTCCCAGGTTCAAGCAATTCTCTCTCCCTCAGCTTCCTGAGTAACTGGTGTTACAGGCGTGCATCACCACCCTCAGCTAATTTTTGTAATTTTTAGTAGAGACAGGGTTTTGCCATGTTGGCCAGGGAGGTCTTGAACTCCTGCCTCAGGTGGTCCACCTACCTCAGCCTCCCAAAGTGCTGGGATTACAAGCATGAGTCACTGCACCCGGCCTTGTCTTGGCTTCTTGTCAGCTCCCTGCTTATGTCCAACACTCACCCCTATTAGAGCTGGTGTGGGGAGCTTCTGTCCTGATGACTTAACAGTGTAATTAAAGTGCTTAGCGCTGTACCTGGACCACAGCTGGTGCCAATAAACAGCAGCTGCCATCATCCTCACCATCTGCATGTTATTGTTATATTAACTCTTTGATGGCAACCATGGCTTATCCCCCCAACTACCTAAGCCCTACAGCAGGGCAGTAGAATGGTTAAGAGGCTTTGAAGTCTAACAGTGCTAGCTTAAAACCCTAATTTGTTGCTTTGGATGTGTGGCTTTGGACACTTTGGGCAGCTCACCTACGTTCTTTGAGCCCTGTATCCTTATCTGTCAGATGATGATTTTTTTTTTTTTTTTTGAGATGGAGTCTCATTCTCTTGCCCAGGCTGGAGTGCAGTGGCGTGATCTTGGCTCACTGCAAGCTCCACCTTCCAGGTTCACACCATTCTCCTGCCTCAGCTTCCCGAGTAGCTGGGACTACAGGCTCCTGCCACCACACCCGGCTAATTTTTTTGTATTTTTAGTGGAGACAGGGTTTCACCATGTTAGCCAGGATGGTCTCGATCTCCTGACCTCGTGATCCGCCCGCCTCAGCCTCCCAAAGTGTCAGATGATTTTAACAACTATGCTTCCATGAATTGCTGGGCTAGATGATGTGACTGTAAAATGCCTAACCCACGGTTTAGCATCAAGTAAGCAAATTGTAAATGGTAGCGCTACTCTGCCTATGACTATTTAGTCTTGTGCTTTAAACTCAAATATTTGTTGGCCTACTGAAGTCACCACACAGAGAAATATGCTTTTCATTCTCAGTAAAGAACTTTGGGAGATAACTGGGGCAGGCAGCAAGAGAACAGATGTCATATGTCTAGATGTCATATGTCTAGCATCAGCAAACTCATCGGAACTGATGGGCAGCTCACTTTGCTTAGAACCTGCACCAGCATACACACGGGGCTGCTTCCCAGTCACACTGCTCCTGGGAAGGTAGGGGGGCTGCTGTTCTGCAATTAGCACGGTTCTTTACCTCCTATTACCGAACTGCCAGAGTTCATTTGTGTTCAGTTAGGTAGATGACCAATTCTTGTTCATTCCTATTTTCTTTTGCTCACTAATGTGTTTAACGTTCACTAACCTACCAAATGTGATTTATTAGTGACTTTTTCTTTGAAGATGGAGTGGAGGAATCCTAGTGCTTTCTGCAACATGCTACTGCTGTTATGGAACAGTGCAGTTATGGATGTGCATCAGCCGGGGATGGGGAGAGGCTAGGGCAGTACATGTGAATGGAGAGGTAGCCCCACCAGTGTGTTTTCTGAAATACAGTCCCTCAGAGGGCAGTCTTGGGAAATTACTGTTCTTACACATTCTTCTTGACTGTACCCCTCCAGCACCTCCCTGCTATCCAAGGGTTGGGATTTTTAAAAAGAAAAACACATTTTAAAAAAAGCAATGTGAATCTTTTGCCATCTTGTAAGGGTGAAAAGCCCCCTACCAAGTCGGGATGAACATTCATGCGTGTGCTTGAGGGCTTGGGAAAAAGACAGGGCTTGGCCCCACAGTGCAGGTAGGCCCAGTGATCCTATGATAGGGGCCAGGAGATGGGAGGTCCCCTGTGGGCAGGAGTTCAAGTATGTGGTATTATATGACTGGTGCTTGATGAACCAAGGGAGAGGGCACCAAAAACAATGTTATTTAATTGTAAAATCTCCACCCCCTGAGCATATGTTTTCAGGTCTGGGTGACTAATTAGACTGGGAAACAAGGGCAGGAACGATGGCCCTGTGCTTGCTCTGCCCGCTGCCTCTGTGGATGTGTGGGCCGCTGGCTTCAGTCCTGCTTTTTTGATGGCCGTTGTTTACGCTATGTATTTTTGCAGGAGGCCTGAGGTGGGCTGGGTTCTCCTCCTATGGCAGGGCTTCACTCTCCTCCTCCGTTGGGGCTTCGCTGTCCCTGGGATAAGAATAACAATGCCAAGGTTTTGATTCTTGAAAGGAGCAATTAAGCTTCTCACCCCCTCCTCATTTTAGATGGGAACTGTGAGGGCCCCGTCATTTACCCAGGGTCCCTGTTGAGGATCTTGTCCTCATTAGATGACTTCTTGTGCAGCTTCCATGTGTGATTATTTACTCTTGTGGCACTGAGAGGTTTGTACATATCTTTAAGCCAGATAGTTTGGCTCATTCCCCAGGCTGGAGTGCAATGGTGCTATCGTGGCTCCCTGCAACCTGCGCCTCCTGGCTTCAAGCAGTTCTCCTGCCTCAGCCTCCCAAGTAGCTGGGATTACAGGCCTGCGCCACCACACCCAGCTAATTTAGTATTTTTAGTAGAGATGGGCTTTCACCATGTTGGTCAGGCTGGTCACGAGCTCCTAACCTCAAGTGATCCCAAAGTGCTGTGATTACAGGCATGAGCCATCCTGCCTGGCCTTTCTGGTTAAAATTCTGTGAGGTTTGCATAAAAGGAATAGAGTAGGGGCCCAAAAACCAGTAAGATGAGAAAATAGTGTTTCCTCAGTTCTAGGATCCAGGGGAAAAAAAAAAAGAAATAAAAGAGAAAATACTGTTTCCTGCCACTTAAGAGGAAGGACTCACATATCCTACCTTCCATCAGCCTTGAAGGAGACAAGTGCCCTCTCTCTCACACCCGGTGGCCTTCCCTTCCCCTTTCCCAGAGCCTCCAAGAAGGCCCCTGGCCTGGCCTGATGCCCACCATCAGCAGCAATAGGCACCAAAACCTTTCTCCTTCCTATCCCTCCCCACCTCCCGAAAGGGCTGGGGACAGCAGGTGTGTCCTTGTTAGTTCCATCCAGCTCAGCTTTGGCTGGGGAGCTAATTTCACTGGAGCCAGGCTAAGCATTAGGGTAAGTAAGTATTTGTCCTGTCTCGGGCAGTTTCCTCACTGAAAAATGAGGGCAGAGTTCTAAGCCCTCCTCTAATTCTAAAATTCTAATTAAAACGTCGCGAGACTAGTGGTGGTGCATGCCTGTAATCCCAGCTACTCGGGAGGCTGAGGCAGGAGAATCGCTTGAACCTGGGAAGTGGAGGTTGCCGTGAGCCGAGATCGCGTCATTGCACTCCAGCCTGGCAACAAGAGGGAAACTCCGTCTCAAAAGAAAAGAAAAAAAAATCACCAGACTAATATTTACCTTGAGAATCCTTCTTCATCTTCTTGTAATGACCTTCGGTGACAACAGATCTGTTTTAGAAGAAAACGCAATTAAGATTATCTATGACAACAACCACCATCTCCAAATCTGTATTGATTCCTTTTATTCATTATAAGTCTCATCTACCTGATGAGGTAACTTTTTTGAAGACAGGAATTGCATACTGTGTAACACTGCTTTGATTCTTCCATAGTTCAGTCATCCTTGCTATCTTGCGGGGGATTGGTTCTAGGATACCGCCCCCACACCATACCAGAATCTGTGGATGCTCAATCCCTTACACATAATGGTGTAGTATTTGCTTATAACCAACACGCATCCCCCCTATACTTTATTTACTTAGCGACAGGATTGCCCTCTGTTGCTTACGCTGGAGTGCAGTGTCATTCTCTGTTACTCAGGATGGAGTGCGGTGTCACGATCACAGCTCACTGTAGCCTCAACCTCCTGGGCTCCAGTGATCCGCCCACCTCAGCCTCTTGAGTAGCTGAGACTACAGGTGCATACTACCACACCTGGCTATTTTTTTTTTAATTTTTAATAAAGACAAGGTCTCACTATGCTGCCCAGGTTGGCCTCCCAATGTGTTGGGATTACAAGTGTGAGCCACCATGCCTGGCCCCATGTAATTTAAGTCATCACTAATAAAATGTATACATATTGTACAGTGGTGACAGTTGTTATATTGTACTTTCTGTTTGTATTTTTATTGTTTTTTTTTTCTTCAAATATTCAGCCTGATCTAGTTGAATCTGAAGATGTGGACCTGCTGATGAAGAGGGCTGACTGTATCTAACTTAGGGTCTTGCATGCAGCTGGCACTTAATACATTTTATTGACTGTTTTAGATAACATTCAACAGATAATTCCTAATAAAAACTCTTAAAAGTAGGAGAAAAAGGAAACCTGAGTCCTTCCTCTGAAGTGGCAGGAAAACTAGCCTGGGCAACATAGCAAGACCTTGTCTCTACAAACACATTTTTTAAATTAGCTGCCTGCCTGTAGTCCCAGCCACTCAGGAAGCTGAGGCAGGAGGATCCCTTAAGCCCAGGAGTTTGATGTTACAGTGAGCTAGATCACACCATTGCTCTCCAGCCTGGGTGACAACAAGGCCCTGAGAAGGGAAAAAAAAGGAAAGGAAAGGAAAGGAAAAAGGAAAAGGGAAAGGAAGGAAAGAGTAGAAGTATTGGAAAGGAAGAGACAAAACTATCATTATTTGCATACTAAATGATAAATGTTAGCCAAAGAAGCCTAAGAGAATCAACTAAGATTTTACTGGAAGTAATGAGGATTCAATACAGTGGCTATCTACAAAATCAAGAAATCAGCACACAAACCTCAAATACTTTTCCCATGTACCACCAATAACTAATTAGAAAATGGAAGAAAGATCCCATTTACAATGGCAATACAAATGTATGAAGAATTTAGGAACAAAAATACAAAGATCTTTTATCTAACAAAAGATGTGTAAGATCTATATATGGAAACACTAAAGCTCTTCTGAAAGACATTAACAAGAAATGAATACATGACATGAGATAGCACGTTCCTAGAATGTTGTACAGATGTAAATTCTCAAATTAATCTACAAATTTAACATAATCCTATTCAAATCCCAAGATAGTTTTTGGTGGTGGCTGTTTTTAAGACAGGGCCTCGCTGTGTTGCCCAGGCTAGAGTGCAGTGGTACGACCACAGCTCACTGCATCCTCGACCTCCCAGGCTCAAGCGATCCTCCCACTTCAGCCTCTGAAGTCTCTCATATGGTGTCCAAGAAATGGTGACAAATCTCACAAAGGGACTAGGCTCAGCAGGGCTGGAATATTCAGGGAAGGTGTCAAGAAGAAAGATGAACTTGAGTTGGCTTTTGAAAGATGCATAGGACTCCCACAGGCAGGGTGAAATAAGGGCATTTTAGATGGACAAACACACAGACAAAAGCAGAAATGCGGGTGGTGTGACTGGGGTTTGGTGAGGGGCTGCTGTGGCTGGAATGGAGGGCTGGCTGCCACAATCATGGAAATGGTAAATGAGGCAAATAAGGTTGGACTGGTGGCATAGCATCAAGGTTGCCAGCTTTATTAAATCACTCTTCCAATATGCTAGCACTGGCCTGTTGGGAAAAGTAATACATCATGTAATCGAACAAAAGACAGAGGCAAGCTCCAGGAATCGGCACTGTAAACAGGACTTGCCCCAGAGTAGCCAGATGTAGGCTTTAGGTAAGTTGATGCAAGCTGAGCATCTCTAATCTGAGGGGGAATGTCTCACATGGTGTCCAAGAAATGGTGACACATCTCACAGAGGGTCTAGGCTCAGGAGGGCTAGAGTATGAGATGTTCCCCCTCACCAGTGAACTTAAAAATGTGGCCAACAATTTTTGTAAAAGATGGCTACTCTGTAGTGCTTTAACTGGACCTATTTAGACAATGCCTTACACACTGGAGGACGATACTGTGTAAATCTAATAAGTCTACAAGACAATACTTCTGTCTTTTGGCTCTCTCCTTCCTCTCCAGGGTGATGACAACTCCGTGAGGGTGGAGATTATACCTCTCTCATCATTTCAGCAACAAGGAAATAATTTAGTGGCAGAGTAAGGGTGACTTGGTGAGTACATCCAATTGTTGACATAGTTTTGGGTGGGAGAAATTTTGCTATTATATCCACTTCTTAAAATAGTCTAGTGGGATTAACTTGGTTTCAATTCACAGAGATCTGGAAGCGAGGATCCTTTAAAAATCCTGAAATATACACTGCAGTAAAAGAACAAAGCATACACCTCAGCCTTAAATGACTGAAGTATGTCAAGTAGCAGCAGGTGGGAAAGTGGCTTTGGTTTTCAGTTTGTGAGCTCTGAATCCACACAAAGACAGGACTGCATTCTGAAAACCTGAATTAATTATTGTCCTTACCTCAATGAGGCAGAGAAGTATAATCAAAATCGTTAGTATTCCAGTCACAATTAACGCCAAGATGAGTTTTTTGGTATAGCCATATCCTGGAAGTTCTTTTGTGAACTAAAAAAAAAAAAACCAGAATGAGAGCTAACTATTCAAAACCCCAGTATTCCAGGTGAGTAGCTTACAGGTTCTTTTTTATTTTTTTGAAAGAGGGTCTCACTCTGTCACCCAGGCTGGGGTACAGTGGTGCAATCACCATTCACTAGACTCGACCTCCCTGGGCTCAGGTGATCCTCCCACCTCAGCCTCCCAAGTAGCTGGGACTACAGGCACGTGTCATCAACCCAGCTAATTTTCTTATTTTTTGTGGAGACAGGCTTTCACTATGTTGGCCAAGCTGGTCTCAAACTCCTGACTTCAAGTAATCCACCCACCTTGGCCTCCCAAAGTGCTGAGATTACAGGCGTGAGCTACCACCCCCAGCCTACAGTTCATCTTGTGCCCTAATCTATTTCACTCTCTACATGAGCAAAGTGGGAGATCACTGTCATGACCAAAGTTACATGGCCAAGATAAGCTATGGCCTGGGAGTCCCAGATTCTTCTGTGTGGGCACTTTCCTGGGATATGCTAAATGATGGGAAATCTGGGTCTCATGTTTCTGTGTAGTCCTCACCTCAAGCGACTTCTCTTTCTGTTCACTCTGGGCTTCTGTGCTCTCATTAATGTAGTTCTCAGTCTTCCATTGGTCCGTATCCCATTCTATCTTGGATGCCTTTACTTCCTGCTGCCCACTGAGAAGCTTCATCAGGTGGCCTGTCCTGGAGACGAGCTTGGCACAGGTCACTTGCACATGGGCCCCAGAGCAGTCCATCTTCAAGGTCCGGATAACATGAGCAATGAGCCTTCTCACATTGTTGTTGGGGATAACGGACTGCAGCTGCTGGGTTAGCTGAATTTCAAACTGATCACCTGGGGACGAGAGCAATGGGTAATTGAAGCTTTTGGGCTCGGGGGACAGGTCAGTGCCCACGTTGTTGTATTCCCATTTTGTCTCAGTTTGTTTAACAGTTGGCCCTAAGTTGAATGCAGTCCCAGCGGAATCTGCCTCAGGAGGATGATTGTAGTTTGTGTTTTCAGAGATGGTTCCTTCTGGCATGTTAGTGTTTTCCATAAAAACATTTTCTTCAAAGGCATTTCTTGCAGTTGTGTCTTTTGTATTATTGTTTTCTATAAAATGTTCTGAAGGAGCAGATACTTCCAGAAAAGGATTTTCTTGAGGACTCAGGTCTCTTAAGGATGAAAAAGCCCCTTGTGAAGGGGAATTTATGAGGCTCTTCGCTGCAGAGAACGGAAGCCTGTTTGAGAGCATCAGTCTACTCAGATAACTTTTCTTTCTGACCTTTGGACTCTTTTTGACCTTGGGTGTTCTGTGGGTCATGCGGGAGCGAGTTTTGTGAAAGCGGTATTTTTTTCTGGAATGTACGATGGGTTTAGATGTCTTCATATTTGTAACTCTAGCCTTTGCACTTTCTAAAATGGAAATAGCGTGGGTTAAGTCTTTCCATCTGTCTCTCACCTGTGGTAGGGCTTTTGCAGGGCTGGAGGTAGAAGGCGCGCCCTTGGAGAAGGGTTTCAGCACAGAGACTGCTGCCTTATGCTCTTGGGTGAACGAAGGCTTGGTGTAGACGGCGTTTCCCGCTAACTTCTCAGGCCCCTGCTGTGTGTGAGGCTGTTTCAGCTCCCTTGGGGCTGGACTTCCGAGCCTTTTTTCTTCGGCAGTGTTCTCCACAGATGCCTGGGCACCCTGTTCCCTCCTGATGCTCTGCCTTCCTACCTCTTTGAAGTGCCTTTTCTGGATGCTCCTTGGGCCCATGAGGACTCTATTCAGTCTCTGCCGGTTTTTGCCTACAGTTTGAATCTTTGCCAGGCTGTTTCCTGTGGTTGGCAGTTTAATGAACGGTAGTAACAGTGATTTCACATCTAGGTTAACGGCTGAGAAATAAGGTAAGATGTAACTTAGTGTACTGGTAACATCACTCTCGTCATTGGTGTCTAGCTGCTCACTCCCAAAGCCTGACAAGTTGATGCCACTGCTGTCTGAGGGCTCCTCCGGCTCAATAATCAGCTCAGTGCTTGTGTAATTCTTCCGGGCTTGTAACACCTTCATGAACGCTCCTTCTGGATTCCCTACAGATGCTTCTTCAGCTGTCAAAAAAGAAGAGACTGCTTTGATCATGAAAGATGATGGGATGGGATGCATCAGTCCATAGCTGTACACTCCAGTCACACAGAGTAGGAGTCAGCAAACATTCGAGTGCCATTCAGAGAGGAGAAACACACACTCAATCCTAAACCTATGAAATGGCAACAACAAAAGGAGAAAATACATCTTTTGAAAACACGGCCACCTACTTGGAACATTCCATAGTGTGACATAGAGTAACTCTGTTTAGGATTATTTCGTTGATCCCCAGAGGCCAATTGCCCAGTGCTCAGTCAAAGCCCAAGGTGGAAGACAAGTGCTTCCCTGATGAGCTGGCCTCTCTGCAGACTGCTCCGTACCCTGTGCTGTCCTGCCTCAGATGCAGAGAGAGCACAAGGCTCCTGCTCACCTCGTCCTCGGTGCACCTGTGTTCTTGCTACCATCACAGCTGAATGCAATGAAAGGCGGTCCTCTGAGAGGAGCAGGGTGGAGATGCTAAAGTGGAGGCCCCCTCCCATTGCTGACAGATCCTCATCTGGCATGCGCTCCACCCACCCCATTCTCTGCTCCCACGTGTGGTAGCCCCATCACAGAAGATGCGACATGGAAAAAAGCACTGTGTCCACCCTAGTTCTTAAATTTGGGCAGGGATTTGGGGTGTATGTTAAGAGTTTTTCAAATTTGCCAGATTGTATGCCTATGTTGTTAAATACACAGTGAATCTCTGGTATGATAGCAGTTTCGGGATAAACATTACTTGAGGTCCTAAAATGCAGAAGGGAAAAAGCAACTTTTGTCAGATGCTTACTTTGCTTTCATTTCATCTCTAATATTTTGGATGGGGAATCATCCAAAGCTTCTGACTGCATGAAGGTCAGGTGTGCCAGTGTGCAGCTGGGTTTCTTTTCCAGAATTAAAAGTACTTTGGGTGGTGGTGAGGGTCAGAGGAAGAAGTAAAGATTGTGAGAAAGGGGAAGAAACATGGGCTTGGGGAGAACCCAGAATTGGGGCCAGAAGACCTGACACTAGGCTACAGCACTTAGCACCTCTGATCTTGTTTTTCCTCATCTGTAAAAGGAGGTTAACAAAGCTTTTCTGCCCGCTTCTTGGGGAGAAGGGAATAACATAATTGGTAAAAAAAAAAAAAAAAGTTTTGAAAAATAAGCAACACTGACTTTATGTAACCAAGCATTATTAATTATCCACCCCATATCACTGGTAGATACCTGTATTCAAGCTATCTGGACATGAAAGCAGTCACATTTTAGAAGTCATGAAGTTGATGCTAATAAACCTAATCTACAAAAATACTCTTGAAAGCCCTTGAGCATTTGTGAACAGAAAGGTTTGAGATTCGGAGCAAGTTCAGAGTTGGATGGTCTAAGAATGGAAAAGCCCTCCATTCCATTAGAAGAGCCAGGTAGCAATTTCTGGTTATGGAACCAGAAGCTCTCAGGCTTCAAATAAAACAGCATCACTTGTACTCTTATAAAACTGTAAAAACAGAAAGACCAAAACCGTATCTACATCTGTCCTATAAGGCAGAGAGTACTTGAGATCTCATGGATTTAAAACCAGCTTACAAACTACATTGCACTATATGAAGAAATTATCACTGTGGGCAAAGCATCAAGCAGAGAGCACAGTATACAGTGTGTGGATGTTAATGTTATTCCCTAGCCTTCCCATTCCTTTGTCTTGGTCCTTTGTGCATATGGAACAGTTCTATTATTAAATTTTGTAATAGTAACTGAGAACCTGACTCTCAGCAAGGGAGTAGTTCAGAAATTGAGGGAGTTTAACTCTGAATGAGTAAATAAAAATAAAGCAATTATGTCATTAGCTTAAAATTTTATCATCATTAAAAATAAAAAGTTTAAAAACAAATACTTAATGTAACAATTTATCACCATGCAATTTGGACTCACGACAATGTGTGGTGTTTGTCAGACATGCACTGTTGCAATGCAGCTTGACTGTCTTGCAGACAGCCTCAATGCTGTTTTTAAATTGGCAGAGGCAGCAGGCCATATGGCTAGGTACGATCCTATAGATGAAAACAGAGAGCAATAAATTAGCGGTAAAGCGGTTACTTGAGTAGGTAAAGGAGGCAGCCAACACTACCACAGGGGTGGGAAAAAGGTATCATTGAAGCCTGTGGACTGGACAGTTGGGTAGGAACCAGAAGGCCAATAGGAAGGAGGACAAAAGTGCCCAACTGAAGGGTAAGCATGGCAGTGAGTATGGTATGCCTAGAATAAAGATGGTTGGGATTAGAATTGGGTGACAGTGATTAGTAGTTTCAGAAGTATCTCTTCCCAACTCAAAAGTCTCACTTTGGGCTGAAAGTACAGAGGAAGAAGGTAGACTTTTAAGAAGTCTGAATAAGCCCCCAACTTCCGGAGTCCCTTTCTCAATTCCTGTTGGGAGTGGGAAATATTATAAATTACTCTGGGCATTAAAAATAGCTTAGTTTAACCTGGATTGCGGAGTTAAAAAATAACAAAGACTGCATTGGTCAAATCTGGACAATTTGAGCATTCAAAAGAATAACAACAATAAGTTACAACATATTTAATATAAAGAAGAATCCACGAAGAGTGATATTGAAAAAGAAAGAGGGGGAGTTCTTCTTCAATGAAATAATGCCAGCTAGTAAATGTAGAAGGAATGACAGAATTTTTAAAAGTGTCACTTTGCAACCGTCAGTGCAATACAAATTCATTCAGACAAGGATTATCATTGATGCACATTTGGGTGAAAAGACATTTGAGAACAGGATCTTCACTGAACTCAAAGTAACAACCCACAGATTATTTATTAATTACCAAGGGGAAAATTATTATTTTTTATTTTTATTTTTATTTTGTCACCCAGGCTGAAATACAGTGGCAAAATTATACCTCATTGCAGCCTCAACCCCCCTGGGCTCAAGGGATCCTCCAAATTCAGCCTCCTGAGTAGCTGGGAGTATAGGCTTGCACCACCATGCCCAGCTAATTTTTTTTTTTTTTTTTTTTTTTACTTTTGTATTTTCAGTAGTGACAGAGTTTCCCCATGTTGCTCAGGCTGGTGTAGAACTCCTGGGCTCAGGCAATCCTCCCACCTCGGCCTTCCAAAGTGCTGGGATTACAAGTGGGAGCCACTGTACCCAGCAAAATAATTACAATGGAGAGATCTGGAAGATCACCTTAGTCAAGTGATCAAACTTAGTATTACAGGCCATCTGCGGTTACGAGGCAGGAAGAATACATCACCTATGCAGTATTTTTCCCAAAAATGCTTAACTTGAATTTCGTCATGAGGAAACAGACAAATCCAGATTGTGGGACAATTTACAAGACAACTATCTTTGACTCTTAAAAAATGCCAATGTCATGAAAGAGCAAAGAAAGTAGAGGCATGTTTTAGATTAAAGGAAATGAAGACATGACATGCAGTGCCTGATCTTTGATTGGATTCTGTACTATTCTTTCATCTTTCTGGCTTGTTTGAATTTTTTTCAATACGTAAATTTGGGCAAAAGAGGTAACCGAGACAACTGATTAATTTATTGTTGTGGCTTATTGGGGGCACTTTCAGAGAGATAAAAACAATCCCTGTAACTGAAGTAAAAGGTTAATCTTAGGCAGTATAGCATGGTCATTAAGAATACAGATTCCATAGCCAGACTATGCTTCAATCTCAGCTCTGCTAATAATGTGAATTTGGGCAAATTGTTTAATCTCTGTTCCTTGGCCTTGTCATTATAATAGTACCTACCTCTAATGAATTTTGAGGATCAAATGAATCAATACCTGAAAAATGCCTGGTGCACAGTGAGTGCTCAATAAGAGTTAACTATAATTATTGTGTTGCAGAGGTTGTGGGGGGCCTTTTCTGAGTCCTCCAAAAGGATGGCTTTATTGGGGCCATATTAAGACTGTGGAAACAGAAGAGGGTTTCATGGATACAAGAAGTCTATGAGTTGGGGGTACAATGTATAGAGTTTTAGATTAAAACTGCATCCAATAAGTTGGCCTGACACATCTTTCAAACCTATAAAGGAACAATCACAAGTGACTAGTATTATTCCTTTGGGTCCAGTGGAAGCCTCTGATCTTCATATGGAATGGACCCGGAACCGTAACCCAGCATTTTGTTATATAGCAACTTTACCTCTGCCACAAAGGTGTTTCTTTTGTTTATTTTGAGGCCAGGTCTCACTCTGTTACACAGGCTGAGTGCAGTGGTGCAATCTTGGCTCACTGCAGCCTCTGTCTCCTGTGCTCAAGTGATCCTCCCACCTCAGCCTCCTGAGTAGCTAGAACTACAGGTGTGTGCCACCACACCTGGCTAATTTTTGTATATTTTGTAGAAATGGGGTTTCACCATGTTGTCCAGGCTGGTCTCGAACTCCTGGGCACAAGCAACCCTCTCTCTTTGGCCTCCCAAAGTGCTGGGATTACAGGCATGAGCCCAAAATTTTTGTTATTCTTTTTCTGCCCCCAACTTTTTATTTTAAACATTTTCTTTTTTTCCTTTAAGCCTTAGGATGGCTGGGAAACATTTTCAAATGGTATAATGAACACCTGTATAACTTTCATCTGGAATCAATAGTTGCTAATACTTTGCCACATTTGCTTTCCGTGTGTGTATGTCTATACATTTTCTGGACAAAACCATTTGAGAGTCAGTTGCAGACATAATGACCCTTCACCATTGAAGACTTCAGTGTGCAGCCCCTAAGAACCAAGGCATTCTCCGACATAACCAGAGGACTGTCATCACTCAATGGAACTTCATATTATCATTGTCTACTATGCGGTCCGTATACACATTTTCACAATTGTCCCAATCATAACATGGCTTAAAAAATTCAGAATCCAATCAAACATCAGACATTACATTTAGTACATGATTCTTTAGTCTCCTTCAATCTAGAACTGTTCCCAGGATTGTTTTAAAGTATACTGACAAATCTTTGAGACTGTAAATGACCTGAGGTATACTTGAGAATAATTTTTCAATACACATGAAAGATCATTACACATGAGCCAAGACTCAAATGAGCTGGCCTACTTACTTTGTACATAAATGTGTAAACTCCTGAAGACTTCCAATAATGAACTCCCATAAGACAGTTAGTTCAATGTCTTTATGGCCTTGGTGACAAATCATTACAGAGGATGAGAGCATTTTTCCTATCCAATAATGGTCAAGAAAAAAGCAGACAGATCCTCACTATCTTAGAGAACTAAGTGAGAAAGCTGGTCGATGAAGGGGACTTCATCCAGAGAGGAAGGGATCCAGCTGACGGGGAAGATGCTACAGGAGGCTGAGGAAAGTGAGGCTAGAGCAGTAAAAGAGATCTGACAACCTGGTGAAGATAAGAAAGTGACCTGACAAAAATGAACGGAGCAGAGTGCTAAATGAAGGGCCCTTTCCATGCTAATCTTGCATAATGCCCTCAACCAGCCCTAGCATAACTGAGTCTCTATTTAGCTTGCCATATTGTGGGGGCTGGTGGCACAATTGAAGTTGCAGTAAATTGTGTAACAAACTCACAATAGGGCCCTGCAGGCATATATATACATATATACACGTACATATATATATATATACATATATACACGTACATATATATATATATATATATATATATATATATATATATATTTTTTTTTTTTTTTTTTTTTAGACAGGGTCTTGCTCTGTCACCCAAGCTGGAGTGCAGTGGTGCCATCTTGGCTCACTGCAACCTCCACCTCCTGGGTTCAAGTGATCCTCCTGACTCAGGTTCCCTAGTAGCTGGGACTACAGGCGTGTGCCACCACACCTGGCTGATTTTTATATATATATATATATATATATCCTGCAAAGAAGGCCAGGCACGGTGTCCCATGCCTGTAATCTCAGCACTCTGGGAGGTGAGGCAGGAGGATCACTTGAGACCAGGAGTCCAAGACCAGCCTGGGGAACATACTGAGACCTCATTTCTACAAAAAAATAAAAAATAAAAAAGATACATCACATATGCAAATTAACTCAAAATGGATCATAGACCTAAATGTGTATCATTTCTGGGAGAAGACATAGGAGAAAATCTTTTAGATGCTGGATTAGACAACAGGTTCTTAAAGATTTCTTAGGTAAGAAACAAAAAATCACAAGCCATTTAAGAAAAAAATGCTAACTTAAAGCTGGTCAAAATTAAAAACTTCTGCTCTTCAGAAAACATTTTTATTTCTTACTTTTTTTTTTAGACAGAGTCCCACTCTGTCGCCCAGGTTAGAGTGCAGTGGTGCAATCTCGGCTCATTGCAACCTCCACCTCTCAAGTTCAAGCACTTCTCGTGCCTCAGCCTCCTGAGTAGCTGGGATTACAGGCATGTGCCACCACACCTGCCTAATTTGTGCATTTTTAGTAGAGATGGCATTTCCACACAACCGGAATACTACTCAGCAATAAAAAGGAGTGAACAGTTGTCCCGCAGTGTCTGCAGGGGATTGGCTCCAGGACCCCCTGCAGATAGATACCAAAGTCCACAGATGCTGAGGTCTTTTTTATGAAATGACATAATGTTTGTATACAGCCTCAGGTATACTCTAAGTACCTAATACAGTGTAAATGGTATGTACATAATTATACTGTATTTTAAATTTTCTACTGTTTTTATTGTTGTATTGTTGTTTTATATATTTTATTTTTTCCAAATATTCTCCATCCATGGTTCGTTGAATCTATGGATGAGGAACCTGCAGATATGGAGGGCCAGCTGTAGTGATAGGTGCAACAACATGGATGGTAGCATAATCTCAAAAAAAATTCTGCTGAGTGAGGCCAGGCAAGGTGGATCTTATCTGTAATCCTAGCACTTTGGGAGGCTGAGGCAGGCGGATCACTTGAGGTCAGGAGTTCGAAACCACCCTGGCCAACATGGCGAAACCTTGTCTCTACTAAAAATACAAAAATTAGCCAGGCATGGTGGCATGTGCCTGTAATCCCAGCTACTCGGAAGGCTGAGGCAGGAGAACCACTTGAACCTGGGAGGTGGAGGTTGCAGTGAGCCTAGGTCATGCCGCTGCACTGCAGCCTGGGTGACAGAGTGAGATTCCATTTCAAAAACAAAAAAAAAAATTAGGCTTTGTGAAAGGAGCCAAACACAAGAGGCTACGTGCTATATGATTTCATTTATAAGACATTCTGGAAAAGGCAAAAGTATAGGAACAGAAATCAGATTAGTAGCTAACAGGGGCTGATGGTGGGAGGATGGGATTGCCTACAAAGGGACAGGAGGGGCCTTTTTGAGGCATCAGAAATGCTTTATATTGGGAATGTGGTGGTGGTTATGTAACTATACATTTGTCAGACTCATCAAACTGTACACTTAAAAAGCGTGAATGTTACTATATGAAAATTATACCTCAATGAACCTGACTTAAGAAAATAATAAAACAAACCTAAAGAAACAACTACGTAAAAATAAATCTCGGAAAAAAATAACTTACAGTTTTTCCAGTTCAACAGTCATCATGAGAATGTTCTTAAGTGTTGTAAGTGGGACTAGCGTTGTTCCCATGTCTCTGAAGAAGAAAGCCGAAACATTCATGATATGAGCCCCAATAAAAAATTCTGTACTTAACAATTCAATTTTGGCTTCTCTATTAAACAAGCCAGCTCAAGAGTTTATTTGCTGTAGAATTCCAGGGAGCTCTTATTAAAGAAATTAAAGTTGATTTGCATCATCAAATTAATGATACTCAAGAGCAGAACTTACACTTTTTTTTTTTACCATTATCTTCTCATTTTCATATTGCACTCACCATCTTATTTACTCTTTTCTTTATTTTTAGAATAATGAACACCTTTTCCCCTTTGCTTTCTTGGTTAAATAATATTCCTCCATGTGTCTACATGTTGCAAATCTATATGGGTTCTTCAATGCTGTTCTCTTCCCCTGCTGGCTGTCTTGACCATTATACATCCTCTTAATTTTTTTCTTCGCCAATAACTTTTTTTCAATAACCCAGTTAAAATTTAAATTATGACATTTTAGCCTAAATGCAAAATACTTAAGCTTTGATGAAAAATTTAAAAAGCATAAATCATCTCTTGACTCATGAGAGTACTATAGTACTTACAGATATTTTAATGCTGGCAATTTAAAGAGATATGGATCTTCAACAGTTGTCAGAGGATT
This sequence comes from Homo sapiens, assembly GCF_000001405.40. NCBI lineage: Eukaryota > Metazoa > Chordata > Mammalia > Primates > Hominidae > Homo > Homo sapiens. The sequence continues at coordinate 64,869,154 of NC_000017.11, forward strand.
GTGATTGAGAATTCTGAAAAATGGAATGGAATTAAAATAACCTGCATTTTCAATGTGTAAAACTGCATGAAAAGTTTACATTCATTTTTTGGTATGGAACTTGTAGGTAAAAAAGAAAAAAATGTTTCCTGTCTTTACCTAAGAAATCACCATTAGACTCCGTAAAGCACTATTCCTATGGGAACTACCGAGGTCTCTAGAAGATAAAGGATAGAACGCGGGGAAGAACTACAAGGAAAAAAAAAGTGGATAGCAAAGAAAAAATATGCCACAGAACTTTTCAGGTCAAAAACCCTAAAAGTGACTATGTTGGTAGGAAGCCCTGACTGCGGAGGAAACAGTATTTCTAGCAACCTCCATAATTCAAGTTGTTCATCTATTTTTTTTTTTTTTTTTTTTGAGATGGAGTCTCGCTCTTGTTGCCCAGGCTGGAGTGCAATGGCTCGATCTTGGCTCACTGCAACCTCCGCCTTCCAGGTTCAAGTGATTCTCCTGTTCTGCCTCAGCCTTCCGAGTAGCTGGGATTACAGGCACCCACCACCACGCCCAGCTAATTTTTGTATTTTTAGTAGAGACGGGGTTTTACCATGTTGGCCAGGCTGGTTTTGAACTCCTGACCTCAGGTGATCTACCTGCCTCAGCCTCCCAAACTGATAGGATTACTGGCATGAGCCACTGCGGCTGGCTGCTTGTCTTTTATCTTTATAAAGTTTTTAAAATTTATGGTTTAATTTGCACAGTTAAAAAAAAATAGGACCAATTATTTTGCTTTATAGCCAAAGAAGGAATAAATCTAAGAGGAAGAACTGGTCAAAACCATACTCCCACTTGTCCTCTTGTATGACATCACAGCCTTTCTTACATTGCATGTAATCACCTGTCCACTTGTCAGGCTCCTGGACTATGAGCGCTTTGAGGGCAGAGACCACATTTTTTTTTTTTTTTTTTTTTTTCTGAGACGGAGTCTCACTCTGTCGCCCAGGCTGGAGTGCAGTGGCGCAATCTTGGCTCACTGCAATCTCCGCCTCCCAGGTTCAAGCAATTCTCCTGCCTTAGCCTCCCAAGTAGCTGGGATTACAGGTGCCCGCCACCATGCCCTGTCATCCCCGTGCCTGGCATGATGTCTGAAATGTATTAGGCATTTAACAAATGTTTATTGAATAAACAAATGACATTTTGTTCATATGTCAATAAAATGAATAAATTGATTTTGATGCAAATTTTTATTCCAAAATGCTGGAATCAATTTTCTTTTTAATTCTTTAAGGTGAACAAGAAAAATAAAAGAAACAGGAAGAAATAAAAGAAAATCTACCTTTAGGTTAACCCAAGAATCATCTTTGTACTTAGGCAGAAATTATAAAAATAATAATTATTACAGTGAGTATCTACTGGGTTGCCAGGTATTTGTGATCAGCAAATACCTTATGTGGTAGATATTATTATTGCCCTATTTTTAAATGAGGAAACTGAGGCACAGAGAGGTTATATAACTTGTCCTAGGTCACCAAGCTATTAAGCAGCAAAGCTGTAATTTGAACTCATGTGTTTAATCTGTATGAAGAAAAAGGGTTTATTTTAACCTTAGGTTTTTTAAAAATTTTCATTTTCGTTCTTCATTCTTTTTCTTTCTCTCTCTTTTTCCTTCCTTCCTTCCCTCCCCCTTCCTTCTATTTTCTTTCCTTTCCTTTCTTTCCTTTCTCCTCTCCCCTTCACTCCCCTCCCCTCCCCACCCAAACAGGGTCTTGCTCCATTGACCAGGCTGGAGTGCAGTGGTGTGATCTTGGCTCACTGCAACGTCCTCTTCCCAAGCTCAGGTAATCCTCCTTCCTCAGTCTCCCAAATAGCTGGGACTATAGGCACGCACCACCACGCCTGGCTATTTTTTGTGTTTTTAGTAGAGATGGGAGTTTCACCATGTTTGCCAGGCTGGTCTTGAACTCCTGATCTCAAGTGATCCGCCTGCCTTGGCCTCCCAAAGTGCTGGTGTGAGCCACTGGGCCCAGCCTTAATTGTGAGAAGACTAAATACAGAAGTGCCTTTCAACCTTCTTCTACTCCTCTGGGAGGACCTCTATGAGAATTACAATTTCTCATTAGCAGGGCACGGCAGTGCTTGCCTGTAATTCCAGCTGTTTCAGAGGCTGAGGCAGGAGAATTGCTTGAACCCGGGAGGCGGAGGTTGCAGTGAGCCAAGATCAAGCCACTCTACTCCAGCCTGGGCGACAGAGCAAAAAAAAGTGGATTACAGTTTCTCTTTTTATGTCTTTCCCCTAATCATTTCCCATGATTAAATAGTTAATTAGTCTATGGTCAATGAGACTTTTTTTTTTTTTAAGAGACACATTCTCACTCACTGTGTTGCCCAGGCTGGAGAGCAGTGGCTATTCACAACCATGATCCCACTAGTGATCAGCATGGGAGTTTTGACCTGCTCTAGTCCTGAACTGGGCTGGTACACCCCTTTTTAGGCAACCTGGTGGTCTCCTTTTCCCGGGAGGTCACCATACTGATGCTGAACTTAGTGCGGACACCCAATCAGCATAGCATGCTACAGCCCAGAATTCCTGGACTCAAAGGATCCTTCTTCCTTTGCCTCCCGAGTATCTGGGACTACAGGCATGTACCCAGTGAGCCTTCAGAGATTTAAAATCATGTCGTAAGTGACATCAGTGAAAATGGTGGAATAAAGACATCCAGGCTGGGTGCGGTGGCTCACGCCTGTAATCCCAGCACTTTGGGAGACCGAGGCAGGCGGATCACGAGGTCAGGGGATCGAGACCATCCTGGCTAACAAGGCGAAACCCCGTCTGTACTAAATATACAAAAATTAGCTGGGCGTGGTGGCAGGCGCCTGTAGTCCCAGCTACTCGGGAGGCTGAGGCAGGAGAATTGTGTGAACCCGGGAGGTGGAGCTTGCAGTGAGATGAGATTATGCCACTGCACTCCAGCCTGGGCAACAGAGTGAGACTCTGTCTCAAAAAAAAAAAAAAAAAAAAAAGAGAGACATCCAAAAATTCATCCCTTCATAAAAGCAACAAATACCAAAAAAATAGCCAAAAAAAAAAAAAAAAAAAAATTGACCAGAATAAACTTTTTCAGAACTCTAGAAATGTAACCAAAGTCTTGCAGCAACCCAAGGAGCATTTATTCAAGAAAAATTTCTGTAAGAATAGTGAGATTTGTGTTAACTTGCCTTAGACCATTCCTCACTCTCTAGCTCAGTAGTCGCCTTGAAAAACAGCCCACATCCCCAACCAGAGGGAGCAGAATGGAGATGGAGCTCCTTCAAAGCCTTATTCTCAGTTAACTGTCATGATGTCATCTGTCTGGTGGTTCCCTGGAAGACCTCATTTGAAAGGTCTGTCTTTATTTGACCAGAATGAAAGCTGTCTAGTGCTAAAGCCTCTCCACAGAGGGTGTTTTTGGAAAACAATTACAGACAAGTGTTTGAACATGGCAACTGTATTCGGCAATGAATAACAGTTTGGGGGAAAAAAGCCTAATCAAAAAGCTTAATAGGAAAAGCTGAGGAATAAGATGTCCACAGGAATTTGAAACACACTGATATATGCTTGGGAAACTAGAAGTCCATAAGACATATTCCTGGCAATTTGGAATCTCACGCGCATGCATAGGGCAGACTGTCAGCATGGTCAGGAAAGACCTACTAAGTTCATAAACTCTCACCCCTGGCTGACACCTTGAGGTTCTGCACAAGCAAGAAGTGAAAGCTAAGGCATGGCTGTAAATTGTCTAGCTGAGTGCTGAAGGTATGCCCCAACATGTACACAGAGCCCCTTGGCAAAAACTAGGAGACTTATCAGTTCCAAGGATTTAAGTAAATCTTCATTTAATCATTAGCTGATCAGTAAGCTAACCGAGGAGGGACTTTAGTGGGAACACATGACATATAATGCGAGACTTTACAGAAGAAGTTCAGAAAAGTCACTAAATAAATAGCAACTACTAACACAAGCAGGAGTAACACCAAACCCTGGCAGCATGGATCTGATTTTCAGAATTGCTACATTATATTATTTAAAATATTCAATTTTTAACAAACATTTATGAAAGATGCAAGGAAACAAAGTATGGCCCAAACACGTGGTTGGGGGAGAAATAAGCAGAAATTGTCCCTGAGAAGGACCAGATGTTAGACTTACTAGACAAAGATTTTTTTATTTTTTATAGGTGGGGTCTTGCGAAGTTACCCAGGGTGGTCTTGAACTCCTGGCCTCAGCCTCAACCTCAGCCTCAGCCTCCCAAAGTGCTGGGGTTATAGGCACAAGCCACCATGCCTGGCCTAGAGAAGGATTTAATTCAGCTATTTAAAATATGTTCAAAGAGATAAGAGAAACGATTCAGTTCTGTAGACTAGAGAACTAAAGGAAAGTATGAAAGCAATGTCTCATCAAATAGAGAATATCAATAAAGAGATAGAAACCATAAAAAGGAGTCAAATAGAAATTCTAGAGTTGAAAAGTATGGTAACTGAAATGGAAAAATTATTAGAGGTTCTCAATGGCACATTACAGCAGGCTGAAGACAGAATGGGGAACTTGAAGGTTAATTGAGATTGTTGACTCTGAGGAACAGAAATAAAAATGAATGAAAGTGAATGGAATCTCAGAGACCTGTTTGTGGAACACATCATCAAGCTTACTAATGTACACATAATGAGCATCCCAGGAGAAGAAAAACAGAAAAAAGGAGAAAGAATATTTGAAGAAATGATGGCCCCAAACTTCCCAAACATGATGAAAAACAATCTGCATATTCAAGAAGCTCAAGGAACTACAAGTAGGAAAAACTGAGGGATCCACATCTAAACATACTGTAATCAAACTGACAGAAGGCAAAGACAGAATATCTTGAAAGCAGCAAGAGAAAAGCAACTCATCACATACAAGGGATCCTCAATAAGATTAATAGCTAATTTCTCTTCAAAAACAATGCAGGTGCTGGGCATGGTTGCTCACACCTGTACTCCCAGTACCTTGGGAGGCTTGAGGCTCAAGAATTGCTTGAAGCCAGGAGTTGGATACCAGCACTGGCAATAGAGTAAAACCCTGTCTCTACAAAAAATTTAAAAATAACTGGGCATGCCCGTCTGGGATGTGAGGAGCGCCTCTGCCCGGCCGCGACCCCGTCTGGGAGGTGAGGAGCGTCTCTGCCTGGCTGCCCCGTCTGAGACGTGAGGAGCCCCTACGCCCGGCAGCCGCCCCGTCTGAGAAGTGAGGAGCCCCTCCGCCCGGCAGTCGCCCCGTCTGAGAAGTGAGGAGCCCCTCCGCCCGGCCAGCCGCCCCATCCGGGAGGGAGGTGGGGGCCAGCCCCCGCCCGGCCAGCCGCCCCGTCCGGGAGGTGGGGGGTGCCTCTGCCCGGCTGCCCCTTCTGGGAAGTGAGGAGCCCCTCTGCCCGGCCGCCACCCCATCTGGGAGGTGTACCCAACAGCTCATTGAGAACGGGCCATGATGACGATGGCGGTTTTGTTGAATAGAAAAGGGGGAAATGTGGGGAAAAGATACAGAAATCAGATTGTTGCTGTGTCTGTGTAGAAAGAAGTAGACATAGGAGACTCCATTTTGTTCTGTACTAAGAAAAATTCTTCTGCCTTGGAATGCTGTTGATCTATGACCTTACCCCCAACCCAGTGCTCTCTGAAACATGTGCTGTGTCCACTCAGGGTTGAATGGATTAAGGGCGGTGCAAGATGTGCTTTGTTAAACAGATGCTTGAAGGCAGCATGCTCGTTAAGAGTCATCACCACTCCCTAATCTCAAGTACCCAGGGACACAAACACTGTGGAAGGCCGCAGGGTCCTCTGCCTAGGAAAACCAGAGACCTTTGTTCACTTGTTTATCTGCTGACCTTCCCTCCACTATTGTCCTATGACCCTGCCAAATCCCCCTCTGCGAGAAACACCCAAGAATGATCAATAAAAAAAATTAAAAAAAACAAAAACAACAACAAAAAAAACTGGGCATGGTGGTGCATGCCTGTAGTCTCAGCTACCCAGGAGGCTAAGGTGACAGCATTGCTTAAGCCTGGGAGGTGGAGGCTGCAACGATGTGAGTGGTTGCACCACTGCACTCCAGCCTGGGTAACAGAGCAAGACCCTGTCTAAAAACAAAGCAACCACACACAACAGTGGAGGACAAAAGGCAATGAAATGGCATATTCAAAGTTCTGAAGAAACTGTCAACCAATAATTCTATACCTGGCAAAACTACCTTTGAAATTGAAGAGAAATTAAGATATTCTAGATAAATAAAAACTGAGAGACTTTGTTGCTAGAAGACCTGCCCTATAAGGAGTACTAACGTGAATCTACACAAAGAAATAAAAAACACTGGCTGGGCGCAGTGGCTCAGGCCTGTAATCCCAGCACTTTGGGAGGCTGAGGCTGGAGGATCACTTGAGGTCAAGAGGTTGAGACCAGCCTGGCAAACATGGTGAAACCCTGTCTCTACTAAAAATACAAAAATTAGCTGGGTGTGGTGTTACGTGCCTGCAGTCCTAGCTACTCAGGAGGCTGAGGCACTAGAATCGCTTGAACCTGGGAGGCAGAGGTTGCGGCGAGTAAAGATTGTGCCACTGCACTCTAGCCTGGGCAACAGAGTGAGACTCTGTCCCAAAATGAAGAAAAAAAAAAACAAAAAGATACTTACATAATGCAATAATTATAAATCTAGTTGATGAACATAAAGTATATAAAGATGTAATGTGTGACAATAACAGTATAAAGGAGGGGGTGAGAGTGGAGCTTTAGAGAAGCAAAGTTTTTGTATACCATTGAAACAAAGTTGGAATTAATCTGAACTACAACGTTATAAAATTAAGATGTAGCTGAGACGACAGATGCGCACCACCACACTCGGCTAACTAAAAAAAATTTTTAGAGATAGGGTCTCACTATGTTGCCCAGGCTGGTCTCAAACTCCTGGCCTCAAGCAATCCTCCTTCCTTGGCCTCCCAAAGTACAGGGATTATAGGTATGCACCACTGCATCTGGCCACAAACATTTTGTTTTTTTACTGTTCATTTTTCAAGACAGGTTTTCACTGTTTCCCAGGCTGGAGTGCAGTGGCACAATCATGGCTCACTGCAGCCCCAATCTCCCGGGCTCAAGTGATCCTCCTGCCTTAGCCACCTGAGTAGCTGTGACTACAGGCATGTGCCACCACGTTCAGCTAACTTTTAAATTTTTTTTGTAGAGATAAGCTCTCAGTATGTTGCCCTGGCTGGCCTTGAACTCCTGGGGTCAAGCAATCCTCCCACCGCAGCCTCCCAAAGTGCTAGGATGACAGGTGTGAGCCACTGCACTGCAAAAATACAGAAGACCAAATTATTAAAATTAGAAATGAGAGGGGACATTACTATTGTTCTTAGAGACATAAAAAGGATTATAATATGAATAAAAAGGATTATACATATATACAATATATGCTAATAATTGGATAAGCTGGATGAAAGACACATTACCAGAAAAATATGAACTACTGAATCTGACTTGAGAAAAAAACAGAAAATCTGAATAGACAGACCTATGTCAAGTAAAGAGATTGAGGTAGTAATCAAAAAACTTTCCACTAAGAAAAGCTGAAGACCAGCAGGCAGCCTCACTGGTGAATCTACCAAATACTTAAAGAAGAATTAACACCAATCCTTCATAAAGTCTTTCAAAATACAGATGAGGAAAGAACATTTCCTAACTTATTCTATGAGGGTGATATTAACCTGGTATCCAAACTAAAGACATCACACACAAAAAATTACAGACCAGTATTTCTTATGAATGTAGATGGAAAAATGCTTGACAAAATCTGTCAAACCAAATTCAACGGAGTATTCTGTAAACATGAAGCCGATAATAATAGCACGATTCTCCAAATTGATCTATGGTTTCACTACAATTGTTGTTTTTTTGAGTGAAAAAGTTTTCATTTATTGGCCGGGCACAGTAGCTCATGCCTGTAATCCCAGCATTTTGGGAGGCTGAAGCAGGTGGATCATCTGAGGTTAGGAGTTCGAGAGCAGCCTGATAAACGTGCTGAAACCCCATCTCCATTGGAGTCTCACTCTGTTGCCCAGGCTTGAGTGCAATGGCGTGACCTCGGCTTACTGCAACCTCCACCTCCCGGGTTCAAGTGATTCTCCTACCTCAGCCTCCTGAGTAGCTGGGATTATAGGCGCCTGCCACCACGCCCTGCTAATTTTTGTACTTTTAGTAGACATGGGGTTTCACCATGTTGTCCAGGCTGGTCTCTAACTCCTGACCTCAGGCGATCTGCCTGCCTCAGCCTCCCAAAGTGCTGGGATTACAGGCATGAGCCACTGCACCCTGCTAACATATCCTCTTTCTAAAAAGCTACATATATTGCAAAGTATTGGAGTGGGAATAACATAGCAGTTAGGTTGGGCATTTGGGTTGATTACATATCTGCTATTATCAGTACAGTTCTTATCAAAATCCCAGCTGGCTTCTTTCCAGAAAGTGACAAGCTAGTTCTAAAATAATAATGCAATTTAAGGCACCCTAAATAGCAAAATAATCTTGTAAAATAACAAAGTGGGAAGACACAAATGTCCCAATTTCAAAACCCAAATCAAATCCACAGCAATCACAGTGTGATACTGGAATGTGGACAGACAAATAAATCAATAGAATAGAATTGACAACCCAGAAATAAACCCTCACATTTATGGAAAATTGATTTTTGACAAGGGTGCTGAAACAATTCTACGTGGAAATAATGTTTTTTTTTTTAAAATGGTGCTGGAACAACTGAACATCTATGTGCAAAATAATGAAGGTGGACCCCCTACATCTCACACGATTATAAGAATTGATGCAAAATATGTCAAATACCTAAATGTAAGAGCCAAAATGATAAGACTCTTACACAAAAACATGGGAGTAAATCTCATGACCTTAAATTAGACAACAATTTTTTCCTCTCCAAACTGGATTTTTTTTCTTTTAAAACAATTTTGTCTTTTGAATTTAATGAAGTATTACTAGCTGAAGGCAGCCTGACATGGTGAAAAGAATGTCAGACAGATGAAAGGGACACAGCCTGATTTAAAACCAAACACTGAACCTTTTTAAAGAAGAATAAGACATTTTATACACACACATGACACCAAAAGCACAAACAACCAAAGGAAAAATAGATACATTAGATTTTATCAAAATTAAAAACTTTTGTGCATCAAAGGACACTGGCAAGAAAGTCACAGAACTCACAGGATGAGAGAAAATATTGGCAAATTATCTGTTAAGGTCTAATATCCAGAGTATCCAGAATATATAGAGAATTCCTATAATTCGATAAAAAGACAAATCAATTTTTTAAATGGGCAGAGGATTTGAATAAATATTTCTTCAAAAAAGATATATAAATGGCTCATATACACATAAAAATGTTGAATGTCTTAAATCATTAGGGAAATGTCCATCAAAAACTGCAGCGAGATACTACTTTACACTCACTGGGATGGCTATGAGAAGAGACAGACAATGACAGTGTTGACAAAGACCCGGAGAAATTGAAACCCTCAAACATTGCAGATGGAAGTGTAAAATGGAGCAGCCACTGTGGAAATCAGCCTGACAGGTCCTCGAAAAGTTAAACATAAGAGTTGCCATATGATCTAGCAATTCTGCTAGGGATGCACCCTAGAATTAAAAACATGTCCACACAAAAAGTAGTAGATGCATGTCCATAGCAGCATTATTCATAAAAGCCAAAATAAAGTAGAAACAACCACATGTCCACTAAGTGATGAATGGATGAACTGATATAGTGATGGCTCCATACAATGGAATATCACTCAGCCTTGCAAAGGAATGATCCATGCTGCAGCATGGGAGGACCTTAGAAACAACATGCTTCGTGAAAAGAAACTAGACACAAAAGGCCACATACTGTATGATTCGTTTATATGAAAGATCTAGAATAGGCAAATCCATAGGGACTCAAAGTAGATTAGTAGTTACCTGGGCCTGCGGGAAGACAGCACTGGGGAGTGATGGCTAATGGGTACCATGTTTCTTTTTGGGATGATGAAAATGTTCTGGGGTTAGATAATGGTGATTGTTTTCTATACAACCTTGAGAATATACTAACCACCACTGAATTGTACACTTTATAATACTGCGTTGATGGTATGTGGATCAAGTCTCAATGTAACACAAAGAAGCATGTTGTACTGTATAGAACACCAGGTGCCAGAAGACCAAACATGCTGGCAGATGGAAAAAAGAGGAGTGAAGATTCACTCTCCCTTGACCAAGATCAGAGTGAGTCAGTGGCGAGGCTGGGAGCCACACAGCTTGTCCTGCCTTGTGATCCCCCTCCTCTTCCTATTCCATATGGTTTTTCAGTGCCATTAACTTGTTTTGTAACACTAATATTCAATAAGATGATGTTACAAAGAGAAAGAATGTGAGTGCCACATGACTGGTTAAGTATGGATTCTCAAACTAGGGCTTTAAATATCCTTCGTGATTTTTTTTGGCATGAAAACTTGTAAGACCACTGGTGGGCTCTGTACAAAGTCGGCTACCCCCTCATTCTATATCTTCCTCTGCCCACTTTCCTCCCAGCTATTAAAAATGAATGTAGGCTGGGCACAGCATCTCAAGCCTGTAATCTCAGCACTTTGGGAGGCCAAAGCAGAAGGAGAGCTTGAGCCCAGGAGTTTGAGACCAGCCTGGGTAACAAAGTGAGACCCTGTTTCTATTTTTTCTTAAACACCAAAAATAATGACTGTAAGGCAGTATGTAGCCAAACAACTTAGCAAAGTTTGTTATCTTTCCTCCAAAATTCTCTCACTCTCCAACCTTCCCTCTTTCTTGATAGCTCATCCATAGCCTTGAGCTCAGCATTACCTCTGAACTAGGAAGCTCTTCTCCAGCTGACATTAGGATCTTTGCATTTGTCCCTAATGAAATCAAAATATAGGGCCATTCGATATTATCCTATTTTCCTCCTGTTCTAAGGCATTCTTTTCTTGACTAAGGTTGTGCCTGGGCCGTGGAGAGACTGAGTGGGAACTGGCTCAACGGCTCAAGTTTGAGGACTCTACAGCAACTCTTTTCCACAAACCAAATGATATGAATGCTTTTATTTATTTATATTTATGTTTCCACTTTTTAAAAGTCTTTTTGTAGAGATTGGGGTCTCACTTTGTTGCCCAGGCTGAACTTGAACTCCAGGGGCTCAAGCGATTTGCCTGTCTTGGCCTCCTAAAGTGCTGGGATTAAAGGCATGAGCCAGCGCGCCCAGCCTCGAGTGTTTTTAGATTCACAGTAGATGATCATTTCCATTTCTGGTTCAAGTCCTTCATTTTATACATTAAACTAAGGTGCACTGACTCCCAGTCCATCGACTTTTTGGTATCTTTATGGGAGTAAAATGTGGCAAGCTTTTTTTCAGCCTCAAAGACTGTCTCAGAGTAAAAGTTTAAGAAGTACTGCTCTAAATAATTTTATTAAATATGCCTTATTAGATGAGGAAAACTGAAATATTTTTATATAAGCCTTTTGCTGTAGAACAATGGGACAGAATAAAGGTAGCTCACAAAATAAGGGAACATTTCTTGCCTGTTTTTTTTTTTCCCCTCCAAATTCTTCTACACAGGTCCAGATAGATGGGCTATGTTTCCTTTCTATTAACTGAGGAGACAGAGATGAAAGGACTGGAGCATGTCATCACTGTCTTAAATGTACTGAAATTCTAACAGCTCTAGCTGAAAAAATGTCCAAAGCAGGCCGTGAAAATAAATTTAAATGACAAACTCCAAAATGATCTATGCTAGAATCCCAAGGCTGTCAGGGAAAACTGGTTCCATGGAAGAAGGTAGTCAAAGAAATAAGCAGATGACCTAGACCCTCACCCAATATGCGCGATGTACTTGGGGAGAAAGTAACCTCTTTCCTTTATTCATCTACATAGGTTCGTGAGCCACACATCTCCCCACACCAAGCTCCTCCATACAAGACCTCGGACTGCATCACGTAAATGCTTTTTCAGGGGCAAAATCTAGAGAATCTGAAACAGTGAGCCTTTTTCTTTTCTTTTCTTTTCTTTTCTTTTTTTTGAGATGAAGTCTCACTCTGTTGCCCAGGCTGGAGTGCAGTGCAGTGGTGTGATCTTGGCTCACTGCAACCTCCACCTCCTGGAGTCAAGTGATTCTCCTGCCTCAGCCTTCAGAGTAGCTGGGATCATAGATGCCCGTCCCCATGCCTGGTTAATTTTTGTATTTTTAGTAGAGACAGGGTTTCACCATGTTGGCCAGGCTGGTCTCGAACTTCTGAGCTCAAGTGATCCACCCACCTTGGCCTCCCAAAGTGCTGAGATTACAGCATGAGACACCATGCCCAGCTGTGAGCCTGTATCTTAATCAAAGTCCTGAGAATAACCTTGAAGAAGACTCCCTTGCAATGAGCAACAACAGAAGAAGCAAGGGACCTGGAATCTGGCAGACCTGGGTTTGAATTCTGGCTCTGTCACTTTCTGGTGAAGTGACTTGAGTAATGAACATGAGCCTTTCTGGGTAGCGTTTACAGCACAAAGCAATTTGAGGAATAAATGAAAGAGCACGTCTAGTGCCTAGCAATGCGCTGGACACAGTGCCGGTGCTCAGCCATCATGTCACACCAGCACTGACCGGTGAGCATAAACCCTGGGGATGCCCAGAGCTGGTACAGCCAGGAGCTCCAGAAGCGTGGGATTCTCAGAGGGAAGTGGAGCTCACTGCTCTACAGGTCCTATTCAAGTTAGAAAGTAAGATACAATGCACACAAAGCCAAATTGTCATCATTCAGCTCCTATTACAGGGGAACTAAGAGCTGCATTGAAAATTATTTGCAAAGCTTGTAAGTGGTTCTGCCACTTATTAGCCGTGTGAACCTTAGCAAATTACCTAGCGTCTCTGAGTTTCAACTTCCTCATCTACAAAATAGAAATGATAATAATAACCGCATCGCAAGAGTTGTTGGAAAAATGAAAATGAGGTATCATAGGAGGTAACATGTATGGAGCATTTACCATAGGCCAAGCACTGTTCTAAGAACTTCGGACATGTTATCTCACTTGTATAAGTACTTAGGTGCCTACAACATAAACAGCACCTGGTAAATTAAGTATTGAAAAAATGCTATGGGGCAGAGGAAGAAATGCTAAGCTTCTGTGAGAAGAGAAGACAGCTTGTTACACAGGTGAAAAGAACAAGCTGCAGCTGAGAGAAGAAAAGTATAAGAGTTGTTAGGTGTGACAATCTCAAGACTTTTCAACCACTACAAATTTAAACAGCCACCCTAAATCACCCCAAAGGACAGACTCGAGTTGTTCTTTTTGTCTTTAATGTTTGCACCTCTCCGAATCAGAGAAGAAGCTGCCAGGATTCCAGTACATACCAAAACATGATGACAATACCCTCAACTGTGCAAACTTTTGTGCATCTACCGCTATGTAAAGGAAGCTGATGTCAGTAGACTGGGGGGAACAGTAAGGCATGTTTGTGACCGAAGCTCAATTTGCCATCACAGTGTGGCCACACCTACCTCACTAATATTCTAATAGTGGGATAAATAATTCAATAGGGATAAAGCCTGGATTTTCCTCTTATTCTTAGTGCTTACATTCTTGGCATGATATCGATGTGCCATAGACAAGCCAATATGTGAGTGTACTCTATCTGAATAAAGTATAGCCTTTCTACATTGCAAAGTCATCCAGTTTCTAAAATTATTGTTAGAACCAATGAAGTGACTAAGAGAATTTTAAAAAATAAGCCATCAGTCTGGACCTGTGTATAGGAATGAAGGAGAAGCACTTTAAAGTCAGGGAAAAAATATAAACATACTTAACATTTAGGATTATCAACCATTGCTGCTTTTCCATAAACCATTTCATTCATGATTTCATCTGTAAGAGATATGATTATTGCCCCCATTCAGTGAGGGGCTTTGATAGTTAGCCGCCTGGTCCTTCTTGCTTGGATGCCCTGCAAATAAATGTCCTCCTTTCCCCAATGCAAAACCTCGATATGGTTGTTTGACTTTACTGTGCTTGGGCCAGCAGAATCCAGTTAAGTCCACTAATAAGCTCTTGGCCTGTCTTTGAGATGGATTTCAGATTCAAAATAGACAGACCCTATCACCCTGCTAACTTGGCCAGTCAGTATTTGTCAATAACATAGAGGCTTCATTCAAGAGATTTACTGGGTTGTAACTATTGGAACCCAGGGATGATTTCAGGATTTTGTGGGGCCTGAGCCTTATCTAGTAAAAACATTAAAAAAATTATGACTACAAAAATTTCCAGGGGCCCTCCCAGGACCTTGGAAGGGCCTGTGCAAGTGAGAAGCCTGGAAGGTTAGGCTCTATTCATCATCGATCAACCACAGCTGGGGCCTCTTTTTTTGTTTGTTTTTTATAAACTTGTGTAATGCAGGGAAATATATTGTTTCAACTTACAAACACCACAAAATGGTGTCATATTGGTCATAAAATTACTGGCACCTTCCCTTGGCATCTTGCCTTTGGAAGGAAATGCAGTGGGCCTATATGTCACATATGCCAAATATGACTGCAGTGTAGCTTTGTTTACCAGGAAGATTTGACTCCAAAAGAGCCCAGCCCCTAACATACACTTGGTGTGTTGAGACCCTTGTGCCAATCTTTGAAAGTAACTGTGACTTAGTTTGAAGGGTACAGCTCTATTCTGTTTATATGAAATGAGTGCTAGTTTCCAATATCAGCTAGCTCTGATTTTTTCATCACCATGAAGCAAATGCCTTTTTCTGTTGTTTAAGATGAACACAGAAACTCAAGATAAGCAAGTTAGTGTCTCTCAAGTCTTTCTTAACCCAGCCCCCATTCCTGCTTTGTCCTCTCCTTGTCACCCTGCCGTACAGATCCCCACATGGCTCTCATATGTTTTCCCATCAGCATCCGCTTCCTCCTTGAGGAATGAAAGTCCCCTGGGGACAAAGTCCTCATCTTGGTGTGTCTTTGAGATGGATTTTGTAGCCCCAGCACTTAGTACAGTACCTGGCACAAATGGACATGACACTCTGAATGTTTTTGAGTGAATTCATTAATTTTTATCAACTGTGATTCCAGTGTTTTCCTGGTGTTGCCTACATAATTGTAGTGAAGCTGGCTAGATGATGACGATGATGATTATTATTATTATTATTATATTATTATTATTATTTGAGACAGAGTCTCACTCTGTCCCTCAGGCTGGAGTGCAATGGTGCCATCTCGGCTCACTGCAACCTCCGTCTCCTGGTTTCAAGTGATTCTCCTGCCTCAGCCTCCTGAGTACCTAGGATTACAGTTGCCTGCCACCATGCCCAGCTAATTTTTGTGTTTTTAGTAGAGACAGGTTTCACCATGTTGGTCAGGCTGGTCTTGAACTCCTGACCTCAGGTGATCCACCCACCTCAGCAAAGTGCTGGAATTACAGGCATGAGCCACCGCTCCCGGCCACCAGATTTTTATGAGGGACTCCCAGTTGTATAAAGTGCTTAGTAAAGATGGTGAGTTTAAAACATTTGTATTGATGCTACCTAAACCTCTTGGTGGAGGGACCTAATGAGCCTGTTCTCTGGTGTGAGGGCAAAAGAAAAACAGACCTTTAGTGTACTTTTCCTAAGTTATGCATCAGCAAATTAATGAGGACAGAGGGGAGCATGTGCAGAAACTGCTGCTCTAGTCCAGACACATCCTGAATGCCTCCCTCTAACTTGAAATGAACTGTGTGAAACTAGATTTCTGAACCACAAGGCAGGTGGAACGTCTTTTCTAAAGTCAGATGTAGAGGAGAATCTTCACCTTGAGTCCCCTTCAGGCCACTGAATATACCCACTCTGATTTGATGGGTATGTTATACAGAGAAATCATAGAATTTTTGCAATTATGGTAGAAGAGTAGTCAGGAAAGTATATGGAATTAAGATACAGCGATATATTTTCTTTACAAAAGTTTTTTTTTGCACAATAGCTTAACATAAACACCATCTTGGCCAGGCATGGTGGCTCACACCTGTAACCCCAGCACTTTGGGAGGCTGAGGTGGGCGGATCACCTGAGGTCACAGGAGTTCGAGACCAGCCTGGAGGGGAGGTTGGAGGGTAGTGGCACAATCTCGGCTCACTGCAACTTCCCCCTCCCGGGTTCAAGCCATTCTCGTGCCTCAGCCTCCCGATAGCTAGGATCACAGGTGCCCGCCACCATGACCTGCTAATTTTTGTATTTTTAGTAGAGATGAGGTTTTGCCATGTTGGCCAGGCTGGTCTCAAACTCCTGACCTCCAGTGATCCTCCCACCTTGGCCTCCCAAGGTGCTGGGATTACAGGCATGAGCCACCATTCTGGCCCTACAACTTTGGATTTGATTCCTGCTCATATGCAGAGTTTCTAACTGCTTAAATGTCTGCAACATTTAGCTGCAAGGAAGGAAGCTTAACACAAAGTCCTCCAGGGAGCAAAAAACTGCACCACCACGCCCAGATTTTTTTTTTGTATTTATAGTAGGGACAGGGTTTCACTATGTTGGCCAGGCTGGTGTTGAATTCCTGACCTCGGGTGATCCACCCACCTCGGCTCCCAAAGTTCTGGGATTACAGGTCTGAGCCACCCCGCCCAGCAACAAGGCTAATTTGAGGGTCACTTCTTTGATGCCTTTTCTTGCCCATGCTATAGGTCAGAACTAGGACAAGCAGAGGAGGTCATATATAAGCTACGTAAGTCTCTTGGCCTCTTTGTACCTTAGCTTCCCCATTTGAGAAAAATGAATGGATCTTAAGACATGCTTTTCAGAGTTGATAATGGGCTTATACCCAGCTACCCAATAATTGTATGAGTTTTTGTACATAAATAGTTGTTTACATGTATTCATCTTCTATTTCACTTACAACTTATGTAAAAACTGCATTCCGTGCCAGGCCTGAAATGTTCCAAAGCTGAGTTCTGTAATTACATTGCAACTAAGATTTCTAAAAAAAAAAGACACAAGCCAAAGAAAAAAAAAATTATTTCAGAACATTTATCATTTGCCATGATTCTAATTTATATAGGATGGAACATAACCTCAATCCTTTCTCTATGCACTAAGGAAATCTGACTGTGGAAGATACTGGCTTATGATTTATACTTTAACACTGCACATGTGGTGCATTAGATACAAAACAGTGAATGCTCAGTAAATACCTGTGTTAAGTGATCTTTATTTCTCTAGAACAGGATTTCACAACTTCAGTGCCATCAACATTTTGGACTATATAACTCTTTGCCATGGGGGTTTGTCTTATACCTTGAAGGATGTTTAGCAGCATCTCTGGCCTTTGCCCACCAGATGCCAGGAGCACACTCACAGTTTTGTCAACCAAAACTGTCTCCGGACATTACCAAATGCCACCTGAGTGCAAAATCACACCACCTGAGAACCACTGCTCTCTGATGATTCACTAAGATCTGTGTAATAATTCTCACAATAATCCTTGCTAGAGACAAAAAGGATTTGCTGTATAATTTTAGTAGCTTTCTACTGGTAAAATTTTAATCATATTTCAAGAATAGCAAAAAGGTTTATAATTAAGTTTTATAAAAATTCCAAATGTAATCAAGTTATATTTGTAACTTACATAAACTTCAAAAATGGTAGTGGTTCAAATGTATGTCTTTCAATAGACTGTATTTTATTGCAGGATAAATCTCTAGGAAAACGAAAATATTGCCTTGATTAGTTATTAAATGTCAATTGGTATGAATAACAGCAAGAGTTTAGAATAATACTGAATACCTGTTTTTCATCTCAACTCTAAACGTTTGGACTTGTATTTGAACATTCCAGAGCCCCTAACCCTGCCCATACCTCTCCTAGAGTCTCACCTTCATGGTTTTAATAAATATACAACATAATAGACTTTGGAATTAATTTTTCCTGAGAGCAGTAGACTTGATTAGATGCCCTTTTGTAGTGTCATCAAATCTTAGATTATGAGCTCAAAGATTTTATCTCTATATACACAATTTCTAATATTAAAAAAAATAGTCGGGCCGGGTGCGGTGGCTCAGGCCTGTAATCCAGCACTTTCGGAGGCCGAGGCTGGCAGATCCTGAGGTCAGGATATCGAGACCATCCTGGCTAACACGGTGAAACCCTGTCTCTACAAAAAAAATAAAAAATTAGCCGGGCCTAGTGGCACGTGCCTGTAGTCCTAGCTGCTCAGGAGGCTGAGGCAGGAGAATGGCATGAACCCAGGAGGCGGACCTTGCAGTGAGCCAAGATTGCACCACTGCACTCCAGCCTGGGCGACAGAGCGAGATTCCGTCTCAAACAAACAAACAAACAAACAAGTCTCACATTTCTACACCTTCTTAGTTTAGGTCTGTTTTCCTAAGCCACTTCAATATCAGAAGAAATAAAAGACATCCTTTCACATCATTTGAAAGGAAGCTACCCCTTTACCTAATACATAACTTTGAACTAATTCAAATCATATTAATAGAATTAATTTCTATCATATTAATAGAAATTCATTTTTGGTTTTGTATTGCTTTAATATTTCATAAAAAAAAATTTCTTCAGTTATACAGTGATGGAGTTTGTCCCTCCCTCTTTACCTGGATGGTGTAACGTTGTCTGGCTGATGTCTCCATCTCTAGTCTCTCCCTACCTAAACTATCCTGCACACAGTCATCATATAAACTCTCCAGAAGTGGCTTGCAAAGACCAGCATCTCCTGGGAAATTACTGAAGATGCAAATTCTTGGTCCCACTCTAGACCAACTGAATCAGTAACTACGAGGGTGGAGTCCAGAACTGAGTTCTAACGTGCCCTCTCAATGACTGTGATGCAGATCTACCTTACAGCGCTGCTGTGGTAACACGGTTCCCCATGTTGGCTCCTCAGCTTGGCATTCAAAGCTCTAGAAGATCTGGCTCCATTTTCCTACTCTCCCTTCTTGTACTCTACGGGTACTCATGGCATTCCTTGAATACTTTCCTGTGTTTTGCCCTCCCATTTTCCTTTTGCAAGTTTAGAGTATTTTCCCCAAGATGTCTGTCTGGTGTTACACAATGGCCCTTTAAAGTCCTATTCAAATGGCATTGTTCTAGTAACATCCTCCTGGGTCCAAATTGAAGGCATTTTTTCCTCTTCTATGTTCGAGAAACAATTTATCCCTCCTAGTGCCCACATCCGTTTCTTCTTCTTAATGTAGTTATTTTTTATCCCATTTCTTCTGAGCATAAACTCCCTGAAAGCATGGACTAGGTCTTGCTCATCTGCATTGCCCACCATGTTTAAAACTGACACATGGAAATAAAGCAAACTCAAATATTTGTAAAATAAATGAATAGCTGGGGGAGTGAGTAGAAGGAAAATAACTATTTTAAAGGAAATGTAGTTTTATTATTTCATGGTCTCTGTAGCACTTTGGCATCCACCTGAGGGTCTTTACACCCACTTTCCTTAAGCCTTCTATATTTGAAAGAATCTGTTTGCAAAAGAGCATCACTAATGAGCTTAATAAGGATTAATGACATACAGACCTCTATGGACAAAGGGTAAGAATCAAGCTTTCATAGCAATGAACATAGTATCTTCTTGTCTCTAAACAGACAGAAATACAGGGATCCCTTTCTGGTAACAGGGCTGGGGCGATCGTTATTTTGTAATTAGTGAAGAGTTAGGGGCATTTCTGATGTGCTTCTTAGTGTAAACATTTCTAGCTCTACCAGTTAACCATCATTTTAAACATCTGTTTTAATATAACAATTCCTGAAATGAAATCCTTAATACCAGTCTATTCTCTTGGTAGCTTAATATTCTTTATAATATTATTGATATAATTCAGCTATTTTTAATATTTAAATGTTAATTTAATTCCGATTAAATTACCAAAAAATTCTGGATTAATGATGTTCAAATGAATGCAGGTGGTCTCCATTTTCTTCTCCTTTAGGCAACCATCTGAAGTTAACTTTAGTTCCTTTCATCCTACTAAACCAACTTTTTGAAATTTTTTTTGGTGAAGGTCAGACAGTAAATATTTTAGGTTTTATGGGCCACATATGATCTCTCGCATATTTCTTTGTTTCTTTTCTTTTTCTTTCACAGTCCCTTTAAAAATGCAAAACCCATTCTTAACTTAATGGGCTATTTAAAAATAGACCATAAATTAGATTGGATCTATTGGTTGTAGACTGAATAGAAAAAGAATGATATGTGAACCCTTATAAAACAAGGTTCATATGGGTGTCAGTCACTGCTCAGATTTTCTTACCATGTGAAATGTTTTTGTCTGTATTTTGTCTATACAACTTAAAAACTGAAAATGCACAGGAGGTAGCTAGTGCTAGAGATGGGCTGAGACCCTATACAAACTTACAGAATTGCAGAATTTTATTGCTCAAAGAAATCTGAGAGATTATCTAATTTGAACCCCTTATTCATTTTACAGATAATATGACTAAAAACTCATAAATATAATTAACTAACTTACAAATACTGGAGGGATAGCAGGCCTTCAAATGAATCCTTGTGTAATTCAGTCAAGTTATTTTCTCTGAGAATTCTGGAAAATGAAGAAGTTATTTCTAGATTAAAATGCAAACTACAACTATTTGCTACACAGAACCATCTCCTGCATGTGGAGGAAAGCTGGGTCATGGTCACTTCAAGATGGTGGGATCTGCTCTGCTTTCATTCAAACCTTTTCTTATATTTTCCTTTTTGTGTCCATCTCTCTCCACCACCACCACAAACACACACACACACACTCAAGCACACCCCTTGAAGAGTGGGTTTCTTCCCACCAAATTCTATTATTTCATGCCTCCTCTCTAGATCACAAAATCCCTTTTAGAATCCAACTCTGGGTGGCACCAAGATCAGCAGAACCTCCATTTCCTCCTCTCTTTTCCCAAACCTTATTATGAAAGCCCCACATGGAACCATGTCAGGGCTGCAAGTGAAGCCATTCAACCTTTTTCCCCCCATCAAAAAAATTGGAGAACTATAATGTGCATAAAGTGCACATAACATAAATGTTGTTTATTTAATTTAATTTAATTTTTGAGACAGGGTCTCACTCTGTTCCCAGACTGGTCTCAAACTCCTGGCTCAAGTGATCCTCCTGTGTCTGCTTCCCAAAGTGCTGTGACTGCAGACATGAGCCACCTCACCTGGCCAAAATATTCAGTTTAATAATTATGAAGCAGATACCCATGTAAACATCGTTACAAAAGATCATTGCTAGCATGCCAGAAGCCCCAGTGTGCCCCTTTCCAATCATATCCCTCTCTCTAACCCTAATAGGTAACCACTATCCTGACCTTTGTAATAATTTTCTTGTTTTTAAAATGTAGTTCTGGCCTGGCGTGGTGGCTCATGCCTGTAATCCCAGCACTCTGGAAAGCCAAGGTGGGTGAATCACCCACGGTCATGAGTTTGAGACCAGCCTGGCCAACATGGTGAAACCCTGTCTCTACTAAAAATATAAAAATTAGCTGGGTGTGATGGAGGGCACCTGTAATTCCAGCTACGCGGGAGGCTGAGGCAGGAGAATCCCTTGAACCCGGGAGGTGGAGGTTGCAGTGAGCCAAGATCGCACCATTGCACTCCAGCCTGGGCAACAAGAACAAAATTCCATCTGAAAAAATAAATAAAGCAATTCTCCTGCCTCAGCTTCCCAAGTAGATGGGATTACAGGCACCCACCACCACGCCTGGCTACTTTTTGTATTTTTAGTAGAGATGGGGTTTCGCCCTATCGGCCAGGCTGGTCTCAAACTCCTGACCTCAGGTGATCCGCCTACCTCCCAAGGTGCTGGGATTAAAGGCGTGAGCCACCGCGCCTAGCATATGTTTATTTTTAATTTAGAACTCATCGTGGCTTGTCTATATACATTGAAATAATGATGTGACACACAAACTGTTGTGAAAAATGTCAGTTACTTTGAATGTAAGCATTTTTTCCAAAATCACTTATGTGTCTAAACCAATTCCTTCTATAAATCAGTAAGAAAATGATAAAACAATTCAACAGGAAAATGAACAAAGGCCAGAAAACTCAGAGAAGAAACACAAATGTTCAATAAACATATAAAGATACTAAATTAAATTCATGAGTAATCAGAAAAATTCACATTTAGATGGAATCCCTTTTATTCATCCATAACTTCAGCAAAAAGTTGGAGAATACCCAGCGGTGAAAAGGTGTTGGGAAATGAATGCTGTCATATTCTGCTGACAATAGAGTAAGTTGGCACAAAATTTTTGAAGGCAACTAAAATTTTATATCTACATAGTCTTCACCCCAAGAATTCCATTTCCAGATATCTATGCTACAGGAATACTTGCACATGTTCACAAAGAAGCATGTACAGGGATTTCATTGCAGCAATGCATGTAACAAGAAAACTAAGCATAATCTAAACATTCATCAATGGGGGAATTATTAAATAAACCATGATGCATCCATACTATGGATTATGCAGGAGTTTAAATGAATGGGGTGACCCTCTCAGTACTGGGAAGCAAAGAAATCTAAGGCATATCATGAAGTGAAAGAATCAAGTTGCAAGATGTTACCCTTTATGCGAAGAAAAAATTTTAAAACCACAAAACAAATCTATTTTGCTTTATGTAAATATGTATGTAGGTAAATGAGGAAAAGTCTGGAAGCATGTATACTAAATGCAGAGTAGCATTACTTCAGGGATGAGGGAGTAGGGCACAAGGAGAGTTTTTGTTATATCTGTTATTGCATTTTTATATATTAAAAATGGAATCATGGGCTGCGGGTGGTGGCTCATGCCTGTAATATGAACACTTTAAGAGGCCAAGGTGGGAGGATCACTTGAGCCCAGGAGTTCAAGACCAGCCTAAGCAGCATAGGAAGACCCTGTCTCTACAAAAAATACAAAATTAGGTGGGTGTGGTGGCATGCACCTGTGGTCCCAGCTACTGGGGAGGCTGAGGTGAGAGGATCACTTGGGCCTGGGAGGTGAAGGCTGCAGTGAGCTGTGATTGTGCCACTGCACTGCAGCCCAGAGGACAAAGTAAGACCCTGTCTCTGAAAAAAAAAAAAAAAAAAAAAAAAAGAGAACAAAAAGGAATATAACCATGTACTATTTGTATGATAAAAAATAAATTTAAATTGCCTCTTATTTTAAAGAGAGCCTACCAAATTTAATTTTAAAATAACCATACAATTGCAATCAACAGTGGTTGATTTGGGGCGTGGAGGAGAAATATCTTTCCTCAGAGGTACCGACCTCAAAATTCTGGACCAAGAAGGATCTTACAATGCAGTTAGCTTTTTGTCATATTTGGAGAGAATATACTCACAGTTTCTCGGTCCAACTGTATGCTTTCCATACATTTCCATCAATGTAAGAAATATAGTTTCCTTGGAAATTTCTGTGAAGAAACACAGTTTATATCCTTGAATAGGTAGGAAAACAATGAACACGATAAGTAAAAGAATCATTGCAACCTTGTTGGGGATATTCAGAAACAGAAAATAACACCTGCTTTCTCATTTCCAGAGCTATCAGCTTCCCAGTTTGCACAATTCATCAAGAAATTATGCGGGGTCACTGGCACAAATGATGAGGCATCTCCTGGAAGCTTAACTTCTTATCCATCCCATCTCTTGGACAGATGATGCCAGTTAATTACTTTGAATGTAAGTATTTTATCTAAAAGCACTTATGTGTCTAAACAGACTTCTACAAATCAGTACCAAAATGGTAAATAATTCCACAGAAATATGGGCAAAAGCTTATCATTATCAACAAATGAGAAGAAAGAAACCCTATGCCAGGTAACACCAAAGCTTTGGCCCAGTGCCCTCTGTTGAAACATCCTAGGCTTTTTCTTTCCACTCCTATTACAACTGATCTGATTTGGCCCCTTCACACCTCACTCCTAGATTTTGCTAGACCTTTCTATTTTGTCTCCCTGAATTAAGCTTTTCCTTTTGGACACTTTACATATGGATTCTAAAACAATCCTCTGCATGTCTACACTTGCACATAATGCAAAAAACAAAATAAAATAATCTTCCTGTTTTGATCATGTAATCTCTCTTGCTTGGAAACTTTCAATGGCTTTCCATACCTCATTGTGTAACTTTCAAACTCCTATAGCTGATAATCAAGGTTTTACAGAATCGTATCTTCATTGCTCCCTCACCTAATTCTTTGTAGCCACATTGGTCTACTAAATTCCAACCATACCTGTAGCCATGCGTTTGCCTAGACTGTACTCCCATTTTTCTCCTATTTAACAAATTATGGCTACTCTTTAAGACCCAAGTAAAGTTTTAGCTTACCCATGTAGCATCTCCACACCTCAAGGATCACAGATTCTGGCAAATTCTAGCACCAATGGTCTGCATTATCTTTTAGTACTTAATTATATATACCTCCCTTTTTATGCCTATTCTCTTTCTTCCCTCCTATCATTTTTTTTTTTTTTTTTTTGAGATGGAGTCTTGCTCTGTCGCCCAGGCTGGAGTGCAGTGGTGCAATCTCGGCTCACTGCAAGCTCTGCCTCCCAGGTTCACGCCATTCTCCTGCCTCAGCCTCCCAAGTAGCTGGGACTCCAGGCACCCACCACCATGCCTGGCTAATTTTTTTCTGTATTTTTAGTAGAGATGGGGTTTCACCATGTTAGCCAGGATGGTCTTGATCTCCTGACCTCGTGATCCGCCCGCCTCGGCCTCCCAAAGTGCTGGGATTACAGGCGTGAGCCACCACACCCAGCCTCTTCCCTCCTATCATTTTTGTGTTCTGGAGACAGTAGCATACTTGGCCCTGGGTTTGACATAAAACTAGTTCTACATATAGAAAGCTAGGGACAAAAATGAGTTCTGGACAAAACTAAAGGACTGAATAATCATGTGAACAGCCAACTCTCCTACATATGCTAAGCACTGATGAAGTGTTTCATATATTCACTCACCTAAATTTCACAACAATCCTATGAAATGCTAACTAGCATGATCCCCAGTTTAAAGGTGAGGAAATTGAGTCACAGGCAGAATAACTTGCTCTGGGTCACCAAGCTAATAAATAGATCTGGGTTCAAACCCAGGCAGCCTGGCTCCGGAATCAACTCTTAACCACTTAGAGCATCATCACTGAGATCGGGAGAGGGACAGGCTGCTGTAAAGAGGGTGAAGCGAAAATGGGAGGAGAGCAGCGGTTAAGCAATGATGTGATGGGGCTAAATAAAAATGGATACAAAAACGAGTAAAAGACCAGAGTAAAAGGAAAAGACTGGAGAAGGGGCCTAACATTAAAAGAGAATGAGGAGAAGGGAGAGTTGACAAGCAAAGGTGAAAGCAGAAAGTCAGTTGTCCATATGGCTTGGGGAGATAAAGAAGGCCCAGGAAGGCCTCCAGGAAAAGGCTGCCATGTCAGGCAGGACACAGAGGACAATTGAGGAAAAGTGATTCTTACAAGATGGTGAAGGTGCCATTGTGGGTGTTGGGCTCTGGCACAGGCACTTGGCGGAGCCTCTGCTCTGGGTTGAGATCAATACATGACAACATCTCATCTCCGCAGGTACAGAGCTCACATATGTTGGTGCTTGTGGAGGCCTTGTGTTCCTCTGGTGCAGTTAAAGCCTTATTTTGGGTGTAACTTTCAGACTGCACCAGTGAATCCTGAGCAGGTTCTAGTTCAGTAGGTGGACCTGTGACTTCAGTCAGGCTTCGATGCAGAGTCTGAACCCGGTCTGGACGAGGAGCTGTAGTCTTCTCCAGGGCTGTAGAATGTCCAGTCTCTGTAGTGGGTTCTGGAATGATGGCAAGTCCCAGGTCTGGAAGCTGAGTTGAGGTCTCCTCCGTGGTTGGAGATGGTTTAACCTCTGTAGTAGGTTTTGTAGTTATGGTAAGCTCCAGGTCCAGAGGTTGAACGGTGGCTTGAGTCAGGTGTGAATGCTGAGCCTGACCCTTGTCTGAAGGTGGAAGTGTCACCTCAGGGTGTCCTGGAGGAGGAGCTGTAGTCATCAGGGCTGTAGAAGGTTCAACCTCTGTCATGGATTTTGGAGTGATGGTAAACCCCAGGTCCAAAGGTTGAACTGTGGCTCGAGTCAGGTGTGAATGCTGAGTCTGAACCTGGTCTGGATGTGGAAGTGTCACCTCAGGATGCTTTGGAGAAACTATAGTCCTCTTCGGGGGTGTAGAATGTCCAACCTCCGTAGTGGGTTCTGGAGTGATGGTAAGTCCCAGGTCCAAAAGTTGAACTGTAACGCTGGGTGACACTGGATGCTGAGCTTGATCCTGACCTGGTGTTGGATTTGTTACCCCTTGATATACTCGAAGTTGGGGTACAACTTTCTTAGGAGGCTGAGTTGGGGTCTCCTTCATGGTTGGAGAAAGTTCAACCTCTGTCATGGATTCTGGAGTGATGGTAAACCCCAGATCCAAAGGTTGAACTGTGGCTTGAGTCAGGTGTGAATGCTCTGGAGGTTGAGCTACAACTACATTAGGGAACTCTGGAGTCTGAGCTGGGGCCTCCTGATGGGTTAGGGAAGACTCACCCTCCTCAGCGGTCTGTGGATGCTCAGCTGCAGCCTCCTGCTGGGTTGGAGAGGGGTTCTCATTATTAATAGGTTCCGGAGATTGAAATGAAGTCTCCTGTTGAACTGCTAAAGGTCCAGCTTCTTCTGATGACTCTGGAAGCAGAGGTGGGCCCCCGTGCTGGATGGCGGGAGGTTCTACATCATTACCTGACCCTGAGAGCCGAGTTGTAGCCTCCTGGTGGACTAGAGAAGTTCCCACCTCTGCACTAGGCTCTGCTGCTATGGTGAGCTGCACGTCTGGAGGCTTCACAGAGACACTGGGTGAAGCTAAATGATGAGTTTGATGGTGACCTGGAGGTGAAACTGTGACTTCATGATGTTCTGGAGGCTGACCTGGGGTCTCCTGCTGGGTCGGAGAAGATTCGACCTCCCTAGAAGACTCAGAAGGCTGAACTGGCTGCTGCTGCTCACTGATGGAAAGTTCATGCTCCATAGGAGGAACTGGAGGCTCAATTGGGGCCTCCTGTTGGGTTGCAGAAGGTTCCACCTCCTCTGGAAACTGAATTGGGGTCTCCTGCTGGGCTTGGGAAGATTCTGTCTCATTGGTAGGCTCTGAAGTTATGGTAACCTCCACATCTGCAGGTTTAACTGTAATGTTGGGCAAGTGATAATAAGCTTGATCCTCACCTGGAGGTTGAACTGACACCTCATGATTCGGTAGAGTTAGACTCTCCATAGAGGACTCTGGAGGCAGAGCTGGGGCCTCCTGCTGCATTGAAGAAGGTTCTTCCTCAAGGAGCTGTGGAAGCTGTGCTGGGGCTTCTTGCTGGAGTGAAGAGGACTGGATGTCTTCAAGGGTCTCTGGATTTTGAGTTTCGGGCTCTAGATGGAATTGAGAAGGTCCAACTTGCTCAGAGGGCCCTGGAGGCTCATCTGACTTCACCCGGAGTTCTGGAGGCAGGCTACCGGGATACGGTGTATCTGTACTGGAATATTCATTCTGCAAAGTCTGTTTCTGACTCTGAGGTGTGGATAATTGGTGTATAATTCCAATAATCTCAGCAAGGCTCCAACGCTGAGCTGGATCTTTCTTCAGCTTCTTGGGCGAAACAGGGAGCCTTTCCTGTGGACTCAGCTTGTCCTTTAAATCCTGCTGTGAAGCCAAGAACTGCTCTGGCTCCAGGGGCAGCTCTCCAGCTGAATCCCAGGTGTCCAGGAATGGAACCAAATTTTCAGTCGATTCCTGGGGTGGGGCTGGCATCTCTGAGGAAGCAGAGGGCCCCAGGTGATCAAAGTCCCACGGGTCTGCTGGGAGAGTAGGCGCATGGGGAGATTCCCGTGGGAAATGGGAGGAGTGGGAAGACCAGGGCTCAGGCGGCCCCAGGGGGTTAGAGGTCAGCTGGAGCGGGTCCTTGACCCACTCCAGAGGCTGAGCCTCCTTGACTAGTAGCCACAATAGTTGCCACATAAGGAGGGGCCATGGGCCCCAGAAACGCAGCGGGGACATGACACACGCTAGTGCCGGGCACTGAGCGGAAGTCATTCTGGCAGCTCCGAGACGCTCGTGCCCCTTGTAAGCATGAGTCCCGCCCTGTCTTTATGACACCTTTATTTATGCCACAGATCTGCTCCATGTCACCAGGGCACTCTTATGTCACAATCCCGCCCAAGCACGCCTTCCCATCCTGCCCTGCCGGAGCACCCCTCTCCTCCCCTTAGTGAGGAAGGATTTGGGCCTCAGATCCTGGTGGTCCCAGGACTCCAGCGCCTGCTGTGGTGGGGTAGGGTGGGGTAGGGTGGGATGGGGGCGCGGCAGAGCTTCCCAAGGAAGTCACCGGACCTCGCCTCAGGATATTCAGAAGTGCTAGTTCAGTTCTGGCAGCCTTCCTCCTTTAAGGTGAAATCCGAGAACACTCTTCCTTCCAGGGAGAGCAACTGACCTGCAAAATGGGCGCCAGGATGCACATTACAGTCATTTATTCCAAAGTGTTGCCATTTTCGCTAAACTGTCGCATGTTTGATAATTAATTCACCACCCTATTAGGTAGGGGCTGCCAGGGAATAAGCGAGGACTCCAAATTTTCTGTAGGAGGGGTGTTGGGAGTTGGCAATTCGGTCTGGGAGAGAAGGTTTTAATCCGAGTGAAGAGCCCTTTGCACTAGCCTGGGAGGAGGCTGAACTGTCATCCTGCCTTGACTCAACACAGCCATTCCCCTAGAAGTTACAGCACTTCTAGGGTCACCTGTGTTCAGAGATCTACCCTGTGTGCACACATGGAGAAGAGGCTTAGGTTGTTAAAGTCAGCATGTTAAATCATTTCCTGAAATGCGACTGTAACTAGAACCCAGCTGACTTCCCCCACAGCCGTTCTTACCTATTTTATTACTGTCTGGCATAATTACCAGCATGTAAACTCCAAGAAGGTGCTTCATCTTATTTTAGTGCCTGGCATAGACATAGGGTGCATAGTGATGGCTTTAAAATTGAAGGGGGGCCGGGTGTGGTGGCTCACACCCATAATCCCAGAACTTTGGGAGGCCGAGGTGGGGGGATCACTGAGGTCAGAAGTTCGAGACCAGCCTGACCAACATGGTGAAACTCCGTCTCTACTAAAAATACAAAATTAGCCAGGTGTGGTGGTGCATACCTGCAATCCCAGCTACTCAGGAGGCCAAAGCAGGAGAATCGCTTGAACCTGGGAGGCAGAGGTTGCAGTGAGCCGAGATCACAACATTGCACTTCAGCCTGGGCAACAAGAGAGAAACTCCATCTCAAAAAAATAAAATAAAATAAAATGGAAGAGATTCCAAGATTCACCTCATTTAGGGATGGAGCTATTATTATAATCAGATTTCTGAAATGAGTGCTGACTTCCTCTCACATTTCACAGGAAGCTAGACTTCTTAAAGCTTGAAGTCTCCTTGGTGGGTTTTATTTAAATTGAATTAAAATAATTATTTTACAGGGAAAAATTTCAAAACACTTTGCAACTTTGGGGTAAAAGTTAAATAAAACACTGTAGCCCCAAGTTAAGTTCCCACTGAAATGATACTTTTGCTCCTTTTTTTAAAAAAAATTCCATAAATAGTAAATAATGACTGTTTTGAGATTAATTTAGAAACAATCCCTATTTAAGAGCTTTCATATGCAGTCATGCATTGCTTGCCACGTGAGGAGCTTGAGAAATGGGTCACTAGGTTATTTCACCATTGTGCTAATATCATAGCGTATACTTACACAAACCTAGGTGGTGTAGCCACCATACCTAGGGTACACGGTATGGCTTAGGACTCCTAGGCTACAAACCTGTACTGTATGTTACTGTACTGAATACTAAAGGCAACTGTCACAGAATGGCAGGTATTTGTGTATGTAAACATGGAAAATATATAGTTAAAATACTGTGTAAAAGATAAAAATGGGGCCTGGGCACAGTGGCTCATGCCTGTAATCCCAGCACTTTGGGACGCCAAGGTGGGTGGATCACTTGAGCTCAGGAGTTCAAGACCAGCCTGGCCAACATGATGAAACCCCATCTCTACTAAAAATACAAAAATTAGCTGAGTGTGGTGACGCGTGTCTATAATCCCAGCTACTCAGGAGGCTGAGGTAGGAGAATCACTTGAACCTGGGAGGTGGAGGTTGCAATGAGCTGGGATCATACCACTGCACTCCAGCCTGGACAACAGAGTGAGACTCCATCTCAAAAAAAAAAAAAAAAAAAAAGATAAAAATGGTATACCTATATAGGGATAGCTCCATTATACGCTTACGGAACCACCATCATATATGTGGTCTACTGTTGACGCAAACTTCATTTTGCAGCACATGATTGTAAATGATTGACAGAAAGATCTTCAGCAAAATATTCCACCCAAGATACGTGGGAGATATTGAGATCCAAGCAATAAGCCATATTTGAAAGGCATTATAGTTTTCAAAAGCTGTAGCGCAATCATTCTTAAGGCCAGTTACCTTCTCCCCACATCTCTGGGATCCTGTTTGAAGGGAGTTCTAACAAGGCCTGTGTTCGAGCAGCCCAGCATCCCTTACTCCTGGAGCGGGGGGAGACTAACCCCTCTCCTGTGTCCACAACTGTAGTAACACAATCCTCGGTTCTGCTCTCCAAACTTCAAATAAGGGGTCAGAGCCAAGGGTCAAGACTTTAGGAAAAGCCCCGGAAATACCCTGCACTCAAAAAGCAGTTTCAGAGTTTCACATTTTCCTGAGAATTAAACAAATTATCCTCCAAATTCTGCTGCTTGTTTTGAATTATGGTTATACTGGCAATGTTATCCAACCCTTGAGTTGTTTTTCTTTTCTTTTTTTTTTTTTCCTCGAGAGAGTGTCTTGCTCTGTCACCCAGGCTGGAATGCAGTGGCATGATCTCGGCTCACTGCAACCTCCGCCTCCTGGGTTCAAGTGGTTTTCATGCCTCAGTTTCCCAAGTAGCTGGGATTACAGGTGCCCACCACCACACCCAGCCAATTTTTGTATTTTTAGTAGAGACAGGGTTTCACCATATTGGCCAGGCTGGTCTTGAACTCCTGACCTCATGATCCACCCACCTCGGCCTCCCAAAGTGCTGGGATTACAGGTGTGAGCCACAGCGCCTGGCCTGTTTGTTTTTTGAGATAGAGTTTCACTCTTGTTGCCCAGGCTGGAGTGCAATGGTGTGATCTTGGCTTACCGGAACCTCCGCTTCCCGGGTCCAAGCGATTCTCCTGCCTCAGCCTCCCGAGTAGCTGGGATTACAGGCATGTGCCACCATTTCTCCATGTTGGTCAGTCTGATCTTGAACTCCTGACCTCAGGTGATCCACCCGCCTCAGCCTCCCAAAGCACTGGCATTACAGGTGTGAGCCACTGTGCCCGGCCCTGTTACCTTTGAGTTTTTATCTCCACATACTTATATTAAACCGTGTAGTTCTTCTTCCCATCTGACATCTACAATCTCTTCACTGGGTCTGTACTCCATAGCTATTTTACCACTTTCTGAAATAAAGTTAGCAAGGATGAATTCAGAATCTTTTTCATTCCAAAACTTCCTGCATATAATGGTAGCAACCCACAATGAGACATTCTTTTAGTTTCTAAAAGCAGGAAATAAGCATTTTCCTGAAAGTTTCCTCATCTCTTCATCATACACTTCGATTTTTGTTTTTCTTTTTTCTTTTAGACAGGGTCTCACTCTGTCACCCAGGCTGGAGTACAGTGGCACTATCATAGCTCACTGTAGCCTGGAATTCCTGGGCTCAAGTCATCCTCCTGCTTCAGCCTCCAGAGTAGCAGGCACTATATCACTGTGCCCATCTAATTCTCTTTTTTAGAGACATGGTCCCGCTTTGTTTTCCAGGCTGGTCTCGAACTCCTGGCTTGAAGTGATCCTTCTGTCTTGGCCTCCCGAAATGCTGAGATTTCAAGCGTGAGTCATCATGTCTGGTCTCACAGCTCAGTTTTTAACATATGTATGAAATATCAACTGTGTTTGGTTCAAAGGACTTTATGATCTTACAGATAGGAACTAAGGAATAATAACATAAGAAATAAAAAATGTGGAAATAAAAACGTTCAATCATAATATGATTAAAAGGTAAGGCACCAGGTGGGGGGTCGAAGTAAGTTCAAATCCAAAATAGAGACCACTGGGCTAGTAGACACTTCACATTAGAAGCATGGCTAGGTGTCTACTCCCTGAGAACCAAAATTCCACCAGATACAATGAACAAAGCTTTAGAGAGAGAAAACATTTGAACATTTTACGGGCAGAAAATGGCCCACATACTCTATAGACAATACAATTTCCTTCAAGGCAAACTAGAACTATAAGGCTTTTGGTCTAAGAAGTGAGTGTGTGCAAGGGATACCTTTGCATACTAGGGAGGGGTAGACAACCCACACATTTAGCTTGGTTATTAAATGTCATTACTCAGACTTGACAGTTGATGACCAAGGAAGTAAGACTTTCACTAGAATGGCTGCCCAGGTTGGAAAGCTGAGAGCAATCAGGGCCACCTCTTACAAGCAAATAAAGGTCTGTAGTAACTTAATTACAATCTCAGTCTCTAAGCCTTCAGGGTTGTGAAGCAGAAAGGCAACTCTGTTCAGGGACTCGTTAAACACCAGGTTTCCTTTGGGCACAGGCTATGACATTTGTGCCACTGTAGAACTGAATAGGAAATACAAGCAGTGCCATTCAACAGCATGACCACTTCCAAGGCTCACAGCAAAGCAGCTGATTATTGTATAAGAATCATATTTGGCCAATATGTCAGTGCCAGAAATGAGAGCTGGAACTGAATTCTCGATTCGAGAAACATAATCTAATAAATTCTTCAGCAGAGTTTATTTATTCAGAGAGAAAACAATCACAACAATAGCATATTTTGTCTGCTTACCTTGTAAGTATAGTTCTGAGTTTTTACACTTGTCATCTCATTTTTTCTTACAATATCCGCAATAAGGTTGATTGGATTACTAACCCCAGTTTGCAGATAAAGATTGCAGCTTAGAGATATTAAATATCTTCAAATCTCTCTGGCCATAAGACCTAAAACTGCATACAAAAATCTAAGAGACAGAGTTAGGACTCAAATCCATGTGTCCAGGGCTTATAATCACTATTCTGTACGATAGGCATGCAATTAAAGAAGACCTGCCTCAAACATTTTCTGTGTGACCTGAGGCAAGTCCTTTTATAGCTATAAACTAGGGACAATATTTGCTGTCATTTTTTCTACAAATGTCACAAAGAACAAATTTGAGCCTGTCGCTGTGAAAGAACTTAGCAAATGAAAGCATCCTAGGGAGTGTTTTAGATATCGATATTTTTATCCAATTAACTTTTCAAAATGAGTTTATTTGCTCACTGAAACTGAAGTACTTCAACGACGATTAAGAAAGTTTTACCTAGAACCACAATCAACAGTTTCTGGAATGCATCTGACAAAGCCTTCTCAATAGCAATCTGGGCTATCTTCCCTTTCATAGGAATGACAACGGTCTTAAATCCAACCCAAACTAATGGATTTAAGATGCCTATCTGAGTGATCATTGCTACATGTTGGTTAAAAAATAAAAATGCATCCACGAATCTTAGCTCATAATCTTCGTGATTAAAGGCAGACAGCACAAGGGTATGGTTGAACGTCTCTGTTATAGGTACATCCTGGCAGGGCCCATTTTTACTGCCTCCATCTAGTTGGGAAGTTCCTAAAGTACTAGAGGGAGACACAAGCCAAGAACCTGGCACATATCTCACATCACCCAGAGATTTAATTCATCAGTTAAGGCTACACTCCTATGGACCCCACCCTCCTATGCATCAAGGGCTGGAATCACTCACTGAAAAAAAGCTTTGTTGGCTGGACACGGTGGCCCATGCCTGTAATCCCAGCACTTTAGGATGCCAAGGCGGGTTGAGGCCAGGAGTTCAAGAACAGCCTAGCCAACGTGGTGAAACCCCATCTCTCCTAAAAATACAAAAATTAGCCGAGTGTGGTGGCACACACCTGTAATCCCAGCTACCTGGGAGTCTGAGGCACAAGAATAGCTTGAACCGGGAGGCGGAGGTTGCAGTGAGCCGAGATCATTCCACTGCACTCCAGCCTGGGTGACAGAGTAAGACTATTTTCAAAAAGAGGCCAGGCACAGTGGCTCATATCTGTAATCCCAGTACTTTGAGAGGCCAAGATGGGCAGATCACTTGAGGTCAGGAGTTTGAGACCAGCCTGAGCAACATGATGAAACCCTGTCTCTACTAAAAAATTTTTTAAAAATTAAAAATTGGCTGAGTGTGGTGGTGGGCAGGAGGGAGGTGAACTGCTTGAACCTGGGAGGTGGAGGTTGCAGTGAGCCGAGATCACACCGGTGCACTCCAGCCTGGGCGACAGAGCAAGACTCTGTCTCAAAAAAACAAAAAAGGTTTGGTACAGATAATCTGGCTCCTCCCTGGGCATCATCCATGAAAGCCTACTCCCCTCCATTAGCCTACAGCCCTGCCTCTGACTTCAAACCCTAAGCCTGAGGGCCATGAGTACTAGAAAAAAATCTCAACGTCAGTTATCAATTGAGTACCCTTTCTAGTATCTCTAGTAGACTCTTGTTCCACTGAAGCCCTTCTACGAGTAAAAAAAAGGCTGAATGGGCCGGGCGCAGTTGCTCATGCCTGTAATCCTAGCACTTTCAGAGGCCAAGGCAGATGGATCACGAGGTCAGGAGTTTGAGACCGGCCTGACCAACACAGTGAAACCCCATCTCTACTAAAAATACAAAGATTAGCCAGGCATGGTGGTGCATGCCTGTAATCCCAGCTACCCAGGAGTGTCAGGCAGGAGAATCACTTGAACCTGGGAGGTGGAGGTTGCAGTGAGCCGAGATCACACCACTGCACTCCAGCCTGCGCGACAGGGCAAGACTCTGCTTCAAAAAAAAAAAAAAGACAATGTTTACACAAAACTTTCTGTAAATCTTTACATGATGACTTGGCATGGTGGGTGGCTCATGCCTATAACTCCAGCACCTTGGGATCCTGGGGCAAGAGGATCACTTGAGGCCAGGAGTTTGAGACCAGGCAGGACAACACAGCAAGACCCCATCTCCAGAAAAAATAATTAGCCACATGTGGTGGCGCACGCCTGTAGTCCTGGCTAGTCAGGAGGCTAAGGTGGGAGGATCCCTTGAGCCCAGCAGTTTGAGGTTGCAATGAGCTATGAGCATGCTACTGCACTCTAGCCTGGGCAACAGAGCAAGACCCTGTCTCTAAAAAATAATAATAAATAGATAAACAAATCTTTAGATAATTTTGTTGGGATAACTGAAGGCTATAAGAGATACATATTTGAAGGACTATTTTAGACGAGATTGGGCGCGTTCAGGGTGGTATGGCTGTAGACTTGAAGGACTATTTTAATACAAAGCAAGTTCTTAACCGAAAACTGGAAAAACATTACTTCCTTCTTCCTCCTACGCTTCTTGGCAGGAAGTACACTGTACAATTTTAAATTTAAAGGTTCTGGCCGGGTGGGGTGGCTCACACTTGTAATCCCAGCACTTTGGGAGGCCAAGGCAGGCAGATCACGAGGTCAGGAGATCGAGACCATCCTGGCCAACATGGTGAAACCCCATCTCTACTAAAAATACAAAAATTAGCTGGGTGTGGTGGTGGGCGCCTGTAATCCCAGCTACTCAGGAGGCTGAGGCAGGAGAATGCCTTGAACCCGGGAGGCGGAGGTTGCAGTGAGCCGAGATCACGCCACTGCACTCCAGCCTGGTGACAGAGCAAGACTCTCTCTCAAAATTAGTTAATTAATAAATCAATTTATTAAATAAATTTATTAATTAATAAATCAATGTATTAAATAAATTTATTAATTAATAAATCAATGTATTAAATCAATTTATTAAAGCAATTTATTTACTTATTTAAAGGCTCTGTCAGGTATTGCCTAAGGTAAAAGTCTGTATTGTAAGACAGAAAACCTCTGCCCAGGACTTCAGTAGCTCAGAGAGGGAAAGGCTTGATATGTGTCTGAAAAGACAAGTTTTAGACAGCAAGAAAAAAGAGATCCTTCCCATTTCAACTCCTTACCCTCCTCTACCCCCAATGAAAACAGACCTTCCTTCGCCTTATCCACAGGCTCCTCCACCAAGCCAAGGCCAGACTCCTGCAATCATAGGATGGCAACACCACCTCTAAAGCACAGAACTTCAGCCTTTGCTTCGGAAGTGGCACCATGGTCTCTTCATTTTCCCTTTCTTCAAGGTCAGAAAACTGAAGCTGTTAGGAGTTTTAGTGTTAAGTTCCTTCCGAGGATGTTAATTAGGCTTCAAACTGTTTTGTTCTGAGAAATAAAAACTAAACTCCAGTCATTCAAGCTAACAGTTGAGGTGTTCTATGGCTTCAAAATCAAGTAAGATTTGTAAATGAATTGCTAGGTGCAACCATTACTTATTATATGCCACACAAACAGTGGAGAAAATTATGGACACCACCATCCAAGTGATTGAGATTATTAATTTTAGGTAGCAGGCCAATTCAGACATGTCCACTTATCCTCAATGGCAGGGGGCCTCTCACATCCCCTCCCTGTAACCCAGTTCAATACTTCTGTCTAAAGTCTAGAATTTCAATGTTGAAAGGAGAGCGTGGTTAGTGAGAGAAAATCCACAAAGTTTATCCTGATGATCCTTTCTGACCATCCATTGAAACCAAAGTAGTAATTCACCAGTTCTTGGCATCAGGAGCTGTTTCAGGCAAGGGCCTGATGTGCAACTGCCTTATGTCTGCTGCCAAGAGGAACCTAAAGTCACAAGAGACAGACCCACAAATATCACAGCCTGCCAGAGATTTTATTTTGGATACACCTGAGATTTATCAATACCAACTGTGCAAAGAAAAGAAATTGTTTCAGTCTTCCCATTCAGTAGCTCCTTCTTGAGAACATGACCTGAAGAATAGATAAGATGAACCCACCCATCCCCCACCCCAAGTTACCCCTGCTTAAAGAGGAAATACACATACCTCTATACATTTTACAAGCAACTAAAACAACTAGAGGTTCATCTGCATTTATAAGCTTCTTTGACAATGCAAATATCTACTGAGTGTTAATTCTTGAAATATTTTACACATTTCTGTGAATTTCTTACATCACCAGTTCTTTCTTATGTCTATTTCATTTTGTAAGTGTAGAATATGATTATATTCATGAAACTCAAATGATACAAATAGTCAAATTTATTGTATTAGAAATTAATAAGAATAGTAAAGTTAATTCTTTGTTGATTTGTTTATGCACCTTCCTCTGTCACTGGTTTATAAGCTCCATAAGTGCCAGAGGAAAACATATCTTATTCTTTTTTCATTCCCAGAACAAAGCACAGTTCTTGGCATACAATACAGGATAGATGATCTGTTGATTGAGTGAATGAATAAAACAATGAGCAAGTAAAAAATGAAATTACTTTTTCCCACTGAAGAGAAAGAGAAACGCTTGTTGGGAAGGAGAAATGAAGACTATTTTTTTTTTTTTTTTGAGACGGAGTCTCCCTCTGTCGCCCAGGCTGGAGTGCAGTGGCACGATCTCGGCTCACTGCAAGCTCCGCCTCCCGGGTTCACGCCATTCTCCTGCCTCAGCCTCCAGAGTAGCTGGGACTACAGGTGCCCCCCCACCACTGCCGGCTAATTTTTTGTATTTTTAGTAGAGATGGGGTTTCACCGTGTTAGCCAGGATGATCTCCATCTCCTGACATCGGGATCCACCCACCTCAGCCTCCCAAAGTGCTGGGATTACAGGCGTGAGCCACCACGCCTGGCAATGAAGACTAATTTTTAAACGTTGAGTGCTACCACGGAGACCAGCCTGTATCATGAGTCACAGTGGAGACTTTCGGAACATCTAGGAAACTTCAGAAGGGCTCTAAGCCCCTGGGTGGTACAGACAGTTGTCACCTTGGATAACGTTGCCACAGTTCTTGCTGGCGACCATTTCCCTTCATTTCACTGAAACAAAAACAAAAACAAAAAACCCTCACAGATGCCTTAGGCCTTTCCTTGATTTTAAAACATTATTCTCTTTTCTGTATTTATAAAAACCAAAAAAGACAGGAACTAGGTGCATGTGCTAAAGTAGAAAAGAACACTTAAGGCCAGGAGCAGTTGCTCATGCCTGTAATCCCAGCACTTTGGGAGGCTGAGGTGGGCAGACTGCCTGAGGTCAGGAGTTCGAGACCAGCCTGACCAATATGGTGAAACCCTGTCTCTACTAAAAATACAAAAACTAGCAGGGCGTGGTGGTGGGTACCTATAATCCCAGCTACTTGGGAGGCTGAGACAGGAGAATCTGGGAGGCGGAGATTGCAGTGAGCAGAGACCGGGCCATTGCACTCTAGCCTGGGGAACAAGAGTGAAACTCCACCTCAAAAAAACAAAAAATAAAAGGACCCTTAAACTAGATAACAGTGGGGGTCAAGCAGTAACCCAAGGCTCTGAGTTCAGTAAGTAAATAAATCTAATATGAATGCCCTCTCCTCTCACTCATCTATTAACTTGTAGAACATTTCCTTCATTACTGCATCAGCGATGAGCTTTATGCTGTGAAATTCTCAAAATCTAAAGCTTATGAAGTGGTCTCAAGGTCCAAAGCACACTAAAAACTCATTACTTACAAAATGATACCAAGTAACTGTTTCATCATCTTTACCGTACCTTTACCATATTTGAGTGGCTATGTGAAATGGTCACAGGTTAGAAACACATCATAGTCCAAAAGTTGAAGAATATTCCACAGGTAATCATTTCAGTCACAGGAAGTGGAACCAGGATTGAAGAGGGTGTTGAATAAGCTACAAAAGTGGGTATAGTATACCTGGAGTCATTACTAAGCAGAGTTCTCAGATTTGATCAAGGTTAATTCAATGAGAAATGGAATATATATAGACAATAGGCAACAAGATTAGCAGGAAGCAGTCAGATCAAGTAGCCAATCAGGAATTGAAATCGGTCCTTGAAAATGGAAAGGTGATTGAATTGAGGCATACAATGAGATATCCTTCTGTGGCTCTGGGAAAGTAAAATTGGTTGGCATATTAACATGGAATAGGATTTCTACAAGGCCGCTTAAAGAATGTTTCCATCCTCTGAGAACTGAAGGGAGTTCCAAATAGGCAGTTTGTGACTGATGATGAGCATGTTGATGATAAAGTCTCCTTTATATAACAGCCGGCAGACGACTTGGTCACACCCACACATCTTAAATTCACATAAAGGTAAATATATGGTCAGGCGTGGTGGCCCACACCTGTAGTCTCAGCACCTTTGGGGAGGCGAAGGCGGGGGTGGATCATTTGAGGTCAGGAGTTCAAGACCAGTCTGGCCAACATGGTGAAACTCCATCTCTACTAAAATACAAAAATTAGCCAGGCATGGTGGTGCATGCCTGTGGTCCCAGCTACTCAGGAGGCCGAGGCAGGAGAATCACGTGAACCCGGGAGGCGGAGGTTGCAGTGAGCCAAGATCGCACCACTGCCCTCCAGCCTAGGCAACAGAGACTCCGTCTCAAAAACAAGTCAATATAGCTGGGCATGGTGGCTTGTACCTAGCTACTTAAGAGGCTGAGGCAGGAGGATTGCTTGAGGTCAGGATTTAGAGACCAGCCTGGGCAACACAGGGATACTCTGCCTCTCTAAAAATATTTTAAGAAGTACCACCACCATGCCCAGCTAATTTTTTTTGTATTTTTAATAGAGACGGGGTCTCACCATGTTAGCCAGGCTGGTCTCAAACTCCTCACCTCAGGTGATCCACCCGCTTCAGCCTCCCAAAGTGCTGGGATTACAGGCATGAGCCACAGTGCCCAGCCCAGAACTTGCATTTCTAACAATTCCCAGGTTGTGCTGTTTGGGGAACCATACTTTGAGAAACACTTCCCTATAATCTGATAGGTTATTTCCCCTAAGATCCAGATGAGTAAAAATTAATACACATTAGATGAAATTCCAGAAGTTATCTTCGAACTTTGCTACTCATTGAATGTCATGAAGATATTGGAAAAAAAAGAAAAAAAACAAAAAACAACCTTGCTACTCAACGAGGGATTTGCTATTATCACATTTCAGAGAAATTCAGAACCTCAGGCCTAAACCCAGGCCTACTAAATCAGGATCTGCAGTTTCTCACAATCTTCAGGTGATTTCTATGGTCATTAAAGTTTGAAAAGCTGCCTTGAAACAGTCCTTCCTAAAACTGAAGTGGAGGTGCCACAAAAATCATCTGGTAAATTGTTTAAAGTAATCCCAAATGCAACTCAAATCTACAGAATCCCAGGTGAAGCTCAGTAATCTGTATTTTTATCCTTCTCCCCAAATAATTCTGATGTGCAGGCAAGTTTGAAAACCACTGCTTTAAAGAAAATGGATACTCCCCTTACCAAGCAGAAAGTAGGATTTTGGAAACTGATGCAAGGGAAGCAAAAAAGATGCCTCAGGAGGCACGATTACAACAGGATTGATGCAAACGGAAGCTGAAGCTTAACCAAAGACATTAATGTACGCCCACAAAAGAAACTGCTAAGGAAGTCAAGTGGTCTGCATGAATTCTGAAGAAAAATGGAGAACCAAAGAACAAAATTTGTCAATGAATTTCCAGCACAGTCTAGGTTAAGGGAGTGAATTTCTTGACTGAATGGCACAGACTCTGTACCACCTGATTGGCTGTTACCTTAATGGAGGAATTATATTACAATGTATAGGTACTTTAATTAGAATGACCTGGCAGTTACTGAGGCAAAATTTTCCGCTCCTTTGTATTCTGTAATACAAGAAGGATCTACATGGATGTTCTGTTCTCTGAACTGTCTGGATGAACCGGTCAACGGCACTCATCATACCTTAGTTTTTAAATCTGCATTGTGGTCATAATCTGTTATTTAATTAATTTCTCGTATTTTTAATAAAAACTTTGCCTATATATTTTAGACAGAAATTGCCTTACTTTGCTGAAATGCTGAGAAATCCTAGACAGTTTTCAAGGCTGGGCTCAAATGTCACCTCTACTACCCTTTGCTGTGCCTCCTGGCACTGTGCTTCTGACACTTTGTACGGTCCTCCATGACAGCGTGAGCACAATTATATTACAGGCAATTACTCATGCCCCCCTGGCTCATCTGTTGACTCCTTTAGAGCACAGATCATGTTTTATTTATTGTAGCAACTAAAACAATTATTTGTTCAACCAATGACACCCATAAACAAAACTACCTGCCGAGGGCAGAGATGCAGGGGTAAAGTCATGCCAAGATTGAACCCCAGAAACCACTGTAGATTTTTCAGAGTTGACTCCTACGTTTTCAGACTTCTAGACTTCAAAAAACAACTCTCTATAAAATGTATGTTTCTAGAAGGAAGAAGAGTAACATTGTCCCCCCTTTTTTTTTTTTTTTTTTTTTTTTTGAGCTGGAGTCTTGCTCTGTCGACCAGGCTGGAGTGCAGTGGTGCAATCTTGGCTCCCTGCAACCTCCACCTCCCAGGTTCAAGCCACTCGCCTGCCTCACTTCAAGTAGCTGGGATTACAGGAGCCCACCACCACACCCGGCTAATTTTTATATTTTTAGTAGAGACGGGGTCTCACCATGTTGGCCAGGCTGGTCTCAAATACCTGACCTCAAGTGATCCACCTGCCTAGGCCTCCCAAAGTGCTGGGATTACAGGCGTGAGCCACCATGCCTGGCCTATAGAGTGCTTTCTATTTGCCAGACATTGTGCTAAGCACTTTAAAATGCATTATTTCATTTTATCCTCAGATCAGCTCCATAAAATAGCTACCATTATTACCTCTACATGTATATAGATATATGTATCTATATATACGTATATCTACATACACTGAAAGTCTCACCAGTGTTTTAACTTTTGCTTTCAACCACTATACATATTTTAAAGAGCTTAAGAGGAGAAACAACCGTTTGCATTTTTAAATTTTCCCAGATACCATTTCTGCTGCTCTTTATCTCTGAAGTTCTAGTATTACCACTGGTATAATTTTCCTTTGGCCTAAAGACCTTCTTTTACTTTTATTTTAGAGCAGAACTTCCGCCAACACATTCTCTTAGATTTTCTTCATCCAAAATGTCTTTCTTCTTTTTCTTTTTGCCTTAATTGTTGAAGGGTATTTTTGCTGGATATAGAATTCTGGATTGACATTTCTCTCAGTACTTTAACGATGTTCTGTAGTTACTTGAATCGCTGAAAGGCTTAAAGTTGGGGACCAGCTCTATCACCTATACATTTTATAGAAAGGTTCATTACTTTCATATCTTCATTGTGGACCATAGCCTTTATCATCACAAAATTTTGTCTCATTTATGAGTTTTTAAATTTTGCTTTGAACCTAAACTTTTACAACTCCTTTCTATTTCCTACAATGTGGAGTTTATGGCGGACAGCACAGGCAGTTGGAAATATATATCTGGAGTTTAGAAAAGAGGTCTAGGTAGGAAAATGGATCTAGAAGTCATTGATATTTTGGCCGGGCGCGGTGGCTCATGCCTGTAATCCCAGCACTTTGGGAGGTTGAGGCAGGCTGATCACAAGGTCAAGAGATTGAAACCATCCTGGCCAACATGGTGAAACCCCGTCTCTACTAAAAATACAAAAATTAGCTGGGTGTGTTGGCACACACCTGTATTCCCAGCTACTCGGGAGGCTGAGGGAGGAGAATCACTTGGACTCAGGAGGCAGAGGTTGCACTGAGCCAAGATCGTGCCACTGCACTCCAGCCTGGTGACAGAGTGAGACTCTGTCTCAAAAAAGTCATCGATATTTTGGTGGTAATTGAGTCAACTGATAATTAGGGGAAAGTTGGGGAAACTAAATGCTGAGGACTATCACATGTAAGAGGGATGTTTGAAGGAGGAATAACTGGTCAAGGAAATCAGGTCATAAGTGGCAACAGGAAATTTAAGAAGGATGTAGTAGCCAAAGGTATCATACATGCATTGTATATGTATGTAGATATATATCTTTCAATGTATGTAGATATACATCTACATACATACACAATGTATGCATGTAGATATAATATACACTGAAAGTATAGATACATATCTACATACATTG
Source organism: Homo sapiens (assembly GCF_000001405.40). NCBI lineage: Eukaryota > Metazoa > Chordata > Mammalia > Primates > Hominidae > Homo > Homo sapiens. The sequence goes on from NC_000017.11 coordinate 64,912,328, forward strand.
AAAGTGTATATATATACACACATACACACACACATATATACAATTATAAGGGGGGGCTAGAATAAAGAAACCTATATGTTTGCAATACTTTTACATTTTATTTAGAGGTAAAATGCTAACTCTAAGTAGGTAGGTTAGGTATATATTTTGTAATTCCTACAGCAAAAACATAGCACAGATATAACCAAAAGCCAATTAATAAAACATAACACTAAAAAATATTCAGTTAATCCAAAAATAGGCAGAAAAAAGAAACAGAAGAAACCCCCCAAAAAAAGAAATAACCAGAAAACAAATAATAAAAAGGAAACCTAAATCCAATCATCATCAATCATATTAAATGTAAATGGTCCAAAACACATTAATTAAAAGACGCTGTCAGATTACATTTAAAAGAAAAACGAAAAAACAAGAAACCATTTGAAAATATAATGATATGGCCAAGTATGGTGGCTCACGCCTATAATCCCAGCGTTTTGGGAGGTTGAGGTGGGCAGGTGGCTTGAGCCCAGGAATTCAAGACCAGCCTGGGCAACATGGCAAAACCCCATCTCTATTTTTACAAATTAAAAAATAAATGAATATCATGATATCTAGATTAAAAGCAAAAGGGTAGAGAAAGATATGTCATTTTAACACTAGTCAAAAACAGTATTATACTACTAATATAAAACACTAATTTTATATTAATATTAAGTAATTTTTTTTTTTTTTCCCCCGAGATGGAGTCTTGCTCTGTTACCCAGGCTAGAGTGCAATGGCATGATCTTGGCTTACTGCAACCTCTGCCTCCCGGCTTCAAGCAATTCTCTGGCCTCAGCCTCCCAAGTACTTGGGATTACAGGCAGCTGCCACCGTGCCTGGCTAATTTTTGTATTTTTAGTAGAGACGGGGTTTCACCATCTTAGCCAGGCTGGTCTCGAACTCCCGACCTCAGGTGATTCACCTGCCTCGGCCTTCCAAAGTGCTGGGTTTACAGGCATGAGCCACTGCACCTGGCCTATTTTGGGTTTTTTTTTTTTTTTTCTTTTGAAATGGAGTCTTGCTCTGCTTCCCAGGCTGGGGTGCAGTGGCGTGATCTCGGCTCACTGCAATATCCAACTCCCGGATTCAAGTGATTATCTTGCCTCAACCTTCTGAGTAGCTGGGACTACAGACGTGTGCCACCACACTAGGCTATTTTTCTCTTTTTAGTAGAGATGGGGTTTCGCCATGTTGTCCGGTCTGGACTCGAACTCCTGACCTCAGGTGATCCACCCGCCTCGGCCTCCCAAAGTGCTGGGATTACAGGCATGAGCCACCATGTCTGGCCAAATAATGGTTTTTAATATAATGATTATTACCAGAAATAAAGGTTATTTCAGAATGATAAAGGGGTCAAATAATCAAGAGGACAAAACTGTAAATGTTTCTGCATCTAATAACAGTGCCTCAAAATACAGGAAGCATAAACAGACAGAATTTTAAGGAGAAAGAGAACAAACCCATAACAATCATTGCAGACTTCAACACTCCTTTCTCAGTAATCACTAGAACAAGCAGACAGGAAATCAGCAAGGATAGGGAAGACCTTAACACGATCAACCAACTTGACCTAATTATTATTTATGAAACACTTTACCTAAAGGCAGCAGAACACATCTTTCCTATTACAAACTGAACATTGACCTAAACAAACAATGTTTCAGGCCATATACAAACCTCTACATTTTTTTTTAATTCATCATAACGAGTATGTTCCCTAACCATAATGGAATTAAATTAGAAACCAACAACAAAGATGTCTGGGAAATCCCTAAATGTTTGAAAATTAAACAATACGTTTTAAAACAAATCATGGGTCAAAGAGTAAGTCATAGTAGAAATTTTACAATATTGTGAACCAAATGAAAATGAAAATAAAACATGTATCACAAATTCTAAGATATGTTTTTAAAAGTGCACAAAGGGGCTGGGCGCAGTGGCTCATGCCTGTAGTCCCATCACTTTGGGAGGCCAAGGCAGATGAATCACCCGAGGTCAGGAGTTCGAGACCAGCCTGGCCAACATGGTGAAACCTCATCTCTACTAAAAATACAAAAATTAGCTGGGCGTGGTGGTGGGTGCCTGTAATCCCAGCTACTTGGGAGGCTGAGGCACGAGAATAATTTCAACCTGGGAGGTGGAGGCTTCAGTGAGCCAAGATCGCACCACTGCACTCCAGCCTGGGCAACAGAGCAAGATTTTGTCTTTAAAAACAAAAACAAAAACAAAAAAACGCATAAAGGAGCACAGTGGTTTAGCCTGGAATCCCAGCACTTTGGGAGGCCAAGGCAGGAGGATTGCTTGAGCAAAAAAATTCAAGACCAGCCTGGGCAGTATAGTGAGAACTCATCTCTATTTAAAAAGAAAGAAAGAAAAATCAAAGAAAATGAGGTATACATGCACAAGAGGATATTATTCAGCCATTTAAAAAGTGAAGTCATCTATAAAGCTTAAGGTTTGGAAAATAAAATCTGTTTGCAGCAACATGGATAGAACTGGAGGACATTATGTTAAGTGAAATAGGCCAAGGGCAGAAAGACAAGTATCACATATTCTCATTCATATATGAGAGATTAAGAAGTTGATTTCATGGAGATAGGCAGTAGAATGATGGTTACCGGGGGCTGGGAAGCAGGTAGGGATGAAGACAAGTTGATTCATGGGCATAAAAACTCAGTCAGATAGAAGGAATACGTTTTAGTTTTTATTTGCACAGTAGGGTGACTAGAGTCAACAATAACTTAGTGTATATTTTAAAATAGCTAGAACATTTGTTATCTTCCCAATACAAAAAAAAGGATAAACATCTGAGATGATGGATACCCTAATTAACCTGATTTGATCATTACACACTGTATGAATCTATCAAAATATTGCATGTACCCTTATAAATATGTACACTCTACCTTAAGGAAACAGTGAAAAAAGGTGTGGAACAACGACCACAACAAAATCAAAGAGGAAAATCTTTGTGAACTTGGGTTTGTCAGGCCAGGAATCAGCAAACCATGGCCAATCCACTACCTGTTTTTCTAATAATCAAAACAATATAATTGATAATTTGTAAATTATGTGAAATTCAAACTGCAGTGTTCATAAAGTTTTATTGGAACAGCTATTATCATTCATTTACATATTGTCTATGACTGCTTTCATTGCTACAATGGCAGAGCTGCAACAGGGACAGCAAGGCTGAAATATTTACTATCTGACCTTTTACAGAAAAAGTCTGGCAAGGTCTGGGTTAGGTAGAGCTGTTAGATGAACACCAAATGTGTAAAAGAAAAAATGTGGTAAATCAGACTTCATCAAAATTTAAAACTTATGCTCTGGGAAAGAGACACCGCTAAGACAATGAAACACAAGGCACAGATGGGGAGAAAATGTATGAACATCACACAGCCTAACAAAGCACTTATATCCAAAATATATAAAGAATTCTTACTACCCAACAGTAAGAAATTGGCCAGGCATGGTGGCTCATGCCTGTAATCCCAGCACTTTGGGAGGCCAAGGTAGGCAGATTGCTTGAGCTCAGGAGTTCAAGACCAGCCTGGGCAACATAGCGAAACCCCATCTCTATTAAAAATACAAAAATTAGCCACACATGGTGGCATGCATCTGTGGTCCTAACTACTTCAGAGGCTGAGGTGGTGGGAGGATCACCTTGAACCTGGGGTCGAGGGGAATGACAGGCTGCAGTGAGCCAAGATCATGCCACTGCACTCCAGCGTGGGTGAAAGAACGAGACTCTGTCTAAAAAAATAAAAGAAGCCTGGCGTGGTGGCTCACGCCTGTAATCCCAGCACTCTGGGAGGCCGAGGCAGGAGGATCACAAGGTCAGGAGATCAAGACCATCCTGGCTAACATGGTGAAACCCCGTCTCTACTAAAAATACAAAAAATTAGCTGGGCGTGGTGGCGGGTGCCTGTAGTCCCAGCTACTTGGGAGGCTGAGGCAGGAGAATGGTGTGAACCCGGGAGGGGGAGCTTGCAGTGAGTCAAGATCGCGCCACTGCACTCCAGCCTGGCGACACAGCGAGACTCCGTCTCAAATAAATAAATAAATAAAATAAAATAAAAGAAGAATAACAATAAAGAAAGCAACCCAATTAAACATCTTAAATAAAGATTTTGGTATCTTGGCCAGGCATGGTGGCTCATGCCTGTAATCTCAGCACTTTGGGAGGCCGAGGCAGGCAGATCGCTTGAGCCCAGGATTCGAAATCAGTCTGGGCAACATATCAAAACCCCATCTCTATTAAAAAAAAAAAAAAAAAAAAACTAGCCAGGTGTGGTGGTGCGCACTTGCAATCCCAGTTACTTGGGAGGCCAAGAGGTGGGAGGATGGCTTGAACCCAGAAGGTGGCGGCTGCAGTGAGTGGTGACTGTGCCACTGCTCTCCAGCCTGGGCAACAGAGCAAGACTCTGTCTCAAAAAAAAAAAAAAGACTTTAGTATTTTTCCATAAACAATGATATACAGATGGCAAATCAAAAGATGCACATAAAAAGAGGCTCAGAACCATTAGTCATTAGGGACAAGGAAATTAAAACCAGAAGAAGCTACCACCATATACTTATTAAGGTGGCCAAAAAAAAAAAAAAAACTTGAGGCCGGGCGCAGTGGCTCACGTCTGTAATCCCAGCACTTTGGGAGGCCGAGGCGGGCAGATCACGAGGTCAGGATATCGAGACCATCCTCGCTAACATGGTGAAACCCCGTCTCTACTAAATATACACAAAAATTAGCCGGGCGTGGTGGTAGGCCCCTGTAGTCCCAGCTACACGGGAGGCTGAGGCAGGAGAATGGCATGAACCCGGGAGGCGGAGCTTGCAGTGAGCCGAGATCGCGCCACTGCACTCCAGCCTGGGTAACAGAGCCAGACTCCATCTCAAAAAAAAAAAAAAAAAAAAAAAAACCTGAAAATATCAAGTGCTAGGGAGGATACAGAGCAACCGGAACTCTTCATACATTTGCAGGTAAGAATGCAAAATGGTACAGCTACTTTGGAAAACAGTTTTGGCAGTTTCTTATAAACATACAACCCAGAAATCATACTCCTAGGTATTTACTCAAGAGAAACAAGAATTGTGTTCAGACAAAAAACATTATGGAAATGTTTACGGCAGCTTTATTCATAGGTGCCACAAACTAGAAATAATTGAAATATTCAACTATTGAACAGATAAATGCACTGTGATACACTCATATAAAGGACTGCTACTCAGCAATAAAGAAACTACTGATACAACAACACAGATGAATCTTAAATACATTATGCACTGTACACGTATAAACTAAAAAATTAAAATACCTATTTAAAAGTCAAACAGGCCGGGCGCGATGGCTCACACCTGTAATCCCGGCACTATGGGAGGCCGAGGCCGGCGGATTACCTGAGGTCAGGAGTTCAAGACCAGCCTGGCCAACATGGTGAAACCCTGTCTCTACTGAAAATACCAAAAATTCGCCAGGCGTAGTGGCGGGCGCCTGTAATCCCAGCCACTCAGGAGGCTGAGACAGGAGAATCGCTTGAACCTGGGAAGCGGAGGTTGTGGTGAGCTGAGATCGCGCCACTGCACTCCACCCTGGGCAACAAGAGCGAAACTCTGTCTCAAAACTAAATAAATAAAGTCAAACAGTACATGAAAAAATAATATGATCAAGAGAGGTTCACTGCAAGAATGTAAGGGTGAATCAATATAAGATCTACTAATATAATTCTATGAATATACACTACTGTAATTAATATGTAGCATGCAGGAGGAAAACTATATGATCATCTTAAAAGATGCTAAGATGTCATTTAACAAAATATAATAGCCATATCTGATTTAAAAAAAAAAAACTTAAACAGAAAAAAAATTGAAATAGGTGAATATACTCAACACATTAAAGGTCTCAAACCAACAGTTAACCATTAAATATCTGCAACAGTTCCATTAAATTGGGATAGCATACTAAGATGCCTATCATTATAACTAACATTTGACATTGTTTTGGAGGAGGTGGTAGGGAATGCAATTTTTTTCTTTTTTCTTTATTACCCAGGTTCCCATCAATGGTAAAGGCAATGTAATTTGAAGAGAAAAAGGAGACATAAATATAAGAAAATCAGATGTGTACATGATTCATGTTTGCAGATGACAAAACTTTATTCCTAGAATAAAGTTATTCCAATCAAAGCAAAAGCTACAAGAAACAATTAGAAAAAAGAATAGGTGGCTGAATTCAAAATTAATTTTTTAAATTAATGAGTTTTCAACTAGAAGCCCCCTAGCAGAGCAGGTATTTTCATAGACAAATTAAAGATTAAATAAGATATCATGGCATAAGTGAAAATATTTAACAAATAAATTATACTTCATCCAATTTTGTAAAAAATACATACATATACCTGTGCCAGGTGCAGTGGCTCACGCCTATAATCCCAACACTTTGGGAAGCTGAGGCGGGCGGATCGCCTGAGCTCAGGAGTTCGACACCAGCCTGGGCAACACGGTGAAACTCCATCTCTACTAAAAAATACAAAAAATTAGCTGGGTGTGGCAGCGAGCACCTGTAGTGACTACACCACTTTGTTGACGGCCGTCCGGACCTGCAGCTGTCCGGGCCAGGTGGCTGCCCCCGCCTCCCCCCGGCCGGGGCGCTGGTGCTGGGGTGGGGCTGGCGGCGGCGGCGGCTTTCTCCGGCTACTGCTGCCCCCCCTGGGCGAGCTCAGCCGCGTCTTGGGCGCCACCTCAGCCTGGGCGGCGGCCCACCTGCCCCGGCTGCTGCCGCGGTGCCGCGAGCGGAACCCCGGATGGGTCCGGACGTGGGCGGCGGCGGCGGCGGCGGGGCCGGGGCGCAGCGCTCCGCAGAGGGAGCCGCGGGCTGCTTGGTCGGCCTGCCCCGCCGGCCCCTCATGTTGGAACCGAGGCGGAGGGAGAAGGGAAAGCGGCCGGGAAGGGGCGGGCGCAATGGGCGCAGTGGGGGCGGCCGGGGCCGGGTGGGGAGGCCAGAGGGGCAGGGCAGGAGGGGCCCGGCCTGCGGAAGCGGTTGGAGGGAGAAGGCTCAATCCGAATGGCTGGGGCCTCACTGCGGATCGCCTTCAGCCGCCATCTTGTTTCTTCCGTTACCGGAGCGCGGTCACGTGAGCTGAGCAGCCTACGAGCCTGGGACGGGGCGAGGTGGCGCGGCGGCCGCTAGGGGGAGCGCGGGAGCATTGAGTCGGGGGCGGAGAGCCTGGGGCGCCGGGGCTGGGCGCAGCGCGGCGCGGCTGGACTCCGGGCGCGGTGGCGCCGTTGAGAGAGACGCGCAGCTCGCGAAATGCCCCGCGGCTAAGGCCTTCGGAGACCATAGTCTCCGCGGACCCCTGGCTGGAGCCCAAAGCCGGCCGGACCTCCTCCCTGCGTCTCCCCTTCCGCGGCTCGGAGAGGAAGGCAGGAGAGCCCCCAAATATTCCCCTCCCGCCCCCTAGGGAAACTGAAGCTGAAAGAGCCAGCGAAAGAAAAAAAAAGTCTCGGAGTGGGGCGGCCCGAGCGACCTAAGGGACGGGGCAGCGCCAGCGACCGAGGGAAATTAGTCGGGGTGGGGGAACAGGGAGACAAGCCCCCAGAATTTAGGAAACTCCTAAATTCTACTAAAAATACAAAAATTACCTGGGCATGGTGGCGGGTGCCTGTAATCCTAGCTACTGAGGAGGCTGAGGCAGAAGAATCGCTTGAACCCCTGAGGTGGAGGTTGCAGTGAGCCAAGATTGCGCCATTGTACTCCAGCCTGGGCTGCAAGAGTGAGACTCCTTCTCAAAAAATAAAATAAAATAAATCAAGAAAAGTCTGGAAACCATGCCAACTGGTGAAATGAATAAAGAAATAAATGTTGTCTGGACTGAGTGGCTCACACCTCTAATCCCAGTACTTTGGAGGCCGAGGCGGGCAGATCACTTGAGGCCAGGAGTTCAAACCAGTCTGGGCAACATGGTGAAACCCTGTCTTTTCTACAATTGCAAACAAATTAGCCGGACGTGGTGGTGCATGCCTGTAATCCCAGCTACTCGGGATGCTGAGGCCCGAGAATCGCTTGAACCTGGGAGGCAGAGGTTGCAATGAACTAAGATAACGCCACTGCACTCCAGCCTGGGTGACAGAATGAGACTAGGTCTCAAAAAAAAAATTATAATTCAGTAACATAGTCAGTTACAAGATAAACATTGAGCCTGCCTCCTAGGTTCAAGCGATTCTCATGACTCAGCCTCCCGAGTTGCTGAGATTACAGGCGTGTGCCACCATGCCTGGATAATTTTTTGTACTTTTAGTGCAGACGGTGTTTCACCATGTTGGTCAGGCTGGCCTCCAACTCCTGACCTCAAGTAATCCACCCACCTCAGTCTTCCAAAGTGCTGGGATTACAAGCGTGAGCCACTGTGCCCGGCCTCAATTTGGGTTTTTATGGAAGCTTCATTACAGAGTCATTAATGATTACACCGTTGGCCGTTGGTGGTCAGCTTAACCTTCAGCCTCTCTCTCTTTCTCAGAGGTTGAGAGTGGCACTGAAAGCCCTGACCACCAGCCCCAATCCTGAGGCTGTCTAGGAAAGCCTAATCAGTCAATCATTAGCATAAAAAAAAGACTTATTTTGCAGATTCTGAGGGTTTTAGGAATTGTATGCCAGGAACCAGGAAGATCAAATACGTGTTTCACAGTCTCACAGGACCACATAGAGGAGATTGGTCATCAGTGTTTCTCAACAGAAGCGCTTTGGCCTTTTGGACAAGCCAGTTTACACACTGTAGGAAGAAGTTTAGCATCTCTGGGCCCGGATACCAAAGGCTAGTACCAGCCTCATCATTTTTACAACCAAAAAGGTAACCTTGCCCGCTCCCCATACATTCCCACTAGGAGGTGTCAGAACCACTTCCGGCTGAGAACCACTGGAATACATTTTGGAATATCCAAAAAATGTACTTCCATTTTAAGAAAATAATGTGGGATTGGTGTTTTTCATTTTTTAATTATTTGGAGGAAATTGCCAATGACAAGTGCTTGAACAAAAAATCCAAATTACAGACTAGTGTATATATAGTGTGATGTATCCATTCAATTCACTCAGGAAATGTTTATTTAACACTTAAGGTGTGCCATGCACTGTTTCCATTCCACATTCTGTACAGAGTGGGAAAATATTTGTAGTTTATATCCTTTATATGTAAATAAATAGGTCAGTTGCACTTCAAAGCCAACAAATAAAAGTGATCTCTAAATCTAAACCCCAAAGACAATCATTTTTAAACAACTTTAGAATATATCTTGTATATATTGTTTTAATGCATGTGTTCATATATAAACACATTTTATACAAAAACAATCTAATGAGGAAGAAAAATTATACTTTGGGAAAGAAGGAGCCGGGTGCAATGGTTCACGTCTGTAATCCCAGCACTTTGGGAGGCCAAGGGAGGTGAATCACATGGCGCCAGGAGTTCAAGACCAGCCTGGCTGACATAGTGAAACCCCATCTCTACAAAAATACAAACATTAGCTGGGCGTGGTGGCGCACACCTGTAGTCCTGGCTACTCCGGAGACTCAGGCAAGAGAATCGCTTGAACCTAAAAGGCAGAGGTTGCAGTGAGGCGAGATCGCGCCACCACATTCCAGCCTGGGCGACAGAGTGAGACTCTGTCTCAAAAACAAAAACACATTATTGCTAAGGTAATTTGCTTTTGAGTTCAAGACCAGCCTGACCAACATGAGGAAACTCCGTCTCTGCTAAAGTTTCAAATATGTATAAGTACTGGCATATTTTAAAAATACATTTTATTTTCTTTTTAGTTTATAAGATATGTGATTCCTTCTTTACATCTACCTATTTTTATTTCTGCCTCTTTTTTTAAATAGGGTTAATTTTTTTTTTTTAAATGGAGTCTTGCTCTGTTGCCCAGGCTGGAGGGCGTAGGGCTGCCTCTGCTCACTGCAATCTCCGCTTCCCGGGTTGGAGCAATTCTCCTGCCTCAGCCTCCTGAGTATCTGGCATTACAGGCACCTGCCACCATGCCCAGCTTTTTTTGTATTTTTAGTAGAGACGGGGTTTCACCATGTTAGCCAAGCTGGTCTTGAACTCCTGACCTCAAGTGATCCTCCCTCCTCAGCCGCTCAAAGTGCTGGGATTACAGGTGTGAGCCACCATGCCCGGCCTGTCAAATTGCTCTATAATTTCATTTGGAGTGAATTCAGATTAGACCATTGATTTTATTGGCTTTTTTTTTTTTTTGCTTTTTGAGAAGCAGGGCCTTATTCTTTTTCCTAGGCTGCAGTGCAGTGGTGCAATCACACCCCATCGCAGCCTCCCCCTACCCAGATCAGTAAGTCCTTCCGCCTCAGGCTCCCAAGTAGCTGGGACTACAGGCGCGTGCCCTGCCACCATCTCTGGCTAATTTTGGGGTGTTTTTTGTTGTTATTGTTGTTGTCATTGTTTTTTTGTAGAGACAAGGTTTTGCCATGTTGCCCAGGCTGGTCTCAAACTCCTGGGCTCAAGCAAGTGATCTTCCTTCCTTGACTTCCCAAAGTGCTGGGATTATAGGCATGAGCCACCGTATGGGCCCTGGTTATCTTTTTTTCATATTACACATTTTCATTTTCAAACATTTGAATTTTGCAAGCTTATTTTGAGTGAGAGGAGTGTTGTTTTCTTCTCTCCTGAAGCCCAGTGTAGCCCAGTCAACCCTTAACTTCCAGCAGGGAGCCAGCGCTTATCACTGCCTCACACACAGCATGTTAGCCTCCCTTATCCCCGAGAAACTCATACTGTTAGTGTTCAGCCACCACTTCCTCCTTCTGCATCTGGAGTCTAGAAGGCCTGCAGTTTTAGTCCTGCTCACAGTTTTGTGTCTGTTCCGTTGAGATTGTTGTAACTTATTTAAGCATGACTATGTCTTTTCAATTTCTCTTTTTTATATTTTACTCTCACTTGTATGTTCTTGAAGGGAGAGGGAGGATCAAAGTGTGCGCCCGCTATACCATCTTGGTTTTCCCAAAATCTGTCCCACGATGTTATAAAAATATATGAACTAGGAAATGAAACTCAAGGTTTTCTTTCTAACCAAGGAAGAAGTTCAGTCTCTCTCTATAAATAGAGAAGGGCTGTTGAATAATTTGTCACATTGCTTCTCTTTTGACTTTATAAGACTAGATAGTCTATAGACAGAGAAACAGTTTCATTAAACCAGGGCCATTCAGGTTTATTTGGTAAAATATTTGTGATATATTTAAAAGCTTCCTGAGGTACTCATGTAATGATTGTTACTAGTATAATTGGTGCATAGGGCTGGGTGACCCTGCAAAAAAAGAGGCACAGCAAACTTTATTTCAGGTACAGATGGACCTTACCTTTAGGCAAATCCTTGAAATTTTGGCGTGGGGAATCAGGTTTTTCTGTGGGTTTTTTGTTTGTTTTTGGCTTTTCATAGACAGCTATATGAAGTCTCTGCTTTAGAATCTATAAAACTATAGCTTCAGAGGCTGGGCGAAATGGCTCATGCCTATAATCCCAGCACTTTGGGAGGCTGAGGTGAAAGGATCACTTGAGGTCAGGAGATCGAGACCAGCCTGGCTAACAGGGCGAAACCCCGTCTGTACTAAAAATGCAAAAATTAGCCAGGCATGGTGGCAGGCACCTGTAATCCCAGCTGCTTGGGAGGCTGAGGGAGGAGAATCACTTGAACCCAGAAGGCGGAGGTTGCAGTGAGCCGAGATCATGCCACTGCACGACAGAGCGAGACTCCATGTCGAAACAAAAAACTGTAGCTTCAGAGATTCACTTAAATTATCATTTATAGGCCAAGAGAGTTGTGGCTCACAGCCTGTAATCCCAGCATTCTAAAAGGCTGAGGTGGGTGGATCACTTGAGGCCAGGATTTTGAGACCAGCCTGGGCAACATGGCAAAACCCTGTTTCTACAAAAAGGAATTTGCTGGGTGTTGTGATGCACACCTGTAGTCTCAGCTACTTGGCGAGGCTGAGGCCAGGGGACTGCTTGACCCCAGGAGGTCGACCCTGCAGTGAGCCATGATAGCACCACTGTACTCTAGCCGGGGCGATCAAGTGAGGCCCTATCTCCAAAAAAAAGTTTTGTTTTGTTTTGTTTTAACAGGGTCTCACTTTGTCATCTACATTGGAGCACAGTGGTGCCATCACAGCTCACTGAAGTCTTCACCTCTCAGGCTTAAGGGAGCCTCCAACCTCAGCCTTCCAAGTAGTTGGCACTACAGGCATGCGTCACCACACCTGGCTCATTTTTGTATTTTTTAGTAGAGATGGGGTTTCACCATGTGTCCAGGCTGGTCTTGAGCTCCTGGACGCAAGTGATCTTCCGCCCTCGGCCTCCCAAACTGCTGGGATTACAGGTGTGAGCCACTGTGCTGGACGAATTTTTTTAAAGAAGGAAAAATAAAATTAATTCGGCCCTTCATTAAAAAAATTAAAAACTCTTTAAAGGAAACGTGGGCTAAGTTATTTTTCTGAGAGACTATAAGATTTGGGAAGAAAAATAATCATGATGAAACGTTTTGGGAATATTTTTGGTATTTAAAATTATTGTAGAAATTTATAAATGTGTCAGATTTTGGCTGGGCACAGTGGCTCACACTTGTAATCCAAGCACTTTGGGAGGCCAAGGTGGGCAGACCACCTGAGGTCGGGAGTTCGAGACCAGCCTAGCCAACATGGTGAAACCCTATCTCTAAAAGAATTTTTAAAAAAATTTTAAGTCAGATTTTAAGAAATATTCTTATGGCTGGGTACAGGTGGCTCATAACTGTCATCCCAGCACTTTGGGAGGCAAAGGCAGGCGGATCACTTGAGCTCAGGAGGTAAGTTACCTGGGCAACACAGCAAGACTCCATCTCTACAAAAAAAAAAAGTAGCTGGGCATGGTGGTGAGCACCTGTAGCTACTTGAGGGGTTAAGTCAGGAGGATCACTTGAGCCTGGCAGGTCAAGGCTATAGCAAGCCGTGTTTATGTCACTGCAGTCCAGGCAGGGTGACAAAGTGAAACTCTTATCTCCAAATGAGAAAGAAATCCTCTTGGTCGTAGATATGATTTCTTTACACCAAGTTTGTTCGTGGATGCCAATCACAATGGGTTTGTCCCTAGGGTAATATAGTTTGCTTTGATCATTTCCAAGAGTAAGTTGTACTACAGGATAGCAGAAGAGATGCACTTAAAAAGTATGGCAAAATGCATATTGAGACAATAGTATGTTGGCCAGACACAGAGACTCACGCTTGTAATCCCAGCACTTTGGGAGGCTGAGGTGGGTCACCTGAGGTCAGGAGTTCAAGGCCAGCCTGGCAAACATGGTGAAACCCTGTCTCTAACAAAAATACAAAAAATTAGCTGAGCTTGGTGGCACGTGCCTGTGGTCCTAGTTACTTGGGAGGCTGAGGTGGGAGGATCACTTGAGCCTGGGAGGTGCAGGGTACACTGAGCCGAGATTGTGCCACTACACTCTAACCTGGGTGACAGAGTGAGACCCAGTCTTAAAAAAAAAAAGAAAAAACAAGATGCAGTAAAGAAGCCGACCAAAACCAAGATGGTGACGAAAGTGACCTCTGGTCGTCCTCACTGCTCGTTAAAACTTTTTTTTTAAAAATATGAAAAGAGGCTGGGCCCTGTGGCTCACACCTGTAATCTCAGGACTTTGGGAGGCAAAGGCAGGTGGATTGCCTGAAGTCAGGAGTTTGAGACCAGCCTGGCCAACGTGGCACAACCAAAAATGCAAAAATTAGCCAGATGTGGTGGCACACACCTGTAATCCCAGCTACTTGGGAAGCTGAGGCAAGAGAATTGCTTGAAGCCAGGAGACAGAGGTTGCAGTGAGCCGAGATCATGCCACTGTACTCCAGCCTGGGTGATAGAGCAAGGCTCTGTCAAAAAAAAAAAAAAAAAAAAAAAAAAAGCCTGGCCTGGTGGTGCACGTCTGTAGTCCCAGCTACTCGGGAGGCTGAGGTGGGAGGATCATGTGAGCCTGGGAGGTCCAGGCTGCAGGGGGCCGTGATCCTGCCCCTGCCCTGCAGCCTGGGTTATACAGCGAGACAAAAGAAAAAAGAAAAAAGTTAGTGGTAACAGGATAAACTACATAACCGTATATTATTCCTTCACATTCATGAAGCAGGTCAATTTGAAGCTTGAGGACGACTTCCATTCCTCTAGGTGAATCTACCAAGAAATGCCTTGGTAGAGCTAGGAGTGCCAATGGTATCAGCAAGGCCAGCCTGGTTCCCTGTGATTCATGGTAATTCTCACTATGACTTTGACATGATGTTCCTACACTGTGCCTATCAACACTTGTAGACACACTGTATAAGCGTTTGTTACATTTACTTTTTCTTTTGTCATTAGGTCTTTTATTACAGAGGCCACTGTGCACTCCACAATCACACACTTACACAGCTCCGCCTTGCCAGGCAGTGTAGACCCTGCCAAGCAGTGTAGACAGATTCTGGATAACTATCTTTGCATCCTTCCCCATACCATGTCCCAGATGTTGAACTGAAGCAGCTCCTTCCATGTTCCCTACCCGTTAATTAGCCAGGCCGCTGCCCACATTGTCACAAACATTATATTAACTGAAAAACTGGCCCATGCCATATTCCATTATGAGAAATTATTTTAAATTCGATTAAATTCCAATGTTTATTCAGAAAACCTGGTAGAGATTGAATTGCTCTATGTACCTTTCTTAGTTTTCTTCTTCATAGCATATTTTGACCATTTATCTTCTACACCTGGCTGACCTGCATGGTCCTTGTAGTGTAACTTCTACTTGGTGTTTGCGCTTTGCTTTGTTTTCAAATTTAAATTGTGAGATACATTTTTAAACCTATCTAAGAAATAGCCCTGATATTGAAATGGCTTCTGTGGAATAGGTTTGACAGATGTAAGTCTTTGATTCTTTGGCTTTGGTTTTTGTGCTTGTTACAGTTTTACACACATTCATTCAGAGGAAGACATTACCATCAATGTGTTGTTTCTTTTTTCAAATTCCAGTATGTTTTTAAAGACCCATATTTCACTAAGCAGTGTACTTGTTGAAACTGATGTGAGTGACTTTATGTTTCCACATGTGATAGAGCATCAGATACTGGAGTTTGCCAGGGGTAGAATGGTTGGATTCAGGAATGTTTAGCTGACTCATAGCAGGAAGTTACACTGTAAAAAAATGAAGCAAGGCAGGGAAGACAGATTTAAGTACCATGCAGCTCAAAACGACAACTACATTGTCATTTTCATTGTGAATACTTTTAGGTTCTATATTGGCTGTGATCTTTGTACTAACTGGTATTATGGAGAATGTGTTGGCATCGCAGAAAAGGAGGCTAAGAAAATGGATGTGTACATCTGTAATGATTGTAAACAGGCACAAGAGGGCAGCAGTGAGGAATTGTACTGTATCTGCAGAACACCTTATGATGAGTCACAGTGAGTTCTGATAAGAGCATCACATTTAATAATTTAGGAAGCCAAATTGCTCTGACTGGTTACTTATTTACTTTAAAATAAAAAGCAGATTTTTTCTACATTTGTTATACACTTACGTTACAAATTCCTTTTCATTTTTTTTTTCTCTTTTTCCCTTTTTACCTACCCTTCAAAATTTATCTTGCTTCATAGTGAATGTTTGAGACACATTGGGGAAAATGTGGTTTAATGGTAGATTTGATTCTTCAATATGTAACATAGAAATTAATGAGATTAAAATAGCCTGACTTGTTTGGACTTTATCAGTGTTTGAAATGGTGCTTTATTGCAGGTTAGAAAAACACTAATTTGGGTATAAGCTTTGAGACTCTGTTATTACCTTACAGGATTTTGAACTCCCATATGGTACAGTACTAGTTGAAAGATTTGTGACTTGTTTTCAGCTTTAAAATCAATTGAATGTTTCATATTTATCTTTAAATTGGTTCTCCAAAATTACAGTGTTCTTATAAATTTTTTTACTGCTTGTTCTTAACATCAAAAATACTAAATTAATGTACTGGAATGTCGATCTTGAAAGTATTAAAACCATAATACTAAAACTATTTTATATCCCAGGGTTTAGCAAATTTTCAGGTGCATGCTTTATTATAAGTAACATCATCCCATCTGTTTTGAACTCACATTTCCATTTCAGATCTTGCAGATTTTTTATTGGCCGTGATCGGTGTCAGAATTGGTACCATGGGTGCTGCATTGGCATCTTGCAAAGTGAGGCAGAGCTCATTGATGAGTATGTCTGTCCACAGTGCCAGTCAACAGAGGATGCCATGACAGTGCTCACACCACTAACAGAGAAGGATGATGAGGAGTTGAAGAGGGTGCTCCGTTCCTTACAGATGAGAGCCCCTCTGTGTGCAGCATTTGAAAATGAAATCAGCCGGCATAATTTTGGAAGCATTTCTAGGATTTCAAGTTTCCAATGTTAGGATTTCAAGTTTCCAATCTTAGAGTGATTATTTACTGACTCTCAGCTAGTCTAGTGAAGGGCTTGACAAACTTCAGTCCTTCACATACCAGTGTCATGAGCTTTATCATATCCCCACACCACCTCAGCTTATCTAACACTCAGATAATCTAACGTGACTCACTTCTTTATACATTTTATTTTTAAAGAAACTTCCTCTCACTCCCATGGATTGAGAAACAGTATGATTAGATTATAGTTATTATTTTCCTTATGAAAGACAGAAAGGGGGCTGGGTACGGGGGCTCACACCTGTAATCCCAGCACTTTGGGGGGCTGAGGTGGGCAAATCATGAGGTCAGGAGTTTGAGACCAGACTGGCCAACATGGTGAAACCCCATCTCTACTAAAAATACAAAAAACTAGCCGGGTGTGGTGGCGTGAGCCTGTAATCCCAGCTACTAGGGAGGCTGAGGCAGGAGAATCGCTTGAACACAGGAAGCAGAGGTTGCAGTGAGCCAAGATAGAGCCATGGCACTCCAGCTCGGGTGACAGTGCGAGACTCTGTCTCAAAAAAAAAAAAAGGAAAGAAAAGAAAAACAGGATAGGTATGGTTTGCAGGATTAGCAAGTGATACAGATGTATTGAAGACATAGAAGGCCAGTGTGGTTGCTCACCCCTATAATCCCAGCACTTTGGGAGGCCAAGGCAGGAGGATCACTTGAGTCACTTAGTTAGAGACCAATCTGGGCAACAAAGTGAGACCCCATCTCTACAAAAAATAAAAATAAAAAATTAGCTGGGCATGTTGGCACGCACTTGTTTATCCAGCTACTCGGGAGGCTGAGGTGAGAGGATCACTTGAGCACAGGAGGCTACAGTGAGCTATGATCGTGCCACTCCACTCCAGCCTGGATGACAGAGCGAGACCCTGTCTCAAAACAATGGGGGGAAATAAAAGGATATAGTGCATTGGATTGAAACTTTCTCCTATTTTTATCATAATCACAAGAATTGAAGAAACTAAAAAGGGAATCGTAGTCTCAATGTGTGGTTGAATGTTATCTAACATCACATCTCTGCCACCTCATCATTAATCAGCTGTGGTAATGATTCCACACTTTGAACCCATCCCACCTGTTTACAGAAGCAGTTGCAATGCCAGCATCACTCAGTGACAGCTCACCATGTAGGGCCCAGAATACTGCTTTTGTGACTTCTAAACTTGTGTTCCACCCCCCACACTGTGGGGAAAAGAAAGAGAGATCAGATTGTTACTGTGTCTGTGTAGAAAGAAGTAGACATAGGAGACTCCATTTTGTTCTGTACTAAGAAAAATTCTTCTGCCTTGAGATGCTGTTAATTTATAACCTTACCCCCAACCCCGTGCTCTCTGAGACATGTGCTGTGTCAACTCAGGGTTAAATGAATTAAGGGCTGTGCAAGATGTGCTTTGTTAAACAGATGCTTGAAGGCAGCATGCTCCTTAAGAGTCATCACCACTCCCTAATCTCAAGTGCCCAGGGACACAACCACTGTGGAAGGCCGCAGGGACCTCTGCCTAGGAAAGCCAGGTATTGTCCAAGGTTTCTCCCCATGTGATAGTCTGAAATATGGCCTCATGGGAAGGGAAAGACCTGACCGTCCCCCAGCCCGACACCCTTAAAGGGTCTGTGCTGAGGAGGATTAGTATAAGAGGAAGGAATGCCTCTTTGCAGTTGAGACAAGAGGAAGGCATCTGTCTCCTGCCCGGCCCTGGGCAATGGAATGTCTCGGTAAAAAACCCAATTGTCTGTTCCATCTACTGAGATAGGGAAAAACCGCCTTAAGGCTGGAGGTGGGACATGCGGGCAGCAATACTGCTTTGTAAGGCATTGAGATGTTTATGTGTATGTGTATCTAAAGCACAGCACTTAATTCTTTATCTTTTCTATGATGCAGAGACCTTTGTTCACGTGTTTATCTGCTGACCTTCTCTCCACTATTATCCCATGACCCTGCCACATCCCCCTCTCCGAGAAACACCCAAGAATGATCAATAAATACAAAGGGAACTCAGAGGCCGGCAGCATCCTCCATATGCTGAATGCAGGTACCCTGGGCCCCCTTATTTCTTTCTCTATACTTTGTGTCTTTTTCTTTTCCAAGTCTCTCGTTCCACTTAACGAGAAACACCCACAGGTGTGGAGGGGCAACCCACCCCTTCACCACACCAAGGTCTTCCGACCAGGCTTTGAGTACCATTATTGCAAAGGAAGCTCATCTTAGGTAACTTATTACTAGAGCAGAAATCACCTAATGTAAAGTATTTCATGTATCGCATTTAAAACTGACTTTTGGGTTCATTGATGTAGTGACTCAACTGGGAATCTTAAATGGAATTAGTGTTTTCACTGACAATAAGAATGCCTACTTTTTCATTATAGGCCCATAAGATGTCCCGGCCTTTCCTTGAACCAGTAGACCCTAATGATGCACCAGATTATTATGGTGTTATTAAGGAACCTATGGGTAAGTACATGAGTTGAATATGAAGTTTTTTCAGAAGTCTCAGTGGATATTTTATTAACCACAAAATTAATATCTTAGAATACTTTTAGCAAGGCTGGTGGGGGTATAAATTGGTATGGTCACTTTGGAGGGTAAATTGATAGTATCTATTACAGTTGAATTGTGCATACTCGGTTATTTTATTTTATTTTTTTGAGATGGAGTCTCACCCTGTTGCCAGGCTGGAGTGCAGTGGTGTGATCTCACCTCAATACAACCTCTGCCTCCCAGGTTCAAGCGATTCTCCTGCCTCAGCCTCCCGCGTAGTTGGGACTACAGGCACGTGCCATCACACCCGACTAATTTTTGTAGTTTTAGTAGAGACGAGGTTTCACTATGTTGGCCAGGATGGTCTCAAACTCCTGACCTCAGGTGATCCGCTCGCTTCGGCCTCCCAAAATGCTGGGATAACAGGCATGAGCCACCGCGCTCAGCCCCCCCAGTGATCTTCCTTTGAGGAAAAGCCACGGGGTGCTTTCTCTCTTCTGTAGCAAGGAAGATGGTTTCTAAGAGGGTATTTTAAAGGCAGTTTACCTAAAATAAAAGTGAAAGGCCAGGCAAGGTGACTTATGCCTGTAATCCCAGTACTTTGGGAAGCCGAGTGGGGAGAATAGCTTGAAGCCAGGAGTTCAAGACCAGCCTGGGCCACAATATGAGACCTTGTCTCTACTACCAAAAAAAAAAAAATTAACCAGGCTTGGTGATGAGTGCCTATAGTCCCAGCTACTTGGGAGGCTGAGGCAGGAGAATCACTTGAGTACAGGAGTTTGAGGCTGCAGTGAACTATGATCGAGCCACTCCACCCCAGCCTGGGTGACACAGCAAGAACTTGCCTGTTTAAAAAAAAAAAAAAACTGAGGCCAGGTGCAGTGGATCACGCCTGTACTCCCAGCACTTTGGGAGGCCAAGTGGGGCGGAGCACGAAGTCAGGAGATCGAGACCGTCGTGGCTAACACGGTGAAACCCCGTCTCTACTAAAAATAACAAAAAATTAGGCGGGCGTGGTGGCAGACGACTGTAGTCCCAGCTACTCGGGAGGCTGAGGCAGGAGAATGGCATGAACCCAGGAGACAGAGCTTGCAGTGAGCCGAGATTGCGCCACTGCACTCCAGCCTGGGAGACAGAGCGAGACTCCGTCTCAAAAAAAAAAACAAAAACAAAAAAACTGAAGGATAAGCCCAGCTAAAGTATCCAATTTTTATTCTCAGCAAAGGAATTAAAAAATAAATGAATATATATATAGGCAAGGAAGCAAGAAAAGTAGGCAGCAGGTTATAGACCAAAAACAAGAAACTACAAAATCTGTAAAACTAGGCTAGGCGTGATGGCTCATGCCTGTAATCCCAGCACTTTGGGAGGCCGAGGCAGGTGGATCACCTGAGGTCAGGAGTTTGAGACCAGCCTGGCCAACATGGCAAAACCCCATCTCTACTAAAAATACAAAAATTAGCCAGGTGTGGTGATGCACACCTGTAATCCCAGCTACTCAGGTGGCTGAGGCACGAGAATTGCTTGAACTCAGGAGGCAGAGGTTGCAGTGTGCCAAGATCACACCACTGCACTCCAGCCTGGGTGACAGTGAGACTCTCACAAAAGAAGAAAAAAAAATTCCCAACCTTACCAACATAACAAGACCATGTCTCTACAAAAATTTTAAAAATTAACCAGGCATAGTGGCGTGCACCCATAGTCCTAGCTACTCAGGAGGCTATGACAGGAAGATCACTTGTGCCCAGAAGTTCAAGGCTGCAGTGAGCTGTGATCACTTGTGCCCAGGAGTTCAAGGCTGCAGTGAGCTGTGATTACACCACCGCTCTCCAGCCTGAATGACAGATTGAGACCCTGTCTCAAAAAAAAAAGACAAGAATAAAAGAAAAATTTTCTGAGCTGATGCGAGTCACAGGACTTTAAATTCTAGCAGAATAAATTCATTCACTCAGCAAATGACTATTGAGAACCTGATGTGTGCCAGATACAGGGAATTTAGCAGTGAATAAATTAAAGCCCCTGCACTCTATGAGGGGTGGGGGGAGCAAGGGGTCAGTTGATAAACATTATAAACCAGGTGGACAAATGGAAAAAGACTCACCCCTACATACATCGCTATAAAATTTCCAAACATTAAGAATAAAAGAAACTTTTAGATAAAACAGACAATCTATAAAACAAGAATTAGATTGGTGTCAGATTTTTCTGCTACAACATTTAGTGCTAGAAGATTATGGAAGAATAAATCTAAAAGTTTAAGAAAAAATGATTTTCAACCTAGAAGTCTATGTGCAGCCAAACAGTCAAGTAAAGTCAGAATAAATACATATTCAGTCATGTAAGGACTCAGGGTACCCTTTCTTGGCAGGTATTTTTTAAAAGCATGTGCTATTGGCCAGGCAGGAAATGGCTTATGCCTGTAATCCTAGCACTTTGGAAGGCAAAGATGGATGGAACATTTGAGGTCAGCATTTCGAGACCATCCTGGCCAACATGGCAAAACCTCGTCCCTGCTAAAAATACAAAAATTAGGTGGGCATAGTGGCGCATGCCTGCAGTCCCAGCCACACAGGAGGCTGAGCCCCAGTTCAATAGATACACGATGCCACTGGTGTGGCAACACGTGTGTGTGGATGGAGTGAGGTGCAGAAGCAGGTGGTGGTGGGCTCTGAGAAGGGCTGATTGAATGGTCTCTTTATTCCCTTTATAAATTTTCCTCCCTTGGAAGATTGACCTTTGTAAAGAAGAAAAACATGTTAGAAGAAAAATGGAAAAGAACTCTGCATGCCCTCAGCTCAGATGCCATCTCCTCTGGGAGCTCCTCTGGCCCCTGCCAAGGCTGGATCAGATGCCCTCAGGGCACACACGATGCTGATCCAGGGCCATCTGTGGCCCAGACTCTGGGTCCCTCATGCAGCCCTCACCACTGCTCAGGAGGCCACAGGAACAGAGGAATCACTGGCCCATTTTACAGACGGGAAAGCTGGACCCGGAGAAGTGAAGCAACTTTCCTGACTCACAGTGGGTGAGGGCCTCCCACACTCTTTCCCCTGCCCCATGCTGTTTCCAAGGGACTTCCACAGGCACAGGAAGCAGGCTGAGTGCATAGCAGGAGTACAGCGCTGCTGCCCAGGGATGGAGCAGGAGGGCCAGGGAGAGAGAGACAGGGGTGCCCCTGGTGCCCACAGAGACAGGTCTGTAAAGCCCATGAACAAACTCTCAGCAGGGCGGGGACGGGTGAATGGGGCTGGGGCCCACAACCCATACCACAGGCACCTGGTCTACACAGGTCTGTAGGCCTGTGCAGATACCTGGCTCCTTGACCAAGGAGGGTGATAAGGCCCCACCTGACCCCAGAGATTTCGCCACCTGGTTAGGTGGGCAGGAGGATAGTCTCTCTGGAGCTCTGGGTCATGGACTCTCAGAGGTAGGGAGTGAGTCAGCATGGCCAAAAGGTGGAGACCCAGTCACCCACGGATGCTTGGGATGGGCGAGCCTCCTGGGGCGAAGCCTTCTAGGGTCTAGGGTCCCACATGGTGGTCCCCGGAGGGCTTTCTGTTCTTCCAGGCCCTGCAGAGGAGACCAAGGCTCAGCTGGCAGCTGTGGGGCCAGATTCTCCTCTTTGCCTAGGGGAGAGCCCCCGCAGCACCCCTTGAGAGCCCCTGGGGACCTGCCTGGGGCACACCCTGGCCCCCAGGAAGCCCGGCTCTGGGAGCACTGCAGCCAGGATGGAGGAGGCAGTCTTCAGAGAGGCACTGTCTAGGCCAGCCCTGTGGGGAGGGAAGGCCAGATGGGGGAACCTGGAGGGGCTTGTGAACTGGTTCCTGACCCTAGAAACCCAGCAGAGGTGGACTCGAAGCCCATTCTGGGGAGAAGGCACCGGCAGGCTTCTCCGCCTGAGGTCTGCCCTCCTGAGGGTGCCAGGAGAGCACAGCCCTGGGAAGACTGTAGCCTGGGCTGTGACCTGAGGACTAGGAAGCGTTTATGACAGACATGGAGAGGCCTAAGTCCCTGCTGAAGCCCAGCATCACATCCCATTCCTGAGCACCAAAGGCCCCAGGCCCTGGGTAAGAGAAGCTTCCTAAAGGGCATCCTGAGGGCCCCGCCCTGATCACCTCTTCTTTGGAGAATTTCAGGAGGGAGGCTGGCATGGGCCAGACAACTGGCTGGACAGGGAAGAGGTGGGAATATCTGGACCTCGCCTGCCTCTCGCCACACTCCCCGCTTCCCTCCTCACTGTAGCCAAAGTTCTCCCTGTGCTTTCCACCGACAGTTCATGGCCTGTGCGTGCTATTCCTTCTGTCTGGAACGCCCTTTTCCCCTTTGCTTCCCCTTTCTAATTCGTCATTTTTCAGGTCTCACCTTAGAAGTCACTTCCTCCAGGAAGTCCTTCCTGCCTTGTCCTCCTCTGATCTGGGCTGGATGTAAGCCTCTGTGCTTCCAGGACGTCCTGCCTCTCACCCTCACCCCCGGATGGAGTTGCTGGTTTTCCCACCTGTCTCCCTCTCACCCTCACCCCCGGATGGAGTTGCTGGCATTCCCACCTATCTCCCCTCTCACCCTCACCCCCGGATGGAGTTGCTGGCATTCCCACCTATCTCCCCTCTCACCCTCACCCCCGGATGGAGTTGCTGGCTTTCCAACCTATCTCCCTCTCACCCTCACCCCCGGATGGAGTTGCTGGCTTTCCCACTTGTCTTCCCTGCCAGGCCAGAGGCTTCCAGCGGGTCGGCCCTGGCTCTGCCCTGCTCAGTGTTGGAGCCCACATGCCTTGCCAGGTGTGCAGTGCTTAGTATGTTCTCAGTCCATGTTTTTGAGTGAACAAATAGATACGTGAAAAAAAACCCAAAATCACCCCCAAAAGATGTGATCATTTCCCAGGCCCAATGGGAAGATCTCTGCCCATGTTTCCTCCAAGTGGACGCCTTGCCCTGGGCACTGCCCCCGTGTGTGTGTGTGTGTGCACGACTGCCTGCATGTGTGTACATTTGTGTGCATGTGCATGTGTGTGCAAGTCTGTGCATTTGTGTGTACATTTATGTGTGTGGGTGTGTGTGCGCATGTGTATGTGTGTATTCATGTGTGTGTGTTCGTGTGTGTTCATGTGTATGTGTGTGTGTTCGTGTGTGTGTGTGTGTGTGTTCGTGTGCATGCACGTAAAGGGTGCTCACCTCCTCCTGAGCTCCTTCAGGGCACCGCTCCAGCACGGGCCCAGGTAATCCCCCAGGAGCTTTAGCTGCTCCCAGCTCCTCCCGATGAGGTGCATCCGCTCCACATGCTCGTACAGAGATGCGTTTGCCATCTGCAGGTTGATGAGGGGCTGGGCCCAGATCTGCATCAGAAACTTCAGGGCCTGCCTGCAGATCTGGGGGCACCACCAGGCATTAGGGATGGGAAGGAATCGCTGTTCAATGAGCACTGCCCGGCCAGGTGCCACATGACCTCCTCACTTACCTGAGGGGCTATCTTCATTTTACAGATGGGGAAACTGAGGCTCAGGGAGATGAGGGGATTTGGCTAGGGTCACCCAGCTTGTAAATGGTACAGTCAAGCTCTGAACCCAGTTTATCTGACTCCCAAACCCACTCTCCCTCTAAGGGCAAGGGTCGCTGCCCCCTCCCCAACCATGCTGAGATGAGGGAGGGACTGCTTTGGTTAACGCCCCCTCCCTCTGGGCCTCACAGATCAGGGTCTCTGGGTTCAGGAACCCTTGGAGCTCTTTCCCCAGAGTTGTTTCCTGGCCATGCCCATCCTATTCCTGGAGTCAGAGTGCCACAGCAGACACATCTGAGCCGAGGGCTCCCTGTGACCTTCCTCCCTCTCCCACAGAGGCAGCCTTCCAAGTTTTCTACCCCCGACTACACAGTGGAGCTGAAGAGCACCACTCTCTGCTGGGCCCCTAAAACAAATCCAGTAAGAAGAACGTGCTGGAGGTGAGTGGTGGGGGTGGGGAGAAGGAGGGAAGGGGCTTAGTGATGCCTGCCAGCCCTCTGAAACTAGTGACCTGGAAATGACCTGGGGGTTTTTGACCCTTAATTCCCTATGAGCCAACACTGAGTGCAGCTTTTGGCTGTATTAATAGAGGTAAGAGTCCAGAGCCAGAGAGGTGATATTGGTGCAGTTGCTGGCAGTGCTCTGGGACCCTTACTGTAGGCAAGCCCCAAGTAGGAGGACCTGGGAAGAATTGGGGCTACCATTCTCAGGGCTCAAGGCCAAAGCTGCATCCCCGCCCCAGGGGACCTGTCCTGTGTTTCTAGCATCACAGATTCTGCAGTTCCCCCTCCAGGAGCTGAGTTAATAATAATCCTTGCCCTGGAGGGTGGTGAGGAGTAGGGCCTCTGGAAGAGGAAATTCTCATGCCTAGAATGGCAGCCCTCGTCCCAGCCTGAGAGAGACAGGAGGCTCCGTGTCCTTGGCTGCTTACTGTGACAGGCCTGGTTGGGAAACCTCTTTCTCCCCAGGTGCCCTTCCCTGTCCCTGAGCCAAAGCCCCATTTCTGTCTGGACTGCATCCCCAGTGAATAAACCGGGGCAGTGGGCAAGACTACCAGGTTACCCCCACAGGAAGGGAGAGAAGACCCAGGATGGGTACTCCCAATGCCACACCCTTCACTGTCCACGTCTTATCTTGTTTTTAAACTACTCTTACCCTGACCTCAGTCCCTAGAAGGTTTGAGGCAGATCACAACAGAAACACACGTGGTGAACTGGCAAATTCACTGAAAAGCCAGGACCACAAAAAACAAGTTAGAGATGGGACTCAAGATGGAGAGGAATTAGGGGGCAGATGATGTACAGGTGCTAAGGTGTGGTTGCTGAAGAAAATTTAGCTCTGACTTTCCTGCTAGGTAAGGTGAAAAGAGAGGGGCTATCAGGTGCATGTCTCTTTGTTGTTGAAAAAATAATAAAACCCACCCAGATGTTGAGGGAATCAAAGCTTTTTCCTAACCCTTCGCTCTTAAATTTCTTGTGTGTAGCTCTGTGAACATGGGATCTAGAAGGACAAGTCAGGTACCCTGCAAAACACCTCCAGGGAGGTTTAATGGGGCTGCTTCAGGTGGCATTATTATGATGAAGGCCAGCAGCATGACCTCATGTCTCAGCTCAGAAAAAGCAATTCTGCAAAGAACCTGACTGTGTAG
This sequence comes from Homo sapiens, assembly GCF_000001405.40. Classification (NCBI taxonomy): domain Eukaryota; kingdom Metazoa; phylum Chordata; class Mammalia; order Primates; family Hominidae; genus Homo; species Homo sapiens. The sequence goes on from NC_000017.11 coordinate 64,938,456, forward strand.
TTTCTTGATTATTCACCAAGCTCCATTCAGTTCTAGAACCAGGATATCTACAAAGCAAAGTTGGAAAACTGGTTTCATCTCATGAGCTACTCTGATGACTAGGTCTGGAGTCTTGTGGGGTTTTGTTTTTATTTTTTGTTTCTGTTTTTGTTTTTGTTTTTAGAGACAAGGGAGCTTGGGTTTCCTTTCTACCCAGCAGGCATGGCTCAGTGGCAGACACCAACCACTGGCATCTGGGTTGTATTTCATAATTTGCACAGTACTTGCAGAACCTTGTCTCATTTAAGCTTTGTAATAACCCCACAAAAATAGCTGGTAGTAGCTGAATTTTACAGACACTGAAATGGAAGCTTGAAGAAATTAGGTGAAGGTCAGGGTGAGGCAGCTAGTGAGCAGCAGAGCCCGCCCTCTGGTCCCAAGGCCCAGGGACCCTTCTGCCTGCCCCTGGGGGAGTCAGGGCCTTTGCCTTTTGCCCAGGGCACACCCACTGGCCGCTCCCACTGGCCCCCCGCTGTGGAGACACCTCTACACTGTAAGAACTATCCAACCAAGGGGGCCAAAGCCAGCCTTGCTCCACAGTCCTGAGGCATCAGACACTGTGCAGACTGCCCTGCCCCCTGCTGGCTGCCTGTCTGCTTCCCGTGGCCAGCCCTGACCGCGGCCCCTGTCCCCCAGCCACTTATTGCTCGCCACAGCCCCTACTCTGCTGCTTCCATTCTGGGGCCCGAGTGGACGGGTGGACCTAGAGGAGGCTGGCATTGCTGAGCCAGCAGCAGGGACACTAGACACAGGCAACAAGGGTAATGGAGCAGAACACAGGCTCTGGAACCAGCCAACATGGCAAAACCCTATCTCTACTGGAAATACAATAATCAGCTGGGTGTGGTGGTGCACGTCTGTAATCCCAGCTCCTGGGGAGGCCGAGGCACTTGAGCCCAAGAGTCAGAGGTTGCGGTGAGCTGAGATCATACCACTGTACTCCAGCCTGGGTGACAGAGCAAGACTCTGTCTCAAAAAAAAAAAAAAAAAAAAAGGAAGCACTGGAGGACATTAAACAAATAGCAGATCCTCCAGCCTGGCCAACATAAAAATACAAAAATTAGCTGGGCATGGTGGCGGGTGCCTGTAATCCCAGCTACTCGGGAGGCTGAGATAGGAGAATCACTTGAACCCAGGAGGCTGAGGCTGCAGTGAGCCGAGATCGCGCCACTGCACTCCAGCCTGGGCGACAAAGGGAGACTCCATCTCAAAACAAACAAACAAACAAACAAAACAAAACAAAACAAATAGTAGATCTGGTCAAGCCCCTCAGAGCTGTTACATAAACCAACTACTGAGGGTAAAGACCTTTGGAAGGACCATTTAAAACACCTGGGGCTTCATCGGGCTGGATTTGCTCGGAGCTACAGGTGGAATCAAGAGTTCTCTATAATCATCACTTGCACAGCGTAGTTTTCAGGGAAATATTTTCCTATTTGACAGGTGAAACAGTATTTTTCACCTGCCTGTAGGCAGTTTTGAGACAATATAGTACTTTTCCAGAAGTGCTTCCCTGAATGACTGCGCACGATTATGATGACATTCTGGAATGGGGTTTTATAACACTTGTGGGAACACGCTGCCCCTTTAGCAATGGAAAACAGGACTTCAGAGCTGCCTTCTGAAAGGCCTGGTCCCTGCAGATGGAACCCACCTGGGACCCTCCTGGTCACCTACCCATCTGCCTCCAGTGTACCACCCGGAAGCTCTTATGCCCCTGTGCGGGGGCTGCCTGGGGGCATTAGACCAAGCATGTGTGCCTTCCCCAGGAAGCAGGCAAACCAAGGAAGCAGGCAAACCCAGATCTGAATGCCAGCCACACCACTTCATCACTATGTGACCGGACAGGTTTCCTAACCTCTCTGAGCACCCATTTCTTCAGCTGTAAAATAATGATAGTTCTTACAGTGTGTTGTTGTAAAGATTAATTAGTAGGGGGAGTTCTGAGTGGTGGAAATATGAGTGGTGGTTATTCTTGACTTTGTGCCTACCTTTAAAAAAAATTAACAGATCCTTTCCACCACAGAAGCTCCCAAGTTACTAGGAGCTGACTCTGGCCATACCACTCACTCTCTACCCATCTCCCAGGCTGCTTCCAGCAGATCGGCTTCTTTGTACGACCCAAGCTCTGTGCCTTCTCTGGCCTCTATTACTGTGACATCTGCCACCAAGATGATGCCTCAGTGATTCTGGCCAGGATCATCCACAGCTGGGACCTCACCAAGCACCTGGTAAGTCTCGAGCCCAGCTCGTCACAGCCACTCAGGGCTGGTGAGGGACAGAGGGGTGTTCAATCCTCTTTGCTGCTGCTGTTCATCTGTTTAGAGGAGTTTGGCTCCTCTAAACAAGGGAAGCTGGGGTCACTGGTTCAGGCACTGTGACGTGGGGGAGCTAACCAAGAGAAAAGCTTGGTGCCTGTCCACAGCCCTGGGCAGAGCTCCGTCGGTGGCTGTCTTGGTCCCCAGGAGGGAGTCTGAGGATGGTTTCCTGCAGCTACAGACATAACCGCTTAAGGCACCAGCAGATAAATGACTGATTAGGTAGATAGATAGATAGATAGATAGATAGATAGATAGATAGACAGACAGATAGGCAGGTGGATGGTGGATGAGTGGATGGGTAGGTGGATGGTTACCTGGGCAGGTGAATGAGTAAATGGGTAGGTGGATGAGTGGATGGGTTGGTGGGTAGGTGGATCAGTAGGTAGATGGGTAGATAGGTGGGTGAACGGGTAGATAGCTAGATGGGTAGGTGGATGGGTAGGTAGATGGGTAGATGGGTGGGTGATTGTGTAGATGGCTAGCTGGGTAGATGGGTAGGTGGATGGGTAGATGGGTGGGCAGTGTGTAGATGGGTGGGTGGATGGGTGAATCGGTAAGTGGATGGGTAGATGGGCTGGCCAGCGAGCTGGCTATACCTTGGAGCAGTCATCCTTAAAGACTATCAAGTAGGCGTATCCATGAATTAATGACGAGGAACCAAGAAGATAGTAAATGACAAAGCTAAATGCAGTAGCAAAGCTGATACAAGGTGACATGGAGCTCAAAGAAGGAGCAGATTTTTAATAATATGTCTAAAGCAATAGTTTCATAAATGCAATTGTTAGCTTAGAGGAAGTAATAATGACCCACATGGTGAATGGTACATGGTAGAATGCATAGCTTTCTATGATTCTATAGCAAGCTGAAGAAAGAGAAAAAAGAACGTGCACTGTGGTAGACTATAAAAAACTGCTTCAACAAAATTTTCAACTGAAATTGGTCTTCCAGACCTTTCTCCACCCCTTTATCCTGAATGGGCTTCTATAAAATCCCCAACAAATAGAATATACAGAGAATGACAGTGTAGGATTTCTGAGGATAAGTCATAAAAGTTAATACAGCTCACTGTCTCTATTGAAGCTTGTTGTGGAATTTAGTACCAGGTATAAGGAAGCCAATGCCATGCAGAAAGTCAGCATGTAAGTCTTCCAACAGATAGCATCAGCTAACATCTAAGCCAATGGCTGGCATCAACTTCCAGATTTGTGAGTAAGCAATCTTTAGACAATTCTAGCAACAAGTCTTTGCAATACCCCCCCAATGACCATGATCAGAGCAAAATCAAAATAAAATTGCTGCTTTATGAAAATAAACGTTGTCATTGTTTTAAGCCACTTAATTTACGGTTAGTTTATTACAAAGAAATAGATGACCAGTAAAAACTTTGAGTAGTGAAGATGTAAGAGCAGTAAGGATTAAAAGTGCTGAAAGAACTGGAAGTGAACAGCAGAGGAGGAAAAGTTAAGAAACAAATGAGAGCTCCTGAGAATGTCAAAAACAGAGAGATTTGCATTTTGGCTGAGGATAAGAAGAATATAGATCAAAGGCATAGAGAAAAAATGTGCTTGAAATATAGACTAAACTCCCAGAGTTTCAGCTATTGATAAAATTCAGATTTTTTTCACGAGTTCAAGAGATCAAGACCATCCTGGCCAACATGGTGAAACCCTGTCTCTACTAAAAATACAAAAATTAGCTGGGCGTGGTGGCGGTGCCTGTAGTCCCAGCTACTCCGGAGGCTGACGCAGGAAAATCACTTTAACCCGGGAGGCAGAGGCTGCAGTGAGCTGAGATTGTGCCACTGCACTCCAGCCTGGCGACAGAGTGAGACTCCGTCTCAAAAAAAAAAAAAAAGAAAAAAAAGAAAAGTCAGATTTTTTCAGACAGAAGTGTTTTATCAGCATTCAAAATAAATTTACTAAGAAAATCACAGTGTCTATTTTGGGAAAAGTAACCATCTCCTAGTCCAACTGTCTACCTAAGAGAAAAGTCTGAAATATATATAGCACTTAATTGTTATTGTATTTCTTTTCTCATAGTTAAAATCATTGAATGCCATCTTTGCATGAAAATATTGTGCAGAGTTCAAAACACTAAAAATATACGAGTAGTTCTTGGTTTTTGGTCATAAAAACAAACTATATTAGATGAGATAAAAGAACTACTGCTTTTCATTTATTCAATAATAGTTATATTGAATCTTTCTGCCATTGGTCTTTACATATACTCAGTGGAAGAACGAGTTTATTAATAATATCTCAAAATTTTAAAATAAACTGAAAATTCAAAATTATAGAGCTAAATTTACATATAATGCTACACTAACAAAATTCTGTGTGGTCAAGGATATTTATTTGAAAATAATTTTATATTTAGTTAATGATAAGTAGCCAGATAATTACTTTTCTATGAAGAAATGCTGAAAAGGATGAGAAGGCACTATTTTAAAATGAACGTCTGAGATTTAATCAGAAAACCATTGGTCAATAACTGTTTTAAAATCACTGAAATACAAATCATCTGACATATGTTGTTTACCTTAAGTATATACTCATTTTGTAAATTTTTTTACCCCCTGACACACACACACACACACACACACACACACAAACACACACACAAGCACTATTCCCAGCTTTCTCTTCATGGAGTAATTTAATTTATTCCATTTTAAAAATCTTAGACTCAGAAAATAATAAATAATTAAGGAATATTATAGAACCGATTACATGATTTCAGTAAGCTAAAAATGTTCACTCTGTATTTCTCACTATATCAATGAGATTCTTTATTATACAAGTGTAACAGCTCTTAAGAGCAATTAGTTAAGTAAAATTTTGTCAGAAGATATGAGGATTACTCTCTTATTTAAAAAAAGTAACTTGCCAACAAACAGGCATGATTGAATTAGAGAAGCTTCAGTTTTTTGTGACCCTGCTCCTGAAGTGAAACTTGGATCCTAAACACCAAATGGTGGGTTCACCTGCCATGATACATGACATTTGTTTTATCAAACAGCATAAACTCCGTTAAAGATGTTCCTTGAAAGGTCTAACTTCATGTATACCCTGCCATCAGAGCTGATCTACCATAGATAGACTAACAAATACCAACCGAATACAATCTAATGCACAAAGGACAGAAAAATAAATTACATTTTCCCCCAAGTTTACAAAATTGATTGCTCATTAAGATGTTTATGGCCGGGTGCAGTGGCTCACGCCTGTAATCCCAGCACTTAGGGAGGCCAAGGCAGGCAGATCACGAGGTCAAGAGATCAAGACCATCCTGGCCAACATGGTGAAACCCCGTCTCTACTAAAAATACAAATTAGCTGGGCATGGTAGCGCACCTGTTGTCCCAGCTACTCAGGAGGCTGAGGCAGGAGAATCGCTTGAACCCGGGAGGTCGAGGTTGCAGTGTGCTGAGTTTGTGCCACTGCACTCCAGCCTGGTGACAGGGCAAGACTCTGTCTAAAAAATAATAATAAAATAAGAAGATGTTTATATGTACATCTTAATTTAATTCACTATCTCAGATTATTTTTAAATTTGCCTTTAAGCTTAATGGAAAATTCCCCTGAACTGTGGTATAATTTGAGTTCAAAATGTATTAATCATATCCAAATCTTCATCTTGAATTAGGAAATGTTCATTTATTATAAGCCATTTCTAAAATTGCTTTTAAACCTATACAATATGAATATGATTGGGTTACTAAGGTAAGCCTGGACATGATAAAGTAGGTTGTAAAAATTTAGAATTTTTAATCCCAGTAATCAAATCAGCATTCTAGGAAATCAAGTATGATATCTATTGAAAGGGTGATGACACCTGAATTATGGTATTATGCTTTTATAGCCAGCTTCTGAAACTGTAATATCACTGAGTATCACAGACAAGACACAATAATAAGGTTACCCGCAGAGAAAAGGTAAAATGCCTTGTAAATTTAACTTTCTAGATTTTCAAGTTTCAAGTTTTTGTACTAAATACTAAAGTTGTACTAAAGTTGAAGCCTTATGTTCAGAAATGTTCCTGTATCTAAAAAATAAGCTTATGGCATTTCCCCATAAAACACATTTCTAAGTCCCAAGATGGAGTAATTAGAGAGATGTTTCTGCATGGAATTCTATAAATTGTCACACCTGTTTAGTTGAACAATGAATGAAAATATGCAGACTTGAACAGAATTCAAGAAATTATTAAAAGACTTACACTTTACCAGCAGAAATTACTTAATATAGGAAAAACATCAGTCATTTTTCAGGGAGTCATCAAGGGATTTTTAAATCACTAAAAATGACAAATAAGAAGCGGAAAATTATCACAATTATATAAGCAGTATTACTGCGATGTACAGAACATCTGTCACCAGTGATAGCCATTCAACATTCTACAAGGGGAGCCAATTGACGCATTCAATATTACAAGGCTAAAAGCAGTTATTACTTTTTTTCACTTTTAAAACAAAACGCAATCATGTAATTTTCAGTTAGTATAAAAATTGAATGCACCCTGAGTCAAAAATAAGCAGGTATCATATTTTCCATATGGCCATTTGTAGCAAATCATACATTTCATTTTTGAGAAATGGTATATTTTTCAAAGTATTTTTCTGTGTGTTAATAAAACATGGAGAGAAAGCTGTGATTCTTTCTTTCTATACATGGCAATAAGAGTGTACAATACTCAGTCAGACACGGTGGCTCATGCCTGTAATCCCAGCACTTTAGGAGGCCGAGGCCGGTGGATCATGAGGTCAGGAGTTCAAGACCATCCTGGCTAACATGGTGAAACCCCATCTCTACTAAAAATACAAAACATTAGCTGGGCATGGTGGCATGCGCCTGTAGTCCCAGCTACTCTGGAGGCTGAAGCAGGAGAATCACTTGAACCCAGGAGGCGAAGTTTGCAGTGAGTCAAGATCGTGCCACTGCACTCCAGCATGGGCAACAGAGTGAGACTCTGTCTCAAAAAAAAAAAAAAAAGAAAAAGAAAACCAGAGTGTACAATACTCAAATATAACTCTGTGATTTCAGACTAAAAAATTGTGTAGCACTTATTTTCAAATATGTCTGTCAGAAGAGAATGATAATACTTTGAACTTCTTTTAAGATTAAGAACATCCCCACATCTTGTACTCTTCTCATTATCAAACATTTATTCAATACCTTATATATGCTGTAAAATAGGGCTGTAAATTTGAATCAATCACAGGCTTTGCTGTCAAGAACTTTGCAAATCAGTAGGAGAAGTAAAGGAAGGGGATTTTTGCAGAAGTGAAGGAAAAGAAGAGAGACTTTATTCTAGAGAAGATATAATATATGAGTGATGGCAGAGAAAATATGAATGTATATGGCCTGTTCATAATACACTCACTAACACTAGTTGATTAGAGCAAATGATTGGTTAAGAAAATATTGAAAAATGCTTATAAAAGTAGATAGACATCAATTACATAAACACCTGAATGCCATAAAAAGGATACCGGATTTGACTGTATTCACAAAATGGTGGAAATAAAATTAAATGAGAAGTTGTTATGCCAAACAATAGCAAAAGTACCCAAAGCTAAAATTAATTAAATGCTTACCAAGTATTTTACATTAATTGGTTCATTTCATCTTAAGAAAAACACATGAAAAATGCTACTCAATTCTCTTTCCCCTTAAATTCATCCTCTTGACAGTGTTCCATTTACTGGTTTCCTCATTTATATTAGTGAATTTCATTTTTAAACAATTACCAAATTATAGTGAAGTCAGGACCACTTTACAAGAAATTGATCTTTATGCCTAATTATACATAATTGATTTTAGTTAAATGTCCCAAATTACTGTTTCTACTTGAAAGGGCCCTGTTTAGAATCACTGAAGAGTTGCTTGTTTCACTGGAAACACAGAAAAGTTCTGAAAATTAAACAGAAAGAGAGAGAAAGCCACATTGACATTTGCTGTTCTGTGTCGGTGGTGTAGCTTTTTTTCAGATGAACTCTCTCACTGAAAACTACAAAAGTTCTGTATAAAAACACACAGAAATCTGCACAAAGTCCTTTAAGAACGAACAAAACCAGGCAGAAATAGAATGCATGAGTAAACTCAAAAACTTATCCAAAGAAATTATCTAATCTGAAGAATAGTGAGAGGACCACAAATGGTTGAACTAAAATGAACAGAGCCTCAGTGACCAGTAGGAGAATTCTGAGTCTACCATATGTGTAACTGTAGAAGGAAGGGATAGAGATATTTTGGCAAATAACTCCTTGGCAAATATTTGGCAAATATCAAAAGAGGCTGAATTAAAATTCTGGTAGAATTTTTAAAATAAATTGACAGGTGAATTCTAAGATTTATATGTATATGCAAAGGATCTAGAATAGTCAGAACAATTTTGATAAAGACTAAGAAACTGGAGGATTTGTTTCATAGAACCTCAAGTTTTAATATAAATATACACTATCAAGAGACACTGGTATTGGCCAAGGAAAGAAAAACAGACCAATAGCATAGAATAGAGATTACAGAACTAGACATACACACATATGTGTTTAATTTATTTTTGATAAGATGCCAAGCAAATCTATGGGTAAAAGAAAGAGTTGCCACATGGTGCTGAACTGTATTTCCATATATTAAAAAAAATAAACCAACCTTCCATGAAATGCAAAAATTAACTGAGTGGATAATAAACCTTAACAGAGGGCTAAATAACTGTATGTATTCTAGAAGAACACATTGAAGAAATTACTTGTGACTTTGGAAAATGCAAATGTTTCCTAAAGAAGGCACAACACCTACAAAATGTGTTTTAAAACGATAAATTGATTTTATTAACATTGAAAACTTTTGCTTATCAAAATACATGAAAAAAAAATAAAAAGGTGGCCGGGCACAGTGGCTCACACCTGTAATCCCAGCACTTTGGGAGGCTGAGGCGGGCAGATCATGAGGTCAGGAGACCAAGACCATCCTGGCCAACATGACGAAACCCCGTCTCTACTAAAAAGACAAGAAAAAAAAATTAGCTGGGCGTGGTGGCGCGTGCCTGTAGTCCCAGCTACTCGGGAGGCTGAGGTAGGAGAATTGCTTGAACCCAGGAGGTGGAGGTCACAGTAAGCCGAGATCGTGCCACTGCACTCCAGCCTGGCGACAGAGTAAGACTCTGTCTCTAAATAAATAAATAAATAAATATCAAAAAAATAAAGAGCCAGAGACAGAAAAAAAATTATTTGTACTATATGCATACCTGACAAGTGACTTCTATCTAGGACATACACAGTTTGACAGATTAATTTTCCAACTTCTATCAGAATTGAGTCTCAAAATAGGATTAAAGTTCAATTATTAAACATGAAGAAAGTTATATCTGATTTAGCTCCTGCCTGCTTTTCTTTCCATGAACCAAATTCTATTCTTCATAAATTCTACCCACTGGTGAGTGTTATGCAAATGGAGAAATATGTACTTTACATTGGAAAATAATCTGTCTACCTCTGATTTAAACTGCTAACTATTTTAAATGTCTTACACTATTCTCTGCTAGTCAGATTGGATCTCTTGTTATCTGTCCAAAATGGTAACTGAAGTTACTGAACTGTAAAATTACTATGCTATACATTATTAGTTCATGACACATTTTCAAATATGAATGTGACGTAGAAACAGGTGATTGTCAGTTTAACTCTATCTCTAACCCCCTGCCATGTAGAGAATTGAACTAGCCCTCACTCTCATAAGTGGAATTTTAAAAAATAATGTGAGTTGGCCGGGCGCGGTGGCTCACTCCTGTAATCCCAGCACTTTGGGAGGCCGAGGCGGGCGGATCACGAGGTCAGGAGATCGAGACCACGGTGAAACCCCGTCTCTACTAAAAATACAAAAAATTAGCCGGGCGCAGCGGCGGGCGCCTGTAGTCCCAGCTACTCGGGAGGCTGAGGCAGGAGAATGGCGTGAACCCGGAAGGCGGAGCTTGCAGTGAGCGGAGATCGCGCCACAGCAGTCCCGCCTGGGCGACAGAACGAGACTCCGTCTCAAAAAAAAAAAAAAAAAAAAAAAAAATGTGAGTTACATGAGCTGATAAGCACACATGTATAGTCAACGTTAAGGCTTAGTATTTATGAAATTTGGAATGATGATTTATGGCAAATGTTTAACACATTTAATAATGTAAATACTTTTTAAGGCATTGAATAGGTAGGAGTTCATATAAGTTTACTCTGGGTTGGTTGTTTACTGAACTGTAAACATTTTTTATTCATTGAATGCCATTGCAAAACCTTTTTAACATCACTCATCTTGGGTTCAAACATCCCAGCATCCTTACAAATAAACTTTCCTATCTTGAAACTAAATTTGTTTTTGTTTTTGCTTTAATTTAGTCTTAAACTAAAAACAATGAGTTTATTTTCTGACAATCACCTGTTTCTACATCACATTCATATTTGAAAATGTGTCATGAACTAATAATGTATAGCATAGTAATTTTAACATTTCCTTGCATTGATCAAAAATACACCTTTAAAATTTAGCAATAAATCTTATACAATTACAATGAATCACTTTCTAATGGATGCACAAATCTTATATAACGTTTTCAAATTTGGGATTACAATGAAGAATAAATTTTCATGTGGCTTTAGATTAGATTTTAATTCTTAATTTTACTTTTATAATGTTTGAAAATTAAGTTTGACCTCATGGCTAATTATTCTTAGATATACTCTATTTCACAATATTTGAGATATCTGAAAAATCAAGAATTTGTTTTTCTAAGAGCTCTTTAGTTTTGAAATAGGATTGTCATACTCTACACCATAATTATTTGCAGTCTTAAAGTAAATTTGTATTAGAAGTGGGTTATTAAACTGCTTTAGGTATGACAACTATAGTATTCCAAATGATATGAATTCCAAAATTCTGTTTGGAATGAAATTCAGGAGCAACGAGAATTTGACATAAAGGCTAGTTTTATAATAATCATCGGTTGATAAGGCATTAGAAATATTAATTTTTTTTCTTTTTTTTTTTTTTTTGAGACAGAGTCTCGCTCTGTCGCCCAGGCTGGAGTGCAGTGGGGCGATCTCGGCTCACTGCAAGCTCCACCTCCCAGATTCACACCATTCTCCTGCCTCAGCCTCCCGAGTAGCTGGGACTACGGCGCCCGCCACCACACCTGGCTAATTTTTTGTATTTTTAGTAGAGATGGGGTTTCACTGTGTTAGCCAGGATGGTCTCAATCTCCTGACCTCGTGATCTGCCCGCCTCGGCCTCCCAAAGTGCTGGCATTATGGGCATGAGCCACCGCGCCCGGCCGAAATATTAATTTTCTGTACTTTTACTATGACTCATTAGAACATAATCTCAATTATGAATCCAGATTCATATATAAAATAATATATATTAATATGCACAGTTGATCATTGTGGAAAATATACATATATTAATTTCTGAAGAGTTTTGAAGAAACCAATAATAAAATATTAGAAAATATGTATGAAATAACCAGATAGATGATGTATTAGAAGGAGGAGCAAGTCACGTCTTACATGGATGGCAGCAGGCAAAGACAGAGAGCTTGTGCAGAGGAACTCCTTTTTTTAAAACCATCAGATCTCGTGAGACTTATTCACTATCATGAGAATAGCACAGGAAAGACCTGCCCCCATGATTCAATTACCTCCTACCAGGTCCCTCCCACAACATGTGGGAATTCCAGGTGAGACTTGGGTGGGGACACAGTCAAGCCATATCAGATGGATAGATATAGAAATATTTTATACATCTTTTAAATGTGATGCTTCCTGTACACTTTTGGCACAGGCTGTAGGTCTCAAAATAATGCAAAAAGTACCCCTATTATAGTTACTGAACCTTCACAGGGCAATCATTCTAGTTTTCTCAGGATAGTACTAGTTTATGCTCATGGAGTAGAAGATAGAATATTGCCGAAGTATCAGTTGTCTCCATTGGAGCCAAACTTGAAGAAGCTGTGTGATAAGACTTAATGGGGAGCTGGGTGCAGTGGCTCACGCCTGTAATCCCAGCACTTTTGGAGGCTGAGGCGGGCGGATCACCTGAGGTCAGGAGTTTGAGACCAGCCTGGCCAACATGGTGGAACCCTCTCTCTATTAAAAATACAAAAATTATCCAGGCATGGTGGCACGCAAGGCAATTATCTATAAACCCTGTGACAAGACTGGTAGCCTCAATTCTCCTAAGTAACATAAACATAACTCATAATTTCCTGTGGTTCCTACTGACCAAGCTCACTGGCAGCCAGGAAGCCTTGGCTGGAAGAGCAGTATTATTAGTAACCTTCTCTTCATACCAACTGAAATAAGGAGGAATTAGCTAGTTTTTGGCTGCTTGGGTCTTCAAAGTCCTACAAGCTGCCCTCGAATAATTGATACGATACAATTTGCATCTGGAAAGCATTGAAAAAGAGAGGTAGGTTATCACTGGTTACATTACCATATTATCCTCATGTTAAAAAATAATTTTCTGCTTATGTATATCTCTATAGTTCACACTCCTAGAAAAGATGATGGCAGAATTTAAAGCACCAAGTGGTGATTTATCAAACCCATCCCTATTTATTTTAATGCAACTATAAATAATAGTACTTGGTTAAAAAATCCAGGACGAATGGTATATATATGTATATATATGTATTTTTTTATCTGAAAATTGTTCATCACATTCACAAATGAAACTATTTGAAGTAATGTTGCTGCATTTTCCACGGAAACAGATATGTGGTTGACATCGGCCAATTATTTCTGAGCAATTCATTCCTATAACAATGAAAAAAGGTTTATTTACATTGCATGTCAATATTATAATCATCAGTTTTCCCTCAATTCTTTAATAAAAATGTCAAATTCTGACAAATATAATTTCAGTTATGAAACCATGTTATATGATGCTGCATTTAAATTGAAATAAAAATTAATTTTGATACTTTACATAAGTTTTTCCTCTTCTGACCCCAGACTATAATATCCAAATATTTTTTCTGGCTAGTGGTATTTGAACTTTATTTAATTTACATAATATTTTAAAATTTTAATTGTTTTTTCATGGTAGATAATATTAGTACATGTAAGTACCAGTTTTTCAACTTACACTGATAATATTGCAGTGGTAATTTACAAAGTGACACATTCAAATGTGCATTGTGTCTCACCCTTATGCCCTAGCCAAAGGAACAATTCAAAATGAGAAACAGCTGCCTGGATTTTCAGAATATGTGCACAAACTTGCAAATTCAACACTTCTTTGCCCTTGCTGGCCTATCAAATTTTCCAAATCTCACTTACACATACTATTGTGGTCCCACTATATCAGGTGACATAGCCTTCCATAACATACTTGTACTATGCATATTTAATCATCTTATAATACGCTTAGTAGAGGAATGTGCCTTGGAAATCTCAGGGCATAGCAAGTGGACAAATGCTGTTACAAAACAACTGCATGTAATTTGGCAATATGCTTTTTTCCTCAGTTTAATTAAGCTCTTAATTTAATTTATAAGCAGCTTTTGCCATTATCATTGATGTCTTTCCAATTCCTTATATACTGACATCCCTGCCTCACTAATGCGGAACTCTTCTTTCTTCATTTACCTCCAAGCAATCCTAAACATAATGAAAATATAAATAATGAAATTATAAATAAAAATCATTATGTTTCAAAATGTTTTCCAAACATAAAAACTAAATTAACAGTAGAATGCTTAATAGTCCATGCCCTAATTACCTAATTAAACCTTAGTGAGTTTTATGAGCTAAATTGTGCCCACCCACCCCCACCAAATTCACATGTTGAAGTCCTAACCCTCAGTATCTTACAGTATCCATATTTGGAGACAACGTCTTTAGAGAAGTACACAATTAAGGTTAAATAAGGTCAGTAGGGTGCGTCCTAATCCAATGTGACTGGCGTGCTTCTAAGAGGAGAACATTTACACACAGACACACACATTGCTTTCGCACCAGGTAGGTGGACTACAACAGTCTAAGTATGAATGTGGATGAGGGACGTCACTCAGGTATTCTTGCTACGCTAACTTTTGCCAACAGTATGGATGACTTTAAGTGTATACGTAATGACAGGTTATTTACGTCTCTTCTCCAGCTCATTTTTAGGATCTGTCCTCCTTAACCCCCACTTTGGGAATTCAGACCACCTTACTAATAGGTTTGAATTCCTAGCTGGGCACATATGCAGTGGTAGGGCTTTCTTGACACATGCATTCCAGAATAATCTAGTAATTTGCAGTTGTTCACCTGTTATGTCCTCTCCTTTTTCAAGAGAGCTACATTCAATGTGGATTTAGATTATGCTAATAAAGACAGCGTTCTTACCTGTGTGCAGATCATCTCAAAACAAAATTTTTGGCCAGGCACAGTGGCTCATGCCTGTAATGCCAGCCCTTTGGGAGGCCGAGGTGGGCAGATCACCTGAGGTCACGATTTGGAGAACAGCCTGGCCAACATGGTGAAACCCTGTCTCTACTTGAAACACAAAAAACAGCTGTGCTTGGTGGCACACGCTTGTAATCCCAGCTACTTGGTAGGCTGAGGCAGGAGAATTGCTTGAAACCAGGAGGCGGAGGTTGCCGTGGGCCAAGATCACACCACTGCACTGCAGCCTCGGCAACAGAGCAAGACTCCATCTCAAAAAAAAAAAAAAAAAAAAAAAAAAAGATTGAGTACATTCATAATGCTGAGTACAATAAATTTCCACAAAACTTATAATGAAATCTGGATCCATATTTCTTCTTGATGGCTTCTCCCACGTCTTGAGTCCATGATTGACCTTATATTTTATTTCTTCTGCACTCCTGCCTATTCAAGCAATTCATGGCTCTGAAGGAGCGCATTGGCTGGAGATACAGCCTCCTCTTCGTGGGCCTACTACAGTTAAACATTGTCGTCTTCGGAGCACTGCTCAGACCCATCATCATCAGAGGACCAGCGTCACCAAAAATAGTCATCCAGGAAAATCGGAAAGAAGCACAGTATATGCTTGAAAATGAGAAAACACGAACCTCAATAGACTCCATTGACTCAGGAGTAGAACTAACTACCTCACCTAAAAATGTGCCTACTCACACTAACCCAGAACTGGAGCCGAAGGCAGACCTGCAGCAGGTCCTGGTGAAGACCAGCCCCAGGCCAAGCAAAAAGAAAGCCCCGCTATTAGACTTCTCCATTTTGAAAGAGAAAAGTTTTATTTGTTATGCATTATTTGGTCTCCTTGCGACACTGTGATTCTTTGCACCTTCCTTGTACATCATTCCTCTGGGCATTAGTCTGGGCATTGACCAGGACAGCGCTGCTTTTTTATTATCTACAATGGCCATTGCAGAAGTTTTCAGGAGGATCGGAGCTGGTTTTGTCCTCAACAGAGAGCCCATTCGTGTGATTTACATTGAGCTCATCTGCGTCATCTTATTGACTGTGTCTCTGTTTGCCTTTACTTTTGCTAGGGAATTCTGGGGTCTAATGTCATGTAGCGTATTTTTTGGGTTTATGGTTGGAACAACAGGAGGGACCCACATTCCACTGCTTGCTGAGGATGATGTTGTGGGCATTGAGAAGATGTCTTCTGCAGCTGGGGTCTACATCTTCATTCAGAGCATAGCAGGACTGGCTGGACCACCCCTTGCGGGTAATTTAAATACACAAAATACAAGCGCTTGTCTACTTTCCCTTATGAATTGTGCTAGCTTCCTGTTCAAGCCATAAAAAAACTTACTGCTGTTTTATATTTCCATTGAATTTTAGAGCTGCCAGGGATTAGAGATTACTTGAGCCAGCCCTCTTGATTTAAATATGAGGAAACTGGCCAGGCACGGTGGCTCACGCCTGTAATCCCAGCACTTCCGGAGATCAAAACCATCCTGACTAATACGGTGAAACCCCGTCTCTGCTAAAAATACAAAAAATTAGCTGGCATGTGTGGTGGTGGGCACCTGTAGACCCAGCTACTCGGGAGGCTGAGGCAGGAGAATGGCGTGAACCCAGGAGGTGGAGCTTGCAGTGAGCCGAGATCATGCCACTGCACTCCAGCCTGGGCGACAAAGCGAGACTCTGTCTCAAAAATAAATAAATAAATAAATAAATAAATAAATAAATAAGGAAACTGAAGGCCAAAGAATTGAAACCAAAGGTCACATGGTAAATTAGTGGTTGAATCAGGACTGGAAGCTGTGTCTGCAGTCCAGAACTGACCCAGGCTTTTTTTTTTTTTTTTTTTTTGAGACGGAGATTCGCTTTGTCACCAGACTGGAGTGCAGTGGCCCGATCTCGGCTCACTGCAACCTCCTCCTCCCGGGTTCACGCCATTCTCCTGCCTCAGCCTTCCAAGTAGCTGGGACTACAGGCGCCCACCACCACGCCCGGCTAAGTTTTGTATTTTTAGTAGAGACGGGGTTTCACCATGTTGGCCAGGATGGTCTTGATTTCTTGACCTCATGATCCGCCCGCCACGGCTTCCCAAAGTACTGGGATTATAGGTGTGAGCCACCGTGCCCGGTCGACCCAGGCTTTTTCTGTCACCTTGCCTTCTCTCATGCTAGACAGGAACGCATGGATTTATCACCTTCAGAGCCCACCTGACTTTTGGAATGACAGAAATATCGGACTTCTGTAAGTCATCTTCCCTTCTTAGGAAAGGTATTTGGGAATAGAAAGCAGCACTCTGTAAATACCTAATTGATTTGTATAGAATGTTTCCTTGTAAGAGGGACATAGGTATGTTTCATAGCTTAGATCCCAAATGGGTCTTTAAAGTGTTGTGATTAGAAATTGTACCCCCTGTCAAAAGATACCTACAGTGGCCAGGCGCAGTGGCTAATGCCTCTAATCCCAACACTTTGGGAGGATGAGGCGGGCAGATCATTTGAGGTCAGGAGTTCCAGACCAGCCTGGTCAACATGGCAAAACCCCGTCTCTACTAAAAATACGAAAAGTAGCCGGGCATGGTGGCAGGCGCCTGTAATCCCAGCTATTCGGGAGGCTGAGCTGGGAGAATCGCTTGAACCTGGGAGGCGGAGGTTGCAGTGACCCAAGATCGTGCCATCGCACTCCAGCTGGGGCGACAAGAATAAAACTCAGTCTCAAAACAAACAAACAAACAAACAAACACCTAAAGTGAACTCAAGTGAAAATAATACAGTTCCTTCCTACCGAAGAATATTACCTTTTCAAAGAAGTATGCATCGAAATGTCCCAGGTTTTAGGTCCTCTGCTAGGACAGGCTTAGCCCAAGAAGAACAAGTATATTGGGTGTTTGTCTCTTTCTCCTCTCCAGTCTAGTAAAGATTTCTGCCCTTAACACCCATTTTTCTTTAGAAACACAAAAGAAAACAAGGAAGGCAATGAAACTGAGAGGCTTCTGAATGGGATGGTCGCCTGGGTGAGGGGCTTATGTCTAGGAAGGATGCTGTTAACGGACGCCATGCTCTCTTCCAGGTTTGTTGGTGGACCAAAGTAAGATCTACAGCAGGGCCTTCTACTCCTGCGCAGCTGGCATGGCCCTGGCTGCTGTGTGCCTCGCCCTGGTGAGACCGTGTAAGATGGGACTGTGCCAGCATCATCACTCAGGTGAAACAAAGGTAGTGAGCCATCGTGGGAAGACTTTACAGGACATACCTGAAGACTTTCTGGAAATGGATCTTGCAAAAAATGAGCACAGAGTTCACGTGCAAATGGAGCCGGTATGACACACTTTCTTACAACAACAGCCACTGTGTTGGCTGGAGAGGGATGGGGTGGGCCCAACGGAGACACAAGGAGGTAGAGGAGCTAACCCCTCTACTCCACTTTCAAAACTACATTTTAAAGGGAATGTGTATGTGAAGAGCACTACCAACATCGCTTTTGTTTTAAGTTTTCCTTTTTGCTTGTTTTTAAAGCCAAAACAAAAAACAACCAAGCACTCTTCCATATATAAATCTGGCTGTATTCAGTAGCAATACAAAAGATATGTAGAAAGACTCTTTGGTTCACATTCCAATATTAAAATAGTGACACGAACTGGCAAAGTGGTTTTAAAAGCTTTCACATGGGATAAATGATTTTCTTTCTTTCTTTTCTTTCTTCGTATGGTCTTGTCAGAATAAACTACTATCTTGAATAAAACAACATCCAACCCAGGTCATTGAAATGAAATTGGCCAGTCAAAAAAAAAAAAAAAGACTTCAATCATTTAAAAAATTCCTAATTTTCAGAAATATGAATAAATGGTTTTTGTTAAACCCTTTGTAAAATACTGAGGTTCCCATTAACAAATTATGGCTTCTGCTTGCTGGAAATGAAGTATAGTTTAAGACCAAACATTTTACTAATAAGCAAATTTTAAGTACATATATAACTTGAACTTCATAAATGTGAAGATTACCACTTCTTTTTATGGCCAGTCCTTACCAGAAGTGTTTCAGTACAGAATATACAAAATGGCATTTAAAAATGTGTTTCCTGTTGCTTTTAGTTATACAGAAATATGTGACTGTAGTGTCTTTAATTTAAACCGCTATTTATTATTAAGTTATTCTAGGATGATTAATCAAAAGAAATAAAATCTGAGACATAAGCAGCATTTTTACCTCCTTTCTGCAGTCCTTTAAATGCCTCACAGAATACGTCTTATCTTGTAAAAAATACTTTCATAAAAGGCCAAGTTGTCATGATTCTTCCATTTGATTAAGGGCAACATGTGCTATTTAAAGGGGAAAAAATAACGGATAGCAAATCACCTTAGCTTTCAAAAATAATTTGTTTTATCATCTAAGAATACTTGAGGAACTTCTTTGATCAGAATTATATTTCATTGAACTGTTAAAGCATTTCTGATTTAAAGAAAAAACCATCTAATTGTTGAAGCATTTCTGTATTTCACATGGGGGTAACAGAGACATTTATGTTATAGCGAGTTACAAGTTGCAATTTACATCTTCTATAACTCACAACTTGATTGTTCTAAGTTGCCAGAGGTATCGGGTAACTGGTCATTGTTTTTTTGTTGTTGTTGTTGTTGTTTGTTTTATTTTTTATTTTTGGAGTCACACTACATGTATAGTATTGCTCACGTTACAGTTTTCTGTAAAGAGGACAAGTGTCAGGATAATAGGTGGACTTTTTACTCACCTATTTTACTGCAATCTCACCCTGCAGGTGACGGTCAATGCTCGCTGCTCCATCTTTACTCATCATTAATGTTAATTTATGACAACTCGGGGGAAAAACATAACAAGCCTAGTTTGGTTACAGGTACACACAAGCTTGAATATTTCTCTGCACTGAAATGAAAGTGGCATAGTTCATCACCACCTGCTACATTTTGTAGAGCATCTTACCAGCCATAGAAATAGGACAATCTATAAAACTTTGGGGAGGGTGGGGGAGGAAATGACACAGTGTCTGTCAAAAACAGGCATAATCTAAAACAAGGTGGATATAGCAAATCTCTGCCACTGCTTGAGAAGAACTTTGAGCTTGTGGCAGTTTTGCAGACTTACATGACTTCAGCACTTTACAACGTATTTTTACTATGAATGTTCAATACAATTTAATATTTATAACTGATTTCAGAGGGATCTGCTCCATGTCTATTCTGTTACCTGCATGAAAAGAGAATGCATGCCAATTTCAGTATGTCAATAATCAAGGTTTTAAATGTTTGGAAGAAAATAAAAACAAGATTGCTGATTTGTTCTGTATTAGTGACATTCTGGTACTTCTAGATTTGCAATACATTTATGGCTTTTTTATTTAAAGATACTGATTTTCTTCTGTTATAAGATTTTTTTATTGACTCTCACAGCATTCAGTATTTGATGCAATTAAAGTTATAAAAACTCACCAAAGATTCACTCCAAATAAATAATTTTTTAACGTTTATCTTCTGCAAAACCTTTTAACTCTACTAGAGACACATAAAGTTTCCCAAGAAGTGTCTACTGAACTTTTTATTTATTTATATTTACTAGTATTTTTTTTTGAGATGGAGTTTCACTCTTGTTGCCCAGACTGGAGTGCAATGGCACAATCTCAGCTCACTGCAGCCTCCCAGGTTCAAGTGATTCTCCTGCCTGAGCCTCCCGAGTAGCTGGGATTACAGGTGCCCGCCACCACGCCTGGCTAATTTTGTGTATTTTTAGTAGAGATGGGGTTTCACCATGTTGGCCAGGCTGGCCTCAAACTCCTGACCTCAGGTGATCCACCTGCCTCGGCCTCTCAAAGTGCTCGGATTACAGGTGTGAGCCATCGTGTGTGGCCTGAACTTTTAAATCATTTTTTCTGGTCATTGAAAGCAGGACAATTTTATTTTATGTTGAGTTTTTCATGCAAATTACAGCACCTTAGAAAAAGACTAAATAATTCAAGGGAAATATTAAGTAATGAATAACAGGAGAGCGAAATAAAAATTAAACAATATAATCAAATGAAGAAGCATGTTTTCATCTAAGAATTAAGAATGAAAGCAGCGATGGTATTTAATTATTAATGAAAAATACATGAATGAAATGATATCATGGTAGCCAGAGTAAGCCTATCAAAAGTCATAACGGCAAATAGTTAAAGACTACAACCAGTTACAGAATCGTTCCAAGAACTGTTGCAACCTGTAAGTAAACAGCACAGACTCTACATGCCAGGGTTTGGCAAACTTTTTCTGTAAAGGTCCAGATAGTAAATATTTAAAGCTTTGCAGGCCATGAGGCCTCTGTCTAGTCAACTCTGCCATTGAGGGTCAAAAGCAGCCACAGACAATATATAAATGAATGAATGTGGCAATGTTTCAATGGAATTTTATTTATGGATACTGAAATGTGAATTTCACAAGATTTTCATACAGGAAATATATATTTTTTCAATCACATAAAAATGTTAAACACACACACACACACACACACACACAATTAGCTCTCAAGCTGAAAAAAAAAAAATTCTAGCTCCTTCACCACATATCTGTAACACTGGCACAGATCAGTACCACCAGAAGCAAAGCTCTGAAAACTAACAGTCCTGACTCATGGGAAAGGATTCATTGTGGTCAAAGTAATTCTTAGATCATAACTGCCCCAAAATAGGAAAGATCAAGCAGCTAACACTTTTTCGTTGTTGTTGTTTTGAGACAGAGTCTTGCTCTGTCACCCCGGCTGGAGTGCAGTGGCACGATCTTGGCTCACTGCAACCTCCACCTCCCGAGTTCAAGCAATTCTCCTGCCTCAGCCTCCCAAGTAGCTGGGATTACAGGCATGCACCACCACACCCAGCTAATTTTTGTATTTTTAGTGGAGACAGGATTTTGCCATGTTGGGCAGGCTGGTCTTGAACTCCTGACCTCAAGTGATCTGCCCACCATGGCCTTCCAAAGTGCTGTGATTACAGGTGTGAGCCACCGTGCTTGGCATTATAGCTAACGTATTTGTTAATTATGTTTTCTTTTTTTTTCCTTTTTTTTTTTCTGAGATGGAGTTTCACTCTTGTTGTCCAGGCTGGAGTGCAGTGGTGCGATCTTGGCTCACTGCAACCTCCACCTCCACCACACCAGGCTGTTAATTATGTTTTCATTTCTCCTGATTAAAAAGATTCTGCTTTAAGATTGTTGACTTCAAGAAGTTTCAGTATAAACCTTATGTAGACTTTCTCTCCCCAAAACTAAAATTATTCTAGTTATAAAAATGAGTTGGGCCGGGCGCAGTGGCTCACGCCTATAATTCCAGCTCTTTGGGAGGCCGAGGCGGGTGGATCGCCTGAGGTCGGGAGTTCAATACCAGCCTGACCAACATGGAAAAACCCCGTCTCTACTAAAAATACAAAATTAGGCGGGCGTGGTGGCACATGCCTATAATCCCAGCTACTCGGGAGGCTGAGGCAGGAGAATTGCTTGAACCCGGGAGACGGAGGTTGCAGTGAGCCGAGATTGCGCCATTGCACTCCAGCCTGGGCAACAAGAGCGAAACTCCGTCTCAAAAAAAGAATTAAGATCATGTACTCTTTTAAGACCTATGTATCCGTAACTAATACAAAATGTGTCCAAACCTTTTAACAAAGTTATACATTTTATACTCCAATAGCATGTAATGTAGCTTTTGAGCATTTATTTGCCTTTCCCTTTGCTTAATACCTGGTGATAAAATAGAAAATGGATTCTATGTCAGCATTCTTGTGGCACAGATTCAAATCACCAGGTGGTATTTATTAGATTTAGATTTCCATACTCCAATTCAACTATTGTAAATTAGAAATCATCATGATCCTTCAGCTGGGCATGGTGGCTCACACCTGTAATCCCACCCAGCACTTTGAGAGGCCGAGGTGGGTGGATCACTTGAGGTCAGGAGTTCGAGACCAGCCCAGCCAACATGGTGAAATCCTGTCTCTACTAAAAATACAAAAATTAGCCGGGCATGTTGGTGCACGCCTGTAATCCCAGCTACTTGGGAGGGTGAGGCAGAAGAATCACTTGAACCTGGGAGGTGGAGGTTGCAGTGAGTCAAGATCGCGCCACTGCACCCAAGCCTGGGCAACAGAGTGAGACTCCATCTCAAAAATAATAATAATAATAAAAAATAAGAAATCATGATCCTTATTTTCACAAGTTTGCAAATATGGGGCTCACAAGGAACTAGAGTTTAGAAACCATTGCCTTTAAATCTTTAAACGGTGGCCAGGTGTGGTGGCTCATCCCTATAATCCCAGCACTTCAGGAAGCCAAGGTGAGTGAATTGCTTGAGCTCAGGAGTTCAAGACCAGCCTGGGCCACATGGTGAAACCAAAATTAGCCAGGTGTGGTGGCTCATGCCTGTGGTCCCAGCTACTCGAGAGGCTGAGGTGGGAAGATCACTTGAGCCCAGGGGGCAGAGGTTGCAATGAGTCCAGATGGCACCACTGCACACAGCCTTGGCAAAGAGTGAGAACCTGTCTCAAAAAAGAAAAATTGTAATGGTTATGCACATTACTTAAAATGACCTATTTAAGGAATTCAGACATGTTACATGCAAAAATGATCACTGCTATAAATATACATTGCATTGAGAAAAGAGAAGCTGCCCTTGTTTTCAGATTTGTGTTTATATTGCATGTGTCCTAAGTGAGGGCGATCGTAGCGTACAGCTGGGCCAGCCGCCGTTGCATAAGTAAGGAAACTGGGTCCCCCTAGTGTTCAGTTCTCATAATGACTCTCGAAAGGTGCAGAACAAGAAAAGTGGCAAGAGAACTTACAACTTCGCTATCCGTGTAACAACTCACCCAAATCAAAATTACTTCAATGACTATCCGTTTCCTACAGGGAAAGTTAGACGGGAAACCTGATGCCCAGAACATTTCCCCAAATATTATTGAGAAAATACATATTGTGGCCATGTATTTGTGTCATTTATATGCCTTTCCAGCAACTCAAGAACAAGCACGCTAACTTCCCTAACAACTTATACACCCTGGAATTCAACCAAAACTTTAAGTACCTTCTCTGCATCGACACCTCCCATTCTTAGTCTCAACTTTGTCCCTGAGCTCCTGATTTACATCTGCCTGCATGGCAGGGCATGGATATAAACTAAGCATCTTCAACTTAAAATGTCCTCAGCAGAACTCTGGATCTTCCTCCTCAAACCCACTCCTCCACACATCCAATCGGCTCTCCTTTCTAAATATATCCAGGAGCTGACTGCTTCTGCCAACTGCATCAGGACCCTTGATCCAAGCCAATATCATCTTAGCTGGATTATTACAGTAGTCTTCTAGCTGGCCTGCCTGCTTCCACTCTTGCAACATGCCACCCCATCTTAATTTTCCATACAGTAGCCAGAGTAATCTTCTTACAGCACAAGTCTGACATAAATCCTTGGCAATGAGCCCTGCGTGAACTGCCCGATGGTATTTCTTTTCCCTCTGCTCCTGTTATACTAGCCCCACTGGCTTTTTTTTTTTTTTTTTTGAGATAGAGTCTCGCTCTGTTGCCCAGGCTGGAGTGCAGTGGCATGATCTCGGCTCACTGCAACCTCTGCCTCCCAAGTTCAAGCAATTCTCCTGCCTCAGCCTCCCAAGTAGCTGGGACTACAGGCACATGCCACCACGCCCGGCTAATTTTTTGTATTTTTAATAGAGACGGGGTTTCACTATGTTAGCCAGGATGGTTTCTATCTCCTGACCTCATGATCCGCCCGCCTTGGCCTCCCAAAGTGTTGGGATTACAGGCGTGAGCCACCACGCCCAGCCCCCCCACTTTTTTTTTTTTTTTGAGATGGAGTTTCACTCTTGTTGCCCAGGCTGGAGTGCAAAGGCACAATCTTGGCTCACTGCAACTTCTACCTCTGGGTTCAAGTGATTCTCCTGCCTCAGCCTCCCGAGTATAGCTGAGATTACAGGTGCCCACCACCATGCCTGGCTAATTTTTTTTTTTTTTTTTGTATTTTTAGTAGAGATGGGGTTTTGCCATGTTAGCCATGATGGTCTCAATCTCCTGAACTGGTGATCCGCCTGCCTCGGTCTCCCGAAGTGCTGAGATTACAGGTGTGAGCCACGACACCCAGCCTCTCTTATTGTTTCTGGAATTGTTCTTCTTGTTGCAAGCTTCAGGCTTTGGCATTTGTGGTTTCCTTTGCTTGGTACTCCCTTGCCTGAGATGTATATGCAGTGTGACCCTTCAATTTGATCACTTCCAAATGCTACCTCCCTAGGGAGGCATTCCTGTCTATCCTATTCAAAATGGTACTTGTTTCTATTTGTTTACTTTGACATTAGGTTATAACAGCATCCACTTTGGGAGGCTAAGGTGGGCAGACTGCTTGAGCCCAGGAGTTTGAGACCAGCCTGGTCAACATGGTAAAACTCCTCTCTACAAAAAGTACAAAAATTAGCCAGGTGCGGTGGCACGTGCCTGTACTCCCAGCTACTTGGGAAGCTGAGGCGGGAGGACCACTTGAGCCCAGGAGGCAGAGGATATAGTGAGCCAAGATCACACCACTGCACTCTAGCCTGGATGACAGAGCAAAACTCTGTCTCAAAAAAAATTAAAAATAAAAATAAAATAAAGCATCTGTTTACTCCTTGACTCTCTGTCTCATCCACTAGTGTATTAGGGTAGGAGTTCTTTGTTCACTGCTGTATTCCCAAGGCTTTGAGCAGGGCCTGGCACCCAGTAGGTGGTGCTCCATGAATATTGTTGAATGAAAAATACATGAATGAATGAGTTATAGACTTTTTTCCCCTTTAGTTACACAAGAGAAGAAAAAGATATCTATTGACAGTTACAGCTCAAGAGAGTCTTTGCTGCTATGAAACAGCTGGATAACCACAGGACACTGAAAGCACTGTGCCGAGAACCCACCGGTTCAGCATCTGAGGATGGATGGATCTCAGACTGCCCAGCAGTAGTGTACTACATGGGTGGGTCAGTTGTAAAGAAGAAAAAACTGATCCATGAGCAGACACTAAAGAAAACAGTGGGATGAAATCAATACTGGGTTAAGTATGGCAGTCTGTGAGTTTGAACATATTGCCCCAATAGATTTTGTTTTAACTATTTTCCAGTAGACATTTTTTTTCATAATGCTTTCTTTTAATGCCTCAACTAGTCGCAAGAGCTTTACTAAATATTGCAACTCTTGGCGGGGCACGGTGGCTCACGTCAGTAATCCCAGCACTTTGGGAGACCAAGGCAGGCAGATTGCTTGAGCTCAGGAGTTCCAGACCAGCCTGGACAATGTGGAAAAAATCCCATCTCTAAAAATTAAAAATAAAAAAAATACACCGGGCATGGTGGTGCACACCTGTAATCCCAGCTACTTGGGAGGCTGAGGTGGGAGGACCACTTGACTATGGGAGGTGGAGGCTCCAGTGAGCCGTGATCATGCCACTGCACTCCAGCCTGGGCAACAGAGCGAGACCCTATTTCATAAATAAATAAATATCGCACCTCTCTTTTTTTGGTACTAAGGCAGAACTGTACATAGACTGATTTCTCCAACTTTGAGCAACCCCAGATGGCTCTACTTGAACAGAAAAGAAATTGAAAGTTTAATCGTGTATAATCCCTTGTAAACAACCTGGGGGAAAAATGGTTAGGTTCTCGCCGGTGATATTTTACTTCAATGAGGTCATGTAGCACAGTGAAAATAACGAATAACTCAGCATTAGGGAGAATTGGGATCTGATCCCATTTTTGCCATTGGTTACATGACACGCAAGTTTACTCGGCTGCTGCAGGCTTGTGTCCTCATGCATGAAATGGACTAAACAATCTCCACATTATTAATGCTTTACGACTCCGCTTTCCAAAAATGGAAATGCATTTGAAGACAATACCAGGCCCTTGAAAATGAAGACGGGAGGGTAAAAAACAAGCTGCAACAGAGAACAGTATCAAGCTTTTAAAGAAACAAGTTAACACCGAAGCCAGAGGCCTTTAATGTAGACATTAAACGGTGTCTACATACACCCTTTCAGCTTGAATGTCAGCACCGGCTGTACTGACAGAAGATTTACATGACCTTTTCCTGAAATAAGCCTTCCTCTCCTAGTAACTCAATACCACGGGTACATTTTTCCAGGTACACTAGAGTTGGGTACTGCTCTAGAGCTGCACTGTCCAATACAGTAGCCACAAGCCACATGGGGCTGTTGAGCACTTGAAAATGTGGCCAGTTGGAAGTAAGACGTACTGCAAGTGTAACATACATACAGGAATTTGAAGACGGTAAAAAAAAAAAGGATATAAAATATTCAGCATTGATATTGATTGAAATAATATTTTGGATGCACTGGATTAAATAGAATATACTATTAAAATTAACTCCACCTGCTTCTTTATGCATTTGCTAATACGACTACTAGAAACATTAAGCTTACATAGGTGGCTTGTATTATATTTCTATTGGACGGTGCCATTCTAGATATCCGAATCTACAAAGTGACTGAGATTCAAACTCTTCAATGAAGCACTTTTTAAATGCTCTACTTGAGAATTAATTCCACTCACTGCTCTGCTGCCGTCGCGGTCCTGACTTTCCAAGGCTGTGCCCAGAGCGCGGCACACGTGGCTCTCACACAGGCAGGCCTGCACGGCACGCAGCAGTGGAGGAGGTTACCCTGGGTCGCCGACGCCAGGGGAAGCCAAGCGACCGACCCCACACTTCTGAGCCCCGCCGGGGAAGTCCCCGGGCGCGGAAACAGGTGGTGCGCCGGCGGTTCGCAGCTGCTGTGCCCGCTGGCCTGGGCGCAGCCGGGGACAGCGACGCGTTTCCTGCCCGGGAAGGGCCCGAGCGCAGGGCCGGCTATAGCGGTCCCGCAGCTGCCTGCTTCGATTTTAGCACTGCTGCTCCCTAGAGGGAGCAACGCGGCCCTCTGTCCCTCGTAGGGCTTGAAATGTAAATTATTCATATCAGGGGAATGTGTGCTTCAAAAAGCAAGCTGGACAAGAACCGACGGGTAATCCTCGCCAAATTCTTCTATTTAACCCTCACCATTAAAAGTCTGAGGCCTGAAAAATCTCTTGACTGGAGAGATATTAACTCCACAGGTAAACGGGATCAGGATCTACGACATAAATGAATCAAATTCACTGATTTCTAAGATTATTTAGACAGTAGAAAATTATTAATCCTTTTTATTAGTTCAATACTTCATTCAGCATTTGCAGAGCAAAATCTGCTTGGATTTATTTAGTGAAAATTATCTTCTAAAACTACAAAGATTTAACCACAGTACATAAAATTTAGTTGCAGTAGGCAAATTATATTTTTAAGCTGAACCCTAAGAAATTGTCCAAAAATATGTACAATAGTTATGCACAGCACTTATGATTGCTGAATAAATGCATCATATAAAATTTAGTTCAGTTTTTAGCAAGAGTGAACGATTTCTTAGATGATTTTTCTCCTGGTCTCATAGTGCAGAGTATTCACAAATGGACCTTATATCTTCTCCAGACAACCGTCATCCCCAATTTATTCACCTAGGCAAATCTTAGTTCAAAAGAGTTTGTGAGAAAGGCTGACCTACAGGACTAAAACCGTGCTTACATTGTAGGAAAATAAAAGAAAATGTAATCGAATGGACAATAATTTTTAAAGCACATTATTCAAGGAGGAATAAGCCCTGTAACAGAATCCATAAAACACCATGCTCCATCAGTCTCTTTTTGCTAACAGAATGACCAAGTATTCTCTCCAATTAATTTTAATAGCAAACCACCATTTCCTAAAATGACTTAAATGGGTTCAATCAAGTAGGAGAATGAATCCAAGGGAAACCACTGACTAGGGGTATAAAATGTGCCTTACATCATATTGCATACATCAAACAATCAAAGAATTTAGGCTTCAAATTACAAGAAAAAAAAATACCTTTAAGTCTTACCCTCAAGGTAAGATAGGAAAGTGGGAAATGCTGTCTGCTCACTGGCATTCCATAAAATATTCACTGTAATTTCTGGATTTCCAAGACACATCTATCTAGCAGAGGTGGTTTGTCAAGTCTGAGCTTTTCCACCTGTCCACCCCTGTAGCAATGGGGCTGATGTTCACAACCTGCAGACCATCATCAGCATTCATGGCACCCCGACAGATAACCCCATTAAACTCTCTCCCTGACTCAGGTAAACACTTCACAATGTGAGAAGGTGAGAAAGACATTATTACTGAAATAAACCTGAAAGCTGCTCTAAGTCTATAGAGAAAGTGTAACACTCACAAATATAAATACCATTACACACTATTTGTAAGATCCCTCATAAATGACTATGTTATAGCTGAGACCTGCAACGGAACTCCCACCACCAAATGTTGTGGTAGTGTAAGGACCATTGTTATTTTCACTTGCAAATATTCCTGAGAGGTCGTATTTTAAGCTGCTAAAAACTAAAACAGGAATAAGGTGACAACCAGCAAAAGAAAAAAAATGAGCTAATGCACTCGAGAGAGTAAGGAAGGCTCACGGAAGAGGAGGGCTGTGGTGATCAGAGTCCACGGACGTCCAAAAATGTGACTTGGCTGGCCCTAACAGAGGGGAGCAGCTCTTCTAAAAACAAAATCACCCCCTGGAAATTATGTTGGTTGGTTCCTTGGGGCATCTACAGTTCTTTTTCAAGTTATTTACTTGCTCATTACCGCCAGTCCCAGCTTTCTTGGGAGACCTAAACATATTTGGGGAATGGAAATAATGTGCTTGCTGCCACAGACCAGGCCAGTAAGATGAGAAGATAAAGAGTTTCTAGAGTTTTTATTATTCAAAATGAGTTTCATTTCAATTCAGGTACTTGAAAGAAGGTTCTAGTCTGTTACTTTGACACAGCACAAGATCAATAGTTTATTCTGATGAAGTATTCCACCCAAATGAAAGCATAACATGCAAGTAGTCATTTATTTCAATCACTCCTATTTGAAGGTCCTTATTTTTGGAGAACAGTCAGGCATTTTATTATCCACTCTTTCCATTCCTTAAAGGCTTCCTTCCACGGGTTTCAGTAAATTCCCATTATCCTCACGACTGTGTTCTGGAGTTGCTCCAGGTGTGCCAGAAGATTCATCATCAATCCACCTCACCAGTGCCTGGAAAAGCATTGAAAGATGCGCACTTCAACAAACCACAGCAAAATACCATCAGGCAAGAGAGAAGCATTGGCTTCTAGATCATAGGGTGACATATTACCCCATGAAGACGCTGCATTTGATAATGATGCTGTGAATATGAATAATGCTAATGATATACTGAGTGAAATGGCACGTACCAAATACACACAGAATTACAAATGATGTCAAAAGTACGCACTGAAAAAAGATGAAAAAGAAATACACTCATTCTTATACTTTGTTTCTAGCATGATAGGATATTTTTTCTCAACTTGCTGAATATTCTACAAGGCATTATATTAATTTGACATGTATGTATATACATATATAAGTGTCCACACAGGCATGGGTAGACATATGTATGTGAAAACACATGTGTAGACATTTCTGTGCAGTCACCTGAATGCAGTCATACCCATGAGTAAACACATGAATGTATATTGATGTTTGTGGGCAAGTGTGGGCACACACACACATACTGAGATTAGGTACTTTCCTTCTTCCTTTTTAAAGAAAATCACTTTTTTCCTCCTAATGAACATCATACCTCTGTCCCATATTTGGAAAGATAAATCCTGTCCTCACACTTATAGGGTTTAAAAAATGAACTTTGCCACACATATCAATATTTATTCAGTTTTGCAAAGTCAAGCTCTCTTGCCCTAAATGGAAGAGAAGCAGAAAATTTCTTCCACTATTTCTCATTGAACTGTAAGCATAAATCACTCTAAGGCAAGCTGAAGTTTTTAAGAAGGGCATTTCTTCGCATGTTTTTAAACCACAGCTTCCTGCTTATCTTTACACTAATTTCCTCTGATAAATTATAACTCTAGAGAAGGATATAATAGATACATCAGTTTGCTACTCAGATAACCACTTCCCCCTCTTTACACTATCCATCCCTCAACTTACTTTATATCTTTCTACAATGCTGAAGCCAATAACAGCACACTGCAACTTGTGCAAACAGATAGGGCAAAGGTTTAGAGGGCGCCGGTCAGCTTCTTCCAAGTGGAAGAAGCCCCAGATTTCCCTATCAAAATCCTTTGCTGCTATCCACCATGCCTTGTCTTGTAAAACTTAATGGGCTGGAGGTCAAATACTTGAGAAACTGAAGTTTCAGAGTCTTTTCCCACAAAAGAAGTCTTTTTCTGAAAGTAGCAAGTACTCCAAATCAAGTACTCAAAAAGGAACCACAAAAACTAATCACATGGGTCAGGCATGGTGGCTCATGCCTGCAATCCCAGCACTTTGGGAGGCCAAGGTGGGCGGATCACCTGAGGTCAGGAGTTCAAGACCAGCCTGGCTAACATGGTGAAATCCTGTCTCTACAAAAATACAAAAATTTGCCAGGCATGATGGTAGGCGCCTATAATCCCAGCTACTCAGGAGGTTGAGGCAGGAAAATGGCTTGAACCCGGGAGGCGGAGTTGCAGTGAGCCGAGATCCCGCCATTGCACTCCAGCCTGGCGACAGAGCGAGACTCCATCTCAATAAATAAATAAATAAATAAACAAATAAAATAAAATAAATCACATCAACAATAGGCAGTCATGATTTCACTCTTTAAGGACACGCTAAACAGATCTGTTACACGTGTGCCTGGAGGGGTTGCTGGCCTTCCCTCACGCAGCACTGACTGAGGACAACTGCCCTGATGTCTTGAAGCCCATGCTTTAAACCACGGCTTTAGACAGAATAACCTCGTCCCCTTCCCCACCCCCACCCCCTTTTTAAAGAGCAGCTCAACTCTATTCTGTCACTAGTGTCTGGTGACCAGAATAAATACCCTTGTAACTGACTTCCTGTGTTACATTTAGAGTTATATCAACCATCTCTGCAAGCACAGAGAACACGGTTTGCTACGTAACTCACCCTACAGGGTACTGCTTCACAATTCGACTTGTTTACATGATCACTTTTATTTATGTCTCTCGTTCAGTTTTTATTTTAAAGTAATAAATTTTTAAAGAAAATAACCCATGGTAGGTTTGTTCAATCTAATTTGATTCAAAAACAACTTCCTCACCTCCCTTTACCCAGAAAATGTGGACTGATATTCGAAAATTAGGGAAAATAGCATTCTAGAAGTTAAGAAAACACTAAATCTATTCATGTATCACAAGTAACCCCCTCTGGCCAATCAAGTGTGAGCATATTTCACTACAGTAATACTTTCAGCAAGGACATTTCTTTCTTCCAATAATCCTACAAATAGAAGATTATTTTCTTTCGTAGTCAATGCTTCTCAATTTAAAAATATGAATCTTTGTAAACTTGGAGAAAACAAGACCACTGTGTTAAGATATTGTCACTGTCTAATCCTGCCACTTTCCTATGTAAATCTTTCATGTCATGTAATATTTAAGAAACTTACAAAAAAAAGAATTAAAGTAAAAACAGTTTGGGGAAATGTTTCCTGACCTCCTCAAATACATAAGATAAGTTAGCTAGTAATATCTAGATAAACGAACATATGGTTTGAAAATTATTTTTTTAGCTGGGTGTGGTGACTCACACCTTTTATCAAAGCACTTTGGGAGGCTGAGGTGGGAGGCTCGCTTGAGCCCAGGAATTCAAGATGAGCTTGAGCAACACAGGGAGATCCCATCTCGACAAAAAAAATAAAATAAAATAGCTGGGTGTGGTGGTCCTGTGGTCCCAGCTACTCAGGAGGCTGAGGCGAGGCAGGAGGATCCCTTCAGCCCAGGAGGCTGAGGTTGCAGTGACCCATGATCAGCCTGGGTGATAGAGGGAGACCCTGTATCAAAAGAAAAATGAAAGGTAGATAAAATTAATTTTTAATGTTTCCGTCTCTATCAGGTTAATAATAAGAGAGAAAACTTATGATAAAAAGCTACCTCACACCACCAAAATCAGTAAGAGAGTAGTGACCCACGTCTCCAAGACTGCATGTTGGTAGGGCCATGGGGGGCCACAAGTAAACCTCACATAAATGGAGAATAAAGAATAAACGAGTAAGTGGGAAGAGGCTCTATAGCCCTACAGCCCCCACCTCTAGTAGAAACATTTGTCCCAAAAAGCTTACCACCCCACACAAATCCTAAGGCTAATGTAACATCCAGACAGACCATAAACTCTCAGGATAGTCCCTGTACTTACTCCCCATCCCCAGAACACTAATGAACCACTCCCCTTAGGGGGCCTTTTCCCTTTCAAGTCTGTCTTGGATTATTGGGGATGAAGTTAGAGAAGTAAGAGCAAAAATGAAGGGGAGGGGAGAAGTAGAGAGATGACAAAAAAAGGTTAAAAATATAACCTGTTTCGTGAACCTTTCCCATCCCCAATATTACCATGCAGAGTTCCTAATGAGTCAATGTTTACTATGTATCTCAAATCAAAGATGGAAGTTTTTACTTTTTAAATTAAAAAACAAACAAAAAACAAATGTCGTATGATGAGAAAGAAGCAACACTTAGTCTATGGCTATCCTAACTGTGCAAGATGACTATGAAAAGAATTGAAAAACAATTAGCAAGATTTTCACATCCATTAATGATAGCTCAAACTGTAATTGGCTTAATTCACCTTGCTACTGAATTACTGACGTTTACTAGCTGTTATGCTGAATGCCTATATATGTGCCAGGCCTATATATGCTTTTTTTTTTTTGAGACACGGTCTCAATTTATTGCCCAGGCTGGAGTACAGTGGTGCGATCACGGCTCACTGCAGCCTCAACCTCCTGGGCTCAAGCAATCCTCTCGCCTCAGCCTCCTGCATAGCTAGGACTACAGGTGTGTGCCACCATGCCCAGCTAATTTAGTTTTTTTAATTTTTATTTTTTGTAGACATGTAGTCTCACTATGTTGTCCAGGCTTATCCACACTTTTTATGTACAGGCACTTTTATGTAAATTATCTCCAAATGACTCCATGATGTGGGTATTGTTACCTTTAAGGTCCTGTAGGTAGTGAGTGGCCAACCAGAACCTAGATTATCACAATCTACCAACAGCACACTTCCCATTATGGCATAATGTCTCAACTGAAAATACTATAGTTTTAAATATCAATATGATTCTTGGTTGGAATTTTTTTCCCTCTTTTAACATCTTCAAATATTCTCAAGTTGAAGAAGCTTCTAACAACAATGCCAAAAACGGAATACCATCTGTCAAAGAGGCCTGTCCAAAGACAAAATTCCACAAGTCTCTTGGGTAAAGATCAATCATTGTTATTCCCACAACACAGAAGGCATCTTCAGGTTTCTTCTTTTTCAAGAACTTCAGGATGTCCCCTATTTAAGAAGAAATACATAAATGTATGAGTGTATATTATATACATATGCTTCCTTTACTCAGTTCAAATTGCAAAGTTGTGTAATTCACCTGCATGAATTTGTAGGTTTTGTGTGTTCTCATTGACTCTAAAGGAACACCTTGTTGTAGAAACAGGAACTGGTTCTAGCAGTTTTACTCTCAAGCGATAGAAATATGCTTTACAGTAGCCCGTGAGCCATTTAATATATTCTTCACTGATAATTCTGGTGCTTCATAGAGATCCTATAATATGGAAGAACATTTAAAAACAGACTTTAAGACGATTATTCAGTGTTTACCCAGTCTATGAGTAAGAGGATTCAAATTAGAAACAAAACCAACTCTAAATTTTCAATACACCTTTAACATTCATCGGTGTTGATATGAATTAAAAAAAAATGTTCTAGGTCTGTTTGGCTACAAAACTTGTACCATTGCAATGAATATCAAAAATGATCCTAAAATGGCCCATCTGAATCAGACCAATAGCCCGGACTATTCCTGACAACAGAACCATTGCAAAACCGAACCAAAACTAGCACATTACCAGTATTTACCAATGGACCGTATATAAATACTGCGTTTGTCTGGAGAGGGTATCTTTCTGTAAGGATGACTGAAGAACTGTTCAAAGTCTTGGGGGGCCTCAGGGTGGGAGGTGATCCAATCTGATGGAGAATGCAAGGTCCAAAGAGATCACTGGCTGGCTGGAATGCTTCATTCATTAAACGCTGTTCCCCAGCATCTACTTTCTCATACTGTGACACAAGCACTGGATTCTTTGAGATGACAGCTATTTTTAGTGTCTGTTCGGAATACCGTACTATTTGCATCTAACAAAAAAATACAAGCAGTCAAATATAAAAATACATATCCATATTGGGGACTTTACCTATTCTCCATATACAGCTCTGATTTCTCCCTAGAGTGAAATGACTGACTGCTAATGCTTTAGAGTGGTCACACTTAGAGTGGTTTCCTCATGTCCAATCAATTTCTTGGGGACCTAAGAAATTACAAAGACAATCATGAAATCCATTCCTCCATCTCATATGGAACCTGCTCCCATTACAAAAACTAGTGGTGGCCAGGCGTGGTGGCTCATGCCTGTAATTTCAGCACTTTGGGATAGGAGGACTGCTTGAGGCCAGGAGTTTGAGAACAGCTTGGGCAACATGGTGAGACCCTGTCTCTACAAAAAACTTAAAAATTCCCTGGGCATAGTGGTGCACACCTGTGGTCCTAGCTACCAGGGAGGCTGAGGTTGCAGTGAGCCATGATCGTGCCACTGCACTCCAGCCTGGGCAAGAGTCCAAAACAAACAAAAAAATCTCATGGTGACCATAGGAGCAGGACCTCACACCCAATTTCCTTCTTTTGGGGAATAATATTGGCCTGGCATGGTGGCTCATGCTTATAATCCCAGCACTTTGGGAAGCCAAGGCAGAAGGATTACTTGAGCCTAGGAGTTTGAGATCAGCCTGGGCATCATGGCAAAACCCCATATCTACAAAAAAATTAGCCGGGCATGGTGGTGTGCACTTGTAGTCCCAGCTACTTGGGAGGCTAAGGTGGGAGGATCATCTGAGCCCAGGAGGTCGAGGCTGCAGTGGGCTGTGATCGTGCCACTGCACTCCAGCCTGGGCAACAGAGACTTTGTCTCAAAAAATCATATTATGAATTAACTCATTAGTGCCACATGAAAAATACTCCTCGTTTCTAGTGTGACTCAAAGATCTTCAACATCAAATAAAAACAAAACTAATGTAAGCCCTATCATTTCTGCAATTTAACTGCAGGCTGAGAAGCTACGGCTTAGTCACATCACATTAGGGAAGACATCAGATGACTAATCAAAAGCCAGACTCACAATGACAGGTTTCTTCCATTCACATCGTGTTCCTATGTAGAGTTTTCATCCTTCCTCTTGAAAAGGGTCAGATGTTCCACCACGAGACTTTTTGAATTACACAAGGAAAAACCTGAACATCTCTGTCTGGATCATCTCTGTCATATTTTCTAATTATCTAGATTTTGCCAGTTTAATGATAGACAACTGATGGGAAAACTTAAGCTAATGTCTGTTCTGATTGAACCTCTGAATTCTGGGGTTGAAGAGGCTGGCTGAAATTCCAGATCAAATGTCTCTGTACTCAAAGCTCTGATAAGAGCATAAGCTCATCCTCACTCCTACACAACTGGGCTGAAATCTGACTTCTACAGGACAAAATATAAAACCAGATGTACCTTCCAGTGGTCTACCTACCTTGATTAGGAAGGAAGGCTCCCATGGAAGCTTTTATCTCACAAGGACAGACATGTCTGGGCCTGGCCAGAAGGAAGTTGTGGAGTGTGCCTTCATCTTTATATTAACGAAGGCAGTGAGAAAAGTCAGGAGGCCTCCCCTTGCCTCCCAAGCCTAATCTAGGGAAGCTGCGGGAGAAGATGGGCAGGGGGCGCACAATATGGTCACTGTGGTGGGCTGGAGGCCTGGGACGCTGTGGTCCCAAAACCAGAACATCTCGGGCCAACCGGGAGAAGTTGGCCACCCTAGCTGGTTGCCTACAGCAACTCGCACTGTGGGCTCTGGTCCGTGCAGGCACAACCCAGGCTCCGGCTGGGGGTGGAGTAGGGCTTCCCCGGGGACTCTCGCTTCGCCTCTTCTTCCCCCAGGAGCCTCTGGAAAGGCCTCCCTGGCTCCCCAGAGGCACTCCGCCCCCGCAGTCCCCGCGGCTTCCGCCACGTCCGTCCCTCCTACATCCTCATCCCTCTCCACCGACCGCGACTGGCGCCCGCCTCTACGACCCGGCTGCCCCGCCCAGCTCTGACAGCACCTGCGAACCGCCCTGACCCAACAGGCCTCGACACCACTCACCCGCGACATCCCTCACGCGCGTGCGCACCGCGTCTCTTCGCACTACGCCACGCCCACTGGCGCCACGCCCCTTCGCGCCGCGCGACGCGCCGCTCCATCGCACACGCTCTCTGGGCCCCGCCCCACTCACGACCCGCCCGCGCCACGCCCCTGAGCGCGCCAGAGCTGG
This sequence comes from Homo sapiens, assembly GCF_000001405.40. Taxonomy (NCBI): domain Eukaryota; kingdom Metazoa; phylum Chordata; class Mammalia; order Primates; family Hominidae; genus Homo; species Homo sapiens. Next base: position 64,975,729 of record NC_000017.11, read on the forward strand.
AGTTCGGCGGCCGCGGCTCGCCTTTTCCTGAGTAGAGGGTCACGAGGGGACTACAAGCCCCAGCCGTCCGCCCCCGCAGTCGCCAGTTCCCCGTCTGCCCTCGCCGGGGCTCCGCGGCCTGGTTCTCCAGAGCCACAGACGCGCCCGCGTCACCAGGGTCGCCCGTGTGGGAACGTGCTCGGCAGGCCGCGGGTTTGAGAGGCGTCCCGGCGTGACGAATGCAACCAGCGTAGCCCCCAAATGAGTCGGCGGCCGCCGCAGGTTGTCGTACAGCCGCGGCGCTCCCTGGGGCAGTCACCCAAAGGACTTTCCCTTCTTTATTTGTTGGGGGCGGCGGGGACTGGAACCCAGACGCGCAAGTGTGGGGCGTGTCCTCGTGGCGTCCCTGGCGCTCCGAGGCCGAGACCCGGATGCCAGGAGAGGCAGTGAGGTCGGAAAGGCACCGCGGGGCCAGCATTAGGGCTGAGCTAGTTCTGTGGCCTCGGGTGGGACGTTCAATCTCTCTGGGCCTCGCCATTCTCTTTCTTTTTATTGCTTTTTGTTTGTTTGTTTAAGACGGAGTCTCTCTGTCGCCCAGGCTAGAGTGCAGTGGCCCAATCTCGGCTCACTGCAACGTTTGCCTCCTGGGTTCAAGCGATTCTCCTGCCTCACCCTACCCAGTAGCTGGGACTACAGGTGCCCACTATCACGTCCGGCTAATTTTTGTATTTTTAATAGAGACGGGGTTTCACCATTTTGGCCAGGCTGGTCTCGAACTCCTGACCTCAGGTGATCCGCCCGCCTTTCCCTCCCAAAGTGCTGGAATTACAGGCGTGAGCCACCGCGTCCGGCCTCAGTTCTTTTGAAGTCATTTTACCATCCTCTGGATTTTCCTCATCCTAATTCTCCTTCCCAGTCTCCAGGAAAGACAGGCACATTTTCTTGATGACTTCAGCACTTGTAACCCCTTGTTGGCTCTCCTTAGAGGACATTAACTCTGTGTGTTTGAACCTTTCAACTTCGAGGATCTCCTCAGCCCATCCTTATTTGTTCACCCTTCTGGATCATGAAATCTCCAAATTTGTCTTTTGAACCCAGTGCCCATATCCACCCTCACCTGAACCCATTCTTGAATAAAATGCATTCCTACCATGACTGTTCTCAAAGTTTGAAGTTGAGCATACCGATGCGCCACTCCTGCTTCAATGCTTGAGAAGTCGTAGGCTTTCTTCTATGTGCCTTTTGACTGGGCGCCTATCTCCCGACAGCCTGAGGTGGTGTAGCATAGGGGCGAAGGTGGTCTGTGCTTGAATCCCAAAACCCTCACTAGCGTGGGACCTGTGCCAGTTACTTGACCTCTTTTTCATTTCTTCACTAGTTTGTAAAACGGACACAATTACAGCACATCTTTTATTGTTATTATTTGACACGAAGTCTCACTCTGTCACCCATGCTGGAGTGCAGTGGCGTGATCTTGGCTCACTGCAACCTCTGCCTCCTGGGTTCAAGCGATTCTCGTGCCTCAGTCTCCCGAGTAGCTGGGATTACAGGCACGCACCACCACGCCCGGCTAATTTTTGTATTTTTAGTAGAGACGGGGTTTCACCATGCTGGCCAGGCTGGTCTCAAACTCCTGACCTCAGGTGATCCATCTATCTCGGCCTCCGAAAGTGCAGGGATTACAGGCATGAGCCACCGCGCCCCGCCTACAGCACATCTTAGCAGAATTTTAGGGATCAAATGAGTTCCTTTGGATACTGTGCCTGTTTTTGACTGAACGGCTGTCTTCTGACATCCTGAGTGGCTTCTTTAGCTTAGTTGTCACCTCTTCTATAGCCTCATCCTGCCTCATGACAAAACTTCTCTTCTGCCTGTTCATTGCCTTGTGTGTACGTAATAATACTGCAGTTGTCCTTGTCACAATGATTGGAACCTATTTCTTACATGTCACCCTTACTCAACTGCGAGATGCTTGAGGGTAAAGACTCTCATACGGGGTGTCTGAAGCATAAAAGGTATTCACTAGATTTTCAGTCAGTTTTTTTTTTTTTTTTTTTTTTTTTTGTTGTTGTTGTTGTTGTTTTGAGACGGAATCTCACTCTGTCGCCCAGGCTGGAGTGCAGTTGCGTATCTGAGCTCACTGCAAGCTCCGCCTCCTGGGTTCAGGCCATTTTTCTGCCTCAGCCTCCCGAGTAGCTGGGACTACCAGTGCCCGCCTCCACGCCCAGCTAATTTTTTTTTTTTTGTATTTTTAGTAGAGGCGGGGTTTCACCGTGTTAGCCAGGATGGTCTCGATCTCCTGACAGTTTTTTGGTATTCATTAAAAAGAACTTCATTTTGCATTTAAACTGTTTAAATTTCTGAATCGTGAACTTTGTACTTGCTCAAAAATTTTAGGATAGCATGTTTCTGCATGGTCTAATATTTATTTTTTTAAAAAAACTTACCAGGCGTGGTGTCTCATGCCTATGATCCCAGCACTTTGGGAAGCTAAGACAGGAGGATCACTTGAGCCTAGGAGTTCCAGACCAGCCTGGTCAACATAGGGGGAGACCCCATCTCTAGAAAAAAAGCCAGGTGTAGTGACACATGCCTGTAGTCTCAGCTACTTGGGAGGCTGAAGTGGGAGGATGGATTGAGCCTGGGAGGTCGAGGCTGCAGTGAACCATGATTCACAGCACTTTAGCCTGGGCAACAGAGTGAGACCCTGTTCAAAAAAGTAAATAAATAAACACCTTAGTGCTTCAGGGGGGTTAGTTTTTTTTTTTTTTTTTCATTAGAAGGAAAAGACACTTTCTCTTACTAAGGTATTTTTGCCTGTTAACTAATATGCAGTTGCAAAATGAACCATAGGCTGTTTGCATTTCAAAGAACACTACAAGTTCTGATATTTAGAAATGAGTGTATATGCCAGTGGCCCAAGGTTGGAAAAGAAAGTTGGTAACAACATTAGAAGGTGGCAGAAATCAGGAAAGAAATGTAACATATACGGCAGATGAAGGGTTTAAAAATAGCTTTTACATATCAACACGGAAAAACACCATGACATAAAAATGAGCAAAAAATATGAACCATATAATCCGAATGGTTCATTAACATCCATGTGTTCAACTTTATTGAACACATGAATGAACTCAAAGGAAAACCACTCTAATAATGTTTTCTTACCTGCTAATTTGGCCAAAGTGTTTATTTTGAAATAATTTCAAGCTAACAGAAAAGTGGCAAAAATAGTATAAAGAATCCCTGCATTCTCTTCACCCAGATTCCCCAGTACTTAACATTTTACCTCATTTCTTTATCATTCTCTTTCTTTCTGTGTCTTTATCTCTGTCTCTCTCTATATGTAAATGTACATTGTTTCCCTGAACTGTTTGAGAGTAAATTGCAGGCCGGGGGCGGGTGCAGTGGCTCACGCCTGTAATCCCAGCACTCTGGGAAGCTGAGGTGGGTTGATCACTTGAGGTCAGGAGTTTGAGACCAGCCAGGCCAAAATGGTGAAACCCAATCTCTACTAAAAATACAAAAATTAGCAGGGTGTGGCGTTACATGCCTGTAATCCCAACTACTTGGGAGGCTGAGGCAGGAGAATCGCTTGAACCCAGGAGGCGGAGGTTGCAGTGAGCTGAGATCACGTTATTGCACTCCAGCCTGGGCAACAGAGCAAGACTGTCTCCAAAAAAAAGTAAGTTGCAGACATGATGCCCTGGACTCCTAAATACCTCATAGTATATTCCCAAAAATCAAGCACATTTTCGTAAGTAGCCACAGTACAACTAAAACATGAGTCCATACTGACATTTCCAATTCCAGTCCAGCCTGACACCACAGAGTTCATTCATTCTAGCCTTCCATTTTTCCATATGTATGATGTCCTTCATCAGTAGAGAGAAACCTGGCTCCTGTTATTCACAATTTATTTATTTATTTGCTCTGTACTAGAATATGTACTAAAAATAATTTCAGAATTCCTAATCCATAGCACTGCAGGAAAACAATTCTACCAATTAGTATGTATTTAAGGTTCTTTATAGCCAGAGGATATATATTAAAATAACTGTGTTCAAGTTACCTACCTAGGTTAGTTCCCCCTCCCAATTCTGCCCTTCAGTGTAGTATTGTTATTAACATGAAATATAGTTAGGTTCATTTATTTTTGTTTGCATTCCATTTTATGAATTTCCCCCCAACCTTGATCTTTTTTTGATTGTGTGATACATTAACATGGTTACTAAAAAGTTGTATTTGATGATAATGTCCAATGATGGTAGACTGTCCTGGCGGAGTGTATAAACAGGTCGAATCTTTCTGGTGAACAACCTGACATGGAGTATTAATAGCTTTTAAAATGTTCATACCTATTGACCCAATAAGAGATCTCACAGACTTATGGTTAAGGATAGTCAACAAAATATTATTTATAATTATGAAAATTAGAAACAATCAAAATATCCAGCTATTGGAGACTGGAAAAGCATAAATTATTAATCATAGACCATAAATTACATGTACATTCATATGTTAGAATACTAAGCATCTATTTAAAATCATTTCTCAGCTGGGCACAGTGGCTCATGCCTGTAATCCCAGCACTTTGGGAGGCCAAAACAGGCTGATCACCTGAGGTCAGGAGTTCAAGACCAGCCTGGCTAACATGGCGAAACCCGGTCTCTACTAAAAATACAACAATTAGCCAGGTGTGGTGGCACATGCTTGTAGTTCCAGCTACTCAGGCGGCTGAAGCAGGAGAATCGCTTGAACCTGGCAGAAAGAGGTTGCAGTGAGCCATGGTCACACCACTGCACTCCGGCCTGAGCGACAGAGCGAGACTATCTCAAGAAAAAAAAAAATCATTTCTCAAAGACAGTAGTGACCTAGAGAAATGCTAAGGGGAAATAAAGTGTGACACAGAAATGTTTACACGTTGTAATTTTTTTTTTTTTTTTTTTGGGACGGGGCCTTACTCTGTCACCCAGGCTGGAGTACAGTAGTGTGATTACAGCTCACTGCAGCCTGGACGTCTCAGGATCAGGTGATTCTCCCACCTCAGCCTCCCAAGTAGCTGGGATTATAGGTATGCACCATTACACTTGGCTAATGTTTTGTGTTTTTTGTAGAGAAGGGGTTTCACCATGTTGCCTAGGCTTGTTTTGGTTTTGAACTTCTGGGCTCAAGCCATCTGCATGCCTCCACCTTCCAAAGTGCTGGGATTACAGGCATGAGCCATCTTGCCTGGCCTATATGTTGTAATCTTATTTTTGTTTTAAAAAGATGTGCTTGGCCGGGCATGGTGGCTCATGACTGTAACTCCAGAACTTTGGGAAGCTGAGGCAGGCAGATCATCTGAGGTCAGGGGTTCCAGACCTGCCTGGCCAACAAGGCGAAACCCCATCTCTACTAAAAAATACAAAAATTAGCTGGGCATGGTAGCACACGCCTGAAATCCCAGCTACTCGGGAGGCTGAGCCATGAGAATCACTTGAACCAGGGTGGCGGAGGTTGCAGTGAGCCAAGATCGTGCCACTGTACTCACTCTGTGTCCAAAAAAAAAAAAAAAAGAAAGTGCTGATAAGTAATAATCTATGAATAATGAGATATTTGGTGGTTTTGATTTCTCTCTCTCCTGCTTTACTTGTTAATTTGCCTTTTCCAAACTTTCTACAATAAGTATTATTACTTTTACAGTCAGAAAGCAATTTAACAAGTCAGTAGTGTATTAATATTTAGGCATTCCTAAATATACAAATGACCCTTGGGCATAACAGCTTCTCCATGTTTTCTAGGTGGTTCTCTGCCTCTGTCTTTCTGCCTAGGCTTTCAGCTGCTCCTCAATCTATTTTTCTATGGTCTCTGAATTTTACTTACACCAACATACCACTAACTAGAGATTCATTTAGATTAACAACCAAGCCATCCTTTGTCTTCCTAATTTGTTGACTTTATTTTAAAATTACTTTATGGACCGGGTGCAGTGGCTCACGCCTGTAATCTCAGCACTTTGGGAAGCCAAGGCAAGCGGATCACTTAGGTCAGGAGTTCGAGACCAGCCTGGCCAATGTGGCAAAACCCCGTCTCTGCTAAAAAAAAAAAAAAAAAAAAACCACACAGAAGATTAGCCAAGTGTGCCAAGTGTGGTGGCACACACCTGTAGTCCCAGCTACTTGGGAGGCTGAGGCAGGAGAATCGCTTGAACCTGGGAGGCAGAGGTTGCAGTGACCTGAGATCACACCACTGCATTTCAGCTTGGATAATAGAGCAACACTTGGTCTCAAAAAATAAATAAATAATAAAATTACTATATATATGAAAATATTCCAAATATACATTTTTAAAAGCTAAGAAGTACTAAAAGCATTGTAATGAAAAGTAATAGTCCCCACCCCATAGGCCAACTTCCTAGAGGCTACTGTTCTCAACTCCTTGGCTGTTTTTTCTGGTATTTATCTCCATGTTTCTCAACAATGTGTGTATAGTGAGATTTCTTGATCTTTTGATTTTAGGTAGCATCTGTTAATTTATTGCCATGAGAGATGAGGACTTAACTCTCATACATCATACTTTCTACCTCTCATTCCTCTGGTGATTATATCACACATTTTGGTTGAATCTGGTGGTCAGTGTTTACATTATGATGATTATGCAAACATTGTGTACTACAGAGCCAAGTAGTGTACTATGACCATGCTTTCTTTCTTGTAGAACCTCTTTATTTTTGCCTAGAGTTAATCATCACTTGATTTCTATTATTTATTTTCTTTTAAAAAACTATATAACATGCATGTGCCTTATTTTTTATGATTCTCTGATTCTTTACTTTGTTTTTTAATGCTTCTCTACATGGCCCGTTTACACTAGTTACATTTTTTTTCTGGGTACCCTCATCTCCACATTCCTATCTATACTGGTCATCCATGGGCCTACTGCATAGCTGTTCCTAGGACTGCAACTACACTTTGCTCTGTTGGATCCCCTGTTTCTTAAATTACTAAATTCTGTCTTCCTCTTTCCTGGCCTACTCCTTTGGTTTCAGTAGCACATCCCCAGAACCTTCTGGAATAAAGGTACATAGAGATAAATATTTTGAGAACTTTGACATCTGAAAATGTTTTTATCCTGCCCTCATACTTGATTGAGAATTTATTGAGTTGGTGTGGAATTCTAGATTGCAAATCATTTCCCCTCAGAATTATAAACAGTTTGCTCCAGTTTCTTCTGACTTCCAATGTTGCTACTGAGATGTTCAATGCCATTTTGATTCCTAGTTCTTTGTATGTTATCTGTTATTTTTAGGAAGATTATAGGGTCTCCTTTTTATCCTTAGCGTTCTGAAGGGTTATAAAGATGTGCCTTAGCCTGAACCTTTCTTCTCATTCATTTTGTGGCTCACTTAGCAGGCCCTTTGATACTGAGACTCTTATCCTTTCATTCTGAGAAATTTTCTGGTATTATTTTTTTGATAATTTCCTTCCCTCCATTCTTGCTGGATGTTGGACTTTCAGAATAGATCCTCAAATTTTCTTATCTCTCACATTTTTTCCATCTTTTTGTACTACATTCTGAAGTTTTTATCAATTATTTTTTTTCTTTTTCTTTTCTTTTCTTTTTTTTTTGAGACAGAGTTTCGCTCTGTTGCCCAGGCTGGAGTGCAGTGGTGCGATCTCAACTCACTGCAACCTCCACCTCTTGGTTTCAACCAGTTCTCTGCCTCAGCCTCCCTAGTAGCTGGGATTACAGACACCCACCACCACACCCAGCTAATTTTTTTTTTTTTTGTATTTTTAGTAGAGATGGGGTTTCATCATCTTGGCCAGGCTGATCTTGAACTCCTGACCTCGTGATCCACCCATCTCGGCCTCCCAAAGTGCTGGGATTATAGGTGTGAGCCACTGTGCCCAGACTTTATAAATTATCTTCTATCTTTTCTTTTGAATACTTACTTTAAACTATTCTGCTTTTCAATAGCCAAAATCCCTTTCTTGTTATGATTATTTTATTTTGCACCCTGCGATGGTTTGAATGTCTGTGTCCCCCCAAATTTCTATGTTGAGACCTAACCCCCAACGTGATAGTATTTGTAGATGGGAACCTTTGGGAGGTGATCAGGCCATGAGAATGGAACCCTTATGAATAGTATTAGTGCCTTTATAAAAGAGACCCAAGGGAGTCAGCTCACCCCTTCCTCCACGTGAGGCCACTGCAAGAAGACACTATCTCTGAACCAGAAAGCAGGCCCTCCCCAGACACCAAATCAGCACCTTGATCTTGGATTCCAGTCCCTAGAACCATGAGAAATAAATTTCTTTGTTTATAAACCACCCAGTGTATCATATTTTGTTACGGCATCCTGAAAGTCTAAAATACATCCTATTTCATGGATAAAATGCCTTTTCTTATTTCTCTATAGATAGTAACTATACTACTTTTGAAGATTTGTTCTGTTGTTTCCTCTGTTTTGGTCTTTTTGTTTCATGTTAGAACTTTCCATAAACATCTGGTAATCTTTGGCTATCTGTTAAGATTTCATTATGAGGCACAAAAAACTGGTGGGGGGTTCTGTGTGCATGAATGTGGCTTATTCTCAGAGGCAATCTGGCAGATAATCAGCTTATTCACTGAGGGGATTCTCCCCAGTGTCTGAACTTGAAAGTTTCTTCTCTGCGACCATTGCATTTTTTTTCCAGAGTAGGATCATTTCCTAACTGACTGCCAGTGTTCTGGAAGCAGGTGCAGTGAAGAGCCTAAGAGTCCTACTAATGTGTGTGTGAATTCCGAATCCTTAGTCACCGTGTTCATCCCTAACCCATACTGCCACAAGGACTCTCAAGTCTCACAACTAATTCATTTTAACATGAGAAGATATTAAGAGGGTTAAGAGGTTCTCCATGATTCACCTACTAGTGTGAATTCATATCTTCTCCTTTTGCTTTTCCCCTGGCCCTTAGCTGATATCAACTGCTCTGAGGAAATGGAAGTCTGATTGGTCAGGAAGCAGGAATAGTGGGTAATTTGGGGTCCCAGACCCCCCTTAGCAGGCAAGCAGCCCAGAGGTGGGTAAAGCACTTTAGGAAAGGGTGCTGCAATCCAGGGACTACGGCCCTGGACCTGGACGCCAAAAGGGAGTTGAGAAAGTAGAAAAGAAAACTACTTATGCTTAAATTGTGCTCAGAGCCAGGTCTCTATGCAAAGGAGCAGCAGGTGACCTGATTTCTCCCTCCTGCACTGCAGAGAACCTGCCCTCAAAGACCCAGAGCTCAGCTTCAGTAGAAGTTGAACAGCACTGTGCGAGCGAACCTGAGAACCCAGTCACCCTGAGAAAAACGGTTTCTAGGAGAAAACACATTCTTTGATCCAAACAACCAACTTACAAATGATCTTTTGGACCACGTCCTGCCTGCAAACTGAGGCTCAATTCACCTTTAATGGGCCAGCTCTGGCAGTGCCAAGGGAGAGAGGCCATTAGCAGAAATGAAAAAAGCAAGAAATCTTTTAGTCCATTAGGTTAAAAGAAGATTTTTCATGCTTTATTATTTATGATTTGCGACTTCAGTTACTGTTTCCTGGAACAAATGTTATGATTCAACTTCTATTTACTGAAGCAAATAGATGCTTATCAGCAGTCATGCTACAAATCACAAAGCAGTCAGTAAGGCCTTTGGGGCTGTGGCCTCTTTTGCAATTCTTTGATGTCTTGTCAGGCAACTTATTTTCTGTGCCTTAGAGAGTTTCCAAAAGCTACCACAATCTGATGTGTGTGTGTGTGTGTGTGTGTGTGTGTATACATTTGTGTGTGTATATCTACATGCACTCTTTCTGTCTCTCTTTCTCTCTCTCTCTATATATGGCATATAAATACAGTAAATTCAAAGAATTGAGCAAAAGCAGATTTTGGTTTTTACTTTAAGAATATCATTTCACTTCCTGAAAAATTAGGAATTAGGAGTCCTAAGAATACCACATAGCATTTAGGAAGACTTGAGTGGGAGCTAAGAAAGTTCGAATGAGGGGAGGAAGAAAGTCCCTGGTCAGCCCGGTATAGTGACTCAAGCCTGTAAACCCAGCACTTTAGAAGGCTGAGGTGGGAGGATTGTTTGAGCTCAGGAGTTTGAGATCAGCCTGGGCAACCTAGCAAGACTCTGATCTCTATTAAAAAAAAGAAAGAAAAGAAAGCCTGGGCAGTGGCCTCAGTGAACCCTCGAGGATGCTGTGATCCTCTTGGTGACGTCCCCAGCCTCTGCTTCAGGATGACAGCATGGTCTCCTGCACCATAGCTCGGTCTGAAATTTTCGGTTTTTCTTTCAAGTTCCCCTTTTTCAGTCTTCAAGGGGGATGGAGGAGGTGGCCTGAATAAGACATAAATGAAAGAGGAAGTGTCTCAGCACCAACCAAACGTAAAACAGCGACAGCGACCCACTTAGCTTGTGACCTCTACGGAAATACTGAAGACGTCCTCTGTGTCCTTTTAGACTTTCTGGGGGAGGGGACAGCTGCTGCCCAGAAGCAAGCAGCTTCCTTTTGGCCAGGTCAGTGCAGGGAACCAACAAAGACAGGGACCTGTGGCCAGAAGAAGCACAGCCACAGCAGGTATCTGATTGGACTGAGCCAGGAAAGGCCTTCTTGCCCTTAGGGACCCCTCAAAGCTTCTTTCCCACAAGCTGGAAACTGCTTGGCTCACTGCTGTCCTAAATGCAGGTGCCAGCCGAGGGGGTTACCCTAGGACCGTGAGCCATTAACAGCTTGTCTCAAATACGCTTCTCCAAGGCAGTCAGCGACTCCCCACTGAACACCTGTGGGTTCCTGCTGGTGCTAACTTAGGCACAGGGCTAGCAGGTCCCTCCCCTGTAGCAGATGATGAGAGCAAGTGTGGTGCAGGAGGAACTGGAAAGAGAGCATCGTCAGAGGCGACACTTGCGTGGATTAAAACCATATATTCTTGTGCAATGTAAAATTGCCAACTTGCATCAGCATAACGAAGGACACACTTAGAATAGAAAAGCTGAGGAGGACAGAAGAATAGGAAGAACAACAAAATCATGCCTGGTCCTTTTGCCCAGAAATGACCCATGTGAATCTTGGCTGAACTTTTAGACTTTTTCGCGGTGCACATTTCTGAACATAATTTGACAACGTGGGACCTCTAGAATTGTACATTCTAATTTTTCAGTCCATTTATTTCTTATTCCAGAAAGAATCCATATATAAGGATGGCTCATCACAGTGTTGTTTTTAATTGTGAAAAGCTGAAAAATGGATGCTCGCCACTAGTGTTTATAAATAAATTCAATAAAGTTATGCTCTCACAATAAAATATTATGTAATCATTTAAAAGAATAATCTCATGCTCTGCGTATTATCATGGAAGGATGTCCACAAGGTCTTGCTGAAATTTTTTTAAAAGTCCCAAAACAGTGTATATATAATTTGAGACTATTGATATAAAAATATGGGTGTATATGTGTGTAAAAAAAGATGTTTGGGCCGGGCACGGTGGCTCACGCCTGTAATCCCAACCTTTTTGGGGCTGAGGTGGGCGGATCACTTGAGGTCAGGAGTTTGAGACCAGCCTGGCCAACATGGTGAAACTCCGTCTCTACTAAAATAAAAATAAAAAAAATTAGCTGGATGTGGTGGTGCATGCCTGTAATCCCAGCTACTCCAGAGGCTGAGGCAGGAAAATCGCTTGAGCCAGGGAGGCGGAGGTTGCAGTGAGCCGAGATCTCACCACTGCACTCCAGCCTGGGTGACAGAGCGAGACTCCATCTCAAAAAAAAAAAAAAAAGGATGTTTGCCAAAATGTTAATAATGGTTGTCTTTAGAAGGAGGGCTTTTTGTGCTGTTTACTTTCTTCTTGATATTTTTTAGCAATTTGTTTTTGCAATGAGCATTTACTAGTTTTATATTTTTTAAACTATTTACCTTGAAAAAATTAGGTAAATCTATACTTACCATATAAAATACATTTATTTTGTAGTGAGTGAAAATGAGGGTTACAAAATATATACATAGTATAATATCATGTTCATATTTTATAGTTTTATACATAAATTTACATATTTTAGTTTAAGTGTTTATAAATACAAAAATACATTCACACATTTGAACATATATATAATATGCATATACATTTTACATGTATATATAAAAAGTTTTAAAACATATATTTTTATTTTTTAAGATTACTCTTTTTTTCTTTTTTTTTTTTGAGACAGAGTCTCACACTGTCGCCCAGGCTGGAGTAGAGTGGCACGATCTTGGCTCACTGCAACCTCCACCTCCCGGCTTCAAGCGATTCTCTCGCCTCAGCTTCCCAAGTAGCTGAGGTTACAGGCGCCCACCACCACGCCCAGCTAATTTTTTGTATTTTTAGTAGGGACGAGGTTTCACTACATTGGCCAAGCTGGTCTCAAACTCCTGACCTCGTGATCCACCTGCCTCAGCCTCCCAAAGTGTTGGGATTACAGGCGTGAGCCACTGTGCCTGGCCAAGATTACTCTTATATTTTGAATAATAATTGTATTTCCATTCTGGGGAAAAGAGTAATATTTTGGAAACCAGGCGCAGTGGCTCACGCCTGTAATCCCAGCACTTTAGGAGGCCGAGGCGGATGGATCATCTGAGGTCAGGAGTTCGAGACCACCCTGGCCAACATAGCAAAACCGTGTCTCTACTAAAAATACAAAAATCAGCCAGGCATGGTGGCGGGCACCTATAATCCCAGCTACTCGGGAGTCTGAGGCAGGATAATTTCTTGAACCTGGGAGGTGGAGGTTGTAGTGAGCCGAGATTGTGCCACTGCATTCCAGCCTGGTGGACCGAGTGAGACCCTATCTCAAAAAAAAAAAAAAAAAGTATGATTTTGGGCTAAGTCTTGGAGGGGTAGGGACGGCCAGTCCAGGGCAGCCCAGGCTGAGGGCACAGCATGTACCAAAAACACAAAGCCACAGCAGAGCAGGGCCATGCGTGGCACACGCTGCTCCTGGCACCTGATAGCACCAGTGTTCTGTCCTCCTGGAAACTCTCCTCTTGCATTTCTGGGTCACTGTTCTCTCCAGGCTGCCCAGTCAGCCAAGCAGGCACCTGGGCACAGAGGGGCCCTGAGGGATTGAGGCTGTCCCGGGTAGGGGCTCCGTAAGGGGGAAGCCAACCTACTTTGCAGTGTTCCTGAGGCTCAGGCCCGTGTGCCACAGTGAGAGGGCGCGAACTCCACGGTCCGTGGACTTGGGTTCAGCTGAGGCACCACCAGCTCCTGGGTGGCACTCGGCCAAGGCACTTTACCTCCCTGGGACTCAGTGTGTTTATCCAGGGGTATGAACAATAAGAACCTCTGGCCCACAGGCTTAATGAGAGAATTAAATAAGACATGGGAACAGCTCCTTTCAACTAACTGTTTATTACCAGAAGGTGCCCAATAACCAGGCATGGCAAAAGCCCAAAGGCAAAAACACAAAGCCCTGACATTTAACAGGTTCTTTTTTTGCTAAGAAACCAGCGCTGGAGACAAGTACTTGTGATATATCCTCGTGGCTGGACTTGTTGGTCACAAGTTCTAATTATGGAAATGCCCTCTGACAAAAGAGCCTGTTGATGTGAGTCACTATGGGTGGTTTAACTCTCTAGGCCTGGGCTGCTCCTAAGAATCATTTGCAGATACATCTATCTACCTAGCTATTTTTTTTTTTTTGAGACAGGGTCTCACTCTGTCACCCACTCTTCACTCTGTGAAGTGCAGTGGCACAATCAGGGCTCACTTTATCCTTGACCTCCTGGGCTCAAGCATTCTTTCCACCTCAGCCCTCTGAGCAGCTAAGACTATAGGTGTGTGCCACCATGCCGAGCTAATTTTTTTATTCTTGTTTTGAATTGTAGTATAGATGTCTCACTATATTATCCAGGCTGGCCTTGAATTCCTGAGCTCAAGCAGTCCTCCCACCTCGGCCTCCCAAAGTGCTGGGATTACAGGCATGAGCCACCGCACCCGGCCCATAAGATACATATGTTTTTTTTAAAATAATGCAGTGAGTTGTTTTGTTTTGGTTTTTGTGTTTTTTTAGAGACAAGGTGACATTCTGTTGCCCAGGCTGTGCTCTCACAGCTCACTGCCGCCTTGACCTCCTGGGTTCAGGCAATCCTTTCACCCCAGCCTCCACGTAGCTGGGACTACAGGCATATGCCACCACACCCTGGTTAATCTTAATTTTTTTTTTTAGAGATGGAGTCTTGCTATGTTGCCCAGTCTGGTCTTGAGTTCCTGGACTCCAGTGATCCACCCCCCTCAGCCTCCCAAAGTGCACCACCATGCCCAGTTAATTTTGTATTTTTAGTAGAGACAGGGTTTTTCCATGTGGTCAGGCTGGTCTCAAACTCCTGACCTCAGGTGATCTGCCTACCTTGGCCTCCCAAAGTGCTGGGATTACAAGTGTGAGCCACTGAGCCTGGTCGCTACTTGTTCTTATTGTGCATTTATATCCTGAAGAAATGGAATCTGCCATTTGCTGTAGCAGCGATCCAGAAAAACAAAGTGTAGTTGTTGGAATAAAACACAACTAACTGACATTGAGTGTCACCTGGGGGTGACCCAGCACAGCAAGAATGGATCAGCTTAAGCAGGTGTGGTGGCATGCACCTGTGGTCCCAGCTACTTAGGAGGCTGAAGTGGGAGGATCACCTGGCCCAGGAGAACGAGGCTGCGGTAAGCCAAGATCATGCCACTGCACTCCAGCCTGGGCAACAGAGCAAGATCCTGTCTCAAAAAAAAAAAAAAAGAATCAAAGAATGGATCAGCCTCATATCATCCAAGCTCATAGAGACAATGATGTAGAAAAACCCCAATGGCTTTGTATTGAATCGTCACCTTCAGAGGGCTGGGGACATAGGTTCATAGATAGTACCTTCACTCCCGGGAGGCACGGGAAGACAATTCCTTTTTGGTTTTTTTTTGAGACAGAGTTTCACTCTTGCCACCCAGGCTGGAGTGCAGTGGTGCAGTCTCAGCTCACTGCAACCTCTGCCTCCTGGGTTCAAGTGCTTCTCCTGCCTTAGCCTCCCAAGTAGCTAGCATTATAAGTGCCCATCACCACACCCAGTTAATTTCTGTATTTTTAGTAGAGACGGGGTTTCTCCATGTTGGCCAGGGTGGTCTCGAACTCCTGACCTCAGGTGATCCACCCACGTTGGCCTCCCGAAGTGCTGGGATTACAGGCATGAGCCACCACGCCCGGCCGGGAAGCCAATTTATAACAAGCTTTCTTGGTAAACATGGGTAATTAGTTGATGACCCTAATGGTCCCTACCCCTCAAAGTTTGGTGCATCCTCTTTCTCTCTCCCAGCCGTGTGAGGACACAACATGAAGTTGGTCATCTCAGGACCAGGAAGAGAGCCCTCCCCAGAACCCAACTATACTTGCACTTGACTTTGGACTTCCTAGCCTCTGCTGTGAGTGATGAATGCTTGTTGTGTAATCCACCCAGCCTATGATACTCTGTGGTAGCAGCCCAAGCTGACTAAGACACTTGGCAAGTGCATCTCCACAATAAGATCCAAGCCATCTCAGCCTGGAAGTTGATGCTTCCAGATGGCATTCAGGAGAATGACCAAAGTTTGTCTCTCTTTTTTTTGAGACAGAGTCTTGCTCTGGCTGGAGTGCAATGGTGCGATCTCAGCTCACTGCAACCTCCGCTCCCTGGGTTCAATAAATTTCTTGTGCCTCAGCCTCCCGAGTAGCTGGGATTACAGGCATGTGCCACCACACCCAGCTAATTTTTGTGTTTTTAGTAGAGATGGGGTTTCTCCATGTTGGCCAGGCTGGTCTCAAACTCCTGGCTTCAAGCGATCCACCCACCTCAGCCTCCCAAAGTGCTGGGATTATAGGCATGAACCACCACACCGAGCCCAAAGTTTTTCTCTTTGACCCTTCATTTTGTATTGTTGATCAATCTCCTCACCTTTTTTTTTTTTTTTGAGATAGGGTCTTGCTCTGTCACCCAGGCTCAAGTGCAGTGGCATGATCACAGCTTATTGTAGCCTCAAAGTCCCAAACTCAAGCAATCCTCCTGCTTTAGCCTCCTGAGTAGCTGGGACTACAGACGTAGGCCACCACACCCAGATAATTTTTATTTTTTTGTAGAGATGGGGTCTCATTATGTTGCCCAGGCTGCTCTCATACTCCTGGGCTCAAGTGATCCTCCAACCTTGGCCTCTCAAAGCACTGGGATTATAGGCGTGAGACATCACGCCCGGCCCTAACCCCCTTTCTGATTGACATGTTCTTAAGGTACCTTACAAGAGGTTAGAAGTGTTTTTATAAATATACCTTTTTTTTTTTTTTTTTTACAAACTTCAGTTGTAACCAAATCTTGCTAAAGAACTCATTCTGATCTCTTAAGGTAACTTTACATTTCTTTACATTAGAACTTTATATTTCTTCTAATCCATATGCATTGGTTTTACAGTTTTACCGTTTTGTAATTGCCAAAACAATACAGGATTCTCAGTCACATCGGAATTTCAGATGAACAATGAGTAATTTTTTAGTATAAGCATGTCCCATAAATTTCATGGGATATATTTACATTAAAAGTGATTGGTTGTTCATTTGAAATTCTAGTTAACTAAGCACCCTGTATTTTTATTTGTAAAACCTGGCCACCCACTCTCCAAGGGAAATACTAGTTCCCTATTTCCAAATTGGTGGAGGTGGTGGTGACCTCATGATTGCTCATATAACCTATCCACAGTTTCAAGAAGGAAAGAAAGGTAATTCTGTATGCCAAAAAGACACAAACCACACAAATAGCAAATATGTCCCCATGCAAGGCACAGTGCTGGATGACTCATGGAGAGTGATGTCTGGTCAAACACAAGCCCTCGGGCACGATGGCTCATGCCTGTTATCCCAGCACTTTGGGAGGCTGAGGCAGGTGGATCACGTGAGCCCAGGAATTTGAGACCAACCTGGACAACATGGGAGAAACCCCTCTCTACTAAAAAAAATACAAGAAAACTAGCCAAGCATAGTGGCACATTCCTCAGGGCGGGAGGCTGAGGTGGGAGGATCACTTGAGCCCAGGAGCCAGGAGATCCAGGCTGCAGTGAGCCATGGTCACACCACTGCACTCCAGCCTGGACGACAAAGTGAGACCCAGTCTCAAAAAAAAATTAAAATTAAAAAATAATAAAACAAAAATGTAAAAAAAATACATATATATGTTGCTCTACAGATTAGATGCATTCAGAGAAATTTACCTGAAAATCAATTTCTGAAAAGTAAATTTATTTCCCTAGTTTTCAACAAAAAATAAGCATACTAGGCTTTCAACCTCAATCTGCCAATTTATCATTTGGTCCTTGGCAAGTGTATAAACTAAAAACTTCATTGAGACTCAGCTTTCTCATCTGTCAAACATAGCCCAAATGGCTACCTTTCCCTCCAGCCAATGCCAGAGGAAGTGCTTGGTGAGGAAGGGGTAAGGAGCATGACAGGCCCTCCAAGATGGCCCCATGGCGTCTGTGATCTCCCTGTTCCCTTCTCAATAAAATGAATGTAGATCAAGCAACTCCTAGGTGTGAGCCATTCTGAAAGGGGCTGTGGGATAGAACACATCCCTGCATCCCTTGAAGAGTTAGACTCCACCTGGAAAGATAGGACATGTGTAGTCATCTGTTACAGTGGTAGCCCCCAGTGAAATGCACCTCTTAGTATTCATGCCCTCTATAGATCACTCAACTGAATCTGGGCTGCCTGAAACAATAGAATGTGACAGAGGTGATACTGTGCCAGCTGTGCCAAGGGGCACACGTGGAGGGGCTCACTTCAGGGTGCTGGATGAAGAACAGGGCAGGAGGCCAGACACAGTAGCTCACGCCTGTAATCCCAGCACTGTGGGAGGCCGAGGCGGGTGGATCACCTGGGGTCAGGAGTTTGAGACCAGCCTGGCCAACATCTCTATTAAAAATACAAAAATTAGCCACGCATGGTGGTGGGCACCCATAATCCCAGCTACTCGGGAGGCTGAGGCAGGAGAACCCCTTGAACCCAGGAGGTGGAGGTTGCAGTGAGCCGAGGTCGCACCACTGCACTCCAGCCTGGACAACAAGAGTGAGACTCCATCCCAAAAAACAAAACAAAACAAAACAAAAAAACAGGACAGGGACAGATGCTGGGCTTTGAAGACTGCACAAGCTCTAGGGCTACGCCTTAGGAAATCTTGGTGGATTCCACATTTGTAGTCCTGGGAACCCTGAGCCACCAGGTAACAAGCCTTACCTTCCTGTTGGAGAGGCCACATGGAGAGTGAGAGGCCCTGAGACTATATGGAGGAGAATGAGAAGCTCAGCCAGACATGTGCACATGTTCAAGCTGACCCAGCCACCCTCCGGACTCCGGAGCTACAACAGCCGGGACCCCTGACATGGGGGTGATGAAGCCACATCTTCAACTCATTCTTGGGTGTGCAAGATGCAAGTTAACATGGAACTCATTCTTGGGTATGCAAAAGATCAGGAATGTTTAAGCAAAGCAAATGATGTCTAGGTGAAGGTGATGCTCCCCAGACAGGGAACAGCACCCAGTATCCCCTGTTTAAATTCCAGACCCACAGATTTGTGGGCAAATAGCATTTTGGTTGTTTTTATGGTACCTCGCTTTTGGGTAGTCTGTTATGTAGCCATAGGTAATAAAATGTCAAACTCTCAGGAAAAGTAAAATGTCCCTCAAAATGTTAGGAATCTGTGCCTTCCAGCCAGACAAGTTTCTCAGGGTCGAAAGCAAGGACATGCCCAGTTCTAACACAGGCAGGAACACTTCCTGTTGGGGACTGAGCAGGAACTCCCTGTGAGTGCCCCAGGTTTCTGGATCCTGGGGGGGTGTGGGGACAGGCACCTGGGCTGAGGGGCTCGCCTGTGTCTGTTCAGCCACGGCTGTGCTTCCCCAGAGACGAAACATCATGGGGGGCTGCGTTTGAGGTGGGGGTGTCAGTGCCACGGAATCAGGGCTACCTCTACTGTGCAGAGCACCGTGACGTCCCCTACCTTCCAGGCAACAGCAAAAACCAAAAGAGACAGGCGGTAGCAAAAAGGGAGGGTGGAGTGGAGGGAGAGAGGGATAGAGGCCAAAAAACACCCCATGAGACAGCAAGGGAGCTGCCAAGCCTTCATTTAACCCAGGACAGAAGCAGGACTCGCCACCCGGCCACGGAGGCCAGAGGGCTGCAGAAGGGCACACATGCGGAGGGGCTGACTTCAGGGCACTGGATGGAGTACAGGGCAGGGACAGACGCTGGGCATTGAAGACAGCACAAGCTCTGACGGGGCCAGGAGGGGCCAGGATACTACACACACAGGGCCAGCAGGCCAGCACACGCGGAAGCAGCAGTGCAGGTGTCCCGCTGTGGATGTAGGCTGCTTGGGGCAGTGGTGGGTCGCTGTAGCGGGCAGGAGGAGCAGGTGGAAATGTGAATGCCAGGCCAAGGCAGCATATGGGCCAGGCTGATTGAAGGCTGGGCCTATGCCTGGTTCATCTTGGGCTCCCCAGCCCCTAGCACATAAAAATAGATGCTCAATAAATGCTTGCCAACAGATGGACTTTGCTTCTAGGTCACTGGGAAACACTGAAGCTAACTCCACAGGGGTGACCCAAATGAAAGCAGTGAAAGGAATGCTGGAGTGGCCAGAGTGGCTGGCTGGAGAAGGCCCATGAGGCTTCCGCAGCCTCCCGAGGAGGGGAGGCAAGGGCAGGGCTGAGGAAGGGACAGAAGGATGGAGACAGCCTCGTCCTCAGGAAGCATTTTGCCGATGGTCAGTCAGGGTAGGAGTGGATCCCAGGGGCCTGGGCTATGGTCCAGTCTCGCCATGAAATCACCATGTGACCCCAGCAAGTCACTCCCTATCTCTAGGGCTCAGCTCCATCTCTGTGCATCAGAGGAGTCAGATGAGAAGTTTCCCTTTTGGTCAGACTGTGATGCTGAGATTTGGTGACTGATGTAAGGCGTAGGTGGGGTGGCGTCAGGAAAGGGAAGGAGCACCAAGGGTCAAAGATAGTTCTGGGGAAGATGGTGGAGAAAATGATGTGGCTGTGGGAAGAAATAGGAAGTCTCAGGATGGGGAGCTGAGCTCGGGCAGGAAAGATGATGCGTGGGCAGCTAGGGGAGCTTGGTGGAGACGAGGGCCCAACTCCACAGCAAACGGGCAGTGGAGGCAAAAAGGACAGCCGGCTTGAACATGCCTCCTGCAGCTGGGTGTGATAGGTGAAAATGTCTCCCTCCCCAAAATATATCCACACCCTGATCCCCAGAACCTGTGAATACAAGGGTCTTTGCAGATGTGATTAAGTAAGGGTCTTGACATGGAAGCAGATTATCCTGGATTACATGGATGGGCCCTAAATACAGTTGTTTTCTTTTTATTTTGTAGAGACGGGGTCTTACTATGTTGCCCAGCATAATCTTCAATTCCTGGCCCAAGTGATCCTCCCACCTCTGCCTCCCAAAGCACTGGGATTACAGGTGTGAGCCACTGCATCTGGCCAATGCAGGTATCTCTGTAAGAGGGAGACAGAGGGACATTAGACACACCGAGGAGAAGGCCGTGTGAAGATGGAGCAGAGAGAGATTTGAAGATGCTGACCTTGAAGACTGGAGCGATGCAGCCACGAGCCAAGGAATGCGGCTGGCCACCAGAAGCTGGAAGAGACCAGGAACAGATTCTCCCCTGGAGCCCGCAGCCAGTGCACAGCTGAGCAGTATGGAGTTTAGACTTCTGGCCTCTAGAACTGTGAGAGAGTAGATTTCTGTTGTGTTAAGCTACCAAGGATTGTGGTAATGCCAGCAGTCACTGGAAGTGCATACACTGGCCATCCCACAAATCCCAGGCTCTGAACTCACAGCCAGGTCCCTACC
Organism: Homo sapiens; assembly: GCF_000001405.40. Taxonomy (NCBI): domain Eukaryota; kingdom Metazoa; phylum Chordata; class Mammalia; order Primates; family Hominidae; genus Homo; species Homo sapiens. The sequence goes on from NC_000017.11 coordinate 64,996,597, forward strand.
CGGGCTCCTGGTTAAGTGCTTTGCATGTGTTGCCTCTTACTCCTCCAATAAGCTGGTGGGGAGGACCTATTAATATCCCCACTTCCCAGAGGAGGAAAACCAGGTGTCGAGAGGTCAGATCATCTTCCCGAGGTCACGGAGCAGGTCTGTGACAAAGGCTGATTCTTGCTGAGATGGGTGTGACACCAGTGGGAACACTTCACCATTCTGCCACTCTGTCCCCAGCTATGAACATAGATTCCTAAAAATGTTATTATGTACACAAGTGTTCGAGTTCTGGTAAAGGAATTAGGGCCTCCCTCTCTCGGTGCCCGAAGCCATAGAAGTTATTATGTATAACAACAGCAGTTCAAAATCCCAACTCAGCCACGGGGTGATGGCAGGTTAGCTTGTGCTCCTCCCTCCTAACCCTGCTGTGCCACAGGGCAGCAAACTGGGACCCTAAGAAGTGGCGGCTTGCTCCAAGTCTTAAGGCTGGTCCCCTGATGTGAGAGCCAGAATCAGAAGCCAGTTCAGAATTTCCCCACCCAGCACACAGAGTACATTTTAGGGGTAAATTAGGCAGCTGAAATGTGAAAAGAAATGGGGACTTGGTCACATGATCCTTGCTATTGAAGACAGTCCCAAGACCACTGTCCAGAATTAAACTCTAAAATCAAATGTATTTTCCAAACACATGCATGATGCCTGCCCTCCACCAGAGGTGGGAGGTGGCCAGGCAAGCCAGACTGGGTGCCACCTAGGTCACTGGAGATCAGGGGAGGACACTTGACCAGAATAGGTCCACTGGCTGATGGGTGGCCCATGAGGACTTCCTCCGATGGGGCAAAGTATTGAATCCATCAGACTGGCTCCCTGCAGTGGGCTGGACAATTTGTAGAGGACTGGACAACAGAGAAAGAGACAAAGGGTTAAGGGGCAGAAGGGAAGACCCTGTCGCCAGAGCAGCCTTGCATCCTGGCAGCTTTCCCTCCTCACTCTTCATCTTGAAGGAAGCCTCCCTGGGTTCTCCATTCTAACTACTTTAGAGTCAGCCTCTCGCATAACTCTTAAGGCACAAAACAGAGTCAAATGTACACAGTAGGCAGGTCTTCTCCCAGTCCTTTTGCTTGGCATCTTTGCGTTCAGATTCCTGCAGTTTTGACTCCTTTGTGAAGTGATACACTTACGAATGCCTTACTGAATTAATTTTGCTGCCTGTCACTCTAGCAAATCCACTTCGGGCCAGTCGGATTTGCCAGGGTTTGTTCTCCTCCTTACGGGTCCAGGAGGGCTCCCGGGCGAGCCAGCTTCAGGCGGAGACCACAGCACGTCTCCCTTTTCATACTCCAAAAGCCAAAAGAAGATGGGCTTGGGGTGAGGCAATCTGGGACCCCATTTTCTTTCTATTAATCTTGCCTGAATTTACGTGTTGAAAAATGAACGTTAAGGCCGGGCACAGTGGCTCATGCTGTAATCCCAGCACTTTGGGAGGCCAAGGTGGGCGGATCACTTGAGGCCAGGAGTTCAAGACCTGCCTGGCCAGCATGGCGAAATTTCATCTCTCCTAAAAAAATACAAAAATGAGCTGGGCATGGTGGCGGGCACCTGTAATCCCAGCTACTCGGGAGGCTGAAGCTTGGACCTGGGAGGCGGAGGTTGCAGTGAGCCAAGATCACACCACTGCACTCCAGACTGGGCAACAGAGTGAGACTCTGTCCCCCCACCCCAAAAAAAGAGAAAAGTAAAGAATGTTAAAACACTCACCACTGAGGGATGTTTACTATATGCCTGAACACAATGCTAACTTTAAAAAACAGCTATTGCTCTTTGGCTCGAGTCACAGACGGAAGAAGAAAAAAAATTAAAATACACGGCTATTGTGTGTTTTCCTATAGTAAAAATAGAGGAGAGCTGAATTCTGTTGGGCATGGAGTTAATAATAATTTACACCTGTGATGCTCAGCCAACCACACAGTTGGGGTGCTTGTGAATTTTACTTACAGATCCTATTAATATAAGGCTGAACTTCTCCATTTCCACCCTCCCACTTCAACCACCATCAACACGACTCCTCTCTCAGGGGACTTTTAGCTCCACTATCACTGCAGGGTGGCAAAGGTGATGCTACAGCCCAACAATTTCACACATTTGTTTCCAGTTTATTTTATTTTATTATTTTTTTTTGAGACAGAGTGTCTCCCTTCACCCAGGCTGGAGTGCAGTGGCTCCATCCTGGCTCACTGCAACCTCCGCCTCCCGAGTTCAAGCGATTCTCCTGCCTCAGCCTCCTGAGTAGCCGGGATTACAGGTGCAAACCAGCATGCCCGGCTAATTTTTGTATTTTTTTTTTTTTTTAGTAGAAACGGGGTTTCACCATATTAGCCAAGCTGGTCTTGAACTCCCAACTTCAGTTGATCCACCCGCCTCGGCCTCCCAAAGTGTCATGTGTGAGTCACCATGCCCAGCCTGGTTTCCAGTTTCTTTGGGGGAAAATTGCCAAGGCAAAACCCAAATGAAACGAAGAGGATGATAGAGAAAGAGGAAAGAAGGAAGGCAAAGCAAAGGGAGTGAAGAAGTAGATAAAAATAAAAATAGCTGCCCCTCAGCCTGGGCAACATAGGAAGACCCCCACTCTAAGAAAATTTTAAAAAATTAACCAGATGTTGTCACAAGCACCTGTAGTCCTAACTCCTCGGGAGGCTGAGACTGGAAGATTATTTGAGCCCAGGAGGCTGCAGTGAGCTATGACTGCACCAGTGTACACCAGCCTGGGCAACAGAGTGAGACCCTGTCTCTAGGAAAAAGAAAAAACAGCTACCCCCAATTCCTATCCCATGCCTGGCACTGCAGCACTTTCTGCATTTGATGTTAAACTGAACCTGCCGCATAGGTGTTATAGGTAAGGCAAGCGACACGCAGAGGGGCTGGCATTTGCCTAAGGCCACACAGCTCAGGAAACACAGAAGCCTGGATTTGAATCCAAGTCCATCTTATGTTAAAGCCCATGTTCTTGCTTACTGATCACAGAAGCACCCTACTCTCATTCCTTAAAGAATCTTACAAAACGAAAGAAAAAAGCAGCACAGCAATTCTCTAGAAAATCCATTAGCGGGCACGGTGGCTCATGCCTGTAATCCCAGCACTTCGGGTGGCTGAGGCTGGTGGATCACCTGAGGTCAGGAGTTCGAGACCAGCCTGGCCAACATGGCAAAACCCCATCTCTACTAAAAATAGAGAAATTACCAGCCTGGCCAACACGGCAAAACCCCGTCTCTACTAAAAATAGAGGAATTACCAGCCTGGCCAACATGGTCCAGTCTGGCCAACATAATGAAACTTCATCTCTACTAAAAATACAAAAATTAGCTGGGCGTGGTGGCACACGCCTGTAATCCCAGCTACTCAGGAGGCCAAGGCAGGAGAACCGCTTGAACCCGGGAGGCGGAAGCTGCAGTGAGCTGAGATTGCGCCACTGCACTCCAGCCTGGGTGACAGAGCGAGACTCCATCTCAAAACAAACAAAAATTTAGCTGGGCATGGTGGTGGGCACCTGTAATCCCAGCTACTTGGGAGGCCAAGGCAGGAGAATCACTTGAACCCGAGAGGCAGAGGTTGCAGTGAGCTGAGATCATGCCACTGCACTGCAGCCTGGGCAACAAGAGTGAAACTCCATCTCAAAAAAAAGAAAAAAAGAAAAGAAAATCCATTAGTTAGAGTTGAAAGCTTGAGTGAGAAAATGTAGTGAGTTATGTCTTATGCTGGAATAGCAGTTTGGATCTCTTGTATTGTTGAGCAAAAAGGCCATTAAAGAAATGGAGCACAGTAAGGCTGGCAAGAAAGCGCTGCCCCGCAGGGCTTCATTATAATGAGGCCACGAGGGGCTTCTGGCTGAGATGAAAGATCTTGATGTCATGGATCCAGCATAACTCAGTCCTTCTTGCCTTCTGGTGTGGACCCTACTCAAGCCCAGGCTTTGAAACTGATTATGTTTACAACATTTCCCCAATGAGGGTATGATCTCTTTATTCTTTCTGACTTTTTATGATGAGAAGTTTCAAACATACACAAAATTTGAAAGAAGAGAATCAGGAACACCTAAGAACAGAATAATGGACAATTAATATCTTACCACTTGCTTTATTTCTCTGTCTCTGTCTCTCTCTCTTCCTCGATTTCCTCCTTGGCTTCCTTGATACCCCTCCCTCCGAGAGCACACGCCTTTCTGATGCTCCTACTTGGACAGTTCTCTGTCCTCCTCTTGAAGCCAAGGTTTCCTGCTAGCCCACTTCTCTCCTGACTCTAGGCAGTCAGTCCCCTAGGACAGGGGTCCCCAACCTCTGGGCCACAGACCAGTATTGGTCCATGGTTTGTTAGGAACTGGGCCACACAAGCAGGAGGTGAGCAGTGGGTGAATGAGGGAAGCTTCCTCTGAATTTACAGGCGCTCCCCATTGCTCGCATTACCGTGAGCTCCGCCTCCTGTCAGATCAGCGGTGGCATTAGATTTTCATAGGAGCGCAAACCCTATTGTGAACTGTGCATTTGAGGAATCGAGATTGAGCACTCCATATTAGAATCTAATGCTCGATGATCCGTCACTGTCTCCCATCAACCCCAGATGGGACTATCTAGTTGCAGGAAAACAAACTCACTGCTCCCACTGATTCTACATTATGGTGAGTTGTATAATTATTTCATTATATATTACAGTGCAATAATAATAGAAATAAAGTGCACAATAAATGTAACATGCTTTAATCATCCCAAACCCACTATCCCCACTTGGTCCGTGGAAAAATTGTCTTCCACAAAACCGGTCCCTGGTGCCAAAAAGGTTGGGGACCACTGCCCTAGAACCATCTCCCTACAACCCACAGCTTCAGCCACTGTGCTTGTAGCTTACATTCTGCACTTTTATCAATCAGACCTCTCCACTGAGCTTGAGACCTGTAGATCCAGCTGCAGTTAGATGCCCCAAAGGGACCTCAGACTCAGCATGTCCCTCAGAGCCTACCTGGCCCACCCAAGTCTGTTTCTTCCCCCAGACGTCCTATTTCAGGAATGGCTCCATCCAGTTGCTCCACCAGAAACCTGGGCAGCCTGCTGGGTTTCACCCTCTTCCCTCCACCTGCTGCTTCCAAGTGCTCTGTCCAGTTTTCTGCCTGAAGTATCCTTTTCATTCACCTCCTTCCAATTCCATTGCTAATGTATAAGCTCAGGTATCTTGCTTTTCCTGTACCTCAGCAGCCCTCACTTCAGTTCTTGCCTCCGGCCAGTTGTCACCCTCACTGGGATTACTGTAATACCGCTGAGGTCATGTCGTTCTGCCTCTTGTTTTTCTTTTTCTTTTTCTTTTTTTTTTTGAGATGGAGTCTTACTCTGTCACCTAGTCTGGAGTGTCGTGGTGCGAACTCAGCTCATTGCAACCACCTCCCAGGTTCAAACGATTCTCCTGCCTCAGCCTCCTTAGTAGCTGGGATTACAGGAGTGTGCCATGCCCGGCTAATTTTTTTTTTTTTTTTTGACAGAGTCTTGCTCTGATGCCCAGGCTGGAGTGCAGTGGCGTGATTTCAGCTCACTGCAACCTCCGCCTCTCAGGTTCAAGTGATTCTCTCACCCCAGCCTCCCAAGTAGCTGGGATTACAGGCATGCGCCACCATGCCTGGCTAATTTTTGTATTTTTAGTAGAGATGGGGTTTCACTGTGTTGGCCAGGCTGGTCTTGAACTCCTGACCTCAAGTGATCTGCCTGCCTTGGCCTCCCAAAGTGCTGGGATGACAGACGTGAGCCATTGCACTCGGCCCCATTCCACTTCTTATAATGCTTACTGGTTTTTCATGCCCATGGGATAAAAGCCAACGGTGTTGATCTGGCACGTGAGGACCTCCATGACATGTTCACTGCTCATTTACTCAGCTTTACCTCTTGCTACTCATCCACCACCTTTCTATCTTCCAACTGGTTAGGGTTCTTGCTGCTACCCAACTTGTAAGCCCCACACACCTCAGTGCCTTCGCACATGCGGTACCCTCTGTCTAGGACTCCCTTCCATACCTGTGTCTGACTCATCTTTTATCATAGTCTTTCATATTTTTGTTCCCCTTACTAAACAGTGAACTTTTGGGGGTGGGGATCAGGGAACTGTTTCTCCTCCTTACCCTCATCACCTTACAGAAGGCTATCAGTGAAAGGTGCTCGATCAAAGCTAGATAATGAAAGAACTCCCGGCTTTCTTACTGACACAATGTTCCACCATCTGGCATGCAGCCTTTCCTGCGTGTTAGGTCTAGGTAAATTTAAGACATCTTTAAAGCCCCAGCCCAAACACCTTCTCTTCCACAAAAGTATCCCTGCCAGGCTGGGCAACACAGTGAGACCCTGACTCTACAAAAAAAAAATAATAATAATAATTGGGCACAGTGGCACGCACCTGTGGTCCTAGCTACTTGGGAGGCTGAGGCAGGAACATCACTTGAGCCCAGGAGGTCAAGACTGCAGCGAATTGTGATCCTGCTTCTGCAATCCACCCTGGGTGACAGAGCGAGACTGTGCCTCAAAAAAAAAGAAGAAAAAAAAAAAAAGGCTGGGCACAGTGGCTCATGCTTGTAATCCTAACACTTTGTGGGGCTGAGGTGGGTGGATCTCCTAAGGTCAGGAGTTCAAGACCAGCCTGGCCAACATGGTGAAACCCTGTGTCTACTAAAAATACAAAAAATTAGCTGGGTGTGGTAGCGGGTGCCTGTAATCCCAGCTACTCGGGAGGCTGAGGCAGGAGAATCGTTTGAACCCAGGAGGCGGAGGTTGCAGTGAGCCAAGATTGCGCCACTGCACTCCAGCCTGGGTGACAGAGTGAAACTCCATCTCAAAAAAAAAAAAAAAAAAAAGAAAAAGAAAAAAGTGTCCCTGATTGCACGTAGATGGAAGGAATTGCCTTTCTCTGAAGGCTTGGAGCATTGTATCTAGTCCCCTCGAATGGCGTCTTGACTTAAGTACTTATGCACCTGTGTCTTCTCCCCTGCTGGACTGGAAGCATCTTAAATTCAACTCCATAAGTGGATCATTTTCTTATCACCCAAAGTGTCCAGCACACGGGTGACATAGTAGACATTTAACAAATTCAGTTAAATTCTACAAACATTTTTTGAGCACTTATATATACCCATCAAGCTACTAGACTGAGGATTCAGAGGCAAATGAGACAAATACAGTGATCTCTGACTTCCGGGAGCTTACAGTCTAATCTAGAAGTCAGACTGGAAGACAAATAGTTACACATGTGATGACCGAGATCAATGCAGTAGGTGAACTCTTGTAAAGCAAGCAAGGGGAGGTGTACTCTGTGCAGGGCAAATGCAGGGCTGATCTTCTGCCTCTAAATGTTTATTAAGTTTTTTCTTCATATAAAAGTGACCAATCCTCTTCGTAGAAAATTTGGAAAAGAGAAAAGTGTAAAGAGGACAAAATACTTTGTGATTCCCATCACTCAGAAAAGCTAACATTTTGCTATATTTACTTTTAATCTCTTTGCTAACTTTGTGGAGTGACTGAAGTCTCAAATTCTTTGAACAGCCTTATTGAGATATAATTCATATGCTATAAAACTGGAGAGCCAGTCTCCATACTGGCAGGGTGGCATTCTCTCCACTCCTCCACAGTCAGATTCTCATCACAATTTGATTGAGATTTGAATTAGATTGAGTCCGATGGGCACTCTAAGAGCTTAACAGGAGCATCTGTGTAACAATGTCGAGTTCACAGCACAGTGGAGTGGAGGAGCTAAGAATCTATGAACAATAATAGCTTCAAGATAAGGTACAGAGGTCAGGCGAGGTGGGTCATGCCTACAATCCCAGCACTTCGGGAGGCTGAGGTGGGCAGATTGTTTGAGCTCAGGAGTTAGAGACCAGCCTGGGTAATATAGTGAGACCTCATCTCTACCAAAAAAAAAAAAAAAAAAAAAAAATTAGCCAGATGTGGTGGTGCGTAACTGTGGTCCCAGCTACTTGAGAGGCTGAGGTGGGAGGATCACTTAAGCCTGGGAGGTCAAAGCAAAAGTGAGCTATGATTGTGTCACTGCACTCCAGCCTGGGTGGCAGAGTGAGACCCTATCTCAATAAATAATAGTAATAATAATAATAATAGTAATGTAGAGTGATTTAAGTGCCCTGAAAAAGCAATAACATGGGATAAGTACTCAGAGAAAGAACTGCTTCTAGCCCAGGATGCATAGCAATTGGGATGTCCTCCTTTGAACTGGGTCTTGAAGGATGAGTAGGATTTGCCGTGTGAACAACAGAACCAGAGAGAAGAGGTGTGGGGCAAAGAAGCCATCTAGTTTAGCTAGAGTGGAGGAAGCTGGAAGGGAAGGCCGGTTAGAAAAAGGTTGATGCAGCTGGGCATGGTGGCTCACCCCTGTAATCTCAGCACTGTGGGAGGCCGAGGTGGGCGGATCACAAGGTCAGGAGTTCGAGACCAGCCTGGCCAACATGGCGAAACCCTGTCTTTACTAAAAATACAAAAATTAGCCAGGCATGGTGGCGCGCGCCTGTAATCCCAGCTAGTGGGGAGGCTGGGGTGAGAGACTCGCCTGAACCCGGGAGGCGGAGATTGCAGTGAGCCAAGACCGAGCCACTGCACTCCAGCTTAGTGACAGAGCGAGACTCCGTCTCAAAAAAGAAAGAAAAAGGTTGATGCTGGGTCCTGAATGGTGTGGATGCCATGCAGGGAGTTGGAATACTCTTCTGTCTCACGCACTACAGAAAGGAATAATATCCGGTATTCCCGTGTTGGATTAACGCTTCTTATTTCCATTAAGTTGGGCATCCGGCTCTTCATCTAGAATATATTCCCCTTTTATAGCGATGTATGGCATCTTCCCCCAGACTATAACCTGCTACAAATGCAAGGATTGCCTGCAGAAAATTAGCCTTGATCTGTAATTTCATTAACAGAGCCAAGCTGTGGGTGCTGTGAGGTTCATTTTTCCTTTATTTCTTTCAAGATTGAGTCTTGCTCTGTCGCTCAGGCTGGAGTGCAGTGGCAATCTCAGCTCGCTGCAGCCTCTGCCTCCCAGGCTCAAGCGATTCTCCTGCCTCAGCTTCCCGAGTAGCTGGGACTACAGGCGTGTGCCACCACGCCTAGCTAATTTTTGTATTTTTAGTAGAGACGGGGTTTCACCATGTTGGCCAGGCTGGTCTCGAACTCCTGACCTCAGGTGATCCACCCGCCTCGGCCTCCCAAAGTGCTGGAATTACAGGTGTGAGCCACCAGCACCCAGGGAGGTTCATTGTTTTCAGAACAAAATTTCAACTAAGTCTGATGGTAAAATCAGCTAGTTAAATCCTACAAAGCTTACAAGAACTGGGGATTTTCCACGTAGAATAATGTGAAAGTAAAACGAAACAACTTTTTCTCCCCCCAAGGTCAGCAGTGCTTAGCCTTCAGTTCATCTTATGTTCTGTCTCCCCTTCAGCAGTTGGCAGGGGCAGAAAATCAAGCGTGTCTAAAGCGGCAGTCTAGGTCATTACGGAAGAATCATCGACTTTAAAAAAGACATGATAGCTTCTGTTTTCCTACCATGAACCTTCATGGGGAAAAGAAAAAGCAACATACTCCTCCACTCAGTATAAATGTTAATTCTGGACACAACTTCCCTCAGTATTCTTGTGGCAAACAGATAAGCTGAACACAGCCTCCTTGAATGGCTAATTTGTATCCCATACTTGTTTGAGCCTTTTGTTTTCTTGGTGTACTTCAAAGAAAAAGGAACACTGTGAAATATTCTTGCACAGCATTTTCGTGGATACCCCTTATGCCAACCACAATACCGTATTTCAGAGGCCCCACTAATTTCTGACGAAAAATTACATGTACTTTTATTTATTTACTTATTTATTTAGAGCCGGAGTCTCGCTCTGTTGCCCAGGCTGGAGTGCAGTGGCAAAATCTTGGCTCACTGCAACCTCCCCATCCCGGGTTAAAGTGATTCTCCTGCTTCAGCCTCCTGAGTTGCTGGGACTACAGGCACGTGCCACCACACCCGGCTAGTTTTTGTATTTTTAGTAGAGATAGGGTTTCACTGTGTTAGCCAGGCTGGTCTCGAATTCCTGACATCAGGTGATCCGCCAGCCTAGGCCTCCCAAAGTGCTGGGATTACAGGTGTGAGCCACCACTCCAGGCCTTTATTTTTATTTTAAATTTTTTTGAGATGGAGTTTCGCTTTGTCACCCAGGCTGGAGTGCAGTGGTGCGATCTTGGCTCATTGCAACCTCTGCTTCCCAGATACAAGCAATTCTCAGTACAGGCGCCCGCCACAGGTCTGGCTAATTTTTGTATTTTTAGTAGAGACGTGGTTTTACCATGTTGGCTAGGCTGGTCTTAAACTCCTGACCTCAAGTGATCCGCCCACCTTAGCCTCCCAAAGTGCTGGGATTACAGGCGGGAACCACCACGCCTGGCCTATAGCATGTATTTTAAAACACTGCCCTGGGCCATCTGCTTTTTGAGGATTTGCCAAATTTCCCAAGTCACCAAAACAGACCTCTAGTTTAACCTGTAAACCTTGAGTTTCCTATATTCTCAGGACCAAAAAGTCTCCCTTTTCGTTTTCAACAACCCACTCTGTGGGCAATGAAACAGGTCATTTTGGGAGAGCATCCTGTACTGACATGACATCCCACAGTGCCAATTAACCAGGATTGTGCCCACTTTGCTACACAATAGTTTGTATTGTTTCTTTTTACACAGATAAATATTCCCTTGTTCCAACAACAGCATAAAAAAGGTGTTTTTGTTTTTTAAATGACCTCTTGGTTTGTTTGGGGATTCAAATGCTCAAGTGAGTCTAGTTTCAATTTTTAAAGATCTTAAATCTCTCCCAGAAAGACCTGTTTCCAAAGTCACAGATTTTTAGATGTTAAGAGTTAGACTCAAAGTCCAAATTTTCTAACCCAGTTTCTCTTGAGATCAACAGTAACATTTCATGTTAGAGGTGAGAACCTGGAGAAGAATTTTTATTTGCCAGAGAGGTTGGAACCAGAGCAGCTAGGAGCACAGCCAGCCATTACCTCCAGCCATTTCCTCACACCTGCTTTGCAACACCAAGAGAAAGCCCTTCATTCTGTTTAGGGGAAGAACAGTACAAGCACAGCTTTATCTATCTGTCTGTCTATCTATTTACTTAGAGACAAGGTCTGGATCTATCACCCGGGCTGGAGTGCAGTGGCGCGATCTTGGCTCACTGCAACTTCCACGGCCTCCCGAGTAGCTGGGGGACTACAGGCCCATGCCACCATGCCCACCTAATTTTTGTAAAGACGGGATTTCACCATGTTGCCCAGGCTGGTTTCAAACTCGTGAGCTCAAGTGATCCGCCAGCCTTGGCCTCCCAAAGTGCTGGGATTACAAGCGTGAGCCACCACGCCCAGCCATAGCTTTCAATACATGCCAGGTAAGAAAAGGCATAAAGATGCCAAGTGATTTGACAACTGCTAACTTAGCAGGAAAGCGTAAAGGGAAAAGATGAGTAGTAACCACAGAAGGTGTGCTTGACACGATTTGATAATGATACTTTCTCTCTCTGGTTCCCAGACCCATAACCCAGTCTAATCATGTGAAAAACACCAAATTTCAACAGATGGGCATTCTACAAAATACCTGACCAGTACTCCTCAAAACTGCCAAAGTCCTCAAGCCTCTAATCCCAGCAATTTGGGAGACCGAAGCAGGCAAATCGCTTGAGCTCAGGAGTTCCAGACCAGCCTGGGCAACATGGCGAAACTCTGTCTCTACTAAAAATACAAAAAGTAGCTGGGTGTGGTGGCACGCACCTGTAATCCCAGCTACTTGGGTGGCTGAGGCAGGAGAATCACTTGAACCTGGGAGGTGGGGGTTGCAGTGAGCTGAGATCGGGCCACTGCACTCCAGCCTGGGTGACAAAGGAGTGAGACCCTGTCTCAAAAAGAAAAAACAAACAAAAAACACCTGCCAAAGTAATCAAAAACAAAGTCTGAGATAAACAGGAGTCTGTTAACTACCAAGAAGAGCTGAAGGAGACATGACGAGCGAATGTAATGTCGTGTGCTGGATGGATCCTGGAACACAAGTAAGGCATTAGGGGAAAACTAAGGAAACAAGAACAAAGCATGGGCTTTAGTGAATAATGTTATCAGTATTGGTTCATTAATTATGACAAATGTACCAAAGTAATGCAAGGCGGTAACTACGGGAACTATTATAAGGGGTGTGGAGTATAGGGGAACTCTGTACTGTCTTGAAATTTTTCTGTAAATCATAATCTAACATGAAGTTTATTTTTTTAAAAAAGATGAGTGGTCAATGTTGGTTTGTCTCCAAACATTAATTACAACAGACGTAACAGAATTATTAATATTGTCGCAGCTGGATGAACTGAGCTCAGGTACACCCTAATACAGTTTCAGTGGCCATAAGAGGAGCAGAGAAAACAAGTGGTTTCTCTTCCCCTATTCCCTTGTCAAAACATATTAAGTGTCTGAGAACTTCCTTGGAAGAAGTCCACATCTCCATTTCTAGTAAGAAGTTTCTAGACTAATATTCAAGCCAAGTGGCATTGGGATTCTGCTGAAGTAGATTTGTGCCTTAACTCAGGCCCTAGATGAAACTTTTGCTTTCAAACTTTTAGTATCTGCTTTACATTTTACAATTACCAAACTGTTAAATAACATCATAGTATTGAATTGTTTACAAATGTTTATTAAATGTCAGTAATTTTTACAAAGCAAATATTAATAGCAAGAGGCAAATGTTTTGCAAAATATGTACAAAAGTAAAAAGCTGTAATGAACTAGCAACTCATTTTATAAAATCAAACCATTCTTTCCACTTTTAGACCTCCTTTAGAAATAATTTATTGCCCATCCTGAACTAAAGCACTGACAAAAAAATTTACAACAATTATCAGATAATGTGCTTAGTTCCTGGAAAGTTATAAAAAGATATATGTAAAAAAAAAATCCTAAGCCACAAATATTTTATAGAGCTAATACGAGTCATGTTTTGTTAGGTACAGTATCTACGGGGTTATTACAAAATATACTTTTTTATAAGGCTTCTTGTGGTAAATGAGCTCTCACCAGAGTAGAGTAGTTTAGAAAAGCCATTTCAAACGTTTTGCGATTCTGCCTTCAAGTAAGAGGTAAAAGGTAAATGGCATAGTTTGTTGCACTGTTGCTTATACTGTGCAAGAATTAATCTCTACCCCTTTCTTTCCTAGTACCATCAAACAGGCATGATTAAGGACAATTTCTCACTTACTATGGCAAAAAATATTATATACAAGCTTTCTTAACACAAACCAAAGTCACATACCAAGTAGTATATGACGTTCAGTGATATTCACTGACTGAAATTTTATGCACACTGAGTTCCAGCATACTCTGATCCACCTGTAAACTTTCATCATCAACAGCAGATTTGTATATGTCACAAAACTCTCCTTATCAAGACATAAAATATTGCCATATCATTCATGCTTTCAAAACAATGTTCATATAAGCTCTCGCATTTGAAACCAGATGGTAAGACCTGAATGCTACAAGAGTGAACATAACTTAAATGCTAACTACACGTTCAAGTACAGACATAAGAATGCTAGTGGTACAAACACTGTACTCCAAATGATGTTGTTAATCACCTACCAGCCTAAGACTAGTATCTACTTGATGGAACTTGAAAAAGCCATAAAGTCCAACTTGTTTAAAATGTTCAGACTTAGACTTACACTTCAAGATCTAGTATACATTTATTAATAAGCCCTAACCTCGTACCATAAAAAAATGGGCATGTGCTGTATTTGGGACATGCGGACACACCCACACCCACCCACAATCTCTCCCCTCCTCATGTTTACTAGACTGAAAAGCCACCCTGTATCCTATCATTAAAAAACAAAACAAAACAAAACAAAACAGTGCTTTTAGTCAAGCAGCACAACACAAGGACAGATCATCTGTGATTAACAGAAGCGAACGCCTTAAAATGATGGGAGAGAGACAAATTAACTAGGTACTAAGTCAGATTTCCAAGTGAAAAAGACATGAGCAAAACTTCTGGTCTTAATTTCTCAAATAAAACTAAAATAAATGAAATGGTAACAGAGTGACTTTCTCTAAATTTATTAGGGAGTTTGTTACAAATGTTTGGGCTTTACAGGCATGATTTCACGGATTCAAACAAGAAATTAACACTGATATTTAGCCTTCTCATGACATACACAGAAATAACATTGCTACAAACTGCAATGGAGAGAATCTTGTTTCAAATGGCTTAGTTTGGGGTTTTGTCTAAATGTATCATTATATAATGAAAGCACCAATTTGAGGGTTTCTCAAATAGTGATTTGAATTTTAGGACATAACAGTGTAACATGGTAACTTTATTCTTCATATATAAATAAGGCATAATCGGATGTGTATTAATGCTGAAAATACATTTTATCAAAAGCATAAATACAAGTATTTGGGTACACATTGAAAGTTAGGACTTAACCAATTTCTTCTTACAAAAAATGATAAGGACATATGGTATTTGTTGAATCTAAATCAGCACTTCTAATCATTTCTGGTATTAAGGCGATCTTATTTCCTTCTACTTTAAACCAACCACTGCCACCAACTGAATAAGGATTTCCCTAAACAGCCTCAATTTGAGAGACTAACCAGAGGACCTTCTCTATGCAAATTACATGCCAATACACCTTAAAAGAAAATAAGACAAAAGTGAATGAGTTTTTTCATTCCATATTGCTTTCTTTGGTTGCAGAGCAATCCAGTGCCCTTTCCAGATAATAAAATTGAAATGAAGATTTCAATTTAATATTTGGCAGACAGCAACAATGCAGGTTATTAAAAATATTAAAGGGGCAGAGGCATGCTTTGAATTACTCAGATTTTCAGAAAACATTTGACAAAACCCTTTCTCTATAAAAGTTATGGTCTAAATTTATGTTGTTTTATAAGGCAACTGTATATACATTTCTTCAAGGTCAATGAAGACACTTGTGTGATATTTCCTCAGAATTAAATGAGAAGGCATTCAGATTTAAGAACAGAATGTAACACAGGATTAGGCACATTTTATTCCAAATCATAACCATAAAGATTTAGAAAATCAAATACATCAAAGAACTTTAAATCTAAATTACTTTTTTAGAGACTGGGGTAAGTTTGCATAGTGAAATTATGAGCACCTTTTCAATTCTGTTCACTAAATTTCATCTCTCTCTTCATATAGTGGTATTTCAAAAGGATTCAGTTTTCATGATACAGGTGTAAGACTCCTTTCAAACGTTTTTAAAATACAACGTATAAAAAAATGTGGACTGAAGCCTTTAGATTGAACTTAAAGTTCTACTGAATGTCAAAACAAGCCTAAGTTGAATATAAGTAATTCATTGCCTCAAAATATAGTCTAGATTTTAAAAGAATGTTGATTCTGAGACATTACATGCAGCAGGGAAGAAAACTGCAAATGCCCAAAATAACATGATATCTATTTGGTGTTTCAACACTTCTTGGTGGTAATTCAAAAGGGGGAAACTTGGTGATTTCTGCTTTGTCAGGCAATATCTATGGTTCGTATCACAGATCTTAACTATGACTTAAGTAAGATGAAGTGTCCTCTTTCTATAGGGATCTAACTTGAGCCCTCACTGGAGTCAAATGTTTTGGCCATTCAATTTGCTAAATGTATGGGTAAACTCTCCAATGAATAGTCCAAATGTTACTGTGCACATATTCCGATATTCATTAGCACTGCAATTATGCTAATTTTGTGAATTTAAACAATGTATTCTTTTTGGCAAGAAGCACTAGATGTAGAACTATTCAAACACGCATGAATGATACCATGATACCACGAACATGCACGATACCATGAACTTGCATCACGGTGCCGGGCTACGTATGTGTAGCTCATGGATTACCATGGCATGAAAATGCTAGAAGTTATATGGATACAATGATAGTGGAAGTTCAAATGTGAGAAAAGTCAGGTATGTCAAGAACAATCCCTGGTTAGTTCACTGAAAAGCCCCACTCTCGTATCAGACAGCAAGACAGAACAACAGCCACTGACTTGGAAAGGCTGGGTGATCCATAACGACCAATCTTTCAAGGACCAATAAAATACCTGAGTACACAGTCAGCTATACAGTAAAATGACAGATATCACAGTCTTAAAATTTTCAGGAAAAGTAGAAAAGCTGTCAGACTTTTCAAGCTGTCGCCAGCCTTGGACTTCTGTTTCTCTAATTGTAGCACTACATACAGCCTAGAAGATAGTATTTCAGTACTGCAAACCAGCCATTCTGATGAGTTCACTATGAATGTATCTGCGATCACAAAGCTACTTCGTGGACACATTTTAATTTGGTAAGCAGTCGGGGGAGGTCAATGTAATCATCTTTAGGTGCGAACTAAAAAAATTACTACTGATCCTTAGAAGCATCCTTAAAACATTTAAAATATACCTCAAAAAAGCTGGACTTTCAACAACAACAATTATACAAATGTATACATACTGTATCTGTTAGAGACACACCAAGAATGAACAGGAATCTCAAATAATGCCTTCTTGAATAGTCTTGACAGAAAAATACTGCCCTTAGCAAACTCCAAATAAACAAAACGATGCCACAAATGGCACAGTGTGGAGTTGATGGGACTGGACAGGACAGCAAAAGATAGATGTTTGTGATGATACAACAATGATTTCCTACAGTAAGGATTGGTCTTTACTGACCAACTGAGATAGGGCTTAAAAGTCAAATACATGACATTCTGGAACAGGTTAAGTTTATTTAGAAAGTTCTGTTACCAAGTTGCTTGCAGTTTTTAGTTGCTGCTATGGCCAGAATGTTTCACATATGGTACATTAAACTACATGATAATTAAATATGAGAAAGGCAAATTCTATTTCACTCGTTACGTTTGACCAAAACACGGTAAACAGCATTAGCTTGCCTTTTGCTCTCCCATACCACCTGTGAACTCTTCATCAGCATCAGACCAAAGATCCTTATGTAAACTTGAAAACAGGAAGAACATTACCTTCAGAAACACAGAAATCTAAAAGCAAAACAGCTGTTGTGTATACAAGCAATTAAAATATGAAGGCTAAACCTTCTATAAACCTACAGAATGCCATTTCTTAGATAGAACTTCTAACAGCCCTTACAAAATAGGAGGTCACCATAAAGTTAGGCAACAAGTGTCACTGCTATATGTAAGGCGGACAGAAGATATCTTGTTTTGGAACTGAATATTCCTAACCTCATCCCTACAAGTATTTAAGGACACCTTTGATACTTGGCACTGCAGGAGAATTCAGTTTGGAAAGTAGAATAATTTAAAGCCTGAAATATGCCTAGTCTGAGGTCAGCTGGGAGGTTTTAACTGGACTTGAATAGAAGCCATGGTGAAACAGATCAAAGCCTGCATTACAGCAAATCTTGGCGATGAGTCACTCAACAGCTTTCAGCCACAAACCAAAGGCCGCAGAAAAAGTACTAAGATTTTCAAGAAGTTAAACGTAGAATTAAGATTGTTCTAATTCTGGTTGTAAACTGCTATTTTAAAAAACAAAACAAACAGAAAACATCAAAAACACAAAAAGATATTAAAACAGCAAGTCTTTTGTACATCACTGTAGCATAAGCTGCTTGAGGTTGTCATGCAGAATAGTATCCTTCACGTCACGGAAAACAAGGCGGATGTTCTCCGTGTTGATAGCAGTGGTGAAGTGGTGGTATAAGGGCTTCTGTTGCTGGTCCCGGCGTTTGTTCCGGAAACATTCCACCAGGAATTTTTGGACGTCTCTTAAGCAGTGGGGATCCCCTTCAAATTCTAGGAAATAGTCTTTGATGCTCACAATTTGCACCTTCTCCTCAAGCAAGTCTGTCTTGTTTAAGAACAGAATTATGGAGACATTGCTGAAAACCCGGTTATTGACGATTGTTTCAAAAATGTTCAGAGACTCTGTAAGGCGATTGGTCAGTCGATCTTCCATAAGCACCTGGTCAAATTCACTTGAGGAAACAAGGAAAAGTATTGATGTCACACTGTCGAAACATTCAAACCAACGTTTCCTTTCTGATCTCTGACCACCTACATCAACCATTTTGAAAGGAACATTTTTTATTTCAAAGTCGTATTCATGGATGCCTTTGGTGGGTCTTCTGGCAAGCAGAATATCTTGTTGTGATGGAATATAATCCTGGAAAAGAAAAAACTTGTTTTATACCTATTAATCCCGAAGTAATGCGAATTTTTAATGGACTACTAACTGGACTAGTGAATAGATATGCAAACAAAATGATCTTTTAAGTGACATTTTCAGATAGATTATGCTTATTATAAAATGCCAAGACTGGTCAGACATGGTGGGTCATGCCTATAATCCCAGCACTTTGGGAGGCTGAGGCAGGAGGATCGCTTGCGAAGCCAGGAGTTTGAGAATATCCTGGGCAATATAGCAAGACCCACTTGTGCTCCCCACAACAAAAGCCAAGATACATTAAAATGTTAGCAGGACGGGTTCAAAATTTACTACAAATGGCCAGAATCTACTTGTTTTCATCCCTGCAATACTACTCAAAATTTAAGCTGAAGTCTTATCAATTGTTCTTACCCACCCTCACTGCTATATATCCACCTGCAATCTTACTCCCCACTATCAGCCACTCTTGGTTCTAGCCAGAGTGATCTTCCTGTCTGCGTATCTACCTTCTCCACACTGCTCCTTGCTCCTCTATTAAAAGCAATGGGGGCTGGGCGCGATGGCTCACGCTTGTAATTCCAGCACTTTGGGAGGCCGAGACGGGCAGATCACGAGGTCAGGAGATTGAGACCATCCTGGCTAACACAGTGAAACCCCATCTCTACTAAAAATACAAAAAAATTAGCCAGGTGTGGTGGCGGGCGCCTGTAGTCCCAGCTACTTGGGAGGCTGAGGCAGGAGAGTGGTGTGAACCCAGGAGGTGGAGCTTGCAGTGAGCTGAGATCATGCCACTGCACTCCAGCCTGGGTGACAGAGCAAGACTTTGTCTTAAAAAAAAAAAAAAAAAAAAAAAAGGCAATGGGATCTGATTCCAGTGCCAATTCACAAGGATCACTTCCCAGTTCCAAGTTCTGCCCACCTCTCTCTAACCTATTCTAAAAGTTCTTTTACTGTGCAACCCCACTCATGACTTAAAACTTCTATGTTTTCATTGCTGCTATATTACATGTGTGAAAAATCCTTTCTCTACTATAATTAATTTCTTACTTATTGACCCAAGAACTCAAACTAGTCACTTACTCTGAGTGTCAGCACCTCTGTCTGTGAAATGGAGGTGATCACACTTGGTCTATATACCTGGGAGGGAGGGTTGTTGCAAGGATCAAATGAGCTCTTCTCTGCACTCTTGGTCAGTGAACTCTAAGACCCTGAACAAACAGAAGCTGCTGGTCACACAAGTCTCTGGCTACTCTGTGATGGCACACTTCCTTATGCAATGTAACTGGTTCTTCCTTGTCAGTCTAGCATTTTTCCAAAACTACAACACAACTTTCTGGTAATACATGAACGGGACAGCTAATATTTATCATCAAGGTCAAAATATTTTAAAAATCAAGGCAGGATTTAAAACAATGCTGTTATTCACAATGCTGCACTTTATGCCTTTCTGAATAGTGTCATATGATTTTGAAATTTCATTACAAGAATACTCATTGTCTCAAAATGGTGCAATGGAATTAAGAATATATATATATACATATTTTTTTGAGATGGAGTCTTGCTCTGTTGCCCAGATTGGAGTGCAGTGGCGGAATCTCGGCTCACTGCAACCTGCGCCTCCCAGGTTCAAGCGATTCTGCTCCTCAGCCTCCCGAATAGCTGGGATTACAGGTGTGCACCACCACGGCCGGCTACTTCTTTGTATTTCTAGTAAAGACGGGGTTTCACCATTTTGGCCAGGCTGGTCTCGAACTCCTGACCTCAAGTGATCCTCCCGCCTCAGCCTCCCAATGTGCTCGGATTATAGGCGTGAGCCACTGCACCCGGCCAGAATTCAGAGTTTTTTAAAAGTAGGTGGGTTCTTAGTTACTGGCAACCAACAGCCATTCATTAAATAACTCTAGGACTCAAGTGTTAGCTTTTCCATGTTTTCTTCTAGCTTTGTTCAGATACACGCCTGCTTTATTTATAATCAGCATATGCACACAGCGTTCAGCCTACCTCTGCATTTTTGCTTAATATTTTGTGAACTGTTCCATATGCTGATACAATCATACCTCATTTTAAAAGACAAGAAAATACACCAAATGCATTAACGTGCTGTACTTTACATTAACATTCCCCTACTAGTGGTCATTAAGGTTGTTTCCAATTTTTAGCCATAATTAACAGAAATACTGCAATTAAAATTCTCATGCACATTTTTTTTTTCCTTTGGACTATTTCCTAAGATTAAAATAATCAGGGGTACGATTATGACGTTAAAGGTTACAAACATTTTAATGACTCTGGATACTTAACACCCGACTGCTTTCTAGAAGGCAATACCAATTTACAACATACACCTATGCCAGCTCCTTCAGAAACACGCCGGGCCCTGAGCTTTTAAAAAATGTAATTCCATAAAAATAAAAAGTTCTCTATTATTGTCTTTGTCTCTATTAAAGCTAATAATCTAGTTAGCAATCTAAAGGCTGCTTCACATGAAGCACAGAACTTCATGCAATCGAGTGCTAAATAGTCTGGCAGAGCAGAGTATGTTGATGAGGACACACACATACTAGCTGTGTGAAGAAGAAGAAACCTGCCTTATGAGGAGGCAAATGAAGCTGTGCTACATTTAGAGAGTAACAGATGACTCTAAGGCAATGGCTTTCAAAATTTTCCTAAGCAGCAGAAACCTTTCTCCCACTGAACTCTTCTGTGTACGCCCAATACAGAGGTCAAACAAGCGAGATGCTCTGCCTGCAGTGGGCCCCGCTGGCCACAGCGCCAGCTTAGAGCTGCTGGCTCCGAGGAATACCTACAGGAAAATGATAGACTCTCTTTTCAAGGGCGACTCCCCCTACCTCGTGGAGTCTCTTCAGCCTTTTAAATCTAGCCCTCCTACTCCGTGACTCGACACAAAGGGGGCATGAATTCGAAAATGTCATTTGTCAAAAGATTTGGAAATCAGTCAACCCACTGTGTTCTATTTCTGTTTACAAACAAAAACCTCTAAAGATACTAAAGTATAACAGATAATGCACAATATCATCTTCAAACACAAACTTCTTTCTCTAAACAGTTTTACTTCCAAGAAATAGCAGACAAAGCATTCCTCAAGAAAATGGTAGAGACCTGGACAGTTAGAGGGAGAAAAAAGAAGTGTCGTGATTAAACAATAAAAATACTTTCATTTTGAAAAAATAAAAATCATTCAATATTCTGAGCTACCAATCACTCTAAATAAAGCAGAGAAGAATCAGAACGCCACCACTAAAAAAAAAAAAAAAAAAAAAAAAAAAAAAAAAAAAAAAAAAAAAAAGAGAGAAAGAAGCAAATAGCTTAATACATAATTTTTCTAAATTTCCTAACATCGATATCCTGACTTCTGCTTTCAAATGGCACTAAACATAAACATTTGGTTTAAACACTTACTGGTTCTCCAAGTTTATCCAAGTTATCCAGGAAATATTTTACAGATTCACCCTAAAAACAAGAAGAAAACAAATAGTTATTAGGGCTTAGAAATGGAAGATCTTGTTACAACAGTTTACATCATACTGTCTGGTTGTACACTTAACCCAAACAGACTTTGTTTAGTCACCAATTTCAGACAGCTAACCTTCCTAAAAACATATAAAACGTCTGCTCTGTCACAGACTGCTAAATCTGCAAAGGCAGGCTGATTTCACAAATGCTTAATAGAATCAATATCCCAAGTGATCATCTGCTTGGACAGGATTACACGCATGCTTTTTGCTATAACTACGTATCCACAGTGAAGACATATAATTAGAAGATGAAAACTGCTTTTGAGATAAAACATAAATCTACATATAAAATTTAAGTGACAGTCTTTTTGTCTACATTTTCTAGCTTAATAGTGACGATAGTTATCTTCAGAGACAAACCAAACCAGAGATGAGGTAAGAATACTGTACAAAATCCCCCAACCACAGGCATGGACAGGCGTGCCTTGCTCAGGAAGGCCCTGGATAGTGCTGCCAGCTTCACATCTCCAACAGGTCTTTTCCCGAGTGGCCTATCCTTTCTGAGCCCAGTTTTCTCGACGAAACTTCCAAGCAATTTCAAACATCTAAACTGTACGAGAATACATTCCTAACATGAAAACGCTTGACCAGAGCACACAGAGAAGAGGGGAACTATTTTGGGAAAGAAGGGGTCTGTGTCCGAGTCTCCTAGTCCTCACCCCCTGCGTTTCACTTTCCCGCGGGATTCTACAGCTGCAGCATTGTCCCTGCCTGAAGCTACTTCCAAGTGTTCCTGAAGCAGCACCTCATTTAGTATGCCTGGGCATCATGTGAAGATCTCCTCACACTGCAGGCTCCGGTTTAGTAGGTCTGGGTGGGACCCCAGTTTCTGCAATTCAAGGAGTGCCTGGGACCACACTTTGAGTCACAAAGCTTGAAAGTAGCAGTTCTATAATTTTTTGGTCTCAAGATCACACAATATGATCCAGCAATGGCACTGCTAGGTATATACCCAAAAGAAAGGAAATGAGTATATGGAGGAGAGAGATATCTGCACCCCCACGTTTACTGCTGCACTCTTCACAAAAGCCAAGATTTGGAAGCAGCCTAAGTGTCCATCAACAGATGAATGGGTAAAGAAAATGTGATACACATACAGAATGGTGTCCTATTTAGCTATAAAAAAGAATGAGATTCAGTCATTTGCAACAACATATATGGAAGTGTAGGTCACTATGTTAAGTGAAGTAAGACAGACACAAAAAGACAAACATTGCATGCTATCACTTATTGGTAGGAGCTAAAAATCAAAGCAATTGAACCCATGGAGATAGAAAGAAGGATGGTTACCAAAGGCTGGGAAGGGCAGCAAGGGTTGGGGTGGCAGGAGGTGGGGACGGCTAATAGGTACAAAAGATAGTTAAAGTGAATGAATATGGACCAGTATTTGATAGCACAACAGGGTGACTATAGTCACTAATAATTTAAGTGTACATTTAGAAATAACCAAAAGAGTATAATTGGATTGTTTGTAACATAAAGGATAAATGCCTGAAGGGAGAGATACCCTATCTTCCATGAGTGATTATTACGCATTGCATGCCTCTATCAAAACAGCTCATGTACGCCAGAAATATATGAATCTATTATGTGCCCACAAAAATTAAAAACAGAAAAATTAAAAAAATAAAAACGGAAGACATGGAAACAAATGATGATGTCTCTGGACTCAATAAGCTCAACAGCTTCTGATCACTTCTTTTTGTGTTTAGTGTCCTCATTCAAATTTTATACAAAGCTCAGTACGAGGCAACTGGTATCCTCTCCTCCTACCTTCCTAAAGTGTCTGGCAGATAAAATATGAATTACTGGGAGGAAGTTACCCTTCAATATTTTTTTCTTAACAATTTCAGAAGTGATCAAAGTCTTCTTGTTTTCTAATATTAATGTTAAGGAACAGATGTGAATTTCAGTCCTTTCTCTAACAAGGAGTGATCTGGCCAAGTCTCTAAACTCCTCCAGGTCTCCATTTCCCCCAGAGTTACATGAAGAAGTTCAGTGGTTCAATGGATAACCAACCGCTTAAGTTCTGCCCTGTGCAACAATTTCAGTTAGTTCCACTGATTTCAAGTTAAGTTCTCCTTTCCTCATAGGCCATGTGTTTGTTAATCCTAAATCTGCTTTTGTTGTGACTCATTCAAGCGGTGTTGCTTCCACGTTCTTTGCTAATAAATAAAGGATTTAATGTATTGTGCAAGAATATTATGGGTTTAAGACTCACTTTTTGCTGGTTGTAACTTGAGGCTCTCATATTTTTCCCAGTTCATTTTATGTTACTGAAGGGAATTTTTTTTTTTTTTGAGACAGGGTCTCAATCTGTTGCCCAGGCTGGGGTGCAATGGCGCGATCTTGGCTCAATACAACCTCCACCTCCCGGGTTCAAGCCATTCTCCTGCCTCAGCCTCTGGGGTAGCTGGGATTACAGGTGTGTGCCTCCGCGCCTGGCTAATTTTTGTATTTTTAGTAGAGACAGGGTTTCCCCATGTTGGCCAGGCTGGTCTTGAACTCCTGACCTCAGGTGATCCACCCGTCTCGGCCTCCCAAAGTGCTGGGATTATAGGTGTGAGCCACCATGACCGGCCTGGAAATTTTAAAAATAAAATTTCAAAGAAATTTCATTTCACAGTTAACACTTTAAAAACTTAAGATTATTTTATTCGGCCCTTAGCTCTTTTTTCTCTGTTCAGAACACTACAGGTAAGTTTCTAGGTTACTGTAGTAAGGCTGAAGAGTAAAAGTAGCATGGCACTCTGAAAAGTGTTCCAATATTTCTTTAGCCTTGTGGATATTTCAGTTCCATTTAAATGGCATAGCAGCCAGTGTACCTGGGTTCCAGCCCCAAGATAGACTTTATTACTGACAAAGTCAACAAACAATATTAGGTGAGCTTCAGTGACCCTTTGAGTATTAGAAGTCTATGAGGTTCCACGAACCATATTTCTTACGAGTTTTACAAAATGGTGTCTAAGCTGGGAATGGCTTCAATGTTGCCCCCACTTCACAACAATAATTTGTTATAAACATCCTTTGCTTGTAAAGACAAAATGGGTCTGGAGTCCTAAGCTTGAAGGTAACAGAAAAGCTAAGAACAAAAGTTAGAAAATAATTTCTATTAAATTCATAGTCATACAGAGAGAGGCTTAGCAGCTTATCGACCCAGTTACTGAACAAGTGACATTTGTATTCAATGCTCTCTTCTGCACAGCTAAAATATTAAAAGGAAAGGATTTAGAATGCACTTCTTTAAAAGGATATGGAATTTAAGCTGGATAGCCAAAGAACACACAAGAAGAACTGATCTGCTGTTTTAGAACATACTCAAAAACACCAGTGGCTTTATGTCAATAAGAAAAGGGCAACTCTGCTTATAGAAAATAGGTAAAGAGTAGAGTTTTTTAATTCAAAGTCTGATTCATGCCTTAAGAATATAACATAAGGTTTATAGAGATGGGTATCAAATATAGATTTTCTAATAAAAAGCAAGGTAAACATATTCTAGAAAGCAATTTGGCAATATGTATTAAGATCTTTCAAATGATCCTCAACACAGTACCACTGAAAAAGTATATACAACTACAACAGTGCTAGTGAATTACTATTATGGCAGAAGGAAGAGCTGGTTGAGAGCAAATGGATTGCTCCTTATATTTAACTAGATTCTGGACCAGGGGTCTGTCCACAAACTATATAGCCTGAAGGCCAAATCCAACCCAATGCCTGTTTTTGTACGGCTCATTTTTAAATGGTTGGGGAAAAAACTTAAAAGACTATTTCATGATATGTAAAAATGATATGAAATTCGAACTTCAACATCCATAAATAAAAATGCACTGGAACACAGCCACGCTCACCTGTTGGTGTATCGTCTATGGGAACTTCCAGGCTACAACAGCAGAGGTGAGGAGTGGAGACTGAGGCAGTGTGTTGCACTCTCATGACTCTGCACCACTGCTTGGTGCACCACAAACTGCAGTGACACAGTTATAACTTGAAAATATTCCAAGTGTCACCAGTATTGCCACACCATGACATTAAAAAAAAAAAAAAGGGAGTAAATACACATCCATCCAAATAAAAAGAAGGCCCTGAATACCACACTTTTAAGGCACAGTAGGATGTAAATAATTTTGCTATCAAATTCCATGGTAAAGCATTATTTATTATGCAATGACACTATAGCTATGCTAGAAGAATACAATGTATGCCAACATTTACAGACTAAGCTTTCTTCAATCCTCCCAACCCACAGAAAAGCAACGGTCATAAAACAAAAACAAAACACATGCAAAATTTTAAAATGGAATAGCTTATCACTGCAGAATTTCTTCACCAAAACAAAAAATGAAATGAGACTGCAACCAAAGTATTTTCAAGTTTTCAAAGTTTTTGTTAGACAAGCAAGGAATGCCATTTACCAAGTGAGTGAGTAACTCATGTTTGATTGTAACAGCTGAAGAAATATGGCCAGAGAAAGTAACCTTGTTTAAGACTATTAGCCTTTCAGTGAGAGCAGCTGCTCAGAGTTGAGGACACTCGGAACAACCATCAACTGTCAATTAAGAAACATGGCAAATTATTTCAGTGGTTTTCCCTGGCTCTTGCTGAGTTTATTACCACAATGCTCAGTTGTTGTTTACTTAGGGAATCAATGCCAAGTTTGAAGTGACTGAAGAACCAGCCTGTATGAACAGTCCATGTGGAAGAGCTACGTGTGAGAGTATTTTCAGAGAAGCTGAGAAAACACTAAATGAGTACAGCCTAAACTGGAATATGCTAGGCTGTGTTACAACTGATGGTGGTAAAAATGCGTGGAACAGAAAGGGGGTCAAACATGCAAAACCTGTGTAAGGGTTACTCACTGCATTACTCATGAGCATGTACCTTGTGGGAAACACATGAATCTATTGTGCTCATGAACGAGTAATGTCAGTGATGAATTTAACACGCTCCTGTGAACCTGACCATCAGCAGGTCATGAGTTTCTGTCAGAAACAAAAAGTGAAAATTCTGACACAGTTCGATGTCTTAGCAGCGCTAAAGTTTTACTGACTTTTTTCTGAGCACAGGGATGGAACTGATTTCTTTTCCTGAACAAGAACTACCCTTAACCACTATTGTTGAACGCTGAATGGTTTCGGAAATTAGCCTTAGGGCAGACTTGATTTGATTTCTGAATGAATTCAACCTAAAATTACAAGGCAAAACGGCACTGTTGGTGAAACTTACACTCTGGTAAAGTCATTTCGACAGCTAGCATAGTTTTAATCAAAACAATGTCAAACTGCTTTATATACTTTCTTTGCTGTCAAAAGTTAAAACAAAAAGTGAGACTTCCATTCCCATACAAATTTCCAGTGGACATAATATTTCTAAACTCTAACTACAGTTCCAACAGCATCTTTCAGACCCCTATGTAAGTGCAAAGGAAATTTCCATATTTCAAAATCCATTTAACTACGCAAATGAAGAGCTTCTACCTAACCTTCAAGTGGTTAATCTGCAATGTAATGACATGCTAAGAGGCAAACACTGAGAAGAATCTAACAGGATTCTGTAAGTATCTCTCAAGCACTGACTATGCTCAATAAAAATCATATGCTATGGCTGGCACGGTGGCTCACACTGTAATCCCAGCACTTTGGGAGGACGCCAAAGCGGGAGGATTGCTTGAGCCCAGGAGTTTAAAACCCACCTAGGCAACATACTGAGACTCATCTCTACAAAAAGTTAAAAAATTAGCTGGGTGTGGTGGCATGTGCCTGTAGTCCCAACTACTAGGGAGGGTGAGGTAGGATCATCACCTGAGCCCGGGGGTTGAGGCTGCAATGAGCTGTGATCATGGCACTGCACTCCAGCCTGGGCGACAGAGCAAGACCTTCTCCAAAAAATAAAAAATCATATGCTCATTTGGTAGTATCTGTGTGAAAATATATTTTCAAGGATGAAATGTGTAAAATCTCATTACAGATCAGAATGGAGGAATATTTGCAACTGACTCTGACAAAAAAATGCTAAAACATTGAATCCCAATAAACAAAATGTTATTCCAAAAGAATCCAATTTTTTTCACATTCGTAGCCACAAAAACTTGCACACAAGTTTATATTTTTAATCTCATCAATAAAACTTTTTATATAAATACCTACATAATGCCCTTGATTTCTTCCCTTGGCACGCAGTGCCTAAAATATTATACTATCTGACCCTTTACACATTTCTAGACCAATGATACTTAATCCTGGTAATCTATCAGAATTACCTAATGTGCTTATTAAAAATACAGATTCCCAGGTCTCCAAACAAATCCACCCAATCAAAATCTTAGCAAGTTCCGAGAGAAGTGATTCTGATGTAGCCAGCCCTCGCATTACTTCAAATCTGGATATATATTTTACTCAAAACTAGATTTCGTATTAATTTCATCTTTTAGGATCAATTACACAAAATCTGTTTTTAAAGTCTAAAAATGCCAAGATAAGAAATTTAGTTTAGTTTTATCTTACTGTACAAGTGGGCTTGTTTTTTGTTTTCTTGAGATAGGGTCTCAACTCTGGTTATCCAGGCTGGAGTACAGTGGCACAATGTAGCCACTGTCGAGGCTCACTGTAGCCTTGACCACCCGGGCTCAGGTGATTCTCCCACTTCAGCCTCCAGCGTAGGTGGGATTACAGGCACTTGCTACCATGCCTGGCTAATTGTTTGTATTTTTAGTAGAGATGGGGTTTCACTATGTTGCCCAGGGTGGTCTCGAACTCCTGGACTCAAGCAACCCACCCACTTCGGCCTCCGGGAGTGCTGGGATTACAAGCATGAGCCACTACACCCAGCTGTAAAAGTGGATTTCAAGCAGTATTTGCATTCTTCATAATTCACCACGTCTCACAAGAAACTATCAGGCCTTCTTTTGGGATATCTGAATCATAAACAATAAAATTAAGTCTATATATAGCTTCCTCTTTTAAAAAAACTTATTTGACAATTCTGACAAGCTTTATTTCCTACTGTACTACAGTTCTAGCTGCCTACTTGTCTATACCCCTAGAGCCTATTTTCAAATGTTCACCATAGTCCACAGCTTTCAAGCTAACTCAGATTTTGTGGTTAAAAATTAATGGACCTGATACTCCAGATGTAACATTACTGAACGTGCTGAGAAGCGCGGATGGGAAAAGTTATCGTTAAGTGCTACTTATATTTTAGCAATAGGACTCTAAGGAACTTGAAACCTCAATTAAACTTACAAAATTAATTTGCTTCTATAATAGACACCTAAACATTGCATGATAGGTAAATAAGCAATTAAAAATGCTTAATAGGCAGCACTCCCTGGCCAGGTTCAGTGGCTCAATGCCTGTAATCCCAGCACTTTGGGAGGCTAAAGAGCAAGGATCGCCTGAGCCCAGGAGTTCGAGACCCAGCCTAGAACACATAGAGAGATCCCATCTCTACAAAAAAAAAAAAAAAAAAATTAGCCGGGTGTGGTGGTGCACGCCTGTGGTCCCAGCTATTTGGGAGGCTGAGGTGGGAGGATCACTTGAGCCTAGGAGTTCAAGACTGCAGTGAGCCACGACTAAGCAGCAGCACTCTCCATCGTTTTACGTGGTAAACAGGTAAAAAAACTGCACTATGATGAAAACAGCAGATAAGACACAACAAAAAAAATTATAAGTAATGTATAAGGTTTTAATTTTCAGAGTTAAAATGAGAGGCCTACTCTGCCAAACATTACTATGATTTTATATATTAGTTAATCATCACTAAAAACCCAAAAACTATACAATTTTCTATATTTTATACTCCCAAAATAAGACCAAATCACTACTCTCCACCAAAATAAAAAAAAAAAACCATAAGACAACACAAAAATCACATCCAACCCTTAAACAAACCTCAAATCCTTCAAATCAAGACTACACTATCCCTCTGAGTCAGGTCAGAGTCCCAATACCAACATAATTGACAAATACAATTTATCACTTTATCATCTGATCCCCAAAGGGAATGATGATCTATAGTTATATCAGGAAGCCATGACTAGAAAATACTCTATGGCTTAGATGTAAGACTTTCCATTAAAAACAAAAACAAAACAGTACTCATTTTCACAAATCATAAGCCAAGTTTATATAGGCTGTAAAATAAAGCCGTTTCCAAAGTAAGTATAATTAAAGAAATAATTTTTTGCCAAATGAATCTTACACTAAAGAATCACAAATTCATCAAAAAATATGAAGCAGAGGGGGTTCATTAAAATACAGAACTTCTAGATCATTCAAGATCTAATATAGTATGAACCCCCTTTTAAGAAAATTGCATAGAAAATGAGATTACAAGGAAACTCATCAAAATGTAACAGTGGTTATAAAGACATATACATGAACCTTTTCCAAGCACATTCAATTTTTTGTTTGTTTGTTTGTTTGTTTTGAGACGGAGTTTCGCTCTTGTTGCCCAGGCTGGGGTGCAATGGCAGGATCCTGGCTCACCACAACCTCCGCCTCCCAGGTTCAAGCGATTCTTCTGCCTCAGCCTTCCAAGTAGCTGGGATTACAAGCATGAGCCACCATGACCAGTTAATTTTGTATTTTTAGTGGAGACAGGGTTTCTCTATGTTGGTCAGGCTGGTCTCGAACTCCCGGCCTCAGGTGATCCGCCCACCTTGGCCTCCCAAAATGCTGGGATTACAGGCGTGAGCCACCGCGCCCGGCCTCTTTTCCCAGCATATTCTTAAGGCTCACTACTTTCTGAAGCAGAAGGAAAGAAACCATTTTATGAAAATCTAGTTTACTGACTTCCTAATAATTTTTCTACAATTCTGATCTTAACACTAGCACTTTTGTGTCCTTTCTCTTGCCTCAGAAATCCAAAGTGCACCTGTCTTTCTCAAATCATCCAGATTTATTTATATAGTAAAGCCAAATTCCCACCTCACACCCCTCCCCCGCCTTTTTTTTTTTTTTAAAGAGATAGGTTTTCACTATGTTTCCCAGGCTGGTCTCAAATTCCTAGGCTCAAGCAGTCCTCCTGCCTCAGCCTTCCAAGTAGCTGGGATTACAGGCGTACCACCACAAGCAGCCACTGGGGGCCCTTTAAAAATCTAAGAAAACCTTTTGCTTAAATTTCCATAGTGGTTTTATCAGCACCTCCTATGGCATGAGTCATTTTCTACCTCATATGCAATCATCTGTGTACTTGTTTTATTTCCTTTTCTACAATGTATTGTTCCTGGGGACAGTTTTTGCCTTCTTAGTCACTGTATCCCTCTAAATATTTGCATATAGTGTTAAATAATATATATGTTTGAAAAAAGTGAGTATCACAGAATTGGACTCTCTTTGAAACTAGGAACACTGACATGCTAATTTCTCCTTTACAACAAAAGGCTTTCCTAAGAATGATGGGAGAGGCCAAAACAAAACCAAATATTCAAAACTTCTATCAGTTAAGAAAACAAGGCTGGGCGTGGTGGCTCATGCCTGTAATCCCAGCACTTTGAGAGGTCAAGGTGGGCAGATTACTTGAGGCCAGGAGTTTAAGACCAGTCTGGCCAACATGGTGAAATCCCATCTACTAAAAGTACAAACATTAGGCTGGGCACGGTGGCTCACGCCTGTAATCCCAGTACTCTGGGAGGCCGAGGTGGGCGGATCACGAGGTCAGGAGATCGAGCTCACGGTGAAACCCCGTCTCTACTAAAAATACAAAAAATCAGCCGGGCGCGGTGGCGGGTGCCTGTAGTCCCAGCTACTCGGGAGGCTGAAGCAGGAGAATGGCGTGAACCCGGGAGGCGGAGCTTGCAGTGAGCTGAGATCGCGTCACTGCACTCCAGCCTGGGTGACAGAGCGAGACTCCGTCTCAAAAAACAAAACAAAACAAAAGTACAAACATTAGGCGGGCATAGTGATGGGCTCCTGTAGTCTCAGCTACTTGGGAGGGAGGTTGAGGCAGGAGAACTGCTTGAATCCGGGAGGCAGAGGTTGCAGTGAGTTGAGATCACGCCACTGCACTCCAACCTGAGCGACAGAGTGAGGCTGTCTCCAAAAAAAAAAAAAAAAAAAATACCACCTACCATATAAGGAAGAAAGTGGAAAAAAAAAACCCACTTCACAGGTGATTCTTAAGGTTGCTCATCATCTACTTGCAAGAACCACTGTAATTATAATTTTCCTAAATGGTAGCAGTTGCCTCTTGTAATTAGCTCACTGGTACTTAGGGCATTTCATGAAATACTTGAGCCTAAGAAGACTGTTTCATGTGTCATGAGAGGTATGACTGCAGATCACTTGTCTTGGCCTCAACACTAGGATGATAGCGCCACAACCTTAAGCAACTTTCAGGTCACCAAGAAAGATGAAAGTCAAGGAATACAGATCAAACTATCTCTAATTCCTGCCTCCCTACTTTACTCTTCAGCTCCACACCACCTTCTTCTTCCAATCTGCAGCCTCCACTTCCCCCACCTACACACCTTCCAGAGAGCTACAGCCTCTACATGCAGTCTCTAGAATCTAGCCTTCCCCAAGTAGGTGACAGTTTCCTTAAAGAGGAATACTATGGATTTTGTTTCTTAAAAAGGAGGTAGAAACAAAAAGAAAAAGAAAAAGAAAAAAAAAGGAGGCAGAGTTACTGATATAATACTGAGAAGTTCACCTGAATGAGAAACATAAGGATGTTGGGAAAAACTTGGTGAACACTGAAGGATCAAGGATACTGTTCAGTTGTGCTGCTGAGTCAAAAAGTATTTACCAAGAACTACCTAAAACAGGAGAAATATAATAGTATCTGATAAAATGCTGAATTAGCTATGCAGTTAGCATGTCTCGTGTTTGAAGTCTCCAGCTAGTCCCAACTGACTATCTCCAACATTATCTCCTACTTTTCCCTATGAAACAAGCTCCATGCTCATCTCCCCATGCTTCTGGAAAATTCTGTGCATATTCCTACCTCCTCTGCCTAACACCATTTCCCCCACACGCCTCTGCTTCCACCTCTCCTTCTGGGGTTCTTACTATTATACAGGGAGCAAAGATAAATTTTAAGTTGGAAGACAGCTTGGAGAACAAGTAACCTTATGCTCCATTTTACAGATGAGAAGCCTAAGGGTCAGGGAAGTTAGGTGGCTTAGCCAACAAAACTGTTTCAGTGGCAGAACCAAGAATTTAATGTATCCTGATTCTTATTTTTCCCCTACCTCCACTGCAACTTCCCAACTCTCGGTAATCATACTCTTCACTCAATATCTTTTGCACTTACGGTTTATACCACTCATGGCACTTCTTTATTTTTATATGTAGTCCTACATGTCAAATTTAGACTCAAAATCTCTTTGCTACACCTCCCTGTATCCTAGGATAGCAATTTTACCCTGTACAGAGCAATAGCTACATAAACATCTGTTGAATTTTTTGTATTATAACTTCCCCTTTATGACATCCTGTTTCCATCTTATTATTTCTACAAATGTCAGAGTTGTCACAAGCATAATACATTGAACGGGAAGGTTTTTTTTTTTAAAGGCAACTTTCTGCCACTAAATTCCACTTGTTTATAAATGTAAATGCTAAAGACAGAAAAGAGATCAACTCAAATGTACATGGCAAAGATCTTCAGTGGCATAAAGTGCGTGACTCTTTTCAGTAAGTCTGAATGCTTTGAAGAGCACTGTAGGCAGTGGTACGGGAAGATGCTAAGACAAAATGGGAAGCTCCTACTCCATGTAAGTAACCACTCAGTGTTAACATCAATCAAAAAGACATCCCATAAAAGTGATAAAGTATCCTGGTAGTTCGAAGAGAATAATATAAAGATAGAATTTGGAAGGAGCAAAGATGATGACAAATCTTCCTAACTGCTTTTTCTCTGAGCAGATTTAGAAACTTTCAGAATATTTATAATCCTGAAGTTTCAGCAGATCCAAATTCAAAGTAATGACCAAGCAGGGCTATTAACTACTCCAAGACTAGATCTCCAGATGCTGGTGAAGAATCACAGATCATGCAGAATTTGAAAGGTTTGTTTTTGTCATAGATAGTATATGTTCTAATGATTAATACCGGAAATCTGACAAAGGTCAAATTCTGATAATGAGAATGTTAGGTAATAATATGCATCACACATGTAATTAACTTCATTTTACTGGATTTTATAGACTATAATGAAGGTCAGAAGACTATCACACTCAAGTAGGCTATTCAAAAGTTTGTTTGCTACTAAAATAAAACATCACTGCTTAATCTTGTAAAATGTCCAGAATTTAATTGCAGGCCAATTAAGAATGTACGTAAATGGCAGAAATTTCACTTTGAAAAAAACAAGCCAACTATAAAGGACAAAATAAAGTGAATTAAAAAGTTTCCAATTTTGGTTGGGCATGGCTGCTCATGCTTGTAATCTCAGCACTTTGGGAGGCCAAGATCAGAGGACTTTTTGAGCCCAGGAGTTCAAGACCAGCCTGGGCAACATAGCAAGACCCCATCTCAATTTTTTAAAAAAGTACCCAATTTTTATGTGTTGAGATCTCTTTAGTTATGAGGCTAACATCACCTGCAAGTGTCTTTTAAAAGTAAACAACTCAAAAAATATTGAAAGTAAAAGAAAATCTATATTACCAAGATAATTAAGTAGAGTTTCTTCTGAAACCTAAGTATACATGTGATTCCAAAAATGAAAGTATAATTCAAAGTTAATATCCAGTTTTTCTTTATAGAGAACCAACCAAGTGCTATAAAGAGCAGAACATCTTAATTACTAGCATACACAGCCTACTACATACCTCGGCTATATGGCATGGCCTATTGCTTCTAGGCTACAAAGCTGTACAGCACGTTACTGTACTGAATAGGGTAGGCAGCTGTAATACAATGGTAAGTATTCGTGTATCTAAACATAGGAAAGGTACAGTAAAGATATACTACAAAAGATTTTAAAAATGCTACACCTGTATAGGGCAGCTCCCTTATCATCTTACAGGGCCGCCATTTTATATGCAGTCAGTCCTTGACCAAAACATCTTCCTGGCACACGACTGTAAATGTCTGTGTTCTAAAATAGCTAAGCCCAATGGTTTAAATGGTTTACACACTTCCCATGCATATATAAGTCCTTTGTTGTGCAAGTTTGGAACATTTCAAAGAGGAAAAAGAATCAAGTGATATCAGAGAAAACTGGAAATCTAAGTTTATTCATACTTAATCACAACTGTGAGTTACTTTTATTATCGTAAGGTTTTTATATACCTATAATATACTTTTAATTTCCATCAGTGTTATAATCCCAAAACAAATCCAGGTCAAAATGTTTTCTAAATATTTATTAGGCAGGACTCATTAAGCATATGCTTGGGGAAAGCTATTCAATAGCAAACTTATTAACTTGCTTTTAAAAGAGACCTAAGAGTTGGGCATGGTGGTGCATGCCTCTAATTCCAGCTACTCAGGAGGCTGAGGTGAGGTAGGGGGTACTATTGAGCCCAGGAGTTCTACACCAACCCGGACAACATAGAGAGAGAGAGAGAGAGAGAGAGAGAGAAAGAGAGAGAGAGAGAGAGAGAGAGAGTGTGTGTGTGTGTGTGTGTGTGTGTGTGTGTGTGTATAAAAGAGACCTAGATATAGGCTTTTATCAATAATTCGCATATGTATACACTAATAATTTCAGTCCTGGAAACATCTTGATAAAGTCATATATAAATAAGGAGCTGTTCATTGTAACAGTAGGCTTATAATGAAGTCTATTCAGAAGCCATTCCATCTAGCATGTACTTACATAAAGTTTTCAGCAACAATTAAATGCCAAACATAAATAGATACAAAATGGAAAACTCTGGGGTTAAGGCTGGTTAATCAACCAAGACTTTTCGATTCAACCCGAGGATATGGCTAGTAAAAAGACAGAAGGTAATATTTATTAGTACTTACACTCAATTTCCCACCCTATCTGTCCTTTCTCTCTCGTCTCTCCACATATTAACATAAAAATATGAAATATACCATGAGATTGTTCTGCCCACACTATCTGAAATCTATTACATGCAATTCCTTAAAGACAGTAAATACAAAACCAGGCCTGATTACATTTTAAGTTTATTCACAGCTTTGAAAATGATTTTAAAGTTAAAAAATCTTGGAACCATCCTATTTCAAACATTTGAAATATACTACCTCTTATCCTAGGTCTTTCTCCCTTTAATTTTTATTTCAAATTAAGTGTGATAAAGAATGACTTGAGAAGGTCTTCCCAGTCCAAAGGCTGGCTTTACATACAGCATACAAAACTCTCCTCCTGGTTCTCAGAGCTTACCATGGACCAGTTTCACTTCTTTTATTTAATGCCTTTCCAACATTTTCATTTTGCTTGGTTGTCACACGGGACCTATTCTATTGGTCTTTATCTTTGATATTGCCTTTTCTGCCCCATGGCTTTCTCTATGACTTCATTTTTCTCTGGAAAAAAAACACAGTATTAGGCTGGGTGCGGCGGCTCATGTCTGTAATCCCAGCACTTTGGGAGGCTGAGATGGGTGGATCACCTGAGGTCAGGAGTTCTACACTAGCCCGGCCAACTTGGTGAAACCCCGTCTCTACTCAAAATGCAAAAATTAGCCGGGCGTGGTGGCTGGCACCTGTAATCCCAGCTACTCAGGAGGCTGAGGCAGGAGAATTGCTTGAAACCAGGAGGCAGAGGTTGCAGTGAGCCAAGATCGTGCCACTGTACTCTAGCCTGGGCAACAGAGCGAGACTCCATTTAAAAAAAAAAAAAAATCACAGTACTTGATGTGATGTATAGGATATGTTTTCAATGAGGGTAATACTGTCATTGTTATCATTAGAGCATAGTTAGGCTGGACACACTGGCTGACACCTGTAATCCCAATGCTTTGGGAGGCCAAGGTGGGAGGATCGTTTGAGCCCAGGAGTTCGAGACCAGCCTGGGCAACAAAGCAAGACCCCATCTCTAAAAAAAAAAGAAGAAATCAGCTGGGTGTGGGTGTGTGGTAGACCTGTAGTCCAGCTACTAGGAGGCTGAAGCAGAAGGATTGCCTGAGCCCAGATGTGCAAGGCCATAGTGAGCTATGATTGCACCACTGCACTCCAGCCTGGGTGACAAAATGAGACCCTGCCTTTAAAAAAAATAATTAAAAAAAAAAAATTAAAAAAATTACAGCATACTCAAAGTACCACCAGTCATGCCTTTCTGTTTAGTTCAGGAGGAGTAAAATGTTCAGTTCATGAGGAACAAAACTTATAGCCGACAAGCCATTTTCCTTTGCTGTGTAGATACATAAAAATTAAGCAGACTCCAAGTGAATACACAGTTCCAAATTTCTTGCCAGCAATTTCTATGTACATCAGTTAAAATTTTCAAAAGAGGCCGGGCTTGGTGGCTCACACCTGTGATCCCAACACTTTGGGAGGCCGAGGTGGGCGGATCACAAGGTCAGGAGTTTGAGACCAGCCTGGCCAATATGGTGAAACCCTGTCTCTACTAAAAATACAAAAATTAGCTGGGTGTGGTAGTGGGCGCCTGTAGTCCCAGCTACTCGAGAGGCTGAGGCAGGAGAATCACTTGAACTCAGGAGGCGGAGGTTGCAGTGAGCCAAGATCACCCTGCTACACTCCAGCCTGGGCAACAGAGCAGGACTCCGTCTCAAAAAAAAAAAAAAAAAAAAAAAAAATCCAAAAGAACCAAAATTAGTCAGTTACATCATAAACCATTTCAATATTTGAAAATTTCTTTTTCAAACTAAGTATCTTTCCAGACCAATGTAAGACAGTCTATAATAGCATAAGTAGAATACTACCTTTATCTCACTTAGATAAGTTATTTCAATGTTTTCTAGCATATAAGCTACAAAAATAAACTACTGCACATGAAATAAGAGCTTTTTTGGAAAGAACTTATTACATTATTCTAGAAATTGCCTTTTTCTTGTTGCTGCTCACAAATTAATAAATTCCTCTTTATATCAAGTTTTTGTGTTGGCCTTATCACCAAAATAATTTAAGGCTAATAATTTTTTTTTTTTTTTGAGATGAAGTCTTTTCCTGCCTCAGCCTCCCGAGTAGCTGGGACTACAGACACCCGCCACCACGCCCAGCTAATTTTTTGTATTTTTAGTAGAGACGGGGTTTCACCCTGTTAGCCAGGATGGTCTCGATCTCCTGACCTTGTGATCCACCTGCCTCGGCCTCCCAAAGTGCTGGGATTAAAGGTGTGAGCCACCGTGCCTGGCCCAAGGCTAATAATCTTAATGATCCAAGTGTTCTAGGAGTATTTCCGTAGTCCTATCAAATGTTAACACAAAATGTACAACGCAGTTTAGTAATTCTCCTACTACAGAAGTCACAAAAAAAGGACCTTACTAAAATGCTTCATCGTGGAGAAACAGAGAAAAAAGTTTTAGCCATATGTTTAGTATTTATTTTATTTTATTTTTTTGAGATGGAGTTTTGCTCTTGTTGCCCAGGCTGGAGTGCAATGGCACGATCTCAGCTCACTGAAACCTCCGCCTCCCTGGTTCAAGCGATTCTCCTGCCTCAGCCTCCTGAGCACCTGGGATTACAGGCATGTAACACCACGCCTGGCTAATTTTGTATTTTTAGTAGAGATGGAGTTTCTCCATGTTTGTCAGGCTGGTCTTGAACGCCCGACCTCAGGTGATCCACCCGCCTTGGCCTCCCAAAGTGTTGGGATTACAGGCATGAGCCACGGTACTTAACAAAATTAAGTACAAATTTTAAATGTGAGAAAGGAGTTTAATACTGCAGAGATGGGTCAGCTCTGACATCATATATATTGCTGATCAGGTAGCAACATGGTAATATTTACCCCATATTTGTTCCATGTTACCATTTAGCACCACTATCTTCTGTTGGCTAAAAAAATACATATATAGCGGGAAGAATTTTCCATTTAAATAAAAAATACACATCTATTTCTAAAAAATGCCTTGCTGCTCCTCTGAGAAAATCACCTCCTCCAGGAAATGCTCATGATGCAACATTAAATGAACAGGATATAAAGTTGTACAGAAAGTACAAACAAGCTTATCTCAACATCCAATATCGTATTCAAATACTGGAAGGAAATACACCAAAATGTCAGCAGAGATGTCCTGAGGTGGTAGGATAGTGGCTAACTGGATGATATTTTACAATGAACCATGTATGTTTTAAAATTTTAAACTTAAAAAAAACAAGCTAATTAAGGTTCTGGAGCCTGTAAGTCATGAACAGACAAACCACTTTCCTACTCTTCAGTTTTCACATAATGATAACAACAGAAAGCTTAAGAATTCTGAGCCTTGAAAAATCCCTCAAGGTTAAAATACTTTTTTGAAAAGGGCCAATCATATATAATCCCATCAGCATATCAAGAAATATTTAGCTTTGTCAGAACTAGAACCCTTCGTTGTTAATTTTTTTTTTTTTTGGATTCCCAAAAAGCAACGACTTCAATTGTTAAAAAGAAAAAAAGTATATGCTGTTTTCCAACGCAGGACATACTTCCCAAATACAGTTTCAATTCCTCCACTATCTAAAGAGAGGCGCCTATTAGAGCGCTTCATAATACCCCGAAGTCCTCGTGAACGCACTCCAGGTGGAAAATTCTGCTGTGATGATGTGCTAAAAAATACCCTATAACTCAAATATTACACAATAATCAACACTAATTAATAAGGTAATTCTACGCCTATGATCACAAAACAGGTGAAAGGAAAACCCAGATGACTTTATTCCCAGTTTAGAGCTCAATCATTATCCCAACCAAACTCTCTCCAGAAGAAAATTTCCACACAGCCTATAAGGAGCACTAAATACTTTCCCATCCTTCACAGTCAGGCAGCAAAGCAAGCCAACCTGTAAATATTTTCAAAAGCTGATGAATGTGAAAATTAGCTCAAAATGTATGCTGGCACATCAGCTCCTGTTTCCAAGTCCCGATTTGGTCAATTTTGTTACTAAGGAAGCAATAAAGCAAGGCAGCTGAGTATCAGCCTCGGGCTTTGGAATCCTACAACCCGGAGTCTGAATCTTGGCTCTATCACTAAAACTAGCTGGGCCAGGCACGGTGGCTCACGCCTGTAATCCCAGCACTTTGGGAGACCAAGGTGGGTGAATTGCTTGAGGCCAGGAGTTTGAGATCAGCCTGGCCAACATGGCAAAACCCTGTCTCTATTAAAACTACAAAAATTAGGTGGGTGTTGTGGTGCGTGCCTGTAGTCCCAGCTACTCAGGAAGGTGAGGCATAAGAATCGCTTGAATCTGCAAGACAGAGGTTGGAGTGAGCCTACATCGTGCCACTGCACTCCAGCCTGGGTGAAAGAGTGAGACTATGTCCCAAATAAATAAATATATAAATAAATAAAACTAGCTGTGACCTTAGCCTCTATGTGTCCTTCACCTCTGTGGCCATATGCTTTACTTACAAAATGACCAGAACTCGACTACATGCTCTCTCAGGTCATTTCTAGGTTAATAAAGAGTGATTCTGCACACTCTTGGCAGAACAGCTGCTAGTGCAGTAAATGATCGCACTGATCATTTCATTTGCTCCCCACTAGATTGGGAGCCCCCATTAAGGCAGCCAGACAGGCAGTTCACTTGGGTTGCTAGGGCCTAGTCTGGGCCAAGAACATACTAGGGGCAGGTATTCAGTACATGTTTGCTGAAGAATGAATGAGTGCAATGTATATAACTGATCAGGTTATTACCCCAACTAAATTGGAAATGATCATAAGTAAAATAATCAAGAATAAAGTGAAAAACTCTTCTGTATTTGCCTGACCCAGCAGATTAACAATCTTATGAACTAATATTTAATACTTCTGAGACTGAAATTCAAATAAATTGGTTAATATAAATAAAATGTCCTCTCAAACTTTAAAAAGGTCAGAAAAACCACAACTTACTAAGCCAGAGGGTTGAAAGTACTGTAAAAGGGAAAAGAGAACAGTGAGCTTGAC
The DNA here is from genome assembly GCF_000001405.40 of Homo sapiens. Classification (NCBI taxonomy): domain Eukaryota; kingdom Metazoa; phylum Chordata; class Mammalia; order Primates; family Hominidae; genus Homo; species Homo sapiens. The sequence goes on from NC_000017.11 coordinate 65,037,330, forward strand.
TTCAACTGAATCTTCTCCACTTCCTCGCCTCTCTCTCCTCTTAAGCCCTTCTAGGCTGGCCTCTCCCTCACCAGGGCACCTGCTGCCATAGTCAGCATATCCAACTTTCCTGTGCCAACATCGATTCTTCCTAGAATTCTTCCTAGACCTCTCAATGGCACAGGACACCACTGACCACTTTTTTCTTCTTGAAACACTTTCCTGGCTTCCATGACGTGACATGTGCCTACATTTCTCCTACCTTTCTGGCCACTTCTGCTAGGATCTCCTCCTCTGAACATTCTCAAAAGATGTAGAGATTTCTCAAGACTCTACTGTCAGACTGAGCACAGTGGCTCACACCTGCAATCCCAACACATTGGGAGGCCGAGAGAGGCAGACTGCTTGAGCCCAGGAGTTCGAGACCAGCCTAGGCAACATGGAGAGAGACCCAGCCTCTACAAAAATGGAAAAAAAAAAAAAAAAAAAAAAGACAAAAAGACTCTACCGTGAGCCTTCATCTCTTCTTTTTACACCCTTTCCCCGAGTAATCATATCAGAAAAATTATACTCAGTAATTATTTCACAGACATTAAATATCTCCTAGATACAAACACCTCCTCAATTTCTATCTCTAGCCCCAAACTGTTCTGGATTCAAGACTCATGTATCAAGCTGTCAACCTGGTATCTCCACCCATACATCTCACAGAGATCTCAACCTAGTACTTAAGCTCGTTGACTTCCAACAGGGTTATGCCTCAACAAACCCATCACTTAAGATGAAAATATCGTTAAGTCAAAAACACATTTATGGCCGGGTGCAGTGGCTCATGCCTGTAATCCCAGCACTTTGGGAGGCCGAGGCAGACAGATCACAAGGTCAGGAGTTCGAGACCAGCCTGGCCAATATGATGAAACCCTGTCTCTACTAAAAATACAAAAATTCACCGGGCCTGGTGGCACGTGCCTGTAATCTCAGCTACTTGGGAAGCTGAGGTAGGAGAATCGCTTGAAGCTCGGAGGCGGAGGTTGCAGTGAGCCAAGATTGCACCACTGCACTCTAGCCTGGGCAACAGAGCAAGACACCATCTCAAAAAAAAAAAAAAACCATTTATTTTTAGAGACAGGGTCTTGCTTTGTCACTCAGGCTTGAGTACAGTGGCATAATCACGGCTCACTGCAGCCTCAACCTCCTGGGCTCAAGGGATGCTCCCACCTCAGCTCTGAGTAGCTGGGACCACAGGCATACACCATCGTACCCAACTATTTTTCTGTATTTTTAGTAGAGACGGGGTTGCGGGGGGGCGTTTCTCACCATGTTGGCGAGGCTGGTCTCGAGCTCTTGAGTTCAAGCAATCCGCCCACCTTGGCCTCCCAATGTGTTGGGATTACAGGCGTGAGCCACCGTGCCCCGCCCAAAAATACATTTAATACATCTAACCCACCAAGCATCACAGCTTAGCCTAGCCTCCCTTAAACATGCTTGGAACACTTACATCAGTTGATAGTTGGGCAAAATCATCTAGCACAAAGCTTATTTTATAATAAAGTGTTGAATATCTCACAACGTTTACTGAATACCATACTGAAAGTGAAAAACATAACGGCTATATGGGTACCTGAAGTACAGTTTCTACTAAATGTGTATTGCATTTACACCACCATAAAGTAAAAAAATCGTTAAGTCAAACCACAGTAAACCAGGGACTGTCTGTATGCCCAAACTAAACTCTTAATCATCCCCCTCAAATATCATTCTCCCATGATCCTGTGATTTGAGTAAATAGCACCAATATCCACCTAGTTGATAAAGCCAGAAACTTGAGTCACTCTTAATATATGCCTTTCTTCCCTACCCCACATCCAATCTAGCAGATCCCAATGATTTTCCCTACAAAGTATATCCTGAATCCATTTTCTTCTCTTATCTCTACAGCCACCAACTGACGACAAGCTGCTTGCTCTGCAATAGTCTCCAAACTCTGGAACTGGTTAGGACGAAGAACAGTATCTGGTGCAAAGGCTCTCCCTCACTCCCCTCTAACTTCCACACAGCAGCCTGAGTGATCTTGCTTAAAATCCTTTGGTGGCTTCCCAAGGCAGTCAGAGAAACCCCAAACTTCTCAACATGGGCTACAAGGCCTGGCAGTCACAGGCTGCTGCCTGCCTCTTCCACCTCAGTTCTCCCTCACTCACTCCTCCACCCTGGCCTGGATCACGTTTTCTGACCAGCAGTAAGTTTTTTTCCAACTTTGCACATGGTGCTCATTCTGCCTGGAGCATTCTTCCCCCTCCTTTCCTGGAGGACTTTCTCATCCATGGGATCTGAACCTAAATGTTGCCTCCTCAGACCATCCTCTTGGTCTCTCATTGTTTCTCTTCCTTCGCAGCATTTACCACATGTGTAATTACATATTTGTTTGCATATTTCATGTAGATTACTCTGACTAGCATCTAACGTCAACGCAGAGATTACTTTCACTTGGTTCACTAGCAAACACCTAACCCACAAAAAGGTAACTGACTCATTAATAGGTGTTCAGTAACACGTGACTGCATGGCTGCTGAAAGCTACCAGTGAACTGTTACCAGACCTGTTTCAGAATAACACATTTCCTGTAATCCACTACCTAGGGCTTTCTTGTCTCCTCATCACTTTTTGCATTCGCTAGTTACTTTTCATATAGAATAAAATATAATTACATATACAAATATCACATGAACATATTCTTACCAGAAAAAGTATTTCTATAGAATGAAGCTTTTTAATAAAATACTTTTTCAAAAAAAAAAGACACAGTAAGGCCAACTGTGCAAAATACTGTACAACAAGGGGAACCTTGGTTCTCTTACTAAACTATTAAACAAAACACCAACTTTAAAATTGGTTGCAACATTTAATCATAACATACCATAATTGGAAAAGTCCAGAAAAAATGGAAGCAAGTATAATTCTCCTTGTTCTAGTCTAGAGTTGAAATGTATATTATCTTTATGGCAACAGTTTAAAGTCCCTACCATGTTTGAAGCTGTGGCAAATAGTTTAACAGTAAATGTGGCAAGCTGGTAACAGTTAAAAATAGCAAATCATTTGTATTATAATATTTTTAACTGAATTGGATAAATCACATTTTCTTTTTAAAATTTGCAATTAGGATAAATGGTATTTGCAACTTTGTGAACATACAGTATTATTTAGGTTTTGTTTTTTTTGAGACGGAGTCTTGCTCTGTCACCAGGCTGGAGTGCCGTGGCATGACCTTGGCTCACCGCAACCTCCAACTCCCTGGTTCAAGCCTCAGCCTCCCAAGTAGCTGGGATTACAGGTGCCCGCCACCACGCCCAGCTAATTTTTGTATTTTTAGTAGAGACGGGTTTCACCATCTTCGCCAGGATGGTCTCGCTTTCCTGACCTTGTGATCTGCCTGCCTTGGACTCCCAAAGTGCTGGGATTACAGCCATGAGCCACTCTGCCCAGCCAATAATTTAGGTTTTTAAAAACCCGTTAGTTGAATAGCAACTTTATCTGTCTAAAGTATACCCCCGTACATTCTCTCATGTGTTAGGCTTACTGTAGCAGTTGGCCAGGCAATAACTTGTGAGCAACTCTCTAGCAACATGGAAATTCTGGGACAGCTGCTCATTGCTAGTAGCTTCCATAAATGTTTCTTTTATTTAATATCAATGAAAAGATACAACCACATTTCACATCATGATGCTTAAATAAAAATCACATGATGATATATCTGATTTTCTATATAACTTCTGAGCCAATTCATCCTATTTAGCAGAAAAATAATTTTTTAAAAAGAGACTAAGAAAACAGTAACCAAGATGTTGAAAAGGAAAGTGAAAGTCTCTTGCCCCAATTATTCATTATTCCAGCTCTTTTTCTTTAACCTTTCCAAAAGAGTTTAAAGAGAAAAGAAATGGCCTATTTACAAGCTAAATATAGCTGCCTTGGCTCAAAGAACCCAATGACATTGTTTTATGTTTTTTGGGGAGAGTGAGGTGGTATAGAAGAGTTTTGTTTTTAAATGCTAAAATCAATACTTTCTTCTTTGAGGGGAGCAAATTTGAAATTTGCTAATTTTGCTCCATGAGAAAAAGTAGATATTCTCTAGACTTTTTAGTTGGTTTTTATACAAAATAGTCAGAAGTTTTAAGATCTCACAAAAAACATGGAATCTAAAAAAAAAAATATATATGTATTTTGTGAACATATGAATTTTTTTACCTTGGAAATGAAGCTCTAACACCCTCTTTAACTAAGTACTCTCAACGCCTCTGCTAAGTCACAGGGCAGAGAAATGACAGAAAGGGAAAGAGTACGTCTGTGTGTGCACGTGGAAGGGGTGTGGGGAGCACCTCAGAGACAAAGGTGAAGGAAGAGGGGATGAAAGCAGCACATTCAGTGGGAGTGGTGAGCACTCTGCACCTGAGCCAGAGGTTATCTCCCCATGCCTCCAGCAGGAAGATAAATGACTTGTCTCACTCTGGTACATCTGAGGCATTTCAGGAACACATTCTCCAAACAATCAAATAATTCTGGCTACAAATGTCATCGTGATGAGAAGGATCAATACTGGTTAGTTTCACCAACCATCTATATAACACTCTATTATTTTCAAATGACATTTGATTCTTTAGAGTTGTAAGTTTTTACATTTACAAAGACACACAAGGACTAGCCATAAAAATATAGACCCATTGTTTGTAAAATGTTTTCACTTGTTTAAAAAGGTACTGTGAAAAAATGAAGAACCAGCCAGCCGCGGTGGCTCACACCTGTAATCCCCGCACTTAGGGAGGTCAAGGCAGGTGGGTCACCTGAGGTCAGGAGTTCAAGGCCAGCCTGACCAAAATGGAGAAACCTTGTCTCTACTAAAAATACAAAATTAGCCAGGTGTGGTGGCACATGCATGTAATCCCAGCTACTCGGGAGCCTGAGGCAGGAGAATTGCTTGAACCCGGGAGGCAGAGGTTGCCATGAGCTGAGATCAGCCATTGCACTCCAGCCTGGGTAACAAGAGTGAAACTCCGTCTCAAAAAAAAAAAAAAAAAGAAGAACCACATCATAAGTTTTTGATCTAAAAATCAAGCAAAGCGGTATCACTAGGCAACAAGAACGAATGTAACACGGTGGCTGGGCACGGTGGCTCAAGCCTATAATCCCAACACTTTGGGAGGCTGAGGTGGGCAGATCAATTGAGGTCAGAAGTTTCAGACCAGCATGGCCAACACGGTGAAACCCCATCTCTACCAAAAATACAAAAATTAGCCGGGCATGGTGGTGCGGGCCTGTAGTCCCAGCTACTTGGGAGGCCAAGGAAGGAGAATCACTTGAACCCGGGAGAGGGAGGCTGCAGTGAGCCAAGACCGCGCCACTGCACTCCAGCCTGGGCAACAGAGCGAGACTCCATCTCAAAAAAAAAGAACTAATGTAACAAGGAAAACTTCAAATCTCTCTTCAACATGTGGTCCTAGAGACAACATACAGTCTAATAAGAAAACACAAGTAATATATTCTACATTATTCAGAATTTTTTATGTTGGTAATGAGGTTTAGAGAGTAAATCAAATCAAAGTTTATACTGCTTTATTTTTCTATGCAGCTACTTAGGTGCATAAAGCCCATTAGGAATATTAATAACTAATATTAATAATATGGTTAATACAAGTCAGGTACTGTGGGGCTTTACATGGGTTATCTCATGTCCTCGTCACAATAGTAACAGTAGGTCCCTAATAATAGATCATTCTCATTTTACAGTTGCAGAACTAGAAATTCAGAGGCCGAAGGACTTGCCTGAGCTCACACAGCGAGTGGCAGCCGGAAGACGAACTCTGGCTGCTGCCTTACTCCACTTTATCCCACAGCATGGCACAAAACCAAATCCAATCTTAAGGCCATCACATGAAACCAAATGTAAAAATGTTTTGCAATATATACAATCATTAAGTTTGAACATGTTTATTAATTTTTTTTTTTTTTGAGACAAGGTCTTGCTCTGTCTCCCAGGCTGGAGTGCAGTGGTGCAATCTCAGGTCACTGCAACTCTGCCTCCCAGGGTCAAGCAGTCCTCTTGTTTCAGACCCCCGAGTAGCTGGGACCACAGGTGTGCGCCACCATGCTCAACTAATTTTTGCGTATTCTGTAGAGGCAGGCTTTTAGCATGTTGCCCAGGCTGGTCTCAAACTCCTGGACTCAAGCAATCTGCTCACCTCAGCCTTCCAAAGTGCTGAGGTTACAGGTGTGAGCCACTGCGCTTGGACTGAATGTGGTTTATTTTAATTTGTATGGAAGATAAAAGCTTTTAAAAAGTCACAGATAGCACAACCAAGCACACAGATTTTACTATTTAGATTAAAAAACAAAAATATCTGTAGGCCAGGACTGATAAAAAATGAAAACAAGAACAAAAAAAACAAACATCAACGAAGAGTTCCACTAAAGTATTCTGGATCTACTGCAGAGTAGATGGGGATGAAAAAGTTTACCCACCGCATGGATTTAAAAATCCTTTCGAGGCTGGGCACAGTGGTCACGCCTGAAATCCCAGCACTGCAGGAGGCCAAGATGGGAGAATCATTTGAGGCCAAGAGTTCAAGGCCACCCTGGTCAACACAGTGAGACCTCATTTCTGAAAATAACAAAAAAACTAGCCGGGTGTGGTAGTATGAGCCAGTAATCTCAGCTACTCGGGAGATTGAGGTGGGAAGGTTGCTTGAGCTGGGGAGGTCAAGGCTACATACAGTAAGCCATGACTGTGCCACTGCACATTGGCCTCGGGAACAGAGCAAGACCCTGTCTCAAAAAGTAAAAAAAAGAAAAAATACTTTCAGTTCATTTTGCCAAAGGAAGAGTGATTATATTTGGAAGATTAAGATAAATAGCTACCATCAACGCAACAGATTGGTACTTTGGCCAAGTGCACTAAAGTTCAGTTCTCAAAACAAAACTATTTTCTTGATTCATATCAGCTCATTCTAATACTGCTCTGCTAATGTGGCTATAACAAGTTCTTTTGAATAAAAGGCATCTTGTAAACAAGATAGGTTCACAATATAGACAAAGGTGAATAGTATATAGCTAGGGAAAAACGAAATACTTTCAAGCAGGGAAATAAAAATCACTTCTCATTTCCAGAAATACACACTTAAAAAAAATTAGGTCACTTTTAACTGGAAAAAAATTTGTGACAAGCCAGGCACGGTGGTGGCTCACGCCTGTAGTCCCAGCACTTTGGGAGGCCAAGGTGGGAGAATTAATCGAACCCAGGAATTCAAGACCAGCCTGGGCAACCCAGCAAAAACCCCATCTCTTAAAAAAAAGGAAAAAAAAAAAAGAAAAAACTTTGTGAGAAATTGCAATCTCGAGTGCTCACAGGCAGTATGAAAACTGTGACATGATTACATGAGAAGCATTTCAAAGGAGTTCATAAAAAGTTAACAATAGGCCGGGCTCACGCCTGTAATCCCAACATTTTGGGAGGCTAAGGCGGACAGATCACTTGAGGTCAAGAGTTCAAGACGAGCCCGGCCAACATGGTGAAACCCTGTCTCTACTAAAAATACAAAAATTAGCCAGGCATGGTGGCCCATACCTGTAATCCCAGGTACTCGGGAGGCTGAGGCAGGAGAACTGGCTGAGCCTGGGAGGTGGAGGTTTCAGTGAGCCAAGATCACGCCACTGCACTCTAGCGTGGGCAACAAAGTGAGACTCCATCTCAAAAAAAAAAAAAAAAAGAAAAGAAAAGAAAAAGTGTTCTGGTGTCCCCTTCTCTAAAACAAAAGCAAATCTGACCAATTACATAGAAGACAGGCACTAAAGATGGCACTGTCCTAGAAAAATGTTGGCAATCTCTTTCAGCTAACTGGTTGCCATTAAACTTCTATTTTTCAGAATACATTAAAAACTGTGTTCAGCCAGGCATGGCGGCTCACACCTGTCATCCCAGCACTTTGGGAGGCTAAGACATGCAGATTACCTGAGGTCAGGAGTTCGAGACCAGCCTGGCCAACATGGTGAAACCCCATCTCTACTAAAAATACAAAAATTAGCTGGGTATGGCGGTGCACGCTTGTAGTCCCAATAACTTGGGAGGCTGGGTCAGGGCTTGAACCTGGGAAGTGGAAGATGCAATGAGCTGGGATCAGGCACTCCAGCCTGGGCAACAGATCAAGACTCTGTCTCAAAAAAAAAAAAAAAAAAAAACCAAACTGTTTCCACTGATGAAACATCAGTTGAGAATCACTATTACAGTTAGTTTTCAAGGAGGTAAAGATTCAAACTGAACCTTTACCAAGCTGAATAGTGATTAGGATAAAATGTACCATTCACAGTTAGTAAATTTACTATTAAACATTGCTTAAGATCACTTATATCGTTACTATAATAAAGAAAGAAGAAATGGTACAAGGATATTAGGAAAGTTCAGGATATAAAAATAACTACGTGACTATCAGTGTAACACCAAACATTCTTAAATAAAACCTTACATGCACTTAAAATAATGTGCTAAAACTTAATAGGGGAGTGTTAATTATTTGTATGTATGGGTGGTGGTCAGAAGAAGTTGGGAATGAAAGACAAGAAGAATGCTCCACAGATGCCATGTTTGAGTGCTAGTAAAATGGTTTGGTGGCCAGAGCTGTGGACTAGGAGTCAGCAGATTGGGACTGCGGTGTCTATTCTATTATTATTTACTAGGTCTGTGAACTGAAGCATCTCAAGGGATCTTTCTGAGTCTCCATTTTTTAATCTGTGAAATGCGGATAACAGTATATCTTGTTTTGCTTTTTTGTGGACCTGACACTTCAGGATTCTTTCTCCTTTTTAAATATAGCACTATATGATCATGAATGTGATAGGGATTTGAAAAGTGCAAAGCAAATGTTGTTATAAAACGTAAGATATTAAACAATTATTATAATTAAATTAAACAATTATTATAATTATCAATACTATGAATTAATTTTATTTTTATTTATTTTTGAGACAGGATCTCACTCTGTTGGCCAGGCTGGAGTGCAATGGTGCTATCATAGCTCACTGCAACCTCAAACTCCTGGGCTCAAGCAATCTCCTTCTCTCAACCTCCCAAGTAGGTGGGACTACAGGCACGTGCCACTGCGCTTGGCTAATTTTTAAAATTATTTGTAGAGACAGGATCTTGCTATGTTGGCCAGGCCGTTCTGGAATTCTTGGCCTCAAGCATTCCTCAGCCTGAATTAATTTTCTGAAGAAAGAAACTGGCACCTGTTTTGGGCTAATAGGACTGGATACCCCAACTTGGTTGGCTGCGCATATCTGTGAAAGATAAGCAGGGAACATTCAATCCAAGGAGTCCTTTGGCCATTATGCTTTTCTTTAAAGTAAGCTCACAAACCTTTTTCCTGGGTTAGGTCCACGCTCTAGGTAAAGAGTTCTGAAACTAAAGTCTACTTTTCATAACAAAACTATTTACTTGTTCCATCTCTTAGTTGTTTAATAAACATTTTCAGAGAATCATAAATTATTGTGCCCCTAGCTTTGTTTAGCAATAAAAGGTAATATAGAAAGCAGCACAGTATTTTCCAATTCCGGAAGCTTTAGCACCAAGAACCCAGACATCCTACAGCCAGTCAAGTTTTCACCCAAAAAAATGCGAACATGAAAATTTCAACATAATAGAATACAAGTGATACCACCTATGTGTGCATGCACACACACTTCACAAAGTTGTATTAAAACTATAAGTGTAAACTTAAAGGAACTGACGGAAATTTTAAAAAAGAAATTAATTAAAAAGAAAAAAACTTCATTTTTAACGTAAATAAACATAAAGCTCTGGGTTTACAAGATTTGGATAAAATGTAACCACTCTGACATCTGATCAATTTCATCAAAAGGAAATTAAACTCAACTTTAAAATCTCTACTATCTCTGGCTGGGTGAGGTGGCTCACTACTGTAATCCCAGCACTTTAGGAGGCTGAAGCAGGAGGATCACTTGAGCCCAGGAGTCCCAAGGTTACAGTGAACTATGATCACACCACTGCACTCCAGCCTGTGTAACAGAGTGAGACTCTGTCTCTAAAAAATATTAATAAAGTAAGATAAAAACCTCTACTATCTCTAATGTTATATATAATCTTTATTTTAGATGGGATGAAATATTTAACACTAATCCTAGAATCAAAAGATAACCAATAGGTTTTTAGCAACTCAAAGTCCTTGCTTGACTATACTTATAGAGAAAATGGACCAATCATCCAAAAGAAACATAGTATTTTACAACTGAAAGTAGCAATTCTTTAATATTTAAAGCAAATCCAAATTAGCATTAATTAATAAATGACTCTGATTCTTTTTTTTTTTTAAGAGGGAGGGGGCTGTCCTCACTATGTTGCCCACATTGGACTTGAACTCTTGAGGTCAAGCAATCCTCCTGTCTCCCCAGAAGCTGGGACTACAGGAGCTTCAAATGACTCTTGATTGTATTATATTTCCAATACATGCTGCAGTGCAAATAAATAAATAAAAAAAATTAGCTGAAACTGAAGTTTCTAGAATACTTAGTTGGACCTCCCCTTTTTACAGGCCAATCATGGAGCTAAATGGTTACTTTGTTACACAGATTGAGGGAGTAAATCTCTGTGTTAATGAATACACTATCTTATCGGCTTCAAGAAGAGTAACCTCAAGCACAAAAAGAAAAGAATTAAGTCTAACTGAAGGTACCATGATTAGCAAAAACACTTTGGTTTCAGGAATTGCAAAGACAGACTGGCCATTACAGGAAGTTGTATTAATGCTGACAATGTTAAACTGTTTACAGAAAGTAGGAAGCTGTGGGATGTTCCTCCCACTGTCACACACACTGTCCTGTCCTACGTAACAAGTGTTGCCTTATTTCTCAATAAGTGAATATAAATTAAACAAAAAAAAATAGTTGGAAATGACTCCTAGCCATTTTGTCAGTTTTCATCCATATCTCCAATTGTATCATCCAGCCAACCCCTGACTCCCATCTCTTTATTCATCTGAGTTACCAAATTATCTAGCTATTGTCACATAAGAAGGTTTTCTAAAGACAGGGTAACTCAAAAGTGCAGTGGCAGGCTATGTTGAATGTACAGCCAGAGTAGAGTATTTCAAATATTTAATTCAGTACTAAAACAGGCCACTTCTTACAATCTATTATCCTCAGTATGCTAATTTATAATAACTAGAAAGGTACCTTAAGTTATAACGAGAATGTGAATCTTGTATTTTTCTTTTCCACAGTAAGCTATTTAGCTGACCCATGATGGAACTAACCAAAAAAGGAAATGTTTACCTTTGGGAACTTAGAAAGAAAAACATTCATGTTTACACCCAAAGTTATTACTAACAAATGAGTAGTCTGCTAAAAACCTAAGCTGTGTTATCAACACCCTATCCCTTGTCCCGAAAATTGATTAAAGGGCAGTTGTTCATCTTAGGCAAAATGTTAAGTCATGTAGGGCCTTAAAACCTGTCAGTTTTTAATGTGCATTAATAAGTTTAATAATCAAATCATTAGTTGAAACGAAAAGGTTAATTTTAATTTTAGTTATTTTATCTGCTAACCTCTATTTCTTCTGATGTTTACCTTTCCTATCCAAAATTCAAAAATATGCTGCTAAACATAACAAAACACATTTCAACCCCCCCAAATAAAAATTATAATTACACAAGAACTGTCCACTTCCTAGAAAATTAGGAAACTATTATAGAAATAATCCATATTTCCCAGAAGGAACTTAATGTAGAATTAAATTATATTACATATTTTTTAATTTTTATTTTTTTGAGACAGGGTCTCACTCTGACGTTCAAGCTGGAGTGCAGTGGCATGATCTCCACTCACTGCAACCTCCACCTCCTGAGTTCAAGCGATTCTCGTGCCTCAGTCTCCTGAGTAGCCAGGACTACAGGTACATGTCACCATGCCTGGCTAATTTTTGGTTTTGGTTTTGGTTTTTGGTAGAGATGGGGTTTCACCATGTCAGCCAGGCTGGTTTCCAACTCCTGACCTCAAGTGATCTGCCTGCCTCAGCCTCCCAAAGAGCTGGGATTACAGGTATTTTATTTTTTTAGAACATCTTTGTAATTAAGAATGTCTGAAAAACGAGGAAATAAAAGTGTCAGGCACTATGCTAGTAGGAGAGAAAAAGACAAACTAGGCATACCAAAGGACTTCTACATGACTGACAGCCACACATGAAAGCTGTGACTCTAACACACATAATGGGTACTGTGAGGAGTGACAGGAGTAAGCATGCTAGGGAAAGCAAAGGACACGGAGATCTCCATTCTAGCCAAGAAGACTGGAGATGCTTCAAATAAAGAGACACAGCCCCTAAGGCACTGTTCCTGGGGAAAGGGAGGGGGCATGGAGCAAATTCATCCAAACCACCTATGGCTATTTGCTGAAAACACAGATCACTGGGTCCCATCCCAGAATCCAGAATCAGATCCTCAGGTATAAAGTCTGAGCATCTGCTTGTTTGTTTTAACAAGCATTCCAGTCCATGGGGTCCATGGGCCACATTTAGTGTGATTATCACTACATTAAGTGAAGGGTAAGACCTAGTAACAGATAGGGTAAAGAATAATTCTGGCAGAGGGACTACGCATGATGAGAGCTATAGAAGCAAAAAATTAGGGTATGTGGGAATCAAGAGATTACAGAGTATGTCCAGTGGCCTAATGAAATATATTGCTGGAATCACAGGTAAGCTAGCTAGAGTCTTTACTCCCACAAAAAAGCTGAGCTCTGTTCTGAAGACAATGGTGAGCCACCAAAGCTTTCTGAGCAAACCAATGCTGTGTTTGAACAAGACTGCCTTGGAGTCCAAGCAAGAGGTAGCAGAACACAAAATAGAGGAAAGGAGGGAATGAATGCAAGAGACGTTACAGAGGTAGAAAAATCAGAACTTGGGGAGCTGCTGCATGTAGATGAGTAGATGGAATTGATGATGACTTTGAGGAAAATTTTAAGTAAGCCAAGTGCCTTCTCAGTGCCTGACACTATGCCAAGCACCACAGCACATCCAAGAGTTTAAGAGTCATTAAGTCAACATAATAATGGAGCATCTCTATGTGTCAGGTGCTATTAACAATGCTGAAGCCACGCACAGTGGTTCATGCCTATAATCCCAACATTTTGGGAAGCCAAGGCAGGAGGACTGCTTGAGGTCAGGAGTCCAAGACCAGCACTGGCAACATAGCAAGACTCCGTCTCTACAAAAATTTTTTTTTAAATTAGCTGGGTGTGACGGCACACACCTGTAGTCCTAGCTACTTGAGAGACTGAAGCTGGAGAATCACTTGAGCCCAGGAGTTGAGTCTACAGTGAGCTATGATCACAACAGGGCACTCCAGCCTGGGCAACAGTGAGACCTTCTCTTAAAAAACAAAAACAAAAAAACAAAAAACAATGCTGAGCGTAGACTCAGGAAAAAAGAATCTCTGTCCTCCAGAAGTTTAAAATTAGGTCTTGCTCTGTTCCTCTTTTCTTGTCTCTACTTTTCATCATGGAAAAAAGTATTTCTGGAACTTATCTCTCCTCATCTTTGAGGACTTCTTTGCTCCTTAAGGATCAACTGGCTCAAGTCAACAACAAGCAGGTCCTCATCCTGAGTGGTTTTACCTATTCGTTCTTAATCACAAAGATATACTTAGGGATGCTTTCTCAACAATGAGGACATGACAGTCCTGATGTGAGACAGTTAGACGTCAGCTTCCAAATTAAAAAACTGTCCATGAAACACAACTTTAATTAAATGGACTTAGGGCAAATACGGAACTTCCCCACAGAGAACTTTCAGGTATGCAGTTCTTTATTTATTCATTTAATCCATATGCACTGTATGCTTATTACAGATGAATGTTTCTTCTCTGACCTGGAAGGATGAATAGAGCCTGACAAAATTGAGTTGAAAGTGTGTGGTTTGTTGAGAAAATGAACTAAGAAGAAAGGAGAATAAGCAGCACTTAAAAACAGGAGGTAGATGGCCAGGCACAGTGGCTCATGCCTGTAATCCCAGCACTTTGGGAGGGCAAGGCAGGCAGATCACCTGAGGTCAGGAGTTAGAGACCAGCTTGACCAACATGGAGAAACACTGTCTCTACTAAAAATACAAAATTAGCCAGGTGTGGTGGCGCATGCCTGTAATCTCAGCTACTTGGGAGGCTGAGGCAGGAGAATCGCCTGAACCCAGGAGGCGGAGGTGAGCCAAGATCGCGCCACTGCACTCCAGCCTGGGCAACAAGAACAAAACTCTCAAAAAAATGCAAAAAAACAAAAAACAGGAGGTAGAGTGATGGGCGATGGAAAGGGGTATATGGAAGAACTCATGCAAGCAAATCTACCAAAAATAAAGTAATAAACATTGATCAAGGGACAAAACTAACCAGAAATCTGGGAATTGGATGGAGGTCATTTGTCAAGTTAAATTCATCATTTTCAACATGCAATACTGGCAGCTACGTAATTTTAACAATAATGTGAGACAGTCCCTGCCTTTCAGAAATAAACACATTACTTGAAAAGACAAGATACAAACATGATAGAAGAGAACTATACAAGACGGTAAATAATCAAATGCTAGTTGAATGACAGATATAAAAGCCATAATTCAGATATAGTCAAAATTAAGGTGTCAGTTTTATAAAAAGCTATCGTGAACACTTTCCTGGAACTTTTAAAAGGCAAGACTGCTTCTAAGTATAAATAATAACAGCAAGGACTGCTGGTTGTACATCGCTTTGCAGCCACACCCATTAATGTGGATTAATGTTGGTGACATCATCAAACAACTTCCTAAGCAGCTTATTTATTTTTTTTTTGGAGATGGAGTTCTGCTCTTGTTGCCCAGGCTGGAGTGCAGTGGCACGAACTCGGCTTACCGCAGCCTCCGCTTCCAGAGTTCAAGCGAGTCTCCTGCCTCAGCCTCCTGAGTAGCTGGGATTACAGGTGCCTGCCACCACACCTGGCTAATTTTTGTATTTTTAGAAGAGACGGTGTTTCACCGTGTTGGCCAGGCTGGTTTCAAACTTCTGACATCAGGTGATCCACCCGCCTCAGACTCCCAAAGTGCTGGGATTACAGGCATGAGCCACCGTGCCCAGCCAGCAGTTTTACTTTTAACTGTCACTTCATTTTAATCATATTAGAGTAAAACACTTCAGATCTGAACTACCTCCAAATTGCACACAGTCTAGATTTCTATCACTGCTGGAATCTTTCTGATCTTTGGCAAATAAAACCCAATCACAGCATTCACAGTTAAATTACAAAACACTTGATTAAAAATTTGTTTCAACTGTATTCTGTATCTTTAACCTGGATTGGATACTTTTATTCCAAACCTGTCTTCAATGCTGTGTAACAGCTACAAAGCATTTTATGGGTAGTCTCGTTAAAGAAAAAAGGGGAAAAATGCCTGGCACAATGCCAGCAATTTGGGAGGTCAAAGTGGGCACATTACCTGAGGTCAGGAGTTCAAGATCAGCCTGGCCAACATGGCGAAACTGCCTCTACTAAAAAGACAAAAATTAGCTAGGTGTGGTGGCACGCGCCTATAGACCCAGCTACACAGGAGGCTGAGGCAGGAGAGTTGCTTGAACCCTGGGGGCAGAGGTTGCAGTGGGCCAAGATCACACCACTGCACTCCAGCCTGGGCAACAGAGACTCCGTCTCAAAACAAACCCCCCAAAAACAAAAAAACAAATTTCTGAGGCTATAATTTTGGATAGATACATTAAATTATGGAAGTCAGTGAAAAAAGTGTGCTAAAATCAGATACAGGTTGAGTGTCCCTTATCCGAATGCCTGGGACCAGAAGTGTTTTGGATTTTGAATTTTTTCAGATTTTTGAAATATCTGCATACATATGAGATATGCTGGGAATGGGACTCAAGTCTAAACTAGAAATTCATTTATGTTTCATATATACCTTAAGATATGTAGCCTAAAGGTAATTTTATACACTATTTTTACACGTAGTCATTAGAGACTAGGACACATTAGGTCTGTGCCTTAGCCTTTCAGTCTGTTCCTCCATCTCAAATACTTTTAGATTTGGGAACATTTCGAATTTTCGCATTAGGGATGTGCAACCTGTATTACTAAACATCATTAAAATAAAACCACACGTTTTAAAAGAGCAAATCTCTTACCAGTTGAAATTCTCGACGCCGGTCATAGGCATTCTGTATGCCGCTGTCTGCCCATAATGCTCTTATAGCAGGAAGATATTGTAAGAAAACCCTTGTTTCCACCATTCCTTGGGCTGCCATGGGGGCCCGGGTATCAAACGACATCATCTTATCTCCATGTTGTTGGTTTGAGTTGTCTCCCCAGGGAATATGAAGCTTCTCTCGAGCATCAACCAGCACCCTCATACCTTTGTTTAAAAAGAAGAAAAAAAATGTATGGAGAGGAGTCATTACATATTATCATAAGTTTTTATTCCAGTATTATTTCCTTATACTTCTGAATTAACCTAGACAAACCTTCTTCAAAAATGAAGACCAACATCGAAAACAAATGTAACTTCTCAGAGGTTAAAAAAAATAACAGTTGCTCACTGTCTTAAAATTAGAGCCTTGAAAAGCAAATACTATTAGCACAATTCCTCTCTCTGAAGGATTTTTAACATGTTCCAATTTATAAAATAACTTCTAGGATAGAAGGTAGTCAAAAAACAATCTAACTCAAGAAAGAAAAAGAAGTTATGCTGCACAGACCAACAATGTCCAAGCTCAGAAGAAAACAGACACAACCAAGGTTTTATGAGCCTAAAAGATGTTCATTTATGAAACACTAAGAACCAACTACTATAGCTCCATGTTCTGTTTGTTGCTTCGGCACCCTAACCCAACATTGAGTCTTCTAGCAACACATTCAAAATTTAAAAACTTCTTCCAGCCCAAGTTTCAATCCAGTTTAAGTTACAGGATGGCCTTCAATTTCCCTAAAAGGGAGGAAGATCAACTGCAAAATAATACAAAGTCGGACTCCAACTCACAGAGGTTAGTTGAAACTCATTTTTCCTATCACTGATCTATTACTTTTATTAAGTTTGATCAATCTGAACAGTCACTTGGCTATTAGGAAGTCATCTGAATAACTGAAAAACGGGTGGGGTTTTTTTGTTTTTGTTTTTTAATAGAGACGAGGTCTGGCTATGTAGCCCAGCTGGTCTGGAACTCCTGGGCTCAAGCCATCCTCCCACTTTGGCCTCCCAAAGTGCTGGGATTGCAGGAGTGAGCCACCACGCCCAGCCTGAGAAACTGTTCTACTGTCAAATTTCATGTCAACTTGAAAAAACTAGATTCCTGATGACTTACATCATCTCATAATCAATGCTCAACGTAGATCACACTTACAACTCAGTGTACATTAAGAACGAGGTGTTTACCAGGCTCACAGTCAGTTAACATGTTGATGCTATTCATTAACATAATTCCTTAAGTTCAGCTGCATCAGGTTACAAAGGTACCTTCAATTAAGGACTGTCAAGGCAGAGTCTGCAGCCTTGAAAGAGACCTTAATTAGTTTTGAGCTAAACATTACAGCAGGATAAATACAACTGTTCTTTATAGTTTAACTGCAGAGGTACTAGGGCTAGAGCTGGCTGTGGTCTAGTGATTCTCTCTAATTCATTACTCCATAATGCCTGGCTCTTCAGGCAGTTTTCCTTTACCCAAACGCTGGAAGCTCGGGAGGCGGTTGGCGGGGAGGGGGCGGGGGGGTGACATGCAGAAGTCCCTTATGTACTTCCTGAACAAAAATCCCACTTAAAAAGACCTGCAATCTGTAGCAAACTCCTAAACTGCTCCCCAGATAAAATAAAATCCAGATGCACCTGAGTTACCAGGCGCTGCACCTAAATTTTGCCAAAATGCCTTTTCTATAGAACATACTTGACACGCAGAAACGAGTGTTAATTATCTTTCAAATGACAAAATAAAAACCATCTTTTCGATTTCTTTGAATGCCCAGAAATAAACAACTTGTTTATTTTTCACTTAAGAACAAAGTTTAATTTTAAAACTACTGTCAATAAAGAGCCGAGCCAATTATCTAACTCAACACTCATTCATTGTCTCCATCTGTACAGGATCCACATGACTTTTAGGCCAGTCTTCTTACTACTACATTTCATCTAAATAGAAGCAGTGGTACTCCCTTCCTGCCAGCCCCCAGTTACTTAGCGAAAAGGAGAGTGGAACGTGTTGCACAGAAATCACACGCAAACATCCTACCTGACCGTGACACTGGGGCGAAAAAGCACAGATGCTACATTTTCATGCTAACTGTATGGGTCCACTCTCTCCTGATTCCAGTACAGTCAACCTGACACTCCTCAAGTTTCATATTCTCGCCCAAAAGGAGGCTGTCACCCTACGCCCTTGACAAGAAGTCTCGGGCAAAAAGTTCCCTTATTGCGACGGTTCCAGAACTCGCTTGCTTAGGAGACGGCCAAGGAAGCAGGGAGTTGGGAGCGCATGCGACCCCATGTGACTCGGGTCACCCAGCCAGGGTAGCGAGGTTCGGCCCACATCGCCCGAGCAGGGGATGGGGGTGAAGCGGCTAGGGCTGCTATTGGTGTTCCTGCCTCATCCGCAGCGGGGAGGACAGGAGAGGTCTGCCCACACCCCGAGGCAGCACCCAGCTCGCCCCACTTCCCTCTCGCAGGGGGAGAGACCAGGACGCGGTGGGGGGTGGGGGAATGGCCGTGACGCCCACCGGGGAGACAAGCGGGAGAGCAGGGCGACCCCGAGCATCCTCTCGCCCTGGGGCGCGAGGGCACCCCGGGCGGGCAGGGCCAGTTGCCGGGGCGCGCCCCCTTCCCGCCAGCCCGCCCGCCGGGCCCGTTCCTTCGCCAGCGACACAGCGGACCAGGGCGGTGCCCCGCCCCGCACCCGCCGCCGCCCCAGCCCCCCTGCCCTTAACCCCCGGCCCCCATTCCCGGCCCGGCACCTTTGATCACGTTGCTGTAGATGGTGGGGCGGAACTCCTCGCGCGCGCGCTGGTCGAAGTCCTGCCCGTGGATGATCCGCATCTGCTTCAGGAAGGTGGACTTGCCGCTCTCGCCCGCGCCCAGCAGCAGGATCTTCACCAGCCGCTTCACATAGGTCTTTTCCCGAGACAGGCATTTGTCGATCTCCTTGGACTTGCGTTGCTGCTCGGCCTCGCCACTCGTCAGCAGGCAGCCGGGGAAGCACACGGACAGCACGGACCGCGACGGCAGGAAGTCCGCCATCTTGCCGCCGCCGCCGCCGCCTCGGCGGGCCCCTCCGGCTCCCTCCACCTCCTCCTCCGGCGGCGGGCGGCTCCGGCACCGAGGCTCGAGGGCGGGGAGCGCGGCGGCGGCCCGAGCGCGCCCAGGGAGGGAGGGAACCAGCGAACTGACTCGCAGGGCGGGCCGGGCAGGGCGGGCCAGGACAGCGGGGGAGGGAGGGAGGGAAGGAGGGCGGGCCCGGCCCCGGAGGGGCGGTGGCCCCGGAGCGTGCGCGCTCCCGCTGCCTCCCGGAGGCGCGCTCGCACGCCGCGGCCGCTTCTCCGCCTCCCGCCCTGGGCGGCGAGTCACGAGCTCGATGTGTCGCTCGGGTGCCCGCGCCCGCAGCCGCGGCCGGGCGCGCGGGGAGGGCTGAGGAACCGCGGTCACGTGGGCCAGGCTGGGGAGCCCGACTTTCTGTTTCCCTTTCATGGCCTGAGCCCACTTGTGGGCAGAAGGGCTCCTTCCCCAAGGCCGGGAGGCCGGAGACCAGGTCCCGGACGCGGTTCTTTGGGCTCCCACTTAGCCTCCCTTTCTCCCGCGTTGCGCGCCCGCTGCCCGCTGTCACCGCCCACCCGACCCATTTCGAGGCCACGGACTCGAAAGTTATTCGAACAGAACAGCCGGCGTGAGCCTGGCAGGCCTTTGGTGCATTTTCTTTATTTCATTTTATTTTTTCTCTTTTGAGACGGAGTCTCACCCTGTCGCCCAGGCTGGAGTGCATTGGCTCGATCTCGACTCACTGCAACCTCCGCCTCCCAGGTTCAAGCCATCCTTCCGCCTCAGCCTCCCGAGTAGCTGGGAGTACAGGCGTGTGCCATCATACCCGGCTAAATTTTTTGTATTTATTTTTAGATACAGGGGCTCCCCCCTATGTTGCCCAGGCTGGTCTCGAACTCCTGAGCTCAAGCGATCCTCTAGCCTCGGCCTCCCACAGTGCGGGGATTCCAGACAGAGCCACCAGGCCCAGGCCTGGTGTGTTTTCTTAAAGTGACTCCCTTGACCTTCTAGTCTCCGAATCCCAGAACGGTAACCAGACGTCGTCCACCCCCACTTCCAGCTCTTTCTGGCATTTTCAGACCCCTACCAGGGCTCTCTGTGAGGGGAAAGAACTGGAGTTGATGTTCACTTGAGACGTGCTACCAGGGGCATTTAATGGCTCACTCGTGCATTCCACCTGGGCTGTGATGTGACTTCAGGGACGCTTGGCCGCGCCGGAATTAGCGAGTGGCAGCAGGAGGGTGAGGTCATGGTGAAAATCCCCTACACCGGACACTGTGATGTAGGCTCTTCCCAACAAGGAAGCAGATACACAAACACAACGAGGAATGGGAGCACGCAAATTTTAGCTTTCCTGCCAGATTACAGAGGATATGACCCGTCCAGGGACTTTTTTTCTGTCCTAACAGCAGATTCAGGCCAGGACACCTGAAAGGAGGCCAGGAGACAAGCCACAAGTGACAGCTGTGGGTTGGCAGAGAAACTGCTTAACCGGGACCCCCGAGAGCCGACCTCTTCATTCTTAGTATTTAGTTTCAAGTGGAAAAAGCCACTTTGGTCTGTCCCTGTTTTGGGCAATGCAACGTAGCTTTGGGCTCCTGTGGCTCAGAAACTTCGTATGTATAAGGGAGCGGAGGTAAGAGGTCAGCATTCCAAGAAACTCCCGAACAGGTTTAAATTTTAAAATCGGTACTAATCAGTTACTCCCTGGGGTTGGGTTAATGACCGAGAAGCCTCGACTCAGTAGATTGGCTGCAGTAAACAATGCCTGTAGTAGGATTATCTCCTGTGGCTCTGGCAAGCCCAGAGGGTGGACAACCTACAATATACAAGTAGAGTAGGCTCACCTCCAATATCTGTGGATTGATAAGAGTCAGAATCACTGAGCAGTGCTGTCAGGCAAAATATATGGTAAAAGCCTGCCCTGGATGGAGAATTTTTCCATCATCTCATCTAGTGTTTGGGAGGCCCTGTTCTCTAACCATGCAAGGACTCGCCTCTCCCAGGATTGGGGCATAGAACCTGTCCCCGAGCACTGTTTCTGCATTGACCCCAGGTGCTAATCTGAACTCCAACAAAGAGGAGAGAAACTTGTAAGTTAGGTAGTTAACATCTTTTTTCAGAAGTGTGTGTAATATAATGGAAAACCAAGAATGCCTAGGAGGCAGGAAGGTATTCCTGCCCAGCCAGTTCATGTCGTGACATGCAGAGCAGCAGAGAAAGCTGTTTAAAGCCCTGCGTGTAAGCTTGCCTTGGAACAAACTTGGCTCACATCAAGTCTGGCTGTTCTAGTCAGTGTAGTTTTTAAAAAGAGACCTCTTTGACCTGAAAGTCAAATGAAGGAAGAAGAAGAAGAAGGAGGAAGGAGGAAGGAAGAAAGAAAGAAAAAGAAGGCCGGGCACAGTAGCTCATGCCTGTAATCCCAGCACTTTGGGAGGCTGATGCAGGCAGATGACTTGAGCCCAGGAGTTCGAGACCAGCCTGGCCAACATGGCGAAACTTCATCTCTACTAAAAATACAAAAATTAGTGGGGAGTGGTGGTGGGCGCTTGTAGTCCCAGCTACTCGGGAGGCTGAGGCAGGAGAATTGCTTGAACGTGGGAGGCGGAGGTTGCAGTGAGCCGAGATCAGGCCACTGCACTCCAGCATGGGTGACAGAGTGAGACTCTCTGTCTCAAAAAAAAAAAAAAAGAAAAAGAATGAATGAATGAAAGAAAGAAAAAGAGACCTCTTTGGGTCCAACCTAGGGGTTTGGCTGCAGCTGTCCAGCTTCTTCTAACTGGTGATCAAGACACCTTGTAAATTGTAAACATAAAAATGAGTTAGAGACTTGGTGGTTTCTCAAAGAGGTGAACATAGAATTGCCATATGACCCAGTAATTTTATCCTGGGTATACCCCCCAAAATACTAAAAAGAATTGAAAACAGTGTTCAAACAAAAACTTGTATACCCACGTTCATGGCAGCACCATTTATGGTAGCCAAGAGATTAGCCGGCTGCAGTGGTTCACGCCTGTAATCCAAACACTTAAGCCAGGAGTTTAAGAGCAGCCTGGGCAACATGGTGAAACCCTGTCTACAAAAAAATATATAAAAAGTAGGGGAAGGCGGTGTGCACCTGTGGTCCTAGCTACTCAGAAGGCTGAGGTGGGAAAATCGCTTGAGTCCAGGAAGCGGAGGCTGCAGTGAGCCAAAATTGCACCACTGCACTTCAGCCTGGGGAACAGAGCCAGACCCTGTCTCAAAAAAAAAAAAAAAAAAATAGCCAGATGTGGTGGCACATAGCTGTAGTTCTAGCTACTCAGGAGGCTGAGGCAGGAAGATTGCTTAAATGCAGGAGCTCAAGGCTACAGTGAGCTATGATCATGCCACTGAACTCTAAGTCTGTGTGACAGAGTGAGACCCTATCTCTAAAAAACAAGACACAAAGAGGGGAACAACAGACACTGGGACCTACTTGAGGGTGGAAGGCAGGAGGAGGGAGAGGATTAAAAAAAAAATACCTGGTCGGGTGCAGTGGTTCACACCTGTAATCCCAGCACTTTTCGGAGGCCGAGGCGGGCGGATCACCTGAGGTCAGGAGTTTGAGACCAGCCTGGCCAATATGATGAAACCCCATCTCTACTAAAAATACCAAAAATTAGGCGGGCATGGTGGCACGCGCCTGTAATCCCAGCTCCTCAGGAGGCTGAGACAGGAGAATTGTTTGAACCTGGGAGGCGGAGGTTGCAGTGAGCCGAGATCACGCCATTGCACTCTAGCCTGGGCAGCAAGAGCGAAACTCCGTCTCAAAAACCAAAACAAAACGAAACAAAACAAAAAACATATCGCATACTATACTTATTACCTGAGTGACTAAATAATCTGTACACCAAACTCGAGATGAGCAGTTTACCTGTATAACAAACCTGCATATGTACTCCTAAACCTAAAATAAAAGTTAAAAAAACCCACAACAACAAAAAAGGAATAGCCAAAAGGTGTCCAAATGTCCATCGATGAACGAATGGATAAACCAAATGTCGCATATCTATACATTGCAATTATTCAGCCATAAAAAGGAATGAGGTGCTGACACATGCTGCAACATGAATGAACTTTGAAAATACTAGGCAAAGTGAAACAAAAGGCCCCATATTATAAGGTTCCACTTATGTGAAATGTCCAGAATAGGCAAATCCATAAAACAGAAAGCAGATGGGGTGAGGGAAGTTGTGGGGAGACTGCTTAACGGTACAGAGTTTCGTTTTGGGATGACGAAAATGTTTTTGGAAATAGATAGTGATGATGGTTGGAGAACATTGTGACTGTACTAAATGCCACTGAATTCTACACTGTAAAGTGGTCACATGATTAATTTTATGTTATGTGAATTTTGCCACAATAAAAAAATGAATTGGGGAAAAAAATCTATATTATATATTTGTAATATATATAATATAAATATATATTTTTTATTTTATTTTATTTTTAAATTATTATTATTTTTTTCCAAGACAGAGTCTTGCTCTGTCATCTAGAGCTAGCATGCAGTGGCGTGATCTCGGCTCACTGCAACCTCTGCCTCCCGGGTTTAAGCAATTCTCCTGCCTCAGCCTCTGGAGTAGCTGGGAACACAGGAGCTGCCACCATGCCCTGCTAGTTTTTGTATTTTTAGTCCGCCTCCCAGGTTCAAGCAATTCTGCCTCAGCCTCCCGAGTAGCTGGGATTACAGGCGCCGCCACCATGGCAGGCTAATTTTTGTTTTTTAGTAGAAACAGGGTTTGACCATGTTGGCCAGGCTGGTCTCAAACTCCTGACCTGGTGATCCGCCCACCTTGGCTTCCCAAAGTGCTGGGATTACAGGCGTGAACCACCGTGCCCAGCCAGAAAAATATTTTCTTTAAAAAGTCATTGGCATCATTTAAGGTTGAAGTGCTCACAGTGTGCAACATTCAAAGAATGCAAATGCCATTGTGTTTATTTCAAAATAATACTAACAATTGAAATTCTTTGCAACAGAAGGAAATCTAGCCATTGCTTCAGGTTATACATTGCAATCGTATTAATGATATTTTCATTTTCAGATACATTGTTTTATAACTGAAAAAAATCCAAACTTTTTAAGGGAGTATAAAGTCTACTAGTTAGAATTGAATCTGCTGGATGCTCTATTTCCAACAGACCCAGACGTTAACTCACTGGAAGCGTCTGTATTGTTGCCAGCCAGTTAATCCATATGCAAATAGATTCAGATGCCCTGTGGAGCTGTGATAAAATAATTGCAGCTGTTGATTAGTTGCAATGTTCGTTTCTTTCTGGAAACTCAGTTCAGTGTCCGTCTTGCAAGATAAATAATTAAAGGTGTGATTAAAAACGAAATACATTTCCAAATAGCTTTTCTCCTCTTGTCACCTTAGAAAGAAACAAGCTCTTTCCAACAATACTGCCAGTCTTGAAATCTATTTCTAACTCTTCTGGAAAGATAGGCTTCTTATAGTTACAGTTTATTTTCAATGAAAAAAAAAGGTCTTACTTAGCTTATTTGCCAATCTTTGTGCCAAATAACTTTGGGCTGTTTACAAAAATCAGAATCATCCACAAAGGACAAAAAATGTGTCACCCTCAGACATGTTCAGAAGAATGTGCCAAAGGCTCTAGGAACAGTTCCAAAAGAGGTGTCAAAAATTTTTTTTGATGGGAAATATAATTTAAATAAGTGTTTCCCCTGCCAAGGTGACTACTTACTACTCAGGATGAGACAACGCCCATTTAGATGTTTATTTAAAAATCTGTCACATTACTTGATGGTTAAACCTTGTGTTAATCCAGCCTTCTTATTACGAAACTCTCTTTTGTCTCACCATCAGTACAAAATAGGTGGATTCTAACCCTTCCTTACAGATAAAACAGGCGTAGACTTTTCTTACCTTCCATAGGGAAAGGAAGGGAATTCCCAAGCCCTCCCAAAATACAAATCCCTTGCATTTGTGTCATGTTTTAAATGCCTCAAAGCACTTTGACCTACTTTATCTCATTCTCTGCTCACAGTAGCCCGACTAGGAACACCCAACATTAACCTCGCTCCCATTTAGCAAATGACTCTCTGAAAGCCTCATTCACTGTGGCCAGTTGCAGAGCTGGAACTGGAAGCTGCTTAGTCCAGTGCTTTTTTTTTTTTTTTTTTGGTAGGAGATAAGATCTCGCTCTGTTGCCCAGGCTGCAGTGCACTGGCGCTATCATAGCTCACTGCAGCCTCGATTCTCCCACCTCAGCCTCCTGAGTAGCTAGGACTACAGGTGTGCCCTACCAGGCCTGGCAAATTTTTTAATTTTTAGTATGTTGCCCTGGTTGATTTTGAACTCCTGGGCTCACGTGATCCTCCTGCCTTGGCCTCCCACAGTGCTGGGATTATAGACATGAATGACTGCACCCTGCCCCAGTGTTCTTGACTTTTTCTGTTGTTGTTGTTGTTTAAGAGACAGGCTCTCACTATGTTGTTCAGGCTGGTCTTGAACTCCTGGCCACAAGCTATCCTCCCACCACAGCCTCCCAAAGTGCTGAGATTACAGGCATGAGCCACTATGCCTGGCCCCCCTTGCTCTTTTTGATGTACAAAAATTGCCGTAGTGCCCAGAATGCCCAAGTGTATGAATTTCAAACCTGAGACAAGTAGCTAACTGGACTTAACCTCCAGGCACCATAGAGTTCAGTACTTTATTATTTTTCCAGCCCCTTTCAGGCTGACTGCCATCTTGAAGTTCCCCAGCTCAGACAGATCCTGGTAAGATGTTCTGTACTTTGAACTCAGGCTCTGGTTTGTAAAATATTCCAGGTGGCTGATGGAGAAATAAGAAAAGAGGAGCCAAGCTTGTTTGTTTGTTTATTTGTATGATGCACAAGCCCCACACATTTTTCACTTACCGTAGGAAGATTTAAAAAGAAACCCTTTTGTGTGTGTGTGTGTGTGTGTGTGTGTGTGTGTGTGTGTAATGAAATTTGATGTTGCCTTTACCAGAATAAGCCTCTCATGTGGAAAATTTTGTATGAAACTAGACATGTGGAATCAAATTGGTGGTGGTTTTGTTTGTTGTTGTTAATAACCGAAAACATGACTTTAATTATTGGTTGTATTTTTTCTCAGCCTCCAAAAAAGACCTATGGGCTGCTGTTGACCAGCTGAGACCTCAGCTCCTCCAAAGTCAGAAGCTGGTACTGTCTTAAAGGGACACTGGCACTCCTAAAATCCTTCCACCTTGCTTACTGCGTCAGATAGGTTTAAGGGCAATCTGTATGTAACACTCATCACAAGGCTTTGCCTGTAAATCTGAGATTCGGAAAAACTCAAAACATCGTGCTCACCCCTTCTCCTTTATTTTTACTTACAGCTTTTAAAGCAGAAGGATACATTTTTAGTATTTTATTGCCTGTCAATGCTCTGCGCCTTGCCAGAAACGGATAACGATAATTTTAAATTATTTATGTGTTTATTTTTATGAGACAGTTTCACTCTGTCACCCAGGCTAGAGTGCAATGGTATGATCACAGCTTACTGCAGCCTCCAACTTCTAGGCTCAAGGGGCCTACCTCAGCCTCCCAAGTAGCTGGGACTACAGACCACCACACCCGACTAATTATTTTTTGTAGAGACAGGTTCTCACTTTGTTGTCCAGGCTGGTCTTGAGCTCCTGGCCTCAAGTGAGCCTACCACCTCGGTCTCAAAAAGTGCTATGACTACAGAGGAGAGTCACTGTGCCTGGCCTAAGGATGCTTGAATGTAAATTCTGTTTCTCCAGTGAAGTTCAAGTTGGCAGTCTCAATTCATTCCTCCATGTAAAGATCTTCTGCTCACAACCCGGCAGCAGACAGCAGTTTTCTTTCCCTCGGAACACTGGATTAGCAAGCTTGGACCTGCCCCTTCCAGCAGCCACACTCCTGGCTAGCTTGCTCTGTCTACAGGTAGCATCACATGTCATGGCCTGTAGACCCGGCCTTTACCTCAGTGCAAAATGCCAGGGCATGTCCTCTGGTTGAGTTTATCATCGAGCAGTAAGGGCTCAGAGGGTGCTGAGAAATGGTCCATGCAGCCTTTGTCAGACCATAACACGTGGGCTCCCAGTGCAAATAATATCATAAGTTTTCTTTAAACTCCTGTGTCAGCTGCTACAGAAAAGAAAGGCCTGCTCACGATAGGATTCAGGGAAAGGCAGCAACTGCTGAGTCAGAATGACAGAATTAAAGGGCTTAGCAGATGAGGCACTGTAGCTGAGGTCCCTCATTTACTTTGTTTATTTAGAAACAGGGTCTTGCTCTGTCGCCAGACTGGAATGTAGTGGTGAGATCACTGCTCACTGCAGCCTTACCTGCTAGGCTCAAACAATCCTCTTTCCTCAGCCTCCCAAGTAGCTGTGACCACAGGCACATGCCACCATGCCCTGCTAATTTTTAAATTTTTTGTAGGGATCGGAGGGCGTCTCACTATGTTACCCAGGCTGGTCTCAAACTCCTGGGCTCAAGCGATCCGCCCACCTCAGTCTCCCAAAGTGCTGGGATTACAGGCATGAGCCAATGCACCTGGCCCTCATTTGCTTTAGTTATTAGCTTTCTCCTGGTTGTGGAAAGGTTATGCCAGGCCCAAAGAGGAGAAGAGGAGAAAATAAAAACAAAGGAAGGTGCTGGGTGTGTGGCAAGCAATTGTGTATTTGTGATTGTTTCCCCTTTCTTTGCTCATTAACAGAACTATAATAGGAAAAGCTCCCTTAAGATAGTGAGATACTGGGTGTGGTGGCTCACACCTGTAATTCCAGCATTTTGGGAGGCCAAGGTGGGAGGATTACTTGAACCCGGGAGTTTGAGACCAGCCTGGGCAACATGGCGAGATCCCATCTCTATATCAAATGTATACATATACGTACATATATACATACATATATATATTTTTAAAGATAGCGAGGGAATCGACTTTTCTGTGGAAACCAGTATGGATCATATCAGATTTTTTTTTTTTTTTTTTGAGATGGAGTCTTGCTCTGTCACCCAGGCTGCAGTGCAATGGTGCACTGCAACCTCTGCCTCCCAAGTTCAAGCGATTCTCCTGCCTCAGCTTCCTGAGTAGCTGAGATTATAGGTGTGCGCCACCACGCCTGGCTAATTTTTATATTTTTAGTAGAGATGGAGTTTCACCATGTTGGTCAGACTGGTCTCAAACTCCTGACCTCGTGATCTGCCCGCCTCGGTCTCCCAAAGTGCTGGGATTACAGGCTTGAGCCACTGCACCTGGCCCATATCAGATTGTTTGCTATTCATTTGGTTTTCCAGAGAAGGATGTAGTACAGTGGGGAGAACCCCAGGGAGAACTCAGTTAATAGAACAGAGCCTTGCCTTTCTTATCTGTAAACTGGGAGTTACACACACAGATTTATTGTAGGATTAAATTACAGAACCCCCAGGCTCAGTGTTTGTCCATAAATGGGAGGTTCCGTTTTAGGTTTTTTGAGGAAGGAACAACAAAACTTCTTTAAAAGCCCTTTGAAGGTTTAGCAACGTTGTCACTGTCAGAATGCTCTCTCTGTATCTTTCCAAAGCCCTTCCTTTTATGATTTAAACATGGTTGCTCTCTGTCTCATGCGCAGGCTCACTCACAGCCACAGGTGTGTCCCCAAACAGGATCTGTTTCTGGTGGAAAGGGCCTGATGCAGCAATAAGAAAAAAAAAAATGCCTATTTGGGGTTATATCCAGAATCTTAACTCTGAAGAGAGGAAGGATTTACTAATTCCCACAAGCCTAAGCAATCACTTCTTCAGCCAGAGAGCAGAGGTTAGAGTAGGGATGCTGGCACAGTACAGTAAGAGCAAGAGCTTTTATCTGAGGGGGTGGGGGGCTTGTGCAAAAGGGGGAAGAAAAAGGAGTGGGTTTTGTATTCTTTTTTGTTTTTGGAGACAGAGTCTCACTCTGTTGCCCAGCCTGGAGTGTAGTGGTACTATCTCGGCTCACTGCAACCTCTGCCTCCTGGGTTCAAGCAATTCTCCTGCCTCAGCCTCCTTAGTTGCTGGGATCACAGATGTGCGCCACCATGGCCGGCTAATTTTTTTGTATTTTTAGTAGAGATGGGGTTTCACCACGTTAGCCAGGCTGGTCTCGAACTTCTGACCTCAAATGATCTGCCCACCTCAGCCTCCTGAAGTGCTGGAATTACAGGTGTGAGCCACTGCACCCGGCCTGGGCTTTGTATTCTAATCTGGAAACTGGACATCATAATTTCAGAGGGTTTTGTAGGGGTTATATAAAAGAGCAGGCTATCCATGTTACCATGTTTTCTTCTATCAAAGTGCTTATTGTCCAGTTGATGGACTGGTATCTATGCCATCAAGGTCATGGGCAATGGGGGGTGCCTCATGGGCATGAATGTGGATGAGTCAGCCCGCACGCCCATGCTCTGTGCACTCCTTCACCCCCAGCAGCTGCCACTGGACAGCCCTCAGGCTTAGGATGGGTACATCAGTGGTGCAGTCCTCCCTCAGCACAGCCCTACACCCAGACCTTGGCCCACTTGAATGAATAGCCTTGTAGTCCCCGGTACCTAGGGTTTGGTCTGAGGGGAAGTACAGGCTCTGGTAAGTCCCTTGGCATTGCTCCATGTGTAGGGGTAGCACCAGGCGAGGACCAGAGCAGGATCCTCTAAAGCACAGGCGGGCAGGGGCCTCTGTTGCCTGGAGCTAAGAGTGGTACTGGCTGGGAAGACATAATGCAATAGCATCTAAATTGCCCCTGTTTGTCAAGGGCTGAACTAGACCTCCAAGTTCCAAGACTCTCGAAATGGATCCCAATAGGGACACTGAATGCTCGGCTGAAACACTGCATTGGATTCATGCAGTAGCCAGAGCTTGGCAGGGGACTGTCTGTGCCCTTCCCGTGGGAGCCTGCTGAGGCTCCTGTTGTCACTCTCCTTCTCAAGACTACCCGGGGCAAGAACCCAAAGGGCACTTTATAGAACAGCAGATACAAAATGCATTTTGGACTATCCCTCAGTTATTCTGTTACCCTGGATTTCTGCTAAGGGAAGAAAGTTACCCTCAAGGAATTAAACACACTTCAAGAGGAGGTGAGAGTTCTACCCTGAGGTAGGGTGTGAAGCCCTTAAGGCTTTTCCTCCTCCATGATTTATGAGCTTAGTGTAGGCATTCAGAAGAGTGGAAGGTGCAAGGTGCTCAGATTTATAAAGATTAATACCTACAGGCCGGGCATGGGCGCGGTGGTTCATGCCTGTAATCCCAGCACTTTGGGAGGCCGAGGAGGGTGGATCATCTGAGGTCAGGAGTTCAAGACCAGCTTGGTCAACATGGGTGAAACCCGTCTCTACTAAAAATACAAAAATTAGCCGGGTGTGGTGGTGCATGCTTGCAGTCCCAGCTACTCCGGAGGCTGAGGCAGGAGAATCGCTTGAACCTGGGTGGGGAGGTTGCAGAGAGCAGCCTGGGGGACAGAGCAAGGCTCCGTCTCAAAAAAAAAAAAAAAAGAAAAGAAGAAAAAGAAAAAGAAAAAATTAACACCTACTTCCTTAGATGGTTTTCTAAGGATCACAGATCCACAGAGACTGTGGGCTAATTTGTTACAACAATTAAGGAATTGGGAAAAGGGATGCTATTTAATTCCTCTTGGGACAAACACTCTTCACCCAATAGACTCACCAAGGAGAGCAAAATGAGTTCTGATGGAAAATCTAAACAAACTACATACTTAACAATTTTATGTCTTGTTTCCTGAAAGATTTGACCCTCAATGGTCCTATTCTTAATTACTTAATCATTGACATAAATGAGGGAACAAATAATAGTAGTGATCACTTTATCAATAGGCAGAAACGATGAAGTATTTCTACAATGCCTTTGCCTCCATCCCTCAACCTAGTCTTCTCTTAACATAACAGCATTTTCCCTTTCCTTTCCTTTCCTTTCCTTTCCTTTCCTTTCCTTTCCTTTCCTTTCCTTCCTCCTTCCCTCCCTCCCTTCCTCTCTCTCTCTTCTCTCTCTCTCTCTCTCCTTCCTTCCTTCCTTCCTTCCTTCCTTCTTTCTGCAGTGGCACGATCTTGGGCTCACTGCAACCTCCACCTCCCAGGTTCAAGTGATTCTTGTGCCTCAGCCTCAGGGATTACAGGCACCCACCATCACGCCTGGCTAATTTTTGTATTTTTAGTAGAGACGGGGTTTCACCATGTTGGCCAGGCTGGTCAGAATAACAGCATTTTCTTCGGATTTTTTTTTTTTTGACAAATTACTGTCTTGGTTAATTTTATGTCCATCCCAACAGTGCCAGCTGTTTTTCGAGTTTTACCAGCAGTGGTAGAAAACACACAAAGTTCTCCTTGTTTTTGGTTTCCAGTTCATCTTGCCCCCTCTCCCATCCTTTCCTTCCTCCCCCTCCCTCCCAGCCCTTCCATCCCTAGTCTCCTTTCCCAGGCTGCTCAAGATACCTTGCCTCTGAGGTTCTACAGCATCCTCGCTTCTTTCCATCACAGCACTTGTCACCCTAGATTGTAATTGTCCCCTTCCTTGCCTACCACACCAGAATATGGGTTCTTTGAAGAAAGGGACACAGCTAACTTATTCTGTATCTTCAGCACCTAGCATGGCATATAATAAAGGCCCAATAGTGTTTTTTAAAATTTTTTACTTTTTTAGAGACTGCATCTCGTTCTGTCACCCAGGCTGGAGTGCAGCAGCACGATCACAGTTCACTGCAGCCTTGAACTCCTGGGCTCAAGTGATCCTTGTGCCTCAGCCTCATCACAGCTCACTGCAGCCTCGAACTCCTGGGCTCAAGTGATCCTCCTGCCTCAGCCTCCCAAGTAGCTGGAATTACAGTTGTGCACCACCATGCCTGGCTAAGTTTTAAATTTTTTGTAGAGATGAGGTCTTGCTGTGTTGCCTAAGCTCGAGTGCAGTGGTATGATCACAGCCAGCTAATTTAATTTTTTTTTTGTTTTTTTTTTTTTGAGACGGAGTATTGCTCTGTTGCCCAGGCTGGAGTGTAGTGGCATGATCTGCAAGCTCTGCCTCCCGGGTTCATGCCATTCTCCTGCCTCAACCTCCGGAGTAGCTGGGACTACAGGCACCCGCCACCAGGCCCGGCTAATTTTTTTTGTATTTTTAGTAGAGACAGGGTTTCACCATGTTAGCCAGGATGGCCTCGATCTACTGAACTTGTGATCCACCCGCCTCAGCCTTCCAAAGTGCTGGGATTACAGGTGTGAGCCACCGTGCCTGGCTAAAAAAAATTTTTTTAGAGATGGGGTCTTGCTGTGTTGCCCAGGCTCATCTTGAACTCCTGGCCTCAAGCGATTTACCTACCTCAGCCTTCCGAAGCACTGGGATTACAGAAGTGAGCCACCACACCTGGGCAAGATGCAATAATTGAGCATAATTTAAGTGAGTATGCACCATCTCCAGGCAACCACCCTTCTTCCTGCATTTCTGAGGGTTGGGAGCTGGATTTGCTGTCCACCAGAATGATAGGGAACTATGCAATGGCTAGAAAAGAGACTTTTGGCTCATCTCTACTGGTTAGAACCAGAGTCCTGGGTCTTACTGCATACTATGCTACCTAGAAATGGGTAAATAGGCCAGGTGCGGTGGCTCACGCCTGTAATCCCAGCACTTTGGGAGGCCAAGGAGGGCAGATCACGAGATCAAGAGATCAAGACCATCCTGGCCAACATGGGGAAACCCTGTCTCTACTAAAAATACAAAAATTAGCTGGCTGTGGTGGCGCACGCCTGTAGTCCCAGCTACTCGGGAGGCTGAAGCAGGAGAATTGCTTGAACCCAGGAGGGGGAGGTTGCACATAATACCACATTGTGGGCTATTAAGTGGATCTAATTAAGGATGTATCTATGTTGGGGTGGGGATGGAAGATTGGGGCACAACAGCATACAACAGACATCAGTCTAGTAGCCTCCTCACAGATGGGCGAGTAGGACAGTCACGTTTCCCTGTGTAGGCCAGGGTAAATTAGAACTTCAGCCATCAATATCAACAACAGATACTTCATGGATTCCCACTCCCATTAGATGTGAGCTGGGGTCAGAAAGAAGTCGGCTGGCATTTTCAAATCCCAGCTCTGGCACCTCGTGCATCTATCGGTTCCTGGTCATGACCCACCTAAGTTCTTTGAGCATCAATTACCTTATCTGAAAAATGGAGCTAATTATGCCCACACGTCAGGGTTGCTGAAAGGGTTAAGTATGATAACATAAGCACCTAGCAAAGTGCCTGGCCCATAACAGGAGTCCAGAAATAGTAGCCTTTGCTGCTAGGTATTGGAGATAAAAAATGGTAACAATGAAGTCATTATATACATACAAAGATTTTAAAAACCAACACAAAGTTGCATATACTGAGTTTTAAAGAAGGTGTGCTGATCATTGCTTCAGGAATGCAGAGACCAGAGCACTGTTAACAAAAATACAATGCAAGCCACCTAGATAATTTTAAATATTCTGGTAGCCACATTAGAAAGGTTAAAAGTTCATGTAAAGTTTCTTAAAACTTAAAATTGTATAAATAAAAATGTTAAAAGAAAGTGAAATTGATTTTGATAATATTTTATCAAGTCCAATATCTCTAAGGTATTATTTCAACATGTAATCAATATAAAGATCATTTAAGAGATATGAGACTAAGTCTTCAAAATCCAGTGTGTCTGGGCCAGGCGAGGTGGCTCATGCCTGTAATTCCAGCACTTTGGGAGGCTGAGGCAGGCAGATCACCTGAGATCAGGAGTTTGAGAGCAGCCTGGCCAACATGGTGAAACCCCATCTCTACTAAAAATACAGAAATTGTTCGGGTGTCACCACACCCGTTCCTGTGGTCCCAGCTACTCAGGAGGCAGACCCAGAAGAATCATTTGAACCTGGGAAGCGGAGGTTGCAGTGAGCCAAGGTTGCACCACTGCACTCCAGCCTAGGTGATGGAGTGAGACTTCATTTCAAAAAATAAAAATAAAAATAAAAAAAACAACAACCAGTGTGTCTGGAGGAAGAATTGTTTCTGAGAAAACCAAAGAGAAAGAAAAGAAAAGAAGAAAGAAAGAAAGAAAGAAAGAATCCAGTGCATGTGTTTTATATTTGCAGCAATCTCAGTTCAGATGTGAAATTTTCGTCAGAGATACTTCATCTGTATTTAAATTTCATAAAATTTGCAGTAGAAAAAGTAGATTCACAAAACCAAGCTGCTCCAAATGTAGTCATACAATTTCTAGTCAGAGTTAAGTATCAGTCTTAAAATTAATTAAAATTAAATAAAAATTCCAATTAGTGACACTAGCCACATTTCAAGTGTTCAGTAGTTACCTGGAGCTAGCAGTTATTTCCTGGGCTAGTCCATGGGAAGTGGGCAGGAGCCTTGAATGATTGGATATGAGGAAAGGAGTAGGGAAAGGCAGATGGAATAGCCTGAGAGCCGGCATGCAGCTGGCGTGAGCCTGGGACAGTGTGGAAGCCAGTTTGATTAGGACCAACAAGCTGAGGCTGATGAGTCAGGGTAGAGTCAAATTGGGAAGGGTTTGGACTTCAGGTTATGAGGTTAGCATTTTGTTCTGTTGTTAAACAGTAACCCCTGGAATATTTCTTTTCTTTTCTTTTTTTTTTTTTTGAGATAGAGATCTATCACCCAGGCTGGAGGGCAGTGGTGCCATCTTGGCTTACTGCAACCTCTGCCTCCTGGGTTCAAGCGATTCTCCTGCCTCAGCTTCCCGAGTCGCTGGGATACAGGCGCGCACCACCACGCCTGGATAATTTTTATATTTTTAGTAGAGACAGGGTTTCCCCATGTTGGCCAGGCTGGTCTCAAACTCCTGACCTCAAGTGATCTGCCTGCCTCGGCTTCCCAAAGTGCTGGGATTACAGGCATAAGCCACTGTGCCCAGCCAACAGGAATATTTCTGAGCAAGGGGCAGGCAATGTGAGCACTGTTTTAGGTTAACTGTCTGGCACCAGTGCCCGTGAGGGGATGGAGAAAACAGACACCATCCAGTGAGATCAGGTTGGAGATGGCTGCAGTGATTCAGGTATGGGGTTAAAGCACCTAGCTAGCATGTGAGCCAATAGAACCATTCAGAGGCTTTACAAAGCCATACTCCAAAGGACTTAGAAACCAGCCAGGCTATTTAGAGATAGCTCTTTAGAGGAAAGAGGCAGAGAGGGCAGGAAGCTTGGGGCCTACGTGCCTGGGAGACTGGGTGGACACTGAAAAGTTCAAGGAACCAGGGTGATTCTGTTGGTTAGGACATGACTCCCTAAGACAGATAACTGAACCCAGACCCTGGAATCTGTATTTTTTAATTGATTTTTAAAACGTAAATGTAAAATGTGTAACACCCACCCCACCCTCTGAATCACAGTGACCCTGGACTTTGCCCTGAGTCTCTGAGATTGTTCAGAGACACTCCTTTGTTCTAGGGAACTCTTTGAGGTGCTGGGTCCAAACGGGATTCGAATTAAAGGCGCTTCAAACTCAGAAGTGAGAGAAAAAGGAAGGCTAGGCAGCAACCCCTGGGCTCTCTGGCTTGCTGTTTCTTACCCCGACATCTTCCCTGGGAAATGCATTACTTCTAATGTGAATTTAGGTTTTGCTGTGCCTTATGGAGGAGGCTCCGCTGGGGAAATTGCTCCTCCTCTTCCCCTCAGCTTCCCTAATCTTCCACTCCCCTGAGTCTCTGCAAAGTCCAGTCACCACACGCAGACAGACCAGGTCAAAAGCAAGCCTCTTGGGACTCAGACAGGCTGCGGGCACTCAGCGACTGACCCATGGACTGCGCTTTCTGTTATGTAAAACAAGCCCAACGCTGCATTGTTCAGACATATGAGGAGTGCCCACCCTGGGTTGGGTACTGGGCTAGATGCTGGGAGTAAGAGTTTATGGGGTGATCACAGTCAACCTGGGCGAGGCAAATGTGTCACCCAGCTCCTACAGTGCTAAGTCCTCTGTGCCATGATGGGGGCAGGGACAGCTGCCCAGGACTCTGACAGTAAGAACTAGCCTGGAGCTTGGCATGAGTTTCAAAAGAAGAGGAAGAGGCTGGGCACGGTGGCTCATGCCTGTAATCCC
This sequence comes from Homo sapiens, assembly GCF_000001405.40. Classification (NCBI taxonomy): domain Eukaryota; kingdom Metazoa; phylum Chordata; class Mammalia; order Primates; family Hominidae; genus Homo; species Homo sapiens. Next base: position 65,073,691 of record NC_000017.11, read on the forward strand.
AGCACTTTGGGAGGCCAAGGAGGGTGGATCACCTGAGGTCAGGAGTTGGAGACCAACCAACTCCTGGCCAACATGGCAAAACCCCATCTCTACTAAAAATACAAAAATTAGCTGGGCATGGTGGCTTGCGCCTGTAGTCCAGCTACTTGGGAGGCCGAGGATCCCTGGAACCTGGGAGGCAGCCAAGATCGGGCCATTGCATTCCAGCCTAGGCAACAGAGGGGAAGGAGGGCGTTCTGGGCTGGGGAACCATATGGGGTAAAGACACAGATGTGGAATAATAATGCAACCATAATAGGATGATGATGGCGCTTGTTGTCTGCTGAGCTCTTGTTGCATGCTGGGCACTGTTCAAGGGGTTCTCATCTATTAGCCTTCTCATTGCTCAGAGGGAAAAACTGAAGCTCTGAGCAGTAAAATGCACTTGTCCAAGGTCATACTCAAGGAATGGTGCACATTCAAACCCATAAAAGCCTGACTCATGTCCACTTCTTTTTTTTTTTTTTTTTTTTTGAGACAGAGTTTCGCTCTGTCACCCAGGCTGGAGTGCAGTGGCGCGATCTCAGCTCACTGCAAGCTCTGCCTCCCGGGTTAACACCATTCTCCTGCCTCAGCCTCCCGAGTAGCTGGGACTACAGGTGCCTACCACCACGCCCGGCTAATTTTTTGTATTTTTGGTAGACACGGGGTTTCACTGTGTTAGCCAGGATGGTCTTGATCTCCTGACCTCGTGATCTGCCCGCCTTGGCCTCCCAAAGTGCTGGGATTACAGGCGTGAGCCACCGTGCCTGGCCTCATGTCTACTTCTTTAAGCAGCGCAGATCTGCAAACCACTGAGCAGCCTATTGGGAGTACTGGGGAACCCCACACTGGTCTACAAAAACTAGGTTTTATTATGGTTTTGATGAGTGGACCAAAGTCATGAAGCAGGGGTGTCATGAGGTACTTCCTATTTCTCATTGGAATAAACTGGAAGAATTGAACAGGTAATTCTGTGCAGGACGTGAAAGGGATACTTAAGCTATTGTCATGGCTCTGCTCAGCCTGCAATATGGAGCCAGCAGTGTGCAGGCAGCCCCCGCCCCTCTCCCCCAGCCCCCAGCATGTCCCAGCAGCTTAGAGCCCCCTGGCTGGGTGGGTCTGGGCAGGCGCTTCCTCCCGGAGCTGGCTGGGCACCGCTCCCAGACCCAGGCTTTTCTAGGTCAGGCAGTTCTATCTTCAGGCTGGCCCGAGGATACGGTTTGTGTAAACTGCAGACATTGCTGGCGTGCTGTGTAAACACAGACTATCTCCCACTGCAGCTTTTCCTTTGGGGAGGCTCCCCCTCCAGTTGGGATACTGGATTCCAACTTCTTATCAACTTGTGTTTCCTATTCTGATATAAGGAAGCTATTAAAGTCCCTTTCCTGGTATTGCCTTGACCCCATCAGGACTTAACTTGTGTGGAAGCAGATGTCCTTTAGAGAAGTTTTTCACACACCCCCGCCCCCCCCATCCATTACCCAGCCTCAAATTCTCCACTTTAAACAAACCTGCAGGAATTTGTTTTCAAAGCCTTAGGCCCCGAACATTTACTTTCTACTCCAGCTAGTTAAAATGTGTTTTCTTGGCTTTTTGGGCCCTCCTTGATGGGTCCGCTGCTTCTTTCAGCTTCTTTCATCTTATGTCTTTTTTTTTTTTTTTTTTTTTTTGTGAGACAAGAGTCTTGCTCTGTCCGCTAGGCTGGAGTTCAGTGGCGCGATCTCAGCTCACTGCAACCTCTGCCTCCCGGGTTCAAATGATTCTTCTGCCTTAGCCTCCTGAGTAGCTGGAATTATGGGAGTGTGCCGCCATGCCAGGCTAATTTTTGTATTTGTATTTGTATTTGTATTTGTATTTGTATTTTATTTTATTTTATTTTATTTTATTTTATTTTATTTTATTTTAGTAGAGACAGGGTTTTATCATGGTAGCCAGGCTGGTCTCAATTTCCTGACCTCAAGTGATCCGCCCGCCTCAGCCTCCCAAATTGCTGGGATTATGGGTGTGAGCCAACGCGCCTGGCCTCATCTTCATTATTTCTAAACTTTTTATGCTTTTCAATGTCAGTCTACTCTTCACTGCCCCTAAATAAGGCCTTGCTCGACTCTTTTTAAACATTTCCTCATATTTCCCTGCTTCCTTCTTGCCCTTCTGACTGTGACAGTCCTGTCCTCCATCCTCCTTTCTTTCCAAGTTTTGCTGACGGGAGGAATATGAAGAAAAAGAAATGAGGAAAGACATTCCTTCAAGATCTAGCTTATAGACCGGATAATAATCTGAACATGCCCTGAGCCCTCTAATGTTCATTTTTCTCCCTTTCATCTGAACTCCTGTGGAGCTCATGGTCTCTATACACAATTTAGTACTAGCAGTAGCCGGCCTCCAGGGTAGCCCCAATGTGACTCTATGCCTGGTATTCATGCATACAGGTCTGGTGGCATGCACCTGTAGTCCCAGCTGCTTGGGAGGCTGAGGCAGGAGGATTGCTTGAGTCCTGGAGTTCTGGGCTGTAGTGCACTATGCCAACTGGACGTCTGCACCAAGTTCAGTATCAATAAGATGGCCTCCCAGGAGCAAGGGACCACCAGGTTTCCTAAGGGCTTAATAATAAGTGCCCTGGCCAGGCGCAGTGGCTTACGCCTGTAATCCCAGCACTTTGGGAGACAGAGGCGTGCACATCACTTGAGGTCAGGAGTTCGAGACCAGTTTGGCCAACATGGTGAAATCCTGTCTCTACTAAAAATACAAAAATTAGCCAAGTGTGGTGGTGCACGCCTGTGATCCCAGCTACTCGGGAGGCTGAGGCATGAGATTTGCTTGAACCCAGGAGGCAGAGGTTGCGGTGATCTGAGGTCATGCCATTGCACTCCAGCCTGGGCAACGAGAGTGACACTCTGTCTCAAAATAATAATAATAATAATAATAATAATAATAATAATAATAATAATAATGTTCCCAATAAGGTCTCAATAGATGCCTGATGGTCAGGTGCATCCCCTAGCTCAGTACTGTCATTTAACAGGTTGAATGATAGTGCCATTGTGGCACTTTTCACATGGAAAGATCTTAGAAGTTTTTTCCTGGCACAAGCAGAACTGCTGCCACACAGAGGCCCAGACAACGACACTGCATGAATAAATGTATTTTTTTAGCTAGAGCCATGAGGAATCGTATCCTGATGGGTTTACCCAAACAGGCTGCTACCAAATGTGAGGCTGGGGTTGGGCCACAGGATTTGACTTGTGGTCACTCATGTTCCTTGATCCTCTACGCTCCTATCCTGCCCATTCTGGGGTGCTCAGCTCTCACCATGGACCTGGGGACATTAAAAGTCCCTTCCCTTTATTAGTCAGACACCTGCAAAAACCTCTGGCATCTATTTCACTTAACAGCACAATCAGTCATGTTCCACGTAAACATCAGCTCATTTCAGCTCCTGTCTCCTACTCTGGGAGTTGGAGCTTTGAGAACCTGGGAAAAAAGAGGATGAGGAGACTGTAAAATTGTGGAGTCCTTGTTTAAGATGATCACTAGCTGGGTGGTGCTAGTGGGACCCTGATAGGATGGGTGGCCAGCAGACCCCCAGCTGAGTAGGCTTCTTTGTGTCATTTTGCTCCAGCATTGACCTGAAAACTCAACAATTGTTTTTTTTTTTTTCTTTCTTTCTTTTTTTCTTAGACTCTTGCTATGTTGCCCAGGCTGGCCTTAAACTCCTGGGCTCTTGCTCTACATATTCTCAGTCCAATAAAAAAGGAAAAAAATATGACAGGGCATGGTGGCTCACACCTATAATCCCAGCACTTTGGGAGGCCAAGGCAGTAGGACCACTTGAGGGCAGGAGTTCAAGACCAGCCTGAGCAACATGATGAAACCCTGTCTCTACAAAAAAATACGAAAATTAGCTGGGCATGGTGGTGCATGCCTGTAGTCCCAGCTATTTGGGAGGCTGAGCGGGGAGGATCACTTGAGCCCAGGGAGATCGAGGCTGGGCTCGAGTAAGCTATGATTGTGCCACTGCACTCCAGCTTGGGTGACAGAGCGAGACTCGTTTCAATTAAAAAAACAAACAAATAAATAATAATAAAAGAAAAGAGAAAAAAAAATTCCGGGGCTCAAGCTCTCCTCCCATCTCAGCCTCCCAAGTAGCTGGGACCACAGGAATGCATCACTATGCCTGACTCTCTCCAGTTTTTTTTTTTTTTTTTTTTTAGACAGAGTTTCACTCTGTCGTCCAGACTAGAGTGCAATGGCACAATCTCAGTTCACTGCAACCTCTGCCTCCCAAGTTCAAGCAATTCTCCTGTCTTAGCCTCCCAAGTAGCTGGGACTACAGGCGCTGCCACCACGCCAGGCTAATTTTTGTATTTTTAGTAAAGACAGGGTTTCACCATGTTGCCCAGGCTGGTCTCGAACTCCTGACCTCAGGTGATCCACCCGCCTTGGCCTCCCAAAGTGCTGGGATCATAGGCGTGAGCCACCGCACCCGGCCACCAGTTGTTTTTAAAATTAATTTTACCCAACATTTTTTGAGTCTTTACTACAGCAGAACCCAAGGCCCTAAGGATTAATATGGCAAGGTCCCTGCCTTCCAACGTGTTGACATCTAGCGAGGAAGAAAAGTGTAACATATTTCTCAGATCATCCTGAGGACCTGGACAGGGGAGGGAGAGGGCTGAGAGCAAGGGATGAGTATGGAAGTTGGTGGAGTCCAGGTTTCAAATTGGAACATCATGGCCACAGCCATTTAAATGTGATCCTGGTGGCCTGCTCAGCCTTCTGCATCTGGAAGCAGGATGTCAGGCTGGATGGAAAGTGCTGCTTTTACATCCTGTTCCAAGGGCTTCCTGGAAAGACAGAAGAAAGAAAAAGAAAGCACAGGCACTTGAGTCCCAGCCCGCTTCTCTCCCTGCAGCAGTGAGTCACCCTGGGAAAGAGTCAGTAGAACCCACTAGAGCATCCTGAAACTTGACTTGTTTGTTTTGACCATGGCATGAGACTGGAATATGTCCTGGGGGCTGGCCTGTGGGAATGGGCACAATAGCTCTACCAGTCTCCTTGACACCCTTCGAGATCGCAAGCACTCCACGGACTCCTGGTGCCTTAGTTGAGCAGGATTTAGTGACTCAATGCCCAGCACTGGAAGCCTGTGGGGTGTTAGGCCCTGAGCTGGGAGCTGGGGATTTGAGCATGCTGAGGATCACTTTCTTGGGGCGGGGGGGCTCAGGTTTACAAATTACTGCATGTCACAGACTTATGGGGTCACCAGAGGCAGTTGGAAGCGTAATTTAAAATCAGTGACTACAGCCAGGCACGGTGGCCCAGGCCTGTAATCCCAGCACTTTGGGAGGCCGAGCCAGGCAGATCACCTGAGGTCAGGAGTTTAAGACTGGCTTGGCCAACATGGTGAAACCCTCTCTCTAATAAACATACAAAAATTAGACGAGCGTGGTGGTGCAAGCCTGTAATCCCAGCTACTCCGGAGGCTGAGGCAGGAGAATTGCTTGAACCCAGGAGGCAGAGGTTGCAGTGAGCTGAGATCGCACCACTGCACTCCAGCCTGGGTGACGGAGCGAGACTCCATTTCAAACAAACAAACAAAACAAAATAAAAAAAAACACCAAAAAATAAAATTGGTGACTGCCACTTTTTTTTCTTTTTTTTATTGCACTGAGAATATGCAGAGCAAGAGCCCAGGAATTTAAGACCAGCCTGGGCAACATAGCAAGAGTCTGTCTCTAAGAAAAAAAGAAAAAGAAAAATAATTGTTGAGTTGTCAGGTCAATGCTGGAGCAAAATCACACAAAGAAGCCTACTCAGTGACTGCCAGGATCCACTTGGCACTCCCAGTAGAGCCCCAGGGGGACTCCACATCCAGTTAGTATTCCAACACCCCCCCACTTCCCAGCGAGGAGGGGCTTGAGCCTCCCCAGATGTATGCATTTCCTGGGGCTGCCATAACAAAGAACCAAAAGCTGAGAGGCTTAAAACAACAGACATTTACTATCTCCCAGTTCTGGAGCCTGGAAGTCTAAATGCAAGGCGTCAGCAGGGCCGTACTCTCTCCGATGGCTCTGGGTTAAGAACGCTTCCTCGTCTCTTCCAGCTTCGGTTGCTGGCCAGCATCCTTGACATCTCTATTCACATGGCTGTCTCCTCTCCGCATCTTCACACTGCCCTCCCCTCTCTATTCACATGGCTGTCTCCTCCCCACATCTTCACACCACCTTCCTTCTGTATTTCTGTGTCCAAATTTCCCTTGTTTACAAGGACACTAATCATATTAGATCAGGGCCCCCGACCTCATTTTTTTTCTTATATATATGTATATATAATGAAAAATAAATATTATAAATCTAATATAATATTTTTATTTTTCTTATATATGTATATATAATGAAAAATAAATATTATAAATCCAATAAACTATAGTCATATTAATATAATATTTAATATATTATAAATATATAGCTTATATAAATGTTTATATTATATTATATAAAAATGTTAAATTTATATATAATACATGATATATAACATTTACATTTATATTTTATATATTATAAAAATATCATATATTAAAATATATTTAAACTATAAATATATATTCAATAAATATGTAACAATATGTACATATATGTGTGTATATATATTTATAAATATAATTGAGATAGTGTCTCACAGTGTTGCCCTGGCTGATCTCAAACTCCTAGGCTGAAGTGATCCTCCTGCCGCAGCCTCCCAAAGTGCTGGGATTACAGGCCTGAGCGGCTGCACCCAGCCCTGAACCTCATTTTAACCTGATTACTTCTGTAAAGACCTTCCTTCCAAATAAGGCCCATTCTGAAGCAGTGGGCGTCAGGACTTCAGCATATCCTTCTGTGAGTGTGGGAGGGGGTCACAATTCAACCCGTAACACCAGTCTTAATAAAACTTTTTTTTTTTTTTTTTTTGAAACGGGGTCACGCTCTGTCCCCCAGGCGCGATCTCGGCTCACTGCAAGCTCCACCTTCCGGGCTCACGCCGTTCTCCTGCCTCAGCCTCCCGAGTAGCTGAGACTACAGGCGCCCACCATCACGCCCGGCTAATTTTTTTGTATTTTTAGTAGAGACTGGTTCACCGTGTTAGCCAGGATGGCCTCGATCTCCTGACCTCGTGATCCGCCTGCCTCGGCCTCCCAAAGTGCTGGGATTACAGGCATGAGCCACCGCACCCGGCCAATAAAACTATTCTTGGCAAGACCTGCAGCAACGTAAAACTGTGGCCAAAAGTATGAACTGTGCAGCTAGAAGGACTTGGTTTGACACCAAATCCAAACCTCTTGCCAGTTTTCTGAACCTGGCACATCACTGCAACCTCGGCCTTCTGGGTGTCCTCTAAGATAAGGACAATAGTGCTTCCCTCATAGTGCTTGTAGAAAGGGGTCACTACTGATATATCTAGCTATCTAGCACCTAGAATGCCAGGATCAATAAATATTTTATTAAATAAATATATATATTTATATCCTTACTTTTTTTTTTTTTAAGAGATAAGATCTCACTCTCTTACCTGGGCTAGAGTGCAGTGGTGTGATTATGGCTTACTGTAGCCCTGTAGCCTCAACCTCTTGGGCTCAAGTGATCCTCCTGTCTCAGCTTCTCGAGTAGCTGGGACTGCAGGTGTGTGATACCCTGCCCAGCTAATTTTTAAATTTTATTGTAGAGGTGGAATCTCACTATGTTGCTGAGCTTAGTCTTGAACTCCTGGCCTCAAGTGAACCTTCTGCCTCAGCCTCCCAAAGCACTAGAATTACAGGTGTGAGCCACCACATCTGGCCTAGTCCTTTCCTTAAGAGGCACTCTATGGGCAGAAAAGACAATACAGACCTAAACAAGAAATTATAATATATCATGATGTCATAAATAATGGAAATACCAACAAAATACAGTAGAAGCAGAAAGGAAGGCCTGGGGGACTTCCCAGAGGAGGCAACATCTGGAGAAGGGTTTTAAAGGTTAAGCAAGAGTTTGGCAGGCATAGGCATGGAGGTGGAAAACAATAGGGCCCCTTCCGGGCATCATAAGCAATCTGGCATTATAGGACTATAAAGCGCAAGAGAAGGAGAGGTGGGAGATGAAGTGGAAAGAGCAAGCAGGAAACAGATCATAAGTGGCTTCAGGTGCTCTTCAAAGAAGCACAGGCTTTATTTGTCTCCTGTGGGTGACGAGGAGGCATTTCAAGGCTTGGAAATATCAATCAAGTCCCAGAAGAAATGGATAACACACTGAATCTGGGCAACCAAGGAGAGTTTAATAAACGGACCATGAATAAAGACTTGAGAAGGGCTGGGCAAGGTGGTTCATGCCTGTAATTCTAACTTTGGAAGGCCAAGGTGGGAGGATTGCTTGAGCCCTGGAGTTCAAGACCAGCCTGGGAAACATAGTGAGACCCTCATCTCTAAAAATTAAAAAGAAACAAAAACAAAAACAAAAAAACTCAGCTGGGTGTTGTGGTACACACCTGTTGTCCCAGCTACTTGGGAGGCTGAGTTGGAAGGATCACTTGAACCCAGGGGTCGAGGCTACGGTGAGCCATGATTGTGCAACTGTACTCTAGCCTGGGCAAGAGTGAGATCCTGTCTCAAAAAAAAAAGTTGGGGGGGTGGTGCGCGGGGGGATTGAGACGTGATTAGGGAAACAACAAAGGGCGGCGCAGTGCCCCAGCAGAACCACAGCAGGGAACTCTTACTGCATCTAGGCTGGAAGCAGCAAGTGAAAAGAGTGAGAACCAGAATCCCGTAGCTGTAGGAGTGGCCACCTCATGGACATGGGCTTTGGTAGAGGAAGGCAGCTACCAATAACCCTAGGAGCTCAGTGGTTAGATGCGCCAACCTCTTCCCACCCTCCAGTCTTCCTGACCCAGTTGGAAGTCCAAGAGCAAAGAAGTCCAGGTGACAGGGTCTATAGAAACCAGCTACTAGGACATCAGGATGGAAGGGTGGAGATGGAGAGGACATCCGGAGAAGCAAAGGAAAGCTGTCCAGCTCAGAGGTCTGCTGGTGGCTTGGCGGAGGCTGGGTGTAGGGAATTGGTGATAGCCTGACAAGAGAAGCTTTGATTCTGAACTCAAGCCTCTGAGAAGGTTTGGAAAGGCAAGGATGGAGCTACAAGAAATTTAGGAGGGAGAATTGACCACATAATTATAGAAGATGAGTGAAAAGGAAGAGCCTGGAAGTCTAGAAGTTTAGGGTTTGGGTAAAGGCATGAGTGTTGATGCTGTCAACTCAGGAAGAGAAATCAAGAGAAAGAGAAGGTTTTCATTTTGCTCAAGGGCATGGAGGCGAAGGTAGGGGAGAGTGTGATGCTAATAAGCTCAGTTTGGGACTTGTTGAGGAGCCAGAGAGACATCCTAATCAAGATGTCCCCAGGCAGTTGGCAATGTAGGTCTACAACTGTACTGTCCAATACAGTAGCCACTAGCCACTTGTAGCTATTGATTTTTTTAATTTTTAATTTTTTTGTTTTCTTTGAGATGGAGTCTTGTTCTGTCTCCCAGGCTGGAATGCAGTGATGCAATCTCGGCTCACTGCAACCTCTGCCTCCCGGGTTCAAGCAATTCTCCTGCCTCAGTCTCCTGAGTAGCCGGGATCACAGGCACCCACCACCGCACCCAGCTAATTTTTGTATTTTTAGTACAGATGAGGTTTCACCAGGTTGGCCAGGGTGGTCTCGAACTCCTGACTTTGTGATCCACCTGCCTCAGCCTCCCAAAGTGTTGGGATTACAGGCTTGAGCCGGCCCTGTAGCTATTAAAATTAAAATTAAATAACATCTAAAACTCAGTTCCTTAAACACACTAGCCACATTCCTTTTCTCTTTCTCTTTTTTTTTAATATATAGAGATGAGGTCTCACTATGTTGCCCAGGCTGGTCTCTACTCCCGGGCTCTCACTTCAACCTCCCAAAGTGCTGGAATTATAGGTGTGAGTCACCATGCCTGGCCATTAACCACATTTTAAGTGCCCAGTAGCCACATGTGGCTAGTGGCTACCATATTGGACAGCCCAATTTATAGAACATTTTCATTATTACAGCAAGGTCTATTGCACAGCACTTGATTAGAAGATTGGAGAGTAGGTAGGGCTGGAAAGGAGAGACTTGGAGGTCATCAACACGTAAGGGTGGTTAACCATGATGGGATGAGTGAGGTCAGCTTGAAGAGCACGAAGAATGAGAAGACAGATGGACTAAGAGTGAACTCTTTCATGTCCTTTGCAGGGACATGGATGAAGCTGGAAACCATCATTCTCAGCAACCTGTCACAAGGACAGAAAACCAAACACCGCTTGTACTCACTCATAGGTGGGAATCGAACAATGAAAACACTTGGACACAGGGTGGGGAACATCACACACTGGGGCCTGTCATGGGGTGGGGGGCTGGAGGAGGTATAGCATTAGGAGAAATACCTAATGTAAATGACAAGTTGATGGGTGCAGCAAACCAACTTGGCACATGTATACCTATGTATCAAACCTGCATGTTGTGCACATGTACCCTAGAACTTAAAGTATTAAAAAAAAAAAAAAAGAGTGAACTCTTGCAGAACACACACATTTACTGGGCAGCTTGAGGAGCCAGCAAAGAAGACCAAGAAACAGCTATCAGATGAAGACTAAGAACTAGAATAGAGTCATGTCCCGGAAACCCAGGAAGAGCCATCAAGAAGGGAGAGGTGAGCAGTGTAAAATGTTGCAGATAGAACAGAAAAGGGGGAGCAGGCACAGTGGCCCTCTTTTGTAGAGCTGCAAATCCCAACACTTTGGGAGGCTGAGGTGACCAGATCACTTGAGCCCAGGAGTTCCAGACCAGCCTGAGCAACAGGGTAAAACCTGATCTCTACAAAAAAATAAACAACAACAACAACAACAACAAACTAGCTGGGAGTGAATGGCACACACCTGTAGTCTCAGCTAACCAGGAGGCAGAGGGAGGATCACCTGAGCCTGGGAGGTTGAGGCTGCAGTGAGCCGTGATCATGCCACTCCAGCCTGGGTGACAGAGTAAGACCCTGACTGGGGAAAAAAAAAAAAAAAAGGAATGCAGGGTGTCTCTTGCAGTTGACATTTGGCAGGACATTTGTGAAGAGAGCAGTTTAAATGAAACAGGGATGGGACCAATTCCAGATTGCCCCAGATTAGGGAGTAGATGGGAGGAGAGCAAGAGACGACCACCCACCAGAAGGGACAGAGAAGGGCCGAAAACAGATAGAGTGGTAGCAAACAGATATAAGTGATAGCTGAGGGCAGGGAAGGGAGGACCACATTTTTTTAAAAGATAGAAAAGGTGGCCGGGCACGGTGGCTCACACCTGTAATCCCAGCACTTTGGGAGGTTGAGGCAGGCGGATCACCTGAGGTCAGGAGTTCGAGAGCAGCCTGGTCAACTTGGTGAAACCCTGTATCTACCAAAAACACAAAAATTAGCCAGGCGTGGTGGCAGGCGCCTGTAGTCCCAGCTACTCGGGAGGCTGAGGCAGGAGAATTACTTGAATCCGGCAGGCAGAGGTTACAGTGAGCCAAGATTGTGCCACTGCACTCCAGTCTGGGCGACAGAGCAAGACTCTGTCTCAAAAATAAATAAATAAATAAATAAATAAATAAATAAAAATAAAGGATAGAAATGGCTTTAGCATATTTATAGATCAAAAGAATAGGGATGGGCAAGGTCAAAAAGGAGACAGGAGGAGAGCACACACAACTGGAGGGGGTGGCCTTGAAGAGGAAAGAGATACATCGCCCTCTAACAGGGGCAGATGAAGATGCATTTGTGGTGGGGGAGGTAGCAGTCAAGGCTGCCAGCTGCTTAGCTTAGCAAATGCATTGTCAGCTGCCAAGAATGAGAGGAGTGGAGGCTTGGTCAGGAGCTTGAGAAGATGGGCTAATGTGTGAGAGCCGCAGAGGGAGCTGCCAAGTTCAAGAGGGGGATGAACAGTTTGGGGACCCCAATTGGACGGTGAGCCTTGGGAGTGTCCTGATGTGATGTCACAGTTACGTTTCGTGAAACGCAACACAGATGGTCCCGTACCTGGGGGACTGGAGGGTGAATCTTCACACCAGGGTGGGAGGACCCGAAGAGTGAAGGAGATGGAATTTGAAACTCCCTGTCTAAAGAAAGAAAGTGGAACTTGTGGAATAGTAAACAAAATCCTTGCAGGTGCTCCCGTTTTCATTTCCTTTGCATATCCTGGCTCAGTCATCTTCCTGCACCCTTGCAGATGTTGCCATTCCCAGGAAAATCAGGGGCAGAGAGCAGCATGGGTGGGAACTGGAAAGTCCCTGCCGTGGAGGGTCTTGGGGGGATGCACCGGCTCCTGCTCCCCCATCTGCTGCTCACGGAAGGAGACGCCTGCCGGAAGCACAAGGAGGGGCTGGGGGTCTGGAAGGCTGAGCTTGAGTCACAGGAACACTAGGGATGCCAAGACCCCTCGGGAGGTCTTGGTGGCTGGTGTCTCTGAGGGCCATCAGCTGGTGTCTCTTTGGCCGAAGCAGCCCAGGCAGGGATTGGGAAAGGTTAGGAGTGTGGACTCCAGAACCAGCCTGCCGAGGGCGAAACTCCAGTGCTGCCACTTACCATTCAAAGCTACAGGACCCAGGCGAGTGATTTAAAGCCTCTGTGACTCAGTTTCCCCAAGTGACTTAAAGCCTCTGTGACTCAGTTTCCCCATCTCTAAAATGTGGATCATAATTGCTGCTTCCTCATAGGGATGTTTTTGTGAGAATTAAATGAATTGAAAGGTGGGGACCCCAAACACCCAGTAAAGGTGGGGTATGATCCTTTAGCTCATGGCTGAGTGCCTGCCACTGGGAATTCAGCTTGGGTTGTCTGAGTCAGAGGGGCCTGGCACTGAACCCCAGCCCTCCACCCAGACCACTCAGGACTCCCTTAAGATCCTAATGGGTGTAGAGTGTGCCTGCCTTTCCTTCCTTCCCTTCCCTTCCTTCTCTTTCTTTCTTTCCTTCCTTCCCCTTCCCCTTCCTGTTCTCCCTTCCCTCCCCCCCTTCCCCTTCCCATTTCCCCTCCCCTCCCCTCCCCTCCCCTTCCCTTCCCTTTCCTTTGCTTCCCTTCCCTTCCCTCTTTCTTTCTTTTCCTTCCTTCCTGAGACAGGGGTCTCAGTATGTTGCCCTGGCTGGTCTCAAACTCCTGAGCTCAAGCAATCCTCATGCCTTGGCCTCCCAAAGTGCTAGGATTACAAACATGAGCCACTATGCCTGTCCTACACTTTTATTTCTGATAAAGGCTAAGTGAAGACCTTAGCTTAGTCTGAGAGCCAAATGGGCCTGCCTAAAGTTAGAGTGGGGTGGACTCTCCCACCTGGTCACAGCCACGCTGGCCCCAGGCGGGGGCTGGCCTAGGGTGGAGTAATGCAGAATAGATGCTGCCTGCAGGAAGCTCAGTGCCTAAGAGGAAAGCCATTCATATTAATATGTTATATATTCATGTATTATATATAAATTTAACGGCCGGGCGCGGTGGCTCACGCCTGTAATCCCAGCACTTTGGGAGGCCAAGGTAGGCGGATCACGAGGTCAAGAGAACGAGACCATCCTGGCCAACACCGTGAAAACCCATTTCTACTAAAAATACAAAAATTAGCTGGGCATAGTGGCGGGTACCTGTAATCACAGCTACTCGGGAGGCTGAGGCAGGAGAATCGCTTGAACCCAGGAGGCGGAGGTTGCAGTGAGCTGAGATCACGCCACTGCATTCCAGCCTGGCAACAGAGTGAGACTCTGTCTCAAAAATAAAATAAAATAAAAAATAAAATAAATAAATTTAACAGTCATATATAATATAATATAAAAATAATATTTATATAAACTATATATTTATAATATATTAAATATTTTATTAATATGAATATAGTTTATATTAGATTTATAATATTTATTTTTCATTACATAGTTCTTCCCAAATGTATTAATCCAGTGAGTCATTCCATCTCTTCTAGGGCCCAGCCAGCAAAGGGGCAAAGCCTCAGCAGTTGTTGCGGGGAGGGCAGACTCAAAGAAGAAAAAGGGAATGGGGAGCAAGCCTTCTCCTAACACTCAGCTACTCCATGTCTCTTATGTCTATTCTACAAACACTTTTATGCTACACTTGGGGCAGGGCGTTGCAACCAGTATAATGGTTCGGCAATGGACTTTGGAGCTGGACTACCCAGGTTTTGAATCTGACCTTCGCTACTTCCCAGTTCTGTGCCAAGTCCACACCTACCTCCAGATTCTCACCTGAACAATGAGGAGGCTATCACCATATCCCCCTCAGGGGCTGGTCATGAAGATTAAATGAGTGGTCTTTAAATGAATGTTTTACAGATAGACTCTATGAGTGTTTGTTATTACCCTTGCTATTAAATGAAAGGCCTTGAGGGCTTTTTTGTTCCTTTGTTTTGCTTTTTGTTTTTTGAGATAGGGTCTCACTCTGTTGCTCAGGCTGGAATGTAGTGGCGTGATCTTGACTCACTGCAGCCTTGACTTCCTGAGCTCAAGTGATCCTCCCACCTCAGCCTCCCAAAAAGCAGGGACCACAGGTGTGTACCACCACAACTGGCTAATTGTGTTTATTTATTTTTTGTAGAGATGGGGGTGTCTCACTATGTTGCCCAGGCTGGTCTCGAACTCCTGGGCTCAAGTGATCCTCCTGCTTTAGCCCCACAAAGTGCTGGGATTACAGGCATAAGCCACCACACCCAGCCCATGAGGCTCGCTGCAGCCTTTCTTTTGAAGAGGGAAAAAGCAAATTTCCAGCTCTCCAGAAAGAAAAAGGACCTCATGCCACCTTAAGTAAAGGAATTTAAATGACGTGTCTGTGCCTCCATGGACAGTGGACAGCTGAGCTTCTTCAGGGCTGGAACCCAGCAGGCAGAAACGGAGGCTCCTGGGGCTGTGTGGTTCCCCATCTCTGGCCTCTGCATTTCTCTCTGAATCTTATTCTTTTGTATATTGATGGAGGAACTGCTGTATCCTAGGTATGGAGCCAAGTGCTGGGAAGAGAGAGTGAATAATAAAATCTCTGCCCTGAAGGCACTGACAAGCCAATGAGCAAGACAGACACTATGGAGAATCACATAAAAATCATCCGTGTTGCAGCATGGGTCAGAATTTTCTTCCTTTTGAAGGGTGAACGATGTTCCACTGCATGTATATAACATGTTGTTTGTCTAGTCATCCATTGATGGGTACTTGGGTTGCTTCTGCCTTTGGGCTATTGTGAATCATGGTGCTATGAACATGGGTATACATTTAACCTTTTCCTTTTACAAGTGAAAAAAAAAAGTACAGTTAAGGAAAATGGACTAAAAAGAGGCATAATAGAAGGATCTAACCTAATAGGGGGAGAGAGGGAAGGTTTTCCCTTGAGGAAGTTCTATTTTGGCTGGAGCCCAAAGGATGAGAAGTTAGCTGGGTAAAAGGTAAGTGAAGAATAGTTTTGGCCACACGTAAGAGCCTCGAGGCAAAAAGAAGCTTAGATTGTTCCAGAAATGGAAAGGGAGCAGTGTGACTGGGGCACAGAAATCCTTAGAGAGAGGGGCATGGGGGGGATCCTTGGGGTGGGCAGCATCCAGATTGAGGGATCATTCAGGACTCATTACAAATGGGCTGTTTTCTAAGAGCTGTGGTAGACAACTGAAGCCCTCTAAGCAGAAAAGTGGAATGTCTAAACATAGAGTTAAAAAAAAAAGTTGCTCCGGCCACAGTGGAGGAATGAATTGGAAGCTAGAAGGAGGTGTGGGGCAGGAGCAAATGCGGGAAGACCAATAAGGCACCATGGGAGTTGCCCAGGCAAGAGATACTGGTAGGGTGGGTGGCAGTGAAGATGACTGAAATTGATGTATTAAAGAAACATTAAGGAGACAGAGTTGGTTAATTTAATGATTGATTGGCTCTCAGGAGTAAGGGAGAAAGGGGTATCTGGTTGAATCCCAGGTCTTTGCGCTGAGCAAGTGAGTAGGTGTTGGTATTATCTGCTGTGATAGGAAACAGTTAAGGAGACATGGGCTGTAGGTGCATAGAAATTATTCACTCGGTTTTGGATATCACAAAGTTGAGATCCCAAATGACATGAGAGGTTATGGTGTTGCTGGGTAGACAGCATTGGACACCCATGGCTTTCAGAAAAGAGGTCTTGTGTGACATGAGATACAGCTGGAAAGGTAGACTGGGCCATGTTTAAGATAATAATAGCACGCCTGTAATTCCAGCACTTTAGGAAGCCAAAGTGGGCAGTTGCTTGAGCTCAAGAGTTCAAGACCAGTCTGGGGCAACATGGAAAATCCCCATCTCTACAAAAAATACAAAAATTAGCCAGGCATGGTGGCACGCTCCTGTAGTCCCAGCTACTTGAGAGGCTGAGGCGAGAGGATCACTTGAGCCTGGGAGTGGAGGTTGCAGTGAGCTGAGATAGCACTACTGCACTTTAGCCTGGGCAACAGAGCAAGACCCTATTGCAAAAAGAAAGAAAGAAAGAAAAAGATAACAGTAGCCAACATTCACCAAATCATCAATATATGACAGATAATATCATTTTTCATTTATAGATGAGGATGTTGAAACATGGAGAGGCTGTGAAATTTACCCAAAGTCAAACAACTCATAAGTGGCAGTGCTGGGAATATAAACCCTGACAGTCTGGTTATTATGTCTCCTGTTGAACCGTTCTGTGATCCTGGAATGCTAGAAGAGCAGGTCTGCCCAGCCTAACCTTTTCCTTTTATAAGTGAAAAAAAAATCATCAAGGATAAGTTACTTGCCCAAGATCACCCCAGCTATTAATAGTTATGGCAGACATGAGGCTATAATCCAAGTCTTCTGACTCTCAGCACATCCCTTTCTACCATACATTCAATTTCACATCTTTTACACTTCTTTTCCCAGATTCATTGTTTTTAGAGATGGAGTCTTGCTCTGTTGTCCAGGTTGGAGTACAGTGGCAAGGTCATAGCTCACTGCAGATTTTAACTCCTGAGCTTGAGTGATCCTCCTGTCTGCCTTCTGAGTACCTGGGACTGCAGATGTGAGCCACCATGCCTTGTGTAGATATTATTACATTTGTAAAAATTTGTGTTTCTTTGTTTTCTAAATTTTCAGTAGGGGACATGTATAATATTCATAGTGGGGAAAAAGAGACTTGCAAAAGCAGAGACATCAATATTATTAAACAGAATTCATCTGACTTTGGTCTAAAGGAGGCATGTGGGGTATCAGAAGACAGGATGGTGTTGCCATATTTGTCTTTGATAATTTCTAGCAAGTGTTTCTGGGAAATTTCTATCATTGCAGGAACTCCATTCCTTAGGATGGAAAGGAGGAAACATCTCTTATTGTAGGGTAGCATATGGAGGAGGTGACCAGGAGGTCTGTCTTAGGGCAAATCGTTCTCCATGAAATCCCTAAAACCCACTCTCCTCCCCACTCCTCCCTTCCTCGCCTGCTCACTGGCCCACCTTGCCTGGAAATGATGGAGGTGCAGGGAGAAGAACAGAGTTCCAGGCTTGCGGGAACAAGACACCCTTTTACTGTCAAGCAAAGCCAATTGATTTAGATGGAGAGAGGTGCTCTAAGCAAAGTGTTTACATTTTCAAACAAAGATGCAAAAGAATGTAAGGATAAGAAGGCGCAAGGTTATCAAAGCTGACTACACTTCCTCAGACTGTTCTCCCTCTAGCAGATGTCTTGGACCAATGTAAAACAATGTAGATTCAAAAAATCAGTTTGATATAGTTACTTATCTTGAAAACTGTTGAGATTGCTCCTTTTCGCCCTTTTTTTACCTACCTTGTCCAATTCATCAAGCTGTCTTCCACTTATTATTCAAACAGGATATATTTAGTTTATTTATATCCCAAGTCATTCTAAAAAAAAAAAAAGTTGTTGTGGCTTACCAATAGATAAAAGCCCAGATAATAAAAGCCAATTGTATAGGAATCAAAATAGGAAAAGAGTGGAGAAAATACTAGAAATCAAATGTTTATTCCAAGGGAGCCTGATGGCAGATCTGAAGTGATCTGATGATCAAGATGAAAAAAGAAACATGATATACATCTCTCTTGAGCAGAGAAACATTTTGAGTTTTTTTAAGGAAAATTAAGTTTTTCTTGGTACAAAACTTTGAAAGAAATTTCTCCTATTATACATGGTAGAGAGATAGAATGGGTAATTCTTTGACAAAAGTGTTTGAATCTGATTTGGTATCAAATCACAATTTTTTTTTTCAAAGAGAAATTCACACAACTAATTCTTTTTTTTTTTTTTTTTTGAGATGGAGTCTCACTCTGTGTGTTGCCCAGGCTGGAGTGCAGTGGTGCGATCTCGGCTCACTGCAACCTCTGCCTCCCAGGTTCAAGCGATTCTCCCACCTCAGCCTCCCCAGTAGCTGGGATTACAGCCACTGCGCCCAGCTAATTTTTTTGTATTTTTAGTACAGACTGGGTTTCACCATGTTGGCCAAGCTGGTCTCAAACTCCTCACCTCAAGTGATCTGCCTGCCTCAGCCTCCCAAAGGGCTGGGATTACAGGTGCCAGCCACTGCACCAGGCACAACTAATTCTTATAATGATTTTAGATAACAGTGGGAAACTGTAACACTGAACTTTAGCCCAGAGATGCTGATTCACAGTGGAGATTTGATCAGTTCTTGAAAGCACGATAGCTTACGCTTAGGTTGGCAAGAACTTTTGGAAGCAAATCCTATTTTCTAACGTGTTAGTCATTCTTTCCATTTGCATCTTTGTTTGCAAATGTAAACAGTGTGTCATCAATGTTGTTATCTAAATCATTTTAATTTTTAACAGGAGGCAGTTTTGGGTGAATCCTGTGACATGCTTCTAGAGACCTATCTCTACCCCTGTGATGATGATTAACAGGAGGAATTGGGGTTATGGTCATTCAGATACAAATCACTTAACTTAGCTCTCATCTGGTACATGTATTTATTTATGTTGTGTCTCTGTGTCTCTTTTCTTTTTGAGACGGAGTCTTGCTCTGTCGCCCAGGCTGGAGGGCAGTGGCATGATCTTGGCTCACTCTAAGCTCCGCTCCCCCAGGTTCACTCCATTCTCCTGCCTCAGCCTCCCAAGTAGCTGAGACTACAGGCGCCCGCCACCACTCCCGGCTAATTTTGTTTTTGTACTTTTAGTAGAGACGGGGTTTCACCGTGTTAGTCAGGATGGTCTCAATCTCCTGACCTCGTGATCCACCCACCTCGGCCTCTTAAAGTGCTGGGATTACAGGCATGAGCCACCGCGCCCAGCCGTTGTGTCTCTTTTCACAAGTGAGTCAACAAGGCATTTAGGAGATGCATGAAATAAAATGATAAAGTATAAATTAAAAATCGGTACAAGAAAAACAAATTAAATATGGAGTCAAGACCAGGGTGGATATAGGGTGAGGTTGGAGAGAATGAAGATATAAAGGCAATAAACTTCTACTATTGCTTCAAGTTGGCTGCAAATTGGCTTTGGGCTTCCTAGAGGGAAGGGGGCAAAGTTCACTTTTTCCCCTCTGGTCTGAAAATGGTGAAGCCCCATCTCTACTAAAAATACAAAAATTAGCCGGGTGTGGTGGCACACGTCTGTAATCCCAGCTACTTGGAGGCTGAGGGAGGAGAATCGCTTGAACCCAGGAGGCAGAGGTTGCAGTGAGCCAAGATCGCGCCCACTGCACTCCGGTCTGGGCGACAGAGCAAGACTCCATCTCAAAAAAAAAAAAAAAAAAAAAAGTCCCATTGAAACATAACTGTACTATTCTTCTAGTCTGTAGCCTGTTACCATCATGAAAAACTAAGTTACTCTTTTTCACCCAGCCCCCAGTGGCTTTCCCTTCTGTGTTGGCTCCTTTTTTTTTTTTTTTTTTTTTTTGAGACGGAGTCTCGCTGTCGCCCAGGCTGCAGTGCAGTGGCGCGATCTCGGCTCACTGCAGGCCCCGCCCCCCGGGGTTCAAGCCATTCTCCTGCCTCAGCCTCCGGCGTAGCTGGGACTACAGGTGCCCGCCACCTCGCCCTGCTAATTTTTTGTATTTTTGGTAGAGACGGGGTTTCACCGTGTTAGCCAGGATGGTCTTGATCTCCTGATCTCGTGATCCACCCGCCTCGGCCTCCCAAAGTGCTGGGATTACAGGGGTGAGCCACGGCGCCTGGCCTCCTTCTGTGTTGATTCCTAAAGAAAAGGGGTTTAATTGGCTCATAATTCTGCAGGCTGTACAGGAAGCATGGTGCCAGAATCCCCTTCAATTCTGGGGAGGCCTCAGGGAGCTTTCACTCATGGCTGAAGGCGAAGCAGGAGCAGATATGTCACATGGTGAGAGAGGGAGCCAGAGAGAAGGGAGAGGTTCTAGACACTTTTAAACAACCAGATCTCACGTGAAGTAACTGAAGGAGAACTCACTTACCACCAGGGGGACGGTGCTAAGTCATCCTTGAGAAATCTGCCCCCATGATCCAATATTTGCCACCATGGCTACCTCCAACGTTGGGGATCACGTTTCAGCATGAGATTTGGAGGGGACACGCATCCACACCACATCAACTTCCATTTCTAAGAGCTCTCGGGGCATCTCTGCAGTGCTCTGTGCTTCTGTTCCATTCTGGAACAGAACATTCTGCTTCTGTTTCTACTCTGGGCTTTCACGGCCTGCTCAGCGTTCACTTCCCTCATAATTTTGCTCTCATGTGGCTTTGCCTCACCATGGGTCTGATTCCACCCTTTTCAAATTTGTCCACCTCTACCAACTGGCTCAACTGGCTACTTCCAAGAGTGATCATATAGTTGATTGGTCCAGGTCATCCTTTTTTTTTTTTTCTTTTCTTTTGCAGGGTCTCTCCCCATCATCCAGGCTGGAATGCAGCGGTGCAATGACAGCTCATTGCAGCCTTGACCTCCCGAATTCAAGTGATCCTCCCACCTCATCCTCCTGAGTAGCTGAGATTACAGGCATGCACCACCACACCTGGCTAATTTTTAAAATTTTTTTTTGCAGAGACAGAGTCTCACTGCGTTGCCCAAGCTCAGGTCATCCTTTTATACCTGGCTGTGTTACAGGTTGATAGCCAGTCTATGAGTCAAGTCCCATGGTCCAAAATGGAAGCTAAGGGATTGGGTGGGAATGTGAAGGGAGCTGTGGATGAAACCAGTTTCTTTGCAATGAAGTTTAAGGATGGCAAGACATCATCTGTTCATCTGGGAGAGGGATTGAGCAGGAGCATGGGAAAACCCGTTGCCCTCTTGCCTCTATTGCAAATAAATGCTTTTGTCTTTCTGAAAAACTTTTCTTCTGAGTTGCTTAAGTCATTCTATTTGGAAGTATGTTAGAGGCTTTGGGGAGCTCTGCACTAAAAAATACCCCCCGCTTTTTTTTTGAGACAGAATTTTGCTCTTGTTGCCCAGGCTGGAGTGCAATGGCATGATCTTGCCTCACTCTGCCTCCCAGGTTCAAGCTATTCTCCTGCCTTAGTCTCCCGAGTAGCTGGGATTACAGGCACCTGCCATGTCCAGCTAATTTTTGTATTTTTAGTAGAGACAGGGTTTCACCATGTTGCCCAGGCTGGTCTCGAACTCCCAACCTCAGGTGATCTACCTACTTCGGCCTCCCAAAGTGTTGGGATTACAGGCGTGAGCCACCGTGTCCGGCAATAATCCTTTTTAAATGTATTAAACACATAGACTTCTGAATGTGTGTGGCTATAATACACCCCCCTGTACCCCATTTCTTATATTTCTTTATTTACATCAGCTGTTAGTAGCTAACATGCTATTGCTTTTACATCTTGCTACTCAGATTGAAGTTGGCTTGGGCATCACCTAGCAGCCTGTTAGAAGTGCAGAATCTCAGCCTCACCCCAGAACTACTGCATCAGAAACTGTACTTAATATATTTATTTACTAAATTTAAAAAGTTTTAATTATTTTAAAATAGCTAAATTAATTAATTTAATACATTTATAAATTTAAACTAATAAAGTTAATTAATTAAATTAGAAATTTACAACTTATACAAAAATTAACTCAAGATGGATTAAATACTTAAATGTAAAACCCAAAATCATAAAAACCCTAGAAGAAAACCTAGGCAATACCACTCAAGACGTAGGCAAGGGCAAAGACTTCATCACAAAAATGCCAAAAGTAATTGCAACAAAAGCCAAAATTGACAAATGAGGTCTAATTAAACTAAAGAGCTCTGCATGGCAAAATAAATTATCAGAGTGAACAGGCTACCTATAGAATGGGAGAAAATTTTTGCAATTCACCTGTCTGACAAAGGTCTAAATCCAGAATTTACAAGGAACTTCAACAAATTTACAGGAAGAAAATAAACAACCCCATCGAAAAGTGGGCAAAGAATATGAATAGACACTTCTCAAAAGAAGACATTTATGTGGCCAACAAACATGAAAAAAAGCTCATTATCACTGATCATCAGAGAAATGCAAATCAAAACCACAATGAGATACCATCTCATGCCAGTCAGAATGGCAATTATTAAAAAGTCAGGAAACAATAGATGCTGATGAGGCTGTGGAGAAATAGGAACTCTTTTACGCTGTTGGTGGGACTGTAAATTAGTTCAACCATTGTGGAAGACAGTATGGCAATTCCTCAAGGATCTAGAACCAGAAATACCATTTAATCCAGCAATACCATTACTGGGTACATACCCAAAGGAATATAAATCATTCTACTATAAAGACATATGCACACATATGTTCATTGCAGCACTATTTATAATAGCGAAGACATGGAACCAACCCAAATGCCCATCAGTGACAGACTGGATGAAGAAAATATGGCACATATACACCATGGAATACTATGCAGCCACAAAAAGGAATGAGATCATGTCATAGCAGGGACATGGATGAAACTGGAAGCCA
This sequence comes from Homo sapiens, assembly GCF_000001405.40. Lineage (NCBI taxonomy): Eukaryota > Metazoa > Chordata > Mammalia > Primates > Hominidae > Homo > Homo sapiens. The sequence continues at coordinate 65,096,618 of NC_000017.11, forward strand.
GTATCCTCAGCAAACTAACACAGGAATAGAAAACCAAATACCACATGTTCTCACTCATAAGTGGGAGTTGAACAATGAGAGCACATGGACACAGAGAGGTAAATATCACACACCGGGGCCTGTTGGGGAGTGGGGGGTGAGGGGAGGGAACTCAGAGGATGGATCAATCGGTGAAGCAAACCACCATGGCACACATATACCTATGTAACAAGTCTGCATGTTCTGCACACGTATCCTGTTTTTTTTTTTTTTTTTAGAAGAAGAAAAAAAAAATAGGGATGAGGTGTTCATCTGGCTTGAGACCAGCCATGTTGCCCAGGCTGGTCTCAAACTCTTGGGCTCAAGCAATCCTCCCAGCTCAGCCTCCCAAAGTGCTGGGATTACAGGCGCGAGTCACCATGTGCAGCCTATTTATTTTTGAGAGAGGTTCTTGCTCTGTCACCGAGGCTGGAGTGCAGTGGCTTGATAATTGCTCACTGCAAACTCAAGCTCCTGGGTACAAGCTATCTTCTCACCTCAACCTCCTGAGTAGCTAGGACTACAGGCACACACCACAGCATCTAGCTCCTATTTTTATTTTTTGTAGAAATGGAGGTCTCACTTTGTTGCCCAGGCTGATCTTGCACTCCTGGCCTCAAGCAATCCTCCCGTCTCAGCCTCCCAAAATGCTGGGAATACATGCATGAGTCACTGCACCTAGCCTATTTATTTATTTTTGAGACAGAGTCTTGCTCTGTTGCCCAGGCTACAGTGCAGTGGTATGATTATAGCTCATTACAACCTCAAACTCCTGGTCACAAGAGATCTTCTCACCTCAGCCTACTGAATAGCTAGGACTACAGACGCACACCACAGCATGCAACTCATATTTTTATTTTTTTCATAGAAAGGGAGGTCTCACTTTGTTGCCCAGGCTGATCTTGAATTTCCAGCCTCAAGTGATCCTCCTGCCTCAGCATCCCAAAATGCTAGGATTACAGGCGTGAGCCACTGTGCCCGGCCAGAATCTGCACTTTAACAAGATCCTCAGGAGACTAACATTTGCATTAAATGTTGAGAAGCATTGATCTTAGAGCAAACTTGGGAAACACTGAACAAGTCTGATCAGTGAATGTGGCTCGGAGAAGTAATGTGCCTTGTCTAAGCTCCCTAATTAGCCAGTAGTAGATCTGGGATTAGAATCCAAGTGTCACGAGTCCTAGTCATATTAACTTTCCAGCACAACATGGGTGTCTCCCTCATCTAGAAAACAAGGAGGCCTGATTTGGTCATTGTTAGAGAAGGAAATTAGCATGTGATTGGGGTGACCACATAAGTTATCATCAAAACATAGTTGCTTTTTTGTTTTATTTTATTTTATTTTAACTATAAAATAATTTTCTTTACTAGAGACAGGGTCTTACTATGTTGCCCGGCTAGTCTTGAACACCTTGGCTCAAGCGATCTACCTGTCTTGACCTCCTAAAGTGCTGGGATGACAGGCATGAGCCACTGTACCCAGCCTAAACATAGTCACTTCTGAGAGTGCAAGAGGGCACCATTAGCTATTTCAGGACAATAAATGCAACCTGACATAAGTGGTCACTCTATATACCTAAAGATATTTCTAGTTTACAGGGCCCCTTCATATTTGTTAACTAAACTGCATAAATATCTGATGACAAAATAATTTTAAAGTTCTAACTTTTATTTATGTGTTTATATTTATTTTTGAGACAGGATCTCACTCTGTCACCCAGGCTGGAGTGCACTGGCACTATTTTGGCTCACCATGGTCTCTGCCTCCCAGGCTCAAGTGATTCTCCTGCCTCAGCCTCCCAAGTAGCTGGAATTACAGGCATGCACCACTACTGCCCAGCTAATTTTTGTATTTTTAGTAGAGATGGGGTTTCACTATGTTGGCTAGGCTGGTCTTGAACTCTTGACCTCAAATGATCCAACTGCTTCGGCCTCCCAAGGCACTGAGATTACAGGCATGAGCCATCATGTCCAACCTAAAGTTCTAACTTTCAAGTAAAACCTGGTTCTCAAGGAAAAATAATACATGTATCTCATTATAATAATAATAAAAAAATTAACCTCATTAAGAATAAAAGAAGCTGGGCGCAGTGGCTCACGCCTGTAATTCCAGCACTTTGGGAGGCCGAGGCGGGCAGATCATGAGGTCAGGAGATCAAGACCATCCTGGTTAACAGGCTGAAACCCCGTCTCTACTAAAAATACAAACAATTAGCTAGGTGTGGTGGTGGGCGCCTGTAGTTCCAGCTACTTGGGAGGCTGAGGCAGGGGAATGGCATGAACCCGTGAGGCAGAGCTTGCAGTGAACCGAGATCACGCCACTGCAATCCAGCCTGGGCTGCAGAGCGAGACTCCGTCTCAAAAAAAAAAAAAAAAAAGAATAAAAGAAAAAAGAGAGAGAAAGCCCAAATTAGCAAAATAAGAGAATATGGGAACCAATCACAGATACATACAAAGTTGAAATGATTTTGAAATTGCTTTGCTGAACCCATTCAACTAAATTTGAAAACCTGGTTTCCACGTTGTCATTCACCATGGCTGTGGCCAAGCTAGGGCTGGAAGCTACATCTCATGGCTTTCTGCCTAGTAATTTCCCTGTGAGTCAACCAGACTTCAGAGTCTCATTTCTGAAACTTTTATTCCAGTACTCTAACCTAGAGCTAAGATGTCTTTGTAGCTTGGTGGGAACGCGGCTCTTCCATGGGAATGAGACACAGATGATCTGAAGACATATCTCCTGAGCATACCTCTTATGATAAATGCCCACATGCCTCCATCTGACATCAGCTTTGTCTGCCATGCTCAGGCCACCTGGCTCTAGAAATAAAAGATGGGAACGTCCCTGATCCTGAATGTTAAACCTGGAAAATCTCCTCCTGCCAGAGATGTAGCTAGCATTCCATATTTAAACTATCTTTAAAGATTTTAATGTTGACAATAGTAACAACAACTGGTATCTATTGATTCTTTACTCCTTTGTCCCCTATCATTGTACCATCCCCATTTTACAGAAATCAAAGCACAGAGGGGTTAAGTAACTTGCCCAAAGCCACACAGAGAGTAAGTAATGGAGTTGATATTTGACCCCAAGTAATCTGATTCCAGAGATTATATTTTACCTCCAATTATGACTCCAACAGTTTTCATATTATTTTGAGAATTCTGAGAATTATTCTCAGAATAATATATATATGTGTATATATTATATATACATATATATATATATATATGCCAGACTATGTATATAATGTATATATGTATATAATGGAACCACTACGCCTAGTAAATTGTTTTTTTTAAGGTCCCAAGAGACATAGGAGAGAAACTATTGGTTACTGGACATTCACCAAGTGTCAGTCATAGTTCTAAGCGCTTGTACATGAATCAGCTCAGTAATCTTAAAACCAAAACCAGAACCAAACAAACCGCCGCCCACCCCCTGGGGAGAGTGCAGTGATTCTCACTCATCAGATGAGACAAAGGAAGCCCAGAGAGGTTCCATAACTTGCTTGAGATCCTACAGCTAGGTGGCAAATCCAGGGCTCAGAGCCAGCCCATTTGGCCCGTGAGCAGCATTCTTCACCACCAAGCACACCCCACTGCCAGTCTTTAACCCAGTTATTCATTCAGTCCTCACAGCACATGATCGACAGGAGTCATTTCCTACCCACTTGCTTTTCTCGGGTTAGATGGGGTAACTGACGCTGATAAAGTTTAAATATTAGGTTGGAGCAAAAGTAATTGTGGCTTTGCCATTTTAATGGCAAAACCCGAATAATTTGCTTAGTGCCATTCAATGACTTGGGGCTGGCTAGCCAGGGAGCCAAAGCGTGTTGCATCTGTTTTCACTTCCCCAGGCCTTAGTGGTGCGGTCTAAGGCTCGCCCTCTGCCACACATCCTCCTCTCCCTCCTCCCGGCAGCTCCTCCTCCTCCTCGTCCACCTCCACCTCCTCCTCCACCCCCTCTCCCTCCACCTCCTCCTCTCCCTCCTCCTTTTCCCCCCGTACCCCTCCGCCCCCCGGGGCCCTGCCCTGCGGGTCTCACCTGCCGCTCGGCGGGGTCCCGGCGGGGGCCGGACAGCGCCACCTGGCGGCAGGTGGACGCCCGCGCAGCGCATGCTAATGAGCCCGCGTCGTCGCTCGCGGATTGGCTGGCGCGGATTCCAGCTGCTTTCCAAGTTGGAGGCGCCTAGTGAGGGTCAGGGAGGCCCGGCCCGCGCCCTCCCCGCCCAGCCGCCTCCCCGTCGACCACCCAGGGCTGGGGCGAGCCAGGCTGCCTTTCGAACTTGGGGGCTTCTCCTCTTGTCTCCCACTGGTGCTCTGGCCGTGAATCCATCCAGGCGCCAGGAGATGACAATCCGGTACCAAGGCCGGCAGTACAGGCTGAGGATGGCATTTCTCCAAAAGGTAACCCTGGCCCCTTACCTGGGCCCTGGAGTGCCGGGGACCACATCTGGGAAGCGTCCGAGGACACGTGGGGCAGGAGTGGAGGGCACCCCTTTGGGTCGATTTGTGCAGCTCGATTTCATTAAGTGACTGGTGTGAGTTGTGATAAAGACAATTCCGTTTAGGTTTCCAAGCTGCGTCCTGGGCCTGGAGACTGAGACAGAGATCCACGGACTGCAGTGCAGGCAGCCCACCCCAGATCCGAGTCATATAAGGTAACCCAGACAACCACCTACGAATTTAAAGCTCCTATAAGTTGCCCTTTCTGCATCCGAAGTGTGATATTTGAAAGTTAAAAACGTTATCTTACATACATAGATCTTAAAACGTATCTTACACCACAACCTACTCACAGATGCAAAGGCAGTGGTCATGGTCTTCCATTGCTTGGGGTCCTGGGGCCGGGTTTGAGGCTGAATGTCAGGGTTTCCTTTGCCATAACCTCATTCTGCACCACGTGCTGTCAGCCAGGCAGCCAATGTGGACTTGGAGGCTGGCATCTGCTGGGCACTGCTCGAGGTACCAGGGACACAGTGATGAGCAAAACGAGCATGGCCCCTGCCCTCAAAGTCCCTTGAGGCTAAATGGCCCACCCAAGGGCAGCTTAACAGTGCCCAGCCTTGGGGGATGTGGGCTGATGGAGGACTGGGCCCACCACAAGGTACCTTAGGGTGCCCCCAGTCAAATATATCTACTTTTTTTTTTTTTTTTTTGAGACAGTCTCACTCTCTTGTCCAGGCTGGAGTGCAGTGGTGCGATCTTGGCTCTCTGCAACCTCCACCTCCCAGGTTCAAGCGATTCTCCTGTCTCAGCCTCCCGAGTAGCTGGGATTACAGGTGCGCACCATCACACCTGGCTAATTTTTATATTTTTAGTAGAGGCGGGGTTTCACTATGTTGGCCAGGCTGATCTCGAACTCCTGACCTCAAGTGATCAGCCCCCTTCGGCCTCCCAAAGTGCTGGGATTACAGGCATGAGTCACTGCGCCCGGCCAAATACATCTTTCTAGAGGAGCCAAGCTCCCTCAGCCAGCCAATGGCAGAGCTGCAGGTGAATGGCATCAGATGGTGTTGACATCCCACCCAACATCAGGGACTTCTACTGTAAGTGCCCGAGCCTCTCTGCTCAGGGGGTTTTCTCTGGCCATAGGAACATGACTGCCACACATGTGGCCAGAGTGCCAGGGAGTGGATGCCCCCTGGATCAGCCTGCAACTGATAGTGAAAGACAGTTGCTTGATGAAAAGTACCAAGCTTCCTCCCCACCGGGTATGGCTCTTCTGAGGGTGTTCTATGTTGTTTCTCCCAGAGGCTCCCAGTAGGACAGAACTCAGGTGGCCCACGGGGGTTGCTGCTCATGAATGAGCCCTGTATTGTCCACCTTACTTACCCTGTCCCACCTCCCCAGGCACCAGCCGCTTTCAGGAATCAATCTTCCCACCCATGCGACAGGCTAGTTCAATTATTATCTCCGTTTTACAGGTAAGGAAACTGAGGCTGGTAAGGGCTAACACTAGAAGAATTGTTGACATGATACAGAAAAGCTGGTCTCACTACAATTGTAGAAACATAATTATTTATTTTATTATTATTATTATTTGAGACAAAGTCTGGCTCTGTTGGCCAGGCTGGAGTGCAGTGGCGTGATTTCGGCTCACTGCAGCCTTGACCTCCTGGGCTCCAGTGATCCTCCCTTCTCAGCCTCCCAAGTAGCTGGAACTACAGGCAGGCACTACCATGCCTGGCTAATTTTTTTTGTTTTTTTTTTTATAGAGATTTTTTTGTATTTTTAATAGAGATGGGATTTTGCCCTGTTGCCCAGGCTGGCCTCAAACTCCTGAACTCATGTGATCTGCCTGCCTCGGCCTCCCAAAGTGCTGCGATTACAGGCATGAGTCACTGTGCCCAGCCAGGAGAAATATAAAATTAAGACTGTGGTGAGAGGGAGCTTCCGATTCTACTTGAAGAGTGGGGGTAGTCATCACTGAAGAGAGAGCCTTCAAGCTTGGAGGATCCTGAGGCTTCCGCTGGGCAGAGGAAGGAAGACCCCACCTGCAGAAGCAGCCCCTGCCGAAGTACAGGGATGTATGAGAGTCTGGTGTGTCTGAGGGCATGCTGATTGCTGTTCACTGAGCATATAGTACAAGGGGAGTGTGAGGTGGGACAGGCAGGCAGGGATGGATAGGAAAGGTCTATGCCTTACAGAGGTGGTGCTATTTTTCCCCAAAGAGCAGGTGAGTGAAGTGGTCAGATTTAGGTTCAAATGAGGGCTCTAATGTAAGCCAGAAGAATGGATGGGATATATTTCCTTCCCTGAGCCAAGAGAATTCACTCAGGGTCTTTCTGTGCTGTCTGCAACTCCAGTTACCTAGGAAATGACAGCTTTTCATGGGGTCAGAGGGAGTGGTGCTGATCAGAAGGGCCCTTCTCCTGTGACTGTGGAGGCTTTCACACCTGTCATCACTCCTGTGATGTCCCAGGCTCGATGCAGCCCTGTGTAGGTATGTCTACCAGCCAAGCTGATGCCAACCAGCCAAGCTGATGCCCACCTCTGATGCCTGGACTTGTTGAAAATGTGGTGGAGGCTGGGCATGGTGGCTCATGCCTATAATTCCAGCACTTTGGAAGGCCGAGGAGGGAGGATGGCTGGAGCCCAGGAGTTTGAGGACAGCCTGAGCAACAGAGTGAGACACTGTCTCTCCAAAAAAAAAAGAAAAAAATTAGCCAGGTGTGGTGGTGCACACCCGTAGTCCCAGGTACTCGAGAAGCTAAGGTTGGAGGATCGCTTGAGTCTAGAAGGTCCTGGCTGCAGTGAGCTGTGATTGCACCATTGCACTCCAGTCTGGGCGACAGAATGAAACAGTGTCTCAAAAATACATAGGTAGATTTTTTTTTTTTTTAATGTGTAGAAGGAGATGAAGAATTCCCCTGTCCAGCGGCTCTGCCTGGGGGGTGTTAGCTGGTGACACATAGTGAACTAAACAGCAGGGCTGGGCAAACTGCTGTGGCCTCCAGCACACGCAGGGCTCTTGTTTCAGCCTAGCTTCTCATTTCCTGTGTTCCGGCAGCCCTGACCACCTGGGGTGAGGTGGAAAAAATTTCCATCTGGACTTCTAAAATGCTTTCCTATTTGACTTAAGGAAAAGTTGAGGATGTGAGGGTGTTCTTGCAGCAGATGGGGTGCCAGGAAGAGAGTTGAGCTTAGACGAGGGCTACAAGAAGAAAGGATCTTAATGAGGCTTGGGCAGAATTTAGAATTGCTTGTATCATTTGTTCACTCCTCCATGTGACAGACATTTATTGAGCACCTACTATGTGTCAGGTATTGTTAGACACTGTCATAACACAGACTTCAGGACACAGTCCCTGTTCTCAAGTGACTTGTAGTCTAGTGGTAGGAGATGGCCACATGTATCAACACAGTGGCATGGCACAGGTGCCATGCAGACAGCTGGAGGGTAAAGGAGGTGCTTAAGTGTGGGCCTTTACTTTATCCTGGGTGGAATGTCAAGAAAGCATTCTGAAAGATATGGTGGTGGTTTCTCTAGGTCTTGAGGATGTGAGGCTGTTCTTAGGGCAGATGGGGTGCCAGGAGGAGAGTTGGGACAAAGGTGGAAGAGGAACATGAACTTGGCTTGGATCTATTGTGTGTCAGCTGTTGGTCAGAGCCAGATGGTGATGTCCAGTAGGCAATTCTGTGTCTGGAGGCAGGGCCTGAAAAACCTGGGAGACACATTAAACTGGTCATTGAGAATGTAATAGAAATGAGGGATGTTTCTGAGGCTGGGTACAGTTAACAAGGCATATTAGACTTGGGCATTTGGACTGTGGCTGGCAGTGCTATAGTTGGGATGTGAGTTGCCAACTAAAAAAAAGAGCACAGTGGTTTGGGGTCACTATTTACATCTCTGCACAGCAAACTCATAATTATGATTGTCTTCCAGGAAGCTTGCTCTGGATTATAGGAAAATTCCAGTCCCTGAAATCTTGTAGAGAGTGACAGCCACTTACTATGAGAAGAAATCGTGACCATGGGGTGGATGGAATATTGAGACTATCACTTTCTGATACTTTCAGTGACTGTCTGGGTACTTTAAAATGTTCAATGTCATACCTCACTTAGCTGGAATCTGAGAGGGGCAACGCTAGGCCTGTGATGGGGTCAGAGAGAGTCCAGTGATGATGCTTTTTTTTTTTTCCCCCGATGGAGTGAAGTGGTGCGATCTTGGCTCACTGCAACCTCCACCCCCGGGTTCAAGCGATTCTCCTGCCTTAGCCTCTGGAGTAGCTGGAATTACAGGTGCCTGCCACCATGCCTGGCTAATTTTTATATTATTAGTAGAGATGGGGTTTTGCCATGTTGGCCAGGCTGACCTCGAACGCCTGACCTCAGGTGATCCACCCGCTTTGGCCTCCCAAAGTGCTACGATTATAGATGTGAGCCACCGTGCCCAGCCCAGTGATGACCCTTTTATGTAGCATTTGTTTGAGGCCTCAGGAAATAGTTGTGGAGAAGTCAGGATTCTGGGAGAACTGGGCAGCTGTGCTCTGGTAAACAGTGGTGGGGTGGGGTGGGGAGGTGATGGTATGGGGAAGGACCGGGGGTCTTCAATGTGTCTCACGAAAGGAGATAGCTCAGAAGGGATGCACGCTGGACAGAAGAAGGGGTAGCCTGGAGAAAGGCCACAGCTGCACCCTTCCTGGGGAGCTTGAAAATCAAGGTGGGTTTTCTCCCGTCGTGAGTGGAGTACAGGCACCTGTCACCTGCCACCTTGCCCACCAAGACCACCTCTCCAAGACCATTCCGGACCCAAGGAGTCAGTCATATTTTTCGTAATTGAGATTTATTACAATTTAAAAAGGAATCCCTTAAGTGAGTTTACAGGGGAAAAGGTTGGAGGAAAATTATTCTGTCCCCTAATGGGAAGACCCCTAAAAATGTTCAAGACACAGACTCCCCTCTTCCCAGAAAATCCCTCCTTTGTGCAGAGACGTCATCGCTGGAAAGCCCCTCTTGATTGTGCTTTTAGAAATAACTCCTGTTAATCTCCTTTGAGGGGTAGTTGCAAATTCCTCAGAGATTGATTTTTTTTTTTAAACACAAAGGGAAAGAAATGGAGTGACTGTCATTTTTATCAGAGAAGTTTAAATGTCTAACTGGCAAAGTAGGTACAACTCCGCCATCCACCGTTAGCTCCCTCTGCCTCACTACTAAGGAGATGGTTATTTTACCCGATGAAGTACCGTATTTATAATCTGAAAAGTTATGACTGAAAGGACGAGGATGCTTTAAGCCCTGTCATCAGAAACTGCATAACAGTGTGTGTGTGTGTGTGTGTGTGTGTGTGTGTGTGTGTGTGTGTGTGCTGGGGAGGACGGGGCTGTTGGCTGCTGCTGAAAAGAATCACTCCAGTAGCCATGGCTCCTCAGTCCCCTGGCCATCCCAGGAAGAGCAGGACCACCTCTCAGCATCCCCCAGTACAGTGTGGGGTTGTGTCTTTGCTCCCCTCTCTGCTGTTGGCCTCATGGCTGACCCAGTGGCCAGAAACACTGCCAAGTCCTGACACTGCAGAAAGCCAAGGATTGTGGCTCCAAATCAAGCTGAAATGAATAGCTTTTGTTCCAAAACAATTCTGTGAGCCAAGAAAGTGTCCATGCAGATAAAGCTTGCAGTCAGTCTTGCACAAGGAGCCCCAGCCGTGTTTTGCACGCTGTCTGAGTGACTGGCGCTGTGCCCGGAATGCTGAGTGGTGAGGCTATCCTCAGAGCCTTCCCTGTGCACCTGATCTTGGCCCATTTCTTGAGATTGTGGTTCAGCTGCAAATGCTTGTTTAGCAACAGAGATTGAAATAGGAAATCCCTTTCCTTAGTGTTGGCATAAGACATTGTTCCATACTCTTTCCCTCCTTGGGAAGATTGGAGCCTCCTAGCTTCAGGAGCAGGCTGCCTGAGAGGGAGGGGGCAATTAGGATTTTTCTGATTCAGCTCTCTTCTGATATATCCAGGTTAGTCTACACCTCCTTCCTGTCTACCTAGCCATATCATGGGTTCCTTCCCAAGTTCACTTCCTCTAGGAAGCATTCATTGACCATCTGTCTTAGTCCATTTTCTGTTGCTATAACAGAATGCTTGACATGGGCTAATTTATAAAGAAAAGAAGCTTATTTGGCTCACGGTTATGGAAGCTGGGAAGACCAAGGGCATGGTGACAGCTTCTGGTAAGGGATTTTTTTTTTTTTTTTTTTGAGACAGAGTCTCGCTCTGTCACCCAGGCTGGAGTGCAGTGGCCTGATTTCAGCTCACTGCAAGCTCCGCCTCCTGGGTTCACGCCATTCTCCTGCCTCAGCCTCCCTAGTAGCTGGGACTACAGGCACCTGCCACCATGCCTGGCTAATTTTTTGTATTTTTAGTAGAGACGGGGATTCACTGTGTTAGCCAGGATGGTCTCAATCTCCTGACCTCGTGATCTGCCCGCCTCAGCCTTCCAAAGTGCTGGGATTACAGGCGTGAACCACCATGCCTGGCCCCTGGTAAGGGATTTCATACTGCATTATAACACAGCAGAAATGGGGAAGGGCAAGTGAGTGCACGCAAAAGACACCTCAGGGCACTAACTCAGTCCCTTGGAAATGATCTCACTCACAAACAGCATTAATCCACTTATGGGGCTCTACCCTTATTACCTAATTCCCTTTTAAAAGGCCCCACCTCTCAATACTGTTACATTAGCAACTAAGTTTCCAACACATGGACTTCTGAGGGACACACTCAAACCTATAGAAGCATCCTGTGATCACAGTCCCTTTTCAGCTCCTGTGCAATTAGGATCTGTATGCTTCACATGAGACACATTTTTATTCTGTGCTGTGTATTGGTCATCTCTCTCTATATACTTTACCACCTCAGCTCCCAGAGGACAAAGATTATGTTGTTTATTTGTAGCAGTCATGCCACTGGATTCATAAAAAGTATTCAATTAAATCTCACTCTTTGCATTAGGTTGTCTAACTGAGTTTTTCTTATGTGTCTTTACTGTCTGGTCCCTAGAAGGCATATTGTGACAATGATAACATCTATCACTACCACTCCCACCCTATTGTCACTGTTCCTATATTGCCTTAGGGATTATATAACTGTTTCATATTCATTATTTTCATTTGATCACAAGCACCCTTTTAAATAGATAGGGCAGATATTAGATGTTTTTTTCCTTAGTGGATGAAAATACTAAGGTTCAGAGAGGTCAGTTAACTGGTCCAGTGTCACACAGCTGACATCATCTATTTTTCAGCTTCACTGAGGCTAGAAAAACCAGTGGTCTCATTCTGAGGACGGCTACGTGCATATATGTTAAAAGGACTTTGTGAACTGAGGGCTCATACAATGGTGCATAGAATTATGATTAATGGCAGCCAGACACGGTGGCTCACGCCTGTAATCCCAGCACGTTGGGAGGCCGAGGCAGGCAGATCACGAGGTCAGGAGATCGAGACCATCCTGGCTGACATGGTGAAACCCTGTCTCTACTGAAAATACAATACAAAAAAATTAGCCGGGCGTGTTGGTGGGTGCCTGTAGTCCCAGCTACTTGGGAGGCTGAGGCAGGAGAATGGCGTGAACCTGGGAAGCGGAGCTTGCAATGAGCAAGATCGCGCCACTGAACTCCAGCCTGGGCGACGGAGCAAGACTCCGTCTCAAAAAAAAAAAAAATTATGATTAATGGCAGAAAAATAGATACTGCAAGATTGAAACAGTTCAATGAAGACAGAGCAGTATGGATGGATGGCTCTGGATTTGGTTGATAGGAGCCAAAGAGTTGATTGCGTTTGAGGGGCCCTCCAGGTGCAGATGTGTAGCAGGCAGCGGGAAATAACTCTGAGGAGGGCGGCAAGGGCAGAGTAAATGGGTGAGGAATGACCTTCATTCTTACTGTAGGTCTCCTGTATACCCTGATATTTCCTGTCTCCATTCCTTTGCTTCTGTTGTACCTTCATCCTGGGATGCCTCTCCTCACCCCAGAGCTTGAGGCTGTTATTTCCAGTTGGCTGCTACACATTTCTGTGTATATGTTCCAGAGCACGGCACAAACAAGTTTTTCTCTTTCAAAACAGGCTGCTTTCTTTTGTGTTTCCTGTTTTAAATACTGACTACCACCATTGGCTTGGCAGAGAGGTAGGAAATCTTGGAATCATATTCTCTTGCCTTCACCAAATTGTATACATTATCAACTAAGTTTCAAACACACAAACTTTTGGGAGTCACCTTCAAACCACAGGACCATCCTATGATTGCTGTCCCTTTTGAGCTCCTGTGCAATTAGGATTGCAGTGTCTAAGTACAAGAGACTCATCTATAGTGCTTCTAGTGACCATATTCTCTTACTTTTCCTCATTGCCTCTGCCTGAACTGTGCTCTCTCCTGCATGATTATTTCCTCTGATACAGAAAGGTTTACTCCTCCTTTTTCTCTACTTGGCCGTACCATGGGTTCCCTTCCAAGTTCACTTCCTCTAGGAAGTATTTCTTGATTATTTGTCTTAGTCCATTTTCTGTTGCTCTAACAGAATACCCGAGACTGGGCAATTTACAAAGAAAAGAAGCTTATTTGGCTCACGATTATGGAGGCTGCGAAGTCCAAGGGCATGGCTACAACTGCATACCCTCCTTTTTGCATCTATAATTTTGCACATCTAAAACCATCTATAATTTTGCAAAACAAGGCAAACTCTGCTGCTTCTCCATGAGAGCTTCCATTTGTCTATGAATGACATCGAAGACCTATTGTGTCCTGGATTTATTTGCTCTCCCTTGGCATGCCATGCAGTTTTACCCATTCATGCCTTTGCACGTGCTTGTTCCTCAGCCTGGAATGCTCCTTTTCTCTGGGGCAGAAGCAACAACTTCTTGCCAAATAGCCCATGTTCTCTGAGTTAGAATTACTGGGCCATGAGCAGAAGTGTTGTGTGGGTTTTCAGGCTGAAGTCTTGAAGGGTGAGTACCAATTCTCCATGTTTTTCTCTCTTCCCCTGCACAGTGATGGAGCACATGTAATGGAATGAGAAACCATAAATGGTAGCAGCCTAGAGAGTTGAGTCAAGACATCAAGGGAGGGCCCTGGACACTGCCCAACTTGACTTAGCATTTTCTTAAGAGAGATAAACCCTTGTTGGGTTAAATCTGTGTTACCACAGCATAATCTAAATTATCCTGAGTAATACATTCTCATTTTCTGCCAGTTACAAATCTTTAAGTATCAGCTTAAATCCTCTTTCTTTAAAAGCCTTCCAGAACCAACCCACCCCTAGCCAGAATTGATGTCTTTTCTTTGTGCTTTCACAGCCTGTGTAACTTATGTCTATTTGACACTTAATGCCTAGTATTATGGTTGGTCATGTAGAGTTAGTGACAGAATGAGTAAGAGTATGAATTCCAAAGCCAGACTGACTGGTTCACATATCAGCTCTGTCATTTACCAGCAGTGGGAATTTCGATGAGTTACTTAGACTTCCAGAACTTGGGTTCATATTTGTCCCTCCAGAACCTACCAGAGTGTCCGACATAGTAATTATATTACATATGTCAATAATTATGTTAAATAATACCTGTTTACCGGCCTCCTTCTTTTTTGTCTTGCAGGTTGAAATATCAGTAAAAAACATGCAGACCCAAAGATGGGGACCAAAATCCAAAGCCAGAGGGTCCTGGAAATCAGAGGGTCTTACAACATAACAGGCAGTACAGGCCATGGCTCAGGCTAGGCGTGGAACAGACTGCAGTTCTCTTCTACAAATCAATCTAGACTGGACAGACAGAACTCCAAGGGAGGAAAGAAAAATGAATCTGATGTTACTTCTTGAAACCACATTTTCTGAAGTCACCATTTTTATGTATCTATCAACTCATCATTTTTATGTATATATCAATATGATTTTATGATCTTATTTTTTCCTACTAATGTGATGAATTACCTTGATTGATTTTAGAATATTAAATCACTTTTGTATTCCTGGAATAAACCCTAGATGGATGCTTGATTTTTTCTAATTCCTTAGCAAAAATGCTAATATTTTATTTAGGATTTTGCATCTATATTCACAAGTGAGGATTTTTTTCCTCTCCTGACACCAACCAATTCTCCAACACAAACTGAGTGTCCTACAATTCAATTTAATTCTGACACTACCCAGAGTTAGCATTAGCCTCCACAGATTTAAGGCCTCAGCCCTACAAGACTGTCCCAATCAGACTCCAGTTGCAAGTCCTGGGCCACCCATACTTCTGGGCAACTGGTTACAAATTGGGGGTTCTTATGACCACCTCCCACAGGCTTGACAATTTGCTAGAATGATTAGTGGAAAGCAAGAAAGTGCTTAACTTAATATTACTGGTTTATTACAAAGGATACAATTCAGGAAAAGCCAAATGGAAGTGATGCATGGAGCAAGGCAAGGGAGAATGAGCACAGAGCTTTCCTACCCTCTCCAGGCACACCACTCTCCCAGCACCTTGATGTGTTCACCAACCTGGAAGCTCTCTGAACCCCATCATTTAGAGGTTTTAATGGAAGTTTCATTACATAGGCATGACTTTTTTTTTTTTTTTTTTTTTTTTTTTTTTGAGACGGAGTCTCGCTCTGTCGCCCAGGCTGGAGTGCAGTGGCACCATCTCGGCTCACTGCAACCTCCACCCCCCAGGTTCAAGCAATTCTCCTGCCTCAGCCTCCCAAGTAGTTGGGACTACAGGTGGACACCACCATGCCCAGCTAATTTTTGTATCTTTAGTAGAGACGGGGTTTCACCATGTTGGCCAGGCTGGTCTTGAACTCCTGACCTCAGGTGATCCGCCTGCCTTGGCTTCCCAAAGTGCTGGGATTATAGGCATGAGCCCTACATAGCAATGACTGATTGAATCTTTGAACACTGGTGATTACTTCAATCTCCAGCCCCTTGTCCCTCTCCCCTCCCCAGAAGTCAGTGGGTGGGGCTAAAAGTTCCAACCCTCTAATCATGCCTAGTTCTCCTTTTTTTTTTTTTAGTTGTTTATTTTTCTTGGCATGCAGAATAAGAGCTATTGTCTAGGTCTTTCTGGTGACCTCTTCATCCTGAACTACCTAGAAGCCTCCAGCCACTAGTCATTTCATTAGTATACAAAAGACACTCTTGCCATTGTGGAGATTTCAGGAGTTTCGGGAGCCATGTGCCAGGAACCAGGGACAAAACCCAAATATTTATTTTTTCTCATACCACAATGATTGACATTGGTCTGTAATTTTTTCTGCTTATAATATCCTAGTCCAGTTTTTCTATTAAGGTTATGGCCACATAAAAAGAGTTGGGAACTATACTCTGTTTTGCTATTCTTTGGTAGAGTTTGTCCAAGTTTATGCAAGATTGGTATTATTCTTTTTTTTTTAGAGACAGGTTCTCACTCTGTCACCCAGACTGGAGTAGCAGTGATGCCATCACAGCTCATTCACTATAACCTTGAACTCCTGGGCTCAAGCAATCCTCCCACCTAAGCCTCCTAAGTACCTGGGACTACAGGTGCACGCTGCCATGCCCTGCTAATTTTTAAATTTTTGGTAGAGGCGGTGCCTTACTGTATTGTCCAGGCTGGTCTTGAACTCCTAGACTCAAGTGATTCTCCTACCTCAGCCTCCCAAAGTGCTGGGTGTATAGGTGTGAGCCACCACACACAGCCCATGGTATTATTCTTTAAATATTTGGAAGAATTAACTGATGAAGCAAGCCATCTGGGGCTTGGAATTCTTTGTGAGAAGTTCTTGAATAGATTCCATTTATTTATGAGATATTGGCTATTCAGATTTTACTTTTTTATGTGGGCTTTGGAAAGTTGTATTTTTCAGGGGGTTTGTCTATTTTATCCAAGTTGTCAATATTTTGGTGTAAAGACAATAATATTCTCTTATCTTTGTTATATTTGTGGGATCTGTATTGATATTCCTTTCTAATATTGAAAATTTGTCTTTTTTGTTTCTGTTGATCAGTATTGTTTGGAGTCTATCAATATAAATAATATTTTCAAATAACCAAATTTTGATTTCGTTGATTTTTCTCCATTGTATATGTGTTTTCTATTTCTTTTCTTTCTTTCTTTTTTTTTTTTTTTGAGACGGAGCCTCGCTCTGCCGCCCAGGCTGGAGTGCAGTGACACGACCTTGGCTTACCGCAAGCTCCACCTCTCGGGTTCACGCCATTCTCCAGCCTCAGCCTCCTGAGTAGCTGGGACTATAGGCGCTCGCCACTACGCCCGGCTAATTTTTTTGTATTTTTAGTAGAGACGGGGTTTCACCACATTAGCCAGGATGGTCTCGATCTCCTGACCTCGTGATCTGCCCGCCTCGGCGTCCCAAAGTGCTGGGATTATAGGCGTGAGCCACCGCGCCAGGCAGATTTGTTTTCTATTTCACTGATTTATAATCTTTATTATTTACTTCTATTTTCCTTAGATATAACTTACTGTTCTTTTTGTTCTTAAACTAAAAAAATAAATCATTGACTTTCACCCTGTCCATTTTTCGAATATACACATTTTTAAGGTTATAAATAACTCTCTAGTCCCTACATTAGCTGCATCCTATGAGTTTTTAGAAGTTACGTCTTTTATGGGGTCACATTCAGTTCAAAATATTTGCTAATATCTGTCTAGATTTCTTCTTTAATCTATGAGTTATTTAGAAATATATTTTTTATTTCCAGGCCGTGGAGATTATCTTTTTATTATTGAGTTCTGACTTAATTTTATTCTGGTCAAACAACATTCTCTGAATGATTTCAATGTTTTGAAATTTGTTGAGGCTTTCTTTATTGCCCATCATATGATCAATTTTGATACGTTTCATGTACACTTAAAAAGTAAATTCATGCATGCCTGTAATCCCAGCTACTTGGGAGGCTGAGGCAGGAGAATTGCTTGAACCTGGGAGGCGGAGGTTGCAGTGAGCCGAGATTGCACCATTGCACTCCAGCCTGGGCAACAACAGCAAAACTCCATCTTAAAAAATAAATAAATAAATAAAATAAATTCTATCATTATGGGTACAGAATTTGATACATATACAACAACTAAGTCAAGTCTGTTAGTTGCGTTATTTAAATCTTCTAGATCCTTACTATATTTTCTTGCTCTATAAGTTACCGAGAAATGTATCTTACAGTCTTCCATAATGATTGTGGATTTGTCACTTTCTTCTTTGAGTTGCTTAATTTTTGCTTTCTGTATTCTGAAGTTATAAGTATGTATAGATTTGTGATTTGATATCTACTTGTTGGATTGACCCATTATAATATGTACCTTTTAATATCTAGTAATGCTTTTTGCTTCAAAATCTTACTTCATACTGCTATAGAATGCCTGGTTTCTTTTGTTAGACTTTTACAGTCTATCTTTCCTCATCCTTTTTCTTTAATCATCGATCTCCATGTATTTAAAGTGTCTCTTTTAGAAGTCACATAGAGTTAGGTTTTGTATTTTTCATCCAGTATGATAATCTTAGTCTTTTTCTTTTTTTTTTTTTTTTGACGGAGTCTCGCTCTGTCACCCCAGGCTGGAGTGCAGTGGCGCGATCTTGGCTCACTGCAACATCTGACTCCCTGGTTCAAGTGATTCTCTTGCCTCAGCCTCCAGAGTAGCTGGGATTACAGGCACATGCCACCACGCCCAGCTAATTTTTGTATTTTTAGTAGAGATGAGGTTTCACCATGTTGGCCAGGATGGTCTTGATGTCCTGACTTTGTGATCTGCCCACCTTGGCTTCCCAAAGTGCTGGGATTGTAGGCATGAACCACTGCACCTGGCCAATCTTAGTTTTTTATTTGGATTATTTAGTCTATTTAAATAATAGTAAAGTAATTATTGATATAAAGTTGGGTTTATTCTATTTGTTTTCTGCTTGACCCATCTGTTTTCTGTTGTTTTTCTTCTTTCTTGCATTCTTTTGGATTAAGAAAATATTTTCTATCATTCTATTCTTTACCTCAAGCTTGTTAGTTATACATTGTTTTGTTACATATTCTTTTTCTTTAGCTGTTATCCTAGAGATTAAACAACATGCAATCTTGACTTATTTCTGTGTAATACAAATTATTACTTTTACCAGTTCCCAAAACATTTAAAACTTTAGGAAACTTTAGTTTTATTTATCTCCTTCCTCATTTTGTGTTGTTGTTATACATGTTTAGTTCTACACATATATTTAAATTCCATAAGACATTATACCTATTGGGTTGGCAATAAATATTCATTAATAATTACCTATATATTCATCCATTCTGGTATTTTTCTTCTTTTTTGAGAGACAGGGTCTTGCTCTGTCACCAAGGCTGGACTGGTGTGCTAGCACAATCATGGCTCATTGCAGCCTCAGCCTCCTGGGCTCAAGCAGTCTTCCCGCCTCAGCCACCTGAGTAGCTAGAACTACAGGCATGCGCCATTATGCCTGGCTAATTTTTAAATTTTTGTAGAGGTGAGATCTCACTATGTTGCCCAGGCTGGTCTCAAACTCCTGGGTGCAAGCAATCCTCCCACTTTGGCATCCCAAAATGCTGGGATTATAGGCACTCCTGGCATATATATATATTAAAATATATATACCAAAATATATATATATATACATTTTAATTGAAATATGGTATTCACTCAGAAAACATGTACAGATCAATACATTTTCACAAGCAGAATGTGGTACATATATTTTAAAACATTAAATTCTGTTTAAAGAAGCAAAATTTTGTATTTTAGGAACACATTACTTACTGTTCAAACAGATGGTTTCCTGAGGAAATGTGTGTGACTTCACACTATGGGGCTGTCTTTGTCAGCCCTCCCAGACTGCCCCATCTGTGACTTGATTTTTTTTTCTCCTTGTCAAGGTGTCCTCCTCAATTCAATTCACCTCTGCTTCAGGCCAACCGAGACAGGGTCCTTTTGTCAACCTTCTGGCTTCCTTTGCCCTGAGGGACGGAAGCCTTTCCCCACAACCCCCATCAGCTTCTCTTTCTGCATGTTGCTGATCTGGAGACCTGCTGTCATTTGTGGCTGCTCTGAGACATGGCCTGGTCATGGGGGCAGAGCCTCCCTTTGACTGCACCATTTGTTAGCTGTGCTTTAGCCTTCTGTGGAGATTACGACTGGAAAGGCTTGAGACATTGATGACTGGTTCAACAACAAGAGCTTGAACTGTATGGGAGGAAAGACTGAATACTACAATTTTAGCAGTCATTACTGGGGAAGCTGGCAGGAGGATCATTTGAGCCCAGGAGTTCGTGACAGCCTGGGTAACAGCAAGACCCTGTCTTATTAAATTATAATAATAATAAACTGAATTATGGACAAAACGAAGTTAACAAATTTTTTTAGCAGTCACCATTCCTTAAGCACCTACTGTCAGGTGCTCTGCCAGAAACTTCTATAGAGCATCTCATGAATCCTCAAAATAATTCTGTGAAGAAAATATCATTACTATCTGATATGGTTTGGCTGTGTCCCCAGCCAAATCTCATCTTGAATTGTAGTTCCCATAATCCCCATGTGTCATGGGAGGGAGCCAGTATGAGGTAATTTAGTCATGGGGGTGGTTACCCTCATGCTGTTCTCATGATAATGGGTGAGTTCTCACGAGATCTGATGGTTTTATAAGGGACTTTACTCCTTTTGCTCGACACTTCTCCTTCCTGCTGCCACGTGAAGAAGGACGTGTTTGCTTCAATTTCTACCATGATTATAAGTTTCCTGAGACCTCACGAGCCATGTTGAACTGTGAGACAATTAAACCTCTTTCCTTTATAAATTACCCAGTCTTAGGTATGTCTTTATTCGCAGTGTGAGAATGGATTAATACACTATACAACTTCAAATAAGGAAGAGGAAGCTCAGGGAAGCAATTTGCCTAAGGTCACACATCTAGTAAGTGCAGAGAGTGTTTGGATCAGATTTAATTCATGTTCTTTGCTCTAGGTCCAGTCACATCTTCTATGCCTATCTCAGCTGCTGACACGTGACTCAGCTGCTCCCATTTTCCTTGGAAAAGTAGGAGCTGGAAAGGACCTCAGTCAGAGGTCATCCACATCAACCATCTCATTTCACTGATGAGGAAACTGAGACTTGGACCAGGTCAGTGGTTGTCATTCACACCCACGTGCCATCCATACCCACGTGCCAGTCACTCCAAACTACACACATTTCTCCAAAGGCATCTGGGTGTTCCCACCTCTCTGCTTTTGCTAACAAGTTTCCCTCTGCTGGAAGTCCCCTTTCTCCTCATTTCACACTGTTAATGATCTTTTCAGCTTTCAAGATTCACTCCAAGCATCATTTCTCTCATCATCTCCTGAGTATCTGCAGGCTACACTTAGCAATTTCTACTGTGCAGGGGAGTTACCACAGCACGCCTGAGACTGCTAACCTTAGAAAGCCCTGCTTTCAAGGTTGGCCTTTCCAAGGCTGGCATGTAGGAGCTTGGGTTTCAGGAGAGTTCCCATGATTCCCTGATAAGAGTGGCTCATTGTGCCTGGACTGTTTGTGCAAACAGTATGGCTTATGTGAAACACCTGCTTTCCTTCTGGGAGTCTGGAATCTTGGTGCATGCTAGGCAGAGGTTGGCTACATGACCAGCCCTCAGTAAAAACTTTGGGTACTGAGTCTCTAATGAGCTTCCCTGATAATGGACAACATTTCACACTTGTCACAGCGCATTGCTAGAGGAATTAAACGTGTCCTGTGTGATTCCACTGAGAGAGGCTCTTGGAAGCTTGCCCCTGGTGGCTTCCAGACTTTGCCCCATGTGCCTTTTCCCTTTGCTAATTTTGCTTTATATCCTTTCATGGTAATAAATTACAGCCATGCTGATGGCTATACTTTGAGTTCTGTGAGTCCTCCAAGCAAATCACTGGACCTGGGAGTCTTGAGTGGTCTTTGGGATCCCCAGCGCACCTGCTGTATGTTCTGCCATATGCTTGAATATAGATTTCCTGCATTAACACTCAAATGCTGCAATGTTTTGGTTTATGAATCTCTCACTCACACTGTCAAAAAGCAAGTTTGTGTTATTCTTCTTTTCATTTCAATAGGTTTTGGGGGAACAGGTGGTGTTTGGTTACATGGATAAGGTCTTTAGTGGTGATTTCTGAATTTTGGTGCACCCATCACCCAAACCGTGTACACTGTACCCCATGTGGGGTCTTTTATCCCTCACCCCCCTCCCACCCTTCCCCCAGAGTCCCCAGAGTCCATTGCATCAATTTTATGCCTTTGCATCCTCATAGCTTAGCCACTTATTTTTGTTTATTTATTTATTATTTATTTTTTGAGACAGAGTCTCACTCTGTCACCCAGGCTGGAGTGTAGTGGCACCATCTCAGCTCACTGCAATCTCTGCTGCCTGAGTTCAAGCGATTCTCCTGCCTCAGCCTCCCAAGTAGCTGGGATTACAGGCGTGTGCCACTACCCCAGGCTAATTTTTGTATTTTTAGTAGAGACGGGGTTTCACCATCTTGGCCAGGCTGGTCTTGAACTCCAGACCTCGTGATCCACCTGCCTCGGCCTCCCAAAGTGCTGGGATTACAGGTGTGAGCCAAAATGCCCGCCCTGCTTAGCCACTTATAAGTGAGAACATATGATGTTTGGTTTTCCATTCCTGAGTTACTTCACTTAGAATAATGGTCTCCAATTCCATCCAGGTTGCTGTGAATGCCATGATTTCGTTCCTTTTTGTGGTTCAGTAGTATTCCATGGTATATATATATATACCACATTTTCTTTATCCACTCGATGATTGATGGGCATTTGGGCTGGTTGCATGTTTTTGCAATTGCGAATTGTGCTGCTATAAACATGTGTGTGTTTATAGCAAGGGAACAGCAAGAGAGTTTTGGTAGCCAGCTTCCAAGATGGCTCCCAATCATCCCTGCACCTGTTTTCATGCCTTCTCCCATTGAGTAGGGTCAACTTATGTAATCGCTAGGTTATTGGGGAAATAATGGTGTGTGACTTCTGAGGTTAGGCCATAAAAGATATTATGGTTTCTGTCTTACTCTTTTGAGTCACTTATTCCAGGGGAAGTCAGCTGCCATGTTGTGAGGACACTCAAGCAATCCTATGGAGAGGCCCATGTGATGAGGAACTGAAGCCTCCTGCCAACAGCCATGTGAGGGCACCATCTTGGAAGCAGATCCGCCAACTTCACCCAAGCCTTCAGATGAATATAGCCCTGACCGACATCTTCACTACAATCTCATGAGAGAACCTGCGCCAGCACTACCTAGCTATGATGCTGCAAAATTCCTGACCCATAGAAACTGTGAGATAATAAATGCCTGTTGTGTTAAGCCACAAGTTTTGTGGAAATTTGTTACTCAGCAATAACTAACATGAGAGTTAGCTGAAGGTCACATTCTTGTTGAGTAGTGGAAAGGGTTTTGTTAACCCTTCACCCACTGTGGTTCACTTGATAAATGATAGATGAATAAAGAGTGAAAATGAGCACAAAAGTGCCTAAGAAAATTTTCTTCTTTATTGGATGAGGAAAGGGTCTGGAACAAACTAATGTAAAATTGAGAAAGGATGAGGGGTATAATCAGAATGACATACAAGCAATGAAAATGAATGAGCTAGAGCTAAACACTACTACATATATTAATATTAGCTGCATAGTGTTGAGTAAAAAAAGCTAGTCCAGAAGACAAAATAGTGTAAGACATCCTTTTGATAAAGTTTTAAAAAAGTGAAACCAATGTATTGTTTAGATATAAATGGCTGTGATAAAACAAAAAACTCCAAAGGCAAGAGCATAAACTTTACAAAGTTTATCATAGTGGTCACTCCTATAGACAGGGAAGCAGGAGGATTGGTCAGAGAGGAGCATGTTGTAACTCTAAGTTATTGGTCATGTTGGTTCATGAAATATTCCTAATACTATTAAATAAATCTAAATAGAATAAAATAAATAGAAAGGGCCACGCATAGAACAAAGATGTTTTTGTACCAGGGACTGAGAATTATGACTAACCCAATCCAATAAGCCTGAGGTCCAATAAAAAGGGTGGTGGTGATGGGGGTTAGTCTAAGGCCTGAAGAAAGGGAGGGATGTTAACACTTTAAACACTGATAGTCGAATGTGAAGCGGAGGCAGGGTGGTCAGTGGGATGGAGGCCACTCTAAACAAAATGTATGGTTTTTGCTATTTGGGAGTAAAAGGCAGCACAATTTCAGGACACTTTATTTTTTGTTTGTTTGTTTTGAGACAGAGTCTCGCTCTGTCGCCCAGGCTGGAGTACAGTGGTGTGATCTCGGCTCACTGCAACCTCTGCCTCCAAGATTCAAACAATTCTCTTGCCTCAGCCTCCTGAGTAGCTGGAATTACAGGTACGTGCCACCATGCCCGGCTAATTTTTGTATTTTTAGTAGAAACAGGGTTTCACCATGTTGGCCAGGCTAGTCTTGAACTCCTGACCATCTCCTTGTTCTGATTGCAAGCTCACTATATGTCTCAGTACAATATAAGAATCTAGTCTCCCATGTAGATCTTCCTACAGGAAAGAAACACACTGTTGGCAAATACAATGATCCAGTCTGACTGATAATTATGTTTTTCACTAGAAAGGAATTAACTCACACTCCAGGTTTATACATCAACTTCTTTTAGTTTGGTTAGCATGTGACCTCTGGATCCTGCTTACCTCTGTGTGAACTAATGGAACCAGCGTTTTGGCCCTACAGAGTGAAGGACAGGATACTGGAAGAAGACAGTCCAAGGCATTGTTACCCAGTCATCCCCAGTCAGGTCTTGTTTGAAACTCCAACAGTTTAGTAATATACTAGTAAGTCAATTTG
Source organism: Homo sapiens (assembly GCF_000001405.40). Lineage (NCBI taxonomy): Eukaryota > Metazoa > Chordata > Mammalia > Primates > Hominidae > Homo > Homo sapiens. Next base: position 65,120,928 of record NC_000017.11, read on the forward strand.
TAGCTCTACTTGAAGAAGGTTTGTGCCAAACAAGATAGTTTCAGTAACTAAGCTATGTTGAGTGATGTTCAAAACAATTGTTCTAAATTTTATTCTATGTCAGAGCAAGGTTCCAATGAATATCAATGCAAATATACAACACATTTAAATGGTTTTTAATTACATTCTATTTATACAGTTAGCAAATGTTGATCACATCTTATTAAAATAGGTCCATCTAGGAGACTGTGAACAAATTTCTAGGTTTGTCATTAAGAATCCCTGAATCTACTGAATTTTAGAATTTCGACACAATTCACATTTTTTCCAAATAATTATTTCTACTGTTTTATAAATAACTGTATATTGATAATGTTTGCTCAATAATATTGAGATGTTATTTACTGTTCATGATGTGTGCAGGAGGAAGTCCAAGGCCAGGTTTTGTTCATTTCCTTTTCCAGGTGTTATATGGCTTGTGGCACTTCACTAACTAGGAATCATTTTCTTGAACGTTCACAAAACAGAAACTATCCTAACCGAAATCCAGTCAGATGATTTCAAAAAAGTAGATCTGAAATGCCTTTTGAGAGCTGCGAGTGCCTTCTGAGCAGTCCTGTGCCCAGGTGAATGCTTTATGTCAGCATTTTGCAAAATGTGTTCTGGGAAAAACCACATGGGAGGGATATTAATAGAGTGTTACTTTAAAGTTTCTGTGGTTAAAATGCTAGAGAAACACCAGACTAAACAAAGTTAAGCAAGTTCATCACGGCAGGCCTTCTCTGAACGATCTAATATTCTATTAACTGTGTTAAGAGACTGGCAGATTCCTCCCTCCCTCCCTCCCCCCGCTCTTTCTCTCTTTCTTTTTTCTTTCTTTCCTTCTTTTTCTCTTTTCTTTTCTTTTCCCTCCCTCCCTCCCTCTCTTTCCTTTTCTTTTCTTTCTGTCTCTCTCTCTCTCTCTTTTTCTTATTTTCGCCTCAGGAACACATAATGGCAAATGCTTCTTTATAGGGAATATTTCCCAACACAATCTCATAGAAGTGTCAGAGAAGGTATATCAGTTTCACACATGAATAGTTTCCGTTTTATGGATAGTTTCCGTTTTATAAATGTTCAAGAAAATGATTCATAATCACTGAACTGCCACAAGCCATATAACACCTGGAAATGGAAATGAACAAAACCCGGCCTTGGCCTTCCTCCAGCATACATCATGAACAGTAAAATAACATCTCAAAATTATTGAGGAACTAACACCTGTGGTAAGTGGCTGCCCTGGTAGAGAATCCAGGCCAGTATTCTCAAACTAGTAGTCTACAATCATGAGTCTCATTTCTCCTTGGTAAGATTTTTTTTTTTCTGAGACAGGGCCTCATTCTGTCACCCAGGCTGCAGTGCAGTGGCACGATCTCAGCTCACTGCAACCTCCGCCTCCCAGGCTCAAGCCATCCTCCTACCTCAGCCTCCCGAGTAGTTGGGACTACAGGCGTGCACCATGATGCACAGCCTTTGGTTAAGAGATCTTGATTTTGTCTTCACCCTCCTCTCCCATAGGGAGGACGTTAGGACCCTTTCTACCCCTGTACCTCCAATCCTCCTTCCAAGTGGCACTGTCTGCATAGTTCTTGTACTCTACTCTTCCAGGCTCATAGTTCCTCATCTTCTGAACTAATCTTCTTCCCCATTATGTGGTCACAATACTAAAGTGCATTTTTTGTTTGTTTGTTTTGGTTACTTGACTTGTTAAAATTGACAAGTCAGTCGTTCTCCTACATACGGGAAAAATGGGCCCTGAAGTATATATATTTACAGGTCTTGTTCTGTCGCCCAGGCTGGAGTGCAGGGGTGCCACCAAGGCTCACTGCAGCCTCGACCTCCCAGGCTCAAGCAATCCTCCCACCTCAGCCTCCAGAGCAGCTGGGACCACAGGCGCACACCACCACGCCCGGCTAATTTTTGTATTTTTTTTTTTTTTTTTTTTTTAGTAGAGACTGGGTCTCGCTATGTTGCCCAGGCCGGTTTCTAACTCCTGAGCTCCAGCGATCCTCCCAACTTGGCTTCCCAGAGTGCTGGGATTACAGGCGTGAGCCAGTGCGCCCGGCCTAAATTAAATACTTTTAAGTTGCAGTGTCACCATTATTTTTTTCGAGCCTGTAGGGGTTATAAAAAGGAAAGTCCAGAGCTTAGGTATTGGAGGGGCCGATCTCGAGGTAGCACTTAGGCGAAAGGGATCCCGGCGCTATGGGCTTCAAGGGGGCCCCTCCGAAAAGCCTTCCACCCCGGCCCCCAATCCCGCGGCGCGCGAGTTCCGTGGAGGAGGCCGCCCGCGGCCCCAGAGTCGGCATTAGGGGTTCGCGTCCACCCGGCAAGGCCTCCCGTGAGCCCAGAGCAGGGACCTAAGAGGATGCGAGAAACCCTCCAGCAGAAAAAACCCCGCAAACTCAGTGCACTCAGGACGCTGTCTGAAAGAAGCCGAAAGTGGGCAACCGCCGGAAGCCGACACCCTGAGCCCGCATTTCCTCTCTAGGAATCCGGAGGTTTCCGCATCTCTATGGTCTGGGCGTCGAGCGGCGGAGCCTGTGGTCTCTGGCGCAAAGGAAAGTGAACTCCCAGCGAGGAGGGGAAGGAGCATCGGCTTGTCTCTTCGCGATCCCTTTCCTACCCCTTCTCACTCGTGCGCACCTGGCAGTACCACCAGCAGAGCCTCGGAAATTGCTTTCATCACGATTTAACAAAATGAAGACACAGGAACACAATAGGACACCCCCAAACTCAACAAGTTTCTCTAGCTTTTTGCCAGTAGTGTAGCGCACATGCATTTTTAAAATTTAGATGAAGTCTAACATTCATGCAATAACACAGCTGAAATGACGAGTAATAACAATAATAATAACCCAGAAATGTTTGACATTTGAAGTTCCTTTTGAGTTTGAACCCCAGGCTGGAACTGGATGAGCTGGCGTCGTCTCTCAGCACAGACCCTGTCCTCTGGTCCCTAAGGCCGCGAGCAGGAGAGACACACCTGTTCTTCCACTTGCTCCCAGGGCTCCAGCTGGCCCATCTGTTGATTCGAAGGTTCATGCTAACCAACTTACATATACTTTCTTATTTGTATTTTCCACTCTAAAAAGGGATAGGGAAAACAATGCAAATATAAATAACTGCAGAATCTACTAAAATTAGAATTGTCTAGGTTTACAAAACATATGGCATCCAACACAAATAAGGGTGTGGTGAAATTTGTTCATTCTGAGCAGACAGAATGTAAATATATGCATCCTGTTGAAAAACTACTTGGCATTTTATATCAAAAGCCACCGTGACTCATGGGATCCCATCTGTGAAAATTTATCTCAAGCAAATAATGCAAGAGAAAGGAAAAGCTGTATTTTTGAAGTGATTCTGCAATGGACAACTACTGTTATTGTTCGCCCAACATTCAGTTTTTCTTTTAATGATTTTAACAGTAGGATTTTTCTGTGGGAAACCTACTAGCCCTCAATCCACTTCTGGGGTGGGCCCATGACCCAGGCCTGGCCAATGAGAATATCCCAGCATGGCAAGGCAGTAAGACATGAAGTCATGAGCCAGGCTGAAGGCCCCGAGTCCTGGCTCTGCTGCTTAACAGATGCATGAATGTCAGCTTGTTATTCAGCTTCTCTGACTCTCAGTATACTCATTTGTTGAATGGGCACATTAATAGTCCCCTGCCTCACAGGGGTAAAGATTAAATGAATGAAGCAGGTGTAACAGGGCTTGTTATGTCCTACCATGATCAGTTCCTACCTCTGTGACTCTGATCAATATTTCCTATGTCTAGCATGCTTTATTACCACCTTTCCTTTCTTTCCTTTTCTTTTTACTTTCCACATGTTGCAATATCATCTACTGCATTATCCTAGACATTTATTTTATATTTTTCTTTCCTCCGGGGAATACCCTGAAGGTGGGACTGTGTCTTATTCATCTTTGTACTCTGGTTGCTTAACACAGTTCCCACCCCAGAAATGGTGCTCAATAAAGGCTTCTTGAAGAAACGGAATAGCCTTGAGCCCAGAGATGAGAAAGAAGTTGGAACAACTAGTGAAAAGGTGATAAATCCTAGATGATAAACAAAAGGGGAATAGAGAGAACCACATGAATATGAACAATTTTCTTTAAAAAACAAAAAAAAACTTGATCCCTGGGGATTGCAGACTCCCTATCTCCCTAGCCCTGGACTGGCTCCCATGTGGTGGACAGATGAGTTCTAAGGACAGACTTGTGCCTAAGATTCACTTTCTGAATTACTGCTTCCTTTTTCTGCCTTAGGAATCATCTCTTCCCTTGGAGACTAACAGGAGAAATTAGCATTCTTTTCAGATAGATCCAATCTGCCTTCAGGAAAGACCACCCCGCATGGCCAATATTCATGTGCAAAAATTCAGACATAAAATGCAAAGTGTAGAGGAGGCTTTAAGATACAGTAAACAAGGCCAGGCATGGTGGCTCATAACTGTAATCCCAGCACTTTGGGAGGCCAAGGCAGGAGGATCCTTTGAGTCCAGGAGTTCGACACCAGCCTGTGCAACCTAGCGAGACCCCCATCTCAACAAAGATATAGTAAGACACTAGGGAAAGGACAGGCTTCATTAGGTGCCTGGAGGAGATGGGTCAGGCCAGCCTGGAAACCCTCGAAAACCCTTTCTAATGAGTGATTGCTCATCTTTTGATGGTGATACTGAACGAGTGATACCAGCATCAATTTCTCTGCTGTACAAGACCCTCCTGGAATCCATCTGAGACTCAGAAATTCTCAGGTTTGAAAGAGATGGACAGCAGCACAGTTTGCCATTGAGTATAGAGTAGATCTCATCTACAACTTTGGACTGTGGCCACTGAAGCTGGGAACACTCCAAAGACACCCAGTTCCCTGGTCTGTGAGATCATCTGCTTAAAGTACAAAATTAGTTGTTAGAAAGTTTTTCCATGAAGTCCTAATTAGTATTAATGTAATAGTGTCTTAATTCAGGTATTGGTAACCCTTAGCAATCTTCGGTGAAGCATCCAGAACCTAACAGATAGAGGACTTCCTGACTTAACCGACTTCTCCTACCACCAGATTCTGCAATTTAGCAAACATTTTCACTTTTTTTTTTTTTTGAGACGGAGTCTCACTCTGTTGTTGCCCAGGCTGGAGTGCATTGTCATGATCTCGGCTCATGCAACCTCTAACTCCCGGGTTCAAGTGATTCTCCTGCCTCAGCCTCCCAAGTAGCTGGGATTACAGGTGTGCGCCACCACACCCAGCTAATTTTTGTATTTTTAGTATGGATGGGGTTTCATCATGTTGGCCAGGCTGTTCTCGAACTCCTGGCCTCAGGTGATCCGCCTGCCTTGGCCTCCCAAAGTGCTGGGATTACAGGCGTGAGCCACCATGCCTGGCCTAAACATTTTCACTTACAATATTAATTATAATTTTTTAAGAATAATTTGATTTTCTCATAGCAAGCAAATGAATTATTAGAAAGTGGAGGCTTTGCCCAGGGGTACGCATGTTAGTAAGCAGCCAAACCAAGACTCAGCCATGGTTTATTTTGTTCTGAATCCTGTGCTGTTTCCATGACTGCAGTGCTCGGCCTCCCTGAACTGCTAGATAACAGTGACATAAATTCAGTGAAATAAATTCTGGCTGTGTTGGCCAGGCACGGTGGCTCATGCCTGTAATCCCAGCACTTTGGGAGGCCAAGGCGGGCAGATCACTTGGGGTCAGGAGTTTGAGGTCAGCCTGGCCAACATGGTGAAAGCCCAACTCTACTAAACAAACAAATGAACAGAAAAACAAAGCAAAACAAAAAAACAAAAATCAGCCAGGCATGGTGGCATGAGCCTGTAGTCCCAGCTACTCAGGCGGCTGAGGCAGGAGAATTGCTTGAACCTGGGAGGTGGAGGCTGCAGTGAGCCAAGATTGCACCACTGCACTACAGCCTGGGCAACAGAGCGAGACTCCATCTCAAAATAAATAAATACATAAACAAATAAATAAATAAATAAATAAATTCTGGCTGTGTCTACCTGGGTATGGGATTGATTGATCCATGACTGGGAAATTTTGGACAAGTCTGTTAGAAAGAAGGTGAGGGGCTCTTCTTGAAAGGCTCTTAAGAAGGTAGTAGGCCAGGTGCAGTGGCTCGCGCCTGTAATCTCGGCACTTTGGGAAGCCGAGGTGAGTGGATCGCTTGAGCTCAGGAGTTCAAACCTGGGTAACATGGCAAAACTCCGTCTTCACCAAAACTACACCAAAAAATTTAGCCGGGCATGGTGGCACGTGCCTGTAGTCCCAGCTACTCAGGAGGCTGAGGTCAGAGGATCACTGGAGCCCGGGAGGTTGAGGCTGCGTGAGCCGAGATCACGCCATTGCACTCCAGACTGGGTGGCAGTGAGACCCCTGGGCCCAGAGAAAAATAAAAAGAAATGAAAGTAGCAAATGTGGCAGACTTAAAGCTGAGAGGAGGGAAGACCTAACTCATGAGGGATGGGACACTTGGAGCAAACAGAGGGTCCTGGGATCTAGAGGTTTCACAAGGATGAACAACAGGTAAGTGAACCCTGAGCAGAACTGAATGCTGGACTTAGAGGGCAAATATACAAGTTCAGACTTTCCAAGACGACTCAGCTCAAAGTTAAGATCGGGATATGGCCATGGAAGTGGATAGCTGAAGTGAAGCAGAAGCAAAGATCGCTGGAAGGGAGGAGGTTAAGGTCAGAAGGTTGGGGAATTCATCCACTGGGACCCTGAAATCACCCAGGATGGACAAGAGGAGGATGTGGGTAAGGTGCTCAAGTTCTGTGGGGGAAAATCTGGAGGAAGACAAGAGTGCAAGGAGGAGGAGAGGGGTGGAGAGGGGTGTGTACGTCTCAGAGGAGGAAAGGTTTAGCACCAAAGTAGAAGAGCGATGCCTCAGAAGTGGCAATGGGAAGCTTGGGGAACTCCTAATACCAGCCTGGAAATAGGGTGATGACAGGGGAGTAAAGCAACCTCCCCTGTAATGGATGTGACACCCCGGAGGACAAGCCCAGTTGCCCTTAGGAGGAAGATCTAGTAGAATATTCCAGGAGGACAGAATGCTCATTCTATTATCATTATTTTTTTAGAGACAAGGTCTTGCTCTGTCACCCAGGCTGGGGTGCAGTGGTGCAATCATAGCTTACTGCAGCCTCACACTCCTGGGCTCAAGTGATCCTCCTCCCTTAGCCTCCCAAGTAGCTGTGATTACAGGTACATGCCACTACCTGACTCATGTGTTTTAAAAAATTGAGATATAATTCACATACCATAAAATTTACCCTGTAAAGTATACAACTCAGTAGTTTTGGTATATTCACAGGCTGAATCTCTACTACAAATTCCAGAACATTTTCAAGAAGAAACACTATACTCATTAGCAGTCACTTCTCATTCCTTCCACCCCTAAGGATTTGTTTTTTGTTTTTGTTGTTTTTTTTTAAATGAAGTCTTACTCTGTTGCCCAAGCTGGGGTACAGTGGCACAATCTTGGCTCACTGCAATCTCTGCATCCTGGATCCAAGTGATTCTCCTACCTCAGCCTCCCAAGTAGCTGGGATTAATAGGCGTGTGCCACCATGCCCGGCTAATATTTGTATTTTTTAGTGGAGATGGGGTTTCACCGTGTTGGCCAGGCTGGTCACGAACTCCTGACCTCAAGTGATCCGCCCACCTTGGCCTCCCAAAGTGCTGAGATTACAGGCGTGAACCACTGCACCTGGCCGGGATTTGTACTTTTTAATAAAACACCACATTTGCTGTCAGTAGGGTGGCTTCAATTTTGAACTCAGAAGGAATCTCTACTAAAGATAAAGAAAGATGAGAAAAAAAGGACAATTAGCTTTTCCAAGGTTCAGGTGATGTAATAAGACATAAAGATAAAGATGGATGGACGGATGGATGGATGGATGGATAAATGGTTAGATAGACAGATAGATTGATTGATTCGCAGATAGAGAAAGCGATTATTAGGTTCATACATCAAAACAAAGATAAATGAACCTAGGGAAAGTGGATCTTTAGAAGCAACACCTGAACTGGATTAAAAATGCATTCTTGCAGCATTTAATGTTTCTTTGTGTCTCCTGTATCAATCATCTCCCTGTGCCCTTCCAGACATTTCCATTTCTGGGAAAACCAAGGGTAAAATGGGCAGGAGTTTTGGAAAATCCCTTGCTTTGGAAAACCATAAGACAGACACTTGTTCCCTATCACCCTCTCAGCTCCTTACAAAGAGCGGTGGTGGCTGCTGGAAGCTGAAGGAGGAGGTGGGACCCCCCAACCTCCAACACACAGCTGTGGTGCCTGAGCCATCCCGTCACAGTCAGGCAAGGGGAGAATCTGGGCAGTTGGCAGAAACACCGAGGGAGCCACAAGCCTCCAGGTGGATCTTGGGGGCCTGTGTCAGTAGAGGACCCTCAGTTGGCGTGCATTCTGTTTAAGCATCCTTTGCAGGGTGGGAGTGTTTAGCCAAAGAAAGGGGCTTCAGTAAGATTAATACAAATGGAGTGCAGCAATTAGTACATTTTCCTGAGGTCTTTTTTTCTAAAGTAGGTCCCTCTTGCTCCAACCCCGATCTCTGTCTGATAACTTGTGGGGAATGTTGATGGTAGCACTCAGCTCTTTTGAATGTCTGCCACATGGAATCCCATTTTGGGGCGGCTGGTCTAAGTTCAGAGGGGCCTTGACTTAGGGGGAGCACTGTTCCCACTCTGCTACACCTCAGGGCTGATTGAACTTTTTACTCTACTCAGAATACTGACCTCATAGGATTTCAAAATTTGAGGGGACTTTTGAATTCATCACGTCTGATTCTTTCTGAAATTACATATTACTAGTGAGAAACTAGAGAATCAGAGAGGTTAGGTAACTTGATCAAAGTCACCCATCCTCAGTGGGTGTGGTGGCACACATCTGTAATCCCAGTTACTTGGGAGGCTGAGGCTGGAGAATCGTTTAAGCCCAGGAGTTGGAGTCCAGCATGTGTAACACAGCGAGACCTTGTCTCTACAAAACATAAAAGAATTAGCCTGGCGTGGTGGTGCATGCCTGTAGTCTCAGCTACTCGGGAGGCTGAGGCAGGAAGATTTCCTGAGCCCGGGAGTTGGAGGTTGCAGCGAGCTATGATCGTGCCACTGCACTCCAGCCTGTGCAACAGAGCTAAAAAAAATAAAAATAAAAATAAATAAATAAATACAACAAAGTCACCCATCCAACTAATCCATAGTGACAGAAAGCAGGTCAGTTGTTGTGTGGGTACAGTGTAGGGGGAGGAGGTGAAGGTCAGAAGGTGGTGCAAAGAAGTTCTGGAAGATGATGGATAGGTTCCCTATCTTGATTGTGTGTATAGTTTCATGGGTGTATATATATGCCAAAACGTATCAAATTATACACTTTAAATATGTGCAGTTTATTGTATACCAATTATACTCGATGAAGCTGTGAACAAAAGGCCCCTATCTGGTCAGAAGCAGAGGAGGGATAAGAACACACATCTTGTGCTTCGTGGTCTTCACACCGCCCTAACCCCAGCACTGTCTTAAAACCAAAGCTTATTCTAAGTCATAAAAGTACCTTTACCCATATTGTCATTTTTTTAAAACTCTGTATTTATAAATTTTCTATAATAAAAAATAATAACACCCTTAAAACAAGTAGCAAATGCCCTTCAACAGTTCCAATCTGACCCGGTCCTTAGATGGAATTGTACCCTACAGAATTGGGAAGGGGTGGGGAACAGAGAAAGGTGTGATTTTTTTTCTTTTTTCCTGTGTTCATCTTGAGCAATGCATGTGCAAAATATCTTTTCTGGATGCATCAAGTGAATTTAATTTAGGATAAAAAAATTGAGAGGAACCAGGTTTCTATTATAGGACTGTGGTTTGTGGTGGTAGCTGGTGGTCCCCACTAGGTCGAAATAGTTTCCGTACAACCCCTAGATGAGGAAGATGCAGGAAGCCTTCTAGGAAGTACCAACTCTTCTTTTTCTCCTTCTTTCCCTGATCAAACACCCAGGGCCACGAGGTGTGGCCAGCTTCCGGAGGTCCAACATAGCTTCTTTGTGGAGCATGTGGAAGTGCAGAGATAAAGGTTGGTGTGTCCAACCATCACTTCCCTTTATTGTTGAACTTGGGCTGACCCATGAGGAGCATAGAGACTCTGCCCAGCTGGCTCGATATGCTCAGTGTGGAAAATGAGGCCCTTTGGTTTCCCACCAGAGTATGTCTTCATGCTGTATTGCCTAAAAGGACCTAAGAAGAAACATTCATGCAACTGAAGGTTTTTCTGTCTGTATGATTTTTTTAGAATTGCAGATGTAATATACACGTATCATAATTTCAAACAAGACAATTAGATGAAATGTAAGCAAGGGTAAAGGATGGGCAGTGACTCTGGGAGTCAGATGAACCCGACACCATTTCTGTCCAGGTCAGGGAGATGTCTCTTTGTGCACGTGTGGGAGGTGCTGTACCTGAGTTGTTCAAAGTGCTGGGGGACAGTGGATGAACTCTGAGACCGAGATCTGGGTGTGCGCACTACCATAGACATTTAAACCACACGCTGCCTCTTCACACTGTGCCTCCCCTGTGTCCCTCCCAGCCACCAGAATTTTTGCCCTTCTCTGCCTGACTTCTGTGCTCCAGGAGGCTAACTCTAAAAGACTGCAGACCCATTGCCCTCTGGATTTGGGTCAAGACTGAACACCGGGAGGAAACAGGAGATGGAGGGCAGGAGGAGAGAGAGCCAGGATATGTATTCCCTCAGGTTTTCTCCTTCCAAGATGACAGACCCCCCCAGCAGGGCCCTGGCTCTCCATCCTTAAATGCCTAGATAATGCATAATAGCTTTCCACGGTTGCTATTATATTACCTGGGATCTTTAACATCCCTTAGTGGCTCCTTTAACCCTGCCCCACTTCTAAGAAGTCCCTTCATGGAAGTCTTGGCCTGGCAGCGGTCTGAAACATCCATCCTGTTGAAATGAACTGTTTAAGTTTCTGTCTCTTTTTCCAGACTTTGAGAGGGGCACAAAGGCAGGGAACATGTCCTTTTAAGCTTTAGTGCAGCGCTTGGACTGAACTAAATTGTTGGGTTGACTAGGGGTGTTGCGACATTTTATTGAGATGATCTTAGACCTGGATTTTAAAGGGCACTGCTGCTTGCGTGTGCTGTCTGGATGAACACATGATTGTACCGAGATGAGGTTTTAGCCTACAGGGAACAAGGTCCAGGACTATGTAGATCATGTTGTACAATACCCAGGGCAGCATGAGTCCGCTTAGGGTCTGAATCACACTCTTTTGTTGATATTGATGCAGAGGATACTGGTCACAAAACTGATGATGATGTTGATGATAATGGAATGTCCATTTACTGACTCAGTCAGAGTCACAGGAGGATTTAATTTTAGTACTGGTTTATTGCAAGGTAATATTTGTTTTTTTGGTCCTTTTTTTTTTTTTGAGACAGAGTCTCACTCTGTCACCCAGGCTGGAGTGCAGTGGCACGATTTTGGCTGACTGCAACCTCTGCCTCCTGGGTTCAAGCGATTCTCCTGCCTCAGCCTCCTAGGTAGCTGGGATTATAGGCATCTGCCACCATGCCCAGCTAATTTTTGTATTTTTAGTAGAGATGGGGTTTTACCATGTTGGCCAGGTTGGTCTTGAACTCCTGATCTCAAGTGATCCACCTGCCTTGGCCTCCCAAAGTGCTGGTAGTATAACAGGCATCAGCCACTGTGCCTGGCCTCAGTTTTTGTTTTTTTTTGGAGACAGGGTCTCACTCTGTCACCCAGGCTGGAGTACAGTAGTGATCCTGAGCTCAAGTGATCCTCCTGCCTCAGCCTCTCCAGTAGCTGGGACTACAGGTACGCACCACCATGCCTGGCTAATTTTTAAAACGTTTTGTAGAGACAGGATCTGACTATGTTATCCAGGTTGGGTCTGAAACTCCAGGCCTCAAGTGACCCACCCGACTCAACCTTCCAAAGCACTGAGATGACAGTGAGCCAAGATTGCACCACTGCACTACAGCCTGGGCAACAGAGAGAGACTCCATCTCAAAATAAATAAATAAATACATAAGCAAACAAACAAACAAACAAATAAATAAATAAATAAATAAATAAATAAATTCTGGCTGTGTCTACCTGGGTATGGGATTGATTGATCCATGACTGGGAAATTTTGGACAAGTCTGTTAGAAAGAAGGTGAGGGGCTCTTCTTGAAAGGCTCTTAAGAAGGTAGTAGGCCAGGTGCAGTGGCTCGCGCCTGTAATCTCGGCACTTTGGGAAGCCGAGGTGAGTGGATCGCTTGAGCTCAGGAGTTCAAACCTGGGTTTCTATCTTGATGGGAGTGCTGGTAAACAGGGAAATAAGTTTGCCAAAACTCATCCAACTATTCTTAAAATTAGAGCATGTAATTGTATGTAAACTGTACCTTGAATATAAACTTTACCTCAATTAAAAGGTTTATGTCCCTTTCCATTTAATCCCTGACCCAAACCCTCCAAATTTCTTTTCTTTTCTTTTCTTTTTGAGATAGATTCTCGCTCTGTCGCCCAGGCTGGAGTGCAGTGGTGTGATCTCGGCTTACCTTGGCCTCCCGGGTTCAAGTGATTCTCCTGCCTCATTCAGCCTCCCAAGTAGCTGGGATTACAGGTGCCTGCCACCACATCCAGCTATTTTTTGTATTTTTGGTAGAGACAGGGGTTTCACCATGTTGGCCAGGCTGGTCTCAAACTCCTGATCTCAGGTGATTCTCCCGCCTCGGCCCCCCAAAGTGCTGGGATTACAAGCATGAGTCACCATGCCCGACCCCTCTAAACTTCTTGACCTTGTGTCCAACAAACTCCTAGTCACCACCCTCAAATTATGCTAATCCTTGCCTCTGCACCTTTTCTTGTGCTGTTCCCTGTGAGGAAACTTAGCTTGCCCCTACACCTGGTTAACTTCCTATCTTCTTTTAAGACTCCTCTTCCAGGAAGCCTTCCTGATCTTCTCTTCCATTCAGGATGGGTGAGGTGCCTTTCCACAAAATCCTGTATTGCATTGACTACATCTTCATCACACATAGATTTTATTTTATAACATTTTTGTCTAAATATTCTTTTTCCACTTTAAACTCTGAGCTCTTTGAGACAGGAACTGGGTCATATTCTTTTTTTCTTTTTTATATTTGTATTTTTCTGGTCTTATTCTCATAGAAAGGACTGAGTCATATTCTGCTTTGAATTCCAGACTCTAGCAAAATGGCTGGCAAACAATATGTTTGTTGATTAAATAAATCGATGAATTAAATCAATTTTTTCCCCTAGGACACTGGCATGAAACTTTGAATACCATATTATATGACAGGCTCTTTCAGTTGCAAGAAACAAAGACTCAGATATGTGGGAGGATTCCAGAAGATACCCTTGCCCTTGGTAAGGCACTGACCCAACTTAGTCCGAGGGGCTTGTCTGTGTCATGGCCCCTCTGCTGCTCTCTGTTCAGCTTGTTGCTTCCCTTTTTTTCTTTTCTTTTATATGTATATTTTTTGAGACAGAGTCTCGCTCTATTGCCCAGGCTGGAGTGCAAATCTCAGCTCAATGCAACCTCTGCCTCCCAGGTTCAAGCGATTCTCCTGCCTCAGCTTCTCGAGTAGCTGGGATTACAGGCATGCGCCAGCATGCCCGGCTAATTTTTTTGTATTTTTAGTAGAGATGGGGTTTCGCCATGTTGACCATGCTGGTCTCGAACTCCTGACCTCAGGTGATCCGCCCGCTTCGGCCCCCCAAAGTGCTGGGATTACAGGCGTGAGCCTCCGCGCCCAGCCTGTTTGCCTCCCTTTTCTGATCAGCTTCCTCTGCTCACCTTTCATTTCTCCTTCCTCATAACTTCAGCTTGCATTTGGTCTCAGCTTCCTGTGGCCCTGACTTTATCTGACTCAAGTTGGCATTTGTGAAGGTAATAATCTAACAAGCTCCTCTCCGTTTTTCAGATCCACATCATGGTCCTATCATGTGGGGAACTGGCCTCTGGTCCAATGAGCAAAGATGGGTCCCACAAAATGTAGTTGCTTGGAGAGCAGGGCCTGACAGAAGGGGTGGGGAGGAGAGTGGCAGGCACTGAGGCCTCTCCTATTCTATTAATGAGCAAAGTGCCTTTTATTTTTGCCTCTCTTTGCTCCTGAATAATTTTTCTCATCCTTCATTTTAGGAAAGCCACTTATCTTCTTGATGCTTAGGGTTTCTAGAGACAAGGGATGTTGAAGCTGGAAGGAACTTCATAGCTCATCTTGGTCAGATCCCAGCATGTGCTCTGTATAACACTAGGCTCAAAAGATGCTTCATGAGAAAAAAAATCAAGATATTCCAGCATTTTCTTTGGATTTAAACTCACACCAGGCTCAAAAGATGCTTCATGAGAAAAAAAATCAAGATATTCCAGCATTTTCTTTGGATCTCAGCTCACACCAGGAGCATACTTCTCAGTGGTTCAATTTGCTTGGCAGGATCTCTGGTCTTCTGCTTGGATGGATCTCTGCAGGGTCCAGCGTCCTCTAAATTGGAGGCTCTGAATCAGGGATTCCTGAAAAGGCACAAGAGAGGCCCAAGCATGAACCTCTTGAAATTGTTTGCAAACTTCAGTCAGTGTTGTGTACATGTGCATGTGTGTGTGTTCCTGAGTGTCCATAGCTTTCATCAGATTCTTACAGGTAAATATCACCCGAGAGAATGGATAAGAACCACTGCTTTTTTTTTTTTTTGAGACAGAGTCTCACTCTGTCACCCAGGCTGGAATGCAGTGGCTCAGTCTTGGCTCACTGCAGCCTCTGGGTTCAAGTGATTCTTGTGCCTCAGCCTCCTGAGTAGCTGGGATTACAGGTTGCTCCACCATGCTGATTGATTTCTGTATTTTTAATAGAGATAGGGTTTTGCCATGTTGGCCAGGCTGGTCTTGAACTCCTGACTTCAAGTGATTCACCCGCTTGGGCCTCCCAAAGTGCTGGAATTATAGGCGTGAGCCATCACACCCAGCCAAGAACCACTGCTTTAAAGGGACATTGGTTGACTGTGCCTTCCTAAGGTAAAGGCCTTCTTGTTTTCTTCCAACTTAAACATTTTATCTGCTACACTCAATAACCATCGAGTATGTTTAAGAGAAAGTGCTTTATATAACAAAGCAGAAAGGCTCTTGATAATAACTTAGAGGCTTCATCCTTGCATTTTTCTCAAGATGAAAACGCTAACATAATGAGCTGTCAAGGTAGGTTCATCAATTGTAACAAATGGGCCACTCCAGTGGAGGATGTTGATCATGGGGGACGCTGTGCGTGCGTGGGGAGAGGGGATATATGACGTGTCCCTATACCTTCCGCTCAATTGTGCTGTGAACCTAAAACTGCTCTAAGAAATAAAGTCTATTAAAACAAGCAAACCAGCCAGCTGCAGTGGCTCACTCCTGTAATTCCAGCACTTTGGGAGGCCGAGGTGGGTAGATCGATTGAGCCCAGGAGTTTGTGAAACTCCCTCTCCACAAACAATTTTTGTAAAAATTAGCGGGGTGTGGTGGCACGTGCCTGTAGCCCCAGCTACTGGGGAGGCTGAGGTGGGAGGATTGTTTGAGCCTGGGAGGTTGTAGCTGCAATGAGCCATGATTACGCCACTGCACTCCAGCCTGGGTGACAGAGCAAGACCCTGTCTCAAAAAAAAAGTTAAACAACAACAAACCCAACAACCAACTAACCGAAACACTAAGAATCAGAGAAGTAAAATATAATTCGCTTCATCCAGACAGCTAGCCCGGTGAGGACTACAACCTTCCTCTCTTCCTTCTTCACTTCTTTGCTCTCTCTTTTTAAACCCACATCTTAGCAATTCCTCTGCTATTGGGTCATTAAATCGCCACCTCTAATTTTTTTTTCTAAGCATTTATTGAGGGCCAAGCACTGTGTTACACATCTCCTCATTAAAATGGTATAGCAACCTTTTCTGGTCGATATTATGATCCCATTTTTCAATTTTTACTTTTGAGTGAAGGACATTGATTCTTAGAGATTGTAAGGAACTTGCCCAAGGCTGCCGGCTGGTTAGTGGCAGAGCTGGGATGGGAAAGTCCGTATTTTCCACCGCGCTGTATTAGTGAGGGCTCTTTGTGTCACTTCTGTGCATAACTCCGCCCCAAGTTAAAAGGCTCGCTGCTCTCGACAGGTCCTCCTCCTCCTCCCGCTAGGTCCTCCTCCTCCTCCCGCCAGGTCCTCCTCCTCCTTCTCCTCCCGGGGCCCTGCCCTGCGGGTCTCACCTGCTGCTCCGCGGGGTCCCGGCGGGGGCCGGATAGCGCCCCCTGGCGGCAGGTGGGCGCCCGCGCAGCGCATGCTAATGAGCCCGCGGCGCCGCTCGCGGATTGGCTGGCGCGGATTCCAGCTGCTTTCCAAGTCAGCGGCGCCTAGTGAGAGTCAGGGGGGCCCGGCCCGCGCCCTCCCCGCCCAGCCGCCTCCCCGTCGACGCCCAGGGCTGGGGCGAGCCAGGCTGCCTTTCGAACTTGGGGGGCTTCTCCTCTTGTCTCCCACTGGTGCTCTGGCTGTGAATCCATCCAGGGGCCAGGATGACAATCCGACACCAAGGCCAGCAGTACAGGCCGAGGATGGCATTTCTCCAAAAGGTAACCCTGGCCCCTCACCTGGACCCTGGGAGGAGGGCGGGGGACCGCATCTGCGAAGCGTCCGAGGACAAGAGGGGCAGGAGTGGAGAGCACCCCTTTGGGTCGATTTGTGCTGCTCGATTTTATTAAGTGACTTCTTTGCTGTGTGTGTCGATATTGATGGCTATAATAATTAGGTTTTCGTGTGCCCTGCCTGTAGTGGAGAATCTGAAGCCAGCGCTGATGGTCTGCGGGAGGTGAAAACAACCTGTTACTCGGGAGAGGCAGGTTCAGTTCAGGCTGTGGCAGATTTGAGACAGCCTGCTGATATTGTTGTAAGACGACCAGATGTGACATTGCCATTTTTGCCTTTTTTTTCTGATCCCAAACTGCACTATTTTAAAGTGTGTGTGTGTGTACACATAGACCATGAAAACGGGGTGATTTGTAGGATAAAGGGCCACCCCA
This sequence comes from Homo sapiens, assembly GCF_000001405.40. Lineage (NCBI taxonomy): Eukaryota > Metazoa > Chordata > Mammalia > Primates > Hominidae > Homo > Homo sapiens. The sequence continues at coordinate 65,138,045 of NC_000017.11, forward strand.
TTTACAATGCCCTGAGAGCCCTCATTTGAGTGTGTCTATCTGTGCATCTCCTGCTGTCTGCGCTGGCGGCAGAAGTCCCAACCTTTTCGCTTCCCTTGCGAATGCTTTCCCAGACAAAGTGACCGGGCACAGGGTGTGCACACAGGATGGACATGTGGGAGGTGGAATGCACCTGTGGGGTGATGTGTTTGGGGACAAAGTGGTTCATTTAGTTCTGAGCTTCTGGTATAATCACTGTCCGATGAGATCTACAGAGGATTAGGTCCCGGGTCACATCTTTGTCCTTCCTCCCACCCGTAGCCACTTTTCACAGCGTAGTGTCCATCTTCTTAGGCTTATCTTGTTGAGTAGAATTAGTTGAATGTTTTGTGACAAGCTGAGCTCTCCCTGAGCCCCTGGAGCTCAGCAAATTTGTATAGTCAGTGACCGCTGTCCTGATTTGCCCAGGACTTTCAATGCTAAAACCTGGACAGTCCTGGGGACCCCGAGACGGTCGCATTTGGTCCACCTGTTTCAAGATGCTCGTGCTCATCTTCCGGGTAGCAGAGGTGTGGGTATCATCTGTAAAGCAGACAGGCTGAATGTTGTCTCACTCAGAAAGAACCCTGAGAGCCTGTATTGCAGATACCAGTTACTAAAAGCAGAAGAAACTGCCTAAGTCGGCTATCTCAAAGCCACACATCATCTTCCAGGATTTATCCTAGGACTGTCTCCTCCCAGGCAGGACAGCTCTGGCTTGGGGGCTCAGAGGGTAATTGTCAAGAGATAAATTCAGTTTGTTTATTGAATCTCTGGCATTCTTTTCCATCATGACTCTTCTCTGGTAGATTCTCCTCTCCTTACCTTGGTCTTCTGACTAGTGTCTTGGTCTCTAGTTTCTCTCCTCCACCCCAGGCTTCCCTCCTCCTCCCCAGCCACCCCTCCTCCACCCCAGCATCCCCTCCTCCACCCCAGCATCCCCTCCTCCACCCAAACTCTCCCTCCTCCACCTTAGTCTCCCTTCCTCCACCCTAACCTCTCCCTCCTCCATTCCAGCTCCCCTCCTCCACCCCAGCTCTCCCCCCTCCACCCCACCTTTCCCTCCTCCACCCCAGGTCCTCTTCCTCCACCCTGTCTTCCCCTTCCTCTACCCCATCCTCCTCCTCCTCCCCAGCCTTCTCCTCCTCCATCCTAACTTACCTCTCCTCTACCCTAACCTCCCCCTCCTGCATCCCAGCTCCCCATCTTCCACCCCGGTCTCCCCTCCTCCATGACAGCTTTCCTACACACACTGTTTTTTTCCCCCAAATCAATGGTGACCTCCTTGACCTGAAACGCTCCACTGGCTTCCCACATTCCCAGCATAAAGTCCAACCTTCCCCTGAGCAGCCTGGTTACCCAGGATTCCGCTCCCACCATCTTCCTGGCTTTGCCTCCTGCCTGCCTTCCACACCTGCCCTCTGGGAAACAACAAAGCAGCCACAGGCACCCCTGGGCTCCTGCCTCAAACACTTCCTTCCTTTTTAGGAACCCGGTGCCCTTTCATGCCTCAGGGTCCGTCTGCTGGGAAAGTCCTTTCTCCCCCTCTCGCTTGCCAAGCTCCACTTCTCTTCCCATGCCCAGCTCAGTCACCCCTCGGCTGTGAAGGCTGGTTCTCCTAATGCCCCTGGGCAGGACAGCTCCCTTCTCTGTGCACTACAGACCTTGCCACACCTCCAGCATTGCTCTTTCCCTAGACCTTGTGCTGGCAAGGGCCCTGTCTATGTATCCTCTATATCTATGTATGTATTGGTCATGTCACAGAGCTCCTTGGAGCAGCAGACAGAATAAAGGTCTGCAGAACAGGTCTCAAGAGCCCATGCCAGGCGATCCTTAATGAAGAACCAGCTACATTCGATGTTCAGCTTTCTGGAGAAGGGCCTGGAACAAAAAAATGTGGACCTGGGTGCAACTGTCACTCATCACTCGTTCCATGCATGTGATGAAGTACACGGTGTCCATGATGGTGTGGAGGGGTGGGCATTATGTGCATTATCTCATCTATTTCATTAGCTGGAGGTTATGGCCACCATTTTACAGAGAAGAAAGCTGAGGCTCAGAGAGGCTAAGCGGCTTGCCAGTCACGCAGCACTAGGTGGTGAAACCAAGAAGAAATACAGGAGTGGTCGTTGTCTGTCACAAGTTGTGGTGCAATGCCCTGAGCTTTCCCATGACGTAGGGCAGAGTGTGGAGGCTGTGGGAAAGCCTGGCTCAGTGTGCTTAGGGACACAGAGCTGAGACCTGAAGGATACATAGGGTTTCCAGGCAGAAAGGGAAAGATGTTTCAGGCAGAGGGAACAGTTTACGCACAGAGGCATGGGAAAGCTAGTGGGTTTGGGGCCATGTTCTGTAATGGATGGATTTTGAAGTGCAAGGGGAGTGGGAAGCTGGAAAGGAAAGGCAGAGGTAGTGGGTGCCTATGGGCCTTCAAGACCTTTTAAAGGTTTGGTTTTATCTCATACGGAGCCACTATAGAAATTGGAATGGGCAAGTGATATGGCAGATTTGCAAATTAAGAAGATCACTGGTGGGCCAGTTGCAGTGGCTCATGCCTGTAATCCCAGCAGTTTGGGAGGCCAAGGTAGGTGGATCATCTGAGATCAGGAGTTTGAGACCAGCCTGGCCAACATGGCAAAACCCTCTGACTATTAAAAATATAAAAATTAGCAGGGCGTGGTGGTGAGCACCTGTAATCCCAGCTACTTGGGAGGCTGAGGCAGGAGAATTGCTTGAACCCGGGAGGTGGAGGTTGCAGTAACTGAGTTCACAAGTTCTTGCCACTACACTACACTCTAGCCTGTGTGACAGAGAGAGACTCTGTCTAAAAAAAAAAAAAGGACCACTGGTGTGAGCCAGAGGAATGGGTGGAATGCCTTCTCCCTGAACTAAGAGAGTTCACTCAGGATCCTCCTGTGCCCCTGCAGCTCCAACCTCTTGAGAAATGACAACTGTCATGGGGCCATGGAGAGCCATACTGGTCAGAAAGGACCGTGTGCGATTCCCGAGGTTCTCACACCCATGCCTCCATCTCAGTCTCAATGCAGCTGTGGGTCGGGATGCCCGCCGGCCATGCTGCTTCCCACCTCTGATGCCTGGGCTCGTTTCAGATGTGGTAGAAAGAGGCAGAAGGCCCATCTGTTCATGGCTTTGCTGGGGAATTAGCTGATGGCACACAGTGGACAGATGAACACAGGTGGGTGGCCTCCTGTGGTTCCAGCACCCATGGACTCTTGTTCTGGGGATGGCCCATTCCCCTCTGCAATTACCAGATCACCATCCCAGCCAGTACCACCACCGCCCTTGGGATTCACCATGGGCGAATTTCTTGGACTTTCTTGGAGAAGCCTTCTGGTGACAGCTTTGTTTTCCTGTGCGGCTTCTGGCATCTCTTTTTGCCTGAGAAAGGAATGCAGAAGCAGAAATATTGAGGATATCCAGGCCGAGTTTGGTATCTCTTGCTTGTAACATTCTTTCATTCAATACAGACATATAATTGGGTACTTATGGGCTAGATGCTGTGCCAGGTGCTGGGAGCACCAAGGAGCTTAGAGTCTAGTGGAGAAAGACAGATGTATAAACAAGGAGACAAGAAGTGTTCCATAGGCTGTGGCAGACATTGTTGGAGGATACATGTGACACCAAGCAGGGAGTGGTCAGTTCTACCTGGGGTCAGGGGGGATCAGGACAGATTTTACAAGGGGGCTTGCAATGGAGTCGAATTATAAAAAGTCAGTAGTTTTTGGCCAGGAGGTTGAGGAAATGAGTGACATTTTAGGCAATACAAAACAGGGACATGTGAAGTAGCATGGTGGTTTGGGAGATTGCCTGCGGGTTGGGAGAGCTGGCCCCAAGTGTACAGGAAGTGAGTTTGGCGTTGATGGAGAAGACTGGTAGGTAAGAAAGGCCCAGATCTGCTGGGTGCAGTGGCACATGCCTGTAATCCCAGTACTTTGGGAGGCTGAGGTGGACGGATCACTAGGTCAGGAGTTCAAGACCAGCCTGGCTAACATGGTGAAACCAAAAATACACAAATTAGCCAGGCATGCTGGCATGCGCCTGTAATCCTAGCTACTTGGGAGGCTGAGGCAGGAGAATTGCTTGAACCCAGGAGGCGGAGGCTGCAGTGAGCTGAGATCATGCCACCGCACTCCAGCCTGGGTGACAGAGCAAGACTCAGTCTCAAAAAAAACCCAAAAACCAAAAACCAAAAACAAACAAACAAAAAGAAAAGCCCAGAACTGGAGGGCTTCCTAGGTCATGCTACAGAGTTTGATGGCTTCTGTGTTTAATGAGAAGCTGTTTGACGTTTTAAAATCAGGGATGAATAAGATGAGTTGGTTTATATGCTAGAAAGATGATTCTGGTGAGAGGGAATGAGTAATTCTCAACCTGGGCTGCACTTTAAAAAACATTAATATCAACTCACTCTACTTTGAGTTTCTGATTTACTTGGCCTGGAAGTGAGGCTTAAGCATTGGTCTTTTTATGCCACTGTTTTTCTCCCTTCCTTTCTTTTTTTTTTTTTTTTGTTTGTTTTTGAGACAGAGCCTGTCTCTGTTGCTCAGGCTGGAGTACAGTGGCGAGATCTCGGCTAACGGTAACCTCTGCCTCCCGGGTTCAAGTGATTCTCCTGCCTCAGCCTCCCAAGTAGCTGGGGATACTGGGACCTGCTACCATGCCTGGCTAATTTTTGTGTTTTTAGTAGAGACGGGGTTTCACCATGTTGGTCAGGCTGGTCTCAAACTCCTGACCTCAGGTGCCCCACCTGCCCTGCCTCCTAAAGTGCTGGGATTGCAGGTGTAAACCACAAAGCCTGGCCTGGTTTTCTTTTTGTTTCTTTCTTTCTTTTTTTTTCTTTTTTAACAATTTCTTTTTTTAGAGATGGGTTTTCACTATATTGCCCAGGCTGGACTCAAGCTCCTGGGCTCAAGGGATCCTCTCACCTTGGCTTCCTGAGTAATTTCATTTACAGGTGCCTGCCATCATGCCAGGCTTAACCATTGCTCTTTTTGAAAAGTTTTCCAGGTGGTTTGAATGTGCAGTCAGGATGAGAGCCTCTGGGGACATTTGGCAATGTCTAAATACATTTTAGGTTGTCATAACTGGGGGTGCTCCTGGCATCTAGTGGGTGGAGGACATGAATGCTGCTAAACATCCTACAACACACAGGACAGCCGCCCTCACCAACCCCCAAAGAATGATCCAGCTCCAAGCGTTGATGGGGCCACTGTTGAGAGCCCTGGGCTAAGGAGCACCCCGGAGGCTGGAGACAGATGCCAGCTCAAAGGCAGAACCTGATAGTCCAGGAAGGGGGTTAGAAGATGTTCCACGGAGGCAGGATTGAGTGGGCAGAGAAGAGATGTGTTGAAAACAAAAGCAGTCAGACTGAGCAACATATCAAGACCCATCTCTATAAGAAAATTTAAAAATTAGCTGGGGGCCAGGAGTGGTGGCTCACGCCTTTATCCCAGCACTTTGGGAGGCCAAGGTGGGTGGATCACTTGAGCCCAGGTGTTCGAGACTAGCCTGGGCAACATGGTGAAACCCTGTCTCTACCAAAAATACACACACACACACACAAATGAGCTGGGCATGCTGGCAGGCACCTCTAGCCCCAGCTACTAGGGAGGCTGAGGTGTGAGAATCACTTGAACCCAGGAGGCAGAGGTTGCAGTGAGCCGAGATTGTGCCACTGCACTCCAGCCTGGGCGACAGAGCCAGACTCTGTCTCAAAAAAAAAAAAAAAAAAAATTAGCTGGGCAGGGTGGCACATGCCTGTAGTCTTAGCTATGGGATGCTAAAGTGGGAGGATCACTTATGCCCAGAAGTTTGAGGCCACAGTGAGCTATGATCATGCCACTGTACTCCAGCCTGAAAAAAAAAAAAAAGGAAACAAAAGCAGATTCAACAAAAGTTGGCCACATCTTGGCTGGGGTCACCTGGAACGATTCCCAGGCTTTTGAATCGGTGGGAAGAGCAGATTTTGGAGAAAGACTACCGAGCACTGGTTAGGGCATGGTGCCTCATGAGTGTCTGAGCGTCTGCGAGACATCGGGTGAGACAGCGGGAGGGTGGCTGGACTCTGTGTGGCCAGGCTTATTAGCAGGAGTACATCCTCCTCTGTTAGAAAAACAACTCTGCGGTTCTGGGTCACTTTTCCCATCTTTGTATAGAAAAGTACCGATTATTATTGTTCCCCCGGGTGCCTTCTCCAGCTTAAAGGAAAATTCCAGCCCCAGAGATCTTCCGCAGTGAGTGACAGCTCCTTAATGTGAGGAGCAGCGTGGGCGTGGTGGGTGGGATGTCAGAGCCATCAAAGCCCTCATTTCTGATCCCTCTGTGATGTCGGGGTTCCCTGGCACGCCCACTGTCATGCCTCAGCACATTGGCATCTGAGAGAGGAAAGGTGCAGCTGACACCCTGACCCCCTTCTCCCCGACACGGGGTCAGACAGGGTCCCGCGGTGGCCTGGTTGTGCAGCACTGACATGTTGCCTGGGAACGAAGCGGGGCTGATGCTTTGTCTTGGGAGGAGCTGGGAAGCAGAGTCTGTTTGGGAGTGAGAGTGTTGGCCTTTGAGGGTGAGCATGCCCCCAAGGACACAAGGAGGAGAGTGCAAGGTCTGCTGAAGTTTGCAGCAGAATAGCAAGGGCATCTCACTCCCTGGAGAACTTGGGAAACAGTTCAGATTCTCTCCCCTCTGTGCAGGGGAAGGGATGTTTCTGATTGAATATAGGACACAGAGTCTGTATGAGTTTGTAGGGCTGTCGTCACAAAGATGCATAGACTGAGTGGCTTAAGCAACAGAAACTTCTTTGCTGACAGTTCTGGAGGCTGGAAGTCTGAGATCAAAGTGTGGCACGGTTGGCTTCTCCTGAAGCTTCTCTCCTTGGCTCGCAGATGGCCGTCTTCTCTCTGTTCTCACATCATCTTCCCTCTGTGTCTATCTGTGTCCTAATCTGTTCTCATAAAGACACTGGTCATAGGGGATTAGGGTCCACTCCATGACCTCATTTCACCGCTTTATTTTATTTTTTTATTTTTATTGAGAATGAGTCTCACTCTGTTGCCCAGGCTGGAGTGCAATGGCGAGATCTTGGCTCACTACAACCTCCACCGCCCGGGTTCAAGCGATTCTTCTGCCTCAGCCTCTAGAGTAGCTGGGACTACAGGTGCCCCCCACCACGCCTGGCTAATTTTTTTGTATTTTTAGTAGAGATGGGGTTTCACCTTATTGGCCAGGCTGGTCTCAAACTCCTGACCTCATGATCCACCGGCCTTGGTTTCCCAAAGTGCTGGGATTACAGGCATGAGCCATTGTGCCCAGCCTTATTTTTACTTTTTTGAGACTGAGTCTCACTCTGTTGACCAGGCTGGCGTGCAGTGGCTTGATATCGTCTCAGTGCAACCTCTGCCTCCCGGGTTCAAGCGATTCTCCTGCCTCAGCTCCTGAGTAGCTGGGATTGTAGCCTGCCACCACTCCTGGCTATTTTTTTTTTTTTTAATATATTTTTAATAGAGATGAGGTTTGCCATGTTGGCCAGGCTGGTCTCGAACTCCTGACCTTGAGTGATCTGCCCATCTCAGCCTCCCAAATTGCTGGGATTACAGGTGTGAGCCAGTGCACCTGGACTCATTTCACCTCTTTAAAGACCTTATCTTCAAAAGCAGTCACAGTCTGAGGTACTGGGGTTAGGACTTCAATGTACGAATTTGTAGGGGGACGCAGTTCAGCCCATAGAGCTAGAGTTCTGTGGTTTCCTGGGGAGACTGAGGAGACGCCTCAGAGGAATTTGTACGGGGAAAGGTCTGAGGAAAAAGGATCGGATCCCAATGGGCCGAACTCCCTCAAAATGTTCCCGAGGTCCACGTGACGTTCCCTCCTCCCACCCAGCCCTTCTTTCTGTGAAGGGTGACACACCTCCTAGAAAGAAATCTGACTCCCCTCATTGTGTTTTTAAAATAACTCTCATTATTCCTCCTCTGAAGGTTATTTTCAAACTCTTTATAACTCGATTTTTTTTTAAATGCAAAGACAAGGAATCAAATCTGCCAACTTTCTATCAGAGAAACTCGGGTTTCTAACTTTTAAAGTGGGATTATATGTCTTCTCCAATATATGGGCTCCCTGCTTTTATAACATGCTGCTGTTACATCTAATAAAAACCATTTTGAATGAAGGCAGCCTTTCATCCGGCAGCTAATGTGGGAAAAAGGAGTCTTGGGCCCTCATATTAGAAAATCTTGGCCTGGCGTGGTGGCTCACGCCTGTAATCCCAGCACTTTGGGAGGCCAAGGTGGGCGGATCACGAGGTCAAGAGATCAAGACCATCCTGGCAAACCTGGTGAAACCCCGTCTCTACTAAAAATACAAAAATTAGCTGGGTTTGGTGGGGTGCGCCTGTAGTCCCAGCTACTTGGGAGGCTGAGGCAGGAGAATCGCTTGAACCTGGGAGGCGGAGGTTGCAATGAGCCAAGATCCGCCACTGCACTCCAGCTTGGCGACAGAGCAAGACTGTCTCAAAAAAAAAAAAAAAGAAAAGAAAATCTTGGCCGGGCACGGTGGCTCATGCCTGTAATCCCAGCACTTTGGGAGGCTGAGGCAGGCAGATCACTTGAGGTCAGGAGTTTGAGACCAGCCTGGACAACATGGTGAAACCTCATCTCTACTAAAATACAAAAAATTAGCGTAGTGGCGCGCGCCTGTAGTCCCAGCTTCTCAGGAGGCTGAGGCACAAGAACCGCTTGAGCCCAGGAGGTGGAGGTTACAGTGAGCCAAGATCATGCCACTACAGCTTGGGCTACAGAGTAAGACTCCGTCTCAAAAACAAACAAACAAACAAAAAAAGAAAATCAGGCACTTCTTGGGTACCATGGAGACCTGAGGTCACAGTTAGTGGAGAACTCCAGAAGGAGTCACTCCTGCAGCCTGTTGCCTCCTCAGTTCCCTGGGCCACCCCCAGGAGCAGCAGCTGTACCTCCCAGTGCCCCGCAAACACCCTCCTGGCGTTGTCCCTTTGCTTCCCTCATTGCTGCTGGACCTACAGCTGACCCAGTGACCTCAGATGCTGCCAAGTCCTGACACTGCAGATGGCCAAGGACTATGGCTCTGAGTCAAGCCAAAATAAGTATTTTCTGTTCCAAAACAATTCTGTGAGCCGAGAATGTGTCCGTGCAGAGGAAGCTGACAGTCAGTCTTGCACCAGGAGTCCCTGGAGCTGCCTGGGTCTGCACGCTGGCTGGCTGTGTGCTCAGAGTGGCCTCAGCTGTGTACCTGCCCTTGGCCCATTTCTTGAAATCGTGGTTCAGCTGCAAATGCTGGTTTAGCAATAAAGATTGAAATAGGGAATCTCACCCCTCAGCATCAAGTTAGGTCATGGTCCCACGCTCCTTGGGAAGGTGGGAGCTTCCCAGCTTCAGGCTGCCTGAGTGACAGGTGGCAGGTAGCATTTTTCCACTTCAGGACTCCCTTGAATGACCCGTCACCTTGAATGCACCTGGATCATTCTCTCTCTCTTTTAAAAACTTTTTTTTTTTTTTTTTTTTTGAGACAGAGTCTCACTCTGTTACCCAGGCTGGAGTGCGGTGGCATGATCTCAGCTCACTGCAACCTCCACCTCCTGGGTTCAAGTGATTCTCCTGCCTCAGCCTCCTGAGTAGCTGGGATTACAAGCATGCGCCATCACACCCAGCTAATTTTTGTATTTTTTGTAGAGACGGGGTTTTACCATGTTGGCCGGGCTGGTGTCGAACTCCTGCCATCAAATGATCTGTCTGCCTTACCCTCCCAAAGTGCAGGGATTACAGGCATGAGCCACTGTGCCCGGCCTCTCTTTAAAAAATTTTTATTTTATTGTGGTGAGAACATCTCACACGAGATCTACCCTTTCAAAACTTTAAGTGCACAATACAATATTGTTGATGAGGTACAATGTTGTACAGCAGATGTCTAGAATGTATTCATCTCATTTAACTGAAAGTTCTTTATGTCTGTTGAGTAGCAACTCCCCAGTTTCCCTTCTCTCTAACCCCTGGCAACCACCATTCTGATATTTGATCTATGAATCTGTCTATTCTAGGTACTTCATGTAAGTGGAATCGTGTGGTATTTGTCCTTCTGTGACCGGCCTATTTCACTTAGCATAATTAGCCCTAGGTTCATCCATTTGCTTGCATATTGCAGAATTTCCTTCTTTTCGAAAGCCAAACAATGTTCTTTTGTATGCATAGAACACATTTTCTTTGTTCATCTGACAGTGGACACTTAGGTTATTTCCACATTTTGGCTAACGTGTATAGTGCTGCAGTGAACATGGGAGTGCAGGTATCTTTTCCAGAGCCTGATTTCAATTCTTTTGGGTACATACCCAGAAGTGGTATTGTTGGATGCTGTGGTAGTTCTATTTTTAATTTTTCTGATGAACCTCCATACTGTTTTCCACAGCAGATGCACCATTTTATATTTCTACCAACAGTGCACAGGGTTCCAATTTCAATCTCTTTCCATTTCTGAATTAAGAAACCTGAGTCCTTCTTATACCACCCCTCCCTTGGAGTGCGGCCTGGTCCTCACCATCTAGGGAGATTCTGTTGGCCCTCTCTGCACTTTTTTTGGGATCATCTCAGCCAGTCTGCAGTTGCTATTTTTTTTGTGGGTAGGTGTGGGGAGGAGGACAAGGGCTCCCTGTGTTGCCCAGGCTGGTTTCAAACTCCTGGGCTCGAGTGATCTTCCTGCCTCAGCCTTCCAGGTAGCTGGGATTACAGGCATGAGCTACCATGTCTGACTTGCAATTGCTATTTCATAAATACTTTGTGCACAGAATGATATGAAATGCTTTGTATGCTTAATCTCATTTAGTCTTTGCAATATCCCTACGATGATTGGTTTTGGTGTTTTTTTTGTTTTGTTTTGTTTTTTGAGGCAAGGTCTCTCTCTGTTGCACAGACTGGAGTGCAGTGACGTGATCTCGGCTCATTGCAACCTCTGCCTCCCAGGTTCAAGCGATTTTCCTGCCTCAGCCTCCTGAGTAGCTGGGATTGTAGGCGCCCGCCACCATGCCCGGCTAGTTTTTTTTTTGTTGTTGTTATGTTTAATAGAAACGAGGTTTTGCCATGTTGGCCAGGCTGGTCTCGAACTCCTGACCTCAAGTGATCCACCCGCCTTGGCCTCCTAAAATGCTGAGATTACAGGCATGAGCCATCGCACCGGGCCTGATGCTATTGCAAGTTCTATTTTACAGATAAATGAGTCCTAGTGAAATTTAGCAATTTACCAAAAGCCTCTAGCTTCTAAATTGGAGCAGAGATGTGAAACTGAACTTTCTCTGCATTCAGACTCCTAGCTTTCATATTAGTTAACTTTTCATTTTCATGTAACTGTCTGCTCAACTTTCTGAAGACTGGGTGTATGTCTTTTACCTTGTATCCTTGCAGTGCAGGGTTCTTAATACATGCTCAATAAATACCTATACTTATTTGGTTTGTTGACCTGGGTTTCTATTCCTGGGCACCTAAACACAACCCTGCATGCAAAGTTTCAAAATGTATTAGTATGAATGCTACTAATATTAATAATTCTAACCATAATAGTGAACATATGTCTCTCCTGATAAAGCATATATCTTCATGCATACATAACATATATCTCTCCTTATAGAGCATTTTACATAATTAAATTCTAAGGGATTATAAAGTCACAAATTAATTAAATTCTAAGAGATTATAGAATTCTTTAGTAGTCCACATCATGGTCCCCATTTTATGGAGAGAAAGGAGATTCAGAGAGGTTAAGTGAGTTGCCCAAGATCCTACAGTTAATAGAGAAAGAAAGTCCCATGGAGACTGAGTGCTTTTTCTTTGGACTGCAAGCAAGCACCTTCAGATCATGAAAGGATTTTGTAAATTGTAATGAGCCAGACAGTGTTGGGAGATGTTGTTTAATTCAGTGCCAGAAGACTAATGATGGTGTAAGCAAGGTGGCTAAATGGAGGGGAAGCAGGTAAATGGATGAGATGTTTTACTTTGGGTAATGGCGGGAATGTGGACAGACTTGGTGTGAGAGCAGCCATCCACGTTGATGTCCAGCTGCACGCAGCAGCCCAGACCTCAGGAGAGAGCCCTGGGCCAGGTGAAGGCAGGAAAGGGCTTTGTTTCCCGCTGCTGGTTCATGTTCTGTGCTTCTGCTTCTGTGGCCCTTCCACCTAGAACACCCTCACCCATGCTCCTTTTCTCTTTCTGCTTCCTACTCCTTGCTAATCTTTGTAAAATTCAACCTAGGAGGCTGGGTGCAGTGGCTTATGCCTGTAATCCCAGCACTTTGGGAGGCTGAAGCGGGTGGATCATTTGAGGTCAGGAGTTCGAGACCAGCCTGGCCAACATGGTAAAACCCTGTTTCTACTAAAAATACAAAAATTAGCTGGGCGTGGTGGCGGGCACCTGTAATCCCAGCTACTTGGGAGGCTGAGGCAAGAGAATCATTTGAACTCGGGAGGCGGAGATTGCAGTGAGCTGAGATCATGCCACTGCACTCCAGCCTGAGCAACAGAGAGAAACTCAGTCTAAAAAAATAAAAATAAAAATAAACCTAGGAGGAGTCCTTCTCTCCTGCCCAGCTCTAGGCACTGCTGTGTTCACATGACACCATAGACTCACCCTTGTCATTGCATGTTCTGCATTGTCCTAGAATATCTTTGCACTGGTCAGTTAGATCTTTGGGCTCAGGGACCACAGCTTCTCTCTGGTTTCCCAGAGTTGATCATGACTGTGCCTGGATGTCGAATGACCAGCTGACCATTGGCAAGCACATCTGGGGCAGGGGGAGTGGACAGCTTTCCCGTTAGTGAGGGCTTTTCCAGGGGAACATGAAGTTTGAAACCTCTGCACATGAAGCTTTGTCAAGATCAGTAGCAAACAGCGAATAACAAGAGAAACACCTGGGTTTTCTCTAGTCATCTTTGTTGACTAGTGTCAAACATCCAGTTTGTTTAAAAAAAAATCCTTCACGCCAGGTGTGGTGGCTCATGCCTATAATGCCAGCACTTTGGGAGGCTGAGGCAGGTGGATCACTTGAGGTCAGGAGTTTGAGACCAGCGTGGCCAACATGGCAAAACCCTGTCTCTACTAAAAATACAAAAATTGACTGAGCATGGTGTCATGTGTCTGTAATCCCAGCTACTCGGGAGGCCGAGGTAGGACAATTGCTTGAGCCCAGGAAGTGGCGGTTGCAGTGAGCCAAGATCGTGCCACTGCATTCCAGCCTGGGCGACAGAGGAAGACCTGTCCCAAAAAAAAAAAAAAAGAGTCCTTCAGCTGATATTATTTCCATTTGATTTTTTCAAGTGGGAAATAATTTTTAATAATAAAAATGAAAAAAACAACTCTAAAGATAGTCAGGGCTGTCCCTGTGGCTGCCTTCCTGCAGTGCAGGCTTCCTTGGACAGTTTGTTGATTCTCTTTAGCTTCAACTCTCCCTGACATTCATGGCTCTAATTCATATCTCTGACCCTGTCTCTTCTGAACCTGGGGCAGTCATTTCCAATCACCTCCCAGACATTGTGGGAATCTCAGAAGCCCCTTACAGTCGACCTTCCAAGGCAGACACCTTTGCTTCCAGAAGTGGCTTCTTCTTTGCATTTTCTAGTTTGGTAACTGGTAACTCTGGTCTTATAAGTTATAAACCTTGGCATTATTCTGTGTCACCCTTAGTGAACCTTTCAATCACTTGCAAATGCAGTTTATTTTCGCTCTTCCAGGGCTCTGAAAGTCATGCCTCCTTACCATCTTCCTGGCCACTGCCTCATTTATTTATTAATTCACACATCACTTGCTTACTGGGTACTATCTATGTGGCAGGCATGCTTCCTGACACTTGACATCCAGCAGCAAACAACAACAGAAAAAGACCCCCAGGAAGAGCTTGCTTTCCAGGAGCTAGGGGAGATGCACCACCGACAATGTATTAACTAGGTCAATTATTTTGTATGTTTGAAGACCACACATGCTCTTGAGAAACGGAGCAGGGCGTCAGGAGTGCCAAGGGTGGAGTTCAGGGTTGCAGCTTTAGGAATGGTCAGGGTGGGCCTCCTGAGACCATCAGAAGGGGAAGAAGGTGAGGAGGGAGCCAAGTTGGTCTCTTGCGAAGACTGGCCCAGGTAGAGGGAAGAGCCAGAACATGGGACCCGCCCAAGGCTGGCTGGGAGTGTCCTTGGTATGGCTGGGGGAAGGAAGGTGGCCAGTGTGGCTGGATCAGAGGGAGCCGGTGGGGAGTGGGTAAGAAAGAAGTCAGAGAGGAAGGGGGTCCCGAACATGTAGACCAGTAGGGGAACTTTATCATTTACTTGGAGTCAAGTGGTCCTTGCAGTGGAACAGCCACGCAGAAGAGTGACATATTCTAAAATAATGGAAAGCCCATCTGGCTGCTCTGCTGAGAATACAAAGAGTGGGAGTGTTAAGGGTTGAAACGCTGTCATTTCTTTTCTTTTTTAAAAAGAGACAGGGTCTCGCTCTGTCACCCAGGCTGAGTGCAGTGGTGCGATCATAGCTCACTGTAGCCTGGAACTCCTGGGCTCAAGTGATCCTCCTGCCTCAGCCTCCCAAGCAGCTGGGAACTACAGGCATGTACCACCACGCCCAGATAATTTTTAAGTTTTTCGTAGAGGCAGGGTCTCACTATGTTGCCCAGGCAGGTCAGAAACTCCTGGGTTTAAGCGATCCTCCCGCCTCTGCCTCCCAGATTTTGGGATTACAGGCGTGAGCCACTGTGCCTGGTCACTGTCGTTTCTCACCTGGGCTGTATGCAATAGCTTTGAATAGGTCACTGCACTTTTTTCTACCTCTGCAAACTTCTTCACACTTCAGTGTTCTTCTCTCTGTCATGGGCCAAATTTCCAGAACGCTCTCTAGGAACAGTCACTGGAATAAAATCCACACTGCAGGGGTGGCTTTGAGGTCCATGTGGTCTGGCCTCCACTGGCTTTTCCAGCTGCAACTCCTGCTGTTTTCTGTTCCACTAACCCTGGGAGCTGTCATCCTTCCATGCCTTTGCCCATGGTGTTCTATCACTTTCTGTTCAGCAAAATCCTTTCTTGTTAAGCTCCATCTTTCCTTAAAAGCCACCCCAGAATCTCCCAGTCAGGATGAATCTGCGAGTCTTCACATGCAGGGATGGGATCTGTGTCTGTGGAGCACACCTTAGTCCTGGTTGCATTAGAGTCACTCAGTGCCCACCTGGCTCCTGTACCAGATGGGGAACCCCTGTGTCCACCTTTGCATTTTGAGGTCCCTCTCAGTGCAGTGGAAATTGCCCTGCACAACTTTCAAAATTGTTCTCGTCAGTCGGCTTTTTCCTGTTCTGTCTTGCAGATTGAAGCGCTCGTGAAGGACATGCAGAACCCAGAGACAGGGGTCCGAATGCAGAACCAGAGGGTCCTGGTCACCAGCGTTCCTCATGCCATGACAGGTGATGTAGCTTGCACTTTAGTCTTGGCCTGGAATAGACCCCACAGGCCCAATACGGCCCACCTCCTGTGTTTGTAAAAAACTTTATTTTTGGCCAGGTGCAGTGGCTCACGCCTGTAATCCCAGCACTTTGGGAGGCCGAGGCGGGTGGATCACAAGGTCAGGAGATCAAGACCATCCTGGCTAACACGGTGAAACCTTGTCTCTATTAAAATACAAAAAATTAGCTGGGCATGGTGGCAGGTGCCTATAGTCCCAGCTACTCGGGAGGATGAGGCAGGAGAATGGCCTGAACCTGGGAGGCAGAGCTTTCAGTGAGCAGAGATTGCGCCATTGCACTCCAGCCTGGGCGACAGAGCGAGACTCCGTCTCAAACAAAACAAAACAAAACAAAACAAAGCTTTATTTCTAAATAAAGTTTTATTGGAACATATCCATGTTCACTCATTTATGTATTGTCTATGGCTGCTCTTACACTACAATGGCAGAGTTAAAATATATAGTTGTGGCCAGGCACAGTGGCTTACACCTACAATCCCAGCACTTTGGGAGGCCGAGGCAGGTGGATCACCTGAGGTCGGGAGTTCGAGACCGGCCTGACCAACATGGTGAAACCCCATCTCTTCTAAAAATACAAAAATTAGCCAGGCATGGTGGTGCATGCCTGTAATCCCAGCTACTCGGGAGGCTGAGGCATGAGAATCACTTGAACCCGGGAGGCGGAGTTTGCAGTGAGCCAAGATCGCACCACTGCACTCCAGCCTGGGTGACAGAACAAGACTCCCACAAAGCTGAAATGTTTATTTACTATCTAGCGCTCTACAGAGTACATTTGCTGACTCCTGGACTAAAGTCTTCCTCTGAGGAAGGGGTCAGGAGGGAGAAAAGGACTCAACAGGTCATTTCTTGAAGCCATTCCTCCCAGAAGGTCATTTTAGAAACCTTCACTGTCATTTTTTGTTTTGTTGTTTTGTTTGCTTTGTTTTAATGAAACCAAGTAGCAGAAAAAAAAATACTATTTAGCAGAAAAAAGTTGGCCTTTGTTTTGCTCCACCGTTTACCTTCTAATTCATTTCAGGCCCTTCTCAACTGCCCTGTGGGAGTGGTGCCACTGTCTCCTCTCTGTGTGTGGGGGTGAGGTGCCTACAGAGCATCATTTGGGGATATTGGCAAGAAGGGCTGGACGCCAATATTAAGAGAGCATTTTGGTTAATGTGTTACCTGTTTTCTGATCTTGATTTTGCAGTAAAGACAATGTTTCATACTTAGGCGTATTGCCTGCAGAAGCAGACAGCTTCTCATAGCCCAAGCCCGGGCCTCACCACGGCTGTGCTCAATGTGAGGCCTCCCTCTCTATGCCACCCCTGACCTGACTATTTATTTTTCACTCAAGGTGCCCTAGTCTTTGCAGAGACAAGCTGGCTCACAGCTTCCCCTTTCCCTTTCTGACTGCTTAGAAGAAAGGATGCCCCCACCAGCAATGTGTCACTCAGGTTTCCTTGCATGCAAGCAACAGAAGACCCACTCTTTTGTTGGAGCAAAAGGGGAAGTAATTGAAATGCTATAGAGCAGCTCATGGAGGAAAAGGAAACACTGACAAGCCAGACTTTGGAAAGGCCAAGAACCAGCGTAGCTCTGGGCACCCAAAGAGTGGAAACAGGGGGCAGACTTTTCAGGGTGCCTTTGTGTCCCCCATCACCTCAGATGCAGCTGGGGCAATTCTTCCTGAAGGCATCCCTGACCCTGTCCCCCTCCCTGCCTTTGACTGTCATTAATTTTGGCCTGAATTCTCTACTGGACTGGGGCCCTTTAAGGGAAAGTACCTTGTCTTGCTCATCTGGGTAATCCCAATGCTTCTCAGAGCTGTGTTTGTAACAGATGGTTAGTAAAAGTTTATTGAATGCATGAGTCACTTATTGTCTGTCCTTGTGTGGAGAGTGAAGGATTAAATCCTTCAGGTGTCTTTTCTAGCTGTAGCCCTGGTCTCAGTTTACTTTCTCCATTGTTTTTGTTTGTTTGTTTTGTTTTGTTTGTTTGTTTTGAGACAGGGTCTCATGCTGTCTCCCAGGCTGGAGTGCAGTCATAAAATTATGGCTCACTGCAGCCTTGACCTCCTGGGCTCAAGTGATCCTCCTGCCTCGGTTTTCCAAAGTGCTGGGATTACCAGCTTGAGACTCCACAGCTGGCCAGTTTTCTCATTTTTAATGCAAGAATGGCAATCCCTCCCTAAGGGAACGAGTGCAGGAAGGAAGTGAGAGAGTTCTGTGCAGGTGCTGAGTATGCAGTGGGTGCTGGATGGTGGTGGTAGCTAGTGCTTTCCCACACATTGTCTGTTAACACTCACAATAAAGTTAAGGGTAGATATGACTGCCCACTTTTTGCACATGGGGTTATGGAGACCAAAGAGTTTCAGCAACTTGCCTTCATGTCCTTAAGCTCATTTCATGAGTGAGCTTGAATTTCAGCCCAGCAATGTGACTCCAGAGTCCATATATATATTTTATTTTTACTTATACTTTTTTTTGAGACAGGGTCTTTCTCTGTTGCTCAGGCTGGAGTGCAGTGGCACTATCTTGGCTCATTGCAGCTTCTGCCTCCTGGGTTCAAGCGATTCTCATGCCTCAGCTCCGGAGTAGCTAGGATTACAGGCACCCACCACCACATCCAACTAATTTTTGTATTTTTAGTAGAGATGAGATTTCACTATGTTGGTCAGGCTGATCTCGAACTCCTGACCTCAGGTGATCCACCCGCCTCGGCCTCCCAAAGTGCCGGGATTACAGGCATGAGCCACCGCGCCCAGCCCAGAGTCCATATTCTTATCTACTGTCAGTTGTGCACCAGCTGCTTTCCTTCCCTGCACACGGGGCACACTTGGTTCCTGGATTTGGGCGAGGTCGCCCATCCTGCCATGGCTTCCTTGTTCCTCCTGCACAGGTGAATTCCAGCTGCTGTAGAAACAACACAGGGAGAAGCCCTGGTCCTGCAACAACAGCACCGATAAAAAAAAATTATTTAACTTCTTGGACGGCAGGCGTCCCAGGGCTTCCTCGGGACAAAGGTGGCTGATGCGGGAGGCTGAGCAGCCTGCCAGGCTGTCAACGTAGACCGCGTGGTACAGATGCTGGTGGCACCATAATCTCATTTGATCTATTTCGGGAGGCAGTCAAGTGGATGAGAAAGCCCTCGGCTCCTCGGTGGAGAGAGCTAATCAGTCTGATGTCTGCCTAGGTCTGTCTCTCTGCCTGCGCACCACTGTGTAGCATTTAAAGAGAGAGACTTGGTGTGGAAAGTCTAAACACCCAGTCCTAGGAGTTTAGATGAAGGATTTTGCTTTTGAACAGCCATCCAGGAGTGAATGATGCTAAGAGCAACAGAGGGAGAACCATGGAAAGCCATGACAGTGTGCATGTGGACACTGACAGAGATCATGGCTGGACATTTGTGTCCTAGGGTGTGGGCATGAAGGGAAGAATTACAGGTTGTCTACACCCAGCCATGGTCGTAGGCAGGCAATTACGCCCAGAGAGCGTGTATATGGGTCATAAGAAGAAATGTCCCTGCACCGCCTCCGAGGAGGGAAGTATCATTGGCAATTATCCAGACATAAGAACACAGGGAGTGGAGTCTCAATCCTGGCCCTCTTCTTTGATGTGTTATGTGGGCCTGTTTCCATGCAGACAGGCTTCCAGCTTGGCCTTTGGAAAGCAGGCTAAGATTGCTGGAAAATGTGACCATTGGCATCTGCACGATGGTATCTGTGATGCGGTGCTTCGTTCCAGGGCACCTTGTCTATCTTCTGAGATGCTATTACCTTGTGCCTACGAGCTGTACCTTCTGCTTGTGAGGTGAGAGGGCCCAGGCTGAGGGAAGGGGCTCAGAGCTTCTGTGGGGTCGTACGGCAGCTCTGGGCTTGTTGGTGGAACTTGGCTTGCCTTGACCCTTAGATAAATCTGAATCCTTGAGGGGAGCAGGTGGGTGGGACGGGTGTACGGGTGCACATTCTCTCCTGGCCTCTGAGCCCGCCTCTCCTGCTGTTTTTCATGCCATTTTTTCATGTTTTTTTGTGTGTTGTTCCCAAGCCAGCCCCTAAGATTTGCAGGGCCTGGGGCGAGAGTACACATGGAGCCTTCATTCCATCATCTAAAGTTATAAATCAACTAGGATAGGTCCCAACCTCCTACCCTGACAAAAGTACCTTCACAATGTCATGGAAGGCCAGGTTCAAGTTTAGAAGTTTCTGACTCCTCGGAGTTCTGCCTGGGAACTTGGGGAGTTGGAGAGCCGGCCCCAGCCCTCAGCCTGTCCTCTTCTCATCCCTGTCTCTGTTTTACTCCCAGAGTCCCAGCTTGGTCCAGAGCCCTGCAAACAGCTTGCCTCGGGTCTGTTTTGTGTGTGTGTATGTGTGTGTGTGTGTGTTTAGACTTAGCCTATTTACTATCCAGTTAGTGAATAACAGACCATGTACAAGTTATCGTCAGGTAAAAGATCAATACAACAAGAGATGTAAAGATGAAGCGTGTGTGTATGTATGTGTGGGCTGGGGGTGCGTGCGGTGTTAAGTTGCACATCTGCTGGAGTCAGATCATGGATAGCCTTGAATTACAGGCTGCAGAGCTGGGACTGAGCATGATGAGGTGGGGGTTTCTGAAGGTTCTGAGCGAAGAGGAATGAAATCGCAGCTGAACGGGAAGGAGACCAGTCAGGCAACAGCGTGGAGGAGCGGGGATGTGTCAGGAGGCTATGACAATAACCGCAAATGTCTCTTGTTTTTCAGGAAGTGATGTTCTGCAATGGATCGTCCAGCGGCTTTGGATCTCCAGTCTGGGTGAGAGCTCATCTGGCACTCAGTTATCCGGGACAGCTTTGTGTACAGCACCATGGGAGAAACTAAATAGAGACTTAGCCTGTGTTTCTGAGAAATTTACATTTTAATTGGACAGACATGACCTTCGTGTGTAAAAGTACCAGAATCAAAAGCAAAGGCAGGATAATTTGGGGACGAAAGAGTTATTTTGTACAAAATATTTAGAGCATAAATAACAGGGATAAGTGGGGAGGACTCAGTCAAGAAAGTCCTGGAGGGGGTGCTGTGTATAGCTGGTCTTGAAAGAAGTGATGCTTGTGAATTGGTGAAGAGGAGCTCTGAGGGTCTTCCTATAAGGGGACACTAGCAAGAGCAATGGTTTAGAAATGGAATGAGTGGAAAGTGGAGGAGTGACAAGGGAGATTGAGAGTCATGGCTCCAGATGGCTATGGAGGGTGGCAGAGGGGTGGAAGAGCACCTGCAGATCTGGGAGATAGGCAATAGGAAGCCACAGGCAATTTTTGAGCATGGCAATGTGCCTGATAATCATATTTCAGCTAGGGTGCCTCGCAGTGTCAGGCCTCTGAGCCCAAGCTAAGCCATCATATCCCCTGTGGCCTGCACGTATACATCCAGATGGCCTGAAATGAACTGAAGAATCACAAAAGAAGTGATATTTACATGGCCTGTTCCTGACTTAACTGATGACATTCCACCACAAAAGAAGTGAAAATGGCCAGTCCTTGCCTTAACTGAGGGCATTACCTTGTGAAATTCCTTCTCCTGGCTCATCCTGGCTCAAAAAGCTCCCCCACTGAGCACCTTGTGACCCCCCACTCCTGCCCGCCAGAGAACAACCCCCCCTTTTTCCTTTACCTACCCAAATCTTATAAAACAGCCCCACCCCTATCTCCCTTCGCTGACTCTCTTTTCGGACTCAGCCCGCCTGCACCCAGGTGAAATAAACAGCCTTGTTGCTCACACGAAGCCTGTTTGGTGGTCTCTTCACACGGACACGAGTGAAAGGCAGCAATTTAGAAAATGGATTGGAGCAGAAAGAAACTGGAGAGTAGATTTCACACTAGAAAATAGGCTGTTGGTACAATGAGGCATACAACTTTAGGACTTGGTCTTTGATGGAGGGAGCGAGACCTGGAGAGGGAGGGCTGGGGAGGAAGTCTTCCCACACCTTGGAGGCTGAGCTATGGGATGGGGAGATGGGTTGGGTCCTTGGGCTGGGGGGTCCTGCAGGAATGGAGGGATGGAATCCTCCCCAGAGGATGGAAGGATATCTGCTTTCATTGATGCTTTGGAGAAAGAACCAAGGAAGTTTGTCCTTTAATTGATATAATTGATAAACAAGGCTGTGCTTCCGAATAAACTGGAGCAGGGTGGGAATTAAAGTGAAGTGGGAAGGAGAGGAAGGGTCTGGACCCGAGATGCAGGCAGAGGTGAGCTTGGGATAGAAGTTGGCAATAAACATGATGCTCCTTGCTCATTCTTGGAGTGACAAAGTGTCTGTTGGTCCAACAGAGACATTTTCTTCCCAGTCCTGTGACCTTTCCCAGACCCAAAGGGCCTATAGAGGCTTCTCTAGGCCTTCCTTAACCATCACCCGCTGCAGCAGACCACGTGTGGTTTCTGTTAACATCCAGATTTCCTAGTTCCCATCTAGACTTATTGAGTTGTCACTCCTGGGGATAAGACCTGGGAGGTCCTCCTTTTAGCGTGCAACCCAGCTCACGCTTGTCCACAGCCAAGTTCAGCAACCAGTGTCCTCACTGCTCATGAGATGCAGTGCTGTTAGGAAGGGGCACCTGTCCTGGAGTTTGGGGTGCCGTGGGGGCCGGCAATGAGCTCCTGTCTCAGCCCTGCTCTTAACATCCATGTCTGAACTGCTTTTCCCAGAGGCACAGAACTTGGGCAACTTTATTGTCAGGTATGGCTACATTTACCCCCTGCAAGACCCCAAGAATCTCATTCTCAAGCCTGATGGCAGCCTCTACAGATTTCAGGTGAGTCTTGGCCTTGACCCTGGCTGTTCATATGGGGTTGATCTCATTTGAAAAGGTGGGGTTCATAGTTTCACAGATCAAGGACTTCAGAAATGGTGGAGGGGGCCAAGGTGGTTGGATTTCTTTAGTCACAGGGTTGGGGTCCATTGAGTCACAATCCAGTTTTAAAGCGTGGTTTCCCTGGTTTCTTTTGCAGACACCGTATTTCTGGCCCACCCAGCAGTGGCCAGCTGAAGATACCGATTACGGTAAATACTTCAGCCCCAACTATGCCTTTGGTAGTGCTTAACATGCTGCTTATTTACTTGCTGCACTTTGGTGACATTTGTCTTGCTGTCATCATGACCTTTCTGTCAGTCCACATCTGTACTGGGCATGTCCCCAGGGGCAAGGGGCTGGGTGTGCTGAGCGTTCTCTCCCCGACTCTGAGCACAGCAGCCTCAGGCTTAGGGAGGCTGCAGATGGGGTTTTGAAAGATGATGATGGAAAATGTCATTGCTTTCTTTTCCAGCCATCTATCTGGCCAAGCGAAATATCAAAAAGAAAGGGATTTTGGAAGAATATGAAAAGGTATGGAGGTGCTTTTAAGTAGAGGTTGTTATAATTGAGTGGAAGATAGTTTTGAGCTGTACTTTCCTCATTCCCACATCACTACATTCATATGCGCCCACATTCATATGCAATCCATCCAGCCAGCCAGCTAGCCATCCATTTATTAATTAGAAGCAGCTAGCTGAAGTAAATTCTTTCTCATGTCTAACTTCAGTTTCTCTTGCTGTAATTTAAGCCCTTGCCTCAGTGGCTACTGGGCACACAGTGGCTACCCACTTCCTTTTGCCATCCCAAAACAATGTGACATAATAAATATGTACTCTAATGGACAACCCTTGGTTAACAGATTTGAACTTGAATTGTTTTTTTTGTTTTTTTGAGACAAGGTCTTGCTCTGTTGCCTGGGCTGAAGTACAGTGGCATGATCTCAGCTCACTGCAACCTCCACCTTCCAGGTTCAAGCGATTCTCCTGCCTTAGCCTCCCGAGTAGCTGGGATTACAGGCGTGTGCCACCACGCCTGGCTAATTTTTGTATTTTTAATAGAGATGAGGTTTCACCATGTTGGCCAGGCTAGTCTCGAACTTCTGACCTCAAGTGATCTGCCTGCCTCGGCCTCTCAAAGTGCTGGGATTACAGGTGTGAGCCATCGTGCCTGGCCCGAACTTCAATTTATGATGGGAAAACAATAGGACTGTATAGACTTTTGTTTTAGGCTGGGTGAGTCCAGTTTCCCAAAGAACACATGCTAGCCCTCAAAAGGCCAAAATTTCTGGGTGGAGGGTTAAAATCTTGCTGTGTTTTTATTTTTATTTATATATTTATTTATTTATTTATTTATTTATTTGAGACAACGTCTTGCTCAATCACCCAGGCTGGCCTATAGTGGTGCAGTCTCGGCTCACTGCAACTTCTGTCTCCTGGGCTCAAGCCTCAGCCTCCCAAGCAGCTGGGACTACAGGAGCACACCACCATACCCAGCTAATTTTTGTATTTTTTGTAGAGACAGGAGGCCCAGGCTAGTCTCAAACTCCTGGGCTCAAGTGATCCATCCACCTCAGCCTCCCGAAGTGCTGGGATTACAGGCGTGAGCCACCATGCTAGGCCACGTGTTTTTATTCTTACAAACATGTTTTCAGAAAGGCCGGTTTATCTTTGTTTTATCTTAGGGTTTATTTTGTGAATTTGTGATGCTCTGTTGTTGAATAGTGAGTTTCCAGGTTGGGTGTGGTGGCTCACGCCTATAATCCCAGCATTTTGGGAGGCCAAGATGGGAGGATCACTCGAGGCCAGGAGTTCAAGACCAGCCTGGCAACATAGTGAGACCCTATCTCTACAAAAGATTAAAAAATTAGCCAGGTGTGGTGGCATGCACAGGTAGTCCTAGCTACTGAGGCAGGAGAATGGCTTGAGCCCAGGAGTTTGAGGCTGCAGTGAGCTATGATTGTGCCACTGCCTTCCAGCCTGGGCAACACAGTGAGACACTGTCTCAAAAAAAAAATTGATTTTCAAATTATTTTTAATCTCTGATGCTCTCTTCCTAATCAGATTTGGGATACATTTATTTATTTATTTATTTTTTATTTATTTGAGAGGAAGTCTCACTCTGTCACCCAGCCTGGAGTGCAGTAGCACAATCTTGGCTCACTGCAAGCTCTGCCTCCCAGGTTCATGCCATTCTCCTGCCTCAGCCTCCCGAGTTGCTGGGACTACAGGCACCCGCCACCACGCCTGGCTAATTTTTTGTATTTTTTTTTTTTAGTAGAGACAGGGTTTCACCATGTTAGCCATGATGGTCTCGATCTCCTGACCTTGTGATCTGCCTGCCTTGGCCTCCCAAAGTGCTGGGATTACAGGTGTGAGCCACCACGCCTGGCCGGGATACATTTATTTTTACAAAAGCAAAGAAAACCAATAAAAGTGAGGCTTCTTGTGAAAGTGTTTTGAGAATTCAGCTGCTCCTTGAGTGAACACCATGGTAAAACCAGCTTAGATACCATCGGGCTGGGTCCATGGTTGCCATGAGCCAGGGGTGTGCCCTTGCTGACTTAGAGTTTGTTGCCCTGCGGCACATGGCATATGTCTTGGGGCTTTCTGTTCTCATTTTGTTTTTCTTCTTTAGGAAAATTACAATTTCTTGAACCAAAAAATGAACTATAAGTGGGACTTTGTCATTATGCAGGCCAAAGAGCAGTACAGGTGAGTGAAAGGAGACCATGCTTGTCCTCTCGGTGTCTTTCCTCCCTCTCTTCCTTCTTTGTTTCTTTTTATTTATTTTATTTTTTATTTTTATTTTTTTTTTGAGACAGAGTCTTGCTCTGTCGCCCAGCCTGGAGTGCAGTGGTGTGATCTCGGCTCACTGCAACCTCCGCCTCCTGGGTTCAAGCGATTCTCCTGCCTTGCCTCCCAAGTAGCTGAGATTACAGGCACCCAGCACCATGCCTGGCTAATTTTTATTTATTATTATTATTATTTGTATTTTTAGTAGAGACGGGGTTTCACCATGTTGGCCAGGCTGGTCTCAAACTCCTGACCTCGTGATCAGCCTGCCTCAGTCTCCCAAAGTGCTGGGATTACAGGCGTGAACCACTGCGCCTGGACTCTTTCCTTTTATTAAAATAAACTTGTTTTTGAGCATTTATGTGCCTAACACTGGGCTGCGCAGGGGGAATCAAAAGACACAGTCTCATAGGTCAGGCAGATGAAAGAATAGGCTATGGTGCTGCTGTGAGATGAGGGCCACCTGGCTGGGGTTTTCAGAAGGAATCGTAGAAATGGCATTGAACCTGGGGAATGCATAGGAGGGGTCCAGGTGAAGGATAGCAGTTGTGGAGGAAGAGGAGAGGTGTGGTGAGAGGAAGGGGCTCTCAGCAGGCAGAACCAGAGGCTGGAGGCAGGAGTGTGCCCACTGCAAGCAGTTCCTTGCAGCTGCATCTGAGAGTGCAAAGTATGGAATTAGGAAGATGTGAACTAGAGATGTTAGCAAGAGTGGATCGTGAGAGGGCTTTGTGGTGAGGGCCATAGGGAGCCATAGAATGATGTTTAAGCAGGGAAGGGATACACAGTGATCAGATTGTCATGTTAGAACCACGCCTCGTTCACTTGCATTTGCCTGTTGCCATATCAGAACTGGAACTGGAAGTCCCCTCCAGGGCTCTGCCTTAACAAGAGCTGGATGCAGATATTGGGGACAGGGAGTGGTAGGGAGAGGGTGTGGTCAGGACAAGGTTAGCCTATCATTACAAACAGCCCCCAACTCTCAGGGGCTGGAAACCACAAGGTCCATTTCTTGCTGGTGCTCCTCATCCACCGTGGGGCAGCTGGGGCCCTGACATGCTTTCCCCACTTCCAGGACCCATATGCAGAAGAAGCAGCACCATCTGGGCTTTGTGCGTTGCTTAGCAGGGACAGGGATTTCCTGTGTGTATCAGAGCAGCCCTGTCATCCTGCTCATGAGTCACTAGGCAAAGCAGGTCAACGTCAAAGGTTGGTGGGTGGGGACATAGAATCCTACTAGGTGCCTGAGAAGAGGGACAGCTGGGAACATCTGGTGACCCGCACCAGTGATTACCAAAACCGATGATCCCCCCAGTCCAGCCTCACTCGCTGTGACAGTCCCAGATCCAGGAAGGTCTAGACTTGCTGGTGCTCAGCTGGGCTGGATGGGGAAGACCTGATTCTCACCCAGCAGCCTAGGTATTGGAGTAGTGATGAACACTGTTTATGGGAGAGCTGGTCCGGGAAAAATAGATTCTTATGGCGGAACAGCTTTATTGCCCTCCAGGGGGGAAAATATGTTCTTAGGGTTTAGAATCAGGTAGAACATCAGTGAGAGAGCTGCCACTGCTCATTAGCCACAAACATGTTTCTACCTGGGTACATTTGAGGCGAAACAACACGGGTTATCTTTAATCACTTATATTTGTTCATAAGGCTTCATTTGGTGAGTTTCTGGGTACTGTCTCACTTTATGTTGGTGTGGGGAAATACTTACCATAGTAATTATTGTCACCCTTCATTTCTACAAATGGGGAGACTGAGACTTAGGGAGGTGAAAATTACTTAGCTGAAGTCACTTGGTGAGATAATGGTAGATCTTAGGCTGATATTACTTAATTCCATTTGTTGCACCAGTTTTGAGTTTCTGATGGGTTCCAGCACTGGGCTGGGCTCCAGGGACACAGAGATGGGTAAGATGTGCCCCTCTCCCTCAACCCCTCCATCCCTTCTTCCTCCTGTCTGCTCTGAGCAGGACTATCCCAGCAACCCACAGGACTATGAACCCTGACATCTGCTTTCTTGGGCGCTCTGGGTGCTCTTGAAGCTTGGAGCTGTTCTCAGTGATCCCTGCAGGTCCACCACCAAGGCCTTGGACTCAGCTGCGATAAAGCTCTGTGCTGCCCAGGTCCTGGGACATTCCCCTCTTTCATTCTTCCAGGTGCCTTGGAATGAGCGATTCCTAAAAGGCTTGCTCCATTTGAGATGGCTTTTTCCCACTTATTTTATGGCTTAAAGGCTGCCTCTGATTTCAGATTTAGGGTCTCAGCACAAAACGTGGTTGACCATGTAGGTTGGCCCATAAAGTAGTCATTTTGTTATGCTGAGTCCTGTCTTCCAAGTTCCACACTCAGCACCCAGACAGCTACTCAAGATCTCATGTTGCTGTCAAACCTCAAACTTACCTTGTCCATATTCAAATATGTCTTTCCCTCACTCTCCAAACCTCTTCCTCCAGTATCACCCATATCAGTACCTCTACTGCCCCTACCCTGGTTGAACCAAACTCACCGTCACCTGAACCATGGCAACATCCTCCCAACTGGCCTCTCTGCTCCCAATTTCTCCCCATGTTTGAAACACAGATAAGATCACCTCAATCCATCTTCTCTAGCTATCGGGGAGAACATTCACTTCCAATGTTACTTCCTCAAAGAGGCTTTTCTGATTAGCTGTTACTGCACTCAGATCATCCTAAATTTAGTGGCTCAAAACAACAACAATTATTTTATTATGTGTCCTGATTTCTATAGGTTAGGGATTTGGGAAGGTCTTGGCCTATCAATTCTAACTCAGAGTCTCTTGAGTGGTTGCTGTCAGATGGCTGGAGCTGGGGGCCTGGAGCAACTGGGGCTGGCTGGCATTTCCTACTCTCTTCTTGTAGCCTCTCTGTGTGGTCTAGCTTGAGCTACCTCACAGCATGGCGGCATCAGGGAGGGTTGTTAGATTGCTTAGAGGTGTTTGGGGACTTCAAGACCACATATTCCAGTAAGGAGGGTGACTGCTGTCCCACCTTTTATGGCCTGGCCTCAGAAATTAGTGCCATGCCTGACGTCCCATGTTGGTAGAAACCATCACAAAATCCCATCTAGCTTCAAGGGGAGGAGACATAGACACATCTGTCAATGGAAAGAGTGTCAAAGAATTGTAGACATATTTAAAAATCACCACAGAGGCCATCCCTGATGCTGCATGATGGTACTCTGTTTCCTTATGGCAAATAATGCAATTTGCAATTCTGTATTGATTCTTTGACTGTGTATGTGATGTTTAGCTCAAAAGCTACTCAAGGGCAGGGACTATGTTTGGTTCACCAGTAGACTCCCAGTGCTTGGAATATACTGGAAGATCAATGAGTACATGAATGAACGAATGAATGAATGAAAAATTAAGCAAATGCTGTTGCTGAAAAAATCACAAACTAAAGTAATTCCTAGGTTACTAACTCTCTTGCATTCCATTTATCATGACTCTCCTCTAATAACATCTGTTACAGAAAAGCAGAAGAGCAAAGCCGGAAAGGACCCGTGGGGTAAATCAGAGAGTGACTCTATTTACCAGGCTCTCCAGCATTGTGGAAACTGCAATGCCTCAGGCTGGTTGTGGCCCATGCTCCTGAGGTCAGGGGCTAGTTAATGTGGTAGAAAATCCAGTTAGGCTGTCAGGGGGAAGTTTGAAAACAATGTTTATATTTAATTTCCAGAGGAGGCTGACGGAACGCCCAAATGGAATGGCGCTGTTCACCCATCTGGCTCCCTGAGTGTTATGATGTTTTTCACAGTACGTTAACGGGGAGATGAATTCGCCGACTCTGTCTTGCAGAGGGCGTGTGCGTCATCCCACGTTGCCTGGGAAAACAAGCATTAACAAGTGTGAGCGCGGGTCTCCGTGGAAATGGTACAGAAGGGGGCCCACGGCGGGATCATTAGTGTTACTTTGCCCCTGGAGGAAGAAGGCCCTGCGTCATTTCCCATCCAGAGTGGGAAAGGGAGAGAGACTGAGAGATAAAAAGGAAAATAAACAGCCCTTTTTTATTTATTTATTTTTTTTTGAGACGGAGTTTTGCTCTTGTTGCCCAGGCTGGAGTGCAGTGGCGCGATCTCGGCTCACTGCAACCTCTGCCTCCCAGATTCAAACGATTCTCCTGCCTCAGCCTCCTGAGTAGCTGGGATTACAAGTGCTTGCCACCATGCCCGGAACATTTTTATATTTTTGGTAGAGACGGGGTTTCACCATGTTGATCAGGCTGGTCTTGAACTCCTGACCTCAAGTGATCTGCCCACCTCAGCCTCCCAAAGTGCTGTGATTACAGGCATGAGCCACTGCGCCGGGCCATAAATAGCCTTTTATAGCAATAAGTTGTGCTCAGAAAAAGCCCCGACGTGGCATGAACTCTTTGCAGTGCCAGAGTAGAAGTTACAGGCACGGAGGAGAGAGGACTCCCCAGGCCAGCATCTTCCTTGTCACCATCCCACAGGGGGTTGCCTGCCTGACCAGACGTTGACTATGTTGTTTGCCCAAACAGGGAAAAGTTAAGAAGCCAGGAGGTCAAATGTCGACCCGGAAGTTCACCCATGCGCGCTGCTCTCTAATGTTGAAGTTGGTGGAGTTGGTTTGATTTAGGGCTGGTGGCGGCAATATGATCTCAGTGCAGCACTGTCCTGTCCGGGGGAGTTAGACCCTGGCCAGACTCCCAAGTGCAAGTGCCACTTCTGCCAATTGCTAGCAGTGTGACCCTGGTGGGCTGGTGGGGCATTCACCCCCTCTTCATTTCAGTGCCCTGAACTTTGAAGTAAGAAAAGGCCACCGGGAGGATGAAGTGGGATTAAAAGAGTTAATACGTGTCAAAGTGGTTAGAAGGGTGCTAGTACTTAAGTGAGATGTCAGTGCTTGCTGTGTTCATTACTATTACGGTATATGTGAATTACTTGGGCAGGTTGGGAGAGGGGTCTAGGTCATCAGGAATGAGGGGCATCACTAATCAAAAGACACAAAGTCTTCCTGGCCTTACACGTGGCTTTTGGCTTTCCAGGGCTGGAAAGGAGAGGAACAAAGCAGACAGATATGCCCTGGACTGCCAGGAGAAGGCATACTGGCTGGTGCACCGATGCCCTGTGAGTATCCTCCTGCCTGGTGTCCTCTGTCTCTTCCTGTGCCTCCCACCTCCATCCTGTGCTCTCCATACCTGTTGCCAACTCCTCTTTCTCTAGGGCGAGAATTGGATCAGCAGGAGGAGCTGCTCAGTGTTGGGTTAGCATCCAAGTGCCTCTTGGCCAGAAAAGGAAGTTCTCTGCCTGGATGGGGTCTGCTCATGGCCCATCTGTTGGTGTTAGGTAGGGAGGGACCTGAATGAATTTGTCTTTTACGAGGGCTGGGACTTTTTTTTTTTTTTTTTTTTTTGCTAGGATATCATACCTTGGGAAAGGAATATAAGGAGAAAAAATTAGAACGTAGGCCCCAATGGAGGCGCCAATGCAGAAAAATAGAGTCCCGTGAGAATGGAAACTGCTTGGCCAAAGTTCTCCTTGGTGTCTCTAGCTCCCTCACTTTTTCCTCTCCTAGATCCAGTTCCCAGCAGCTGAGATGGGAGAAGGAGAAGGAATACGTCTGTGTTGAGCTTCTCCTTGCTTGGAGCACACTGAATCTCTGGCTTTGGGACTTCAGTGGCCCAGAGGGACAAGCTGTACAGAGCTGGTGTAACTTGCCCCAGCTCATCACTGGGAAATGGTAGCCTCATTCCCCAGCACACAGAAGTGGGGTCTGACTGCTACATACTGGGATTAACTCTGCTACCTCAGTTTCCTCCTGTACAGCTCCCTGTGCTGCCTATGGGTCATGGGAGGTAGGAGATGTGAATGAGATTCTGGAAACCGAAGAGTTAGAAAGAAATGTTCTTCCTCCTCTTCCTTTAGCTTCCTTGCCTGCCAGGTATCAGAAATTCTCAGAAGCAGAAGGAGAACTGAGTGAGGCCTGGTGTCAGAGTTTATGGATTTTTGAGTTTCAAGCCCATCCGATTTTGGCTGTTTTGCTTATATTCTTTATATACTGAAAACAGATTCTCCTAAGGTGTTCCACTCTGTAGCGGCATGGGTTTGGATGCTGTGTTGCTGAGGTTAAGGTGCTGAGGTTGATCCCAAACAGCTTGTTTGATTTTTTCTTTGCTTCAGGGTTTCTCCTCTAGGGAAACCAGTTTACAG
This sequence comes from Homo sapiens, assembly GCF_000001405.40. Lineage (NCBI taxonomy): Eukaryota > Metazoa > Chordata > Mammalia > Primates > Hominidae > Homo > Homo sapiens. The sequence continues at coordinate 65,169,365 of NC_000017.11, forward strand.
ATGCCTGACGCAGGTATCTGGGGGCCGGGTGACAGAGCACAGGGTCCCAGAGATAAGCACCCCTCCTGGTTGGTAGCGAAGAAACTCTTTGTATGAGAAGGAGCCTCACATTGCTCGTGTGTTCCAGAAGCACTCTGTGGTGAGGATAAGGAGACATGGCGGATATGCCACATTTGGCAAGACACCTTGGTGCCCAGTGGCACCATACCTGAGGGTAGGTAAAGAACGGCTTCTATATTATGTGCAGAGACTCCTCACTGTGCGAATGCCTATGTGACTACATTCCTTGCAAAGTGACATAGACTAGCTATGCATTAACATGAAAAATTGATCATCCGGGTTCTTCTCAGTTCTTCTGGGGTAAGTTCTCAGCCCCCACCAGGCTAGTGGCTGAGTGGCTCTTCACAGGATGATGCTGAATCACATAAATATGACCATGTGTCTCTATGACCACTGCCTCCCCCCCAGCCCATCTCCACCACCATGACCGTCATCCCACCTCCCACTCCCTCACCTCCTTTATCTCCCTGACCTCTACCACCTCTCTTATTTCCCCCACTTTCTCCACCACCTCCACCACCCTTATTGTCTTCATCACTGTGGTCACTGTCACCGTCACCATCACAGTAGACATGAACTGAGAACTCCCAGTGTGCTGGGCACTGTGCTAAGCCTTCTGCATTCTTTTTTTTTTTTTTTTTTTTTTCTGAGATGGAGCCTTGCTCTGTCACCCAGGCTGGAGTGCAATGGCACGATTTCGGCTCACTGCAACCTCTGCCTCCCAGGTTCAACCAATTCTACTGCCTCAGCCTCCTGAGTAGCTAGGATTACAGGCATGCACCACCATGTCCGGCTAATTTTGGCATTTTTAGTAGAGATGGGGTTTCACCATGTTGGTCAGCCTAGTCTTGAACTCCTGACCTCGTGATCTGCCTGCCTCGGCCTCCCAAAGTGCTGGGATTACAGGCGTGAGCCACCGCGCCTGGCCGCCTTCTGCATTCTTATTGAACCTTTGCAGCCCTGTGTGGAAGGGTTTATTATTATTCTCATTGTACTGATAAGCAAGTGAAAGCTCAAGGATGCTGCTAATTTGCCCAAAGTTACACAGCTAGTTAGTGCCAGAGGGTCTGAACCCACATACCACTGACTGTGGAGCACCAACCCCTGCACCTTAGCCCTGTGCACTTCTGCCTCTCATGACAATGTCATGTGATATCTTGGTACAGTTCAGTCCTTTGGTAACCTCCTCGGTCATTAGAACGTTGCCTGGGTCACTGCTGCTCTAAGAAGCCGAATGCCTGGGTTTACACGTGCCTGGTCCTTCTTTGACAGCACTGGGGACCCAAGTTCAGCATGAGGCTTTGATGGACTCAGAGTGGTCCTAGAACTTCCAGGACTAAAAACTGCTCCCCACATCTAACCTCTTTCATGGCTGCTCCCTGAGTGAAAACCAGACCAGTAGTCAAAGATGAGGCAGGAGAGTGCAGTGGCCCCACTCTCTGTGATTTTCTTAAAATTCTCCCCATCTCTTGTTGGCCTGTGGGGGTGGAAGGTAGTGTTTTTGAAGAGCATCTCAGTCTAGAAATTGAGCAATCTGACTGACAGGCTCAGGAAGCCCCGGAGCTCACAGGCTGCCAGACTGTCTCCAGGAGACCCAAACAAACCGTCAGTTCAATGGGAAAAAAGCCAGCCAAGGCAAACAAAGCACTTGGCGCCGTGGAGTGTCGCGGCCACTCCGTGTCAGACTGTAACCAACAGTTGTAGAGTGAGACGTGGCCTGCTGTTACTGAACCGACTCATTCACTTGTTCATTTGTCTGTTCATTGATCCATGAAATCTTCGTTGAGCCTTGACTTTGTCCCAGGGAAGGGGTTAGGTGCTGGGTGTGAAATAACAGCCAAGAGTCATTGAGTACTCCTCTGAACCTGTGTTAAGCTCTTGGCACAGATGACCTCATTGACGCCTGATGCTATGATGTAGGGAATATCACCATCCCCGTTATTCAGATGGAGAAATTGAGGCTCATAGAGGTTCAGTAGCCTGCTCAGTTCTGGGAGAGGAAGCCACATCTTTCTGATGGTAAAGCCCGATATTCTGCTTCTGTGCAAGGAGGCCCCACCCGTGGTCCCTCTCTCAGCTCAAGGAGCTCAAAATCCAAATTGCTGGAGCACAGGTGAGTGACACTCTCCCAGAGATAAGACCTAATTGCAGAAGGGGCACAGCGAGAGGGTGATTGATTTAGAAAGGCAGGGAGAAATGTCTGATAGATGGTGTTTCAGGGAGATCATCACTGGCAAAGGCCAAGACCCCACGTGGGTGGTGGTAGTTGAGGGCTCTGACCTGAATTCCTACCCAGAGCCCAAAGGACACCTGTGATTCAGCATCCTGTAATGAAGGAAAACGATGTTTCTCACCTGTTTTTTACTCAAATGGAACCAAGTACAGATCTGAGCACGATGCAAACAACAGTGAGTTTTGTAAATGAACAAAGGGAGAAAGTGCTCCCTTAGACAGGCATGTGGAGGCCTTCCCTGCATCTTTGCTGTGCCATCTGTGACTTCCTGCCTCCCAAGGATGTAGTCTGAGGCTGCTTCCTGGCGGTGGGTGTGCTTATCTGCTTATCAAGCTAAATGACCCTTGTTTCAACCACATATGCAGACACTTGCCAGAGATGTCTGCCCTCCATTTCCCATCGAAGTTAGGCTAAATGTCCAACAATGGAAAATGGCAAAATAAATTGAGGTATATTAACATGATGGAACATTGTGAAGCTATTCAAATAATATTTTCAAAGGCCATTCATTGATCTAGGAAAATGATCTGACATACAATGTGTTTTTTGTTTGTTTGTTGTTTTTTGTTTGTTTTTGAGACAGAGTCTCGCTCTGGGGTGCAGTGGCATGGTCTTGGCTCACTGCAACCTCTGCCTCTTGGGTTCAAGCAATTCTCCTGAATCAGCCTCCTGAGTAGCTGGAATTACAGGCGCCTGCCACCACACCTGGCTAATTTTTGTATTTTTAGTAGAGACGGCGGTTTCACCATGTTGGCCAGGCTGGTCTCGAACTCCTGACTCTACCTTGGCCTCCCAAAGTGCTAGGATTCCAGGCATGAGCCACTGTGGCGGCCTGACACATAATGTTATATTATAAAACCAGGGTGGGTGGAATGCTCCATGTGCCATGGTCCAAAAATAAAAAATAAAAAAAATTAACATATATTTTGTGAATATCTGCTCTATGCCGGGTGCTTACTAGGCATTGGGGATATTTGGATTATGAGCCAAGACAGACATTGCCCGTGACCTCAAGGAGTTTCTTGCAGTCTGGTGGAGAGACAAAGACTAAAATGATTAAACCAATGAATGAGTAACAAGCAGAATGCCATGGCAGCTGGTAGGAGGCAGGGGCTCTGCGTCCGGTTGGGGGTCAGGGAACACAGGACACAGGACGTGGAGAGTGACATTCAAGCCAAGATCCTCTAGGAGCTGACTTTCCTAACACAGCAACATAAAATTGTCTCCCTGTTTCACCTCATCTCTATTTCTTTTTTCTTTCTTTCTTTCTTTCTTTTTTTTTTGAGATGGAGTGTTGCCCTATTGCCCAGGCTGGAGTGCAATGGCGTGATCTCAGCTCACTGCAACCTTCGCCTCCTGGGTTCCAGCGATTCTCCTGCCTCAGCCTGCCGAGTAGCTGGAATTACAGGTGTGCGCCACCTCGCCTGGCTAATTTTTTGTATCTTTAGTAGAGATGGGTTTTCACTGTGTTGGCCAGGCTGGTCTCGAACTCCTGACCTCATGATCTGCCGGCCTCAGGCTTTCAAAGTGCTGGGATTACAGGCATGAGCCACCGCGCCTGGCCTCATCTCTATTTCTTTCCCCTGTCTTATTTTGTTTAGAAAACGAGTTAGTGTTTTACTTAGTATTTGTTTTCTGTTCCATGCACCAGAAGAGTCTGATATTTTTGGGAAGAGAGTGAAGCTGAGAGAAGGAGGGGCAGGGGGACACGGTGGAGTACCACCGAGAAGTGTCCGTCAGCTCCACGCTGGCCTTGCTCTGTATGTGGGTTCCTGGGAACATCGCCTCCTCACGAGCAGTTGTCACGAGTACAGGAGCTCCTTTCCTGACCTGAATGATGATGCATTGAGCAAATTGCCTCTTTGGCTTACACCCAAGGGATGTTGTTTGTGGGGGGCGGGGTCATACCCTGGTGTTCACAGTTCCTCAGGGTGGAGGAGGGGAGCTTGCATGTCTCTGAAGGCTTCCTGCATGAGGCACCAGGGCAGAAAGTGCCTGCTGCCTCCTTATCTGCGGGCCACACACCGCAGGATGCATCGGCTGCCCTTATTTCCTGGGCGCTGACAGTCAGTTCTGGTTAACTTCATCTGAACACCCTGTTATGTGCCAGAAACTGTGTCAGCAGCACTCTGGTGATGATCATAGTGGGTCAAAGACTTTACACTACCTGATGAATGAAGAAATGGATGAATGAAAGGAGCTTGGGAGTCTCTGAAACCAGCAGAGGCAGAAAGGCAGCCCTCTCACCAGTTTCGAGGGCAGGGAACTGGAAAAGGACCACAGCTTGATTGGGAACAACTGAGACTTAAGGGCTGCTGCCCACAGAGGTGCAAGAGCCGAGGCAGCAGTGGCCAGAGGACTGTGCCTGGCTGTTCTGTAGGGAAGGCATGGAGAGCCAGGTTGGGGCTGGAACTGGACAGGCTGGCAGAATCATGAAGCCCAGTGGGTGGCTGCAGGTCTGAGAGTCTAAGGCCGTCTGGTCTGGGCAGCTGAGGGCATAGAGGACTCTATCTCAGTTATGCAGTGCACTGTTGAGCACTGGGGCAACCAAATTTATATCAGAGCCTGGGGCACATTGGAAGGAAAGAACTAGATAACGAATTCAAGACTTGAGCAGATGACCACACCGAAGTCACCGAGGCAGTGAGCGCCTGTGGAATAGCAGCCAGACACTGGTTGTAGGGCATCATGAGCACAGGCTGTGTGTGAGTGTGAGTGCATGTCAGTATGTCTGGGTGTGCATGTATGTGAGTGAGTGTGTGAATGTATGTGTGCGAGTGTGTGTACATGTGTGCATGTGTGTGAGCATGTATGTCAGTGTGTTGGCGTGTCAAGGTGTGCATGTATGTGAGAATATGTATGTATGTGTGAGAGTGTGTAGATGTGTACATGTAAGTGAGCATGTATGTGAGTGTGAGTGTGCATATGTATATGTGAGTGTGCCTAGGTTTGTGCATGCATGTAAACATATATGTGTCAGTATGCACGTGTGTGAGTGTGTGAATGTGTTATGTGTGAGCATGCATATGTGTGTGCATGTATGTGAGCATGTTTTTGTGTATTCATTCTCATAGTGTTATAAAGAAATACGCAAGACTGGGTAATTTATAAAGGAAAGAGGTTTAATTGACTCACAGTTCTGCATGGCTGGGGAAGTCTCAGGAAACTTACAATCATGGCGGAACGGGAAAAGGCACATCTGACATGGTGGCAGGCGAGAGAGAGCGAGTATGTGAAAGAGGAACTGTCAGACACTTATAAAACCATCAGATCTCATGAGAACTCACTATCATGAGAACAGCATGGGGGACACCACCCCCATAATCCAGTCACCTCCCACCAGGTCTCTCCCTCAATCCCTGGGGATTATGGAGATTACAGTTCAAGATGATATTTGGGTGGGAACACAGAACCAAACCATATTAATGTGTGTGTGTGTGTGTGTGTCAGGACATGTGTGTATGTGAGTGTGTGTGAGTGTGCATATGTACATGTGGGAGTATGTGTAGGTGTGTGCATGTATGTGAGCATGCGTGTGTGAGTGTGCCAGTGTGTCAGGGCATGTATGTATGTGAGCATGTGTGAGTGTGCATATGTATGTATGAGAGTGTGTGGGTGTGTGAGTGTGAGTGTGAGAGTGTGTGAACGTGCCAAAGTGTGTGTATGAAGTCTGCCTTCAGTTATGCAGGGGGATTTCTCCATACCAGATTCAGGGGGCAACTCCTAGAACCCTTTTTGGCAAAGGCACTGACTCTGCTGAGCCCCTGCCATGTGAGGTTAGATCCCATGGTGTTATCCCTTCAAGACACCTGTCTCAACTCTAATTTATCCTTTGTGTGATTAATTGCTGAGTGGCTACCTCCCCCTTGAGACTGGGAGTGCCTCAGTAATGCCTGCTGGGGAGCAGTGGTCTCGGGGCACACTCACCATGGGCTCCCCAGGGCTCAGCACAATGTCCGGCACATAAGAAGTGCCCCATAGATATTTGCTGATCAAGATCCACTTGTAACAACTAGGGTAAGGATGGCCATTCCCTTTCCCTGTCCTCCTCCCCACCCACTTTCTATTGCCTTTTCCTTTCTCTTCCCTGTGTCGTCTTGTCTGCACATATTTGCCTCCATGGTAGCCCGGTGAGCTAGGTTGCTAGATTTAGCAAATAAAATACAGGAAATTTGGTTGAATTTGAATTTCAGATAAACAACAAATAATTTTTATGTAAAATGTATTTTGTATATTTAGTATAAATATATAATAAGCATCAAAATATTGGGACAGAAATTATTTGCCATTTATCTTAAATTAACTGGGCTTCCTACATTTTATCTGGCAGTCTTACATCTGAGCTAAAACCCAGTCTGATCCCATGGATGAGGCTGAATTTGATGGCAAGAAAGCCCAGTTGCTTCCCAACTCTCTGCTTCAGTGTAGCCAACCTGGTTGGTCACATGTGCTGAGCAATGGGTGGATGCCTGGCATCACACCTGCATCAGGGGAAGTGAAAGACCCAAATTATTGGTCTCAAAGAGTCAAGGAGTTGAGAGAGACCAAGTAAGATTTTCTGGAGAGCTGGGTTACCTGCTGGCAAAGGGAACTAACAGAGATTACAGTCCCAGTTTTGGGCCATTCTTTTACATATGTAATCTTAAAATGAATACAACCCCTTGCTCAGCAATAGCTACCTTCTGTGGAGAGCTTCACACCCTATCTTGTTAAATCTTCACAAGAACCTGCCACGTAGGAGGATTCTTCTCTGTTTCTTAGAGAGGTTAGTGAGTGCCAAGACAAGGAGTGTTTTCCAAGATCTTCTGCACAGCTGGGAAGTGGCAGAACCAGGAGTGGCACCCAGACGTGCCTGACAAGCCTGGACTTTCCCAAAGCACTGCTCTGTCACTTCACTTTTCCCGCCAAGCCCAAGATGAAACCACAGAGTGTGGGGAAGGAGCACTGTGGGAAGAGTCAGGAAGCCCATGTATTAGTCTCAGTGAACTCTTTTGGAGCCTGAATGTTACCCATCCATATGCCCACTCACTCATCCATCCATCTACTCACTCAACCATCCATCCATCCATCCATCCATCCATCCATCCATCCATCCACCCATCCACCCATCCGTCTATCTCTTCACCTATCCATTCACCATCCATCTACCACAAATTTACCCATTCATCCATGCATCCATCCCTCCATCTATACATCCCACTATGGTGCTGAGTTTGCCATTCATCTGTCCATCCATCCATCCATCCATCCATCCATCTCTTCACCCATCCACTCACCATCCACCTACCACCCATTCATCCATCCATCCCTCCTTCCCTTCCTCCATCCATTCGTACACCATTCCATTCCTTCATCCATCCATCTCACTATGGTGCTGGGGATGCCATTCATTTGTTTGTCCATCCATCCATCCATCCATCCATCCATCCATCCATCCTTCCATCCCTCCATTCATCCATCTCACTATGGTGCTGGGGATGCCATTTATCTGTCCGTCCATCCATCCATCCATCCATCCACCCATCCATCCATCCGTTTATTCACCCACCCACCATCCACCTACCACCCATTTACCTATTCATTCATCCATCCACCCATCCCCCTCTCCTTCCCTCTTTCCTGCCACCCATCCAACTCTGGTGCTGGGAATGCCATTCATCTGTCTGGCCATCCATCCATCCATCCATCCACTCACCCACCCATCAACCATCTACCCGCCACCCATTTACCTATTCATCCATCCACTTATCCATGCATCCCACTATGGTGCTGGGGATGCCAACCACCTGTCCATTTTTCCATCCATCCACCCACCCACGCATCTACCCATCCTTCTCTCCCTCCATCCTTCCATCTCACTATGTTAGGTGCTGGGGATACTGGGAGGCATAACAGCCCTCATGAAGCTCAACAGCTCACCTGGAGGGTTTACACCCACTCAAAGCTTCCCATGGGCTAGGCCACAAGCTCTTCTCAGCTCAATCTCACAATTGGCAGATTAACCAAGACCCACAGTTAACCAGAAACTGGAGACTCTCCCTGTAATGACCTTATGTTGTTTTTATTCCATTTAGCCTGGAATGGACAATGTGCTGGACTACGGCCTGGACCGAGTGACCAATCCGAATGAAGTCAAGGTAAACCAGGTATGTCTCTGCTGCATAGTTTGGGTAGGGCCTAGGTCGGATTCTGGGGCTGGGAAGGTGTCCACATGTCTATTCGTGTCTGTTAGGGCAACGATATCTCCTCTTTGAGACTATCAAAGAGAGGAGGACCGTGGGCTCTGTGGACTCAGGGTTAGGGGAGAAGTGGGACCATGGCAGGATGCTAGGTGAGAAGAAATTACGACTGAAGACAGACAGAGGCTGTAGAGTGCAGGGAAGAGCTAATGGGATCTAGATGGCTGGTTTTCAAACTTTTCTGAGTCACTTCCCCCTTCGAAAATCTGATGAAAGTTATGAGCTCATTCCACTCAAAGATGCACAGACAGACATTCTGTACACAGTTTCAGCCAGTTCCTTGATCCTGAGGAGACTGTAGACCCCAGCCTCGAAACTCTTGAATCAGTTTTAGATTTAACCTTAATCCACATGACAGGACCTGGAATCTAACACTTTCTTTCACATCCCAGTGGAGTGGGATCTTTGTAAAGATTCTCCAAGCAGGTTTCATTAAAAAAAAATACCTTTCCTCAAATAGGCCATCTTTCATGATGGATAGCCAATGTCCTATGAGTATTTATTTATTTATAGAAATACAGTTCATAAGCTGTTGAGCCCATGGCCCTATTGACATTTTGGGCCAGATAATTCTTTTTTTTTCCTATTTATTTATTTATTTATTTATTTAATTCATTTATTATTTGAGACAGGGTCTCACTCTGTTGCCCGGGCTGCAGTGCAGTGGCATGCTCATAGCTCACTGCAGCCTTGACCTCTTGGGCTCAGGTGATCCTCCTGCCTTAGCCACCCAAGTAGCTAGGACCACAGGCACATGCCACCGTGCTTGGCTAATTTTTGAAATTATCTGTAGAGACAGTGTCTTTCTATGTTGCCCAGGCTGGTCTTGAACTCCTGGGCTCAAGCAGTCCTCCTGCCTTGGCCTCCCAAAGCACTGAGATTACAGGTGTGAGCCACTGTGCCTGGCTCAGATAGACAATTCTTTGGTGAAGCTGTCCTGTGCATTTTAGAATGTTCAGCAGCATCCCCAGCTCTGCCCATGAGATGTCAGTACCTCCATTCCTCTCCCTGCCCACCTAAGCCCCAGTCCTAACAATCAAAAATGTCTCCAGACATTGCCCATTGTACCCTGGGAAGGAAGTCAACATTACTCTGGCTGACAACCACTGATTCCAATGAACCATCCTAGACCCATTTAAACAGATCTTAGGTAGTTTCATTGCTTTCTGTCAAACATTGTCTTTGGGTAGCAAGGGTGTCATCTCTAGCCTAGGGTGCATCTATAGGGCTCTGCAGAGCCTTAAGGCATGAGTGGGGGCCTGTAGGGGTGTGCAGGGGAAGGAGGAGGGTGGAAGTGGGAGGGGAAAGAAAAAGGAGCCAGAAATGTTAGCAAGGCAGCTCTGGGACAGTGTTTGCTTTTGCTCCCTGGAGAGGGTCACCGGGGGAACCATTAGGTCTCTTGTCCACAAGCTGGAGAGACCCTTCCTTTGATACACACAGGGCACAGTCAGCCTTAACTCAGCTGTTCCCAGGGCAGCCTTTCCCGTGTTCCCCTTGCCAGAGAACAGATCACTGCTGAGGCCTTGTAGGCTTGGTTGCCATGGAAACAGAATCCTCGAGTAAAAGATTGAACCTGGGTGGAAGGGTTGCTTTTTTTTATGGCTAACTAGCAGCTCTGGAAACCTCTTTCCTGGGGAGGAGAGAGAGGGTGGAGGCAGAAAGCACATCACTCATTCTGAGATGGGGGGGTGGGAACAAAGGGTCACCCATCCGTGACCCAAGCCAGGATACTGCTCAGCTGTGTGTGTGTGTGTGTGTGTGTGTGTGTGTGTGTGTGTGTGTGTGTTGGGGGTGGTTAGGCAGGACCTTAACTTCATCCATTTGAGAGGGAAGCTAAGGAGCTGAGCTGCTCCATCCTGGGGGTGACTTCTGAGGAGGGTGACCAGATTACTGTCTTTACTGAGGAGGCATCTTTGTGCTCCTTGGCCTTCAGAGCCCACTTCCTGCGGATGTGGATGCTGGCAACACCCTCAGCCCAGAACCCAGTGGGCAGGCTGGGTGTACGACAGAGGGTGCCTTTGCCATGGTGGGGTGTGATACGGGCTGTGTCTCCGCTGTTTACCGTTATCTTCTCTGTCTCTCTCTCTCTCTCTTCCCAGCTATCTATCTATCTCCTGTCTGTGCACTCTGGCTGCTGTGGAATAAAGTATTAAGAAGAATAAAGAACTGCAATTCTCATGCATGCAGAGCCCCTTCCAGCCCTCCCCTCAGGCAGCCCCAGCATGCTGTGGTTTATCTGTCTGCAACATTTTCCACTGTCTGCGAGTCCCCTGTGTTCCCGGGTTAATCTGCCCTGAGAGAAGAGGGTTGCCAAGAGCATGAAGCATCTCCATGAAGACCTGGGAGTGCAGAGGCTTTGGATTTTTGTCTCACTTCAGAGAACTCATGGTGCCTGAGCTGGTTTGAAGAGAGGTCATTTTGAGAAGGAATCGATCCTTCTTTCTTTTTTTCTTTTCTATTCTTTTTTTTTGAGACGGAGTCCTGCTCTGTCACCCAGGCAGGAGTGCAGTGGCGTGATCTCGGCTCACTGCAACCTCCGCCTTCCGGGTTGAAGTAACTCCTTGCCTCAGCCTCCAGAGTAGCCGCGATTACAGGTGTGTTCCACCACGCCCAGCTAATTTTTTCATATTTTTAGTACAGACGGAGTTTCTCCATGTTGGCCAGGCTGGTCTTGAACTCCTGACCTCAGGTGATCCGCCCATCTTGGCCTCCCAAAGTGCTGGGATTACAGGCATGAACCACTGCGCCTGGCTATCAATCCTTCTTTTTAAACTTTTATTTTAGGTTCAGGGGTTACATTTCAGGTAAACTGCATGTCACCGGAGTTTGGTATATAGATTATCTTGTCACTCAGGAAATAAGCATAGTACTCATAGGTAGTTTTTCTATCCTCTCCCTCCTCCCACCCTCCACCCTCAAGTAGGCCTGGGTGTCTGTTGTTCCCTTCTTTGTGTCCTTGTGTACTCAATGTTCAGCTCCCACTTATAAGTGAGCCCATGTGGTATTTGGTTTTCTGTTCCTGCGTTAGTTCGCTTAAGACAATGATCTCTAGCTCCATCCATGTTGCTACAAAGAACATGATCTCATTTTTTTATGGCTGCATAGTATTCCATGGTATATATGTACCACATTTTCTTCATCCAGTCTACCAATGATGGGCATTTAGGTTGATCCCATGTCTTTGCTATTGTGAATAGTGCTGCAGTGAACATAGGCATGCATGTGTCTTTATGACGGAATGATTTATATCCCTTTGGGTATATACCTAGTAATGCGATTGCTGGGTCAATGGTAATTCTATTTTAAGTTCTTTGAGAAATCACCACACTGCTTTCTACAATGGCTGAACTAATTTCATTCCCACCAGAAGCATATAAGCTTCCCTTTTCTCCTTGCCAGCATCTGTTATTTTTTGACTTTTTGATAATAGCCATTCTGACTAGTGTGAGATGTTATCTCATTGTGGTTTTGATTTGCATTTCGAGAATGAGTAAATTCTTGAGAAGATGTATCTGTTTTCCCCAAATAGAGGCAAGTAACCGTCAACCATAAGGAGGAAAGTCATTAGGTTGGCAGGTGTCTCGGGCCCTGGGTGGCCCACTCCCACTGGCTAATGGCAGCTGGGAGGGACTGGCCAGGGGCCGGGACCACACTCTAGAAGTGAGTCCTCTTTTAGCTCCAATACCTTGAGGCATACGGAACCCCCAACTCCTGCACCCCAGGAGGTGATGGGGGCAGGGGCCGCTCATGGCAGGATCACTGCCATCATTTAGGGATGAGGGCAGTGTCGGGTGCTGAAGAGACCCTTGACATTGGCCTGAGCCCCAGCTCTGCCACTTCCGGTCCATGTGATCTTGGGCAAGCTCTTTCTTGAGCCACAGTCTCAGTTTCCTCATCTCTAACAGGGGAAGCATGCTAGTTCCTTCATCAGAGGATTAAGCAGGATCACTTATGTGTAGTGTCTAGAATGCTAATCAACACGTAGAGACACTCCACACACAGCTGGTATTATTCTAAATGTTGTCATGCTATGAGAGAGAATTTATGGGACTTGTAGACCTCAGACTCCATGTTAGGGTGCTGTACCTAGCCAATTTCCTCTTCTGCCTTTTCACCTTCTCATACTTCTCCCCTGGTTAGAGGTGGAAGGAGGGGTTACATGCCAATTTCAACCTCTCTGCCTACTCCAATAAGCAGCTGCTCAGAACCTCAGTCTACACTGGCGAGTATACAGATCTTTTGGTAAAAGGCAGAAATATGGCCTCCCAGTATAAAATACTGTGCTCTGCAGAGGTGCTCAGCCTGGAGCCCTCACACACCATATGCTCCCGCCAATAGGGGACAAACTTCTTTCTTCTTGTGGCTTCTGTGTGACCATGCCTAGCTGAGGGAAGGGAAGGGGCTGATGTTTGCTGACAGCTCCCTGCGTGCCAGGCATGGACCTGAGTGCGCCACCCTTTGTAACGGCTCAGCTAAGACTCACTACTGCGTTAGAAGGTAGATGGCCACGTTGACCTCCGTTTCACGGTTGAGAAAGCAGGCCGAGAGAGAGGGTGGCTCCCCCAAGGACACACAGCTGAGAAGTGGTGAAGCCAGGATCTGAACCTCAGCTGATGGCCGCCAGAGCCCACTCCACATCCTGCCTGATGTTTTCTAATGTCCTTATTGTGGCTTTTAGAAGTTTTTCTGCATTTCCTGAAGTCCATTAACAGAGACAATGTCAGTTTCCTTTTTCACATGAAGAAAACAAAATAGAGAGACATAGCCGTTTGCCCAAGGTGACCCAGCCAGGATTCAGTTACGTGTTTCCAGTTCTGTAGCTCATGGGCCTCCCTGATCCAACCGCTGCTCCCCTCTCCACCCCACAAGGCCTACGTCCTGCACCCAGGGCCGGCTTCATGGGCAGGGGGCTTGTACAGCCGCCCAAGACCCCACCCTCAGAAGGACCCTTGTTTGATTTAATGTTCTGTTACCATCTCAGAATTCCTTACACTTTTTTTCTGAACAGTGAACTGCATTTTTATTTTGCACTGAGCCTTGCAAATTGTAAGCAATTCTACCTCTACTTGATGAGGTCGTACCTGGCTGGACGGCTATTTACTTCACATGATCGCAATCTTAAATCCAAGACTCCTTAGACAGCTGCACCCCCTTAATTTTTTTAAATCTATCTATCTATCTATCTATCTATCTATCTATCTATCTATCTATCTACCTACCTACCTACATACCTATCTATCTATTTTGAGACAGTCTTGCTCTGTCACCCAGGCATGAGTGCAGTGGCACAATCTCGGACCACTGCAACCTCCGCCTCCTGGGTTCAAAAGATTTTTATGCCTTAGCCTACTGAGTAGCTGGGATTACAGATGTGTGCCACCATGCACAGCTAATTTTTATATTTTTAGTAGAGACAAGGTTGTGTCTTTTTGGCCGGGCTGATCTCAAAATCCTGTCCTCGAGTGATCCGCCTGCCTTGGACTCTCAAAGTGCTAGGATTACAGATGTGAGCCACCACGCCTGGCCTTTATTTATTCGTTTTGAGACCAGGTTATAAGACTAGCTAATTTTTGTATTTTTAGTAGAGACGGGGTTTCACCATGTTGCCCAGGCTGATCTTGAACTCCTGGGCTCAAGCGATCCACCTGCCTTGGCCTCCCAGGGTGCTGGGATTACAGGTATGAACCACTGCACCCGGCTCCATCTCTTTTCTTGCCTGCTTAACCACTTGTGTTTCTGGATCTCCGGGTTTCTGACTTTAGACCCCCTCTCTGCTCTCAATGCCAGTGCTGCCCGATTCCTCACGGTTCTCCCCATCTCGCCTTTGGCTCCGTGGCTTGCTTGGCCCCCCACCTGAGTTTCTCTGCAGATACCTGCCTGGCTACCCCATCCCAAGGTCCTTGCTTATTTCTCCCCTGCACTCCTGCCGGTGGCCTGACCCCTTCTGCCCTGTGCCAATTGTCTGCACCCTCCATCCGGGGTTTGCCAGTCAGCCGGCCCAGAGCTATGTAAACAACAAGTCTAGATGTGTCCCTATTTGGGCAACTCTGCAAGGGAAAAATAAGAAGTTGTTAGAATGCTAAGAATGCAGAGCATCCGGAGATTCCTTAAGCAGAGTCTTCCTCCTGTAGCAAAGTGTGTCGCTGAGATGAGGCATAAAGAAGTGGCTTCACTCCAGGAGGGCCGGCAGCTGAGAAAGGAGGGAAGTTGTGTGTGAATGCCAGGCTGGAAAAAAACTCTTATTTCTTATTTTATCATGAGGTGGTTTTCTTTGAATTGCTTAGAATTGTGCGTACTTTTTTTTTGTAACAACTTCGTTTTAACATAATGTTTCTTATTGCCTTTGGCTAAGATATAATAATATTGATAGTAGGTTTGAAAGACTTAGCAAATAAAAATACAGGATTCCCAGTTATGTTTGAATTTCAGATAAGCAATGAATATCTTTTTTTGCATAATAGGTCCCAAATATTGCCTGTGAATCCTGCATTTTATCTGATGAGGGCTTAAATTGTGCCGCTCACGTGCTCAGTGGTGGTGTAGTAGCCCTAATGAATAGGCACTGTGTGTGGGTCTCTGCTATGTGCCAGGGACCTTATGTCTATTATCGCATTTAGTCCCTCTTTTTTTCTATTCTCCTTTTACGAATGAGAAATTAGAGGCTCTGAGATGCTGAGCAACTCATCCAAGGTCATAGCCAGGAAGTGGTAGGACTAGAATTTTAACCTTTGTCCGATCCCCAAAGCCCATATGCTTCTATTTCTTTTTTTCCTTCCTTCCTTTTTTCTCTCTTTCCTTCCCTCCTTCATTCTGTCTCTCCCTCCCTCCTCTCTCTTTTCTTTTTTCTTTTCCTTTCCTTTCCTTTCCCTTTCATTCTTTGTTTCTTTCTCTTTCTCTTTCTTTCTTTCTCTTTCTTTCCTCTCTCTCTCCTTCCTTCCTTCCTTCTTTCCTTCCTTCTCACTGTCTCTCTCTCTCTCTCTCTTTCTTTTTTGAGACAAGGTCTTGTTCTGTCACCCAGGCTCCAGTGCAGTGGTGCCATTGTAGCTCACTGCCACCTCAAACTCCTGGGCTCAAGCAATCCTCTGTCCTCAGCCTCCAGTAGTTGCTGGGACCACAGGCATGTACCACCATCCATACTCTTTCCTGAATCTCTTCTCCACCACTCCCTCCAAATCAATTTGTCTCTTCACCTTTTAAAAAGTTCAGGACTCTTTTCTCTCACTGTCCCCTCCCTGTACACACTCCTAGAAGAGCAGAGATCCCTGTATGTTAATCTAGAGGAAGCAGATCCCATGGATGGCTGCTTTTTCCAGGTTCATAATTTATTGTACAAATTGAATTATCACATGACAAGTCGACATGAGCTTCTCCAGGCATGAGAACTAAACGGCTGAGGCACAGACAGTTTAGAATCCATTATATTGCTTTCACAGATGGAGTTTTTTTAGATCTTGACTTGAAGTGAAAGATCATCAAAGCAATGCCTCCATATGTGGCCAGTACTCAACTCACTGTACTTGTGAGCGTCTAAGAGTTGAAATGCATTTTAACGCCTGGAATTGGGCATCAGTTTCTGGACCTGCCATGATTTCAATCTAGCCAAAGCCACACATTCCACAGCCACTGTCCTTCAATGTACGCAACCTGGACAGCTATTTTTAAAGCTAGAAATACAAGCTAAATTCATGTGGACAATCCAAGGTAGAGGTGGGAAAGTCTCACCTTCAACCAAATCCTATTAATGGAGAGCAAGCTGCAGTTCCATTCCCAGAAGGTAACTGGTAATTCTGGGAATCAGAAAACAAAATAGCAAACTACAGCACAGAGGCAGAGCCCTAGGGAGATAATAAAATCAAATGAAGTGAACAGGAGTATACAAATTGTAAACCCCCGAAGACTGAGATAATGGCCCTAGAAGCAAGTATAGTAAGCCAAAGGGAGACCCCCTAGAGGCAGAATGGAAATGAGCATGGCAGAAAGTCCTGCAAATACAGCTCCCTGCAGGGCCCAGAGAACACCAGGCAGCCAGGATGCATCTGTGTGCGTCCACTCAGGAGCCCTGTGCCCCCATGTTCTGGCCGCAGAACAGTGGCCGACAGGCAGAAAGCTTGATGCTGGGGTCTGGACACCTTGGAGGTGCTTATGACACTGGCGGCTGAGTGTGAGCCCAGCACGATTCTGCACCATCATGAGTGTTAAGGACAGAGTGTTTCTGGTACTTGTATTTTGTCTTGCGTTACGGCTCTAGTTCACTTTTGGTTTACATTTTATTTATTTATTTATTTATTTATTTATTTATTTATTTATTTATTTATTCTGAGATGGAGTCTCGCTCTGTGGCCGAGGCTGGAGTGCAGTAGCATGATCTCGGCTCACTGCAGCCTCCACTTCCTGGGTTCAAGCAATTCTCCTGGGTCAGTCCCGCCTCCACCCCACCCCCCACCAAGTAACTGGGATTACAGGTGTTCATCACCATGCCCGGCTAATTTTTGTATTTTCAGTAGAGATGGGGGTCTCACCATGTTGGCCAGGCTGACCTTAGATGATCAGCCTGCCTCAGCTTCCCAAAGAGCTGGGGTTACAGGCGTGAGCCACCGAACCCGGCCTTGTTTATGTTTTAAATTAAGTGACTGGACAGAGTCATTCCATCCTGTAGCACTCTCAGCTTCAGGGCAAGGAAGGAATGGGAAGAGAGCAGGCTAGGAGGAAAAAGTGAACAGGATCAGCGATTTTGTGTTTCTCAACAATCGCTCTTCAGCTTTGCAAAGGGAAGAGCTGAATTTGAATCCTGGCCCATCCAATTACTGACCAGGAGGTGTTGAGAAGTTTACCCACAACCTCTCAGAAGCTTTGTTTCCTCAGCTAAAAATTAGTATAATAAAATCTCCTTACCTTAAGCTTTGTAAAGACTCAAAGAAGTATAAATTGCTTTGCAGTAGTTGCTAGGCAGTTATCATTATGTAAAAGTACAGCTCCCCCTTTGAGCAGAGGGCATAAACCAGTAGATGCTATTCTGAATAACCCACTCCAGCAAGGCTCCAACAGAAGGAAGTAATTATAAAGTATTAGATTTGAATGTAAGTCCACTCTGGCCCCAGGGTCCTTTTCTACCTGAAATGTGCATCTTCTAAAACAGTGCCTTAGGTTGGAAGAGAATGGGATCAAATAAGTATGACTGCCAATGCATTTGGATCATTTGGGGAGTGCTTTCAATTTTTTAGTGGAAAAAAATGCTATTAAGCTTAGAAAATGTCCCCATTCTTCTAGGCCCCCAAGCATGCTGAAGTCATCATTTATTACACATTTACTGAGCATCTACTCTGCATCGGACATTGTGCTAGGGAAGATAGACCTGGTCCCCTGCCATTAATGGTGCCTTCATGTTGATTCATACATTAAACAAAGAGTCACACAAATAAGGATAAAATTCAAATGGCGATCAGTGCTATGAAGGAGGAAGTCAGGGTGTATAAGAGCCTAAAACTTAGAGAACTACGTGAGCCTTACCTTTCTGAGATAACTCTTCCTAATCCCCTATGCAGGAAAAAGATTTCTTGTGAAAAGCAATGATAGAAGAGCAATCCGGGGAAGCAAAATGAAACCCAGCCTGAGTTAGAAAGGAGAGACCAGTACATGACATTCTAGACTGGACTCTCCTTTACTCCTTTTCAATGGGCTCATGGGCCAGTGTTTATTTTGCTGACTGCCTCAAAGGAAGTAGTGTCCTCCTCAGACTTAACCACTCTTTTCCAAGTGAAGACTTGGGTGGGTTAAGCAGCATGGATATTAACAAGGCAGGAATTAAGAGGGTCCGCGTGAGGCCGGGTGCGGTGGCTCACGCCTGTAATCCCAGCACTTTCGGAGGCCAAGGCGGGCGGATCACGAGGTCAAGAGATTGAAGTGATCCTGGCCAACATGGTAAAACCCCGTCTCTACTAAAAATACAAAAATTAGCTGGGCGTGGTGGTGTGTGCCTGTAGTCCCAGCTACTTGGGAGACTGAAGCAGGAGAATCACTTGAACCCTGGAGGAGGAGGTTGCAGTAAACTGAGATCACACCATGCACTGCAGCCTGGCAACAGAGAGAGACTCTGTCTCAACAACAACAGCAATAACAACAACAACAGCAACAAAAAGAGGCTCCTCTTGAAGTATAAGAGTCAGTACCAGCCAGCCCCTGGACACAACCAAACCTAGAAGAACTGAGGCTGGGATCACCACCTTGCCCAGTCTCCAGGAGTTACATGGAGCAGAAAAGTGGTGCAGAGGAAGCACGGCCCACTGCAATTGCAGATCTATGTATTTTAGCCAGAGATAGATCTGAATGGTTTCCAGGAGCTTCTAAGAGCCTGAACATGAAGCCCCTCTTGGAACTGTCCTTTCTTTCTCTGCCTTAACTCAAAAAGTTGAGAGGGGACACCCTGAAGCTTATCCCCAGTATGACCCTGCTCCAACAGCTTCAGCAAGGGGATGGGGCCTGATTCCACAGGGCAGCTCAACTCGGGGACTCAGCTTGCAGTGCATGCTGGCCTCAAGCCTTTCCATTATGTGCTTTATTTTTGGTAACATTGGTTTAGTTTTCAACTTATATTATTGGTCAAATTGTTATGACTACTTGGGGAATGCATCTCACCATTGCTTCAGAGCTCTCCCCTGTAACAAAAGAAACCAACACCCAAGCTCTGTGCTAGTTTTTCTATCTCTTCTCTCTTTCTCTCTCTCTTTTTTCTTTTTTGAGACAAGGTCTTGCTCTGTTACCCAGGCTAGAATGCAGTGGCATGATCATAGCTTACTGCAGTCTCAATCTCCTGGGATCAGGCAACCCTCTCACCTCAGCCTCCCAAGTAGCTGGGACTACAGGTGCACGCTACCATGCCTGGCTAATTTTTTTGTACTTTTAGTAAAGACGGGGTTTTGTCATGTTGCTCGGGCTAGCCTCAAACTCCTGGGCTCAAGCGATCCTCCCTCCTCGGCCTCCCAAAGTGCTGGGATTACAGGCTTGAGCCACCGCACCTGGCCTTCCCCATTTTTCTCTTAATCCATATCTCAGACAGGAATCTGTATCTCTCACTCTACAGATCATTCTGTAGGCACTATGCTAAACTGACACCAGTTTCAAATTTAGTCCTTAATTGATCTTGGCCTTTAGGTGAGCAAAGTTACAGTGGTAAATTACGCTCCTTCGCTTACAAAATCTCTTGCTTGGTATTTATTCCCCAGGGGTTACATAGAATAGAGTGGAGGCAGTAGACATGGAGAAATCCTATCTTTTAAGAAAGAAAAAAATGGGCATTTTTCTCATGGGGAAGGATTTTTATTTTTCAAATGGGTGTTTGAACTGTAATGATTTCATGACATCTGCCTAACGGTTTTGTTTCTTTGTCTTACAGAAACAAACAGTCGTTGCTGTCAAAAAAGAGGTAATTAGTCTTACACTTCCAGTGAAGAATGGTTTTAAATCTTCTAACAGGTTATATGTACTTTGTTTTACCCTCTGCGCTTGGTAATGAAATGAAAACCACGTGCAATGTTCAAACAATTATTTCCAAATTCACGGACAGCACAGAGTGACGAAGCATCTTCTGTAAGCTCTGGCTGGGGCTGGGGCTGAGGCTGGCACTCAGGGTCTGAAAAACCCCTCGAAGGCACAGAGCTGAGGGGTGGCCAGAGAGGACTGTGGAACCAATGCTGCAGGCTGCAGAGACTCTACATCCCCAACGTGGCCCCTGCACCTATCATTACAGGGCCAGAATCTACCCAAGGTGGCAACTGCCTATTTTGGCAAATCTTATGTCTGGGGCCCAAGACAGAGTCCTGGGAACCATGGGGCATTGAGCTGGGGTGTACGGTTAGCTATCTGAACGTGGAGGAAGGTGGTTGAGGAGGGGATAACTTGCTTTGGCCAATGCTGCAGAATCAGGAAGTTTAAGGATGTCACCTGTGGTGGGGACCACTCTCTGCTTCTGTCTGCCAGAGACATGTGAGGGAAAAGCCAAGCGTTTGTCCCCGTGTCTCAGTTGAATGCTCCTTAGAACTTTTTTTTTTTTCTGCTGATGCTTTTTCCCAGACTAATACATAATGGCTGAAGGAGGCCACTGATTTGAAGTCTGTGGTCATCTGTCCACTGTGGGCCTGACCCACTGGTACTGAGGGGGCTGGCTCTGGGCATGGAACGGGATGTGGCTCTGGGTAAATGGCTTCTGGGTTTGGAGGCTGTGTGTAGTGACACTGAAGGGTGGGAGGGGGTTGAATACCTTCTAACAACTGTGTCTCTTCCAGATCATGTATTACCAACAGGCCTTGATGAGGTCCACAGTGAAGTCTTCTGTGTCCCTGGGAGGGTATGTCCCTGATTTGTTGATCTTGCTAAAGTCTGATGAACAGGTAGACAAGAGGAGAACTTCTGCAAACTCGACAAGTCCTGGGCTGACAGACTGAAGATTCAGCAGAACTGTGAGGGACAAAACCAGTCTCTTGGGGGCTTAGTTCCTAGTTCATCCCTCAGAATAAACCTCCGGGTCTCATCTTGGGTTATGCAAAATCGAGCGTAGGTGAGGTTCTAGAAAAGACTGTTATGTTTCTTGGAATCCACTAATGTGTGGATGGGGAAGTTAGAAAGAGTTGGAAGTCCGTGGACTGTAGACCCTGTGAGGATCCAAGACAGCCTGGGTTCCTATCGTTACTGGTTCCAATTCATTAGGAGTGTGTGAGTCATGTTTACTGGTTCCATGTGCTACTAAATGTCCATTGTTCATCTTTGATTTAAAATCCCATTAAGATAAATTGGACATTTATGTTTGATTTATTGAACTTTCTGGCTACCTTGACCCAGCCCCCCATAGGACATCATCTAGGAGACAAGAAAGAGCTGAGTGCTGCCTCCCACGTGCAAGCAGTTATTCTTTTAAAATGCGGAATTTATCTTAGGACTGCATTTCTAACTCTGGGATTTTCCTGCACACATGAAAATAAACTTGGCTTATTCCTGGGAGGCACGATGTGACTAATCATGTATTCTGACTGTGTAAGACTCAAGTCATGGTACTAATCGGGACTGAAGATGCTGTTTTGTTTAGTGCCTTCCTTCAATATGTTTAAGGGTTGGGCTCTTGTAAAAATGTTTTACATCTTCCTATGTCCCCAGTTTGCAAAAATGCCATCTGCCTGAGAAAATATGCCCTGACCCCACACACATTTCAGTGACTCTGCTGCTGCTAAGCCCTGATCCCAGCTGAGGAGGGCACCTGTGTACTCAGGGGCATTCACTTTGGGTTATAATAATCATCATTGTTCAGTGATAAACTCAAAACCATTTACTTCCGTGTTCCATAAACCCAGTTTCATGAAACCAAACAGAAAGAAAATGGAAGGAGACCCAAGGATAGTTCTTAGACCCAGTTTCCAATTTTTATTTGTCTCAGGACCTCATTACCGTAATTTTGACATCATTAGTGTTTTGACCTGTGAACCAGTTTTTTTTTTTGTTGTTGTTGTTGTTTTTTACCTCCAGCTTCTCCACTGGTAAATGTCTGGGCCCGTCGAGGTGCCTCATGCCTGTAATCCCAGTACTTTGGGAGGCTGGGGTGGGCAGATCACCTGAGGTCAGGATTTCAGGGCTGAGGTCGGGGCGGATCACCTGAGGTCAGGAGTTCAAGACCAGCCTGGTCAAAATGGAGCCCCGTCTCTACTAAAAATACAAAAATTAGCCAGGAATGGTGGTGTGCCCCTGTAGTCTCAGCTACTTGGGAGGCTGAGGCACAAGAATTGCTTGAACCCAGGAGGAGGTGGCTTCAGTGAGCTGAGATAGCGCCACTGCACTCCAGCCTGGGAGACAGAGCAAGACTTTGTCTCAAAAAGAAAAAAATAAAAAAGGTCTGATTGTCGACTAAGAGAGTCTCGGGAGAGAATAAGCCAGGGGGCTTGAGTTCTGAATAGAATTGCAAACCCAGTGCTTGTCTCTAAGGTACCAGTGGTTTATCTCTAAGGCATGGATCCTGTTCTGTCCAAATCTTATGGCTGAGGGAAGACTTCAGGGCAGGTGCATTTCACATTCACTGTGGACACAATTCCCCACCTACGGGGAGGAGGCACAGCAGGTTTTCAATACCCAGACAGCAGGAAATGCATTGACTCAGAAGGTCTGACTCAACTCAAGGGAATTAGCTTTTTTTAGAAAAGTTTTTTAAATTGACACATAATTGTACATGTTTAGGGGGTACATAGTGATGTTTCAATACATACAATGTGTATTGATAGGATCAGGGTAATTAGCATATCCATCATCTCAAACATTTATCATTTGTTTGTGTTGGGAACATTCAATATCTTCTTTTCTGGCTATTTGAAAGTATATAAAGTAAAACAGAGGTTACTACAGACTGGGAAGGGAAGGGGGAAGGGGAGATAGGGAAGTATTTGTTAAAGGATAAAAAATTAGGCCGGGAGCGGTGGCTCACGCCTATAATCCCAGCACTTTGGGAAGTTTCAGGCAGGAGGATTGCTTGAGTCTAGGAGTTGAAGACCAGCCTGGGCAACATAGTGAGACCACATCTCTACAAAGAATAAAAAAAATTAGCCAGGTGGTGGCACATGCCCGTGGTCCCATCTCATCATGACACTGACGTGGGAGGACGGCTTGAGCTGGGGAGGTCAAGGCTGCAGTGAGCCATGATTGCATCACTGCACTCCAGCCTTAGTGACAGAGCAAGACAATGTCTCAAAAAAAAAAAAAAAGTTACGAAATTACAGCTAGATAGTGTTCTGTAGCACTGAAGGATGACTGTAGTTAATAATAATACAGTATGTATTTCCATAATAGCTAGAAGAGAAGGAATTAGCTCTTCCTCCAAATAGTGTGTTTGGACCAATTAAGCCCCAGGTTTAAATAATGGGCCTAAGTTTCCAAACCCAGGCATTATCCTGAGAAAGGGTAGAACCCAACATGGCAAGAGTCTTGGAGTCTGTGGCAACTTTGGGCTTCTAAGATGGGTGCAGAGACACAAGTTTGAACACTCCAAGTTGGTTTGAATCTAAAAACCTATTGATAAAATATAAACAGGCCATATTTTAATGAAATAGATACAGAAAGGCCGGGCATGGTGGCTCACACCTGTAATCCCAGCACTTCGGGAGACTGAGGTGGATCGCTTGACCCCAGGAGTTTGAGACCAGCCTGGGCAACTTGGCAAAACCCTATCTCTACCAAAAATACAAAAAAAAAAAAAAATTAGCCTGGCCTGGTGGTGCGCGTCTGTGATCCCAGCTACTCAGGAGGCTGAGGTGGGAGGATTGCTTGAGCCTGGGAGGCGGAGGCTGCAGTGAGCCAAGATTGTGCCACTGCACTCCAGCTTGGCTGTCTCAAAAAAAAAAAAAAAAGAAAAAAAAGAAAAAGAAATAGGTATAGAGGAATGACAGAGGGACTGGATGGAAGACAATGTTTCATTTCACAAGTAGAATTGGGACTGATTTTGTCAAATACCTGCCAATCCCAAGGGTTATTTGATTTGAGGAAATTTCTAGGAAAACAGTAATAAGTATGTCACCAAATCGATACAGGAAAAGAGGACAGCCTGGTCAGTTGACCTGTGTATTGATGTCATATCTTGGGTGTCGAGCTTCTAGGAAATCATTTTCTGTTTCCTTTTCAGGATTGTGAAATACAGTGAGCAGTTCTCATCCAACGATGCCATCATGTCAGGCTGCCTCCCCAGCAACCCCTGGATCACCGATGACACCCAGTTCTGGGACTTAAATGCCAAATTGTATGTATTTTATATATTGGTGTTTTTTAAAAAACCGTTTTTGAGTTACAATTCACATGCCATAAAATTCACCCCTTCAAAGCATACAGTTCAATGGTTTTTATTATATTCATAGAGCTACAATCAATTTTAAAACATGTTCATTACACAAAAAAGAAACCCTGGACGCCCTCCAGCCTTAGGCAACTATGAATCTACTTTCTGTGTTTACGGATTTGTCTGTCTGGACATTTCCTATCAATGGCATCACTTGGAATCTGAGGAATGACAGAGGGACTGGCTGGCAGACAATGTTTCATTTCACAAGTAGAAGAGGAACTGATTTTGTCAAATACTTGCCAATCCCAAGGGCTACTCGATTCGAGCAAGTTTCTAAGAAGACAGTAATAAGTATGTCACTAAATCGATACAGGAAAAGAGGACAGGCTGGTCAGTTGACCTGTGTATTGATTTCATCTCTTGGGTATTGCGCTTCTAGGAAATCTAGGAAAGACTATGGGGTCTTTTGCGACGAGCTTTTTTCACTTAGCATCATGTTTTCAAGGTTTACGAATCTTGTAGCATGGATCAGAACTTCATTCCCATTTATGGTTGAATCATCTTCATGGTATGGATGCACTAGAGTTTGTTTATCCATTCATCTGCTGATGGACATTTGGGTGGTTTCTGCCTTTTAGCTATTATGAAGAATGCGGCTATGAACATTCGTGGGCAGGTTTTTGTGTGGGCATATTTTCATTTCTCTCGGGTGTATATCCAGGAGTGGAATTGCTGAGTCAAATGGTGACTCTATGTTTAACAACAGATTGGTTTTGAAAATTAAAAAATCATATGTATGGCTTTGCATGTTTGATATCTAATTAGCGTAAACTTAAGTTCTGGGCGGGCAGGGCCCTAAACCTGCCCTTTCCCTTACCCTTTGGCTTTTTTTTGTCAGTTTTGAATAGTCATTGCTCACTGGACCTGCACGCTTGTGTTATTTGGAAGAGGGGGCAGAGGCAGAAACACAGGAGAGTTCCGGCACACAGAGGGAGGAAGAAGAGAAGGGTGTAATGGTCAAATTAGAGGGAGAGAGAGAGGAGGACAGGGGAGAAGGGACAGGCCTGAGTGTGTGAGGGAGGTGGGGTGATGGGAAAGGAAGGAGTGCCAGGTATAGGTCACAGCTTGGGTCAACACTGCCGAGGCCATGAGGAACACACAGGTGACACTGACCCAGCTGGGTAAGCAGGCCTGGCCTGGGAGGGCCCTGATTCTCATCTTAAGCAACACTGGTACCTATTCCACGTGGCCCGCTCTGGGCAGCCAACAGGTTAAGGAGGCCACTCCTCTGGAGTCAGGGGTCCCCTGTCTACTAAGGTCAACTGCAGAGCCAAAGACTCTAGAACTACCTTCTGGGGAGGCTTCCCTTATCCTCTTTGGGCTCTGGCTGTTGGGGTGCTTCTCTGCAGCCCATGTCTGCCTCCCAGCGTACTGAATGAGAGAGGCGACCTGTGTCTGCCTGTGGACAAGCATGTGCGGACGCTGGCTCTCCCTGGAGGAGAAGGCAGGGAATCTGGCCAGGAAGAGGGTTGTCCTAGGAGGGCTTGGGGAGGAGAGATGGATGGCCGCTGAATTTTAAATAAAATGGGGAGCATGGTATTGAAGACAGGTAGAGATTGCTGGCAAGAAGAAAAATGTGTGTTCTGTGTAAGAACCGTTGATCAGAGGGCACTGGGTGGGTGACAACTGGAACTCCCCATTAAAGTGGGAAGCCCTGTTCTTTTTTGTGGATCCTATATGTTTATTGAACCAAATATATATATACACATATATGTATTTGTAAGTATATGTATATATATATTTTTATTGGTGCACCTATCAACTGTGCCGCGTACACTGAACCCCGTTTTTAGTCTTATATCCCTCACTCCCTTTTCACCCCTTTCCCCTGAGTCCCCGAAGTGCATCGTGTCATTCATAAGCCTTTGCATCCTCATAGCTTAGCTCACATGAAAGCGGGAAGTCTTGTTCTTAATGGTTTAGATTTTAGAACAGTATTACAATTACTGGGGAAGCTTAACAAAAACATCAACGTTCAGGCCTTATCCTCCCAAACCTCTTATTTGGTTGGCCTGGGTTGCTGTCTCACCACTATCAGCGTTTTTTGAAAGCTCTGCTGATTTTCACAAACAGCCAGGATTCTTAGGCTGGTTTACAGCGTTGATTCCCAGTGTGGGCCCTGGACCAGCGGCATCCGCAGCACCAGGGAACCTGTCAGACATGCGTATTCTTGGGCCCCACCCACTCCTACTGAATCAGAAACTCTGAGGTTGGGACCCAGCAATCTGTTTCAATGCATCTTCCAGGTGATTCTGATGCATGTGGAAGTTTGCAAACCACTGTCGTCATCACAACTCAGCTTCTTACTAATTATGTGAGACTTGGCAAGTATTTAATCTCTTTGAGCCTCAGTTTTCTTGACAATGAGATGGGATAGTAATACTCAATTCATAGTGTTCTTTTAAGGATTCGATGGTATGTGTGTAACGCACAGTACCTCACATAGGACAATGCTTTGTGAATGGCAGTTGTTAATGTTATCAGTTTTCTTATTGTTTGTACACTTGTTCTTATGGAAAGTGTAAAACTTGCTTGGCATGCTTTATCTTGGATCCCATAGACATGAATTGTGCCTGGTTCTGGTCCTAGCTGCTACATCAGTGGGAAAAATGGTGTGAGGGACTTGAAACCTTAGTTTCAAAGGTCTGTGTTAGGTTTAGGAGAATTCCATAAGGGATAGGAGAGAACACTGAGTCTTTTTCTGATTCTCTGGAATGTTAGATCTCTGCTAGCTGGGCTCGAATATCCTACCTGGGATCAGGGAAATCTTTCCAAACAAGGAGGTGCAGTGGGACCTGCATCTTAGAGGAAGCCCTGAAAGGGAGTGCAGAGATGGCAAATGGGTCTACTCCGAGGCACATGGCCTGAGGCAGGTACAGGAGGAGCCACCGGCTCCCACCAGAAGCCAGGGTGTGCCATGGTAGGGGGGCAGCTGTCGTGGGTGATAGGCACCCAGCAGGTGGCAGTGATTGTAGCACCCATCACCAATGCTGCTCCAGAATTCTCTCCTAGTCCAGGTGGCAGCCTGACCCTCTGCTGGCCAGGCTCCAGGCTGTTACCATGCCTTGGAGGAGGCATTTGAATTCGTTTGTCCTTAAGGTTAAGTGAGCAGGACCTGAGTGTGGGCTCCCCACGGTGGGCATCCTCCTCACCTCTGGGATGGTCATGTCTTTGATGTGAGCCCCGGGGGACTTGTCTGTGGCTGCATCTTCCTAGCAAGTGATTACTTGGCTTGTGTGTTATGCAGGGATTGGGAGGAGGAGGATTGAATTGAGCCCTGGGCCATGAGACTAAAGGCCCTCACCCCAACCCAGGCCACCACCTGTCACAACCGCTACCTCTCTGGTGCATTTACAAATCATCCTTGCAGGGTGGAAATCCCAACCAAGATGCGAGTGGAACGATGGGCCTTCAACTTCAGCGAATTGATCCGAGACCCCAAAGGTCGACAGAGCTTCCAGTACTTCCTCAAGAAAGAATTCAGTGGTGGGTCTTTGTTTACAAAAAAAAATTAAAATAACTTACTTTTAGAAAGAGTCCTTTAATGTCTAGCCTAGGGTTTGGGGAATTTCTCAGCAGATGTTTTCAGAGCTTTGCTTATGCCCTTAAACAGTTGCTTCCTTTCACAGCTTTAAGAATGGGACCTGAGCCCAAGACTCGTTCTTTCCATAGACTCAAAGAGGCCCCACCGTCTGGGGGAAAATTGCACCTGCTCACAGAATCTACATCAGGATCCCTCACATTTCTGAGGGCTCCATCCATCCTGGATGCCCCCACTGTCACCCGAGGAGCCCCCGCTCCTTCTAGTCAGCCTCTAAATATAATGAACCTGGAGGAAGGGAAGGGAGACAGGCAGGCTTTCCCTTTCTTTCTCTTTTTGTCTCCCAGCCTGATTTTCTTTTTTCTTTGTTTCTTTCTTTTTTTTTTTTCTGGAGACAGAGTCTTGCTGTGTCGCCCAGCCTGGAGTGCAGTGGGATGATCTCAGCTCACTGCAACCTCCGCCTCCCTAGTTCAAGCGATTCCCCTGCCTCAGCCTCCCAAGTAGCTGGCGTTACAGGTGCCTGTCACCACACCTGGCTATTGTTTTGTATTTTGAGTAGAGATGGGGTTTCACCATATTGGCCACGCTGGTCTGAAACTCCTGACCTCAGGTGATCTGCCCTCCCCAGCCTCCCAAAGTGCTAGGATTACAGGCGTGAGCCACTGCGCCTGGCTTCCTGATTCTCTTTAGCTCAGTGGTTCTACACATTCAGTCTGCCTGGGGATATTTTAAAACATGTTTTCCTGGATCTCATCCCTAAAGTTGCTTTTAAATTGGTGGGGGTTGGAATCCTTGAAGTTTTGGAAACTCCCCAGATGATTCCAATGTGTGGTGATTGACAGCCATCACCTTAGCTCCTGGCCTGATTTCTTCAGGGCCTTAGGAGGGTGTGGATTTTAGTGAAATGGGCAGGGCCACATTTTGTCCCATCTCTGAATGTCACCTCATGAGGGGAACTGTGACTTTTTTTTTTTTTTGATATGGAGTCTCGCTCTGTTGCCCAGGCTGAAGTGCAGTGGCATGATCTCAGCTCACTGCAACCATTGCCTCCGAGGTTCAAGTGATTCTCCTGCCTCAGCCTCCCAAGTAGCTGGGACTATAGGCACGTGCCACCACACCTGGCTAATTTTTGTATTTTTAGTAGAGACAGGGTTTCGCCATGTTGGCCAGGCTGGTCTCGAACTCTTAACCTCTAGTGATCCACCTGCCTCGGCCTCCCAAAGTGTTGGGATTACAGGCGTGAGCCACTGCACCAGGACTGTGGCTTTTTAAATATACTGCACTTCCCGGAGAAGCATCCACAAAAAAACACGAGGCCAGATCAGAACCAGGCTGTGCATTCACCACCTTCATTGAAATATTTACCTTTACGGGATTCTTTTACTTCCTTGCTCAGTACCCAGCCCTGGGGGCATCACTCCTGAGCCTTGACACTCAGCTGCTTACTACCCAAGATCCACTTGTCTGTGGCACTGCTCCAGAAACGAATCCTACTGGACATGCCTTTAGCCTGGCTGACTGCCGGATGCAAAACATTACATGATAATATGGATTGTTGATAATCATCTCCCTAATCAAGTCTAATTGCTGCTCTAGAACAAAACCCAGAAAAGATGGATGGACTGGCGAATAAGTGGTTATAGTGCCATCTAGTGGCAAAGTGACAACATACACCCTGAATTTATTATCTCCCCCCCACTAATTCCTTAGTGAGAATCCAGCGAAAAGATTTCCCTGCATTATTTAAACCGTATTATTAGCAATCTCCTCATGAGATTCCTGAGGCTTTAGGTATGAACAGGGCAGATAAATCATCAATTTGCTCATTTACTTTTTAAAAAGATTTTTAAATTGAAATATTATTTGCATATGATGAAATTAACTTTTTAAAAGTGTACAATTCAGGGGTTTTAGTGTATTCACTAAATTGTGCAACCATCATCACTAATTCTAGAACATTTTTGCCACATTAAAAAGAAACTCTTTACCCATTAGAATCATCTTCTATTCCTGCTTCTCCTGCACCCCAGCCCTAGGCAACCACAAATCTACTTTCTACCCCTACGGATTCACCTCTTCAAGACATTTCATGTAAACGAAATCATGCAATATGTGACCTTTTGTCTTTTTTCACTTAGCATAATGTTTTCAAGGCTTGTCTGTGTTTCAGCATATAACAGCGCTTCTGTTCCTTTTTTTTTTTTTTTTTTTTTTTTTGACAAATTCTCACTCTGTCGCCCAGGCTGGAGCGCAGTGGCGTGATCTCATCTCACTGCAACTTCTGCCTCCCGGGTTCAAGTGATTCTCCTGCCTCAGCCTCCCAAGTAGCTGGGATTACAGGCGCCCGCCACCATGCCCAGCTAATTTTTGTATTTTTAGTAGAGACGGGGTTTCATCATGTTGGCCAGGCTGGTCTCAAACTCCTGACCTCAGGTGATCCACCCGCCTCGGCCTCCCAAAGTGCTGGGATTACAGGCGTGAGCCACTGCGCCTGGCCACGTGGTTCCTTTTTAATGACTGCATAATATTTCCTTCATTCCTTTTTAATGACCCCATAATATTTCCTTGTTTGTATGTACCACATTTTGCTTATCCATTTGTAAGTTAATGAACATTTGGGTTGCTTTGACTTTTTAGCTGTTATGAATAATGCTGCTATGAACTTTGGTGTACATATTTTTGTGTGCTCATTTAATATTTTTGGTGGGAAAACGTATGTAACATAAATTTTACCATTTTAACCATTTGCTTTTGAGACGGAGTCTTGCTCTGTCGCCCAGGCTGGAGTGCAATGGTACCATCTCGGCTCACTGCAACCACTGCCTCCCTGGTTCAAGCAATTCTCCTGCCTCAGCCTCCTGAGTAGCTGGGATTAGAGGCGCCCGCCACCACGGCCGGCTAATTTTTGTATTTTTAGTAGAGACAGGGTTTCACCATGTTTGTCAGGCTGGTCTCGAACTCCTGACCTTGTGATCCGCCCCCCTCAGCCTCCCAAAGTGCTGGGATTACAGGCGTGAGCCACCCATGCCCAGCCGAAATCTTCTTCCTTTTTAAGGCCAAATGATATTCCCTTGTAGTCTTCACCATATTTTGTTCATCCATTCTTTTATCGATGGACATCTGAGTGCTTTCCACTTACTGGCTATCACGAATAATTGCTTATTTAATTTTACTAAGCAATCAACTGTCTTTTGCTATGGGCAAGATGGTTTACATGGCACTTTTGTCAGATCAGTTACATTTTAGTTGAGAGCATCACTGGTCTGTGATCTCAGTCCAAAGAACGCCCTAAAGTTCATGCTGAAAAGGAAGGACCTCTATAGAGCTATGGGACAAATGCCAACTAGTTTAAAATTGTGCAGCCTTTTCTAATATGAAGCACCCAGGAGCTTTTAAAAAAATGCAGTTGACCCTTGACCAACACTGGTTTGAACTGCACGAGACCACTTATAGGTGGATTTTTTTTTCAGTAAATATATTTAAAAACTTGGGGGGATTTGCAACAATCTGAAAAAACTTGCAGATGAACTGCATAGCCTAGAAATAGAAAAAAGTTATGAAAAGGTATCATGAATCCATAAAATATATATGTAGATACATATCCACTTATGTGTCCATTGACTGTTTATGTTATTAGTAAGGCCTCTGGTAAACAGTAGGCTATTTGTAGTTAAGTTTTTGGATTTTCTACTGCATAATGGTCTGCGCCCTAACCCCTTAATTGTTCAAGGTCAACTGTACTGAGAAAAGAGAGGAGAGGATTTTGTTGTTCATTTCCCCACACTGTGACACACTCCACGATTTACACACACACACACACACAGACACACACACACTTGCTCTCTCTTGTGATCGTCTTTATTTTCCCAGGCAAAAATCACCACCTGGGACCACTGTATGAACATATGCGTGGTACCTCTGGACGCTGCAGGTTAGAGAACCTCGAGTTGGAGGGAGATGAAGGATTTGGGGGAACCTGGCTTTTCCTTCTGGGCCAATCCCCTCTGGCTCAGGTGATGCTCAGTTCAGTCCTGCTCCTGGCCAGACCTTCCCTGAGGGTCAGTCCATCAGCACTGCTTCTTGAACAGCCTCTCTGTAAGAACCGTTGGCCTGGAATATGTCTGGTGAGGGACTGCAAATGATGGGTTCTCTAAGCACAGCCAAACAAAGGAGGAAGAACTCACGCTCAGTCATTCAACGGGAGCAAAGGAAGGAGGTCTTGATGTAGAAAACCGTAGCGTAGCAACGCATGTATAGAAGCCTATTCATGTGCGAGCTCGTTCAAGCAATATTTCCTACAGCCAAATTCTAGAATAAAAAAGAGTACGACAACCTCTGGGGGGTGATATGAACTCTGGCCTGTGTATTGTTGGAGGAAAGGAAGCTGCCACGGTGTGAATGCATTGCTGCAAACATGGTAGGTGCCAATCTAGTTTATTTCTAAGGCCACGTATTGAGCAATTACTAAGTTCCCAATGTTCTTCCAGGCCGTAGAAGTGAAGATGTGGCTCCTTTCCCCAAGGAGTATTGTTGTCTAGCATCACAATGTGCAATAGCTTGTTCTGCGGCAGGAAAGGTGTTCACTGAGCTGGGAAATGGAATCCATCCCGGTTGACTCATTTCTTTTATTTCCTCTTTTCTTCTTCCAACTTATTTCCTGCCCGGCCCTCATCCACGTGGACTTCTCACCATGCAGGAGAGAATCTGGGATTCTGGGAAGCCTGCGAGGATCTGAAGTATGGAGATCAGTCCAAAGTCAAGGAGAAAGCAGAGGAGATTTACAAGTGAGCATCAGCCAGGGTGCTGGAAAGCCTTCCCTTGGGCCTCTGAGGACCACCCCATTGTGCTTGAGGTGAAGATAGGATGAGAGGACAACAGCCTGGTAGCTGGCTGGGCCCTGGTCAGCATCAGTTCACTGTACTTGCCATGCTAGAAATAGTTCCCCGCTGCTTTGGGAGGTTTGGGGGTTCCCTGAAGAAAGCCTGGTGAGACATGCAGTGTGAGTCACCTGTTCCTATGGGAATGTGTCTAGGGGTTAAAAAAGCAAGCTGTCCCGAATTACAGTGCAGAGTGCTCTGTCTTTGACTAAAGCCTTCTTAGGTGTCCTGAGGGGTGTGTGTGTGTGTGTGTGTGTGTGTGTGTGTGTGTGAGAGAGAGAGAGAGAGAGAGAGTGAGAGAGAGAGAGAAGAAGCAGCAAGATGGGAAACCTATTCCTCACGCTTCCTTAGAGATGTGAGGAACACAGGGGAAGGGAGCTCCTCCCACATGTCTGGGACAGTGAGCGCAGCTTGGGGTACAAACATGGGTGGGCACATCTCATTCCTGACATCACGGCTCCAGCCCCCACTTGTTCTGAGCAGCAATAAGTCTGTCCCTCTCCATGACTGTCTCTCCTCCAAATTACACAAAAGCCAAGAGTTCCAGGTTAAAAGGGTCAGTCCTGTTTTCAATGGCCAGGTGGAGAGGGAGGGGAAGGTGTGATGAGGCTCCCAAGGTTGCTGAAAGCCACACTCCCCCTCCCCAACACTCCTCCCCCTACAGGCCTGGTGGGTGCTCCTGTCCTGCTGTGGTCCCATCTCTGTGGGTCCTTTCATCTGCACTGGCTGCAGTGGACATGAGTCCTGGATACTGAGGGCCCAGCATTGTTAGTTCATACTCACATGCTTAGCCGTGTTGCCCAAAGCCCAAGCACCACGCTGGGCTGGAACCAGCCCTTTGCAGTCACCAGACTGTGGTGCTGAACTTTGGGCAGCAGGCCAAACAGCCCCTTCCCTCTGAGGACTTAGCCTCTGGACCCTGGATGTCCTTCCTGCAAATGAACTCAGATTGCAACACCCCGGTTTCCAGAGAAGCACCAGCAGCATTGAAGAGAAAAGCTTGAGGTCTCACTTCTTCTTATACTTAGAGGTTCATACACTCTATTGCAAATTTGCCCAGCTCCTCCCACAGGGAGGGGATCCATGCGCTGAGAGAAATGGGGGTGCGGGTGGGGTGCAGTGGGGAGGGCTGTCGGTCCGGGAAGCTTCCATGACATCCTTTGCAGTACAATGGGTGCCTGATTGCCTTACACACAGTGACGCACACACAACTCCTGATTCCAAAAATCTGCTACAGGAAGCCCGCTGCCTCTGCCATTAGACCAGTTTCCTTCCCCAGGCTCCCTGGTTATGTTATGTAAATCTCAGTTTCAATTCCAAAATTTTAATGTACATCTTAGAAAGGTAGGAAAATATTCATATGAGTATTTCTAATTCAGCAACAGCTCAGAACTGGAAATACTGAGAGAGCTCTGCATCCCGACATCCCAGGTAGAGCCACGGGCTCAGGAAGTGTGGCCAAGTTTGGTCTAATTGGGAGCCTTGGCCTGTCTGCCCAGCGGGTCAGACCTCTGGGTTCTGGGACTATGGGCTGCCTCTCGACACAGCATGTGAAATTCATTACAAAGCACATGTGGGTTGGGAGGAGAGCAGAGACCCCCAGAACACCTGTGTGAAGGTGTCTTAGCCTGGTCCCAGGTTGCCCCTGGAATCCTGGTGCAGAAGGTGTGAAGTTGGAGGCTGAGTTCTTCACCCTCATGGCCAGGACCTAATCCGACCTGGGCCCCAGCCCCTTCTTGCTCTCTCTCCTGGAGGTTGGAAACATCAAAGTTAAATATTCATATTCCCAATACTGGAAGTTTCTTGCTTCAAGGAAAAATTGCTTGACAACCTCTTCAAAAGTTCATGCTCTTTAGTGTCTCCTAAAAAAACCACCACCCTCACCCTCGGTAACCGATTCGTATCAGTCCTTCCCTCCCAAGCAGCTGTGAGCTATCCATGAATTGACTTGGTTTAGTTACTTTTGCTAACATCTCCCTCCCACCCCAGGCTGTTCCTGGCCCCGGGGGCGAGGCGCTGGATCAACATAGATGGCAAAACCATGGACATCACAGTGAAGGGGCTGAAGCACCCCCACCGCTATGTGCTGGACGCCGCACAAACCCACATTTACATGCTCATGAAGAAGGTAGGTGGGTCCGTGCTGTGGATACGGGGTCCAGATAGGCTTTCTG
Source organism: Homo sapiens (assembly GCF_000001405.40). Taxonomy (NCBI): domain Eukaryota; kingdom Metazoa; phylum Chordata; class Mammalia; order Primates; family Hominidae; genus Homo; species Homo sapiens. The sequence continues at coordinate 65,204,348 of NC_000017.11, forward strand.
TCACTAAGTACCCGGAAAATTCTTTAGATATAGGAAAAAGAGAGAGGATACGTGGATAGAGCTTTGCCGGTTGTGGCATGCAGCTAAGCATGGGGGCTCATGTCTGTAATCCCAGCTCTTTGGGAAGCTGAGATGGGAGGATATCTTGAGCCCAGAAGTTTGAGACCAGCCTGGGCAACACAGTGAGACCCTGTCTTTATATAAAAAAGAAAGAGAGAGAAAGAGAAAAACCCCAGAATTGTCAACCGTCTCTTCCACCTGTCCACTGGGGTGGACTTGCCTTGAGCCCCTCACCCACGGGCCTAGAGGAACTCCTGTAGAAGCTGTGTGCATCCTTACGGGCCCCACTCTGCAGCAGTAGACAGGTAGGAGTAATGGCATTAGTAATGACAACATTATAATAACAGCCATCATTCGTTGAGGGCTTACAAGGTGCAGTCGCTGTGCGAAACACAGAACTTTATGCTCAAAGACAGCCCACAAGTTAGGCTTTGCTGCTCCAGAATCTAGTGGCTTGGTCAAGGTCTCACCAGAGATGGGGCTGGGATTCATAGCCAGGTCTGCCTGGGTTTCAAGGCCGAGCTCTTAGTTTCTGCTGCAGAGTGATGGCAATTCTCACCACCCTGGCCCCAGGCAAATATTACACATAGAGGCGTAGTGTCTAGGAGAGACAAATTTGTGTGTGTGTGATTGTAGTAAGACCCTGTGAGAATTTAGATAGCCCTCTGGATTATTAACAAAGTGCGAATGCGGTGGGAATTTAAAAAAAAATATGTGAAGGGTACCTGAGAGAAAAATCAATCATTTTCTTAAGAAACTAGAATCGGAGGCTCAGAGTTAGCCTTAAAGAACTTGTCTAGTTTGATTCTTCTTTGGTGCCATCCTTGACAAGACTTTCTTTGGGTGCTTCAACTTCTCATTATGGCAATGATTTCTTTAAGGGCAAAGTATCTTTATAGGATATAGGTTATGTGATATAGGCTATTTGATATAGGTTATGTGATATAGGTTATATGAGATAGATTATGTGATATAGGTTATGGATATTGGTTATGTGATACAGGTTATGTGATATAGACCATCTGATATAGGTTATATGAGATAGATTATATGACATAGGTTGCGTGATATAGCTTATATGAGATAGACTATGTCATACAGGTTATATGATATAGGTTATGTGATATAGGCTATTTGATATAGGTTATATGATATAGGTTATATGAGATTATATGACATAGGTTACATGATGTAGGTTATATGATATAGGTTATAATGTGATATAGGCTATCTGATATAGGTTATGTGATATAGGCTATATGAGATAGATTATATGATATGAGTTATATGTTATAGATTGTAATGTGTTATAGGCTATCTGATGTAGGTCATGTGATATAGGTTATATGATATACATTATATGATATAGGTTATGTGATATAGATTATGTAATATAGGTTATATGATATAGATTATATGATATAGGTTATGTGATATTGGTTATGTGATATAGATTATGTGGTATCAGTTATGTGATATAGGTTATATAATATAGGTTGTGTGATATAGGCTATCTGATATAGGTTATGTGATATAGGTTATATGATATAGATTATATGATGTAGGTTACATGATGTGGGTTATATGAGATAGGTTATATGATGTGGTTTATATGATATAGGCTATGTGATATAGGCTGTGTGATATAGGTTATGTGATATAGGTTATATGATATAGGTTATGTATATAGGTTTGTGTGAATGGTAAATGCTGATTAGCTTTCCTGATTTATATTTCTTCTATTTAGTCTTTTATTGTATCATTTAAAAGTATTTTTACTTTGTTTTTAAAGCATGTAATAATTTAGAATTGCCGCCAAGCCAGATTAGCCATTTTCATCATTTTTTGAATCAGTGGGGTGTTTCTGTGTGTTTTGAATCAGTGGCTGTCTCTTTGTTTTTGTTACTAGACGATTCACAGCAGGGTTTCTTTAATAATAATCCTCTTTAATGTATTTTAAAACGTTTTGGTTCTTAAAAATGTAGTTTTCGGCTGGGCGCAGTGGCTCACGCCTGTAATCCCAGTACTTTGGAAGGCTGAGGTGGGCAGATCACGAGGTCGGGAGTTTGAGACCAGCCTGGCCAACATGGTGAAACCCCGTCTCTACCAAAAATACAAAAATTAGCTGGGCGTGGTGGTGGATGCCTGTAATCTTGCTACCCAGGAGGCTGAGGCAGGAGAATCACTTGAACCTGGGAGGTGGAGGTTGCAGTGAGTTGAGATCGTGCCACTGCAATCCGGCCTGGGCGAAAGAGTGAAACTCCGTCTCAAAAAACAAACAAACAAACAAACAAAAAAACCTGTAGTTTTCATACGGCTTTTTAGGGGATGCCCAGGGAGGCCAGTTACTAGCCAGAATGGAACAGTCATTGGTAACTGCAGAAAAGAATGGCATATATGCCCACTGGACTCCCTATATGCCATTACAGCTATGTCCTATGGTGAAACACTCAACGTATCCCAGTGGCTCCATGGTCCCTATTCCTAGACTCTATCCTAGTTCTCATAACTTTTACTGCTCCCACTTAGTCTTTAGAATAGTGCCATTTCAATAAATTTTTAAAATACCTCAATCCCTGGTTTGTTGCAGTGGCCTTTGTCCCATATTGGGTATGACTAGAGTTTTCCGCTCGCTTAAAAGTAACGAGCATTCATGAAGCTTCTCTGAAATTGCCCAGAGTCCCAGTAAACAGCCCCATAACTGGACTCTACGCGTTGGTTGTTTTTGTTTTTGCTTTGGTATTCTCTTGCCTTTACACCCAAAACACAGGGCAGAAAGGGATGTCAATGGCTTAGAAGTGGGCTCCATACTCCTGGCTGCTCATCTTCCTTGGAAGAAAGTCTTGGAGAGGAGAGGTCAGATGTGCTCTTGTCTCATGCTGGCTTCACTGAACCACTCCAAGGTGGATCTTCATGTGTAGGGTTACAGACTGTAATTCTCAAACTTAAAGGTGCAGCAGAATTACCTGGAGACTGTTCAGGTAGTTGTTAATTGTTAATTGTTTAGGTGTCCTCATGTGAACAAATGATGACAGGCAATGTCTCCATACATGACCAGCTGTCTCACCTGTTTGGCATGTAGCATGCAGCATATGAGAATAAGTGAAACAAATTAAGCAGTTCTGGGTCTAGTGTACTTTTAACTGTAGCAGCTTTTATGCAACTGGCTACATTTACAACATAGGCTGAATCACAGACAATGTTGATAGGATCTGAAGCTGTGAGCTGTAAAACCTGAGACTGTTCAGGCTCAGGGTGAATCACTCCCAGAGTTTCTCATCAGGACGGCTGGGGCAGGCCTGAGAAGTTCCCAGGTGAAATTGATGCTTCTGGAGGGGACCACACTTGAGAACCACTGCTCTCAACACCTCCCCCAACACCTTTCACCCAAGGAGACAAATTCTCATAACTTTTCCATTCTACTGCCAAGGGAGGCTTGAAAATGGCAAGGGTATTGGTTTGATTTGACTGCTTTTTTCTCTCATAATTACTGTTGTTTTCTTGTTCCCACTAGGATTCTTATGCTCGCTATTTAAAATCTCCGATCTATAAGGACATGCTGGCCAAAGCTATTGAACCTCAGGAAACCACCAAGAAAAGGCAAGTGGAATTATCTGTAATTGCTGGCTGCCTGCTGCTTAGTTTACAGAGAAGTGAGGGTCTCTTTCAGCCAAATGGCTATTATGGAGATATTTGCTTGATGAAAATATTGGGGACTGGGAAGTATTGCTCAGGGAATGAGTGCCTCATTTGCTTCATAATGCCCTGAAATCACTCTAGCAAGATTTCCTTAGTAATTACCACCACTAAGTTTTGTTTCCCCTAAAGCTGGCTTGAAAGAGTTTAGAGGATCAGACCAATAATTACCCTTATCACAAATGGAAGCTTCTCCTTGGTTTTTTAACTGCTACTCGTTACCTCCAAACTGATGTATGGGAATTAATTAAGGTACATCCTTGTATTTAAATTGTTCTAAGACCTTAGAGAGAATAGCAGATTGCACCCCAAGAGAAAATGCTCAGTGAAGGGGAAACGGACAGTAACGGGCTAGGTATTCTTGCTGCCTCCGGGGACCATGTTTTAGAAGTCCATGAACTTGTTCATTCTCACTTTTCTCATTGGAGATGTGGATCATCTCATCTGGTAGAGCCATTGGGACAATGGACGAAATAATGTCCTGAGGGGCAGATTGAACTCTTTTCCGGGGGAATTCAATCTACAAGGATTGAAGATTTAAAATATAAATTGAATGGCAGCTTGAACAAAACTGTAAGGCTTTGGCAGAGGTTTTTCCACTGGCAATCGTGTGTCCTGTCCCCCCCAAAGTGAGTGACTGTTCCCCTGTTTGCTGGGTCAACCCACACTGGGCTCCTTTCCAGCATCTTCCATCAATTCAAAAGGGGGATGGCCGGACCAGAGCCTTTATCAAAGGAGAAAAAACAACAACAACAACAAAAAAAACCAACTTGGCTTCATTCTTGAGGATAATGGCCCTGTTATGAAAAGGAGAGAAAGAAGGTCTTTGTGGTGCTATTCTTCTGGGTTTACCAAGTAAGGAAGGGAGTTCAGTGCCCCTGGGGACTTAAAAGCTTCTACTTTAAGCCAGAAGAAAGGCCTGTAATAGCTCCAGTAGTTCTGCCAGAAAGTAATGAGGGGACAAAAGAGGAGTCTCATACCTCTCTCTCCAGATATTTTAGAAGTTGGGGCAGACGTGAGAATTCTCACTATTGTGAGTGAGAATTACACGTGAATGCATTCGTAAAGTGTGAAGCCTGGTCTGTGTCCATACCAGGACTACAGTGGGTGTGAATTTTGTTCCATGATCCCAGGTATAAGACAATGTATTCAAACTCAATTTTTGCATGACAAGTTACCCCTAGCTCCAAGCCTTCCTCTTGGCAGGGCTGGTGAGAAATCCAATGTCAGTGTCAGGCTTTACATCCTGGTAGGGGAGCCCTTCTTCTCCTTAAGATAGATATAAGAGTTCAAGGGGCTTATGTAGTCAAGGGGCTTATGTAGTCCAGAAATATGGAGTATGTTGCAGGTCTTTGTCTCTTATTGCTGCTGAAGTTCTTGGCTCCAAGCTTACGTGGGCCCTCAAAGGCAGGTGGGCTCCACTGCTCACTGCCCACTACATCACTTGGATACCTAGAGCTTTGTCCTGGCTCCTAAGGCCATGGCAGGGAGAGTTTGGTTCCAGGAATCCAGTTTGGCTTTGAAGAAGGTTCTGGCATGTGTCAAGATATTGCACATGAGCAGGGTACCACCAGCCCACCAGCCCTCTTCAGGCCTCTTCCCTCTTTCTCTGTTCACTGGGGCCTAGCTATTTTGGACAGTCCAGCTCTTTCCTTCCTTCCCAGAACCATAGCTTTTGAAAACAAATGCTCCAGCCAGGCGCAGTGACTCACGCCTGTAATCCCAGCACTTTGGGAGGCTGAGGCGGATGGATCAGTTGAGGTCAGGAGTTTGAGACCAGCCTGGCCAACGTGGTGAAAGCCTGCCTCTACTAAAAATATAAAAATTAGCCTGGTGTGGTAGTACATGCCTGTAGTCCCAGCTACTTGGGAGTCTGAAGCATGAGAATGGCTTGAACCTGGGAGATGGAGGTTGCAGTGAGCCGAAGTCGTGCCACTGCATTCCAGCCTCGGTGATTCAGAGAGACTCTGTCCCCGCTGCCCACCCCCCAACCGCCCCAAAAAAGAAAAGAAAATAAACAAATGCTCCAACTCTCTCCAGTACCCAAGCCTTCATTATCCACTTCTTTCATGAAGATGTTACAAAAAGTTAAGATAACAAATTGATTTCTACATACTGTAGAAGTTCAATGCAACTTCGCCAACAAAAGGGTCTTCCTTGTGCCTGACCTAAAATCTGATGGCAGTTGGTACTCACTCTGGTCTCATCCTCCAAGTGGGGAGAAAGGAGCCAAGGTTGGACCCCACTGGAGGTTCACTGGAAAAAGGAGGGAACAAAATATAGATTCTGGACCTTCCAGCCCCAGCTCCCATCAAGTGTGACAGGGTCAGTGTTGGGCAAGCTGTGTCATTTTCCTCCAACCACCAATCTGTCCTTCCTTCCAGCTCCACCCTCCCTTTTATGCGGCGTCACCTGCGCTCCAGCCCAAGCCCTGTCATCCTGAGACAGCTGGAAGAGGAAGCCAAGGCCCGAGAAGCAGCCAACACTGTGGACATCACCCAGGTCATGAGCAAGCTGGACCGCAGGAGCCAACTCCAAAAAGAGCTGCCTCCTAAATAAATCTGTGATTCCTGGGGGTGGGGTCATGCACTTGGGAGAGGCAAATGAAGAAGGGTAGGGTCAGAGTCTAGAAGGTTCCATTCCCCATTTGTGGAGGTCATCAGGTTCATCCCATACTCCTCTAACTTTCTTCATGGGGGACTTCCTAATACCACAGCAACCAGAGCTTGTTCTCCCAAGCCCACTCATCAGGGGACAGGGTGGGCGAAGGCGGTGGGTGGGAGAGGGGATCACCTGACTCAATTGCTGTGTGGCTGCCTATTGTACCTTAGAGAGTTCTTAGGGGAACTATGAACTTTTTCAGTAAGAGCCAGGGGGAAAAAGCTGTCTCAGTGAGAGCCATAGGGAAAAGTGGTACACAAAGCTCTCACTGAGAGAGAGCTTTGTCTACCACTCTCTGCTTTGGAAAATTAAAAAGAAGGCCTCTCCCCATACCCAAGGCCTAGTGTTTTTCAGGGAGATTTGTTTAAAATAGCTTTATGAAGCTCCTCATCCTATCTCTCTAATTTAGACTATTGTTTCCAAATCATTCTGAGGATCCGCCGAGGGGCTAGTTGCAGGGAAGTACTTTCTCTGAACTCCCCTGCTATGCCTGCCTGGAAAGACCCTGCTGAGACGTTTCTCCTGTTGAGTTTGTTCTTAGTCATAATTACTGGAGGGTTGATGGGCTCTCTTCTTCCCATCTCCCCATCCCCTTGTCCATGCTGGGGAAATAAGCGGCTTGCGGGAATGAAGGACTCAAATGGCCCTCTGAGGAGCATCTTTTTGGCTAAAGAACAAAGGCATTGATGTCTTCATTCATGGGAAGAGGATGGTAGACATCGAGATGAGTGAGGATCAGAGATGATACTCTCTAGGACATTTTCTAGATGTTGATTCTTCCCTCTTCTGTAGGTGTAGACGAGGTCAGCCCTGTGGTCAGGACTGGGGGAGAGGACAGTTCTAACTGACCTTGGGGGGTTTAGAAGGTCATTCTCGAAGTTAGGCTCACTCCTTACACTTGTGCAAGAATGCAACAGAGATAGAGCACAGAAGTGAGCAAGAGACCAGCCTGACCAAGCAGGAATACTCACTCATTCAGCACGTCTATTGAGCACCTACTATGTGCAAACATCGGTGAATAAAACAGACGTGGTTCTCTCTCATGGAGCTTCTTCTAGTCTAGGACTGAGACAAAATAATTAAACAAACTATCAGGTAGCTATTGCTGTGTGACAATCAACCAGAAAAATAGAGCAACATTCAGCAAGTGTTCATTGTTCATGCATGTGGGGTCATCTGTGTGGCTCTGTGGATCTTGGCTGGGTCCACTCATCTGTCTAGGAGTGTTGCAGTGGCCTAGGCTGAGATGAGTGAGATGAGTTTTCTCTGCTTCATGTACCTCTCTTCTCCCAGCAGTCTTGCCTAGGCAGAATCCCATGCTGAAGACTGAATTGCAAGGGAGCAAGTAGAAACACACAAGGCTTCACATAGTCTCTTCTACTTTATTTTATTGGCCAAAGAAAGTCATAAAGCCAGCCTAGATTCAAGGGGCAAGGAAATAGACTCTACCTCTTTAGTGAGAGAAATTTCAAAGTCTCATGGCGAAAGATGGATGAAATTTCAAAGTCTCGTTGCAAAAGACAGGGAAAGTTGAAGAATGAGGGCCATTGTTGTAATTAACAACACAAATGCCTGCCCAAGGATTATAAAGGAAATTAATGTGGTACTGGGATAGGAAAGATGGGATGTGTGTAGGCTATGCCCCTGCTAGCTGGTGACAGAGAAGCAGGGAATGAGAAAGAGTTGGCCATAAGAGCATGTGGACCAGGCAGGGAGAACGTTCTGGGGAGAGAGGGCTGTGTGGGCAAAGGCTCAGAGCTGGGAAGTAGCTCAGAGTGAACCGAAAGGCCAGGTGAGTGAAGCCTGCTGGGTGAGGGGGAAACTGTGCAAGATGAGTTTAGAGAGTGGGCAGGGGCCAGATCATTGATGACCTTCAAGGCTGTTCTAAGGAGTCTGTGGTCACTGGTTTCATGTTAGCAAAATGATTCTAGCCCAGAAGAGGGACACTTACACTTTCCATTTGCACTGGTTGCAGACCAGTTTCCACTCTGAAAGTGCATGGAGGGATATGCTTTGCTCATCTCTCTTCTGGAGAATCTTGGAGTCTTCCCACTCTGGAAGGTACCCCAAGTAGAAATGTAAACCATTGTAAACTGGGTGACACGAGAGGAGGGACTGTATTTATCTCATTCATTACTTGGAGCCTGATTCCTGACACCCAGGGGGTTCTGCACCAACATGAATGACATGAGTGGATGAATGAATGAAAGAATGAATGAATGAATGAAAAGAGCCCTGGATTTGGAGAAAGCCTCCTGGTTCCTGTTCCTGGCTCTAGCACTAGTCATGTAGCCTTGGACAAGTCACTTAACCTCTCTACATCCTTATTTGTGAAATGAGGTATCAGGACCAGCTCTAAACTTCTCTAAACAGACTTTGTGAATTCCGACTGGGAACCCGGGCTGGGGCATCCATTTTACTTGAAGATTTGGAATGGGAGGAAAATTAGGTAATTTCTAAAAGTTTCACATTAAAATAATCATGAAAATATTATGAAATAGAATGTAAAATGTACATGAATTTTTAAAGATACAATTTGAGACATCAAAGGCATTTTGTGCTTGGCTGTGGCAGGCTCAGGCCCTGCCCTCCAACTTCTGGGGGAACGTGTTTTCGGGCTCTCCTGCTGTGTGGCCTACTTTTATGGGAACATTTGAGAAGCATGAAACCAGAGAATATTTGCTGTCCCTTTTGGTTACTCCATATGAGCTGAGATGACATACCCAGCAGCCTGGTGGTGAGGGTGGTGGTGAGCATGTTGTTGAGGGTGGTGGTGAGTGTGGTGGTGAGGGTGGTGGTGAGTGTGGTGGTGAGGGTGGTGGTGTGGGCATCGCATGCATTGTGGCTTCTACAGGGCACAGATTGTGTCTTGTTCATCTTTGGCTCAGGTATCTCTTGTCTCACTCGCCACAGGTTTGTGCTCCAGTTATCTCTCATTCTCCCACAGGCTACTATGTGCTCTGTGTCAGGCTCATACGGGGACTCCTTGTGTATTGATGGAAGCCTGCTCAAGTTGAGACACACAGGATCTCACAATCTAATGAGAGACACAGCACGTAAACAAAGCAGATGAGCATTCTTTATTAAATGAATGAGGACATGAGCGTCTCAACACTATCTGTCTAGAGGAAGGAATATAAATGGCTTCATGGCTAAATGGCAGCATTTATGCTTCATAGATGTATTTTATTTATGTATTTATTTATTTTTTGTTTGAGACAGGGTCTTGCTCTGTTGCCCAGGCTGGAGTGCAGTGGTGCAATCATGGCTCACTGCAGCCTTGACCTCCCAGGCTCTAGCAATTCGCTCATCTCAGCTTCCCAGGTAGCTGGGACTATAGGTGTGCGCCACCAGGCTTGGCTAATTTTTTGTATTTTTTGTACAGATTGGGTTTCGCCATGTTGACCAGGCTGGTCTTGATTTCCTGGGCTCAAGTGATGCACCAACCTCAGCCTCCCAAAGTGCTGGGATTATAGGCATGAACAATTGCACCTGCCCCATAGATATATTTTAAAGACCTTTTTTGTGTAAGAATCTGTGGTGAGTGCTATGGTGGATACAAAAATGAACAAAATGGTCTCTGCCCTCAAGGGGCTGACAAGGTGCATGGATGCAAACAGCTGTAGCCGGAGGCAGGATGCAGTCGAGACTGGATGATGATCAAGGATGATGATTGTTGATTGAGACCACAAGCTGGAGGAACCCAGAGGTGGGAGAGAATTGTTTGGCTGGGGGATCATGATAAGGTTTTTGGAGGAGGCGTGCTTGAGGTATGTCTCAAAGGAGAGTAGGGTGTCATCAGATAGAGATTGGGAAGTGGGCACTGCAGGGCATGTGGGCAGAGCCCAGGCACGGCTACTGCTGGCCTCTAGGCAGCTTATTGGGTCAGGAAAAGGTGCTCCCTCCAAGTAGGTGTCCTTATAACACCTGGCTGGATTTCAGTCCCACCTTGCCCCTCAGCCAGGTGCCCCTGAGCAGCACACAGCTTGCATAACCATTTGGTGGCCCTGAGCACAGGGTCCAGGAAGCAAAGCTGGGAGGGTGCTAGGTTGAAGATGTATCATGGAAGGCTGGAATGTGGACTCGTTACTGCAGTCTCATAAGCGCCACTCCCCATCCACCCCTGGCTGATTTAGATGCCCCTTCTCTGGCTCTCCTTCCATTCTGCTCATACCTCTGTCTGTGAATGCTGCACTGTATCGAAACATTGTTTATGTGTCTTTTTCTCTCACTGGGCTGTAAAACTCCTTAAAAAGGAGAGTTAGTGTCTTGTGGGGTTTTGTGTCTCAGGGCTAGACACAGCATGGGCTTGCAGTTCGTATGCTGGATGTCTGAAGAGCTTCAGCACACTGGAAATCAGGAGCTGAGGAGTGAAGACGAGTTAAGAAGTGGTTGCTGTGGTCTCTGTCAAGAGGAAGGTGTGGATTAGGAGGGTGGTGGTGGGTTCAGAGGAAAGAAGAGAGATGCTGGAGGCAGGTGGATAGGACCCGATTGAAATGGGGTGATGTGGGGGAAGAAATTAAAGAAGACCCAGAGATTTTGATCCTCCTAAGACAAGGGTGATGTTAAGAAAGGTATTGATTATGAAAGAGGACTGGATTTTGTGTTAGCAGTTGGGGAGGCACCAGGGAGGTTTGGAGTCCCAGACGAAAATGTGTACACCATTCATGTAATCAACATTTACGGAGTTTCTCTTTCTTTCTTTCTTTCTCTATCTTTCTTTCGTTCTTTCGTTCTTTCTTTCTTTCTTTCTTTCTTTCTTTCTTTCTTTCTTTCTTTCTTTTTTTTTGTTTTGAGACAGAGTCTCAGGCTGGAGTGCAGTGGCACCATCCTGGCTCAATACAACCTCAGCCTTCCAAGTTCAAGCCATTCCCCTGCCTCAGCCTCCCAAGTTCAAGCCATTCCCCTGCCTCAGCCTCCCCAGTAGCTGGGATTACAGGCACCCACCACCACGCCTGGCTAATTTTTGTATTTTCAGTAGAGACAGGGTTTCACCATGTTGGCCAGGCTGGTCTCGAACACCTGACCTCAAGTGATCCGCTGGCCTCGGCCTCCCAAAGTGCTGGGATTACAGGTGTGAGCCACTGCGCCTGGCCTTGGAGCTCTTATGTACCAGACACTGGGAGCCTGCAAAGCCCCTCAAGGAGTTCCAGACTAGGAAAGAGACAGACACACTGTACAACTCACTGACACAGAGGGTATCAGGACTCATAGCGGAGCAAGCAGAACAGAAGGAGAATGTCAAGGAGGAAGTGATGGATCCTATCTGGAGGCATCGGGGAAACTGGACCTCAAAGATTGAGTATAATTTTCCAAGTGGAAGGCAGAGAGCTGTGGTTAATAATTATAGTTCCCCCTTCTTCCAGAAGGGATTTGAGGCAGCTCATAATACTATAATACTATATGATGGAATGTCTAAAATGATAGATTGAAAACTAATTTTAGACAGTAGTTTGTACACAGTGAACCGTGGATGACTGGGTTATCAAAACTGAATGTTACATTTTTTTTAAGCATTAAATTTTGCTCTGAAATTCCTGACAACTACCAAGCAAACAGAGAGACAGATTGGTTTTAGAATTTTACTGTGTCTGGTTGGGTGCAGTGGCTCACGCCTGTAATCCCAGCACTTTGGGAGGCGGAGGCGGGCTGGTCATGAGGTCAGGAAATCGAAGCATCCTGGCTAACCCAGTGAAACCCTGTCTCTACTAAAAATACAAAAATTAGCCGGGCGTGGTGGCAGGCGCCTGTAGTCCCAGCTACTCAGGCGGCTGAGACAGGAGAATCGCTTGAACCCGGGAGGCAGAAGTTGCAGCGAGCTGAGATCGCGCCACTGCACTTCAGCCTGGGCAACGATTTTACAGTGTCATGAAGTCAAGCATTCAAGTCCTTTTTTACCTGGATCCTCCCCCTACTCCTAAGTCCCAACACGAGGTTGAAAATGTGCTTCTGGTGAGGGAGATTTCTAATCCATTCCTGTTCTAGGCATAACGGATGCAGAACTGAATAAGATCATCAAGTCTTATTTCATCGAGTTTGCATTTTAGCTGGGGGTGCGGGGACAGGCAGTAGATAATAAATAAGTGCTCTGAAGGAAAGGAAAGTAGGTTCGAGTAACTCTGAATTAAGGAAGGGGAGTAATTTTAGATGGGTTCATTGATCCAGAATTGACTGTTGAAGATGTGACAGTGGATGGAACTTGAGGGCCAGAGAGTGGATGGAGAGAGAAAAGAAGGCTAAGAGGGAAGCTTGGACGAGGCCACATTTTAAAGGTGTAAGAGGAGAGAGAAGAGTTAAGAACGGAGTGGCAGAGCTGTTAGGACGCCTCCCTGAGAAGATGGGTGGGGGATACGGGTGGGTGGCCAGCAGCGTTGAGCAGAGACAGTGCCTACTGGATAGTCCCTGGGCACCCTTCCACTTCCCAGCCACCCTGCAATTAGCTGGGGCCACATGTCTAGTTGTGGCCAATAGACATGGGCTCTGCTGAGGTGGATCAGAGCATGGGGCTCCACCTCCATCTCATCCCCTGCTGTGGACCTGGGAGTCCCTCCTGGCCCACACAGGACTTTATGTGAACAAAAAACCAGACCTTTATTATAAGAAGTCACAGAGAGTTTGGAGTTGCTGTAGCATAGCCCATCCTGCCGTGCCGAATCAAGAAGTTGAGCATGTCAAGGACTGGCAGAGGCCACTGGATTTAGCAGTAAGGAAATCACTGGGGATTTTGAGTGGGTGATTTCAGCAGAATAGTGAAGGAAGAAGTCACTTTTGTGGGAATAAAGGAGAAGATGTTGGAAGTAAGGAGAGTGAGCTGTGTGTGTAGATTACCATTTCAAGTAGTTTGGGAGGAAGGCGAGAGATATAGTGGTAACTTAGATAATGGAGGGTTGAGAGGAGGCATTTCCAAAGGACAGCGTGAGGTGGGGGTGTTTGCCAAATGAGGGGATGATCCTGGGGAGGTGGGGAGATAAAATAAAGAATAATTGATAAGAGAAAGCCTGGAAAAAATTGGAGGGGATCAGACCAAAGCCAAGATTGGTTTTGGAGAGGAATAGTTTACTCTCTGATGTTGCAACTCAGAGAGATTTGGAAGTGGAAGGGAAGGAAGCTGAAGGCTAAGTTAAGGTAAGATCAATTTTAATGATTAGGGAATATTTGAGGCATTTGCTGAGAGCATTGCAGGAGGAGGGCAGTGTGGCTACAGAAGCAAGGCCATGTGACTGCAGGAGAAGTCCCTGAAGTGTTGAACCAAACAAGTGCTTGACAATCACTGTGAGGCAGTGATGATGGATGCTGAACCAAACAGTTGAGTAGAAGGTTGTCAAGCTAGGAGAGGGAAGAAGTGTCTCCTCTCCTTATATGGAAGTTTCTGTATGTTCAAAGGTGGCATAGAGAGAGATGTACATTCCATGATACTCCTTGGTCAGCCAAGCAGCCATTCAGGAAAACTTTGGAATTCCCAGCAACTTTGTCAATGGGAAATGCTGTGGGATGGCCACGGGAAAGAGGGAGGTGTTGTCTTCCAGCAGTCATTGACTACTTTCGATGCAGAACTTTAAGAAACCCGCTTGCTATCAGCTTCCAGTCAGAACAGCACTTGTAAAGGGTTGATCCTTAAACATCGCTAAATGAACACATCTCTGTCTTGTGGTTCCAGGAATTTTAATCCTTGAAGCTAGATGGTATGAGAACAGCTTTTTTTCTGAAGCCAGGCTTGAATGGTAGGGGAAGGAATGTGGACTTTGGGGTTAGGCAGACATAGTTTTGATATTTTAGCTGGGTGGCTTTGACCTTCAACCTGTCTGAAGTTATCATTTCTCTTAGAATGTTATTGATAGTAGAGAGTGTCTGGCTTAGGGTGGATGCTCAGAAATAGCTCTCTCTCTCTTTCCTCCCCCTTTCTTTCTGTCCTCTTCTCTCACTCTCTCTTTCTTGCTCACTCTCTTGCTTCTTGTAATCTGCCAAGGCTGGGATCCAGAGTTCCAGCTTCTGTGAATAGAGGGGTCAGGCTCTGATAACAGTTTTCCTCTATCTGTTATGACCACTCAACATTCAACAGAGATATTCAGCACCTGTTACATGCCCAGCATCCTGCTAAGTGCTTGGGATCACCAGTGAGCAAGAGAGACACCCTTGCGGCATTTGCTGTTCAACAGGAGAGACAATTAAACCAAATGGTGTGATATTATAGGGAAGCCACATAATGTTTTGGGAAGGGTTGGCAAGGACTGCTAGCCTGGTGAAGGCAGTGGAGACTTGGGGAGATCAGCAGAGGCTAAAGCAGAGGGGTGGGCAGGGCCAGGCAGGGCAGTTCGTTGGTGATCAGGACCAGTGGCCAACCGGGACCATCCATCCTGGAAAGCTCTATGCAGCTCCTAGGGACTCAGGGCTGTGTGCATTTGTGTGGCTTCACCATGATCTCAACTCCAGGTATCAGCTCTTTTCCACCTTGCACCTCCCTCTCCCCAACATCAGTGTATGCCAGTGCTCTGCTTTCCAACCCTGGAGTCCACCAGGAAATTCTCATGTTTGGTAGTGAAGGGACTGCAGGTTCTGAGGGCTTGCAAGCATCTGTGGCTGCTGCTATTGTTCCAGCAGGTGGCAGCTTCTCCTGCTAATGTTTAAACTATGTGTCCCACAGGGCCCGTTGAAATCCCAAATAGCATAAAAAATAAACATTTATTTGGACAATATTAACGATATATTTAAATCACTATGAAAATCTCTATTATGCCGTGTCCTTAGACACCTTTGAATTCCTTAATGTTATATTTTAAACAACTTAACAAACCCCTCTATCCATGGGGTGCATAGCTTGTGCTAGGATATAAGTTATTCTGTAAGTACAAGGATTTCCTTTATAGAGTTCCATTTTCCAACTTGACTTTTAGAGAAAAGGCTGCTTTCATTGTGAATATTAAGTAAAAATATAAGGGCCAGGGACAAAATATGAGTAAAGACCTAAGACAATTCTTGGCCTATTATAAGCCCTCAACGAACACTAGCTGCTATCATCATCATCACCACCATCATCATTGTCACCACCTTCATCGCCATCACTATCACCATTATCACCATCACCACCATCACCATCACTATCACCATCATACCATCATCACCATCATCATCATCACTATCATCATCACCATCACCACCATATCATTATTATTATCATCACCGCCATCCTCACCATCACCATCACCATTAATACACAATCATCATCATCATCACTATCATCATCACCATCAACATCACCACCACTACCATCATCACCATCATCACCATATCATTATTATTATCATCACCACCATCCTCACCATCACCATCACCATTAATACACCATCATCACCATCATCACCTAGTAGCTTCAGTCTTAGAGTAAGCTTGTGCTTTCTTCTAGCTGTTGGTGTTGTCCAATATAGTAAATCATTATTCTTTATTTAAGGCATTTCCTGAGAGATATTTAAAACATTGTCATCTCAAACCATCTATCTTCTCTGTTCTTTGAGAATTTTGCAGTGCGGTCCTCCAGCTCTCCAGAGAACGTTAGGATATATTTGAGGGGAGGAGGGGGAGAAGTTGATGTCATGTCCTCTGTCTGCAGCTTCTAGGAGAGGACTGACCAGCAACAGTGTAGTGACTGGTCAATCCTGTAGTCTGGAGTTTCATGGCTGAAGTAAGGGTCGTTGCTAACTGAGAAGGTCTTGTGCTAGACTGTGTCAAATGGGATGACCAGTATGGGGTCATGCCATGTGTTCACCCATGGCAGAGTTTTCCCCATGGGGCTAACTTTGCACATTTGCTTGGGGGCGGTGGGGAAGGGGAGAGTGGGAAGGCACTGGAAGAGGGGACTTTGCACACTGCATGCTGCACCTAAATGTGGCCCTCTGCTCACCTTTCTGCTCCCAGGAAGTGGGAGTTCAGGTGGCCCCAAGGTCTCTTTCAAATTCTCAACCACATTCCGAGGACAGAAAATGAATTTCATCTCTATGCACTACCTGCTTTGCCATTCATTAAAATGCCTGTGATTGTGTTCTCATGTTAACATACCTGTTTCATTTCATGCTCCTTTACTCCCTTCTCTTGGTTCCCTTGTACAATAAAACAGCAGCATGAAACAAAACAATGCTAAGCTCTCCTTCACTGTGTCTCTGTGGTGTCACATTTCTTTGCCATGTGTCATGCATGCCACTGCTTTGCTGCCTCACACCAATGGTAGGTGGGGCATGGGCTGGAGGGGCTGGGTCTCCAAGCAGAGCCCCAGGCTCCATGGGAGGGACCAAGGTGGGGAATTGTGGGAACGGGTGGAAAAGACATCTGCTTAGATTGTCCAGGACCAGTAAAGCTAATGGTCATTTGCCCAGAAGAAAGGACCATCTCAGGCCAGGTAAGTGGCCATCTTCCTCGCCTGTCTGTCATTCATCCCAGAAAAGAGAAGATGCTAGGGGAGGAGTGGAGCCAGAGATGGACCGAGAGAGGTAGGAGGGTGGGAGGAGGGCACAGAGTTGGGGGAGGGCATATAGAGAGGCTGATCTGGTCACAAACTTTGAGTTTTGTCAAGTTGCATCATATCCATGAACCTCAGTTGTCTTATCTGTATAGTGGGATGATAGAAGTTTATCACAAATTCTGAGGAAGTGGAATGGAAGTTAATTCTGTATCTCTCTTGACAAAGCCGAGTTCCTAGTTTTGGTATTTTTGGATGGCAATGTGAATCAGCAAGGAAAGCAAGGCCCTTTGGGTCACACAGACCTGGCCTCAGGTTCTCATTTAGTCACTGCTTCAGTTTTCTATTGCTGCATAACAATGACCACAAGCACCAGCCAGGTATGAGCTCAGTTTTCCAGGAGACATTTGGCTGATGTCTTGTTCAAGGGGCTGTAAGGGAATTCCATAAACTAGGGAACTTATCAACAACAAACACTTCCCGCGGTTCTGAAGGCTGGGATGTCCACGATGGAGGCCCCAACAGATTCGGGGTCTGGTGGAGTCCCACTTTGTGGTTCATAGATGGAGTCTCTTCACTGTGTCTTCCCACGGTGGAAGGGCCAACCTAGTGCCCTGGGGTCTATTTCATAAGGATACTGATCCTTTTCACAAGGGCTCTGCCCTCATGACTAATCACCTCCCAAAGACCCCGCTTCCTAATACTATCACCTGCAAGGGGAAGGCCTTCAACATATACATTTTGTGGAGGACACAAATCTTAGACAGCGCAGCTGGGTTCTCAGCTCAGGGTCTCACATTCAAGGTGTCAGCCAGGCTGACGGGGTTCTCATCTGGATGCTTCTAAGAAGAATCTGCTTCCAAGCTCATTTGGGTTGCTGGCAGGATTCAGTTCCTCGTTTAAGACTCAGGTCACTGTCTTCTTGCTGGCCATCAGCTGGGAGCTGCTCTCAGCAGCTGGGGGCCACCTGCATTCCTTGAGATGTGCCCCCTCCATCTTCAAAGCCAGCCATGGAGACCTTCTCCCCAGTTGAATCCTTGCCAAGCTTCCGATCTCTCTGCCTTCTGCCTCTGGCCTCTAGACTCAGATGGAAAGGGCTCCTGTGACCAGCTGGAGCTCACCCAGACACTCCCCCTTTTTAAAAGTCAGCTATGCCTCATCACATAGCCTGACTGGGAGTGACTACCCCATCACATTTATGGTTCACGTGTACACTCAAGGACAGGGGTGGGAATCCTACATGCCACAGTCACTGTGATTCTACATGCCACAGTCACTGACTAGTCATGAGAGCTGGTAAAGGGTAATGAGCCCCTGTGGGCCTCAATGTTCTGTTCTCTAAAATGGGGTGGTTATAGATAAGCAAAGTACCTAGCATGTAGTAGATACTTGATACATCTACGAGCCACCCTTTTCCACCTAACAGTTGTCTCCCAAGCCCCTAATCAAGGCCCAGCTTTCCCTGCTGTACATTCTTTGCAGAATGTGTCCTAAGTAGAGTTGCACCTCCCTATAGAAGGGAAGGGGTTAGAAGCTTAGTGCAGAGTCCCTTAAGCTTACAGGGCAGAATAATCTCAGATGTCAGCTAGAAATGCTTTCCTTCAGTCGCACCCCCCTGATATTCTCCTTCAGTGGGGCTGTGGTGGGGCCAGGTTCTGCCTTTGTACTAAGCACCCTGAGTGATTCTGATGTGGCCGATCTGTAGACCACACCGAGGCATCCCGCGAGCGATGACTGCGCCGACTCCGAGTCAGCCAGTTGGGTTTCAAAGTCTGAGCCCACTGTTCCTGGCAGGGTGTCCCTGGAGGAATGGCTGGACTTCTCTTAGTGTCCTCATCTGTAAAATGGGGATAATAACAGTTGCCTCACTGGGTGGCTCTGTGGAGCATGCAATAATCCACAATAGTGGATTTGCAATTACAGTAATAATTGCAATTATAATAGTTATTGCAAATGCAATAATTCATGATTATTGAGTAAAGTGCTCAGTCCAGGGCCTCACATTTGCTGTGTTCTCACTGTGAATTAATGATGTGATTGTTATTACTATAATAACCCCATGGCCCTGGGCGTGGGCCTGGCTTTTGCTCTGCCACCCTGTGGGATTCTGGGCAGTGAGGGGGAATGATGGGCTCTGAGCTGCTGTTTGGGAACAGAATCTCGTTTGAACTTCAGGGAGCTGGTGGGAAGGAATGAGACAAGCCCTCCATGCCCTCCTGGCCCTGCCCTCAGTGGCCCCTGGCCTTTCTTCCCCCACCAGAGCTGTTCTTGGGTGCGCCTGCCCTTCCCTGTTCAGGCTGGGACCTGCCCATGCAGGTGATCTGAAAGCCAGGCCACCCTCTGCAGGAGCCACCTGCTCAGGGACCAGGGCTACCTCCTTCAGCCCGGGGGCAGTGCCCAGATCCCGGGGTCAGCCAGCTCTCACTGAGCAGGGCAACTATGTGGCTGTGCTGTGTGTTAGGCCTTTTGTGCTCTGACTGTCCTGGAGCCCCTCACCTCCTTCTCGAGGACCAGAGCATCCCCAGCTTGTTCATGCCAGGCTTTTTTTTTTTTTTTTAAGATGGAGTTTTGCTCTGTCACCCAGGCTGGAGTGCAGTGACGCGATCTCGGCTCACTGCAATCTATGCCTCCCGGGTTCAAGTGATCCTCCTGCCTCAGCCTCCTGAGTAGCTGGGATTACAGGCACCCACCACCACATCCAGCTATTTTTTTTTTTTGTATTTTTAGTAGAGATGGGGTTTCTTCATGTTGGCCAGGCTGGTCTCGAACTCCTGACCTCAGGTTATCCACCCGCCTCAGCTTCCCAAAGTGCTGGGATTACAGGGGTGAGCCACCATGCTGGGCTTCATGCCAGGCTTTGATGTGGCTTGGGCCACAGCAGGCCTTTAGGAGGGAATCCAGCAAACCCAGGCCCATGGGCCAGTGTGTTCCGCCATGGGAAAAGTGGTGATAGCAGACAGGCTCACTGAAAATTCCGATTTTAATTTCCTTTTGTCTGCTTTCAGGCAACTTTGGGCTGTAAATGCCAGATTTACCCCTCCTGGCCTATGCTCTGGGGGCTGGGGCCATGGTGGCCCAGGAAGGTTGAGATACTTCCCCTTTCTCCACTGAACACCTCCTCGCCATGTATTCCTGTTTCCTTCTCCCCAGCCTGGCCTGGTTCCACATTCAACCTTTCTTCCTGACCACCCCGGCTCTGCCTGAGGGGAGATCTGGGAAGGTGCTGGGCCTAGACCACCCCAAAAGGGTGGTCACTGTGGATACTGGGCAGGGCTCAGAGCAAGGAGGGGCCTCAGGCCCGGAGCAGTCAGGAAGGCATGAGCTGGGACTTCTTCTGTCACCTCCACTTATCAGCTAAAAGTGTTTTAAATGCCTCCAGACCTGAGGTTGGGGCCCAAGGATGGAGAAGGCAGGGCATGGGCTGTGGCAGGTACTATGCATTGCTCATTTGGGGACTGGAGTTGAGGGGTGATCGGGAATGCAGCCTGGCCATACTCCAGCATCCTTGGCCTGGAAGAAGGTCAGTTCATGTCCCGGGATACAACTGCTTAGCCCTGGGACTGTGACCAGGGCTGGGCGACAGGCAGGTCCCTGGACAGGAGGCCTCTGTGTGGCTGTGCCATTGTCATAGGTAGCTTTGGACACCGTTCCCAGCTCCCTAGGAGGCAGCCATATCAGGCCCGCACTCTTGTCGCTGGAAGGGGACTAAGTTAGCAGAGGACAGCCCAGGGGCCCTGCTGGCTGGGGCCATGCAACTCACCACTGAGCTCTCTCCTTTCCTTCTCTACAGCCGGGCCAGCACATGGCTCCCAGCCCCCATCTGACCGTGTACACCGGGACCTGCATGCCCCCGTCTCCTTCTAGCCCCTTCTCCTCCTCCTGCCGCTCCCCCAGGAAGCCTTTCGCCTCACCCAGCCGCTTCATCCGGCGACCCAGCACCACCATCTGCCCCTCACCCATCAGAGTGGCCTTGGAGAGCTCATCGGGCTTGGAGCAGAAAGGGGAGTGCAGCGGGTCCATGGCCCCCCGTGGGCCCTCTGTCACCGAGAGCAGCGAGGCCTCCCTCGACACCTCCTGGCCTCGCAGCCGGCCCAGGGCCCCTCCTAAGGCCCGCATGGCTCTGTCCTTCAGCAGGTTTCTGAGACGAGGCTGTCTGGCCTCACCTGTCTTTGCCAGGCTCTCACCCAAGTGCCCTGCTGTGTCCCACGGGAGGGTGCAGCCCCTGGGGGACGTGGGCCAGCAGCTGCCACGATTGAAATCCAAGAGAGTAGCAAAGTAAGAACCCGAAGGGGACGTGCCGTATGCATGGGTGGCTGTGGGTGTGCAGGCCTCTGCATGTGAATATGCATGCTTTGGGCTGGGGACTGGGATGGGTGAGAACAGATACCCCAGGCAGCCCACTCAGATCCCTTGGCCACTGGAAGATATTCAGAAACTCAGTTTTGTCCTCTGCTGTCCTCCCGAGGGAGAAGGAACAGGTGTCCTTCTTTTTCATCTTCCAAATCTTTTCCATTTTTCCAAATCTCTTTTCCCCTTATATGTTCTTCCACTCACATTGTCCCATCCCAAGACCGTTATTAGTCTAAGAAACCCATTGCATCTGTAAAGAGCAGGAAAGATTGGTGGCAGCAGTGGGAGCTGCAGGTGTTGGGATGCCCTGGGCATGCTTCTGGGTGCTCCAGCCCCTCCCTCACCATAAGTGCCCTTGCCTCCCTTCCCCCACCCTAAGGAAACCTTCCCACCCTCCTCTGCATCCATTGGCACAGTCTCTTAGAGGGACTTTCAGGGAGCCTTGTTCTGGCAGTCATTTCTGTGAAAATGAAAGTGCGTAGCCTTTGCCTGAGGGGGGGCCCCTCTAAACTTCATTTTGGGTGGTCCTGCAAGCCTGATCTCTGAGAACCCCCAGTTCCCTGAGACAGGCCAGAGGGGGCAGAACTAAGGCTCTGAGGAGTGCTCCATAACGCCTGGATCAGAGCAGAAAGAAAACTTGTGAGCGATGCAACACAGAGAATCAGCTCCTACACTTACTGAGTTTTGGGGGAGACAGTCAGGGGCACCCCTGCACCAATCAACATGTGTTTGGCCTCGTCTGGGCTTGGAGAAGAAAGCACCATGCAGAAGTCTTAGGTTGCCAGGGATACCCGGGGACAGCCAGGCAGAGGTTGTTATCCCTCCTGCCTGTGTCGCTTAGGGGGAGAGGGAGGAGCAGGTGACTCTAGTTGCCTTAGGAGAAGGGTCAGAATCCTGTGTGAGTGTGTCTATTGATTTTTCCCAACAGGCCCTGCAGAGGGAATATTCCAGCTTTGGGGCCGCTGCTATGCCTCATACATGGGCTTGGGACTTTAAAAGGCTCTCTTCTCAAGGGCCACTACTTCCTCAGAAGGCAGTTTTTTGTTTGTCTGGGTGTTTTTTTTTTTTTGAGATGGAGTTTTGCTCTGTAGTCCAAGCTGGAGTGCAGTGGTGTAATCTTGGCTCACTGCAGTGTCCGTCTCCCAGGTTCCAGCAATTCTCCTGCCTCAGCCTCCCAGGTAGCTGAAATCACAGGCACATGCCACCACGCCCGGCTAATTTTTTTGTATTTTTAGTAGAGACGGGGTTTCGCCATTTTGGCCAGGCTGGTCTCGAACTCCTGACCTCAGGCGATCCGCCTGTCTCAGCCTCTCAAAGTGCTAAGATTACAGGCATGAGCCACAGTGCCCAGCACCCATGAAGTCAGTTTAAAGGGGTTGATGACTAAGTCCTGGTATGTCCTACAGGGACCTCCTGAATCCATCAAAACCACAGGGATCCGAGCACCTCAAAAATGAAAACAAAGCACCTTCAGAATTATTTTTCATTCAAAATGAAAATATGAATCCCCAATAAAAAGATTCCACCAAGCCAATCACTGCACACACAACCTTTGTAGTCAAATGCTCTACCCCTGAGCTATACCTGCCCCCACCACAGTCTTTGGCAAATGCACCTGGTATGTTCATCTTCAAGGATGTCAGGATGATTTGGGGAGGTGCAGTCCCTCCTGCCCCTGCCCCTACATTACTGGCTTTCCTCTTGCACCTGAAGCTTTTTCCAGATCAAAATGGATGTGCCCACGGGGAGCGGGACCTGCTTGATGGACTCGGAGGATGCTGGAACAGGAGAGTCGGGTGACCGGGCCACAGAAAAGGAGGTCATCTGCCCCTGGGAGAGCCTGTAAGGAAAGAGGCAGGCTGAGCTGGGGGCTCTGGACCAGGAAGATGCTCTGACAGATGCCATGGTATGGGCCACAGGACACACTTGCTCGAGAACCAAAGTGCATTTGGGTGACATTTGAAGATTGGGGAGACAAGATGGGGTAGATTGTGGCAAAGAATGCTCTGGCTGGTTACCAGGGGCCAACTCCTTCTCCTCTTCCTGACCCTCCCTCCCCTGGGCAGAAGAAACGCATGTGGACCAGAAGACTTTCCCTGCTGCCTTAAAACCAATAAAAGGTTAACTTTAAGTTTCTTGGAATGTTAGTGTGTGTCTGGTTTTGTTAGTAATTTGTGAGCTATTATTTATGAGTTAAACTCACGTCTTCTTCAATCTTCTGGACAAAGGGACATTGAGTCGCTTCCAAGAGCTCTCTCCTTGTCTAAATGGGTTTGTGCACAATGCTTTTCTCATCAGCAGAGCTCCCCAGGGGATGCCCCGGGGCATGGCATCTCACAGGAATGGACAGAGGGCTGGGAGCAGGCACACTCCTAAAATGCCAGGTGTGTTGCCTCAGGTCCTCCAAGAAGCAGACACCAAGGTGAGATTCGATGGACAAGAGATTTGTTGGGGAAAACACCTGTGGTAGATAAAGGAAGGGCCAGAGCTGGAGAAAGTTGAAGTTGAGTGTTGAGGGGGTTCGGGGCGGGGGGCAGTCCAGACCGTGCTGCAAGTCTGACCTCTGGGCAGGGAGAGTCTTAGATGGCAGTGCAGTCCAAGAAAGTTTTGAACAGGCTGCTGGGGTGTCCTTTATGCAGTCCAAGAAAGTTTTGGCCAGGCTGCTGGGGTGTCCTTTGTGCAGTCCAAGAAAGTTTTGACCAGGCTGCTGGGGTGTCCTTGAGCCAAAGTCATTGCTGGAGAGGGCCTGCATCTCTGGGAACGGCCCTGCATTCGTACCCCCACGGTGCATGGTCATGTGCTGGGAGATCCCGTGGAAAGCCTGACCTTGGCATGGATATGCTGGTGGATCCTGAGCTGCAGCAGCTTGGCCATCAGCCCGCGTGCTCCCTGCAGTTGGAGATCTGAGTGCTCCTTTTCACTTCCGCTGCACTAGGCCAGTGGGAAATTCTAGAGGTTTGGGCTTTGGTGTGCTCCTCCCACCTCCCCTCCTAGTTACTCACTCAACATGTGTTTATTGAGTCCCTACTATGTGCCAGACGCTATGACAGGCGCTGGGGATGTTGCTGTGAGTAGGACTCCTTGTCTCATGGAATTCATCCGGGACAGTGTTTCTCCACCAGGTCAATGTTGCCCTCTAGGGAACACCGGTCAGTGTTTGGAGACATTTTTGGTTATCAAGACTGCGGCAGTGGGTGGGGGTTGCTACTGGTGTCTAGCAGGTAAAGGCCAGGGACGCTGCTAAGTATCCTACAATGCACAGAAGCTCCCACAACAGAAGATTATCAGTTCAAACCACCAGTGGTGCCACTGTTGAGAAACCCCGCACTAGAGATTACAGCGTATGTACTTGTCCCTGGTTTCTGCGCATGCTCTGAAGTATTGCCCCAAACGGCACTGCTGGGATCATAATTAGATTGGACAGCGGGTTGCGATTAAGGGCTACGCGGTGAATAAAACAGCTCTTAAAAGTTGCATAGGAAGTCCTCACAGGAGAAAAAAATCAAGTGGTTTGCCAAACCACTCATTATACCCCTCCCCTTTAGCCCTCAACTTCCTCAGAATTCAATTAGTAGATAAGAGCCCCTGACTTGCTTTTAACCTCTGACAACTTATTTAGCCCATAAATACTGGGGTTGCTGACTCATCTCTGCACACTTCTACAAATGAATGTTGGGTGGGTGCATGGCTGAAACCTAGATTTGCTAATCCCCGTAGGGAAAACACAGAGCTTCAATACTTAAAGACCATTGCTCATTGTAGATTTTACTGAATCTATTCCACTGGGCTCACAAGAGTCACTCACAAAGGGCTAAGAAAAATTTTCCCCCAGAATGTAAGTGAGAGAGTCTGGTCCTTTCTTGGAAGAGTGAGTGAGCTGTTAACCTGATGCCTTTATTTGCAATGCTGATCTAAAATGAGATGAAAGGCGAAGCAATCCACACCCTTAGTTTACTACCAGCCAATGTCAAGAAATAAGGAGAATCTCAACCCTAGGTTTGTATATCAGTGTTTAAGGGTTCCTCTCCTAAGCCCCCAGGGTCCTAAAGAGAAACTAAGCCCACATGGAAACTAAGATCCACATGGATAGAGCGTCAATGACAGAAGGCTCCAGAATCCACTGGTTGGATTAAATAAAGTCCAGGCTATAGTTCAGTAATAAATAGACCTCAGAAGGGAGGAAGTGGGTTCAAACATGACAGAGTTTCTGTCTGTAACACAGAGTTGCCTAAAGGCAGTAGGGCAGTCCAGGTCATGGGCTGGAAGTGAATGGAGGCCAGGGAAGAGAAAAAAAAATCCAACAACCAATAAATTTTTTTATCTTGTTGCTCCACCCATCCCCTGGTCACAAGTATGATGCTCCTCCATCTTGTCTGGACATTAGAATCCACTGGGGAAACTTGAAAGATCCCGCTGTCCAGGGCACACGCACAGAGCTGTGACACTGGGATTTTTTTTAGCGCCTCTCCCAGGTGATGTCTATGTCCAGGTGAGCTTGAGAACCACTGCCTTGAGGTAGTGATTGAAGCTGGTTCACCACCCCTACACCCATGCCCATACCCAGGGGATAACTGAAAAAGAGGCAATGGTGGGAAGGTGGCTTCATCTTAAGTTCACAACCAGGAAGTAGCATGGGTCATTTCCATTCACATCCCATTGGTTGGCCTTTGGTCACATGACCATGGCTAGCTGCACGGGAGTCCGGGAAATGTAGTCTTCAGTTAGGCCAGTTTGTGAGTAGTTAAACTTCTAGAGATTTAGCTAGAGGAAGGAAGATGGGGAGAGTGGATATTGGCGGACACTTGGTCTCTCCCACAGTGGAATTATTACACAGTTTTGGGGGTAATGGGTTACACTAACATAACATAACGTAACATAACATAACATAACATAATGCAAGAGGTGGGGCAAGAGGAGACGGGAGTGACCAGTTAGTTTCTGTTTGGCCAATATTTGGTAAATGCCTATAAAATGTAGCTATGCTGTATTCCATGGTTGGGTGCTTTCCACTTGCTCAAGGCTGAACACCGGCTAGGTGTCAAACACCAAGTGAGGTCCTGGGAATAAAGTTGATTCCCTCATGGAGGTGCTATCATTGCTTGAGGAGCAAGCTGGGGGCATTGGATCTAGTCCATGTTGGGGGAGTGCAGGGCTGTGGGCTGTGGGAATCCTGCCGCCTGCCTTTCCAGCTTGGAACAGCTCCTTGATTTCCTCATCTGTGAACTGGGAGTAACAATTTGACCTTCTTCACAGGGCTGCTTGGAAACCTATAGAGTGATATGGATATAACTGTGTTGGCTGCTCAGAACCTTATGTAGTGCAAGAAAAAAACAGTTTTGTTTTTTCCCCAAGATGCTCCTTTAAACCTATGCTGCAAGTTATTTCTTTTCCTAAACCTGGATGAAAACTCTGAGAAGTCCCATAACTTTTCTGGTCACTTTTAGATAATACAGATCCTCCAGGTATGATCAGTGACAAGGACAGTCTCCATTTAGTTCTGTATGCAGTTCAATGTTAGTGTAATAAGCAAAACTTGGAACTTCATTCAAAGGTAAGGTTCCTTCCCTCCTTGGGCTTGGGCTGTTGCAGCTGGGATGTCTGCAGGGGGGTCGGAGGGGGGACCCCGGAAAAGCAGAGGTAGGGTGGGAGAACAAGGAGGTTCTTAGTTGACTAACACATAAACCATTCAACATGGTGCTCTTGGGATCCCCCTACTGGCTCTCACTTAGGTAGAGGGTTTCCTAGATTTTTGAGGCCTTCTAGCCTGATATGGTTTGGCTCTGTGTCCCCACCCAAATCTCATCTGGAATTGTAATCCCCACATGTTGAGGGAGGGACCCGGTGGAAAGTGACTGGCTCATGGGGGCGGTTTCCCCCATGCTGTTCTCACGATAGTGATTGAGTCTCACAAGGTCTGATTGTTTTATAAGTGTTTGGCATCTCCTCGGGCTCTCTCTCTTTCCTGCTGCCTTGTGAATAAGATACTTGCTTCTCTTCTGCCTTTTGCCATGATTGTAAGTTTCCTGAGGCCTCTCCAGCCATGTGGAATTGTGAGTCAATCAAACCTCTTTTTAAATAAATTACCCAGCTGCAGTTAGTTCCTTACAGCAGTGTGAGAATGAACGAACACCACTAACAGGGTGAAATCATTGAGTCTGAGAGGAGGCAGGGCTGCTTCCTGCTTATTTGCTGAGGAAGAAAAGAAGAAGGCCAATGATTCATGAGCTGGGAAGGCTGAAGGAAGCCGGGATCCGGGGATACTTCATGCCTCACACACCCCAGCTTCAGAGGTCAGCCCTCCCCTCTGGGCAGCTGTCACCTCCTCACACTTCACCAGAAGAGGGAGTCCTAGGCTCACAGATCCCTAAAGAGAGGCGGCTGGGAGTTTCTTGTTAGCATTCAGAGACCTGTGTCAGAGAAGGGAGAGGGGCTTGAAGAACGGTGCCTTCCTTTTTGGAAAGCCAGATTGGGGTGTGGGGGTAGCAGGATAAGCTGGCCAAAGTGGGGACCCATGAGAGAGAAGCATCTTGTCTACCTGTGCAACCCTGGGTGACTGTGGGGCCCTTATGTGGCTCTCCTGGCTATTGTGAGCTTATGGGGACCAGGGATGGGGAGGCTGGGAGGAGGGAGGCAAGGCTCTGTCCCTAGTGGCTTTGAGTGAGGGTTGGAACCCTCTGCAGAAAATCTCCAGCAGAAAGAAAGAAAACCCCCTCCCTCTCCTGCCGACTGCGGCCAGAAGAATCCCACTCTCGAAGGGCATTTGTGTCAAGCTCTGACTCCTAGGACTGGAGGCCCACGAAGCCTCATTCATTTTTCTTTTTTAGAGACAGGGTCTTGCTCTGTCACCTAAGCTAAAGTGCAGTGGTGATCATAGTTCACTGCAGCCTAGAACTCCTGGTGATCCTCCCACTTCAGCCTCCCAAGTAGCTGGGATTACAGGCACTTGCCACCACACCTGGCTAATTTTTTAATGCTTTTTGTAGAGATGGGGTCTCCCTGTGTTGCCCAGGCTGGTCCTGAACTCCTGGGCTCAAGTAATCCTTCTGCCTTGGCCTCCCAAAGTGCGGGGATTACAGGCATGAGCCACTGTGCCTGGTCCCTCATTCATCTTTGACGACAACCTGAGGGATTACAGCTCCCCTGCTGAGGGGGTGAGGCTTGAGCTGGGGCACCCAGAGGGACCAGAATGGGGTGGCATGTAGGGGGGATAAACGGGATCAGAAAACAATCTTTTAAACTATTCAGCTGGTAGGAGAGACCTGTGTATGGCCTCATGAGAGGCGACTGAGGGAGGGGCAGTCTCTTTTTCTTCTGGGAAGAACAGAATGAGAGTATTCATGGACTCCTGGGAGTGGGGGGAGTATATTTATTAGGGACAGCTGGCTTGGGATATTGGCTCTGGTTACAGCAGCATCAGCTATGTCTAAGGAGGGGCGGGAGCCTGCGTGCATAGAGGTGCGCGTGTGCACACAAGCGCCCAGGGCCACACTCTGGTCCATGCACAGTCTGGTCCATGCAGGCATGGACTGTCTGTGTGGCGCATGCATGGAGCGCTGTGGCTATGCGCCTGGTACTGGCACAGGTGTCAGGGGAACACTATGCCACCTCTAATACAGCGGTTACTCCATGGGAACATGGAGAGGCTTGTGGAAAGCATCACCAGGATGTTTGTGAGAAGCTCTATGCTTTACGAAGCGCACTTCTGTCTCCCTGACCCATCATGTTTAGGGAAAGGGGAGCGCAGTGTGTTAGACGAGGCAGCTGGGGTACGGAGGGGCTAAACGAATGTGACCAAAGTCATACTCTGGGCTGGTCCTGGGCACATTACAGCAGGTCTCCCTACAGAGCCTTTAGAAAACGTTTTCACAGTCCATCTTCTAACTTTTGCACGCTTTATTCCCTCACCTTAACCCGTAGGTAGCTATCAAGTTGTTTTGTCGTGAAGGACTCCATCATGGGGAGTTAGGGATTCAGACAACCACAGCTTACAGGCCTACATTTAAAGATCCCCTCGTGAATTCCTGCTCACATTTAGTCCTCACTACAGTGTTGGGAGGCGGGAGACCACCTTCAGTTTGCAGATGTGATTTCCCCACTTACAAGTGGTAGAAACACTCCAATTGAAGCCTAATGCCATTTATTCTCTCTTTCTCTGTATATACACACGTTATATATTATGTATGTAATCTATATTTAAATTTCGGAATTTTGGCCAACCACAGTGGCTTACGCCTATAATCCCAGCACTTTGAGAGGCCAAGGCGGACAGATCACCTGAGGTCAGGAGTTTGAGACCAGCCTGGCCAACATGACGAAACCCTGTCTCTGCTAAAAATACAAAAATTAGCTGGGCATGGTGGTAGGTGTCTGTAATCCCAGCTACTTGGGAGGCTGAGGCAGGAGAATCGCTTGAACCCGGGAAGTGGAGGTTACAGTGAGCCGAGATCTCACCACTGCCCTCCAGCCTAGGTGACAGAGCAAGACTCTGTCTCAAAAAATAAAATAAAGTAAAAAAATAAATTTTGGAATTTTGAAAATACAGAAAATACAATAAATTATATAATAAACATCCATATGTATATTACTTAGAATTGCCTAAAGTTAACATTTTGCCCTAATTATTTCTAATGCTTAAAAAAAGGTAAAATTTTATCTTTATTCTCCTTTTCTCATCTACCGTCCCTCTCATCTTCTATGTCAACAATTTCTTTTTCAGTAAATGGTCAGTTAATAAATATTTTAGACGTTGCAGGCCACATGTGGTCTCTCTTCCTCCTCCTCCTTCTTCTTTCTTCTTCCCTTTCCTTCAACCACTAAAAAATGTAATATCAATCACCCTTTCCTGATAAAGGTTTAATACCCAGAATATATAAAGAATTCCTCCAACTCAACAATAACAACAAAAACAAACAACTTGATTAGAAAATGGGCAAAGGAGCAGGTGTGGTGGCTCATGCCTGTAATACCGGCACTTTGGAAGACCGAGATGGGCGGATCACTTGAGCTCAGGAGTTTGAGATCAGCCTGGGCAACATGGTGAAACCCCATCTCTGTCAAAAATACAAAAATTAGCCAGGCATGGTGGTGCATGCCTGTAGTCCCAGCTACTCAGGAGGCTGAGGAGGAGGATCACCAAAGCCCAGGAAGCGGAGGTTGCAGTGAGCAAAGATCATGCCACTG
Organism: Homo sapiens; assembly: GCF_000001405.40. Lineage (NCBI taxonomy): Eukaryota > Metazoa > Chordata > Mammalia > Primates > Hominidae > Homo > Homo sapiens. Next base: position 65,234,742 of record NC_000017.11, read on the forward strand.
CACTCCAGCCTGGGCGACAGAGAGGGACTCTGTCTCAAAAAAAAAAGGGGGGGGGAGTGGAGGGGCAGTGGGCAAAGGACTTGAATAGACATTTCTCCAAAGAAGATATACAAATGGCCAATAGCACCTGAAAAGATGCTCAACATCACTAATCATCAGGAAAATGCAAATCAAAACTACAATGAGATATGACTTCACACCAACTAGAATGTCTGTTATAAACACCAAACAAAATAAAACAGAAAAATGGTGTAGCCACTATGAAAAACAGTATAGTGTTTCCTTTAAAAATTGAAAACAGAGTTGCCATGCGATGCGGTAATTCCATTTCTGGTTAGATATCCAAAAGAATTGAAAGCAGGGACTCAAACAGATATTTGTATACCTGTGGTCATAGCAGCATTAATCATAATAGCTAAACTTTGGAAACAATTCAAATGTTCATCAGTGGAGGAATGGATAAACAAAATGTTGTCTATACATATAAAGGAATATTGTTCAACCTAAAAAGGAAGGATATTCTGACACATGCCACAACATGGAAGAACCTTGAAGATGTTATGCTAAGTGAAATAAGCCAGTAATAAAAGGACAAATACTGTATGATTCTGTTGGAGGTGTTCAATCTCGAGCAACTCCATCTTGAATAGAGGCTGGGTAAAATATGTCTGAGACATACTGGGCTGCACCCATGAGGTGAAGGCATTCTTAGTCACAGGATGAGATAGGAGATCAGCACAAGATACAAGTCATAAAGACCTTGCTGATAAAACAGCCTGCTGTAAAGAAGCCAGCCAAATCCTACCAAAACCAAGATGGTGACGAAAGTGACCTCTGGTCACCTTCACTGCTCATTATGTGGTAATTATAATGCATTAGTATGCTAAAAGACACTCCCACCAGTGCCATGACAGTTTACAAATGCCATGGCATTGTCAGGAAGTTACCCTATATGGCCTAAAAGGGGGAGGAACCCTCAGTTCCGGGAACTGCCCATGCCTTTCCCAGAGAACTCATAAATAATTAAACCCCTCTTTAGCATATAAATCAAGAAATAACTATAAGTATCCTAGTCCAGCAGCCCAAGCTGCTGCTCTGCCTATGGAGTAGCCATTCCTTATTCTTTTGCTTTCTTAATAAACTTGCTTTCACTTTCCTCTGTGGACTTGCCCTGAATTCTTTCTTGCTCAAGATCCAAGAACCCTCTTTTGGGGTCTGGATCAGGACCCCTTTCTGGTAACAATTCTACTTATATAAGATACCTAGAGTAGTCAAATTCACAGAGACAGAAAGTAGAATGGTAGTTGCCAGGGGCTGGGATAGGGATGGTGGGACTGGGGAATCAGTGTTTAATGGGCACACAGTTTCAGTTCAGGAAGACAAAAACAATTTTGGAAACGGATGGTGGTGATGGTTGCACAACAATGTACTTAATACCACTGAACTGTACACTTAAAGATGGTTAAAATCATAAATTTGATGGTATGAATATCTTAACACAATAAACAAAACTAAAGTCATTCTTATCAGAAGACTACAAAAATAAGCTACTGGCTGGATTTAGCTCAAGGTCAAAGTCTGTTAAACTTTGTGCCATATTATTATTAATTTCATTATGTTTTTAAACAAAATAACTCATTAGCGGTGTTATTATTGTGTATTATAGTCAATTCTTTTTTAGCATCAGCTACAAGTTTACCCAAATTTGTGCTCATCACTCCTCTTTGGATACCACTTCTTTTTCCTGGTCCAGTTTTCTTTGTACTGAAGTGCATCCTTTAGTGATTCTCTCACTGATGGCCTTGAGAGAAAAGTCTATTTTTTTGTTTTAAAAATGTCTTTATTTTATCCTCAACACTATTTTACCCTATTATTATTTTAATCATTTACTATTAAATAATCATTTAGGTGAATTGAAAAAGATAGGTTGAGAGTAATTTCTCCTTGGGAATTCAGATAGTATTTCATCATCTTTTGTCCTGTCTTGTTGCTGATGAGAGGTTCAATTACTGTTGCTTGTTGTGGGAAGCCAGGAACCCCAAATGGAGGGACCGGCTGAAGCCATGGTGGAAGAACATAAATTGTGAAGATTTCATGGACATTTATTAGATCCCCAAATTAGTACTTTTATAATTTCTTATGCCTGTCTTTACTGTAATCTCTGAACATAAATTGGGAAGATTTCATGGACACTTATCACTTCCCCAATCAATACCCTTGTGATTTCCTATGCCTGTCTTTACTTTAATCTCTTAATCCTGTCATCTTGTAAGCTGAGGAGGATGTATGTCACCTCAGGACCCTGTGATGATTGTATTAACTGCACAAATTGTAGAGCATGTGTGTTTGAACAATGTGAAACCTGGGCACCTTGAAAACAGAACCGGATAACAGCAATGTTCAGGGAACAAGAGAGATAACCTTAAACTCTGACCGCTGGTGAGCTGGGTGGAACAGAGCCATATTTCTCTTCTTTCAAAAGCAAATGGGAGAAATATCGCTGAATTCTTTTTCTCAGCAAGAAACATCCCTGAGAAAGAGAATGCGTCCCTGAGGGTGGGCCTCTAAAATGGCCCCCTTGGGTGTGGCCGTCTTTTATGGTCAAGCTGTAGGGATGAAATAAGCCCCAGTCTCCCATAGCACTCCCAGGCTTATTAGGACGAGGAAATTCCTGCCTAATAAATTTTTGGTCAGACCGGTTGTCTGCTCTCAAACCCTGTCTCCTGATGAGATGTTACCTATGACAATGTGTGCCCAAAACTTCATTAACAATTTTAATTTCCTCCTGGTCCTGTGGTCCTGTGATCTCGCACTGCCTCCATTTGCCTTGTGATATTCTATTACCTTGTGAAGCACGTGATCTCTGTGACCCACACCCTATTAGTACACTCCCTCCCCTTTGAAAATCACTAATAAAAACTTGCTGGTTTTGTGGCTTGTGGGGCATCAGGAATCTACTGACATGTGATGTCTCCCCTGGACGCCCAGCTTTAAAATTTCTCTCTTTTGTACTCTGTCCCTTTATTTCTCAACCCGGCCGACGCTTAGGGAAAATAGAAAAGAACCTACGTGACTATTGGGGGCTGATTCCCTGATAGTTGCTTAATAGATTTTCTTCTCTATTTTGCCTCTAAGTACTGGTCTTTGTCTTGAGTGTTCTGCAGTTTCCCTATAGCATGTCTAGGTACAGAGGTGTTTGTGTTTATCCTTCTGGGGGTGATGCTTCTTCCATCTGAGGACTCATATCTTGTTTCTACTCCGAAAATTCTCATTTATTGTCGCTGGATAATGCTTCCTCCTCCTCTCCATTTTCTTTGCTCTCTCTCTTTTGGCAGCTCCTACTGCATGTTTGTTATACCTTAGGGAGAAGTGTCTCTTTTCTCGAGTCCCCTTTTCCTGCCCTGGGCAGCCCTTCAGGAATTTCACCTGATGGAGGGGTCTTAGGTCTGGTTTTCCAAGCCTTTGGACCACAGGCCATTTCCTGTCACTCTTCCCTGGGGCCAAAGTAGTTGTTCTCTTCATTCAGTATTAATTCCAAGTTTTCTGATAGGAGGGAGTTCATGTTAGCTCAGTTGTCCTATTGTTAGAGCTGGGTGTCCACCAAGGACTTTCTTTTCCACAACAACATAGCTGCTGCATATGTGTCATATATTGTTATACACATATATTTCATATACTTAAATGAATATATTTCATATAAATTCATATGTATATTTTATTTATATATACACACTCTGCTCTAAGTTATCAAATTATAGTATTTCCTTCTCCATTGTAGCTCCATTTTAACAGGGACCTCTGGCTTAAGAAAATGCATCTCCAAACTTGGAATTGTAGGCACCACAACAAGCTGTAACTTGGGGACAGGGAGATTCACACTTCTTTGGGGATGCTTTATGAGGCTGGCTCTGGCTTTGGCCCTGCTGTGAAGTGCCTCTTTGATTTCCATCCTAAACACACAAATGTGTCCACACCATCTACCCTCATCATTCCATCCATCTGTCAATTCCTCTATCCATCCATCCGTCCATCCATCCATTCATTTATCCATCCATCCATTTATCCATTCATCCATCCATCCATTCATCCATCCACCCCTCCATCCACTCCTCCACCCATCCACCCATCTATCTGTCCGTCTATCTCATAAGATCCCCTTGGACCCACCAATGTCATATGAGGGTTATCTAAAGCCGAAAACATCTGAACAAACAGCAGCCAAAGCAGGGAAAAAAAGACCCAAAATACCTTATCTAAACTTTTTTCTTTTTTTTTTTTGATGACTTAATAAAAGTCTCCTGAAAATATAGCTACCATAAATACTCTCTCCAGGAGGTTTACAGACAGAAAGGAGATGGACCACTCACACTTGGATAAGAAATTATATAAACAAAAAAAATCAAAACTTTCCATGCTTTCTGCTTGTTTCTCATTAGCTCCCCATCATTTGCTCTCCTGGAAAGTCTTAAACCCCCTTCTTATTAAGATGATGTATAAATCCTTACCTCTCACTATTCAGAGAGATAGATTTTTGGGAACTCTTAGGTATGCAAATAAACTTTGTCTTTTCCCAACCTGTTTTTTTGTCAGTTAATTTGCAGGCCCCCAACCACTGAACCTAAGTTGGTAGAGGGAAACATTTTTCTTCCCCTCACACCATAGCCATCCATCTATGCACTCCTCTAAGTTTCATGGAGGGTCCACTAGGCATTTGGTATGCTATCGTGAATAAAATTAGGCCTTGATCTCAATAATGCATAGGTTAGATGGGGAGCATACTTTTAAACTAAGAATTACAATACACTGTGTTAGGAGTGGCTGCAAAACTTGACAGCTGAGGGTACACACTCTGGTGTCACACTGCTTCCGGTCAGATCCAGGTTCTACCCTTTCCTAGCCAAGTGGCCTTGAGCATTTCACTAAAGCTCTCCAAACCTCAGTTCTCTCATCCATAAACTTGACATCAGAATAACACAGCCTCCTTGGGGGTCAGGGTGTGAGGATCACCAGCTAACTTATGTAAACAGCTCAGATCAGTGGCTGGGACCTGGTGAATGCTTGATGAATATTTCCTCCAAGGTAGTGTTGAAGCAAAGAGGAACCTTGAGAGAGTCTTGCTGGCCCCAGAATGTGGCTCTGTGTGTGTGTATTGGGCTAGTGTGTAGAAAGCATTCGTTCCTTTGATGAACATGTAGCAGAAAAGGTCAGAAACATAAGAAAATAATCACAGAACACTTACATTTGATAAATGAAAAATAACATGTTAAAATATGATCCCATATAAAATGAGAAGGCACTGAATGAAGGAGACAACTACTTCAGTAAGGAGCTGAAATAAAGTATTTTCTGGGATGATCGTGTCCTTGGAAGACTAGGAGTCAGTGTTCAGGGACAAAGAAAGAGCAGTGCCTATTTCAAGCTGTAGGGAAATCTGGGCACCTATTCAGGAACTGTTATGGCTGGCTCTGTGTCTCCACCCAAATCTCATGTTGGATTGTAATTTCCAATGTCAGGGGAGGGACCTGATGGGAGGTGATTGGATCATGGTGGTGGATTTTTCCCTTGCTGTTCTTGTGATAGTGAGTGAGCTCTCACAACATCTGGTTGTTTAAAAGTGTGTAGCACCTCCAGCTTCATTTTCTTTCTCCTGCTCCCACCATGTAAGATGTGCTGGCTTTCCCTTTGCTTTCCACCATGATTGTAAGTTTCCTGAAGCCTCCGGTACAGCCTGCAGAACCATGAATCAATTAAACCTCTTTTCTTTATAAATTACCCAGTCTCGGGTAGTTCTTTATAGCAGTGTAAGAATGGACTAATACAGGAACACAACAAGCTTTTTATCCAGCAGCATCCACATACTTGACATACTTGACCCAAGTCGCAGGCTTCCATTGCATATGGGATTAGTTAGACATTAGAAAGACCTAGATGGCAGAGGTCTCTGCTTTTTTTGTAGAATGCGCAGTCCTGGTCCTTCCCTCTGCTAAACCTTAGTCTTTTCTCCCTATTCTTGGGCTTCTAGGCAAAGGGAATTTGAAGGATTGCAGTAACACAGTACTCTTGGGACTTCTGGCCAGTCTTCTGGGTAGGCCTTTGTCCCTGTGTCATGGTTCTTGAATTTTGTGTGTATGGCTCATTACCTTCATCTCAATATATTTCAACAATGGGAACTTCTGCGGGGCACAACTCATGTCCACAGCCTCGTCTATGTACAGAGCCCAAAGCAGCACCACTATCAGTTTGGGGTTTAGGGTGTTGAAGATGTTGAGTTGTCAGTTATTGAGTTAAAAATCTCCTGATTATATAGAAAATGTCCAGATATATCACTTTATCAATGGAGGCCAATATTGTGAATGAGTGGCCCTTTTATTATTTCACATTTATATCTCCCATTTAATCTCTAGCATTCTTGTTAAAACAGATAAAGTCCATGACTTCACAGCAGTCAGTGGCCTGGAATTTTGTCTTTTTAAAAAGATTTCTAGCTGGGCATGGTGGCTCACGCCTGTAATCCCAGCACTTTGGGAGGCCGAGGCGGGCGGATCACGAGATCACAAGTTCAAGACCAGCCTGACCAACATGGTGACACCCCGTTTCTACTAAAAAATACAAAAATTAGCCGGGTGTGGTGGTGTGCGCCTGTAATCCCAGCTACTCAGGAGGCTGAGGCAGGAGAATTGCTTGAACCTGGGAGGCGGAGGTTGCAGTGAGCAGAGATCACGCCATTACCCTCCAGCCTGGGCAACAGAGTGAGACTCCATCTCAAAAAAAAAAAATTTCTAAAGGTGATTTTACTGAAACACTAGTCGTGCTGGATTAGGGTGGGCCATAAGCCCAATGACCAGAGTCTTCATATGTAGTGGGAGGACAACACAGAGGCACACAAAGGTAAGAAGTTCATGTGAAGATGGAGGCAGAGATTGGAGTGAGGCAGCTGTAAGCTGTGGAACCCCAGGGATTGCTTGGAGCCATCAGAGGCTGGAAGAGGCAACAAAGGACCCTCCCCTAGCCTCAGAGGGAGCACAGCCCTGCCAAAACCTTGACTTTGGACTTGTAGCCTCCAGAACTAATAGAGAATTAATTTCCGTTGTTTTAAGCCACCTTGTTTGCGGTCCTTTGTTACAGCAGCTCTGGGGAATTCATAAGGTAGGCTTGTATCATAGTTCGATTATTCTCCTACAGATGAACATTGTTTCCAACTTTTCATCAAAACAAATGCTGTTGTAATGAACATCCTTGTACATTCCTCTGTGCGCATCTATAAGTATCTCCCTGGGATGGAAACCAAAGGCCAGGTATGGTGGCTTATGCCTGTAATCCCAGCACTTTGGGAGGCCAAAGTGGGAGGATTGCTTGAGCCCAGGAGTTGAAGATAAGCTTGGGCAACATAGGGGACCCTGTCTCTACACAAAATTTTTCAAAAATTAGCTGTGTGGTGGTGCATGCCTATAGCCCCAGCTACTTGGCAGGCTGAGGTGGGAGGATTGCTTGAGCCTGGGAGGTCGAGGCTGCAGTAAGCTTTGATTGCACCATTGTGCTCCAGTTCCAGCCTGAATGACAGAGTGAGAGCTTGTCTCAAAAAAAAAAAAAAAAAAAAAGGAAAAGAAAAGAAACTAAAAAGAGGAATCGCTGGGTTAGAGTATGCATATTTTAAGACCAATCTTCCATGCCAAATAGTCTTTTTAAAAAATTTATTTTATTATATTTGTTTGTAGAGACAGGGGTCTCCCTATGTTGGCCAGGATGGTCTCAAACTCCTGGGCTCAAGCAATCCTCCCACCTTGGCCTCTCAAAGTGCTGGGATTACAGGCATGAGCCACCATGCCTGGCCACCAAATCACCTTTTTAAAGTCTGTACTAATTTAGATTGCTACCAATAATGCATGTATGAGGATAATCATGCCCTTACATCCTAGCTGGAACTGTTAGGAACACTTTCACATTGTTGGTGCTAGCATTTACTGCAGCAGTGAGACCACGTGGGGCTGAGCACCACATTCTTCTGGAGGCCAAGAATGTTAGGGGCTCTGGTCCTCCTGCAAACTCCTAACCCTGGGAGGACAGAGATGATAAGGATGACCAGAGAGACTGCAGGGCATGAGCCTCCCTGCCTGTCCTCTGGTGTATCCTAGCCTGTGCCAGGTGATTCAGCCTCAGTGGGGCTTTTGGTGCTTGTCTTGTGCCACCAGCATCAGTGGTCCCAGTGTAAAGCTTAACAGGAAATCAGAGAATCTGTTACATTTCACTCTGTATCTTTTTTTTTTTTTGAAACCGGATCTCATTGGTTGCCCAGGCTGGAGTGCAGCGGTGTGATCAGGGTTCACTGCACTTAAACTCCTGGGCTCAGGTGATCCTTCCACCTCGGTCTCCAGTGTAGCTGAGAATATAGGCATGCACCACTATGCCAGGCTAATTTTTTTTTTTTTTTTTGGTAGAGACAGGATTTTTCCATGTTGCTCAGGCTGGTCTCAAACTCCTAGGCTCAAGCGATCTGACTGCCTTGGCCTCCCAAAAGTACTAGGATTACAGGTGTGAGCCACTGCACCAAGCCTGTATTATTTTATTTATTTATTTATTTGTTTGTTTGTTTTTTGAGATGAAGTCTTACTCTGTCGCCCAGGCTGGAGTGCAGTGGCCTGATCTTGGCTCACTGCAACCTCCACCTCCCAGGTTCAAGTGATTCTCCTGCCTCAGCCTCCTGAGTACCTAGGATTACAGGTGCATGCCACCACACCTGGCTAATTTTTATATTTTTAGTAGAGACAGGGTTTCACCATGTTGGCCAGGCTGGTCTCGAACTCCTGACCTCAGTGATCCACCTGTCTCGGCCTCTCAAATTGCTGGGATTACAGGCATGAGCCACCACACCCACCCTGTATTATTTTAATATGTGATTTATCTTTCTGAAAGTTTGTGAAGTCGTTGGGATTGGGGACTATGCAGTCCTCTTTGCATCCCTAGACATAGAAGAGCCTGTTCCTGGAAGGGACGGAAGTGGGAAACTGTTTTAGCCTCCTTGTTGGGGTTCCGCCCTTGAGGCTGCTGGTGCCCTCATGTCTTCCCCAGTAACACATTCTGTCCTGGAAACATAAGTGTGACATCCCACTCCCCTATGGAGTCAGGCTTCAGGATGTCAGTTACCAGGGCAGGTTGGCCTGACCCCAGAAAGTGACTCAGATTCCCCAGGCACACCCTTGTCCCTTGTTGTGGGAAGTCTCACCCCGGAGAGGCTGACTCCAGGGTTGTTGAAATAGAGCAGCCAGGTTCTGCCGATGACTGCTTAAAATTCATGTTGCCATGGTAGCATGGCATTAGGCCACCGGTGATCCTGCTGCACAAAGCTTTGATCTCGGAGAAGGCAGAGTTTCTTTTGCTCTCTAGCTGGTTCTAAGGGGACTGCCTTGGGACCAAGCTTTGGCTTTGCTCCTGGGCCTGGGGATTGTCCTAGAAGCAGAGAACTGGGGACAGCAAGACAGAGAACAAGACCCTCAGAAGTGGACTAAGCCCCGAGACTGCGATTCCAGTCGGAGGGACTTGGCTGGAAACCCTAAGGGCAAGAGATCTGGGTCTGAAGAGAGTGCAGTCAGATAGATCTGTAATGAGGGGATGTATATGCACTGCTTGACTTGAGAGAAAAGTGCAAATGAGATGGTCTGTGTGTGTTTTTAGTAGCAGAGCTAAGAAGAGGGTGGCTTATAAATGGGCTGGCTCAGCATGTCTCAGCATTGTTTGTAACTTACGCATTCATTCAACACCCATTGATTGAGGATATACTATGTTGGTGGTGCCGGAGGATGTGAATGGCTCACATGGCTTCAGTCCCTGAGGACTTTCCCAGCTGTCAGGGCATGAAAATGCACTAAAATAATACAAAGCAGGCTGGACGTGGTGGCTCACACCTATAATCCCAGCACTTTGGGAGGCCAAGGTGGGAGGATCACTTGAGGTCAGGGGTTTGAGACCAGCCTGGCCAACATGGTGAAACCCTGTCTCTACTAAAACTGCAAAAATTAGCCGGGTGTGGTGGCACGCGCCTGTAGTCCCAGCTACTCGGGAGGCTGAGGCAGGAGAATCACTCGAACCTGAGAGGCGGAGGTTGCAGTGAGCCGAGATCGTACCACTGCACTCCAGCCTGGGTGACAGAGCGAGACTCTGTCTCAAAAAAGTAAAAAAATGATAAAAATAAAAAATAAAATAATGCAAAGCAGAATGTGTTCAATTGTCTGGAGATGATGACATTTCAGAGGGAAAGAATCACCCCACCGGTGCAATCAGGGTATCCCTAGATGAATTTGGGTTGGACCTCAAATGACAGAGAGAGAAACAGGAAGCATCTAGTTGGAGGGTAGGGCAAGAACAACAGTGTGGCGAGGGGATGGGGGCAAATGTGAGAACCACAAGGAGTTTGGTTCATTAAAGGGATGGAAGGAGATAATATTGTAAAGGTAGGTTGATCCCAGAGCTGAACTGACTTTAGACTTAATTTGACAGGCCTTGGGGAGCCACAGGAGGATTTTGGGCCTGGCAGTGGCTGATTGGAGCTGCACTTTGAAAAAATGAATCTGGGTGCAGCTGTAGAATGGACTGAGAAGTTAAGCGGCTATAAGTTTTTGAAATCTCCATGGGGCTGAAGAGGTAAGGAGACTGTGTTAGGGTGACATGATGGCTCTGGGATGGAAAACGAAAGAACAGCCTGATAGGGATGAACAGGACCTGGAATGCGACCTGGTGGAGGTGGGAAGGAGAAATGGAGTCAGTGGAGGCTGAGATGCAAAACCTAGTTGTATTCTGGCACTGCTATAAAGAAATACTGGAGACTGGGCAAATTATAAGAAAAGAGGTTTAATTGGCTCGTGGTTCTGTAGGCTGTATAGGAAGCATAGCAACATTAGCTTCTGGGGAGGCCTCAGGAAGCTCCCAATCAGGGCAGAAGGCAAAGTGGGAGCAGGCACATCACATAGCGAGATAGTGAGAATGAGATCAAGCAAGAAAGAGAAAGAGACAGAGAGAGAGAGAGAAGCCACACACTCTTTTTTCATTTTTCTTTTCTTTCTTCCTTTTCTTTTTTTGAGATGGAGTCTTGCTCTGTTGTCCAGCCTGGAGTGTAATGGCGTGATCTTGGCTCACTGCAACCTCCGCCTCCAGGGTTCAAGTGATTCTCCTGCCTCAGCCTCTCAAGTAGCTGGAATTACAGGTGCCCACCACCATGCCCGGATAGTCTTTGTATTTTTAGTAGAGATGGGGTTTTGCCACATTGACCCGGTCTCAAACTCCTGACTTAAAGTGATCCGCCTGCCTCTGCCTCCCAAAGTGCTGGGATTACAGGTGTAAGCCACTGCATCTGGCCACGTCACACACTTTTTACAACCAGATCTCATATGAACTCAGAGCAAGAGCTCACATATCACCATGAATTGGCTGAAGCCATTCATGAGGGATCCACTCCTCCATGATCCAAACACCTCCCACCAGACCGCACCTGGAAGATTGGGGATTACATTTCAACACTAGATTTGGGCTGAGGTGGCAGGGGCACAGATATCCAAACTATATCACCAGTGCAATAGAGGAAGGCACTGCCAGTCCACGGGGCCAGGAAATCAGGAGGAGGAAGCAGTGTGGGGGAGACGAGCTCATGACGGTGAGTTTGAAAACGACTAGCTTGTACCTGGGAGAGGAAACAGGACTGGAGATGTAGCCTTTGGTGACATCATCCTCTTGACATAATGGAAATATTGGGGTCCAGGAAGGGAGGAGGCATTGAGGGACAGAATTGGGGGTGTGGGAGAGGAAGTATTAGGACAGAACCTGGAGGAAAGCTGGCCTTAGGGAGGGAAGGTAGGGAGGGAGGCCAGAGAAGATGAAGGAGGGCCTGGTGGTGGAAGTGCATGGTGAAGATTCAGGAAGCATCTGCCACATGCTAAGTACTTGCTGCATACACCGTCATTTCCAGTGGAGCATTCCAGGGAACTGAGACTGAGAAAAAGCCACTGCCTTCTGGAAACCAAGTTCAAGAGTTAAGGAATGGGCAAGAGTGGTGGCTCATGTCTATAATCCCAACTCTTTGGGAGGCTGAGGCTGGCAGATCGCTTGAGCCCAGGAATTTGAGACCAACCTGGGCAACGTGGTGAAACCTCATCTCTACAAAAAAAAAAAAAAAAGCTGGGTGTGGTGGCGTGTGCCTGTAGCCTCCAGCTACTATGGAGGCTGAGGTAGGAGGATCACTTGTGTCTGGGAGGTCCAGCCTGCACTGAGATGTGATTCTGCCACTGTACTTGAATGAGACCCTGTCAAAAAAAAAAAAAAAAAAGAAAAGGAAAGAAAGGAAAAGGGAAAAAAGAGTTAAGTAATGAATGCTATAGGCCTGAGAAATTTGGCAGTGAAGAGAATGAGAGATGATGCTAACAGGGTCAAGGGAAGATTTTTTTTTTGTGCTTTTATTCTCTTGCAAACTGAAATTTCTTTTTAGAATGAGTAGACCATCTAGAGTCGTTATATGACCCAGCCACTCCACTCCTAAGTGTATACCCAAAAGAACTGAAAACGTATGTTTACAAAAAACTTATACACACATGCTCACAGCAGCACGATTCATTCATAATAACTGAAAAGCGGAAACAATCCAAATGTCCATCAGCAGATGAATGGATAAACAAAATGTGGTCTATCTGTATAATGGAATATTATTCTGCCATTAAAAGAAATGAAGTTCCAATACATGCTCCAGCACTGATGAAACTTAGAAACATTATACTGAGTGAAATAACCCAGACACAGAAGACCACACATTGTGAGTCCATTTACACAAAATGCCCAGAAAAGGCAACCCATGGAGACAGAAATTAGATGGGTGGTTGCCAGGGGCTGGGAGAGGGGAGAAGGAGGAGCGGCTGCTGATGGGATTTCCTTTTGGGGTGATGAGAATGTGCTGGAATTACACAGTGGTGATGTTTGCACCACTCTGTGAGTATACTAAAAAACAATTTAATGGTTTGCATTAAAAAAAAGAAGAGGTAGATCAAATACTCTCTTTAGATGAAAAGCTTATGGGTTGAATATTGGAGAGGATAAGTGGCAGAGCAAGGAAGATGGGGGAAGTGATCATGGCCAAAGGTAAAACAATGGAATCTAGGAGGGGGATGTTCCTTCCTTCCCAGGGATCAGAGCAAAGAAAGAGACGCAGCAGCCACCTGCTCCACCAACACAGCAGGCACTGTGGCCAGGGCCCGTGCCACACTTAGGGGTCCACAGAAATGTTTTATTTTCTTTTAAACTTAAGAAAAAAAAAGATCAATGCAATTCAACTTGGATTATATTCATCTTTATACCAACACAGTTGTAATGTACATAATTTTGTATTTTTTTAAATTCTGTGAATTAAAAAGTTTACATCAAGGGCTGGGCGTGGTGACTCACCCCTCCAATCCTAGCACTTTGGGAGCTGAGGCAGGTGGATCGCTTGAGTCCAGGAGTTCAAGACCAGCCTGAGCAACATGGTGAGGCCCTGTCTCTACAAAAAATATAAAAAATTAGCTGGGTGTGGTAGAGTGCACCTGTAGTCCCAGGTACTTGGGAGGCTGAGGTGGAAGGATCACCTGACCCCAGGAGGTGAGGGTTGCAATGAGCTGAGATCATGTCACTGCACTCCAGCTTGGGTGACAGAGTGAGACCTTGTCTCTTAAAAAAAAAAAATTCACATAAGTGCCCAGGGCCCATAAAAGTCATAGTGAGGTCCTGGATGCAGTCCGAGAAGGAAGAGTGAGATATGGAGGGGACACACTGTCTTTTAAGAAAGGCACAAGGAAGGCCAGCAGTGGGAGCTGGAAGGAAGAAACACCTGATTTCAATGAGGTTTTGGCTTTTCTGAGCACGTTCACGGACTTTCTCTCAGGCAATCCTCAAACATCGTTTGCTATTCACAGCCCCATTGACCTTTGAACAACACAGATTTGAACTGCACGGGTCCACTGATACACGGATTTTTTTCAATAAATATACTGAAAAATTAGGGAGAGGGGATTTGTGACAATTTGAAAAAATGGACAGGCAAACCTCACAGCCTAGAAATATGGAAAATAATTAAGAAAAAGGTACGTCATGAGTTCATAAAATAGATGTAGACGCTGGTCTATTTGTATGTCAATTGACAGTTTATGTTATTGGTAAAGCGCCTGGTCACTGTTGGCTATTGGTAGTTAAGTTTTGGGAGGAGTTAAAAGTTATATGTGAATTTTTGACTAGGTAGGGGTTGGTGCCCCTAACCCCGGTGCTGTTCAAGGGTCAACTGTATTCACATACTATGCATTATTATAGAAGATTGTAGCCTTTTTCCTCCAGCACCCAAACCGCAAGCACAATGTTGATGACATATAGGCAATTTGCACTCTTTCGGAAGACTTCAGGTTTGCTATGTTTCTTATGAGCTGGTCCCTAGATCCCAAGACTACTAGGGGTTATATGGATAATGTCAGCTCACTCTCCTTGTCACTTAATTTCCTATTCCCTCTCCCTGTGCCCCTGCTGGTCCTTTCAATGCCTTTGTGCAAATCAGAATAAAGCTATCTTCTCCAGATAATCTTAGTCCTTCAGGCAGTGGCTTGGCAAGCACTCTACCCCTTTGTGCAAATTCCAAAAGGCACCCTTTCTTCTACCATTCAGCTTGTGAAGAGGAGCAAAGGCTAGATTTCGGTCTTTGCTGATCCCCACGGCTGGGGACCCAACCTGTCGACTGTGGCAGGGACCCATCTCCTCCTCACCTCTGAGCTTAGGATGTGGCATCCTTGGTATCCTCCATAGTCATTGGCTTACCTGGCACATCCAGACTTTGCAAATTCTTGAAGAAAAACATCATGGCTTTTACTTTTCAAAGGTCTGCATCTTTTTACTGCAATGTAAGTTTCTTTCTTTCTTTTTTTTTTTTTTTTTTAAGATGAAGTCTCGCTGTGTCACTCAGGCTGGAGTGCAGTGGCATGATCTTGGCTCACTGCAACTTCTGCCTCCTGGGTTCAAGCGATTCTCCTGCCTCAGCTTTCTGAGTAGCTGGGACTACATGCACCACCATGCCTGGTCAATTTTTTTTTTTTTTTTTTTAGTAGAGACAAGGTTTTACCACATTGGCCAGGCTGGTCCCAAATTCCTGACCTCTAGTAGTCTGCCTGCCTTGGCCTCCCAAAGTGCTGGGATTATAGGTGTGAGCCACCGCGCCCAGCCTTGGAATGTAAGTTTCTTATTTGCTTTTTTTTCCCCATAGGAGATGCCTCATGAATTTTTACTGTTACTACTACCTTCCAGTTGCTGGGTTCTGTTTTAAAGGCTGACTGTGTGAGCCAAGCATTACATCTCTCTCTCTCTCTCACCCACCCCTAAACACACACACACACACACACACACACACATGCACTTACACACACACTCTCATTGACTCTTCACAGTCGTGTAAAGCAAATACATCCCCGTATTCTTTTGATAGGCTGCCATGACAAAATACCACAGGCTGGGGGGTTTAAACAACAGAAATTTATTTTATCAAAGTTCTGAAGTCTGAAAGTCTGAGACCAAGGTGTTGGCAGGTTTGCTTTCTCCTGAGGCCTCTCTCCTTAGCTTGCAGACGGCCACCTTCTCACTGTGTGTTCACATGCTCATCTCTCTGTGCTTGTGTGTGCCCAGTGTCTCTGGGCTGAGGACAGATGGTGGAGGCAAGGGTGAAAGCAGGAGGACCGTGCATATAAGAGGCTCTCAGATACCAGGGCGAGAAAGCATGGTGTGTTAGAACGCAGTGGTGAGAGTGGAAGTGTGAGAGGGATTTGGGTTCTGCTTATATTTTGACATGAAAGCTGAGGGGTTTCCTGATGGCTGGGACATGGAATATGAGCAGAGGAAGAGTCAAGAGTGACTCTAGATTTTCTTTGGCCACAGAAATGGAGAAGATGACACGGACTTTATTGCCTTGGGGGAGAGCAGTTATTGGGAAGAGTTTCCTTATGGACAGGTTAAGTGTGGCTGTTTACTGGATACTCAAGTAGGAAGTCAATATGTAAGTCCAGAGCTCAGAGGGTTACCTGGGACTGAAGTTATAAACATGGGATTTCTCCAACTTATAGATGAGATCACCCAAGGAGTGAGTGTTAATGGAAAAAAGTAAAGGCCCAAGGATGGTCTTGAGGGTGGTCTACAACTGCAGGTCATGTAGATGAGGAAAAGCCAGCAAAGAGTATGGCAAAGTAGCAACAGATGAAGGAAGAGAACTAGACAAGTATCGTGTCCTGGAGAAAGGGAAGAACATGTTTCAAGAAGGAGAGAGTGATCAGTGGTGTCAAATGCTGCTGATAGGTCTAATAAAGTGTGGGCTTATTCACCATGGCTTTAATGATGTGGAGAGCATTGATGGCCTTGATCATCAATTTTCGGTGGGGTGGGGGGCATACAGTGGTCCAGTGGACTTTTGGGTTCAAGAGAGTAGGTACAGAGAAAAATAGGAGACAGTATGGAATGAAAACTTTCTTTCAAAAAGTTTTCTTACAAAGGGAGGATGAAAATGGGACACTAGCTAGCACGAGGAGTAGGGCCAAAGAGTTTTTAATTTTAAGACGGAAGAAATAACAGCATGCTTCGCAGTTGATGAGAAAGATTCAATAGTGAGGGGGAAAATGAAGATCCAGGAGGGAGTGGGAGGGGTTCTGGAGTGATGTTCCTGCCAGGGAGAAAGCGGATGAGGAGAACGTGCAAGGGGAGGGATGAGCTTCTGCTGGGAGCACAGAAGATCAGAGGAGAGGCCGGGTACACAGGAACAGATGCAGGGAGGTGGATGGATGTGGTAATGGGAGCAGGGGAGAGCTCTCTTCCAGTGGCTTTGATTTCTCAGAGAGAGAGCAAAGGGACATGGAAGAGGAGTTACCGGTAGTGTGTGGAGAGTGGGGATTCCAGATAGTCATGGAGGAGAGTGGGAGTGAGAATGAGTGAGGTGAGTGCAGAGGGTTGCCTGGCAGCGTTAAGGACCCATTTGTGGTGAGAGAGCACGAGCTGGCATTCTGCATTGTAGAATGCAGAATTGCATGAGCTTGCATTTTGCTTTATGCTACAAGTTTTCATAGGCAAATGCCTCAGCCCCACTACTAACTTATAGGTCCAAATATACGTCCTTTACTCCACTCTTTGTGCAGGCTGACTCTAAATATTTGACCTCATAAGTAATGCTTCTGGTAACTTTCAACTTCTCCTTTTCCCAAGGCATAATTAAAATTCCCTTCTAACATTCCCTACTCACCTTTACATAGTAGGTAGGAAAAAAATGCTTTATCCTTAAGCAACTTTTTCTTTCACATTTCTCCATACCTCTTTGACCCACCATGGGTGAGGATATGATTTGGCTCTGTGTCCCCACCCAAATCTCATCTCGAATTGTAATCCCCACAGTCTCCACATGTCGAGGGAGGAACCCAGTGGGAGGTGATTGGATCATGGGGGCAGCTTCCCCCATGCTGTTCTTGTGATAGTGAGTGAGTTCTCATGAGAGCTGATGGTTTTATAAGGACCTCTTTCTTCTTCGCTCCTCACTCTTCTCTTTCCTGCTGCCTTGTGAAGAAGATGCCTGCTCCCCCTTCGCCTTCCATCATGATTGAAAGTTTCCTGAGGCTTTCCCAGCCATGCAGAACTGTGAGTCAATTAAACCTCCTTTGTTTAGAAAATATCCAGTCTTGGGTATTTCTTTATAGCAGTGCAAAAACAGACTAATACAATGAGCATAAAAGTAATAGTATTATTTTTCCTTTCCTCATACATGTTAGTGGTCACTTATATCCCATCTCAGTGATTCCTAAAACTTAGCAGCATTTTTTTTTTAAGACACAGTTTTGCTCTTGTCGCCCAGACTGGTGTGCAATGGTGCCATCTTGGCTTATTGCAACCTCCGCCTCCTGGGTTCAAGCGATTCTCCTGCCTCAGCCTCCTGAGTAGCTGGGATTACAGGTGTCTGCCACCATGCCTGGCTAATTTTTGTATTTTTAATAGAGATGGGGTTTCACCATGTTGGCCAGGCTGGTCCTGAACTTCTGACATCAGGTAATCGACCCGCCTCAGCCTCCCAAAGTGCTGGGATTACAGGCGTGAGTCACTGTGCCCGGCCTGCAGCTTTTAAAAAAATTATTACTGTATTCCACTCACATATACCAAGTTTAAAAGGAATTAAGAAATGGAGTTTATTTAGCATTTATATGTTTTCCCATTATATTAATTAAAAATTACGTAATTCTCAATCAGCTCTTCTGATCTGTAGCTTTTCTGATAGTTTCAGGATGTTGTAAGTCATTCATATGGCCAGAAACAAGTGTGAGGAATGGAGGGACCAGGGACAAAGCTAGAGGAGTGAGCCAGGTTATAAGCACTTTCTAAATAGGGAATTATTCTATAAGACAGTGGAAAGTCACCAAAAGATTTTAAATCAGGAAAGACACAATAAGATTTCTATGATTGAAGCTCTCTCTAGGAGCAATGTAAAAAATACATTGGCTGAACCAAGAAAGTGGCAATGAAGATGGAAAGAAACAGATTTGAAAGATATGTAGATCATAGATTGAATAAGACTTAGGGAATCATTTGAGTGAGAGAATGAGGGTTGAGGACAAGAGAATAGTGTTTGGTGGCATCAGATTTAGGGCAGGAACATAGCGAAGTAAGGTCATAATGGGTTCCAAAGAAGCAGTCTATCACAGAGAAGAGGCTAGCACCATAGGACACAGGGCATATACATCTGCAGGGAAATGTATAAGCCAGGGCATAAATTCATTTATTCAAATATCAATGCCACTGACATTGATCAGATGCTAGCTATAAGAGAAACCATCCCTTCCTTTGAGAAACTGACTCCTTAGGGAACCAGATGTAAAGAAACAAACATCAATACAGTCTATTATAATAAAAGTATAAACAAAGTTCATTTTGGTATATTTTCTTCAGGTCATATTTATTGCACATACAATATTTTCTTAAACAGTTTACTTTGTTGGCTTCTCTGAAGATCATGCATTCTTTTCCCCCTTTAGGACTGGTCGCAAATTATCAGTCATGCTTTGGATTTGGCTCATGGTCATATTTCTTTGGCTCAGTGTTTTGAAAATAAGAAGAATTTATTTTCAATATATTAAAACTGAGCTTTTTTTTATATAAATTCAGGTTCCCAGGTCCTCTTGAAAACTGAAAGATCTGGCAATAATGTTCCCATATGGCAATTCCTGATTGAAGCTGAATAGTGACTCCCTTAGACCGCCCAATTTCCATGGGTGCTATGAATCATGTGGCCCATCAGGACTCTCTCTAAGCACCAGCTCTGGGAAGATCAGAGCCAAATCTTCCATAAGTAGTGTGTGTCAGAGCTGTACATGTGTTAAATGTATAGAAAAAAGAATGAAACACATATTTAATGTATAGGAAAGAGAATGGAAAGAAATGTGTTAATGTTTTATCAGCAACATCTTAGGTTTGTTTCCCAAAAGCAGACCCTGAGATGAGAATTCATGTGCAAGGGATTAACTAGATAAGTGGTTCCTGGAAAAATTAGTCAGGGATCGGGGAAGCAGGACAGGCAAGGGGAGAAGCCAAGAAAGGGTGGCATGTCAGTACCATGGAGAGTAGCTTCAGTCTCCTCTCACAGGACAACCCTGGAGTGGGAGGTGCACCTGCCAGGATTTTGTACTCCTTTGAGTATTATCTGCCCAGTTACTTCCACCTCTCTGCACATTTGCACAAAGCAGCTCTGATAACTAGTGGGCAGTCTTCCAGAATCCCAGATGCTGGGGGTTAGAAGCAAAACCACACTGAAGTCTATAGAGGAGCTCCAGAAATGGAAAAAGCGATCCAGGACTCTAAAGAGAGGACCAATGTCCACTACCCAGTGATTATTTCTGAGCAGCAAGATTACATGTGATTATTATACTTTTTGTTACATTTTTGTAATGTTCATATTTTTTCTATACACTTGAAATATGATTTTGTAACTAGAATAAAGACTAAAAAGATAAACCATCCCTTGACCATGTATCTTCCTCTAGGCACAACTCTTTCTTCTGTTCTTATTTGCTAAGCTTCCCTTAAAAGAACATTCAAGATAAATTTAATTTACTGTCTCATTCTAAAAGCAATACATATTTATTGTAGAAAAGAGAAAGTACAGATGAGTAAAAAGTAAAAAATAAAACCCTCGAATCCCACCACACAGAGATAACCACTGTAATCACCTTCAAGTATATAGTTCTAGGTGTGTGCGTCAAATAAAAATGAGATAGTACTATAAATACTTGCTTTTAAAAATATTTAAATAAGGCTGTGCGCGGTCGCTTATGCCTGTAATCCCAGCACTTTGGAAGGCTGAGGCAGGCAGATTACTTGAGGTCAGAAGTTTGAGACCAGTCTAACCAACATGGTGAAACCCCGTCTCTACTAAAAATACAAAAATTAGCTGGGTGTGGTGGCACATGGCTGTCGTCCCAACTACTCGGGAGGCTGAGGCATGAGAATCACTTGAACCCAGGAGGTAAAGGTTGCAGTGAGCCAAGATCGCGCCACTGCACTACAGCCTGGGTGACAAAGAGAGACCATCTCAAAAAAAAAAAAATTAAATTAACTTTTAAATTTTAGAATAGTTTTATATTTACAGAAAAGTTGGAAAGATAGTACAGAGAGTTTCTGTATGCCTCTCACCCAGTTTAATACATGCCTTTTTTTCATTTCATTCATTTATTCATTCATCATTCATTTATTCAATTCATTCATTTCATTTCATTTCATTTAAGTTGTCATGCACACTTTCCCATGCCAATAAATATTCATCTCCACACCATTTTTAATAATGGGTATTCAATTGTAGAGATATAGCATAATCTCATTTTGTTGGATATTTGGAATATTTCTAATTTTGTACTATTAAAATTTTTTAATTTGTAATTTTTAATATTTTTTGTGTGTGAATTAATTCTCCTGAGAAAATTTTTTACTTTTATAGGTGTTTCTCACCAAAAGTTTCTAGGGGTAGAATTGCTTGGTCAAATGCAAAAAAAATCCTTAAGGCCCCTAATACCAGTTGATCATTGCCTTCCAGGAGAACATGCTTTGCAGAATATGAGAGTTTTCATTTCACCCACTTAAATTTTACTATTCTTTTAATCCCATGGATAACATGAGTCATGTGGCCAATCAGGACTTTCTCTAAGCACCAGCTGGTATACCAACTGATATCATTTGGCTGTGTCCCTACCCAAATCTCATCCTGAATTGTAGCTCTAATAATTCCCATGAGTTATGGGAGGGACCTGGTGGGAGATAATTGAATCATGGGGGTGGTTCCCCCATACTGTTCTCATGGTATTGAATGAGTCTCACAAGATCTGTTGGTTTTTTAAGGGGTTTCCCCTTTTGCTTGGCTCTCATTCTTTCTTGCCTGCCACCATGTAAGATGTGCCTTTCACCTTCTGCCATGATGGTGAGGCCTCCCAGCCACGTGTAACTGTGAATTTATGAAATCTCTTTTTCCTTATAAATTACCCAGTCTTGGGTATGTCTTTATCAGCAGCATGAGAACAGACTAATACCAGCACTCTGGGTATTATAATTTAAGAAGTACCATCCCTTTCATCCCACTGCTATGATCTTTGTCTAAATCACGGCCATCTCTGGCAGAGCCCACCTCCTCCTCTCTGGGCTCCCTATCTCTAATCCTTGCTACCTATTCTGCACAATGCCTCCAGTGTGAGTGTTTAATAACACAGACATGAGCATGCAAGCACCCTGCTTAAGATCCTTCTGTGGTCCCACACTGACTTCAGAATGGTGACCAAACTTCCTGGAATGACATCTAAGGTTGTCCCCAAGTGGGTTCCTCCAGGCTTTGCTCTTCCTGTATCCCTCCTACAGGTTTCCTGCTATTTAGGGGACACACAGCTGCTTGCATTCCCTAAACTCATCATGCTGCTTTCTTTTTCCAGAAGTTTCTCATGCTCTTCTTCCATCCTGCCTGCCTGACATATATATTTTTTTTTTCTTTTTTTTTTTTTGAGACAGAATCTCACTCTGTCACTCAGGCTTGAGTATAGTGGTGCGATCTCAGCTCACTGCAACCTCTGCCTCCCAGGTTCAAGAGATTCTCTTGCCTCAGTCTCCCAAGTAGCTGGGATTACAGGTGCATGCCACCATACCCGGATAATTTTTGTATTTTTAGTAGACATGGGGTTTTGCATGTTGACCAGGCTGGTCTTGAACTCCTGACCTCAGATGATCCACCCGCCTTGGCCTCTCAAAGTGCTGGATTATAGGCGTGAACCACTGTGCCTGGCCCTGTGTGACATTATTAAGAAGTGTCTTACCCAGTTTTTTAAGACTCACTTCAAGCATTACCTTCTCTAGGAAGCCTTTACGGACTCTTTTTCCCTCCTTCCCCAGCCTCCTACCTGGCCTAACGGCTTTCCCTTTTGTGCCTAACTCTGGAGGCCAACTTAGTCAAGGTCGAGTCTCATTCTCCAGTTAACTGACATTTTAAAAATGTGCCATAGGTCCCTAAGGTGGTAACTAAGGGGAGGACAGGTATCCAGTTATGTGTCTACTGCAATGATCCCGGCAACAAACTGTTGTGGATGGGATGAGAGAAGAGGGATTGATTCTGGACATATGAAGGAGATGAAATCACAGGGCTTGGGTGCCCAAGGTGAGAGGAGTGAGAGTGAGTGAAAGGAAGGCTGTAGGAAGAGTCCTGGTTCCTGTTGGTGATTGACGATGCATAATGGTTTCCTAGCACCATTGTTTTTTGTCTTCCCATCAGATCACCAACACCCCAAGATCTTAATTTCCCAAAGCACTAAGCACAGTGTTAAATATTCAATAGGTCCTCAGTGATCCCCTGTGGCTCATACACACCGTGGCTTTAAATTCAACTCAGAAGTAGCTCCAGGGCAGTGCAGTGGCTCATGCCTATAATCCTGGCACTTTGAGAGGCTGGGGTGGGCCAACTGCTTAAGCTCAGGAGTTTGAGACCAGCCTGGGCAACATAGTGAAACCCCGTCTCTACAAAAATTACAAAAATTAGCCGAGTGTGGTGGCACACACCTGTAGTCCCAGCTACTTGGGGGGTGAGAGTGGGGATGGGGGCTGAAGTAGGATAATTACTTGAACCTGGGAGGTTGAGGCTGCCACAAGCCATGATTTTGCCACTGCACTCCAGCCTGGGTGACAGAGTGAGACCTTGTCTCAATTTAAAAAAAAGAAAAGAAAAGAAAAGAAGTAGCACCAAACACCATGCTAGGCTCCTCATTGACCTACAGAATTTTATGTTGTGCCAATGTCATTGATTTGTAGGGTACACCTAGTAAGTATTAACATGGAGTTAATATGGAGTTGTTAAAAAGCCTAGAAGTTTATAGAATATTTTAGTGGTGTGGATGGTGCCTCTCCTACTTTTATCTGCCAGGGCATGGGTATTTGAACTTTTCTGACTGCCGTGCATGGTAAGGAATACATTTTACAGGGCAGAGCCCACGCTGTTGGTGCTCCATCTGTATGCCCTGGGTCTACCCCGAAGTCACTGTAGGCAGCTCCTTTGCACTCCTATGGATGACCCAGCCCTCTCAAGGACATTCTCTGGCCATGGGGGCACACTTGGTCCCTATGAGGCGCATCCTAGGAACTAATGCCCAGCTGAGACTCCAACCAACAGAGGACGGGTGTTATGGCTGATGCTCCACTTCCTCATCTTAGGTAGGGACAGCTCTGAGGCACGGTCCACAGGGTCCCTCCAAGAGTCTCCATGAGATTGAGCTCCAGGGTCCCAAAGCAGGAGCCCGGTCATAAACAAGTGCTTCACTGACTTTTCTCTTTCGTTGCCTCCTTTCTTCCATTCCCTCGCAGTACATTCTAGAATGACCTCCCCCACAATAACCCATTTGCCCTCAAACCTTTATCTCAAACAATAGGATGACTACAGTCAATGATAACTTAATTGTTTATTTAAAAATAACTTAAAGAATGTAATTGGAGGTCGGGCATGGTGGCTCACACCTGTAATCCCAGCACTTTGGGAGGCCGAGGCTGGTGGATCACAAGGTCAGGAGTTCAAGACCATCTGGCCAACATGGTGAAACCCTGTCTCTACTAAAAATACAAAAATTAGCTGGGCATGGTGGTGCACACCTGCAATTCCAGCTACTCAGGAGGCTAAGGCAGCAGAATCGCTTGAATAGGGACCCAGGAGGTGGAGGTTGCAGTGAGCTGAGATTGCACCACAGGACTCCAACCTGGGCTACAGAGTGAGACTCCGTCTCAAAAAAGAAAAAAAAAGAATGTAATTGGATTGTTTGTAACTCAACAGATAAATGCTTGAGGGGATGGATACCCCATTCTCCATGATGTGCTTATTTCACATTGCATGCCTGTATCAAAACATCTCATGTACCCCATAAATATACACACCTACTATGTACCCACACAAATTTTAAAAAATAAACTCTTTATCTCAGGGTCTCTTTGTGGGTAAAGGGGCAGTGAAGACATTTGGTGATCCAATGTACTCATATCTGTTTTTTGTTTGTTTGTTTGTTTTCTTTTTGGAGATGAGGTCTCTCTGTGCTGCCCAGGCTGGTCTCAACTCCTGACCTCAAGCAATCCTCCCCCATCTCCCTCCAGAGTAGCTGGGATTACAAACGTGAGCCACTGTGCCTGGCTGCATACTCGTAAGTGAAACAAAAGTTTCGAGAATGCTTATCCTAATATATCAAATGCGCTGATCTTTTCCCTTCCCTTCCCTTCCCTTCCCTTCCCTTCCCTTCCCTTCCCTTCCCTTCCCTTCCCTTCCCTTCCTTTCCCTTTTCTGCTGTACGAGACCTACTGAACTAATTTGATGACCCCCTCATGAGTCTCAGCCTGTAGTTTGGAGATCACCATTCCAGAGGGTGGGTGTATTAAGGAGAACTGGGTCTTGATCATAAGCCTAATTTAATAGTCAAACTGCTCCTTGGGAGGCACTGCGAGCCCTGAGGTCAGCTGGGAGGGTTTCTAGTGGCTCATGGATGCCTCCATTTCATTGCATTTCAAACTGATGCTTCTTGTCAAGGGGCTACTTTATTGGCTTTGCTGACCATTTTGGCACAAAGCCCAGTAGAAACAATGTCCCCCTTTTCTCTGAATAGTTCTTCGGGTCACCTCAGAGAAGACCAGGGCTCGGAATTGAGGGTGGAGAGAGCAATTAGGAAGGAGGAGGAGAAGTGGATGTGGATTTTCAAAGGTCAGGCAGAGTACAATTAGTGAACTCTTAGACTTATTCCAAGTGCCTTTCCTGGCTGGAAAAACAACAATAAAAGAAAGAAAGAAAAAAAAAAATCCAAACCCACAAGTGGGGTAAAAGTTGAAGAACACTTTAATTCATAAGGAAAAGGGCTTGAATAATTGATGCTGCCGCCATGCCAAAGATAATTTCAGCGCTCTCTCTATCTCACAAAGACATTTAGCATTGATTGAGATCAAAGTATCAGGGATCCCTGCTGCTAGGCTGAAAGGCAAAACTCACAGCGGCCTTTCTCTGCTCTGATAATGTCGTCTTTATGTAGTTAATAAACTGCACACACCAGTCAAACTATATCATTACAGAAGACTTAGGGAGCTAATAATTTAAAAGCAAAGAATTGCCTCTGTTCTTCACTTTGAACTAAACAACATTCTGTTGAAGGAGGAGGACATCAAAGTCTTGTCACTATTACCAGTGTGGATTGAGCAGAAGGCCGCACAGAGAGGGCACTTCAGTCATCAAGGAAAAAAAAAAGAGAAAGAAAGAGAAAGATTAAAGATATTGGCTTATCAACCCAAAGGCAGTACCAGGTGTTTTATTATTATTTTTTTCAACAATGTAATAAGCATCAGGTGGCTAGCTCATCAGTGAGTGTCCTTGTTAAGTGGATGTACATGAACCAGGTCACAGACTGTTCCCTTTCCACCTTGGCCCCATTCTGAACTTTGTCCTTAACTACCTTTATGTTCACTTTCAGCTTGACCACCCCTCTTGCCACCCCACCCCTGGCCTCCCTTAGCCTCCAGGGGTTCTGTTTTGGTGCCTTCCACGACCTCTCTTTGTGAAGAGCAGTAGAGCTCCACATCTCCCACCCCTCAGCATTGGCTTGTCTGTATTTTGCCTCTGAGACTCCACTGGCTTGCTGGAAGAGGTGGAGATGCAACCATTTGAACAGGGGTTTTCTGAGATCGAAACTCCATTCCACCAGTTTTAAAGAGTGACACTGCATAAAGCACATAAGGCTTCTTCCTGACCATCCTCACACACTGCTCTTGGAAGCATTCTTAGAATGGATTCGCTAGAAGCAGGGATTCTCATACAAGTGATTTATGGAGGGAGGCTCTTGGAAGAAAATCCTTTAAGGAAGCGATGGAAACAGGGTAGGGAAGAGGAAGAAGAGAAGATGTGGCTCAGCTGAAGTCTCATCTTAGCCTGTTCCCAGGGGGAGCTGGAAAGTATGAAAGGCAACACAAGGTGGTCCCCACTTCTGGCCTTTGTACCCTGTATCAGTCACCTGTTAGCTGCAGCTGCCTCAGGGTAGTAGGCTGACATTCCAGACACTTCCTGCCTCAGTGGCTCCTGCAACAGGCCAAGGGCAGTTCTCCGGGTAGCAGCCAGGTGGCTTTTGCATCAACACTGACAGCAGCTGGGAGACGGAGGCATCATCCTGTCATAGGGGCTTTGGGCAGGTCACTATGGAGGGTCAATCCAGTGATTTACCAGAAGACTGTAGAAAATGTTCTTGTCGTTTAATCTAGCCGCTTTGTGTTTAGGTCTTTATCCTGAGGATTATATCACGAATTTGTGAGAAGTTTTGTTGTTGTCATCATCAACATAACCACCGTCATCATCCTCTGTTGAGCGTGTATTTGCAGAGCACTTTACAGATACTGTCTCATTTAATCCTTTCAACCATTCTGTGAGGTTTAGAGAGAGAATTACTCTTGCCTTCGAATGCAGGGCTTGACAGTGGCATGTTCAGGGGATATTCATTGCAATATAATTTACAGTAATAAAGATTTGGAAAGAATCCATTTCTCCAACACTGGGTGCAGAGAGGTAAATTACTTACCTCTGTAGAATGGCATAATGCGTAGACCATAAAAATGCTATAATAATACAGAGGTGAGTCCACAATACACTGCTAAGTGGAAAAATTAGGCCACAAAGCTGCATTATACCGGTGCGTGCGTGTGTGTGTGTATGTGTGTGTATGTGTGTGTGTGTGTGTGTGTGTGTGTGTAGACAATATGTTTTAAATATTAAGGGATATTTTTGTGTCCACATTTCCTTTTACCCTTTGTGGAACCTCCTCCCTACCCCCATCCTCTGTATTAAAGTTCAGCTCTTTGGTGCTGTTTGCCTCAGGGAAGGGAAATAAAATAGTAGGCAGTGGAAAAGTTGGAGGAGTAAGAAGAGGGGGAGGAGCTGGAAGCAAGGCGAGACGACCTGGTCCTGGGATCTAGCATCCATCCATGGACCACATCCCCTTGCCCCCCATTTTCTCCCAATCCTATTCCAAGAGGGGAGATTGAACTGGAGATTTTGAATTTCTGCCTGCAGGAATCAAGAATCACAACAGAAATCAAGCTGAGCTAGAGGAAATAAAGATCTATTTCTTGCCTACATAAAGCTTTGGATGGGGATTTACACCCACTGCTTGTGAACAGGAAAAGAGTAAAAGGAAATACCACAAAATGATGATTCAGTGGTTATCACTGAGTGATTTGTATTTCCTTCTTGGTGCTTTCCTGTGTGTTTCGTGTTTTTTTTTTTTCAGTAAAACATTAATTTTGAAGTCAGAAAAAAGTTTTTTCAAAAAATTTAGAGAGTACTTTATTAGTTTCTGTGATCAAACTCATGTAGATAAGACTTTACATATTTAATACAGTGTGTTACCCTTGTACAAATGGAAAAAAAATAAGTTTAACTTTTCTAGAGCAATATGGTTGTTAATTTCTGTACAATGCCACCTCAACATGGTAAACTGGAATATTTTTCCAAAGTGGATAGCACAGCTAAAGTTTCCAAAAATTCAAATTATATGTAGACCAATAATAGCAGTATGTTATGCATTAATAGCAGCAACAGCTTAGGAAAAAGTTATATTTAAAATCTTTCTCTTAAAGGGAATACTCATACACAGTTGGGAATGTAAATGCATTCAGCTACTGTGGAAAACAGTTTGGAGATTTCTCAGAGAACTTAAAACAGAACTACCATTCAACTCAGCAATCCCATTACTGGATATATACCCAAAGGAAAATAAATCGTTTTACCAGAAAGACACGCACACTCATATGTTCATCACAGCACTATTCATCACAGCAAAGACATGGAGTCAACCCAGATGCCCATCAGCAGTGGATTGGGTAAAGAAAATGTGGTACATACACACCACAGAATACTATGTAGCCATAAAAAAGAATGAAATCATGTCCTTTGCAGCAACATGGATGCAGCTGGAGGCCATTATCCTAAGTGAATTAACACGGGAACAGAAAACCAAATACCACATGTTCTCACTTGTAAGTGGGAGTTAAGCATTGGGTACATATGGACATAAAATAGGAACAATAGACACTGGGAACCACTAGATGGGGGAGAGAGGGAGGGAAAAAAGAGCTGAAAAACTACCTATTGTGGACTATGCTCACTAACCTCTGCATCACACAATATAACCATGTAACAAATTAGCACATGCTCTGAATCTAAAACAAAGGTTGAAATTATTAAAAAAAAATCTTTCTCCTCCTTCTCCTCCAACAACAAGAAGAAGAACAACAACAATACCAGCTTATATTTATTAAGGAAGCTTAATATGTCAAGCATGGGGCTGGCCACTTCATATTACCCCATTCATTCCTCCCAACTCCCCTATGGGGTAGGTACTATCATTCTTGCATTTTACAGATAGGAAATTTGAGGCTCGGAGAAGTCAAGCAGCTTACCCAAAGTGGCAGAAATGTGGTAATAGTCCAGGTCTATCTGAATTCAAATCCTATGCCCTTTCCAGCTCTCTCTATTGTCCATCTGGGGAACTTTTTCTGCTATACGCAAAATTAGCCAAGGCATCTGGGGATGGGGTTAGAGACTGCAAGAGAGCCCAGGTGCTGAGCAGTGCTAGCCTTGCCGATAAACAGAAGAGCCCATAAAAAGGGCCAGCATGGGGCCTGGGACACAACTCTCTGTATAGTGAAAAAGAAACATTTGCCATGATGAATTATGTTGATGCAATAATGAAAGGATAATTTTTGGAAGAACTGAACTGTTATTAAGAGACAAAGGCACATGAATCACATCAACATTGATCTACTTAGTATTACTTCTGAACTAGGCAGTATTTTTTTTTTGTTTTTGAGACATGGTCTCACTCTGTCACCCAGGCTAGAGTGCAACGATGTGATCACAGCTCACTGCAGCCTCAACCTCTGGTGCTCAAGCGATCATCCCACCTCAACCTCCCGAGTAGTTGCGACTACAGGTGTGTGCCACCACACTGGGATCGTTTCTTGATTTTTTGCAGGGAAAGGATCTCACTTTGTTGCCCAGGCTGGTTTTGAACTCATGAGCACAAGTGATCCTCCTGCCTCGGCCTCCCAAAGTGCTGGGATTATAGGCCTGAGCCATCATGTCTGGCAGTAGTATTTTTTCAAGGTACATTTCCATTGAAGTTTGACAGAGAAGAGCACACAGAAAACCAGGATACAGCGTAATGAATTTTCACAAAGTGAACACACTCATGTAACCAGCTCCCAATCAAGAAACCGGCATTCCAAGAAACCCAGAAGTTCTCTCATGCCCTGGGCCAGTTACTTTCCCCTCAATAAAGGTAAAAACTATGGTATGTTAATGAGATTTATCCCTGATGTTTATGTGAAGTTTGTTCATGCCCATTGACATATAGCTTTTCACATATTTATCCTGTGTGAGTATATACAGTAGAATTTGCCCATTCTTCAACCCATTCATTATTTACCTATTCATCATTTACCCAGTCATCAACAATCAATGCTGATTGGCATTCATTGTTTCTTTTTTATTTTTTTGTGTTGTTTGGTAAACTTACATATGCATTTCTTTTGGGCATATACCTAAGGGCAGAATCGCTCTGTCACAGGGTATATGTATGTTTTACTTTGGTAGATGCCAAAAAAAAGATTTCCAAAATAATTGTATCAAGTTACATCCAGCTACAAGTGTGTAAGAATTTCCAGTTTCTTTACACTTTTGCCAACACTTGGTTTTCTATTTTGGTGGGTGTACTATGGCATGTCATTGCCTTCGTAAAGTTAAGTACTTGAATACTTTTTCATGGGTTTATTTGCCAATTGGATATTCATTTTCTGAAGTCCTGTTCACATCTTCTGTATAGAGTAATTAAAGAATAATTACTATAGTCCTTTGTAAATGGTAGAATTCTGCTCCTTACTGTTGGTCTTGTTGGACATTGTGGTTCGTGTGATGTAGTTTTTGATGTTTTCTTGCTCAAAAGTACATGTACCCATTAGACTTTTCACTGATGCATAAAATGTCTATGTCACAGTTTCTATTGATTAAGACATTAGCTGCCTACCCAAAAAAGTGTAGATGTTAGAGAGAGAACAGAGTGTAGTGTATGATAGGTTCTTTTAAGTTGTGTGGAACAAGGGCATATTATGATATGGGTATACAGGAAACCCAGAGAGACAGGAAATGTCTCAGTAGCCTCATAGTCAAGCTCCACAAAGAACTGGAACATCTCATAACATGAGTACTGGTATTTTAACAGCAACTTCAGTCACCTAACAGAGTGACCTGGCCATATGCTTGCCTTCTGAGAAGAAGGTGTCATTTATCAGCTGCATGGCCAGTGGACTCCTGCTGTTATTGACAAAGGAGTACTAGATTTTCTTTCTTCCCACTTCCCAGATTCTGCCACATTAAGGCTTCCATAGTCTCAGAGTTTCTATAGCATCTGCATAATATCTTCTCTCCATGTGTCTTTCCATGGCTTCTCCTACTCCACTAATATCTCTCTTTCTCTGCAGGCCTCACTTTTGAGTGAAGAATCTGATTGGACAGCCATTGTAGGACACTTTATGAACAGAGCTCTTGCACCAAACCACTTAGAGGGCCACTGGCCAGCCAAGATGGTTGCTTCATGTCAGCCAGCTGTGTCAGCTTCACATGTGCTATGGATTGCATGTCTGTCCTCTCCAAACCTCATGTTGAAATTTGATCCCCAGTGTTAAAGGTAGGGCTGAGTAGGAGGTGTTTGGGTCATGGGTGCAGATCCCTCATACATAGATTAATGCCCTCCCTGGGGGAGGGGGAGTGAGTCCTTGCTCTTTTAGTTCCCATGAGAGCTGGTTGTTAAAAAGCTGACAACTCTCCCCTCTCTCTTGCTTCCTCTCTCACCATATGATCTGTTCATACACCAGGTCCCATTTGCCTTTTGTCATTAGTAGAAGTAGCCTGAGGCATTCACTAGAGGCAGATGCCCACTTTTGAACTTTACAGCCATCAGAATCACAAGCCAAATAAACAGCTTTTCTTTATGAATTACTCGGTTTCAGGTACTCCTTTATAGCACACAAAATGGACTAATATTTTGTTCATTTCATTTTAGAGAGGAGAATATTGAATGCCAGAACATTTCAGTGGCTTCTGTAATTTATATTCTATAAATGGTAGAGCTGGGATTTGAACTCATCCCTATTTTATTCATTTATTCATTCATGCCATAAATTATTTTATTTATTTTTAGTTGACAAATAAAACTATACATATTTTTGGTGTATAAAATTATATTTTGAAACACGTATACATTGTGGAATGGCTGAATTGAGTTAATTAACATATTATTTCACGCATTTTTTCTATAGTGAGAACACCTAAAACCTACAATATATTTTTATTAACTATCATCACCATGTTATACAATAGATCTCCTGAAATTATTCCTCCTATCCAACTGAAATTTTGTACCCTTTGACCAATATCTCCCAAATTCCCCTTAATCCCCAGCCCCTGTAAATTACAATTCTTTTCTTTGTTTCTATGAATTTGATTTTTCAGATTCCATATACAAGTGAGATCATGCACTATTTGTCTTTCTGTGCCTGACTTATTTCACTAAGCATAATGTCCTCCAGGTTCTTTCATGTTGTTACAAATGGCAGAATTCCCTTCTTTTTAAAGGCTGAATAGTATCTCATTGTGAAAATGGACATTTTCTTTGTCCATTCATCCATTGATGAACACTTACGTTGATTCCATATCTTGGCTATTGTGACTAATGCTGCAGTGAATATGGGAGAGCAGACATATTTTTGACACACTGATCTGATTTCCTTTGTAGGTATACCCAGTAGGGGGATTGCTGGATCATATAGTAGTTCTATTCTTAATTTCTTTTGGGACTTCCATACTGTTTTCCATAATGACTGAGCTAACTTACATTGCTTCCCTTTTCTCCACATTTTCACCAACACTTGTTATCTTTTGTCTTTTTGATAATAGCCATTTTAACAAATATGAGGCAGTATCTCATTGTATTTCTCTGATTATTAGTGATGTTGAGCATTTTTCAAATACCTGTTGGCCATTTGGATGTCTTCTTTTGATAAATATTTATTCAGGCCCTCTATATTTTTTAGTTGGGTTATTTATTTTCTTGTTATTGAGTCGTTTGCATTCCTTATAGATTTTGAATATTAACCCCTTATCAGATGTATAGTTTGCAATTTTCTCCCATTCTGCAGGTTGTCTCTACACTCTATTGATTGTTTCCTTGGCCGTGCAGAAATTTTTTAGTCTGATGTAACCCCATTTGTCTATTTTTGCATTTGTTGCCAGTGCTTTGGGGTCACATCAAAAAAATCATCGTCTAGACCCATGTTATGAACCTTTCCCTTGTGCTTTCTTTTAGTCATTTTACTATTTGAAGTCTTTTGTTTAAGTCTTTAATTCATTTTGAGTTGATTTTTGTATATGGTATGAGATAAAAGTCTAACTTTCTTCTTCTGCATGTAGATATCTAGTTTCCCAGTGACATTTATTGAAGACATTGTCCTTTCGCTGTTGTGTGTTCTTGACACCTTTGTCAAAAATCAAATGACAACATATGTATGGATTTATTTCTGGGCTCTCTATTCTGTTCTATTGGTCTATGTGTCTCTTTTCATGCCAGTATCATGCTGTTTTGATTACTGTAGCTTTATAGTAGATTTCAAAATCATATAGTATGGTGCCTCCAGTTTTTTTAAATTTTGTTTTGTTTTGGAGTTTTTTGCCCAAGATTACTTTGGCTACTTGAGCTCTTTTGTGATTCCATATGGAGTTTAGGATTTTTTTTCTATTTCTGAGAAAAATATCATTAGAATTTTGATAGAGATTGCACTGAATCTGTAGATCACTTTGGGTAGTATGCACATTTTACCAATTTTAAGTCTCCCAGTTCATTGGCACAGACTATTTTCCATTTATTTGTGTCTTCTTCAGTTTATTTCATCGATGTATATAGTTTTCAGTGAACAGATCTTTCATGTCCTTGGTTTAATTTACTTTTAAGTAGTTATGGCTTTTATGAAGGTAAATGTGTCCTAAGGAGATGTGGAGAAAAACATAGTTGTAGCCTGTGGCAGAATATGCAGGTCAGGGTGGTGGTCAGGTAGAATCTTTACGTTCTTTATGTCTCTCCTTGTGGAAATACAGCCCTCCCTTTCCATTCAGCCACCACCACAAATCTGGCCTGACCAATCAGAGTATTTATTCTAATTTTCTAGTCACTGTGATTGGTTCGGGAATAGGCACCTGATCCAAGCCAGGCCTGTAAGAGTTAGCCTTGGGACTTTAGCTAGAACTACTGGGAAAGACTCTTACTTTTTTCACGATGATCATTGCCTGTAAAGACAAGTAAACTTGGAGCTACTTGGTGTGCAGTATCTTTTAAGGCTCCATGTTTAAGAACCTTGGAGAATGAAGCCAAACTAAGGAAAGCAAAACTGAAAAATGAAGAGAGAGTAAGATTTTTGACCGCATTGTTTATGGACCTGATTTCAGCTACATATAGTGGCAAATTTACCTTTGGATTTTTGATGTATACGTACCAACACATCTCCTATGGGGCTGAAGTCAGATTGAGTTAGTTTCTTGCCCTTGCAATTAAAAAATGTTCTGATTCATGTAGTCAACTTCCTACATAAATATTAACATGGAGAAATTGAATCAGAAGTTTGCAATGTTCTCCTTGGAAAAAGATTTCAAGGTTCCAAGGATATGAAATCATCATGTAAAATAGCTGTTCCTCCTTCAGAAGAGATGAATCTGAAGCAAGGCTGGGCCTGAAAGAAATGACCTATAGCTAAGTGAGACTTGTGTGGGTCAGGAAAGAAGGGACACATTTTTGCTTCTGCTGTGACACTCGCTTCTGGTCATTTTTATTATGATAGTGTCTAAGTCCATTCATTCTGCTGTGACAGAACACCATAAAGTAGGTAGCTTATAAACAACAATTTATTTCTCACAATCCTGGAGCCTGGGAAGTTCAAGATCAAGGCACTGACGGAATTGGTGTCTGGGGATGGTCTACTTTCTGGTTCATAGATAGCACCTTCTAGCTGTGTTCTCACGTGTTGGAAGGGGGAAGGCAGCTTTCTAGGGCCTATATATATAGAATTAGTGCCTATATATATGAATAGTGAATAGAATTAGTGTCTACATATGTATACATATAGACACTAATTCTATTCACTAATATATAGACACTAATTCTATTCACAACAGCTCTTCCCTTATGAGCTAATAACCCCTAAGGCTCCACTTACTAATACACATTGGTGATTAGGTTTCAACATATGAATTCTGGGGGAGACATAAACATTTAGATTATAGCAGATATAGAATTCTGGGCAGGGTAGAAAACATTTGTTAGTCCGGTAGAGTTTCCATCCATCCATCTATCCAACCATCCATCTGTCTGTCTCTATCTTTGCCCACTAATTAAACAAATATCTGTTGAGTTTAAATAAGCGCCAGATACAGGACTTCTGAGAGAGAAGATTTGAAGCACTAGGTCAAGGTCAAACTAGCAAGACACTTCCTCTCCTGGAGGCCAGGGTTCAGCCAGATGTCCTCTTTTTCATCTGCAAAATAAGAAGATCTAACCTAGATACTTGCTCATGTCTCTCCCAGTGCTATTACTTGATGATTCAAACAATTTTCAAGGCCTGGCATGGTGGCTCACACCTGTAATCCCAGCACTTTAGGAGGTCAAGGTGGGCGGATCACGAGGTCAAGAGATGGAGACCATCCTGGCCAACACGGTGAAACCCCCTCTCTACTAAAAATACAAAAATTAGCTGGGTGTGGTGGCACGTGCCTGTAGTCCCAGCTACTCGGGAGGCTGAGGCAAGAGAATCGCTGGAACACAGAGGTGGACACTGCAGTGAGCCGAGATCACACCACTGCACTCCAGCCTGGCAACAGAGCAAGACTCTGTCTCAAAATAAAACAAAAAGCAATTTTCAAAAGGGCTGATACCTTAGAGTGTTATCTGGTTCAATTTTCTCATGTCTGGGATGAGAAAATCTAAACCTGGGGAGCTTGAGGGATTTGATCTGAAGTCCACTTCACTCTCCTGGTGATGATGACTCAGTGATGCTGTGATGACTGGTGGACAAGGACAGAAGAGGCTGTAGGCAGAACGCATAGATTCCAGGACAGCAGGTTCAGCAAAGACCAGCGGTAGCTGGTATGGTGGCTACCTCAAAGGGCTGGCTCAACCCAGGCACGGAAAGTGGAAAAGATTGGGGTATAGGGACAGAAAAGCTGCCCCGTGGTTTTCTTTCTTTCTTTCTTTTCTCAACGATTGAAACCCAGCACATAACTGTGTGGGCATTGAGAGAAAACAGGCCCAGCTGCCTAGCAGTGGCCCCAGGAGCCTGTGAAACGTCTGCTCCCACCAGGCTCACGGAGGGCGCCAGGATGCTCTGCCCAATGGCTGTTTCCTTGACTTCTCTCTTCCAAAAAGGAAATTGCAGGCATGTTACTGCTTTGCTCAGGACCGGGGATTATGGAGCTTAAACTCTCTCCTCCAAGCCATGTTCAAGTTTTTGACTTAAAAGGGAAATGTTTCATTTTAGGCCAAATGCATCCCCCTCTTTCCCCCTTCCTGGAACGAGAACAAAGCAATTCAAATCAGAAAACAGGGGGAACTCCATGCGCCCTGTCCACGGGGACCCGGCTCCCAACTGGATCCCACGGAATTTGATTGAAGTGCAACTGAACCCCTCCGCGTTTGTTCAAATGTCATTTAAATAGAAACGTTTCAAATCTCTGCCAAGGAACTGCCCAGGGGGTGGCATGGAACGGAGTCAGGCCCTCACTGCTCTGCGG
The DNA here is from genome assembly GCF_000001405.40 of Homo sapiens. NCBI lineage: Eukaryota > Metazoa > Chordata > Mammalia > Primates > Hominidae > Homo > Homo sapiens. Next base: position 65,271,157 of record NC_000017.11, read on the forward strand.
GCTGCGGCGGGCCCAGACCACAGGGGCGGGACCCAGGCGAGGCTGACTGAAACCCAGCACGAGGGAAAAACAAAGTGGTGGGAAAAGAGGGGAGAGGGGAAAGAGGAGGGACAGAAAGGGGACAGAGGTGGACTCTCTGGGCAGTTTTTACACTAAAGATACAAGATATAAATGAGACACAAGATGTCTGCATTTTGGCATGTTTTCTAAAAAAAAAAACTTTAATATGTTTAAGATAGAGACAAACTCTCAAAGCCTGAAAGGATTCATGATCAGGATTGCAGTGAGCCTTCAAGATTTTGGCTGTCACCCTCTTTGGTCTCATGACGATTCAAACGTGCATGCATCATCGCAACAGTTTTTAGCTTCCCAGTTTGGAAAGAGGACAACAATGTTTGACCTGCCTGGCCTTTGTCAGGGCTGCTGGGTAAGATTTGCCTTGAGGTTTGGGGCTGAGGGTGTGGGTCTTAGTTTCCTTACCCCACTCGATAAAGGCAGCCATAAGGTCAAGGGTTTGAGATACTGTTGGTACCCAGGACTGGAAATCGGCAAGCATTGCCGTGGTGTACTCTGGGGGTGCCCAAGAGGAGGAGGCTGGACTTTCATCCTCCACTCAGCTGTAATGACTACTCTTTGATTTGTTTTACGTTTTGAGTTCTGGGTAAAATTTTGTGGCAAAAAGAAATCTGCCACTAGCAGCATTGTTTAGAAGCACTTAAGTAGACATTTCAAAAGATCCATGGTTCTGACATTCTACGAGATCAAAATTGGGGAGAGATTGTAGTGAGGGTCGTTCCTCCATCCCTGAGGACCCATTACCATGGGATAGAGTTAATTTGCTACATTAAGACCTCCTTCCTGGCCGGGCGTGGTGGCTCATGCCTGTAATCCCAGCACTTTAAGAGGCCTTGGCGGGCAAATCACCTGAGGTGAGGAGTTCAAGACCAGCCTGACCAACATGGAGAAACCCCATCTCTACTAAAAATACAAAAATAGCTGGGCATGGTGGCACATGCCAGTAATACCAGCTACTCGGGAGGCTGAGGCAGGAGAATTGCTTGAACCCAAGAGGCAGAGGTTGTGGTGAGCCAAGATCACACTATTGCACTCCAGCCTGGGCAACAAGGGCAACAAGAGCGAAACTCTGTCTCAAAAAAAAAAAAAAAAAAAAAAAAAAGGTCTTCCTTCCTGGCCGGGCCCAGTGGCTCAGGCCTGAAATCCAGCACTTTGGGAGGCCAAGGTGAATGGATCACCTGAGGTCAGGAGTTCGAGACCAGCCTGGTCAACATGGTGAAACTCCGTCTCTACTAAAAATATAAAAATTAGCCAGGCATGGTGGTGCATGCCTGTAATCCCAGCTACTCGGGAGGCTGAGGCGGGAAAATTGCTTGAATCCAGGAGGCAGAGGTTGCAGTGAGCTGAGATTGTGCCATTGCATTCCAGCCTGGCTGCTGGGAAAACCATGTCGTCAGGACACTAGAACTTGAGAAGGATTCACATGGGCCTGGATCTAGCAGACTGGTGAGTGACTTAGGACTTATGAAACCCCAAGAAAACTCAGTATTGGTGACGCTATAATATGAGCCCCCTCTGAATTGAAATAACCTGAAGATGTACAAGAAGTGCAGCTCAAGAGTTGCTGATGGTGAAATCTCCCCTCCCTCATAGACATTTACTCTTTTATCTTAGAGAGCCTCATAAAGCAGCAGGATATAGTCAAGCAAGGTGCATCCCCTTTCATCACTATGTTCAGCCAAGAAGTAGCTCTGAGACTGAAACTGCCTTTGCAAAATTATAACTAGTAACTGAGACAGTGAAAGAGATTTAACCTAACTGACTCCATCTTGCTTCTAACCTTTAAGCTGTCCTTGCTCCTTCCTGGGTGTAGGTTGAACTAACTTCGGGAGGAACTTAATTTACACTTATAGTTTTAAAAAAATAAAAAATAAAAAAATAAACCTCCTTCTTGCCTGGGGACTCAACTGCCTTTGCAGGACTAACAAATTTAGCTACAAGGTTAGAAATTATGGTTTAGGAGTCATGCAGCTGGAGGCTACAAGATCTGGACTCTCCCTAAACTGCTCCTAAGATCAGTGCCTGAGACATTTTGCAGACCTTGCACTTGATGGATCAGGTGGCACCACCCAGATGGATAAACTGGCTCATCTGCTCTTGTGGCCCCCACCCAGGAATGGACTCAGCGCAACAGGACAGCTTCAATTCTCGGTGATTTTTATCTCCTACCTAACCAATCAGCACTCCTCGCTCACTGGCTTCCCCCCACACACCAGGTTGTCCTTAAAACCCTGATCCCCTCATCAGGAGATGCTTGGGAAGACTGATTTGAGTAATAATAAAACTCTGGTTTCCCACACAGCCGGCTATGTGTGAATTACTCTTTCTCTGTTGCAATTGCCCTGTCTTGATAAATCGGCTCTGTCTAGGCAGCGGGCAAAGTGAACCCATGGTACAGTTACAAGACACCCCTTTCAAGAGGAACACCAAGGGAAGGTGATGGCTCATGCACGAGCAAAGACCCGAGATGCGACGGAGCCCTTCATTCACTAAAACTTGGCTACTTACTGAAACCATAGACCTTCAGAACTAAAAGGGACCTAAGAATCATCTCCTTTTACAGATGAGAAAACTGAGGCCCACATCTATGAATATTCATACATAATTAATTACTTCATTATTTAGTGATCTAATTTGGCATACTTGTACCTTCATAACCTTCATCAATTTTCAGTGACTTTGGTTAAAAATCACAAAAGAGGTTGGGCGCGGTGGCTCATGCCTGTAATCCTAGCACTTTGGGAGGCCGAGGCAGGTGGATCACTTGAGGTCAGGAGTTCGAGACCAGCCTGGCCAACATGGAGAAACACTGTCTCTCCTAAAAAGACAAAAAATAGCCAGGCGTGGTGGTGGGCACCTGTAATCCCAACAACTCAGGAGGCTGAGACAGGAGAATTGCTTGAACCTGGGAGGCGGAGGTTGCAGTGAGCCGAGATCGTGCCACTGCACTCCGGCCTGGGCGACAGAGCAAGACTCCATCTCAAAAAAAAAAAAAAATCACAAAAGCCATGCCATTTAATTTCAAGATGGTATGCTTAACCCCTAATCAAACTTACTGTGCATCTTGACACTCTTAGTCATAGATTAAATTTGATGCAAATCAGCTCATTCCTTTGCAAGTGGCTATGGAATAAGATAGGCAAATATAAAATGCTCCTTTATTGCACAGATTTGGATAGAAAACTGTGTCATTTTGCTGTCATTGTAAGGTCACAGCCATATTGGCTTTTATCAGTCAGTATAAGACAATTGGCCTGAAGAACAGACCGTTGTCCTGTTCCCATTATCAGTGTGCTAAGACAGTTCCCTTATCTGCCCACAGCTTTTCTTCCCTTCCCTTTTCAAAGACAAAATGCCATGGGGTCAAAATCCCTGCTTTCCTTTTTACAGGAATTGACAAGCTGGTCCAATAATTCCTATGGAAATGCGAGGGACCCAGAATGGCCAAAACAATTTTGAAAAAGAAAAACAAATGTGGAAGGCTCACACTTTCCCAATTTCAAAGCTGTAGTAATCAAGACTGTGTGATACGGGCACAAGGACAGATCTATGGATCGTTGGAATAGAATTGAGAACCCAGAAATAAACCCAATTCAACTGATTTTAGACAAAGACGCCAAGACAATTCAATGGGGGAAGGAATAGTCTTTTAAACAAATGGTGGGGTCAACTGGATTTCCATATGCAAAAGAATGAGGATGGACTCTGACCTCACACACCATATACAAAAATTAACTCAAAGTGGATTAAAACCCTAAATATAAGAGCTAAAACTTTTAGAAAATAAACATAGATATAAATCTTCATGACCTTGTATTAGGCAATGGTTTCTTAGATATGACATCAAAGGTAGAAACAACCCCAAAAAAAGTTAAATTGGACTTTATCAAAATTAAGTGCTTCAGAGGACACTATCTACAGAATGGAAGGAACTGTGTATTTCTAATAAATGTCTAGTATCCAGAACTCTTACAACTTAAAAAAAAACAAAAGAAAACCAAAAACTCAATTTAAAAAATTGGCAAAGTATTTGAATAGCTATTTCTCCAGAGAAGATGTACAAATGGCTAATGAGGACATGAAAAGCGGCTCAATATCATTCGTCATTAGAGAAATTCAAACAAAAACCACAATGAGAGTCCTCTTTGCATCCACTAGGGTGACTCTACTCAAAAAGATCGATAATAATAAGTATTGGCAAAGATGGTGGAGAAATTGAAACTCTCACGCATTGCTGGTGGGACTGTAAAATGGTGTACGAACTTTGGAAAACGATTTGTCAATTCCTCAAAAAGGTAAACATGGAGTTACTCGAAGACCCAGCATTTTCTTATATATACTTTCTTATTTTATTTTATATATATATACTTATTATATACTTTCATAAGTATATACCCAAGAGAATGGAAAACAAATGACTGAACAACCACTTGTACACAAATGTTTATAGCAGCATTATTCTTTTTTTTTTTTACTTTTGAGACAGAGTCTCGTTGTGTCACCAGGCCGGAGTGCAGTGGTGCGATCTCGGCTCACTGCAAGCTCTGCCTCCCAGGTTCAAGTGATTCTCCTGCTTCAGCCTCCCAAGCAGCTGGGACTACAGGCATGCGCCACCACACCCAGCTAATTTTTGTATTTTTAGTAGAGATGAGATTTCACCACGTTGGCCAGAATTGTCTTGATCTCTTGACCCGTGATCCGCCTGCCTCGGCCTCCCAAAGTGCTGGGATTACCGGCATGAGCCACCGCACCTGGCCTATAGCAGCATTATTCTTTTTGTTTTTTTTTTTTTTTGAGATGGAGTCTCACTCTGTCGCCGAGGCTGGAGTGCAGTGGCGCAATCTCGGCTCACGGTAAGCTCCGCCTCCCGGATGCACGCCATTCTCCTGCCTCAGCCTCCCGAGTAGCTGGGACTGCAGGCGCCTGCCACCCCGCCCGGCTAATTTTTTTGTATTTTTAGTAGAGATGGGGTTTCACCATGTTAGCCAGGATGGTCTCAATCTCCTGACCTCATGATCCGCCCGCCTCGGCCTCCCAAAGTGCTGGGATTACCGGCATGAGCCACCGCACCCGGCCTATAGCAGCATTATTCTTAATGCCCCAAAGCTAGAAACAACCAAAACATTCATCAAACATTATTCATTTTTATGAATAAACAAAATGTAGTATATCGTACATTATGCTAAGTGAAAGAAGCCAGACATATTCAGGCCACATATTGTATGATTCCATTTATAGAAAATATCCAGAATAGGCAAATCCGTGGGGACAGAAAGTAGACTGGTGGTTTCCAAGGACTGGGGATTGGGGATGGGGTTGAGAGTGACTGCTAATGGGTATGGGATTTCTTTTAGGGATGACACAAATATTCTGAAATTATATAGTGGTGATGGTTGCACAACTTTGTGAGTATACTAAAAACCACTGAGTCACACACTTTTAACGGGTGAATTCGATGGTATGTAAATTATGTCAATTTTTAGGAAAGACCATGGAAATTAATTTGGGGGATAGTTTAAGCATGCTAACGGGGACTAATGAGAGCTTAGGAGGCATCGAGGCTCATTTCTCTTGGTTCACTCTAGGATTTTTCTTAATCATCAAATGTAGGTGGTACAGGCAAGAGGTTACTTGTCCATCACATCATTGGCCCAAACTGGTGTCATTTCTTTCCTTGCTACAAAACTTTCAAGCAGTCAATGGATATCTTATATTCTCCTATACGTGTAGGTGGCTTAGTACAGAAGAAAGGATATGAGCTTCAGAGGCCAGCAGTGTTGTGTTGAATTTTGGTTCTGTCCTTTGCTCATTGGGAGACCTCAGGCAAGTTACCCAGCCCCCTGGACCTCAATTTCCTCATTTATAACATTGGTTGGTGGGAAGACTCAATGTCAAGTTTCAGGCACATGGTGCACACCCAGTCCATGTTAGTGCCTTGCTTTTTCCTTTTCCTTATCTTCCCAGGGTGGTGAGAGCTCGGTGTTTATACACAAGACAGCATAGGTAGAGGAAGTCTGGTTAAAGGGGCAAATTGCATCCCCTTCACTCCTTCACTCCTTCACTCAAGTTAAATAACAGGAGGGGAAACTGATCACAGCCAAATCTCTCAGGTGTAGATTTTGTCTGAGGGCAACTTCCATGAGCCGTACAAGAATGCAGCTGAGCAGTAAGAATCAGAGCTGGTTGAATTTTCTAAGCCAGGTAACTACAATGAGTTTCCAGGTACCCAAGCTTCTGCTGCTTCCTCACCTCCCCTAGAATAATTTGGATAGCTTGCCAGACTTGTAGGTATCTGAACCATTGCAAGGTGTCACCTGACTTCCCTTAGTGACCTCCCTGGCACCCCATCCTTATCATCAGAGAGAGCCCTCAGCAGGGGCAGAAACTGAGTCAGACGCTTCTTCCAGAAGCCAGTCCTTCTCTCATCGCCCTCCCCCCAACCTCCTCTAACCCACAAGCTGGCTTTCATTTCCCCTCTCTCTCAAGCTGCGAAGAGTATCTCTTCCTAACACTTGTCAAAAATTAAAGCGAGACCTGCTTTCAAATGTTCTGTCTGTACTCGCCGGCCAGGAAGGCGAGTCTGTCTCCAAAGAATTTGCATTTACAATTCCAAATATGCACTCGTGCTAAGACGAAAGAATGTCTGTTCGCTTTCAAGCTGGGTTTGGCATGACCTCTAGGTTTTAATATTTTCAACAAAGTGTCATTTGACAATTCAACCACATTTAGAAAGAAGAGAAAAGTGAATGTCCTCTCATACACGTGCCGACTGGATTGAGAGTCAGATGAGAAGACTTAGCCCAGAGCCATCGACTTTATTTTATCTTTTGCTTTCACCCGTTATTTAATTTTTTAAAATCTCCACAGAAACACAATCATTTTCATTTCTAGGTCTTAACTTCTGTTTTGGTTACGAGGGTCAACATGAGGCTTCCTAAGAAGACCAGGGAATCTGCATTTCCTGATGCAAAAGCATTAAGCCAAGTGGTTTTCCCTGTCTGTCTCCATGTCTTGCATCCAACCCAGCCTCCCTACCTTCCCCATCCTAGCTCCAACAGGAAGGGGATCTAATCACAGCCAAATCTCCCAGGTGTAGATTTTGTCAGAGGGCAATACCCCATAAATGCTACAAGACTTCCGGGGACTCTGTTCTTTGCCCCCAAGCAATGGTGAATAGTGGCTTCCAAAGGCCCCCTTGGAGTCTCAGGTCATCCCGCAGGCAGGGAGCCCAGTTGTGATGGGTGCAGTCCCTTGAGAGGCCAGGAGGAGGGTGTCTTGTCCTTCAGAAGTCCTGTTATGGGCCGCGGTCCCCCTAGCACGGAAGGCTCTGTCCTGATGAATGTGTGGAATTGGCTCCACGACTCAGCCTGCAGATCTGCTTGTCACAATAATCAATGACGCCTCAGGCTGTGCCACCCAGCTCCGTTTTACTTAGAAGTCGGTGGAACAGTGGGATTCCTCATGATGGCTTCATTCAGCACTCCAGCAGGCCTGTGGGCACAGGACGGGGGTAGGTTTACACAGATGCTAGCCTCTCTGGCACCCTAGCAGGTGTCTGCTAACCTCCCTCAGACCACCCTCACAGTAAAGAGCCCCTCTCGGGTTTGAGATATGAGAGACCAGTCTCTGGAGTGGCCTTGGGGGAAGGGATCTGCTTCCTGCCTATTGTCCACGGTTTGGCTGGTGGGTGAGGACTTGTGTCCACGTGGGAGGATGATAACACAGGGTCCAGCTTTGGCAGAGCACGTGGGTGCTTCATGCAACACTGCATTGATTAGTCCTGGCCGCCCCAAGTGGTATTATATGCCCATTTAGCCACGAGGAAACAGGCTCCGATCAATGGCGTGCCCTGCCAGAGGTCACAAAACCAGTAGGTCACAGACCCGGGTCCTGATCAGCAGCCTTTTGCCCATGCTTGGACTGCTGCACCACCTGTAAAAACAGATCGGCCCCTTGGAGGCTGAAGAAATAGCCAGCCACCATCAGATTCTTTAAACTTATAGAAGCCTTTTCACAGCCAGGCGCAGTGGCTCACGCCTGTAATCCCAGCACTTTGGGAGGCCGAGGCAGGTGGATCATGAGGTCAGGAGATCGAGACCATCCTGGCTAACACGGTGAAACCTCGTCTCTACTAAAAATACAAAACATTAGCCGGGCGTCGTGGCGGGCGCCTGTAGTCCCAGCTACTCAGGAGGCTGAGGCAGGAGAGTGGTGTGAACCGGGGAGTTGGAACTTGCAGTGAGCCAAGATCCCGCCACTGCACTCCAACCTGGGTGACAGAGTGAGACACTGTCTCAGAAAAAAAAAAAAAAGCCTTTTCACATCTACTTCTGGTATCTTTTTTGCTTCTCCCAACAGACCCCCTGCTGGTGTGATTGGTGGGGGATGCCAGACTTGGAGCTGATATCTTCCCTCAAGAGATCCTGCAACTGTGTCGGGCAACCTTACAGCCCAGGAAGGTGCAGGCAGCCACCCTCCCACCTTGATACCTCCTGGGCTTAATGGCCTTTATTTGCACTGTGAACTGATGGGACTCACCTGTACCAGAGAGGAATGCAATTGAGTGACATCCTCCAAGCACCTGGAAAGGCCACCACTTAGTGCCATATTTGCAGTGCTTCCCAGCAACGTCCACCTGTGTGTCCTTAACAGCGGAGGCGAGGGAGGATGTCTGAAAATTCTTTGAAGTGTTATATTTTATCTAAAAAAAAAAAAAAGTTTGTGAGGCCAGGTGCAATGGCTCATGCCTGTAATCCCAGCACTTCGGGAGGCTGGGGTGGGTGGATCGCTTGAGGCCAGGAGTTCAAGACCAGCCTGGCCAAAATGGCGAAACCCTGCCTCAGGTAGAAATACAGAAATTAGCCCGGCGCTGTGGCGGGCGCTTGTAATCCCAGCTACTCAGGAGGCTGAGGCAGATGCGTCACTTGAGCCTGGAAGGTGGAGGTTGCAGTGAGCCAAAATCGCACCACTGTACTCCAGCCTGGGCAACAGAGCGAAACTCTGTCTCAAAAAAAAAAAAAAAAAAAAAAGTTTGTGGAAAATTACATTCTACTTCATCACATATCTGTTTCTTTCTACTTCTTTTTTCTAAAAAATTATAGTAAAATATGCATACCATAAAATTTGCAATCTTAACCATTTTTAAGTGTACAGTTCAGTGGCGTTAAGTACATTCGCGTTGTTGTGCAACCATGCTGCCATCCATCCGTATGGCCTATAAATCCTAAAAGATCTGGCTGTGATCAGACCCCCTTCCTGGTGGAGCTGGGATGGGGTATGGTAGGGATGCAAGGTTGAAGGGGAGAGATGAAGAGAGACCGGATTCTTTTTCACATTACAAACTGAAACTTTATACCCATTAAACATTCATTTCCTGCCAGGCACGGTGGCTCAAGCCCATGATTCCAGCACTTTGGGAGGCTGAGGTGGGCGAATCGCTTGAGGCCAGGAGTTCGAGACCAGCTTGGCCAGCATGGTGAAACCTTGTCTCTACTAAAAATACAAAAAGTAGCTGGGTGTGGTGCCACATGCCTGTAATCCCAGCTACTCGGGAGGCTGAGGCAGGAGAATCGCTTGAACCCAGGAGGTGGAGGTTCCCGTGAGTTGAGATTGCACCACTGCACTTAAGCCTGGGTGACACAGAGAGACTTCGTCTCAAAAATAATAAAACTAAAATAAAATAAAATAAAAATGAAAAAGATTCATCCCCACTCCCTGCTCCTCAACCCCTTGCAACACAATTTTTTCTGTCTCTATGAATTTGACTGCTCTAAATACCTCATATGAGTGGAATCATACAGTATTTGTCTTTTTGGTGATATTTCACTCAGTGTAATGTTCTCAAGGTTCATCTAAGTTGTAGGAATTTCCTTCTTTTTTAAGTCGGAATTTCTTTCTTTTTTAAGACTAATATCCCATTGTACATTTGTACCACATTTTGTTTCTGTATCTGTGTCTTTTAAATAAAATGTCTTACATTACTCACCAGTTAAATGAGGTATTCACATTATAATAAGGCCTGACATGTAAGGCCAGGCCCTAGCAAACTTTTTCTTAAAGGAGCAGATAATAAATATTTCAGGCTTTACAGGCCGTAAGGCCTCCATTGCAATCACACAACTGTGAAATTCTTCTGTTGCAGCACTAAAGCCACGACAGACCACATGTAAATGAATGGATGGAGCTGTATTCCAATAAAACTTTGTTTACAAAAACAGGCAGTGTGACAGATTTGGCCTGTGGTGAGTGGTTTTCAGACCCCTGGTCTAGGAAGTCAATCTGGTGTATCATTAAGAACGTAGGCTTTGGTGTCAATGGAATGAGTTTTTCAATTCACACAAAAAAACCTTTTTCTTCTTCAGGGTTCACATATGTCCCAGGGTACCCAACTGGATTACTCTGCCCAGAACTGCCCTCACCCCTGATCTTCAGGTCCTGCGACTGAATCTGACACACTCTGGTCAAACTCCTCCCCAAATGATTGATTTTTTTTTTCTTGGATGACTCACAGGTCCTCCCCAACATGACCACCCAAAGTTGAACACATATGCCTGCGAGTGACTGAGTGATGATTGTGTACAAGAAGGTTGATATGGTTTGGCTATGTCCCCACTCAAAATCTCATCTTGAATTTCAATTCCTGTAATCCCCACGTATCAGGGGAGAGACCAGGTGGAGGTAATTGAATCCTGGGGACGATTTCCCCCATACTGTTCTCATGATAGTGAATTCTCAAGAGATCGGATGGTTTTGTGTTTGGAGTTCCTCCTGTATTCATTCTCCTTCCTGCCACCTTGTGAAGAAGGTGCCTTCCTTCCCCTTTGCCTTCCGCCATGATTGTAAGTTTCCTGAGACTTCCCTAGCCATGCTGAACTGTGCATCAACTAAACCTCTTTTCTTTATAAATTACCCAATCTCAAGTATTTCCTTATAGCAATGTGAGAATGGACTAATACCAAGTTTTCCCTGCAGCACGTCTTCAGTCCTGACATAGGCCCAGATGGGTACAGACACTTGGGGAATTGAGTGTCGCTACTGCAGATGCTAAGAGTACCCAAAGGCCAGTCCTGGCCCAAATAAAAACTCTGCATCACTCTGTTACAGTAAAATCTTTGTAGTTGTTTGCAAAGTGTCTATTCCCATCATGGAAGGGATTTTTACTGGGGACAGTTGGCACTTTATCTTGGCCTCCCAGAGATTCTGACTCTAAACCGAGAATGCCAAACGATGTATCTGATGCCTCCACCAATATCTCAGGAGGAGAATACGTGAGTTTGGGAACCAGGTAGGTTGTATAACCTCCAAAACAAGGTTTCCAAGTGGAGGCTTTCTCCCCTGTCTTCTGGACAGTCTTAAGATATTTTAAAAAATTATCTAGGTATAACTGACATATAATAAGCTGCACATAAAGCATATAATTTGATGAATTTTGACATAGGTCTATAGCAATAAAACCATCACTACAACCAAGATAGTGAACAGATCCATCTCCTGCAAAGTTTCCTCATACTCCTTGGTAATCCCTCCCTATCTCTCCAACACCCTTCTCCCCAGGTAACCACTGATCCACTTTCTATTAGTTTGCATTGTTTGGAGTTTTGTGTAAATGGATTCATATAATACGTACTCTTTTTTGGTTCACTTTTTTCGCTAAACATTTTGAGATTCATCTATGTCATTGAATGATCAATAGCTTATTTCTTTTTATTGCTGAATAGTAGTCTGCTGTTTGTATATGCCACAATTTGTATAGTCATTCTTCTGTTGATAGACACTTGGTTTATTTCTGGTTAATTTGATCAAGTTGGGGTAATAGTTCAAGTTTACTGTATCTTTTCTGATTTTCTGTCTACATGATTTATCAATTATTGAAAGAGAAGTATTAAAGTCTCTGGCAACAGTTGTAATTTGTCTATTTCTCTTTGCAGTTCTGTCAGATTTTGCTTCATCTATTTTGAAGCTCTGTTATTAGGAGCACATATGTTTAGAATTGTTATGTCCTCCTGATTAGTAGATCCCTTTGTCCTTAAGAAATGTTCTTGTTTATGCCTAATTCATGGCCCACAAGGCAACATTCTTATTGCTTAAGTTTAATTTCACCAATTAAGACTGGGGACTCAAGTGAATTCAATGCATTGTAGGAGGCCAAGCCACACTCATGCCTGGCTCACCTTGATGGGCTGTGCACTACACCATATCTAGTTTCCTTCCTGTTTCCCCACTTCGGAGGGGCTTAATGGAAGCCAGATCCCAGATGGGGAAGGATTCGGGTTAGAGGTACAGGACATGGAATATCTTGGCTTATTACTGGGCATGCACCTCAACGTGGTGACATATGAAGACCCAGAAGTGGCAGAAAGGTCAAAGTGACTTTGTCTAGACTCTACATTTATTTTTAAGACAATTTTGGAACCAGAGACCAGACTGTTCAGTGTGTTCTGAGGTGGTGTTAAAAGAATCTACTGTACAGGGGCGACATCCTAGGTTTACAGTTTCCTGACTAATTCCATCATAAACTTAATTGCCTTTTCTTTGGCTTTGAAGCCCGAAGACTCCCTTGGCACAGGGTTTCCTCCCCGTATACCCAGACTCCTGGCAGGAAGTAATGACTGAATATCCAAGTGCCAGGACTCCTTGACTCACTCTCCAAACGGTGACTTCTGCCTGGCCCAAGACCTGGACTCTCCCTCTTCAGGAGATGATGTCAGAGAGAAGCCGCTTTGCCAGCAACCCACTGGAGGCTTTAGAAGCAAATGCCCAGGAATCACTACTTCCAACCTCTGTCTTAAATGCTGTCCCAAGCACTGAAACTTGCAGCTTATCATCTTATCCCCACGAACGCAGCCTCTACATAGTAGGAGCTCTGCCAGCTCTGCCAGATGCTTTAGGTGCATTGTCTAGACTTCATTTCATTCTTACTGCAACCCTCGGAGCCAGGTGATAGTGTGCCCATTTTATAGAGAGAACATTGAGGGCCTCGGTGATGGTAACAAAGTTGTGCAAAGATACCCAGCTAGGAGGTACAGAGCCAGTTAACTGACTGTAAATACAGAACTGGTCCCATTACTCTACACAAATCTGTATTAGTTTCCTCGGGCCACCATAAGACATTACTACCAAGTTGGAAGCTCAAGGCAATAGGAATTTACTTGCTCACAGTTCTGGAGGCCAGAAGTCCAAAGTCAAGGTGTTGGCAAGGTAGGTTCCTTCTGGAGAGTCTGTGAGAGAAGCTGTTCCATGACTCTCTGCAAGCGTCTGGTGGCTGCTGGGAACCCTTGGCATTCGTTGGCTTGTAGATGCATCACTAGTCTCTGCCTCAGTCTTCACATGGGTTTTTACATGACTGTTTTTTTAAAAAATGTTAACTTTTGGCCGGGCACGGTGGCTCGTGCCTGTAATCCCAGCATTTTGGGAGGCCGATGCCGGTGGATCACGAGGTCAGGAGGTGGCCAGGCCACCTTCTTGACCAACATGGTGAAACCCTGTCTCTACTAAAAATACAAAAATTAGCTGGGCATGGTGGTGTGCACCTGTAATCCCAGCTACTTGGGAGGCTGAGGCAGGAGAATCGCTTGAACCCAGGAGGCAGAGGTTGCAGTGAGCGGAGATCGCACCACTGCACTGCAGCCTGGGTAACAGAGGGAGACTCCATCTCAAAAAAGAAAAAAATTAACTTTTATATCAAGTTTGGTATACATGTACAGGTTTGTTACACGGGTAAACTTGTGTCATGGGGGATTCTTGTACAGATTATTTCACCACCCAGGTATTAAGCCTAGTACCCATTAGTTATTTTTCCTGATTATCTTCTTCCTTCTACTCTTCCTCCAGTAGGCCCCAGTGTGGGTTGTTCCCTTCTATGTGTCCATGTGTTCTCATAATTTAGCTTCCACTTACAGGTGAGAACATACAGTATTTGGTTTTTTGTTCCTGTGTTAGTTTGCTAAGGATAATGGTCTCCAGATCCATCCATGTTCCTGCAAAGGATATAATCTCATTCCTTTTTTATGGCTGCATGGTATTCCATGGTGTATATGTACCACGTTTTTTTTTTTTTTTTATCCAATTTACCATTGATGGGCATTTAGGTTGATTCCATGTCTTTGCTAATGTGAATAGTGCTGTAATGAACATAAGCATACATGTGTCTTTATGACAGAACGATTTATATTCCTTTGGACATACAGCCAATAGAGGGATTGCTGGGTTATTTCTGCCTTTAGGTTTTTTTAAGAATTGCCACATTGTCTTCCACAATGGTTGAGCTAATTTACACTCCCACCAACAGCGTATAAGTGTTCCTTTTTCTCTACAACCTTGCCAGCATCTGCTATTTTTTCACTTTGTAGTAATTGCCATTCTGACTGGTGTGAGATGGTATCTCATTGTGGTTTTGATTAGCATTTCTCTAGTGATCAGTGATGTTGAGCTTTTATTTCATATAATTGCTGTGCGTGGCCTTCTTTTGATAATAGTGAAGTAAGTTGGACAGTTGGAAGCACTGTAGGAAAGGTAACCTAAGTTAAAAGAGGATTTAGAGTCAGGGGCTTCTGGGCTGAGTCTTGGGGCAATCAACTCCAGCTTTCTACACTTGAGCTTCCTCATCTATAAAATGAGGACAGTAATGATGTGCACCTTGTGGGGTTTCTTGTAAGAGGTAAATGTTTGTAAAGGGCTTAGCCCCATGCCTGGCACCTAGTCCAATTAATATTAGTCATGAAAAAATATTATTGATATGATGGCTTCCATCTCACTGTGAATAAAACCCAAAGTCCTTGCCATGGTCAACAAGACCTTCCATTTATGGTCTCATCCTACCCCCACCCATCTTTCTGATCTCATCCTACCCTCACTCATCTTTTCTCTGCATTTTAGCTGCTCTAACCTCATGGTGTTTCCTGCCCAAGACCTTTGTGTTTGCAGTTCTTTCTGCATGGCCTGCTCTTCCCTGCATTTGCTACTCACTGTGTTCTGGACTCTCTTTAAAAGTCATCTTATTCGAGACCTTCACTGATATTTTTATTTAAAATACCACCTCCTGCCTTCCGTGTGTCCCTTCCCAGCACTTCTGGCCCCATGCACTGCTTTATTTATTTATTTAGCACTTATCATTAATTGACATATATACACATATATATACGTACACACACACACACACACACACATATATATATATATGATTATTTATTTTTGTCTCCACCAGAGTGCAAGCTCAGTGGGAATCTGTTTGGCTCATTGCCACATCCCTAGCGCCCATGACAGTGACTGGCAGATAGTAGTTTCCAATAACTCGTTGTTACATGAATGAATGAATGAATGAATGAAATCTGACTGGTCTGTTCCAGTTGGTAGTGAGATCCATGTGTATAATCCTGCCCCAGTAGCTGTCTTTTGAAGAAATGGCTCAACAGTTGATTGGTAAGACAGTGAACTACAGCAGAGGGTAGCTTTGCTGGATGCCTGGCCAGCTGAGACCACAAGGGAAATGACCATGTGTGCCTAGCATATATGCCATGCACTGTATACAGTTCCTTGATTTTATCTTCAAATCTACTTTCATAGCTGAAGAAACATGCTCAGAGAGGTTAAGTCAGTTGCCCAGGATCACACAGTTAGTAAGTGGCAGGAGCTGGAATTCAAACCCATGTCTGCTTGTCTCAGCGCCTGCCTGTTTTCTATCACCCCAAGCTGGGGTCTCCCTCAGCTTTGACTTCTAGAGGAGGAAAATATGGGTAAAGATGGAATTTGTCCCATCAGGGGGCTCCATGGGAAACTCTCCAACCTCAGCTCCCAGAAGAGGGTCTTGGCCTCTGGAATTCTTGGCAGGAGGCATGAGATGTGCCTGGACCCTCCTGTCACTGACCTTGAAGAAGTATCTCTGGAAACTCTTTTAATCAAAAATCCCCTGCAGCTTCCAGCCACCCACATCTTAAATCGTGTCAGCAGAACCCTCTCATATTTGACATTCTTTCCCGGAGTTCCTGACCCCAGCATTCTCCAGCAGAGCTATCTTAAGCATTCCCACCTCTGTGGTTAGTGGAGCACCAGAGAAGGAGGGGCAGAGGGCAGGATGGGCTGGGAGGCTTCAGCCACTCACCAGGGACAAGAAGCAGCAGTTCCTCCGTGGCTTTGTCTCAGAAAATCCATCTCTAGGAACGGTTCCAGAAGTTGTCATGAGATATTGGGGGCTCTTCAAGGGATGTCTAGAATCAAGAACCCAGGATTGTGACTCAGTGCATGCTGGGTCCAACTTCAGAGGCAACTGACCCACCCCACAGGCAAGCAGAGTCATCTGCCTGCTGTGGCTGGCTCTGTGCTCAGACAATGGGAAGCTGCCCCCATCCTGGATCTCCGAGTCCATCTTGCATTGCTCCCATCTCCACCATGACACCTCCATTAGAGTGAAGTTGAAAGCTTGTTTATGGAGTCAACATACAACTTGTTTCTGGCTCTGGATCCTTCATGCTCACATGGAATGTCCATCCCACTTTCCCTGCCAATCCATTGCTTGGTCGAAACTTAGCCGTTATCTCAGATGCATCCTGAAGGCTTCCCAGGTTAGCTCACCCAACTTGGATTCCTCCAAACCATACTCCACGTGGTGGCACAGATCTGGTGAGAGCAATCACCCTGCTCAAGAGAATCCAGTGGCTTTCAAAGCTCTTGGAGACCACGCTGGCTTCCTCTCCAGCCTCATTTTTGCTGCTTCTGCTCTCAAGAGGTGCTCCAGCCTCACTGACCCCCTTCTTTGGTCCCACTTTCTCTTTCTTCTTCCAGGCCTTTGTGCCAGCTATCCCCCCATGTACTGGGTGGAATAGTGTCCCCCCAGAATTCATGTCCTTCCCAGAAAACTCAGAATGTGACCTCATTTGGAAATAGGGTCCTTGCAGACATAATTGGCTAAGATGAGATCCTGCTGGAGAAGGGTAGGCCCTTGAACCAATATGACCAGTGTCCTTATAAGAAGAGACACATGGGGAGGAGAAGGCCATGTGAAGATGGAGGCAGAGATTGGAGTGATGCAGCCACAAGCCAAGGAATGCCAAGGGTTGTCCACAATCATGAGAGCTTAGGGCGAAGCAAGGTGGTCTCCTTTCCTGAAGCCTTCAAAGAGAGACGGCCACTGCCAAAACCTTGATTTCAGATTTCTAACCTCCAGACCTGAGAAAGAAAAACTTTTTGTTGCTGGAAGCCAGCTAGTTTGTGATCCTTTGTTATGGCAGTCCTAGAAAACTCATAGGAAACTAAGACACTAATCCCACAGCCCCAGCATGGACATGCCCTTGCCACCGCCCTATCCTGTATCCACCCTGCCTTCACTCTAGCGCCTACATTCTACTGATCTCCCAGCCTCACCACATCAGACATCACCTCCTGACCTCTCCAAACCAGGTCAGATTCTCCCAAAACATATCGTGTCTCCCATCCTCGCCACATCAGACATCACCTCCTGACCTCCCCAGACTAGGTCGGATTCCCCAGAAATACATCACCTTTTTTCTTATTGAAGCAATGCTCTGTTTGCTTGCCATCCGTCCCTCTCACTCCCATCCCCAGCTGTAAGTTCCTGGAAGGTGAGGGGTCAGGAGTATGGCCCTCTGAGCCATTCCAGGCAGATCTAAGCATATTTTTCAGGGCACCTACTAAGAGATTTCCTCTGAATAGTTCCATGGTTGTAGTAGACATGAACATGAACCCGTGTGTCTGCTCAGATTCCCTTCACTATCCTTTTCTTCCTCCCTCTAGGCTGGTGTCCCACCTTGCTGGGACACTCTTTCTCTTTTAGACTTCAATGGAAGCTCATACCTTCAGATATAGAATTTGGAGTGGCTACAAAGGAACCAGATGACACAACCAGATGGAGTCAGTTTCTTGTGGAGGGAAATTTGACCAATGGGACCTGGGAAGGAGCTGGACACATATATTTTCCCTCTTTCTTTAGTGGGGAAACTCTGGAGTGCTTTGCCTCCTCGTAGACATTCGGGAGAAATCCTGTAGGCTCAGCCAGCATACCTGCTGAGCAGCCTCGTTGTAAAGACGGCACTGTGATACTGCTTCCCATTTCAGTTTGCTCTCTTTTCCCTTTCTTCACCTCGCTGCTCTGGGCTTGTATCTTGCAAATAAAGTGCCAGGCTTTCATCTCTTTTTTTTTTTCAGGCTTTGCTTTCTAGAGGGCCCAGTCCAAAACAGTGGTCAAATAAGATTAGGAATCATCCAGCACTTTGGGAGGCCGAGGCAGGCGGATCAAGAGGTCAGGAGATCAAGATCCTGGCTAACATGGTGAAACTCCGTCTCTACCAAAAATACAAAAAAAATTACCTGGGCGTGGTGGCGGTCGCCTGTAGTCCCAGCTACTTGGGAGGCTGAGGCAGGAGAATGGCATGAACCCGGGAGGCAGAGCTTGCAGCAAGCCGAGATTGCACCACTGCACTCCGGCCTGGGCGACAGAGCAAGACTCCTTCTCAAAAAAGAAAAGAAAAGAAAAAAAAAGATTAGGAATCGTACATACTTTACCCTGCTCCTCACCTAGAGGGCAGGTTGCAATGCCCATAAGCACGTCAAAGGCCCTGAGAAGTTCTGCGGTGGAAAAAAAACCCAAACACCTGTTTAACTTATAAGGTAATGTTTACTGGACACTTACTCAATGACAAACAGGATTCTAAGAACTTTACATGTATTAATTTGTTAACATTCCTACTACAACCCTCTGAGCTAGGAATTATTATCCCATTTCACAAATAGGGAAACTGAGGCATGGAGCTGTTAAGTAACTTGTCTAAGGTAATACAGTTAACAAGTAGAAAAGCCTGGGTTCTAATCCAGGAAGGCTGGCTCCAGAGTGAGTGCTCATAATCACCATGCTATATACATACTTTGCTTCATCTCTTATTTTTTGATGATGGATTGTTTTTAATTGGATTCACCTGTTAACATCAACTGAACTGGTTCTACTGAAAAGTTTGCTGTTTACAGTAGGAGTTTATCTTGATTTCCTGCACAGATGTCATGCAACCAGCAATGATCTTTCTGCCCTTATCTGCACAGAGGCCTAGCCCAACCCCCTGATTAGCGCATAACTTTGCACTACAATAAACACTCTGAGGAAGGGAAGGAAGGAACAAAGGAAGGAAAGGTTGTCCTTATAAAAAGACCAGGGCCCCTGTCTTAAAAGAAGAAACCCTGGGTAGAAATTCAGTAGCATTTTCAATTTCTGGTTAAGGCCCAGCCCTCAAGTTGACAGTGAAAGCCTTCTTCTAGTACATGCACGGCCATCAGTTGCTCTACTTCTTTGTGGCTTCTAAACATGGGCATTGCCAAGAAGAAAACTAGGAAGGTCTGCTGTGATGATGAGGCATGATCCCCTGGTTTCTGGGAGTGAAGCTGCCAGGTACAGTTGCATAGGTTGTATACCGCACAACTGTAGCGGGTACTGTTCACATCGTTTTCATTGAACACTTGCCCTGCATGGGAACTACACTGTGTGGCAATTGCAATGCTGAGGTTTGGGTGGGGTGGAGTGAGAGTAATTGCAGGACTAAAATCATTACAAACACAATCTGTCTTATCAGGGTGTAGTCCGTGCCATATCACAAAGCACCAGGAAGTTCTGACACTGGCGCCTGGAAACTTGCCCTGTCTGAGGCGAGACCTGGGTTCCAGTGGGAGTGTCTGAGTGGCATCTCCCTGACCACACGGCATGGGGCACTCGCTTCCTCTAGCATTATGTGGAGCTCTGACTTGCCTCTATGGACATTTGGGGCCAGATCATCCTTTGTTGTAGGGGTCTGTCCTGTGCATTGTAGGATGTTCAGCAGCATCCCTGCTCCCTACCCCCAAGATGCCAGTAGCACCCCTCATCCCAAGTTGTGCAACCAAAACTGTCCCTAAACATTGCCAAATGTCCTTGAGAGGAGCCAAATCACCTGGGTTTGAGAAACAACACTGTAGAGGTTAGCTCAGTGTTCTCTCATACAGTCACCACTAGCCACATGTGACTTTTTTTTTTTTTTTTTTTGAGACAGAGTCTCACTCTGTCCTCCAGGTTGGAATGCAGTGGTGAGATCTCGGCTCACTGCAACCACCATCTCCCAGGTTTAAGCGATTCTCCTGCCTCAGCCTCCTGAATAGCTGGGATTACAGGTGCCCACCACCATGCCTGGTTAATTTTTGTATTTTCAATAGAGACAGGGTTTCACCATGTTTCACCATGTTGGCCAGGCTGGTCTCGAGCTCCTGACTTCGGCTGATCCGCCCATCTCCCAAAGTGCTGGGATTACAGGCATGAACCACCACTCCCGGCCCACATGCAACTTTGGAGCACTTGAAACGTGTCTGGTCCAAACTGAGATGTACTCTAAGTGTAAATTATACACCAGATTTCAAAGAGTTAGTGCACAAAAATGTAAAAGATCTCAATAATAATCTTTAAACATTGATTACACGTCAAAAAGAATATTCAGGATACATTGTGCTAATTAAAATATGTTACTTCAACTGTTTCTTTTTAAAACTTTTTAAAATGTGGCTCCAAGAAGGCTAAATATTACATGCATTCCTTGCATTAGATCTCTACTGGGCAGTGCTGATTTAGCTCTCCTCCACTTGTATTAGTCCTTTAGGCAACATTGTGAAGTCAGTTTCCTGGGGCTGCCTCTCTCTTACCCTAGCCTTTCCCCTCCCCAATTCCTAGAGAAACTTCTGCTGCATCTTGGCACTCTAAGTTGAGATTTTTTCATTTTATTTACTTATTTATTTTTTTGAGACAGTGTTTCACTCTTGTCACCCAGGCTGGAGTGCAGTGGCACAATCTTGGCTCACTACAACCTCCGCCTCCCAGGTTCAAGCAATTCTCCTGCCTCAGCCTCCCGAGTAGCTGGAATTACAGGCGTGTACCAACAAGCCTGGCTACTTTTCATATTTTTACTAGAGACGGGGTTTCGCCGTGTTGGTGAGGCTGGTCTGGAACTCCTGATCTCAAGTGATTCAACCATCTGGGTCTCCCAAAGTGTTGGGATTGCAGGCGTGAGCCACTGTGCCCAGCCCCTAAATTGAGATTTTTACTGATCATCCTCAGATGATCTTTAAAAAGATGGTCTTTGGAAAGATGGTCTTTGAAATTTCACCCCATCAAAAGCACTAAGGAGGAAGGATTCAATCAGCCTGCTCCTCCACACTAACTGGTCACACCCCTGTCCCATGGGCATCTGCATTTTGTGCCACCCGGTCACGCGGTCCTGTTGTTTTTGCCACCCTGGTACCGCTCCATCAGTTTCTCAACCACTGTTCCTGACTCTCATCTTTTCTGCAAACTACCAGACGCATTGCTCTAATCCTATTCACCCCTCTTTAACAATTTTCGATGGCTCTCTCGTGACACCCGGAGGAGGAAGCCCTGACTCATTCGCTGGAGCTTCAAAGCCCATTGCAAACTGGCCACAATCCCCCTTCAGGAGGCCATCATCATCACGGGCTTTACTTCCTGTTCCAACCAAATGGGTACACTTCCTTGCACTGTTCGCCTCTTCCTCACTTGGCATCCTGCCCTCCTTATTTCTGCCCATCAAAACCTATTTACCTGTTAGGACCCTTTTAAATCCCTCTTCTTCCCAGAAGCCTTCAGGGTTTCCATGGTGACCTTTCTTATCTTTAGGACATGTCGGCACCAATTAATTGGGAACGTTCATCCAATTGTCTTGAGGACACTCTGGTATCAAACTGATCTTAATAGACTGTATCACTCCTTAGCTTTGCATCTTTGTTCAGTTAATTTTTTTAAAGAGATAAGGTCTCAATCTGTTGCCCAGGCTGGAGCGCAGTGGAGTGATCAGGGTGCACTGTTGTTGAATTCCTGGGCTCAAGCAATCCTCCCTCCTTAGCCTTCCAAGTAGCGGGGACTGTAGGTGTGAGCAACCATGCCCAGCTATTTTAAAAATGTTTCTGTAGAGATGGGGTCTCACTGTGTTGTCCAGGCCGGCCTCAAACTCCTGGGCTCAAGTGATCCTCCCATTTCAGCCTCTCAAAGCTCTGGGATTGCAGGCCTGAGCCACCATGCCTGGCTAATGTTTTTCATTTCTTTAGCTCTTCTTCACTCTTCAAATGTCTGAAAGACTTCTGTGTGTTTTAGATCTTCTGTAAACACTGCTTATTAAGTTTGTAAAGTACTTGCCTTATGTGAATATACTCACTGGAATAACTAGAGAGCGTATTTTAAAGTGAGGGATCATCCTCCCACATTGGAGAGAGATGGTGATCTATTTAAGCTTCTTGCTATTCCCTAAAACCTCCACACTGTACATGCCACATCTGTGGATTCAGAAATATTTCTTAGTTAGTTTAATGGGGAATGCGGCCCCCATTCAGAAGAACAAATCCAATGGGAGTTGGTTCTGGTAGAGACAGCTGTCCACCACAACTATGCATGGCCGGGCCCAGCCCAAATGTCCTTCCCTCCGCTGATAGGGGTCTTGCTGGCCATGGTGGCCCCCAGTCTTTGGCAGCACATCTGAGGAACAATCTCCTTTGCTGTCTTTTAGGTTAGTGATTTCCTACGAAGCGGCTGTCCCCTCTTCTGCATCCAACTTGTCGCTCATTATTTGAACCGGCAAATGATGGCAATTAACCAGAATGGGGGCCTCATTTCTCTGCATCAAGTGGTGCCAGCCTTGGATGAGGAGTTGTAAACCTGATTCAAAGGGAGGGAGGAGAGACAGCGTGCCCAGGAGGGTGGGCCTTCCAGAATCACACGCCCCACATCAAATAACAAATCAACCTGCCCTAAGCGGTTATTTCTCTCTATTTGCATTACAGAAAAGCCACCCTCCGTTTATTTGGCTGTGAATGGCCCTGCCTCCAGCCTTCCTGGCAACTTTGCCAAGCTGGGATCAGCCTCGTGCAGGGGGCTGGTGCTTTGCCGTCAAAATTACCCCTTCCCTTTTGCTTCTGTGTTCAGGGCAGGACAGGAGGAAGACGAAGGTCCTCCCAGGCCTTTTTTAGGGACCCGTCCAGCTTGGCCTAAAAGCAGCGAAGAACCCACAGGAAACTCTACCAAATGGTTCTGCTCACCAGGCTCTCGGTGGAATGGGGGCCCTGAGCCACGTTCCTGGGTTTCCAGGGGCCTGTGCTCAGAGCAGCCAGTAGGTGTCTCCATCACACACTATTCGAGGACTCGCACCAGAGCAGACGTAGATAAGGCCTTCAGCTCTTACCCAGGTTGCTCAGGGAGGCTCTGGGGGTTCCTCAGGCACTGTCTTCTTGGGAGGAAGCAGGAGAGGGCATTTTAGGGATTGGGAGAGGAGCGAAGACTAGGCAGGCAGGACCAAGTGTGAAGGGATGGAGGGAAGGGCAAGTGCAGGTTTGCACAGTGGAAGAGGAGCTGGAAGGTGGAGCAATTCCCGCTGGGGAAAGGTGGGGAGAAGTGGGGAGGGAGGAAAAGGCTGAGGGCAGGCAGGATTTACAGAGGAGTTCAGTACACAGCCCCTGGAGGAAGGGCTGGGGCTGGGTTTGCACTGAAGTTCTAGCTCTTACTGGCTGTGGGGCTTTAGGAAAGTGATTCAACCTCTCTGCTGCCACTCACTCATCTATAATTGAAGACCCTACTACCACATAGAGGTGTTGGGCTATTTAAGTGAGAGTCCACATGAATAGTGCCTGCCGCCTAGTAAGCACTCAGTACATCTGAGTTATTTCTTATTAATTCGACAAGATGTTCAGGAGAAGCTGGTGCAAACTTGCGTGGCTCCTGCCCCACTTGCCCGCTCCTCACCCCCCCTTAAAGAAGCAAGAGGAGGCTGGGTGCGGTGGCTCATGCCTGTAATCCCAGCACTTTGGGAGGCTGAAGCGGGCACATCACTTGAGGTCAGGAGTTCAAGACTAGCCTGGCCAACATGGTGAAAGCCCGTCTCTACTAAAAATACAAAAATTAGCTGGGCTTGGTGGCAGGCACCTGTAATCCCAGCTACTCAGGAGGCTGAGGCAGGAAAACCTCTTGAACCTGGGAAGCGGAGGTTGCAGTGAGCCGAGTTCATGCCACTTCACTCCAGCCTGGGAAACAGAGCGAGACTCTGTCTCAGAAAAAAAAAAAAAAAAAAAAAGCAGCAGCTGGAAAACTTGGAAGCCAGATCTATTCAAACCAGCAGGACCTGTGGTGATGTTACTCAAGGGGTCCCTAAGGGACTGGCACAAGTCAGGGTGGAGCTATTATTTTAGTGGCATCATAGATGACAAGGGGATCCCCAATGATGGAAAGCAGCAAATGACTGCTCAGCTTTGAAGAAGGAAATGAGAGCAGACCAGCCTGTTAGCCAATGGCCAGCAGGCTTAGCCTTCTTTGAGAAGATGCTAGAATTGAACACCAACTATCTAAGGGACACAGGGGTGATGTAGCTTAGGGACAAAGAGCAGGAGCTCTGCTATAGTAAAGGCCTCAGCTCTTTGTCCCTAAGCTAAATAAATACTAAGGCTATAACTGGTTATGTGGCTGTAGGGCAAGTGACTTCAACCACTACAGTGCCTACTACCCCCCATGAGGGTGTTGTAAGGATCCAATGAGTTAGTATGTGTGAAGGGCTAAATAAATGAGGACTATTACTGTGAGACAGGAGGGAATAACCAAATGATGTTGTAAAGACCACACTGTCCCAGCCAAATCATTTACATTCATTTTTGCTTAAGGAGAAAACGTGGAAGGTTGGGGCTACAAGGGGAATCTGATCACTTTGCTGAACCAAAACCCAGAAAAAAGAAAATTATCAAGGTCATAAGCTCATTAAGAGCGAAGGAGGGACCGGGTCTCCTGAGTTTAAATACTTTAAGAAATTACTATTACTCTTCATCCTGATGTCAAGATATAATCTATGACAGTATTTCCCCAAATGTTTCTTAAAGGAATAGTCATAGGTTCTTCTAGAAACAGGATCTTATGGATTATTACATTTGGGGAATGCTGAATTAGAAAAAAATTTACATAGATTTTTTTAAATTGTAGGACTTCTCAGAGCCTTTTTTTAAATTTTTTTATTTTATTTTATTTTTTTTAGAGGAGTCTTGCTCTGTTGCCCAGGTTGGAGTACAGTGACACGATCTCGGCTCACTGCAACCTCCATCTCCCAAGTCAAGTGATCTCTGGCTCATTTTTGTATTTTTAGTAGAGACAGGGTTTTACCATGTTGGCCAGGCTGGTCTCGAACTCTTGACCTCAAGTGATCTGCCCACCTCGGACTCCCAAAGTGCTAGGGTTACAGGCGTGAGCCACCACACTCGGCCTTCTCAGAGTCTTTAATATGTCTAAACACATTGTGACTTTAAAAATTAATAGATTTTTAAGTTGCAGGACTTCTCAGAGCATTTAATATGTCTACACACATTGTGACTTTCCTAGACACCAGTATAGGGAAAAGCATTTCTCAAAGGAATAAACCATGCTACTCTTGTTTTCCTGGAATATCTCATGGAGCTAGTATTCATGGAATATAGTTGGGATTACCAATACAATTGTTCCTCAGTATCCATAGGGAATAGGTTCCAGGTCTTCCCATGGATACTAAAATATGTGGATGCTCAAGTCACTTATATAAAATGATGTAGTATTTGCATGTAACCTACACACATTCTCCCATATACTTTAAATCATCTCTAGCGGCACGATCTCGGCTCACTGCAACCTTCGCCTCCAGGGTTTAAGAGATTCTCCTGCCTCAGCCTCCTGAGTAGCTGGGATTACAGACGTGCGCCACCACACCTGACTAATTTTTATATTTTTAGTGGAGATGGGGTTTTACCATGTTGGTCAGGCTGGTGTCAAACTCCTGACCTCGTGATCTGCCTGCCTCGGCCTCCCAAAGTACTAGGATTACAGGCGTGAGCCACTGCACCTGGTGTATTATTTTAAAAAATTGTTTTATTATTGTATTGTTATTTTGAATTTTTAAAAGACATTTTCAGTCTGTGGTTGGTTGAATCTAAGGATGCAGAACCTTAAGAATCAATCTAAAAGTTCTTATTACATATAAGAACTTTTGATTTCAGAATGTCTTTATGGCAGTCAAGTGTGAATAACTAGCTCTGGGATCATGCTATATTATCAGGTCTGCAAATAAGCATGTCACAGTACAATCTATGCCACTTAATCTATACTGATGAATGTATATATTTAACAAGAAGGATCCATACCAAATGACAGCATTAGTGTCTTCGTGGTAGGATTACAAATTGTTTTTGTTTCCTTCTTATGCTTATCTGTACTTTGTGAATGTTCTACAATGAACATATGTGTCTAGAGCCCAAAAGAAAGCTGGGTCTTTATTGCATAATCAGTGATGAGGCATCTACTTGAAAGAAAGCCACTCCTCTGGGGATTAACTGTTGGGACCTATCTTACTAATGACTTAACAACAAAAGGATGGGGCTGTGTTCATCAGATATTCACATGATACTAAATGTGGTGGGGTGGCTCACGCTCAGAGAGCCAAGAATAAAATTCAAAACAACCATGACAAATTGAAAACATGGCCCTACAAAAACAAGATGAAATTCAATAGTGCAATTATAAGGTGATATATTTAGGGCTAAAAACAGCCACCATATGTTTAGAATGAAGGCAGGACCAGCTTCCAGTTGGTCAGCAACTACCAGGTGAACCCCTACCAGGTAACCGACCTCGAGATAAGGCTTGGTGCCAGGCATAGGTTTAGGAAAAAAAGACCTGGTAAGGATCAAAGTCCATGGACCAGGGACACATGAGCAAGATCGTCCCCAGGATCCCATTGTCTGAATACAGAATCCTAACAAAGTGGTCTGGCATGAGCTACAACTTCTGGTTTGCATAATGGAAGGATCTCTGAAATCAGAACAACCTTCCCATTCCAGGACTGCCATCGTGTGACCTCACCACATCAGGATGTCATCTGCCCCCTGCCAGGCTAGGGGAACACTTTGGTGTCACGTCCATGTGTTAGAGGCACTCTGGAGTCCGCAGTGGGAAGCAGAAAAGTTAGAAGTTCTGTGACATTTTACTGTTTTATGGGGACAATCAAATAGAATATTTGAAATCTGAGCCATCTCTGAAGAACTCGTTTTGGAAAATCCAGGGCATCTGGTCGCAGTCAACAGAGCGCCTTGCCTTCTTCAAAGCTCCCTGGATTCCGCACACATAAAAGGCCCATGACATGCTGTGGCCCCCAAGTCATCCCCCTTCTCAAGTCTCACATCAGTCAGCCCCTTATTAGACTGCTGAGTCGAGTCTGTGTCACTCCCTCCTAAAAGGGCTTGGAGAGGCTGGAGGATGTCCAGGCAGGAGACACAAAAATGATCAAAGAGCTGGAAACTGGGCCCTGTAAAGAAAGGTTAAAGGAATTGGAAGTGGTTTGCCTGGAAAAAGCGAGGGAGAGTCTGAAGCACCCAAATTCAGAGATGAACCACACAAACCTCACGTTAGCCTCGGTTTTCCTGCCACTTGCAGCTTTCATTTGCAGGGTCAAATGGAAGCAATAACCAATCGTTCACTTTGATCGTGAACTTATGATGCTCCCAGCTTTCTCAGTACTTGGCGTGGTTATCTCATTTCATTGTCATGACCGTCCTATGACTGTCCCTGCCTTTCAGATGAAGAAGCGGAGGCCCAGAAGAGAAGTTATGTAACTAGCTTGAGTTCATTCCACTAGGGAGTGATGGGTGCAGGCTACAGACTCTAGGCTAGGGACACTAGGGAGTGATGGGTGCAGGCTAGGGTGCACACTAGGGAGTGATGGGTGCAGAAGATGCTTCAGACTACATCTCCAACAGCAAGTGTTTTTATGGGTGTCCTTTTTTTTTTTTTTTTTTAGACAGGATCTTAGAGTTTCATTCTGTCACCAAAGCTGGAGTGTAGTGACGATCATGGCTCACTGCAGTCTTGAACTCCTGGGCTCAAGCAATCCTCCCACCTAGGCCTCCCAAGCAGCTGAGAACACAGGTGCTTGCCACCACACTTGGCTAATTTTTTAAAATTTATTTTTTGTAGAGTTGGAGTCTTGCTATGTTGGCCAGGCTAATCTCGAACTTCTGACTTCAAGCCATCCTCCTACTTCAGCCTCCCAAAGTGCTGGGATTACAGGCATGAGCTGCCATGCCCAGCCTACAAGTACCCTTTAAAAATGTAGCCTCATGTCATACAGTACAGCATGAAATTTGCAGGTGATTGTTAACAACAAAAACTCCTTAAATGACTGAAGGCATTGAGCTGTCACCAGGTTTGGGTTCAGCAATGTGCCCTATACAATGTAATATCATCACTCCCCCTGTTACCTCAGGTGTTGTGGGCTCAATTGTGTGTCTCCTCCCCCCACCCCCAAATTTTTGTGTTGAAGTCCTAACCTCCAGTACTTCAAGTTGTGACTGCATTTGGAGATACAGTCACTGAAGAGGTAATTAAGTTAAAATGAGGTCATTAGAGCAGGTCCTAATTTACTATGACTGATGTCTTTATAAGAAAAGGAGGTTGGGACACAGATACCCTCAGAGTAAAGATCATATGAAAGCAGAGGGAGGCAGCCAGGCGCAGTGGCTCACGCCTGTAATCCCAGCACTTTGGGAGGCCTTGGCGGGTAGATCACTTGAGGTCAGGAGTTTGAGATCAGCCTGGCCAACATGGCGAAACCCCATCTCTACTAAAAATACAAAAATTAGCCAGGCATTGGTGGCTCATGCCTGTAGTCCCAGCTACTCGAGAGGCTGAGGCTGGAGAATTGCTTGAGCCTGGGAAGTGGAGGTTGCAGTAAGCCAAGATCATGCCACTGCACTCCAGCCTGGGTGACAGAGCAAGACCCTGTCTCAAAAAAAAAAAAAAAAAAAGAAAAGACAGGGAGAAGACAGCTGGCTGAGCCACGGAGAGAGACCTCAGAAGAAACCAACCCTGCTGACACCTTGATCTTGGACTTCCAGCTTCCAGAACTGCAAGATAATAAATTTCTGTTGTTGAAGCCACCCAGACTGTGGTACTTTATTATGGCAGTCCCTTACAAACAATACACTGGGCAATCCTCAAAATAACCTCTTATTAACCCCCTTTTAAAAAAGAAGAAACAGAGACTTGGAGGGTCTTAGTCACTTGCCCACTGTCACACAGAGAGCTGGTGGCAGAAATAGATTCACATCCCTTTCTTGTCATTCAGAGTCCCGTGCTCCTTTAACGTCCCTCCAGAACATAGTGGAGACAAAGAAACACAAACAGTGGGCAACATTTGCCTGGAAGGTCAAACCCTTGCTGACATAGGCTGTGTTTCCATCCTGCAGCTCAGCAGACCTTCCCATCCCCTAATGTGGAGACACAGAGTTTTATTTAATAGGGAACCCAAACATGGGCAGGAAGACCCTGTCAATTGCAAAGCAAACAGGGGCAGAAAGGCTTGGCAAGGTGCTCTTAAAATGCAAGTCTGGGGCCAGGTGAAGTGGCTCATGCCTGTAATCCCAGCACTTTGGGAGGCTGAGTAGGGTGGATCACTTGAGGTCAGGAGTTCAAGACCAGCCTGGCCAACATGGCAAAACCCCGTCTCTACTAAAAATACAAAAATTAGCTGGGCATGGTGGTGCATGACTGTAATCCCAGCTACTTGGGAGGCTGAGGCACGAGAATTGCTTAAACCCAGGAGGTGGAGGTTGCAGTGAGCTGAAATCACACCATGGCACTCCAGCCTGGATGACCGAGAGAGACCCTGCCTCAAAAAGAAATAAAAATTTAAAAATAAAATAAATGCAAGTCTGAAAAAGCCTTACTGGTTCCTCAGGGGGATAATGCAATGCGTCAGTGCATCTTGAACTATAAGAAAATTCCTTCAGATGAAAGAAGAACATGCTGGCCATCACCATGCTAGGAAAAATGTGGATTTAGGCCTTCATAATCAGACCTCCACTTCAGTACAGGGGCATGATCACCACTGAATTAATAGTAAAAGATGATGAAGTTCCACAGCCCAGCTGCAGCTCTACAGGTCAAGGTAGGAGATGGAGTCTACAGAAGAAGGCAGTCCTAGGTGCTAAGGGCTCTAAGGGGCCCCCAGAGATCATCAGGATCTGGCTTCCCTGGAGGAAGCAGGTTTCTGGATGGGGAAGTGGCATCGGGAGGGGGTTGTGGGATTTGCTCATAGATCTTGGATCGCAGGAGATCCAATGTCCTCTGATTTCTGCCCATGAAGGGAACAGTCTTTGCATACCACAGTGATGACTACCACTTATGTCAGGTGCTGTGAGTACCAAGTCCTTTATATCTATTTTATTTCAAGGCTTGGTAACATTTCAAGATATTCTTATTTTACATGGGAAGAAACAGAAGCACAGAGAGGTAACTGAACAGAAGCCACAGCAATCATAAAAAAGGGCAGACCCAAGCCTTGAAACCAAGTCCGCTTTATTCTAAGCTTCCTGCCCTCTAAAATATGCCGTGTTTTCTCCTGACTCCCTATCTTTTCTTTGCTTTTCAACCTTCCCAGTGTTCAGCCTGACGCTATACCCAGTATGGGTGCCCAGTTCTGCTGAATCAAATAACAGCTATGGTAAAACACAACCCAAAGAATCCATCTCTCCATTGGACCAAAGCATTATTTGAGTGTTTCTCAAAGTGCCCCTTGGGATGCATTGTTCCTCACCAAAAGTGTTCTATGGTCAGATAAAAGTGGGAGCCATGCATATTACAGCCCCTTCTCTGAGAACCAGAAAGCACAACAGAGTGTGGAAGGAGCAGAGGATGCCGGATGAACTCAGCCCAGCCCAGCCCAGCCTTTGACTTCAGGAGGAGCTCAGCAAATATTTATTGACCAAACAAGTGAATGAATGAATGACCGTGTTGAAACATGTTCATTTGGCTTACCTGAGTGTATTAGCCTGCTCAGGCTGCCATAACAAAATACGTTAGACCTGGTGGCCTCAACAACAGAAATTTCTTTTTCTTTTCTTTTCTTTTTTTTTTTTTTTTTTGAGACAGAGTCTTGCTTTGCTGCCCAGGCTGGCGTGCAGTGGTGCAATCTTGGCTCACTGCAACCTCCACCTCCCAGTTTCAAGTGATTCTCCTGCCTCAGCCTCCTGAGTAGCTGGGAATATAGGCATGTGCCATCACGCCTGGCAATTTTTTTTTTTTTTTGTATTTTTAGTAGAGACGGGGTTTCACCATGTTGGCCAGACTGGTCTTGAACTCCTGACCTCAGGCCATCCAGCCTCCCAAAGTGTTGGAATTACAGGTGTGAGCCACCACGCCTGGCCCCAGAAATTTATTTTCTCACAGTTCTGGAGGCTGGACATCCAAGATCAAGGTCTAGTAGGATTGGTGTCTGGTGAGGGCTCTCCTCTCAGGTTGCAGGCAGCTGTCTTCTCACTGTATCCTCACATCACCTTTCCTTATTACACACAGAGAAAGAGAGAAGGAGAGAGAGAGGGAGAGAGAGACAGAGAGAGAAAGCACACTCTGGTGTCTCTTCTTATAAGCACACTAATCTCATTGAATCAGAGCTCCACCTCAATTACTTTCTTGGAGGCCCCATCTCCAAATACAGACACACTCAACATATTAATTTGGGGTGAGACACACATATTCAATCCATAGCACCCAGTATCTCAAACTTATTTATCTAGCAAATCTCCCTTTGGCTGGTGTGTATCCCCAGAACATTGTGTTCTGGAAGCCATTCTTATAGAAAGGCTGGCCTGCGTTAGGGCTGCCTGGCAAGGCACCCCCAGATAGCTGTGCTGGGGTGGGAATTCCCGCAGGGCCAGGTTTTTCAAAGTCTCTCGGTAGAGAAACTAGAGGCAGAGTGGTGAATGAGCTTGAGGTTTAGGGAGGAAATTCGGTCGTGTCCAGATGCCGTCTGAGGCTATGGTGAACAGAGGAAAACAGGAGACATAAGACCAAGCTCAGCTGCGGTGAGGCAGGCAGAATTCAGGGCCATTCTTGTGTCAAACTTCAGGTCACTCTACAAAGAGCAGATTTTCCCTGGAGCTGAGAGGTATGCAGGAGACCTAGTGTCTTAGTCTGTTGGGCTGCTGTAACAACAACAACAAAAATCCCACAGGCTGGGTGGCTGAAACCACAGACATTTATTTCTCATGATTCTGGAGGCTGGAAAGTCCAAGATCAAGTCTTCCGCAGATCTGGTGTCCGACAAGAGTGCCCTTCCTGCTTCACAGACAGTCTTCTCCTGGCTGTGTCCTCACATGGGGTGGAGGCGGAGGACGCGTCTCTCTGTGCCTCTTCTTGTAAGGGCGCTAACCTCATCACAAGAGCTCCACTCTCACAGCCCAATCACCTCCCAAAGGCCCCACCTCCTAAAGCCTTTACTGTGGAGTTAGGATTTCAACATATGGATTTGGTGGGGGGTGGGGGCGGGCATAAACATTTAGACCATAACATCTAGGAAAAGGATCCTACTATTTTTCTTGGAAATTGACAGGGAAGAGAAATTGAAGAGAGATTGAAAGAGAGAAAGAGAGAGAGAGAGAAGGAGTAGGGGGTGGGAGGGAGGGAGGGAGGGAGAGGGAAAGAAAGATGGAGAGGGAGAGATTGAAGACTGAATAAGCACAGCCTGGACACCTAGGGGTAGACACAAAATGACCCAGCAGGAGGCAAAACATATAGTAGGATGGAGGCAAAGTCAGTGAGTGCCTGTAAGCACTGAATCCAGTGCCACAGACCCATGCTGAGTCCATGGGTTGATAGCAGCTTGCTCTGCTGCAAAATTTGAATCCTTCATGCCCACCAGTGGGTGCAAGGGCAGTGGGGCTGGACGAGTTGGCAGGATGAGGGCTCAGCATCACGTCGGCAAAGTACCCACTGGTGCCCTGAGTGACTCAGGCTGTGGCATCCCCAGGGGAGCTCTGGCTAGGGGCTGCTTCTTCCTGGGGAGGGGGTGGCCCCATGATGCCCCCCTCAGAAAGAGCACTCAGGTTCTCCTCCTGCCTCTGCTGCTGACCCAGTTGGGTTGACCTGCGGTGGTCCACTCTGGCCTCGGCTTTTTATCTGCCCAGTGCCCCTCTGTAAGTTCCCTTCCAATAGTGACAACATGGCTTTACATGATCGTGAGGGCACCTAGGGAGGCTTAGAGCCTATTGGCCCAGGAAGTGAAAAGGTCTGGCTCCATGGGAGGGAGGAAACCACACCACATCCCCTTCCCTTCTCCAAAGCAGGAGCCCAATCTTGTTGAATCCATGACATGACAGAGTCAGTTTGGAATATTTTTGTTCCATTCATGGGACTCTAATGGAATCAAGACCAGGCTATTTATATTTACAGATGGTGCAAACTTGAGTGGAACATCAAATGTGCCAGATGTCATTAGGATAGAGGAAAATTAGTGAACTTGGCTAATCGAAATCAAAGAGCTTCCCCTCCCACCCCCCCCCCCCCCCCCAGAGAAGGCTTTCTGGTCCCAAAATGCAAAGGGCTGTGAATGTGCAGAAGATAAGGAACTCGGGGACTGGAGACCCGCTTGATTGAGTGCAACTTCTGCAACCCAGCATGGAAAGTTTATTCCAGCATGTTTTGCTTGGGGAAAAAGAAATGCAGTCACTGTCTGCCTCCATTGTTTCTTCTGAGACTGTGCGGGGGACCAAGCAGCAGGCGTTTCATCTCCAATTATTTTCAGCCAAGGGAGAAAACAGATGGTAAATAGCACTGAAAAAATTCTTTTTAGAATTAATATTAATAAAAGATGTGTTGGAGGCTCTGACTGAATCCCAAGGAACTAGGGCCAGCCTCAAGTGTGGGATGGGGGAAGGGGAGGTAGAGGTGTCAGAAGAGGGCTGGGGCAGGAAGAGGGGGCAGTAGAGGAAGACCAGGCACATGGGTCTAAGCTGAATTCTCTCCAAGCGACCCCAAGGTGCCAGGGGACAATGCGTTGGTGGTGCACCCTTGGGACGCCAGCATGTGGCCAGGAACTGGAGCCCTAATGCCATGTGGCGCTTCTGGAGGTTGTGAGCACTGCAGGGAAGGAGGGTGGTGGGGCCAGACGAAGGGCTGCACAGTGCTCCCAAGGAATGCTGGTGCCGCCGGGACCCCCTTCCAGCAGGCTGTGGCCCAGATGGCTCTTTTGGGCAACTGCAACACACAGTGGAGGTGGTTGGGTGTACTCACCTCCCTGGCCAATGCCAGACTCTGTTCCCACCCCAAGTGCTATCGAGTGTCCACTGACTGCCCGGCTGTCCTCTGAGAGTTGAGATTCCACATTCGAGCAAAGAAACTATTTGGCTCCTTTGGGGTTTCTAGACTTCTCTGGGAGAAAGGGCTGACACACAATGGGACATGTGTGGAAGGGGAGAGGCTGGTTCCTGGAGACATTCATTTATTCAGAAGAAAACCTCTTGGGCTCTCACTCCATGCTTGAGATTACTCTAGGCCAGCAGTCCCCAGCCTTTTTGGTACCAGTCATTTATTTCATGAAAGACAATTTTTTCCATGGGCTGGGTGGGGGGAGGGGTGGTTTCAGGATGATTCAAGTGCATTACATTTATTGTGCACTTTATATCTGTTATTATTACATTGTAATATATAATGAAATAATTATACAACTCACCAGAATGTAGAATCAGTGGGAGCCCTGAACTTGTTTTCCTGCAACTGGATGGTCTCATCTGGGGATGATGGGAGACAGTGACAGATCATCAGGCATTAGATTCTCATAAGGAGCACACAACTTAGATCCCTCACATGCACAATTCACAATAGGGTTTGTGCTCCTATGAGAATTTAATGCTGCTGATGATCTGACAGGAGGTGGAGCTCAGGTGGTAATGCAAGCCATGGGGAGCGGCTGTAAATACAGATGAAGCTTGGTTTGCTCACCAGCTAATTACCTCCTGCTGTGCAGAAACAGGCCACAGAGGTTGGGGACCCCTTTTCCAGGCCCTAGAGAGACAGTGAGGAGCAAAACAAATGAGGTCCAGCCCTCCAGTGAGGGAGAGAAGCAATCATCCAATGCACACTCAAGTGTGTGTGAACTACTGTTTACCAAGAGGTTTCTTCTAGCTTCTGTCTCCCTTCAGCCCAGAGGTTGGGGACACATGAGTTTGGAGAAGCTGAGAAGAGAGTTTGTATTGCAGTTATGAACTATAGACATTAACATTAAAACAAAAGCTATCTCACAAGATAGAACTCCCAACATGGGACCATCCCATTTTCCTGTCTATGCATTCTTGTTTCCTTCCTTGCCTTGGCCACTAGAAAGCTTAGAGGCAAAAGCATGGCTTACTTAAGCAATAAACATAAAGGACTTCAAGGTACATCCTTGTGAAATGATCTCATCCCCAGCTTCAGCTTCTCTTTTCTCTCATCTGTTTCTTTTTCTTTCATCTGATATTTGTTGTTTGTATTTTATCTTATTAAATATTTATGTCTTTTTTGTATGCTGTTTGAAATTCTTTCTGAAACCCAGTGGAGAGTTCATAAACCAAACAGCATGGACATTGATGGGGTTCAATGAAGACCTAAAGATCATCCTTACTTTATGTGATTCTGGATAGATCATGAACCGGAAAACAAGAATTGCTATAATGGACACGTTTTGGGGATAGCTGATGAAATTGGAACAGAACTGTGGATTAGATAAAGCATTGTCTTAATGGAAATTTCTTAAATTCAGTAATTTACTGTGGTTATAAAAGAGAATGTCCTTGCTCTTAGGAAATGCACATCAGAATATTAAGAGGTCAAGGGCTGCAATGTATGCCACCTACTCAAATGGTCCAAAAGTAAGGGGAAAATCTATCTATCTATCTATATCTATCTATCTATCTACTTATCTACCTATGTACCTACTATCTATCTAGAAAGCAGAACAGGAAAATAGTAATAGTTGCAATCTCATACTTGAAAAATGAGAGCACTTGTATGTCCAAATGAATTTGCTTCACAGTTTTAATTACAGAGGGTGCCCCTTTAAAAGGGAATCTCAAAAAAATGATTTTGTCTTGCTTTCCACACTCCCTTTTCTTACTGCCTTCTTCTATCCTCTCTCCCAAGACTCCCACCCCCACTGGAATGCTAAAAGAAGACCGAATTTTAGAGCGATTCCAGGAAGAATTGCTTTCAGACAATTAGGCATGGTCCACATTTGCCTCCGGCACTGGTGTAGATATAAAAATCCCATCTAGGTCATCAGCAAGTGTTTAAGCTTTTAAGCATTTTCTTTTGGAGGTTTTTATTAATCCACGAAGAAACACCCTCAAAGTCTCTCCCCAAGCCCCAAGTTCTTGTCATTTGCAATCCAACTGCTTTGGGCTTCAGAAGAAAAGAAAGAGAACACTGCCAGTAAGGGTAGTCACAGATTCTCTAGAATCAGAAATAAGCACTTTCCACCAGCTCCGCTGCAGCTGTTGAGTCCCTTCCAGCCCTATGCCCCTCCCTCCCTCTCTCTCTCACATCTCACTCTGCACCCCAGTTAAGGTGGGCTTGGCCAGAGCTCTGCAAGGGAACTGTGAGCTCAAACCTGTACCTGTTGTTCAAGAAAACCCAGTGTGCTCCAGACTTCTCCCCACTCTGTACTTTTATTCCCGAGGCATCAAGAAGTCAAACTAAGGAAACACCCTTCTAAGAGGGTGGCGCATATACACATTCCAGTCCCTAGGCTACCTGGCCAAGTCTTCAGTTCTGGCCAATGCTCCCTCTCTCCAGACGAGCCGCTGTCTTCAGACCACAGGGCAAACACCCCAGTGTCTTCTGGGCTGGCTCAAGCCCAGTTGAAAGGACTTTGGTTTGTACCCAGCAAGAGAAAATTGATCACACCTGCCTCTCTACTTAGTGAAACCTCAGTGGCCTTCTTATTTGTTCACCTTCCTCTTTCCAGTGATCCTTAACCTTCTGTGGGTGTTCGGCTCATCTGCACTTAAGTGAATGATAAACTGATCTTTGACTCTCTGATGGTCCCTTTCTGCAAGTCATGGAAAAGGCTATTGAAATGCACTTCTTTAGCCCAAAGCAATTCCAGGTGACTGGGGGTCAGTAGGAGTTATCCCATTCTATGTATGGGGGTGGGCAGGGAGAGGGAGGGAAGAAAAGATGGTAATGGCAGAGAGGCTTTTACTGAATTAAAAGGTGGGCCGGCACGGTGGCTCACTCCTGTAATCCCATCACTTTGGGAGGCTGAGGTGGGTGGATCATGAGGTCGGGAGATCAAGACCATCCTGGCCAACATGGTGAAACCCCATCTCTACTAAAAATACAAAAATTAGCTGAGTGTGGCGACGCACACCTGTAATCCCAGCTACTCAGGAGGCTGAGGCAGGAGAATTGCTTGAACCTGGGAGGCGGAGGCTGCAGTGAGATGAGATCATGCCACTGCACTCCAGCCTGGGTGACACAGCAAGACTCCATCTCAAAAAAAAAAAAAAAAAAAGGGTGATGGGGAGTTCAGAGAAGCAAAGCGACTTTCCTTGCAATACCTAGAAGTGGCACTTTATCCCCATAGTCCATTATCTCACTCTTTTCCAACACTCTTCTTCGAACCCTTTCATGCACACAGTTCAAAGTGTTTTTCCATCTCAGAGCTCTTTAATCCCAGCAATAACTGCCTGACACAGCAGATGATGACAGTGATTAGACTGGGAGAGGGAGGAACCAAGGCCAGGCAGAACAAGAGGATTTAGCCTGGGACACGGTCGAGTTGACCTTGGCACCCCACAGGCTGCTTCTGGGAGGCTGGGCTGGAGAAGGACTCCAGGGACAGGTAGAGGCATTGTAGGTGGGGAGAGTGGGCTGACCTGGGGTTCCTGGGTCTCTCCAGCCAGGGGCAACGATGGCTGAAGGCCAAGGTCAAGACTGAAAAGTAGATGCCCTTCATCTAGAATCTGCACAACCTCACTGCTCAGCCCCTGCTCCGCCTCAACCCTCCACTCTGTCCCTGGGTCCCTCATACTCTCAAACTGCCCATCCTACAGATGCCAATTGGTAGGTTGGAACTTGAGCATATTTTGGTGTCTCTGGGGAGTCAAGGTGTCTGACTTTCTTGAGGTGTTCTGTACTTGACCCGGACAATCTCATCCCTCTCTTACTCTCGTTTTGTTTGTTTGTTTGTTTTTGAGACAGAGTCTCGCTCTGCCGCCCAGGCTGGAGTCCAGTGGCGCAATCTCGGCTCACTGCAAGTTCCACCTCCTGGGTTCACACCATTCTCCTGCCTCAGCCTCCCGAGTAGCTGGGACTACAGGCGCCCGCCACCACGCCCGGCTAATTTTTTTGTATTTTTAGTAGAAACGGGGTTTCACCGTGTTAGCTAGGATGGTCTCGATCTCCTGACCTCGTGATCTGCCCGTCTTGGCCTCCCAAAGTGCTGGGATTACAGGCATGAGCCACCGCGCCCGGCCTGTTTGTTTTTTTGAGACAGAATTTTGCTCTTGTCACCCAGGCTAGTGCAATGGCATGATCTCGGCTCACTGCAATCTCTGCCTCCTGGGTTCAAGCAATTCTCCTGCCTAGGCCTCCCGAGTAGCTGGGATTACAAGTGTGCACCACTGCACCCAGCTAATTTTTGTACTTTTAGTAGAGACGGGGTTTCACTATATTGGTCAGGCTAGTCTC
This sequence comes from Homo sapiens, assembly GCF_000001405.40. Taxonomy (NCBI): domain Eukaryota; kingdom Metazoa; phylum Chordata; class Mammalia; order Primates; family Hominidae; genus Homo; species Homo sapiens. The sequence goes on from NC_000017.11 coordinate 65,309,753, forward strand.
GAGCTCCTGAGCTCAGGCAATCTGCCCGCCTTGGCCTCCCAAAGTGCTGGGATTACAGGTGTGAGCCAACACACCCAGCCCCCTCTCTTACTCTTAAATGAGTTTGCTTTTATTTTTCTTGGAGCCCTCCTGCTGTCAGCCTACAAATCAACGTATATTGAGGGTGATGTAGGCAGATGGGTGACTGGGGTTCCCCTTCTGGGAAAATGTTCTTATTAATTATTCAGACCTTGTGTCAAGGGCTAAGTGGATGACAATTGGCATTTGGGTTGAAAAGATGCATTGGGCAATCTGCCTCCCCTGCCCTTTAATTACAACAGTGACAATGACCACCCAAGCACTTACCACCAGAGCCGCCAGAGGATTTACTAAGCATTTATTCTAGGCTGGGCGCCATGCTCATTTTGTCCCAAACCAGACTGGCCTGGCGCGGTGGCTCACACCTGTAATCCCAGCACTTTGGGAGGCTGAGGCAGGTGGATCACCTGAGGTCAGGAGTTCAAGACCAGCCTGAACAACATGGTGAAACCCCTTTTCTACTAAAAAAAAAACACACAAAAATCAGCTGGGTGTGGTGGCACCCATGTGTAATCCCAGCTACTCAGGAAGCTGAGGCAGTAGCATCTCTTAAACCTGGGAGATGGAGGTTGCAGTGAGCCGAGATCACGCCACTGTACTATAGCCTGGGTGGCAGAGTGAGACTCTGTCTAAAAAAAAAAAAAAAAAGATAGGCTGAGATTGTCCCCATTTTGTAGATGAAGACATTGAGGCCCAACATATTTATGTAACTTATAGAAAGTCCTAGTGCTGGTAAGTAGCCAAGCTGTTCCTCAAATCTGCCCAAAGTCTTCATCTTAAGTCAAAGGCACTTCAAAGAGCTCCCAGGAAATAGACAAAGGGCAGCATTTTATCCATTGATTAAAAAAAATGTATATTTCCATTGCCAAGATGTGCCATGTCTTATCCTAGGCATTGGGGAAAAGGGGTGTATCAAATGCAGACCAAGTGCTTGGAGGGTCTGGCGTGTGTTGGGTCCTTAAAGATTGTGGTAAATTCACAGAGCGAAGGGGGCAGTACTTGGCAGGAAAGGGTCCACTTTGGGTCAGGAGGTGACATTTGGGCTGAGATCTGAAGGAGGAGAAGGAGCTAGGAGAAGCAAAATCCTGTTGGAGATTACTGCAAGGACAAAGGTCTAGAGGCAGGACTGAGTCTGGCAAGTCGAAGGACCCCAAACTGGCCCAGTGTGGCTGCAGAGAAATGAGCTAAGGCCAAAAAGGCCGCATCAAGGGGGCCTTCGCAAGTCATAGGAAGGTGTTAGAGTTTTATTTTATTGGTGAGATTCTAGCAGGGAGCAGAATGTTCTGATTCATGATCTAAATAGATGGCTCTGGTGTTGAGGGATGGGTTGGAATAGAAGCTGGAGACCCATCAGGAGTGTCAGGGAGGAGGCCTATGCATCTTACACTGTGCAGAGAAGAACAAAATCAGTAAGCAAAACCCTAGCACCTGTACTGATACTTTGCTGAGCCTGGGAGGCGGCCGATGCAGGGCACAAATAGACCACATGGAGCCCATTGGGATGGGGCTCAGCCTGCTTAGACATAGCACAATGATAAGGCCCATTGTAGGCACCATCCAGAGGGCTCAGCACCGACTTCACCCTCTCAGAGCTCCCTCTTGAAGCAGCTGCTCCACTGGCACACATGCTGCTCTGGGTAGACGAATCCCCAAACATTCCCCCTTCCCATCAGCAGCTGCAGTTTCAGCCTCTGTTTTAGCCCCTAGCTGTGAGTTCTTGTCCCACACTACACAATGGGCCAGCTCAGGTGATTAAACCCCTTACATGGAGCTATCGGGGGCATGAGGCAAGGAGCAGAAAAATCATGGTAGCTGGCAGTCTGTGGATGTTTCCCTGTACCAGGCACTCTGCTAAGCACTTATGTATTGACTCTGGTCTTGTCCTCAAATAACCCTATGAGGCAGACACTACGATTATCCCACTTTACAGGAAACTGAGGCACAAAGCAGTTAAGCAACTTCCCGAAGGTCACAGAGAGAGAGTCAGGGAGCAGCCAGCATTCCAACCCAAGCTGTCTGGCTGTGGAGTTCCTGCCGTTGTCTTATGCCGACTGCCCTCTCAGAAAGTCTCTCCCAGGGGTTAAGAACGCTCAGATCCTTCAAGGTCTAGGCAGCCTCAGCCTTCTTTAACCAGGAGCAATTCATCTTCCAAAATAATGCCATCAGAAAAATGAGGAAACTTCAAAGAGAAACGAAAAGGATGAGCATTCTGAGAAACCCTAATGTGCAAAAATAGTTAAAGAAACAGAGGATTATCAGAGGAGAAAGGTCCCTGTTGTGGCTGAGCCCACAGCCTTGCTTCCCTGGGAAGGCAGAGGGCTAGGGAAACCCTCTGGTGCTTGGTTGCTGATGCTGGGAGAACCAAGCCCTTCTGTGGGAAAATCAATGATGGCAGTGACTGTTTTCCTGCCACAACAAACCTATACTTAAATATGATTAAATATGCTTTCTGCAAAGGAAATACCCTATAGTTTATCCAAACACGGGGTCACCCTCTCTCTCCCATGCACTGTTCCGGTGGTTTACGTGGCACGCTATATTCTGAACAGGGCTCAAGTCTATTAGGCCAAGTTCCAAACTATTTTTTTTTTCTAGCAGTCAGGCCTCACTTAGACGCCAAACGGGTCAGACCACGGGAGCTCCATCCCTGAGCCCCACTCTCCCCTTGAGACTGGGGAAGGGTAAACACCAAATATCCCCAGATGGTTCCTCTCTGTGACTCTGAGCTCCACCTGCTGACCTTCCAGTTCGTTTTTCTGAGTCTCTGAAACATTCAGCTTCCCTTCTCCATGGGGAAACATTGGGAAGAACAGTGTATTTCTAGGTGACAAAAGAAAAACATATATGTTTGTCCCTTTCTCATATCAGGCAATTAAAGGAATTAGAGGGTGACTTGGTAAAACCAATCCCCTTCCCTCTCCTCCCACCCCCAATTCAACTCAGAAATAGAGATAATGGTTTCCATTTTCCCTCTCCAGTGTAGTTGGAGGAAAGCCATTTTATTCCCCTAATTATATGGACACCCACTCACATACATAAATATCCACATATGAGATGATACGTGTGCTTGTGTGTGTGTGTCTACACCCTCATGCATCTGCTTCCAGATCCTGTAATTAACACCCCATAAAGAACAATTCTGTGTACCTGAAGACACCAGCCTAGATCCTGGGTGATTGACAAGCCAGAAAACTTAATTTTCCCTCTTTGTAGGAGAGATCGTTTAAGCTACTGTTTGATAGCCTTACCAGATTAGCCAGCTCTGAACTGCTTTGGAGAATTTTGTTCCTTTACCCAACTCCCTGACTCTCCCTCCCCACCCCCAGAGCGATAAGGCATCTGTAAACACTCTCTGAAGCTCCTTCCCCAGCGTTCTTGGGTTTGCCACTTTGAAGTAAAACTGCAGGAAGACCTCTGTATGAGATGAAAATGTCTTGCCAACTGATAAAGAAGTGCGGATCCAGCTAAAATCCACTCGGAAATAGGGATTAGTGAACCTGAGAAGGTTTGTTTGGATTGAAGACTGTGTTGAAAAAAAAAATGTGAGATTTGGATTCCATCAAAATGAACCCAAACCCCAGTCTCCCACCCCCGCCAGCCCCACTCTGCAGACACTGTGAGTGCCCCTACCTTCACATTCAGAAAGTCCTTCAATTTCAGAAATGGTTATCACTTTTCCTCTATGTTGTGGTTCTCAAATTTCATCAGGTGTTCAAATTGCCCAAAGAGCTTGTTAAAATGCAGATTCTTGGGGCTATCCTGCCGCAGGATCTTATTTGCATAGTCTAGGTTGAGACCTAGTGAACTGGATTTTTAATAAGACTCCAGGGGCTTCTAAAGTGATCAAGACTAGATTTTTTTTTTTTTTTTTTTTTTTTTGAGAAGGAGTATCACTCTATCGCCCAGGCTGGAATGCAGTGGCGCCATCTCAGCTCATTGCAACCTCCACCTCCTGGGTTCAAGCACCTCCTGTGCCTCAGCCTCCCAACTATTGGCTGGGACTAGAGGCACGCCACCACGCCCGGCTAATTTTTGTATTTTTAGTAGAGACAGGGTTTCTCCACGTTGGCCAGAACTCCTGACTTCAGGTGATCCGCCCACCTAGGCCTCCCAAAGTGCCGGGATTACAGGCATGGGCCACTGCACCCAAGGCAAGACTAGATTTTTTAAAATACTGTTCCAGAACCAGCTGACCAGTGGCCCCAATACCACATATGCAGGGCTGTGATCCAGTGGGACATCCTAGCACCGGGTAGAAAATATTGAAATACTGAGCTAATGGTTGATAAACAGCCATAGCTTCTAGTTTCCTGAGTGCCATCTGCTGTCCCAACTACTTGCCCCCTCTCCCAGGACCTCCTGGACTTCCCCACATTTCAGACACCTAACAGTGAATGACTGACACAGCAGAGGGTCTCTGGGTCCCTGAACCTGCTGCTAGGGCCCGCATCTGCTCTGATTGGCCTGTGTCTTATCACTGGCTAAGTGTTTTCACTATTCCCCTTCACATGCGATTGTATGACAGAAGCATACCCAGCCGTGGTTGACATCGGGGACGTGGTTAACCACTTGCTCCCGCCTGCAACACCTCCCTGCCATTTTCCTGGTTTCCTACTACCCTTGCCCTCTGTCTGCTGCTTCTCTTTTGCAGTTCCCTTTTTTTGTTGTTGTTCCATATTGGTGCCCTGTCCTAGTCCCCTTCTCCTGTCTAGCCCTAAGTGATTACTTTAAGCACCATCTATATGTCCTGAACTCAGAAGGCAATAGACAAGCTTATCAGACTTGTGTAAAAAGTAAAAGTTAATAATTCTGAGGAAGGCAGATACTCTTTCTCAAAAAGAAAAGATGCCTATGGTTTATTGTGATGGTCCCCAGACACTCATTTGTGGATTAACCATAGCAGAATTACCCAGGAATATCTAAACGATGAGGATTCATTCAACTCCTTCCCTAGAGGACCGGTTTCAGTAGGTGTGGAATAGGTTCTGAGAATCTCTGCTTGTTCAAAAGCAGCCTAGGCAAAGGATATGAATAGACAATTCTCAAAAGAAGATACACAAATGGCCAAGAAACATGGAAAAATGCTCAAATGCATATCACTAATTATCAGGGGTATGCAAATTAAAACCACAAGGAGCTACCACCTTACTCCCACAAGAATGGCCATAATTTAAAAATCAAAAAATAATAGATGTTGGTTTGGATGTGGTGATAAGTGAACACTTTTACAGCAGCACAATTCACAACTGCAAAAATATGCAACCAGCCTAAATGTCCATCAACCAACGAATGGATGAGGAAATTGTGAGATACATATATATATATAAACACACCATGGAATACTACTCAGCCATTAGAAGGAACAAAATAATGGCATTTGCAGCAACCTGGGTGGAGTTGGAGACCATTAGTCTAAGTGAAGTAACTCAGGAATGGAAAAACCAAATATTGTATGTTCTCACTTATAAGCGGGCGCTGAGCTATGAGGATGCAAAGGCATACGAATGATATAATGGATTTTAGGGACTCAGGGGAAAGGTGGGAGGGGAGTGAGGGATAACAGACTGTACATTGGGTACAGTACACTGCTCAGGTAACAGGTGCACCAAAATCTCAGAAATTACCACTAAATAATTTATCCATGTAAGCAAACACCACATGTTCCCCCAAAACTAGTGAAAAATAAATAAATAAATGATAAATAGATAAATAAATAAATAAAAAAGCAGCCCAAGGTGTTCGCATGCTTTTTGGTAACTGCTAGCTGGTGCACAGGCTGCAGGGAGAGACCTTTACCGACTGCCTCTGTGGCTTGCCACTACTGACATTTTGAGAGTGGCAATTCTTTGTTGTAAGAGGCTGACCTATGCATCCTGAGGAGTTAAGCGGCATCCCTAAACTCCTTCTACACTCTGGATACCATAGCACCTCTCTCTCACTGTGACAACCAAGTCTGTCTCTAGACATTGCTACATTTCCCCTGGAGGCAAAATTGACCCTGGTTGACTAACTCTGCTCTAGGATTTCAGCTATGTTCTGGACAGATAGATGGTTGATAGGAGACCTCTATATTCTATGGACTAGAAGATTCAGTTACCCAAAATATACAACAACATACGCAGCTGTTCATAAGACCAACTTCTTGTATACGAAATGATTGCCTAAGCTGATAAGTGCATCTGTGCTGGCTAATTGTGTACATGAAAATCAAGAACAGCTTTTCACTAATCAAAAAGAGATATCCTGGTCAAAGCTTATTTGAAGACTGCCATGTTTTAAAACTCGACACGACTTAAAACAGAATCCTCTAAGTTCCTTTGCGAAAATACTTTCAGGATGTGTTAGGTATAACAATAGTTTGCTACATGAAAATGGCTTTGAAAATCTTAAAAGTGTTTTAAAAGAAAAGGGACTTTTTTTTGCAAGGCATTAAATCAGATGTGAATATGACAGATTTCAAAGACTGTCAAAATAACGAATTTACATCATAAATGCGTCGGCTTTCTTTTTAAAGGCTCTTCCACCACTCAGGAAGGCATTTAATGGTGAGCAGGTTCAAAATGTCGCCAGCTCCCACTGGTACAAAAGGGAGGCGATCCCCACTAGAGTCTCCGGGCTTCAGATAATGTCTCTGCCTCTTTTCAAGTTAATAAACTGCACTCCTGTCAAATTGCAGATAAATGAAAGAGACAGCACCATTGTTTTCTCCCACATCTTGCTAAGAAAGATATCTCCCAATATTTCGGGAGGACCAGTATGCCAAAAAATAAACTTGAAATAAATCCACCCTGCCGTGACTTTACCGGATCAAAGACGATGGAATTTCCACAGAAGCACTTTTCTGAAGTTTGCTGTGTTTTAGTTCAGATAGCGGCTCATTATGAAGCTTCTAATGCATTTGATTGTTTCAAAGTTAGCCATCTAAATTTTTAATCATGTGTGGATGCAAGATAATCACGGGGTTGGGCCCAAACACTGCAAATCCTTGATATTCTAAAGAGTCATGTCAATATAATATTTTCCTGAATAATCAGCAGGTAGGCTTGGGGAGGGGGCTGCTTCAAACAGCTCCACTCTTTGATGGAGGGGTGGACAGGTTTCTGAAGTTGCCTTTTGAAAGAAAAATAAGTCTGAGCGTTTGAAATCTGGATTCCTTTCTTTTTGAGGGAGTGAGGCTGCTGGTCTCTTTTCTCCTCTCTCTCCCTTTCTTTTGGCTGAGATGGGACTGCTATTAATAAGATGGGGAGCAGAGATGTTTAACTGGGATTCCACTCTCTTCAACTGGGGAGTCTAGGACAAGAAACTCACTCATTTACTCACACTCTCAGGTTAAGTTTCTTCCACCACAAACCACAAAATGGTTTTTGTTTTTACCTCCTCTTTGGGGACAGTCTGGTTTTCTTTCTCAAGACCCTAGTATTTGGGAGCACAGAAGGGCACAGGAGCTTGCTACCCATAGCTGCGTAGCTCTCAGCCTAGTCTCAGGGCATCAGCTGCTTTGTGCATGTTGGAGTAGGAGCTGCACTTACTCTGGGCAGAAGATGAGGAAGGGGAAGGGGCTTGGAAGAGACCTTGCTGCAACCTCCTTGTAGAAAATATGGCATAGGTGACCTGGATCAGAAGAACCTTGGGGGGCCACCAAATTCATCCCATGGCCTTGAGACAGCTCTTAATCCACTCCATATTTATCGAGCATTTACTCTGTGCTGACCCCTGTTCCAAGCACTTTACACAGATTAACATATTTAATCATTACATCAGCTCTGAGTGGCAGGTTCTTTGATTGGCTCCATTTTATAGGTGAAAAGGCTGAGACTCAGAGCTAGCGAGTTGCAGAATGAGGATTTGAACCTAGGCACTCAGACTCCAGAGTCCATGTTCTGGATGTCTGGATGTTGTTCTCATTGATCAAGTCCAGGTAGCGGAGTTGGTTGCCAAGCCTAGAGTTTTTATAAATACAATTAACTTTGCTGTTTTCCAGGGCCATGAAACTGACCCTTCTCCCTGGCTCAACCAGCCCTTGACAATGAACATGACCAGAGATAGGAAGTGAGATGAGATAAAGCACTCAGAGCAACCAACTCTTCCACTGGGAAGATGGCCCTAGACAGGAGGTCCGTGGCCTTGCCTTTAAAGATGAAGTGACATTGAGCATCAATGGCTTAGTTCCATCATCAGACTACTTGGTATTTGGGATAATGAGATTCTGCCTGTTCATAAATTCCTTTATGCCAAACCACTCGTTCGTGCTTGGATACCTTATACTTTATCTCCTGCAAAAACTGTCCTATTTAAATGCTTTGTTGTCTAAGTGAATGCCAGGATAGTATTTCCCATCGAGTGTTGCTTTTTATTTTTTCTTAGAAGTTATTATATATATCACAAAGACTCCCATTGTTTTGATGTAACATCCAGGAAGAAATGGCCCCTATGTTTTATAACAGCAACAACAGATTCCATTTACCAAGTGCTTACTATGTATCAAGTTCTGTTTTAAACATTTAATATATATCAGTGCATTTAATCCCATGTCAAGTGTATGAGATTTTGCAATTATTATAATGGGAAAACTGAGGCATAGCAAAGTTAGGTTACATAGTTAAGGCCATATAGCTAGTAAGTAGTAGAATCAAGATTATATCTATATATCTATATATCTATATATCTATATCTATATCTATATCATCTGTATCTATATGTCTATGTCTATATGTCTTTATCGGTGTCTGTCTATAACTATCTATATCTATATTAGAGCAGTATTTATGCTTTTTTTTTTTTTTTTGAGAAGGAGTGTCACTTTTGTTGCCCAGGCTGGAATGCAATGGCACAATCTCAGCTCCCTGCAACCACCACCTCCTGGGTTCAAGCGATTCTCCTGCCTCAGCCTCCCAAGTAGCTGGGATTACAGGCACATGCCACCATGCCCAGCTAATTTTTGTATTTTTAGTAGAGACAGGGTTTCTCCATGTTGGCTAGGCTGGTCTCAAACTCCTGAACTCAGGTGATCCACCCACCTCGGCCTCCCAAAGTGCTTGGGATTACAGGCGTGAGCCACCGTGCCCAGCCTAATAGGGCAGTATTATACCATGACCCACTTTTGTTTGGAGATTATGAATTCATCTTAGATCTTATTTTAAAAACTTTTCCAGAAACACAAGAACTTCTCTAAACTTACAGTTCACCTGTCTGTGCTCCTTTGCACAGGACTCTGAACCTTAGAAGGAAGCCATGGCAGGTGTACAGGAGAATGCTCCAGAAAGTCTCCCAAGAGGCCTCAGATAAGGACAGCAGGATAAGTTTTTGGAGAAAGAATCCTCCATGGTTACTCAGGACCCACTGCCAAGAGATGGGCCAGGTCACTGTGTGGGTAGCAGAGCAGGAGCAAGCTCTTATCAGTCCAGCCAGTGGGATCTCCAAGGTAAGACAAACATATGAGCAGACAAGTGCTCATGAATGCTATTCTACCTTTCTGATTAAAAAATGATAAAACTCAAAGCGGGCACAGATGTGGGGAAATAGTCACTCTCATACTCTCAGGGTGGGAGAGTAAACTGGTGCTACCTATCTGGAGGGCAATTAAACCAACATAAACAGCCCTAAAAATGTGCACACTTTTCAATACACCTAGCAATTTATTCTAAAAGAAGCCTACATACACACAACGATTTAGCTGGATGTTCCTTGCAGTACTTTTTATAAGAGTGATAAATTTGAAGCCATCTAAATGTCCAAAAAATAGAATATTGCATATATAATTTGAAGTAGGTCTACAACAAAGAATATTCAATATTAAACATGTTGCAGCCATTCCATATGACATATGAAAGAGTAATTAATGACATAGTACACAATGCATACCATACAATTAAGATAAAAAGCAACTTACAAAGTAATATATAGTAAGATTTCATATATAGGAAAGAAACACATTCACAGAGAAAGAAGGGTGTAGAGATAGTATTAGTCTGCTCAGGCTGCTATGACCAAGTGCCATAGACTGGATGGCTTAAACAACAGAAATCAATTTTCCCATGGCTTCAGAAGTTGCGAAGTCCGAGATCAAAGTGAAGTTGGTTTCCTGTTGAGGGCTTTCGTCCTGGTTTATAGCCACCTTTTCTCTCTGGGGTGACATGGTCTTTCCTCAGTGCATGTGTATATTTAATCGAGAGATCTCTTTCTCCTCCTCTTCTTGTAAGGCCCCCAATCCTATAAGATTAGGACCCCATTCTTATGACCTCATTTAACCTTAATTACCTCTAAAAGCTCTGTCTTCAAATACAGTCACATTAGGGTTAAGGCTTCAACATATGAAGTATGGAAGGACACAGTTCAATCCATAGCAGAGAAGAAAATGTTGAGTAATTGTATGCAAATGATGCTGATGATAGGTTTTTAGTTCCTTTATTTCCACCCAATTTTTTTTTTACAATAAACATAATTTACTTGGTGTAATAAGTAAAAAAAAAAGTGTTTATAAGCTTCAGACTTTTGGTCCAAGTGATTTTAATCCATGTATTATGAATTTTAATTCATAATACATATGAATCCTGCAGGCCTCACTTTTAGCAAATCCTTTGGCCCCATCCCTCCACATCTAGGGTTATTTTATTTTATTTTATGTTTTGAGACAGAGTCTCACTCTGTCACCCAGGCTGGAGTGCAGTGGCGCAATCTCGGCTCACTGCAACCTTCGCCCCCCGGGTTTAAGCGATTCTCCTGCCTCAGCCTCCGGAGTAGCTAGGATTACAGGTGCCCACCACCACACATGGCTAATTTTTTGTAGTTTTAGTAGAGATGGAGTCTCACCATGTTGGCCAGGCTGGTCTCAAACCCCTGACTTCAGGTGATCTGCCCACCTTGGCCTCCCAAAGTGCTGGGATTACAGGCGTGAGCCACCACTCCCGGCCTAGGGTTATTTTATAACATGGAGCACTGCCTTTCTCTGCTCTGAAGTAGCCTGAGAAGTGCCCAGATCAGAGCATCTCCTGAGGCTGGTTCCCAAGCAGGCCCTGTGTGTGGCTGACATTGTTGGGCCAAGTAGAACGTGGCAAGGGCCGCACAGTGGCTGGGACTTTTGTAGATAGCACCCTTTTTGTAGCCATGCTACTTAGAAGCGGAACCAAAGCGCATTAGGCAAGGTGGTAACTTGAGAGACAAATATTTGGGGCTTTGTTCAGGAGGGTGCCAACAAATCCACAGCCTGAATGTCTGGGAGGAGAAATTCAGCAGACTGGAACAGACTCAGCTTTGGGGCCAAACCATGAGGTTCAATTACCACGTGGGAGGCCATAGACAGGGAGTCTCCACTTACAAATTCCACCATTCTCAAGCAGAGAAGCCAAAAGGATCACTATCCTACCAACCTAGAAAACATATCAAGGACAAGATCCAGGCTTTGACATTCGTTCAAGTGTTTCTTCCCCAAAGTTCAGTCTCTTTCTGAGGTCAGGCCTGCAGACTTGGACTAATTTGCACAGATGAGCAGGAAGCATAAAAGTGAACTCAGATATGCACTGTTGCAGCTATCACTGCAATGCAAAGTATGGACTCAGCCAGGAGACCTGCACCCTAGTCCTCCTCTACTGCTGACTGCAGGTGTAACTCTGGGCAACCCATTTGCCTCTCTGGTCTCCATTGACTCAGCTTTCAAACTGGAATAAAAATATGTGCCTGCCTACCTTACAGGATTATATTGAACATAGAGTCCCTCTTGTTTACCGTTATATCCCTTATGGCTTGTGCAGTGCCTGGCAACAGGACAAAGCTGTAGGGAAAGATTCCGTGGTGATTTGGAAGTTGAAACTGCTTAGCCCAAGGGCTGGGGTCAAGTCACTGTGCAGGTAGCAGAGCAAGAGTGAGCTCTCATCAGCCCAGCCAGGAGGATACCTAAGGGGGAGACAAACCTGTGAGCAGAGAAGCACCCACATATGTTTCTAGGGACAAAGAGGAAGTGCAGAAGACCACTCATGTCTTCTTGAGCACACAATGGGTGCTTAACAAATATATCTTGAGGCACTGGATAAGAAAAGAAAAACATGAGTTAATACCTATGAAAGTGGTCTTCAAAGTATAAGGAACCTTAGACTTTGTGGCAGAGGCTGAGTAGCTAGTCATCTTCTCCCTTTCCTAGACTTTTTGTTGTTGTTGTTGTTGAAACGGAGTCTTGCTCTGTCGCCAGGCTGGAGTACAATGGTGCGATCTTGGCTCACTGCAACCTCTGCCTCCCGGGTTCAAGCAATTCTCCTGCCTCAGCCTCCCAAGTAGCTGGGATTACAGGCGCACACCACCATACTCGGCTAATTTTTTTTTTGGTACTTTTAGTAGAGATGGAGTTTCACCATGTTGGCCAGGATGGTCTCGATCTCCTGACCTCGTGATCCGCCCGCCTTGGCCTCCCAAAGTGCTGAGATTACATGCGTGAGTCATCGTGCCCAGCTTCCTAGACTCTTTTGCTGGTGTGGCAGTGTGGTAGCACGAAACCTGGCCATGAAAATACCTGGGAAGCAAGGCATTGGACACAGCTCAGCCATGAGATGAAAGGAGACTGCATCTCTGAATGTCCATTTGAGGAAAGCCTGCCACCAAGTCACCAATTAGGCCGACTTCTTTTGATTTTATGTAAATAAGTAACAAACATCTATTTTGCATGATCCCTTATACATCTTGGAGGTTAATGAGCATCTAGTGCTATCTTAACTAACATACAGTCTCTGATATAATTCACATCATTGCACTGTGAGGTTTCTAGAGGCTATGGGATGTTGGCAAGGGGGTGGTTCTGGAATGTTGGACCCAATTCTGTGGCAGTGACTAGCATGGAAATAAGCCTCAAGAGAGTTAGAAGCTTGTAAAAATGTAGCTGTGACTATGCAGTTTCAAATGGTCCCAATGAAGATGCACAAGGGGATATGCCTGAAGAAACTAAGTGTAAAGGGAATGCCCAGAAAGCTTACATTCTAAAGGACACATATAACAAAAGGTGAAAAGGTAACATAACCAAGAACAAAGATTCTAATTGTGGACAAGTAGTTTAGAATTAGAAGAATAACATCAGGCAGGTGAGACTTCTGAAAAATACTTAGGATGACTCTATTAATTAGGGAAACACTAGCCACTGAAATCAACAAAGCACAGTTTGATGGGTATATCATAATTAAAGTTTCTTTCTCATTCACGTAACAGTTCAATGAGGGTGTCCTTATCAGCAGGAGGCCTTCCATGTGGTGATGCACGGATCCATGCTCTTTCCACCTTGTGTTTCCACTTTCCTCCAGGGCCTCAGAGCCCTTTGCTGTCATCCCACAGGAGCAGGAGTAGAGGAAGAGGAAAATATCACTTACATCCTAAGCTGTTTAGCCCAGAAGTGACACTTATCACTTCTAGCATTTCACTGGAGAGAACTAGTCACATGGCCTCTCTAGGTGCAAAGAAGGCTGGGAAATGTAGTCCTTGGCAAGCAGTCCTTCGCAGGTAAAACCCTACACCATGAAAGGGAAAGGATACATTGCTGGTGGATATCCAGCTGTCTCTGTTACAGCAATATGAAAGACTTTTCTTTTTTAAAGTGATAGTTAAAGCAAGAAGATGACCAAGAAAGGGGTAGACCTACCTTTTGCATCTAATGTTAGAGAATTTATAATGGAAAAAAGAATAGGAAGTTCTTCATCTCCTCTTGCTTTGATTCTCTGTCTGGAAAGAGAATAATCAGACTGACTAGAGTAGAGTTGACACTGGTAAGAAGGAATTAAAGCCAACCTGAAATACTTACTGACTCCAGTTGGATCTACTCTCTTGACTGGATGGTTCTACCCTAGAGATCTCAAGAAAACTTGATAAAATAGTGCCAAATCAAACATCACAAATAACAATAAACACATCTGACAACCAAAGATGGGTAAAATGCACTCCTAATTGTTATAAAAGAGAAGACGGTGTTTTCATGCATGCTTGCTGGTGTATTAATGACCAATCCCAGGTTAAGCCCTAGAAAGTCCTAAAAACAATATTTTAAAGGGTAGTTTGTATGATCTTAGAAAGGTAAATAGTGATAGTTAAGAGTCAGCATAGGACGGGTGTGGAGGCTCATGCCTGTAATCCCAGCACTTTGGGAGGCCAAGGCGGGTGGATCGAGAGGTCAGGAGTTCAAGATCAGCCTGGCCAAGATGGCGAAAACCCGTCTCTACTAAAAATACGAAAATTAGCCGGGCGTGGTTGTGGGCGTGACTGTAATCCCAGCTACTCGGGAGGCTGAGGCAGAGAATTGCTTGAACTTGGGAGGCAGAGGTTGCAGTGAGCCAAGATCGTACCACTGCACTCCAGCCTGGGCAACTGAGTGAGACTCCATCTCAAAAAAAAAAAGGAGTCAGCATCGTTCTCCAAATCAAGACAGGCCAGGCTAGTTGCAGTTTTATCTTCTATGGTCATAATAATCTGTAAGTCAAGGAGATGCAGTGAACCCTGATAACTGAGTTTTATGCATCACTTAACAAAGTCTCTTATAAAATCCAGGGGAGACTATATGGCCTGGCAGATGTTACAATTAGGTGGATTCATAACTGGTTGAGAAATCATACCCAAAAGGTGCTGATAAATCGGGAGTAGAGGCTACTAACTCAATACCTTTAGGAGTGAGACAGGTATCATCAATGAGTGCGAGTGGTCAGGTGCTTGGAACAGGGAATAGTGTGGGGACAGAGGCAACATAGAGAGCCCATGTCTTGCCTAGTGGCTGCGGTCACTACACACATCCGGGTGGAATGCGCAGTCTACAACCTATACAATCACACATAGCTGCTCTTGTTGTTGAACTGTGGAGTCAGTGTTGAACATCTTTGATCTTCCAGGGAAAGCTAGAAGTCCAGATGTTGGCCACTAATTCAAAGTTCAAAAAAAAGAAAACATTATGCAGGCCAAACAAAACACATCTGCAGGCCACATTTGGCAATCAGACCATCAGTGTGTGGCTTCTGACCCCAAGAAAGATTTCTAGTAGCACAGGGCTGTTGTCATTGGTCAGGTTCTATTCAACATTTTTATCAATGGCTTGGATTAAGTTCTAGAAAGCATGCGAATCAAATTGGCTGTTGACCCAAAGCCAGAAGGACAGCTGGATGACCGGCTCGGGATTTTGAATAACCTTGACAGACTAGGGAATGGGCTGAGCTGCACGAGAAGGAACTCTTGGATAGTCAAATGTTAGATCATGTACTTATGTCAAAAAAAATTTAGCAGTACAAGTACAGAATGACTTAACAAGGGCACATGTTAAGAAAAAACAAATGCTGTCAAGTTTTAGTTGCCTGCAAATCAATATGAGGCAACAGTGTGATGTGGTTGCCAAAAAGCAAAGGCGATCTTAGGCTGCAGCAAGAGGAGTGAATCTTGCACTGCTCAGGCCAACTGTAT
This sequence comes from Homo sapiens, assembly GCF_000001405.40. NCBI lineage: Eukaryota > Metazoa > Chordata > Mammalia > Primates > Hominidae > Homo > Homo sapiens. The sequence goes on from NC_000017.11 coordinate 65,325,239, forward strand.
CTGGAGCTCTGCCTTCAGTTCTGGGAAACATTTGAGGAGGAACATGGAGAAACTGGAACACATTTGGAGCATTTCAACCAGGAGGGTGAAGAGATTAAAAAGTATTCAAATGAAGGACAGCTAAAGATGCCAAGTCTCCTTCCCTTGGAGAAGGGAAGCCTCAGAGATACATAAATGCTGGGTTTCAACATTTTGGAGAATTGTCTTATGGATGAGGACCCAAGTGCCAAGGCAGAAATGGTACAGAGAACCAGAGCTCAGTTCAGTGTTCCCATACCCTTCAAACATGTGTCTGGTTAGGGGAAGGGCTGCCCCGGATGAAGTTAGCTCCCTAACCCCACCCCTAAAGTTAGAAATGTGAAAGCAGTCGATGGGTAACCTTTGGCCAGGGATAGGGTGGAGGGAATGGGTGGCCATCACAGCAATGATGGACACACCTGAGATGGAATGCAGAAAGAGTCCAGGTGGGGTGGAGGGCTTTCCTAGTAATTGCTGAAAATAAACAGCCACACAATAGACCTGTGACAGACAGGGCTGGTAGGGAATAGCACATCAAAGAAACTTATGGGGGAGGGAGGCCGGGCATGGTGGCTCATGCCTGTAATCCCAGCACTTTGGGAGGCCGAGACAGGTGGATGGTTTGGGTCCAGGAGTTTGAGACCAGACTGGGCAACATGGTGAAACCCTATCTTTACAAAAATACAAAAATTAGCCAGGTGTGATGATGTGTTCATATAGTCCCAGCTACTTGGGAGGCTGAGGTGGTAGGACTGTTTGGACCTGGGAGAAAGAGGTTGATCATGCCACTGCAGCCTGGATGACAGAGTGAAACCCTGTCTCAAAAATAAAATAAAATAAAATAAAATAAAATAAAATAAAATAAAATAAAATAAAATAAGAGACAAGAAACTTATGGGAGAGGGAAGGGCAATGACAGTGTGGATTTAGAAGAAATCTAAGTATGAGCATCATTGCAAACCATAGTCTCAAAAGAATAAATCATGCAAATTAGAATCAGCTGAAGACGACACATCAGTCCTGCGGGAGGATAAGGGGACTGAATGTTCCACTGAATTTTCAGTAAGGTTGTGGAATTTCTGGGTCCCCTTATAATTGTCTTCCAATTAGCTTAATTGTATATCACCAATTGAGCTACAGTTCTAGAACAATGTCTCCTTGAGTCCTTAAACCAGAAACCTCATGGATGAACGGTTCAACCTCTTTGTAGCATAAATTAGGAATTTGATTCTCAGGAAGGAAAAGTGTCTTGTCTAGGGTCAGATAGCTGGTAAGTGACAGAAACAGAACCTGAACCAGGTCTCCTGACCCAAGCTTTTTTCATAATCCTCATGACTCAGTTTGGACATTCCATAGAAAACTTGACCTTGCAATCACATTCATGCTCAAAATTATCCCCGTTGTGGTGGCATTAAAAATGGTCTTGGTGGTCATGATAATGGTTTTCAGACACAGAACCCTCAAGAGCCTCAGAGATGGGTCTTCAAATACATTCATTCTGGTTTCCATGTATTTTCCCTCCAGGTGGATTGGTTTTGAGACTCACGTTTCATATATATTCTTTCCGTATTATAGACCTCTACTTTCTGTGGTTCCTTTGGCATTTTCTTGCCAAAATGCAGGTCTAGTAGGGTCCCTGGGGAGAAACTGGAGCCTTCTCAGTTCATCTGTGGAAGCCAATTTCCAAATCCCCTTCATAGTTGTTTCTCTTCTCTGAAGTCCAACTGGCATGATGAGGGAGGTAGAGGCTGCCAAGTTCCACCCATCTGCCAGATTGGACCTGAACTCATTCCATGGGCACAGACTCTGCCTGAACTCATTGCCATGCCAATCTCATCCCTTGATCTCCTGGGAAATATTGCTGAGACACTACTGTGTGGAGATGAAGACAGCAACTGCCCACAAGGATGGGGTCACTCCATGCTGGGGCACCATCACAGTTCAGTGAGCCCCCTTCACCTTCCACCCACCAGTGGCCAGAAAGGGTGATGGAGCAATGCTAACTGGAGAGTCCATGTGTCATCACACCAAGGTCCACCAGGTAGAAGCTTTCTCTTGGAGGTTTGGATGTTATTCTGTTGGGGCAAGGCTTCCTGGTAATAGAGCTGAGGTGGCATCCACAGGGTTTGGCTCCTTGCACATCAGCAGAGACCTTGGTTCTCTCTGTTGCCTTTCCCTTCTGTCTTACTGAAGTTCAGTGATTTCATACTTTGATAGTCGTGATTTTCTCAAAAGTTATGCGACCTTTTTCCACTCCCAAGTTCTGAAACAGGAGAAACCTGGGCCAGGTGTGGTAGCTTATGCCAGTAATCCCAGCACTTTGGGAGGCCAAGGTTGGAGGATGGCTTGAGGCCAGTAGTTTTAGACCAGCCCGGGCAACATAGGGAGACCCCATCTCTAAAAAAAAAAAAGAATAAAAATTAATTGGATGTAGTGTCTTATGCCTGTAGTCCCAGCTATTAGGGAAGTAGAGGTGGGAGGATCGCTTGAGCCCAGGGGGTCAAGGATGCAGTAAGCTGTGATCATGCCACTGCATTCCAGCCTTGGCAACAGAGTAAGACCCTGTGAAAGAAAGAAAGAGAGAGAGAGAGAGAGAAACCAAGAAAGAAAGAAAGAAACCAAGAAACCAAGGAACAAAGGAAGGAAGGAAGGAAGGAAGGAAAGAACCAAGGAACCAAGGAAAGAACCTGCGCCCTTAAGCCTAACTCAAAACAAAGCACGGGAGATCAATTGTCTTCCAATGATGGGAGGAAACGTACATGTTACTGTTGCCAAAGAAGGAAGAGAATCTTTGGAGTCCAGAGTCTTTTCCTATGCTCATGTAGGCCTAAGGCTGCTCTAGGAAGTGTTAAAAGCACCTGTCAGAACAGGAAGTGAGATGACCTCTAGGTTAGGCAGGGAATCTGAGCTAGGGCCTGACCTCCTGGTCCTCTTTTACTTCATATCACTTCATACTGACTGTCCTGTGGTTGAACAAAATGGAACCAAATTTGTTGCAGACCATGAGTCTGGTCCTTGGTTTTGCTCAAGAGGGTTCTGCTCATGAGCCTTTGTTGGCAGTGCAGTGATGCTGGCTCACAGTGAGCAGAGAAGGCCTTTAGGCTGAGACCAACCCTTTTTGTCTGTACCTTTAAGGTGACCTCCAATTGGAGCATTTGTCTGTACCTTTAAGGTGATCTCCAACTGGACCTCCAACTGGAGCTCCAATTGTGCACATCAATGGCACAGTAATTTTCCTGAGTGCAAGAACATCTAATTCAATTTCTGTCCTTAGTACTTGGCCTTGCTCACCACTCTGTGATAGCCAGCCTCCAAGATGGTCCCCAATCATTCTTGTTTTCTGAGGCTCACACCCAGTGCAAACCCCTCCCACACTGAGTAGGGCCAACCTGAATAAGGCTGGCCCATGAGTGAACATGATATTGCAGAAATGATAGTGACTACTTAGCCAAGGTTGTAAAACATATTGCAGCTTCCTCATTGCTCTTTCTTAAATCACTTGCTGTAGGAGAAGCCAGTTGCCATGGTGTGAGGGTGCTCAAGGAACCCTATGGAGAGGTCACATGACAAGGAACCAAAGTCTCCTGCCAACATGTGAGTGAATGAGCCACTTGGAAGCAGATCCTCCAGGCTGAATCAAGCCTTCAGACAACTGTAACCCCAGCTGACCTCTTGACTACAGTCTCAGGGAGGACCCTGAGCTGGGACCACCCAGCTAAGCTGCTCTTGAATTCCTGAGCTGTAGAAATTATAAAAGATAATACAAGTTTATCGTTGTTGCTAAATTTTGGGGGTAATCTATCGCACAGTAACAGCTGATACATTCTCCACAAATTCTTGGTGAATGAATGAATGAATAAAAAATGAATGAATAAATATGACAAGGTCTTACAAGACTTACTGGTCAGTGCTATTGAAAAGAGGCAAATGGCCCATGTCCTGCCACAAAATGCCTCAATACCTGTCAATGCAGCAGGAAGGAAGTGGAAAGCCTGACATGGCTCCCGTTCTACCAAAATAAACTCATTTTCCACCAGTCCCCATCAGGCAAGGTCCTTTCCCCTGTGCCCCCAACAGACCATCCTAAATATCTGATACCTGTTCCTTCATACATCAACACTATTGCATGGGCTCTCTACCTTCTCTGGAGGCTCTTCCCTAATTCTTTCTCCTGGTAATTCCTACTTATATCTTTAAAAAATGAGAAGTTATTTTTATTTATTTTTTTTGAAATGGAGTTTCACTCTTGTTGCCCAGGCTGGAGTGCAGCGGTGTGATCTCGGCTCACTGCAACCTCTGCCTCCCGGGTTCAAGTGATTCTCCTGCCTCAGCCTCCCAAGTAGCTGGGATTACAGGCATGCACCACCATGCCTGGCTAATTTTGTATTTTTAGTAGAGATGGAGCTTCACCATGTTTGCCAGGCTGGTATTGAGCTCCTGACCTCAGGTGATCCACCTGCCTTGACCTCCCAAAAAAATAAGAATTAAAAAAATGTCCAGAGTGAACTTATGAATCCCTATAAATCCTCCAGGGACTGTGGACCCCAGTTTAAGAAACTGAACAATATGATGGAATATTATAGTCATTTAAATGGATATTTTAGAAGAGTCCATGATAAGAAAAATGTTTGTTAGATACTGTTAACTGAAAAAGAAAAACATGCACACTTGAACAAATATTACATCACGTAATATTTGTTGTTACTTATATTATTAATAAGTATGATATAGTTGTATGTATAAATGTATGGATAACAAAATAAATCCTTCCAGGTATTAAGTCTTATGTAAAAAATAAAATAAAATACATCCTCACATAAACTTAGAGGTAAGTCGATTGAGAGAGGGAGAGTATACATAAAATGCTAAGAGTTCACCTCCCCAGGAGAGTATGATGAATAATTTTTAAAATAATTTTTTGATGTTCTGTAATGTCCAGATTTCTACAATGAACATGTGTACAGTGCTTATAATTAGAAAAAAATGAGGTTTTTTTTTTTTTTTTGAAAGGCTGAAGACAGGGCTTGTGGCTGACTCCTCAGGCTCTGGGAGAAATTCTGCTCCTGGGGGCTGGAAGAACAAAGGGACAGTCGTGCCTACTGGTCCTTGGAGAATCTCCTGCAGTCACAGGGCAAGACCTGATAGGGACCGGAGGCCTCGCCAGGCTCCCACAGGCACGGGGAGCTGGGAGCAGCCTAGGGGCCACCATCTGGGCTGGAAGGTCAGAGTCTTTTCCTTCCAGCCCAGCAGGAGTGGGATGAAGGGGTATTGGGAGAGTAGGAATACAGAGCAGGGACTGGAAACTAGGTCACCAGGAAATCGAGGAAATAAACAAAGGGTTCCTGTGGAGGGAAGCTCGCTTTGATCCTGGGTGGGAATGGGACGGACTGACTCTGGGAAGAGTGACCAAGTGACTCTGACATCCTCAGCCCACCGTAGGCTGACACAGTGAGAGCCTTAGAGCTGCGCATCTGGGAAGGGGACAGAGCCCAGGAGCCACCCCCAGCCTCCCTCCACTCTCTTACTCCCCGACTGGCCACCCCACAGCTCCATTCCCACTTCTGGTGACCACACCAACCTCCGAATGAGGTCTCAATCAGACACCCACCTTTGCCTCTGCTGATCCCTCTGCCTGGACCACTCTCCTCAGCTCTGCTTGGTGAACAACCCTCCTTTAAGAGTGAGTTCGGCTCTCCATTATCCAGAGCAGAATTATCCATGTTTGTTTTCTTTCTTTCCTTTAGTTAATTTTTAGAAATTGTGGTACAATGCACACAACACAAAATTTACTATTTTAACCATGTTTAATTATAGAGAGGTGTTTAATAAATTCACATCATTAAGCAGCCATCACCCCTGTCCATCTCCAGAACCCTTCATCTTCCTAAACTAAAACTCTGTAACCAAAACACACTAATTTCCCATTCCCTACTCCCCCAGCCCCAGGCAACCACCATTCACTCTCTATATGAATTTGACTATTCTAGGGACCTCACATAATTGGGATTATACAATGTTTGTCCTTTTGGGTCTGGCTTATTCACTTAGCATAATGTCCTCAAGGTTCAGCCATGTTGTAGCATGTGTCAGAATCTCCTTCCTTTCTAAGGATGCATCATATTCCACTCTATGTATGTACCATATTTTGTTTATCCATTCATCTGTCTGTTGATGGACACTTGGGTTACTTCCAGGTTTTGGCTATTGTGGATAAGGTTGCCATGACATGGGTGTACAACTGGGTTACATTTTGACTGCAGCAAATCTTACCTTGGACTGTGCTGACATCCAGCAACACTATTAGCTCAATCACTAGCTTTACTGATGTTAGAATTTTATATTTAATTCTACTTTCCATACTGCTTTTCTAAAAGAGGCCATTGGAAACCTTCTTGTCTCTTGTGCAAGAGAAGTTTTCAGAAAGGGGAAATCCTAGGGCTGCACCTTGCATCAATCTAAACCACAAAAGCAATCAATACAGTTTTTGTCTTCACTGAATACTTACAAGTTAGGTGGAATAATGCCCTCCAAATATGTTCACATCCTAATACTTGGAACTAGTGAATATGTTACCTTATACGGCAAAAAGAACTTTGCAGATGTGTTTGAGTTAAGGATTTTAAGATGCAGAGATTTTCCTGGATAATCTTGGGGGATGCACTGTAATCAAGAATCTTTATAAGAGGGAGACGGGAGGGTCAGAATCAAAGGAGGTGATATGATAATAGAAACAGAGGTCAGAGAAATGCAAGGAAGAGCCCATGCACCAAGGAATGCAGGTGGCCTCTAGATGCTGAAAAAGACACAAAAATGGATTTTCCTGCAGAGCTTCCAGAAAGAACACAGACCTGTTGTGCTTTTATTTTAGGGCATTTGACCTCCGGAACAGTAAGTTAATAAATGTGTGGGTTTTCAAGCCATTATGTCTATAGTGATGTATTACAACAATAGAAATGAACACACTGACTGCATACCAAACTTGTTCTAAGCATGTCACTCATTTGTTACCGTTAACCTCTTCCTACCCCATGAAATAAACGATATTATTGTCCTTATTATATGGGTAGGAAACTGAGGAAAGGGAGTGACTTGCCCAGAGCCTCCTGGTGATGATTGCTTTAGCTGTCCATAATCTTTGCCCCCTACTTTTGGGAAAGCAGCCCCATTTCTTTGTGGCAGATTATTTCTCTCATCGAGGCCAATGTGTGGCCACATGACATAAACCAGGCCAATCCTAGGATGTGACTCTTGAGCTGAGTCACCTAAAGACACAGTGGTTGCAGCAAATTCTTTCCAACAGAGGCATTTTCATAACTGCCTGCTACTTCTCTCCACCCACTGCATTCCCACTGCAAGAGTGGCCCTGGTTCCAGCCCATTTTCCAAGTCAGAGAGTTTCTGTTGTTATGTGTGAGGAACTTTGTATCAGGTTACAGCCTCCACCTGAGATAAGGTAGACAGCAGGAGTAAGGGGAGCAGATCAGACTTCCTGAATTCCAAAATACCTGCCATAGTCAAATACAGCAGATTTGGAGGGTGTATTAGTCTGTTTTCACACTGCTATAAAGAAATGCCTGAGACTGGAAAATTTATAAAGCAAAGAGGTTTAATTGACTCACAGTTCCCCATGGCTGGGGAGGCCTCAGGAAACTTACAATCGTGGCAGATGGGGAAGCAGGCACATCTTACAAGGTGGCAGGTGAGAGAGTGTGTGAAGGAGGAACTGTCCAACACTTATAAAACCATGATAACTCACTCATTTTCATGAGAACAGCATGGGGGAAACTGCCCCCATGATACAATCACCAGGTCTCTCCCTCTACACGTGGGTTGTTGACACAATGGTGATTACGATTTGAGATGAGATTTGGATGGGGACATAGAGCTAGACCATATCAGAGGGTCACATTCCCTGGTTATAATTCTGCTCCCCTCATCTGGGCACAGATAGCCAAGAGTGGACCACATGATAATACACACACTTTCTCATCCCCCTTGAACAAGCAGGGGAAGGAGTGACAAGCAAGAAGGCCTTAAAGACAAGCCTCTAAACTTGCTGTTGCAATGGCATCCGATAGAAGTTCCCCAATCTGGCAAATCTTACAGGCTTTTCTTTTCCAAGAGGTCCCTTAGGGCCCTGAGTTGCCCTCATGACTCTCACCACCCTGCATGGTGATGATGTCATTTACCTGTCTGTCTTCCCCAAAGCCCTATTGAGACTCTTCTTATTTGTTTTATGTCCTCAGTGCCTACAGAGTGTCTGATATGGTATCCATGCTCCCACATTGTACATAGGTGAGTGAGCAAATAATTCTAGAAAGAAGATACGCTGCTTGCCTAGATGATAGATTTCTACCCCACCCGGAATAATCTTCAGTGGCTAGATGCTTGAGCCTGCCTGGCTTTGCTTGATGTTCAGAGCAGCATGTCCCAGAGAGTTCAGGTCATTCTGACATCCCAGCATTTTCCCATGCTAGGCAAAGCTGCAAGCAGGGGCAAGCCACTGCTCATGGTTAAGTGTTCGTGCTGTCTTCCTACTTCTGTGTATATTATGCACAGAAATGCATTATTTTAATTTGTACCCAAACCTCCCTACCCACTTCACATCTATATCCCAAACATGTATCCCTTAGGTCCAGGAGGCTGGCAGCATGGTGGCCTCAAATGCATAGCATTACAACTAATTTTAAGAAAAAAATCCAGAAAACAAAATCAAAAAAAGGCTACCTTTGTCTATTGCTACTCTTCGGGGTTGGATTCACCAATAATAAAATGAGGAATAATCATCCTTCAGATTGTCTCTTTCCTTCTCAGACCTGCTAAACACAAGCTACAGTAAGCTAAGGTCAATTTATTACTGAAGAAAGAAATTTTTAAATATTTAGTGTCGCCTAAGAGTACAGTGTTTATAAGTCTACAGTCATGTACAGTAACCTCCTAGGCCCTCACATTCACTCACCACTCACTGACACCCAGAGCAACTTTCGGTCCTGCCAGCTCCACTCATGGTAAATGTCCTATCCAAGTGTACCATTTTTAATCTTTCATACTGTATTTTTGTTGTACCTTTTGGATGTTTAGATATACAAATACTTACCATTGTGTTACTGTTGCCTACAGTATTCCATACAGTCTCATGTTACACAGATTTATAACTTAGGAGCCATACGCTATACCATATAGCTTCGGTGTGTGGTAGGCTATACCATCTACATTTGTGTGAGAGTACTCTATGATGCTTACATAATGAGGAAATCACCTAACGATGCATTTCTCATAATGTGTCATCATTGTTAAGTGGCACATGATGTCTCAATGTTGCTGGGAGGACTCAAGGAGCAAATAACTGTCAGGCGTATAGCGCTGTGGGAGACACTGTAAAGGCTCTGAATAATGACTGCTATGGTTGGATAGCAGCCCCCATGACTCCAGTCGGAGCTAAGTTAATTATTTCTCTGGCTCTGATTGCTTTGCCCATGAAATGAGAGAGGAAAGGGCTAGGCTCTGCACTTCAGCTGTACTGATCCCTCCATTCCCTGTGTGTATCTCATTCCTTCTCACCATTGGGACTTTGTGCTCATAGTTGGGGCACGGAATTAGTTAATATTAAATTACTTAGTTAGCATAGTTAGGATTAAATTCAGCTGCATAGAGAGAAAAATCTTTAAAGAAAAAAAACAACCAGTGTGTAAAATGATATAGGAGTTAATTTCTCTCCAGATAGGTAGTCTAAAGCTGATCTACCAGTTTCAAAACAATCAAGGACCTAAGCTCCTTCTATCTTGTTGTTGTACTATTCTCAACACATAGTTTCTACCTTGTGGCTAATATAGCTACTCAGTTTGGGCAATCATGTCTACGTTCAGCTAGCAGACAGTTGAAAAGTTAAGGCAAAAGGCACGTCGGCTCCTTATAAAGACATTTCCCGGAAGTTGCACGCAGACTTCCACCTATATCCTATTTGTCAGAATTTAATCACATGGCCTCACTTCCCTCAAAGGAGGCTGGGAAATATCGTTTTCATTCTGAACAACCATATACACAACTAAAATTTGTTGAAAATGTGTCAAAAGTTTAGTTCAAACTGAAATATGTTAAAAATCCTCTAGTACCATCGAGGAAACAATAGGTATACCAAGTATTGAGGTATAGCTAGCAGTCTGTGATACAGTATCCTCTTACCTTCCCCTCCTTCTCCTAGTAAACTCCCATTCATGAATTAGGTGAACAATTACTTTCACAAGGAAGTATTATTTCCATCCTAAAAGCCTATTCATTTCCTTTACAACATTTATTTTAGGTTGTAGTTACACATTTTAGTGGGATTATTTGATTAGCCCCTCTTTTTCTTCCTAAAGTATAAACACAATGAGAAGAAGGGTATTGTCTGATTTTATACACTCACTTTATCCCCAGTGCCTAGCATAGAATCTAAAATGTAGTAAACACTTAGTTAATAATGGAGTGAAATAATTGTACATTGTAAGGATCCTACTAGCTCTCACTTAACCATGGCCCTGTGATGTTTCTTACATTAGTTAGAGTGCCTCATTTGGCACCTCTCTAAGTTAGCACTTGAATTTCTTCTTCACAGATACACACAGCCTCCCACAGGACTCACAGCTCATCCTCAAAACTTACTGTAAAGCTACAGTAATCAAGACAGTGTGATATTGGTATAAAGACAAACAGATCTACAGAACAGAATAGAGAGTCCATAAATAGACCCATGCATACCTGGAATCTAAACAACTGACTTTTAACAAAAGTGTAAACACACTTCAGTGGAGAGAGAAGAGTCTTCTCAACATATGGTGCTGGAACAATTGAGTATCGATAAAATGAATTGGACATACTGGAAAATATTGAACATGAATAAAAATGGACAATAAAAAGAAATAAAGTTGGTCATCAATAAAAGTGAACTTTGGACATCAAAAATGAATAAAGAAATGTTGAGCCATACTTTATATCATGTGAAAACAAATTAACTTTAAATGGATCATTGACCTAAATGCTAATACCTAAAACTATAAAGTGTCTGAATGGAACTGAACTTTTGTGACCTGAGGGTTAGGCAAAAGTTTCTTAGAAATGACACCAAAATCATAATTCATACAAGAACAAATTATTAAATTGGACTTCATCAAAATTTAAAACTTCTGCTCTTTAAAAAAGACTTAAGAGAATGAAAAGACAAACTACAGACTAAAATAAAATATTTGTAAAGCATATATCTAATAAAAGACTTATGTCTAGAATAGGCAAAGAATGCTCAAAATTCAATAATAAGAAAACAAAAACAAAAAACCTAATTAAAAATAGTCAAAAGATTTGAAAAGAAGCTTTATCAAAGAGGATATATGGATGGCAAATAAGCACATAAAAAGATCCTCAACATCAATTAATTTAAATTAAAAGCAGAGAGAGATACAACAACATACCTATTGGAATGTTTAAAATTGGAAATGTCTGACCATGTCAAGTATTGGCAAGGATGTGGAGGAACTGTAACTCTCATATACTTCTGATGGAAGTGTAAAATGTAAAATGTCACACTATGGTACCTTGGAAAGTAGTTTGCCCTTCCTTCCTTCCTTCTTTCCTTCCTTCCTTCCTTCCTTCCTTCCTTCCTTCCTTCCTTCCTTCCCTCCCTCCTTCCTTCCTTTCTTCTCTCTTTCTCTCTCTCTCTTTCGTTCTTTTCTTTTCTCTTTTCTTTCTTTCCTTGCGTGTCTCACTCTGTCACCCAGGCTGGAATGCAGTGGCAGACAAAGGCTTCCTGCAGCCTTGACCCTCTGGGCTCAATTGATCCTCCCACCTCAGCCTCCTGAGTAGCTGGGACTACAGGTGTGTGTCACCATGCCCAGCTATTTAAAAAAAATTTTTTAAATAGAGATGGGGTCTCATTACGTTGCCCAGGCTGATCTCAAACTCCTGGAGTCAAGCGATCCTCCCATCTTGGCCTCCCAAAGTGTTGGGATCACAGGCATGAGCCACCATGCTTGGCTTCCATTTTTTAAAAAAATTAAATACTTAGCTACCATGTCATCCTACCATTTTACTCCTAGGTATTTATTGAAAAGAAATGGCACCATATGTTCTGCATGGCTTTTGCATGAATGTCTACAGCAACTTTATTTGTTTTTTTAATTTTAATTTTAATTTATTTGTTTTTTTAATCATCCAGCCCAAAATGCCAAGCAACTTTATTTGTAATAGCCCAAAGCTGAAAACAACATAAATGTCCTTGAACTACATTTATGTAGTTCTCATAACTCATAATGAGTGGAATACTACTCAACAATAAAAAGAAATGGACCATTGATACACATTACAACATACCTACATTATGCGGAGTGAAAATTCAAACAAAAAAGAGTACTAAATTATCTTATGTGTCTAAAATTGTAGAAAATGCAAACTAATTTATGGTGACAGAAAGCTGATCATGATTGCCTGGGGACCATCGAGAAGAGGGGAAGGGGCAGAGAGGAAGAAAGGATGAAATATGAAGAAGCGTGAGAAAACTTTTGAGAGTGATGGATATACTCATTATCTTGATTGTAGTGATGATTTTCCAGATGCATACATATGGCAAGACTTAAAATATTGTACATTTTTGATATGTGCAATTTATTGTATGTCATCTATACCTCAAAAGATTCTAGGAAGACATTTCTTAAAATGTAAAAGAGGAAAGAAGAATTGCTGTGGAGAGTAAAAAAATACTGCATATCAAATTCAGATATATATATATATATATATTCATATATGTATATGACCAAGCTGTAAGCCTAACTTCCATAGAAAGTATCCTAGGAATATGTTTCTAATTAACATTACAAAATGTAGGTATGTGTGGCCGGGCATGGTGGCTCACACCTATAATCCCAGCACTTTGGGAGGCCAAGGTGGGCAGATCTCTTGAGATCAGGAGTTCAAGACCAGCCTGGCCAACATGGTGAAATCCTGTCTTTACTAAAAATACAAAATATTAGCCGGGTGTGGTGGTGTGCACCTGTAGTCCTAGCTACTTGGGAGGCCAAGGCATGAGAATTACTTGAACATGGGAGACAGAAGTTGCAGCAAGCTGAGACTGTGCCATTGCACTCCAGCCTGGGCAACAGAGTGAGACTCTGTCTCAAACAAACAAATAAAAAAAGAAAAAAAGAAAAGAAAATCTAGGTATGTGATTTAGCACATTAACAGATTTTTAAATGACAACCATATTATCATCTTAGCAAATGTAACATAAAATATTCAATAAATTTACCACCCAACAAATCAGTAATATAAGGGAACTCCCTCATCCAATAACTTTAATAAATTTCATACCTAATGTAGAAACATTACAAGCTTCCCTTTAAAGTCAGAAATGATATAAATACGGTCCCTATCACTGTGTCTACTCAACATTGCACAGGAGATCCTAGCCAATGAAATAAGACAAGAAAAACAAATGAGAGGTAAGGTTGAAAGAGAACAAATAGTATTGGCAAAGATACAATTTTCCATGTAGAAAATTCTTAAAGACTCTACATAAAACCTATTCAAACTATTAGTATAATTTTTAAAGCTGATTACTTGGGTACAAATTGCATGTTGAGCCAGAGTCGGGCATCCAGGGCTATAAGGGACTGTGATAAATAAATCTAGTTAACTTCCTGCCACTAAGTAAAATAACAATAACTACTACTTATTAACAGTCTGCTATACCACAAATTCTACACTTTTTTTTAAAAGAGAATTACATTTGATTAACCATAATATCATCTACCTATAATTGAAAACACAGGATGGAATGTATGTACAAGACATAGTATTTATATAGCCTATCCATAGTGCCTGGTGCTCCTGCAAATATGCATAAGTTGAAGTAACCCCACCACCCCTAGATGTCTGCAACTAACAGGTTGGGATCCACTGCCATGGAGAATTATAGCCTTTGGAGTTAGTTAGGCTAAACCCTATTTCCTTAAATTTTTTTGTCCTGTTTATGCATGTGTCTTCTTTCCTTGTATCCAGTAGTGGGAAACAAAAGCTTTCTTTAGACTTAGGGAAGTCACAGTGTTTGCCTCTTAGAAGTATGTGATGAGTAGCAAATATCTTTGGTGGGGAAAGGGAGAGTCTTTAGATCATAGATATTATTTTTCATATTTCAACAATTATTTAAGGCAGATACTGTTACTGTCTACATATTATAGTTAAGGAAATTGAGGCAAAAAGAAGATACTAATAAGTCAACTTGCTTAGGATCACACAGCTACTAAGAGATAGGGTTCAGATTTCATCCAGGTCTGTCTGATCTTACCATCCAAGCTCTTTCATCCTGCTAGGCTACACCACTCCGAAAAGATGAAGAGTTACACTGTTGTAAAAATATCTTCAGATGACCATATTAAACAAACAGAACAGTCAAGCAGGTAGTTCAAATTGGCAGATAATAAAACATCAATGGCTTTGAAGTCCGACAAGTTTTAAATCCCTGCTCTGCCATTTCTACCTGTATGACTAGCAAGTTTCCCCCTGACCCTGTTACTTTATTTATAAAATGATAATAATAAAATGCCAGTTTTACAGAGTTGTTTTGAACATTATTTAGTCATTAATTTATTCAGCAAATACATGTTGAGCAACTGCTATGTGACTGGTATTGTAGTGCTTGAGATACACAGAACAGAAAAAAATTCTGTCTCAATGGGCCTGTGAGCAATAACAACTCAGTGTCAATAATCACATCTGGAGCCCAGATCATGGTTTCTAATACCATTCTCTAATACAAAGAACCAGGACTCCTTGGAGAAATGGCTGTTTCTGGGCTTTGGGCACAGAATATACAAGATGAGCTTGTAGCATCTTATAGTGTTAGAAAGTAGGAAAGTGCTCAAGGAACAAAACCATGGGGGCATATCAATAACATAGGTGCCAACCAAAAAGGGATCCCAATAGCCAGAACTGAGTAACAAGATAAATAACAGTATTGGGTTATAATCTAGGGTATAAAATAAATATTCATGAGTCAATACTGATATAAAAATGATTGCATAAATAATTGAATGGGGGCACTGCTCAAAGAAATCAGAGACGATACAAACAAATGAAGAAAGAGTCCCTGCTCATAGACAGGAAAAACCAATATTGTTAAAATGGCTATATTGCCCAGAGCAATTTATAAATTCAATAATATTCCTATTAAGCTACCATGACTTTATTCACAGAGTTAGAAAAAAATTATTTTAAAATTCATATGAAACCAAAAAAGAACCTGAATAACCAAAGCAATCCTAAATAAAAGGAACAAAACTGGAGGCATCATGTTACTTGACCTCAAACTATACTACAAAGCTACAGTAACCAAAACTGCATGGTACTGGTATAAAAACAGAGACATACACCAATGGAACAGCATAATGAGCCCAGAAATAAAGTTGCACATCTGCAACCATCAACAAAATAAATAAAAAACAAAAAACAAACAAGCAATGGGAAAAGTTCTCCCTATTCAATAAGTGGTGCTGGGATAACTCACTAGCCATATGCAGAAGATTGAAACTGGACCCCTTCCTTACACCAAATACAAAAAGCAACTCAAGATGGCTTAAAGACTTAAATATAAAACCTAAAACTATAAAAATTCTGGAAGACAACTTAGGAAATATCATTCTGGACATAGACCCTGACAAAGATTTCATGACAAAGATGCCAAAAGCAATTGACTAAAATTGAAAAAGTGGACCTAATTAAAGAGTCTCTGCACAGCAAAAAACAAAAACAAAACAAATAAACCAAAAAAAAACTATCAATAAACAGACACCTACAGAATGGGAGGAAATATTTGCAAATGATGCATCTGACAAAGGTCTAATATCCAGACTCTATAAGGAACTTAAACAAATTAACAAGCAAAAAACAATCCCATCAAAAAGTGGGTAAAGGACGTGAACAGGCACCTTTCAAAATAAGACATATATGTGACTAACAAGCATACGAAAAATGCTCAACATCTCTAATCATTAGAGAAATGCAAATCAAGACCACAGTGAGATATCATCTCACACCAGTCAGAATGGCTATTATAAAAAGCCAAAAACTAACAAATGCTGGCAACATTACAGAGAAAAAGGAATGCTTACACACTGCTGGTGAGAATATAAATTAGTTCAGCCACTGTGGAAAGCAATGTGGGGATTTTTCAAAGAACTTAAAACAGAATTACTATTCAACCCAGTAATCTCATTGTGGGGTATATACCCCAAAGGAATATAAATTGTTCGACCATAAAGACACAATCATACATATGTTCATCATAGCACTATTCACAATAGCAAAGACATGGAATCAACCTACATGCCCATCAATGGTAGACTGAATAAAGAAAATGTGGTACATATACACTGTGGAATACTGTGCAGCCATAAAAAAGGATGAGATCACGTCCTTTGCAGCAATGAGGATGGACCCGGAGGCCATTACCCTAAGCAAAATAATGCAGGAACAGAAAACCAAATACCACATGAGTTGTCACTTGTAAGTGGGAACTAAACATTGAGTACACAGTGACACAAATAAGTTAACAATAGACATGGGAGCCTACTTGAGGGTGGAGGGTGGGAGAAGGGAGAGGATAAAACAACTGCCTATCAGGTGTTATGCTTATTACCCGGGTGATGAAATAATCTGCACATCAAACCCCTGTGACATGCAATTTACCTGTGTAACCAACCTGCACATGTATCCCTGATCCTATAAATAAATAATAATAATTTTAATAATTTATGTAGGTGCTCCACCATCAGTGAGTATGGGCTATTGTATTTCTGGGGCTGCCACAACAAAATCCCATAATCTGAATGGCTTAAACAACAGAGATTTCTTTTCTCATAGTTCTGGAGTCTGGAAGTCCAATATCAAAATGTCAGTAGGTTTGGTTTCTTCTGAGGCCCCTCACCTTGACTTGCAGATTGCCATCGTCTTCTTGTGTCTTCACGTGGTCTTTTCTCTGTGCACATGCATATCAGGTTCAAATTTCTTCTTAAAATAACACCAGTCATATTGGATTAGCACACATCTTAAAGACGTCCTTTAACTTAATTACCTCTTTGTAAACTTTATCTCAAATATGGTCACATTCTGAGATACTGGAGGTGAGGACTTCAAAATATAAATTTTGGGAGAACACATTCAGCCTACATTGGCTGTGCTTACTGACTTGCTTCCAAAGAGTAAGCTATAGAAAAGCGGGAGGGGAAATGTAACTTTACGGTGGCAAAACCTGGCAAACATTACCTCAGCCAGTGGATCAAGGTTAACATCCTCAGTGATAAGTTGTGTTGATAATATGATCTTTGCTATAAAGGATGAGAGTAACACTTTACCTCTATGCTCTTCCTTCCAAAAACCCGTAACTCCTAACCATGAGAAAAACATCAGATAAACTCCCTCCTGAAGGACATTCTTCAAAATACCTGGCCAGTGCTCCTGAAAACTGTCATTACCAAAAACAAGGAAAGTCTGAGAAACTCTCACATATCACAGGAACCCAAGGACATATGACAATTAAAAGCAATGTAAGATCCTGGAAGGGACCCTGAAAGAGAAAAAGGACATGAGGAAGAATTAGCGAAGTCCGAATAACGTCTGCAGGTTAGTTAATAGTAATGCACTCATATCATTTCCTTTTCTTTCTTTCTTCTCCTTTTTTTTTTTTTTTTTTTTTTTTTTTTGACAGAGTCTTCCTCTGTTGCCCAGGCTGGAGTGCAGTAGTGTGATCTCAGCTCACTGCAACCTCCGCCTCCCTGGTTCAAGTGATTCTCATGCGTCAGCCTCCCGAGTAGCTGAGATTACAGGCATGCACCATCAGGCCTGGCTAATTTTTACATTTTTAGTAGAGACAGGGTTTCACCATGTTGGCCAGGCTGGTCTTGAACTCCTGACCTCAAATAATCCACCTGCCTCGGCCTCCCAAGGTGCTGGGATTACAGGCGGGAGCCATGGCGCCTGGCCCCGCTGTCATTTCTTTAGCTGTGACAAATGTACCATAATAATGTAAGAAATTAACAATGGGAGAAACTGGATGTGGGGTGCATGGAAACTCTATTATCTTTGCAACTTTTCTGTAAATCTAAAACTCTTCGAAAATAAAAAACTGTATTTTAAAAAACTTCCTGCCCTTGTGGACTTATATTCTGGTAGGTGGACAGGGACAACCAACAATAAACAATAAGTAAGTTTAAATTCAGTACATTATATAGTATGTGTGAAGGAAATACATACTCTATTTAATTATTCATGTGGCAGCCCTGCTTTCCAAATATTTTGGTAGGATGATGTTCAAATGAATTGCATGATAAAGTCCACATAACAGAGGGCAAGGAGAAACAACCCTAAAACTCGCTGGTTCACAAGAGGAAGAAAGATTTAAACATTTGCCTACAGGTGATCCACAAAATGAGATGAAATATAGCAACACACCTGAGAACTGATGGCTGTCTATTTCATTAAAAATCTCCTGGGAAGGGAGGGGAACATCACACACCGGGGCCTGTCGGGGGATGGGGGTCAAGGGGAGGGAGAGCATTAAGACAGATACCTAATGTATGAGGGGCTTAAAACCTAGATGATGGGGCCGGGCACGGTGGCTCATGCCTGTTATCCCAGCACTTTGGGAGGCCAAGGCTGGTGGATCACCTGAGGTCAGGAGTTCGAGACTAGCCTGACCAACATGGAGAAACCGCATCTCTACTAAAAATACAAAATTAGCCAGGTGTGGTGGCACATGCCTGTAATCCCAGCTACTCGGGAGGCTGAGGCAGGAGAATTGCTTGAACTCGGGAGGAGGAGGTTGCAGTGAGCCGAGATCGCACCATTGCACTCCAGCCTGGGCAACAAGAGCGAAACTCCATCTCAAAAAAAAAAAAAAAACAACCTAAATGATGGGTTGATAGATGCAGCAAACCACCATGGCACATGTGTATCTATATAACAAACCTGCATGATCTACACATGTATGCCAGAGCTTAAAATAAAATTAAAAAAAAAAATCTCCTGGGAAAGAGGTTTTATAAGAGCCCATTCTTTTAGGTAACAAGCCCAAGATTTGGAAAGTTCTATTTTAAAATTCCCATTATTGGTGATAAATAATGATAACAAAAACGAGTTAAGAGGTTTCTCCATGTTGGTCAGGCTGGTCTCGAACTCCTGACCTCAGGTGATCTACCAGCCTTGGCCTCCCAAAGTGCTGGGATGTATGGAGCTATGTATGTATGGAGCTATGAAAATAATTATAGCCATGTATCCTAAGTGTAGAGTATTATAAAGTCTACAGTAGTGGGCAGTAACATCCTAGGCCTTCATGTTCACTCACCACTCATTCACTGACTCTCCCAGAGCAACTTTTAGTCCTGCAAGCTGCATTCCTGCTAAGTGCCCTGTACAAGTGCACCATTTTGTATCTTTTATATTGTATTTTTACTGCACCTTTTCTAGGTTTAGATATGTTTTCTATGTTTAAATATGCTCTTTGGCATGCCAACTGGGTGTCATAATAACCCTGCAAAGGAGATCATATTTCATCCATTTTACAGGTAAAAAAACTGAAGTACCGTGTGTTTAGAAAACTTGCCCCAAGCAAAGCCAGTAACCAGGTGCGGTGGCTCATGCCAGTAATCACAGCACTTTGGGAGATCAAGGCGGGCAGATCACCTGAGGTCAGGAGTTCGAGACCAGCCTGGCCAACATGGTGAAACCCCGTCTCTACTAAAAATACAAAAACTAGCCAGGTGGGGTGGCGGGCGCCTGTAGTCCCAGCTACTCAGTAGGCTGAGGTGGGAGAATAGCTTGAATCCGGGAGGCGGAGGTTGCAGTGAGCCAAGATCACGCCACCGCACTCCAGCCTGGGCGACAAAGGGAGACTCCATCTCACAAAAAAAAAAAAGAATAAAAGAAAACGCCCCAAGTCGTGGAATTTAAGCCTTAGTACCTAAATTCCTCCTGTTAGTCTTTGACGTTGAGGACCAAGTACAAGGCGAGGTCAGCTCATTTGTTCCATTCTTAGGAGCCATGGGGGCCTAGTACCCCACGCTCCCTTAAAATAGGCTGGCCAGACACCCCCACCCCAACCCACCTCGACGCATGCCAAAGAACCAGAAAAGCTCCATTTATGTGGTCCCACAGGAAGCAAACACACGCAGGGCTGGTGACGGTGACTCACAACTTCTAACCCTCCTCCTGGCCCGTTGCATAAACTTTTCCAATGTATTGAAGTCTTGTAGAAACAGTGCTTCATGGGAAGATATCAAGGAAGGCGTCCCAGGAGCCAACCAGCAGGACCTACTCGGAATCCTCGGCCCCTTTTTGAGGTTTCTCTTTTTTTTTTTCCCTCAGCAATTCCTTTCAAAAAAAATTTTTCCCTCACCATTGACCTTGTTAGAGTTGCTAGTACTTTTTCCCCTTACACTGTAGCACTTCTGTAAATGTTTTTGTTCTTTGTTCTACTTCCTGCACTCTTTGAGCTTGGCTGTGATGTCTGTTCAGTGGGGCCTTTCTGATCCAGTTGGCCCTTGCCTGTACATCCTCTCCACAGGTATCAAAAATGAGGGCAGCACGGCCTGGAGGGCCCCTCATTAGAGGGAGGCGGCTCAGCTCTCCCACCAGTCACAAGCGGAGAGGGCAGAGCCGACTCCACGAATGACCAGTATTGAAAAGAAAGCTCCAGGGGTGAGAGAGAGACACAGACTGGCAGAGTCAGAAGCAGAAGGTTAAAAAAAGAAAAGGGGGAGAAAAAAACAAAAAAAAAAAAAAAAAAATTCTTTCTGACTGCCTCAGCGGCTCCCTTTCACGACCTGAGGCTTTCCAGAAAAATGTCTTGTGAAGAGCAACCATTTCAAGCTGCACACTCTTCCATCAGAGGGCAACACCTTGGTACATTGGGCATTCATTCCCAGGCTGTGGGCCAGGCTTGGCTCTCCACTCTGGAGATGAGGAGATGCCTTTTATCCCAGGAAACTCTGCCACGGTAATCAGAGGGTGTGTTGGTGGCCAGCTCCAGTAGGACCAGAGTCCAGGAACTTTGCTTGGAATCCAGATGAGTCAGTCTCCTTGGAGGGAGGAGGATGAAGAGAGAGGCCTTGGAGCACTGCCCAGGGTGGGCCAGGGCTGGGTGCAAGACCTGGGCAGACAGCTACAGTGGTTGGCAGGGATGTTGGCTTTCCCCAAAATGGAGAGGCTTGGCCCTCTACAAAGAGCACCATTTATTCTGCATAGTGCAAGCAGCACTGGCTGCAGGCAACTGAAGACCTGGCTTCAAGCCTCGGCTGACCCAGTGTGACCTTGAACAAACCATCCCAACCCTCTGAACTTTATTTCCTTTTCCATAAAATGGGGACAATGCCTTGTCTTTATTCTGCGTTGACTGTGTGTTTTCTTGAGCACCTACTCCATGCCAGCTACTGGAAATAGAAAGACATCAAGATGGCAAGATGCCTGCCCTCAAAGACCAATCACTCTAGTAGGAGAGGTGGACACATAAATTGATCATTAAAGTCTGGCGGGATGAGTACAGTGAAAGAGGTATATTCAGGGCGAAGAAATAACACAGGGGAAACAGGGATTCTTTCTTTCTAGGGAGATCATTGATGCTGATGTTCAAGTCTTGAAAGTTAACTGAGGAGTTTGATAAGCGAATGAGTGGAGAAGAGAAAATGGCATTGTAAGCAGCAGACACTCTTGGTAGCAAAGTATGAGGAGCTCAAAAAAACTGGGATGTGTTTTGTAGAGATGGAGAATGGGGTACCAGTTGTGTGTGTGTGTGTGTGAGAGAGAGGCAGGGCCATGACTAGAGTGAAGCAAGTGAGGCCTTTGCCTAGTGCCCCAAATTTAAGTAGACAACAGAAGAACAACCTCAGTCATCAAGATAAATAAAATGTCCATGCAAGATTTTAAAAACTCAAAATTAATGCAAAAAAATTGATGGTGAAAACAGTGACAAAATTTTAAATAGAGGCAGGACTGGGCCACGTGCTTGCACAACTCACCTTAGTTGCCTCTCCCTAATCCTGGCTCTGTCAGATCCTCCCACCCTTTATCCAGCCCAAACATGAAGGTTCAATAAACGTGGGTATTTCTGAGCAAGCCTTCAGTGTAACACAGCATCTGTTCTCTCTTTTCAAAGAGCATCTTCCTCTAGTCTATGGGGGACAGTGGGGGTAGAAGGAGGTCAGGGCTTGTTAGTTTTTCTGCTGATCGTCATGCTGTCCCCATTTGACACAGTGCTGCTGCTGCTGCTGTTATGGTGCCCTCAGAGGAGGGATAGTCCCGGGGCAGACCCCACTTCCCTTGACCTCTTTAATTCCCCTCAGCACACATACATTGCCAACAATAAGGCTGTCGTTTATATAGTGGATGTTACTGAAAGTATAGAGATAAATAGAAAAGAAATAATGTAAGGAAAAGTGTTTCAAACTGAATATGAAATATGAAGGTTTCCAGAACTGAAGGGAATCAGGAAAAGAGAAAATAGGATAAACTCTTCCAAGCTGAGCTTCCTTGCCTTAAGGGATTTTTCTTTCCTTCTTTCTTTAGACATAGACTCACCTCAATCCTTTTATCTCTGTTTCTCTTTAGGAAAAACATTTTGTTTTTCCTAAAAGTGTTTGAGGCCGGGCATGGTGGCTCACACCTGCAATCCCAACACTTTGGCAGGCAAAGGCGGGTGGATCACCTGAGGTCAGGCGTTCCAGACCAGCCTGACCAACATGGAGAAACCCCGTCTCTACTAAAAATACAAAATTAGCTGGGCGTGGTGGCACAAGCCTGTAATCCCAACTTCTTGGGAGGCTGAGGCAAGAGAATCGCTTAAACCTGGGGGGCAGACGTTGCAGTGAGCCAAGATCATGCCATTGCACTCCAGCCTGGGCAATAAGAGCGAAATTAAGTCTCAAAAGAAAAAAAAAGTGTTTGAAACATGAAACAAAATGTTTGTTTTGTCTGGGAGCTGTTTTGCCACCCACCAGTGCAATTCATGGGATACAATAATCTCTGAACTAGAATCCGACCACCTGAGTGACACATCCTGCAGTAACACTGTAGGGGTCTTCTGTGGGGAAAGCCAGGGTAGGCACTGGTGCTGCAGGTTTAGTCTCTTTCAAAGTCTTGGCACCAGTGAGACTTTAGACTTGGACAGAATACATATAACTTCCATGGATATCATACAGTTCTCAAAGATAGTGGAACCTAAACTCATATTCAGAGTAAGAAATATTTTCTTAAAATGACATATTGATCAAGAGTTTCCCAGTCCCTAATACAGAAATATAGGCAGAGAAATTTCTATTTTTCTTTTTTACGAATTCTTCTGCTTATAGAACATGTCCACCAGACCTAAGAAATGGGAGCTGTTCCATTACCTTCACAAACAGTCATGCACTCTTTATGTCCATCCTAGCTACATGAAGCCTAGGTAGAAGCTTTGAAATTCCACTTTTTCTCCACTTTAGCTAATAAAATTCTTAATCATGCCTGTCAGCACTCTGGAAGTAGAAGGAGGGTACAGAATCAAGGTTTGTTTGCCTCAATCCAGAGCACGTCTTCAAAAGTAAGGAAAGAGAGGGCTTCTTCCATAAATTATATCAGGCACAGAATTCCTCTGCCACGAATTCTAGGCTTGTCATAGGCTTTACTGAGTTTTCTCCCTTAAGTAAAAAAATAGGTGGGAACAAATGGTAAAACTGAAATGTTATAACTCTAAGGCCACTGCAGCTTGAGCCATGTGCAGTCAGTGATAGGGAGAGAAAAAAGCTTGTATTCTAACAGGCAGTCCAATGATTGGTCCAGGAGATCTTACTACTTCTAAATCTACATACCAAATCCAGTGGTTTAAACTATATATTGAGGGGATATAGGAAAGTCTCCTTACAAGATGAGTGCAATTCATGCAATACTGAGTATGTGATGATTAAATAATGCCATCTCAAACTTCACTTCCAGGAATGAAGAACAAGGTAACTTAGACTAATCTCCCAAACTATGTACCATGAGATAAGTTGGATAAAGCAGTCTTAAAATCACTCTAAGGCAGGAGAGTATTAACAAGGTACTGAAGAATTATTGGGCCAAGATCTAGGAGAGTTTGGCAACCCAGAGAGATGAGCCTGGATTTCAGGACTGCTTTTCCTCTGGGAGCTTTTGGCAATTCTAGAAGAGACACTGAGAAGCTGAAAGGCTGAACAGTACCTTCTGCAGACTCCCAGCAGTAAGAGAATAAAGTTGTTGTCCATTGTCTTCCAAGGTTGAATGGCACCTGGTAAGACTTCTGCACTTAGAAAGATCTATGGCAAAGACTACAGTCCAGGTTTCAGTAATCTCAATGGAAATGGGATTAAGGCAATGCCATATTGCTAATGTTCCCTATAGAAGCAAAAGAAAATTCTTTCTAGAAGATAGTCATCATCTTAGTTCACAAATTATTCCCAAAAATCATTTTTCAAATACAAAGCCTAGCTCACAGTCATCATCATCATTATGATCATCACCATCATCATCAAATAAAAAAAAAGACAAGAAAACATGAATGAGAACTAGTGAGGTAAAGATAATAGAAACAGATCTACAGGGACTCCAGATACTGAAGTTATTAGACACAGACTTTAAAATAACTATGCTTACTATGATCATGAAGAAGAAGATAAGAGAGAATTTTTGGCAAGTAACTCTAAAATACTTTTTTTAAAAAAGAGAGAAGATAGCATATTTTAAAAGAAACCAAAAAGAAAACATAGAACTAAAATACATAATAACAAAAATTAGAACTCAATGAATAGATTTTTGTATAAAATTAGACAAAACTGAAGAGAGAATTGGTGAAATGGAAGGTAGGTCAAACATAATCACAATGAAGGAGAGAGAAAGAGAAGGAAAGACTAAAGTGATGTTATAAAAACAAATTGGAGCCAGGTGTGGTGACTCACACCTGTAATCCCAGCACTTTGGGAGGCTGAGGCAGGTGGATCCCCTGAGGTCAGGAGTTTGAGACCAGCCTGACCAACGTAGACAAACCCCATCTCTACTAAAAATACAAAATTTTCAGGGCGTGGTGGCACATGCCTGTAATCCCAGCTACTTGGGAGACTGAGGCAGGAGAATTGCTTGAACCTGGGAGGCAGAGGTTGCAGTGAGCCCAGATCATGCCATTGCACTTCAACCTGCGCAACAAGAGCAAAACTCCATCTCAAAAAAAAAAAAAAAGAAAAAGTAAGTTAAATAAAAACATTTCAGATGAACAAAAACTAAGTATTCATCACAAGCACACTTACACTAAAGGAAATACTGAAGTGTATTTCAGACAGAGGAAAAGTTTTCTCAGATAAAAAGTAGGAAATGCAAGAAAGAATGAAGACCAAAAACATGAAAATATGTGGATAAATCTAAATGGATTGTCTAAAACAGTAATAATAAAGAGATAGATAAATAGCCCCCTGTTGAGAAAAATTGTTCCAGAGTAACCAGTAGAGAAAGAGCAAAAGAGTGTGTAACTTGCAAGTTACTAGATAAATAAAATAGGATGATAAAATATACTTAATCCAAATGAACCCTCACTGTCTCAAAAGGAAAAAAATAAAGACAATAGGACAGTGAAACAATAGGCAGTTCTGAGTAAAATCATACATGTCAACCCAAATGCTTCAGTAATTGCATCAAATATAAATGGATTAAATGTGCCAATTAAAAGGCAAAGATTGACAACTTAGATTATTATTATTATGTATATACATTTTTTGAGACAGAGTCTCACTCTGTTGCCCAGGCTGGAGTGCAATGGTGCAGTCTCGGCTCACTGCAACGTCTGCCTCCCAGGTTCAAGCTATTCTCCTGCCTCAGCCTCCCGAGTAGCTGGGACTACAGGCGTCTGCCACCATGCCCAGCTAATTTTTGTATTTTCAGTAGAGATGGGGTTCCACCATATTGGCCAGGCTGGTCTTGACCTCCTGACTCAGGTGATCCACCTGCCTAGGCCTCCCAAAGTGCTGGAATTACAGGCATGAGCCACTGTGTCTGGCCACCAACTTAGACTATTTTTTAATAACACCTAACTATTTGACTTTCCCCAGAGATTCATATGAAATATAAGGATATAAAAAGGTTCAAAGTAAAAGCATGGAACAAGGTTTACCATGTAAACATAAAACAAAAGAAGGCCTGTATAACTATATTCGATCAGACAATGTAGATTTTAAGGGAAAAAATAATTGCTAATGACAAGAAAGTTTAAAATGCGAAAAGTTAAAATTCATAAGCAAGTCAGATAGTAGTTCTGAATTGTATGCAGCAAACAAGACCACTTTAAAATATATAAAGCAACAATTTTCAGAAGTGTAAGGAGAATGAATAAGTCCACAGTCGTAGAGAAATATTTTAATACAGTTCTTAAGTTACTAATAAAACAGACAAACAATCAGTAAGAATATAGTAGATTGGAATAACATAATTGGCAAACTTGACTTAATTGATATATATAGAATGCTGGAATCAACAACTCCAAATACACATTCTTTTTAAGCATTCCTTAAAAACATGATCTATAAATGAATATATGCTGGATCATAAAGCAAGTATCAATAAATTTCAAATATTGAAATCATACTTAATAAATTCTCTGAACACAATGCAATTAAGCTAGAAATCAGTAATCAAACAATAAGTAGAAAATTCCCATATGTTTATTAAGTGATATACTTCTAAAACATACACATGTAAAAGAATAAATCATAATGGAAATTAGAAAATATTTTTAACTGAATAATGATGAAATGTGGCACATCAAAATTTGTGGGATACAGCTAAAGTAATGCTTAGAGTAAGCTACATATCCTTAGTTTCATACATTAGACTAAAAAAAAAAAGCCTGAAGCTCAGCAACCTAAGTACCAAACTTGAGAAGTTAGAAAAAAAGAACAGTAAATTAACCTCCCTCCCCCACAAAGTAGAAGGTAATAAGAAATAAAGCTAATAGCAGAAATTAATAGAATAGAAAACAAACAAAAATATAGAAATTAAATAATGCCAAAAGCTGATTCTTTAAAATAATTAATAAAACTGATAATTCCCTCATAAGGTTAATCAAATAAAAAGGAAAGAAGACACAAATAACCATTATCAAGAATTAAGTTTAAAAGGAGACATTACTGCGATTCTTAAAGGCATGAAAATGATAACAAAAGAAGATATTATAAATAACTTTACACTAATACGTTTGAAAATTTAAATGTAATAAATATTTAGGAAAGTTTAGTTTACCAAAACTGACACTAGAAGAATTGAAAAATGTGAATAATTCTAAATCTAATAGAAACAATAAATCTGTGATTATAAAGTTTTCCAACATTGAAAGATTCAGGTCCAGACGGCTTCACCAGTAAATTATTTCAAACACTTAAGAAAAAAACAACACCAATTTTGTATGGACTCTTCGAGAAAATAAAAAAAGATGAAAAGTTTTTCAGTTCAATTTATGAAGACAGTGTAACGTTGACATCAAAATCTGATGAGGCATTTATAAGAAAGGAAAATTACAGGCTGATGTATCATATAAATAAAGACACAAATTCTGAACACAAGATTGGAAAACCAAATCCTGAGATACTAAAAAAAGATAATATATTATAACCAAGTTGAGTTTATTGCAGTAATTCTGGGTAGACTTTTATTTCAGTAATAAATTCAACTTTGCTTAACACTAGAAAATTAACCACTGCAATTCACCATACTAGCAAAATAAATAAGCAAAATTGTATTATCTCTATAAATGTGGAAAATTTGCTTTATAAAATTTTACAACCATTTATGATCAAAAATAAAAGCCTTTATAAATTAGGAATAGAAGAGAACTTTCTTAACCTGATAAAGGGTATTTACCCAAAACAACTTACTACAAACATTATATTTATACAGTCTCCCCTTGAGATCAGGAAAGACACGTGGTTGCTCACTACAACCACTTCTATTTAGCATTATACTGAAAGACCTAGCCAGTGCAGTAAGGCAAGGAAAAGAAATAAAGGTATAAGAAATATTATTCACGAACAGCACAATTGTGCTTGTAGAAAATGTAAAAGAATCTCTGATCAACTGAAATAAATAAGAGATTTAGAAAATTATTTGAATATAAATTTAATATTAAAAATCTAATATATTTCTATATACCAGCAACAATTAGAAAATGAAATTTTATTTTTACATACATACAAAGCCATTAAACATATAGGTAAGCTGGAAACTAGTTAAGCTATTCAGGACCACTATTAGAAAATTTACAAAAGATTATTGAGGAAAATTGAAGATAATTTTAAAAAATAGATAATTGTATCATATTCATATATTGAAAGATGTTAATTCTCCCTAAACTGATCTGTAGATTCAATGCAATCCCAATCAAAATCTCAATAGATATTTTATGCGTGCATATATTAACAAGTTGATCCTAAAATTTATACTGAAATGCATATAGCCACGAATAGCCAAGAAAATATTGAGAAAGAATGATAAAATACAAGTACCAGCTCTACCTGATATGAAGACATTAATTGCTATATTTAAGACATTGTGGTAATGGTGACATGTTAGATAAATGAGCCAAAATAATAAAATGGAGAATTCAGAAACCTACCAATACATATATAAAAACTTGATATATTATAAAGTTGGCACTACTGGACAATGAAAAAAGCAGAAAACATCTTTACAATAAATAGTACTGGGTCAATTGGATATGCATATAGAATAAAATTAATACTGATTCTTTTTTATATCATCTATGAAAATCAATTCTGTGTAGATTTTAGATGTAAATAGTAAAGCTACAATGCAGAAAAACATCTTCACGATCTCAGAGTAAGCAAAGATTTCCTAAACAGAATTCAGAAAGCACTTACCATAAAGTAAAAGTTTAGCAAATTGGACTACATCAAAATTAGTAACATCCTTCCCCCCCCGCCACAGACACCATCATAAAGCGAGAAGGCAAGCCACATGATGGGAGAAGATATTTGCAGTAAATATAACAACAAAGAACTCAATGTAAAATATATAAAGAACTCTTACAAATCAATAAGAAAAAGCCAGAAGTCCCAGTAGAAACATGGTCAAAAGATATTAGTGGGTAGTTTACACATTGGATATTCAAATGTCCTCTAAACAAGAAAAGGTGATTAATTTCATTAGTCATCAAGAAAGGCACATTATAACCGCAATGACTTACCTCTATATACCCATCACAATGGCTAATATTTAAAAAGCAAAAACCACTAGTACTAATAATTGGTAAGGATGTGAAGTAACTAGACCTCTCATGCGTAGCTTATGGAAGTGTAAATTATTACAATCACTCAGGAAAACTATCTGGCATTCTTTACTGAGGTTGAAGATAGGCTTATCCTGTGAGCAATTTTACTCTTAAGTATATGCCTAACAGAAATATATGTACCTGTGTACCACAAGGCTGACACACAAGTGTCCCTAGCAACATCATTCATGTTGGCCAAAAATTGGAGACAAACCACATGTCTATCAACAGCAGAATGAATAATAAATTGTGGAATATTCACATAATGGAATGCTATCTGGCAATGAAATTGAACGAACCAAAGTAACACAACAGAGTGGATCCGTCTCACGATGCTGCACAAAAGACATCAAATGCAAGAAGATGCGTTCCTTTGTGTCCTGTATGATTCAATTTATATACAACTCAAAAAAGCAGGCAAACTGCTATAGTGTTTAGGAATGCACACTTAGGTGATATAGCTATAAATAAAATAAGGAAGAGGTTATAAAATTTACTCGTGGTGGAGAGGGAAAGATTAGTAATAGGGAGGGGATATGAGGGGATATGAGGGATCAGTGACGGGGAGGGGATATTAGAGTGTGTTTTTTTGTTCTGGCTACATGGGTATTCAAAATAAATCTGTAGTAATATACTGAGCCATACATTTTTGCTTTGTACACTTTTCTGTATGGATGTTGTCAATCTTGGGTTTATGTTCAGCAGCTCCTGCTGAACCTCTGTGGAAGAGCGATGGGTGCAAATACTATGGAACAGGAAGCAATATATGAGTCCATTCTTATGCCCCATGAGGGATCCACTCTCAGCCTCTCCAAGGAGGAAGTGACTCTTTTCACCAAACAAGGCTTGAAACCCTGGCCCATCTCCAGACCTCGGAAGAAAACGGACTCTTCCAGTCAACAAAACCATCATCATTTGCTTCAGTGGCTACCCCTAAGGAGGAGAGGGGAATGAGGAACCCGGGCTGGGGAGACTGACTTTCCTGGTGGTTTCTTACTATAAGCATATATTACAGTCATTGAAAAAAATTTTTTTAGACATGGTCTTTTTCTGTCACCCAGGCTGGATTGCAGTGGGTTGATCTTAAGCTCACTGCAGCCTCAAACTTCTGGGCTCAAGTGATCCTCCTTCCTCAGCCTCCTGAGTAGCTGGGACTACAGGCATGTGCCAGGCACCCACCTAATTTTTTGTAGAGATGGGATCTTGCTTTGTTTCCCAGGCTGGTCTCAAACTCCTGGCCTCAAGAAATCCTCCGGCCTTGGCCTCCTGAAATGCTGAGATTACAGGAGTGAGACACTGCATCCAGTCTGAGGAGAGAAAAAGAGAGAAAGAGATGATGACAGTGTTAAAAAAGAATGAGGTGAGCAGGGCATGGTGGCTCATGCCTATAATCTCAGCACTTTGGGAGACTGAGGTGGGAGGGTCAGTTGAGCCCAGGAACTCGGGACCAGCCTGGGTAACATAGTGAGACCTCATCTCTATTAAAAAAAAAAAAAAAAAAGAATGAGGCAGAAGACATGAACTGAAATAGAAATCAGATAGATAGGTAGATAGGTAGATAGCCAAGTTCAAAAAGGAAGTCACAGAATGATATACAATTATGTATATATAGGATAATCTGATGATTTAGCAATAAAAATTATATATATATATAAGTATTACAAATTTTGAAACTCATGTCCAGGTGTTCAAAATAATTGACTACTTTGAAATACAACTTAGTGGTAGGAAATAGAGTCATAGTCGATTCTAAGGAAACTCACTCCATAAGATTTTTTCCTCTTTTTATTCCCCCAGGTGGCCTCTGATCTTGGAAGGAAGAGTGCTCAGACAGTGTCCTGCTGCTAGAAGAAGGGTCTCGTCTGGGGGCTGTGTCTGTCCACGCCAGATTCCCTGTTGATGGATGCTCCAGTCTGGCCCCCAGGAGAGGCTCACACCACACCTGCTTCACTGGAGGGATCTCCACTGCTCTCTCCCTACCTCCCAGGTCTCCTGAGCCTCCCTTCTAGCTACTGCAGCGGTCCTTTTATTCACAACAGCAGAGGCGTGTGAGGTTGGCTCTCCCTCAAGCTCTCCTCTAGGACCATGGGACACCCAGTGGCACTGCCTCATGTCCTCTCTGGCCCTGGCAGACCTTGTGGCTGGCTCTATTGTTTCCACACCATGGAGACCGAGAGCTCCTCAGTGGCAGCCACTTCCCAGCCAGGGACCCAGGGGCACAGTTCCACTGTGTTGGTGGATTTCCAGACATTTCCAAGGGAGGGTTCTTTTGCCACCTTCTCGCTCTTGCAGCTTGCTGGGAGTGAGAGCAGCACGTGAGTAGGGGTCTGTGTAGGGTTCACATCCACCAGCCCCTGACTCTCTGACTCCTCCTATTCCTCTGTCCAGACAGTGCATGCCCCAGGCTGGTGGGGAAAAACTCCTCAGCAAGGAAGTTGGTCTCCTGGACTCTGGTTTTTTAATACATAAATGCGAAAATATTTTGATGCCTTTGTTCTCTGCATTTGTGGTCACAACTCTCCCTCAGGGCAACAAGAGGTAGGAAGAAAACGTGAAGAAGAAAGAAATCGACATTTGTCCCTATTATGTGATATCATCCTGCCACCTGTGTGTGGCTGTGGCTGTTGGGGGGAAGATCTGGAAGGAAGCCCAGTGACCCACTCTTGGGGGTTATTATAAGAACAGAAGTGAGCTGGAGCAAGGTGCAGGCAGGGAGAGAGAGAGAGACTTCATTTTTTATCTTATATGTTAGGTTGGTGCTAAAGTAATTGCGGCTTTGCAATTACTTTTAATGGCAAAACCGCAATTGCTTTTCACCAATCTAATACTTCTGCAATGTCTGAAATGTTTGAAATGTTTACAGTAAGTCTATAATCACACATTCTTGCAGTAATTTTGAAATTACAGTTTTTTTGTTTTAAAAGGAAACAAAATTGATAGTACTCAGAGGCTTCTGTGGCTGAATGCAGAAGCACAGGTTAAACTTAGAGGTGGAGGCTCTGAAGGGCATTTTGGAAATATTAATATTTCTCAACAGAGAAATGGATGTTTTCATTCCCATCAGCGTAGTAGTCCCCTTTTTGGAAATTTGTCGTAAGAACTGATCAAAGATGCATAATTAATATACAAAATTTTCATAGTAACATTTATAATGGCCAAAAATTAGGTGCAATAATAGGGAATTCGGGTGAGCTGTGGTGTAACCATGTTATGAGCTACTACATGGTCATTAAAATGGTGATATGGGCCAGACACTGTGGTTCATGCCTGTAATCCCAGCACTTTGGGAGGCCAGGGCGGGTAGTTCACTTGAGGTCAGCAGTTCTGGGTATCCAGCCTGGGCATCACAGAGAAATCCCATCTCTACTAAAAATACAAAAATTCACCGGATGTGGTGGTCAGTGCATGTAGTCCCAGCTACTCAGGAGGCTAAGGCATGAGCATCACTTCAACCTGGGAAGTGGAGGTTGCAGTGAGCCAAGATGGTGCCACTGCACTCCAGCCTGGGCAACAGAGTGAGACTCTGTCTCAAAAAAACAAACACACACAAAAGAGAATAAAATGGTGATATGGAAGAAATGTTAAGTGAATAAAGTAGGGTGCAAATTGCATATGATTCAGATTGATTGATGGGTGGATTAATAGATGAATGCATAAATAGATAGGTGTGTATCAGTCAGCATTCTCCAGAGAAACAGAACCAATAGGAAATATATGTATGTATGTACATATAAAGGAATTGATATTGCAGTCTTGCAGCAGAATTTCTTCTTTTCTGGGAAACCTCAGTTATGTTCTTAAGGCCTTTCAACTGTTTGGATAAAGGCTGTATTAGTCCATTCTTGCATTGCTATAAAGAAATACCTGAGACTGGGTAATTTGTAAAGACAAGAGGTTTAATTGGCTCACAGTTCTGCCGGCTGTACAGGAAGCATGATGCTGGCCATCTGCTTGGCTTCTGGGGAGGCCTCAGAAACTTACAATCATGATGGAAGGTGATGGGGAAACAGGCTCATCCAAGGCCACAGCAGGAGGAAGAGAATGAAGGAGGCTGGGAGTAGGGTGGCACACACTTTTAAACCACCAGATCTCATGAGAACTCTTATCATGAAACAGCACTAGGAGGATGGTGTTAAAACATTGGAAACTGCCCCCATGATCCAATTACCCCCCATCAGGCCCCACCTTCAACACTGGGAATTACAATTCGACATGAGATTTAGGTGGAGACACAGATCCAAACCATGTCAGGGGCCAGCCAGATTATGGAGGAGAATCTTTTCTATCCAAAGTCAACTGATTGCTGATGTTAACCACAGCTGCAAAATACCTTCCCTGCAACATCCAGATCAGTGTTTGATTCAATAATTGGATACTACAGTGTCTTAAAATGCAGGTTTTATTATTATTCAGGTATGGTATTCAGATCAGGAGGCGACTGCCATTGAACCAATGGTTATGCTCACACATCTCATGAGGAGGGGTGCACCATGCCACAGTGGGGACCATGGGAAGGCACACATGGGAGCACCAGGATCTGTCAGGAAGCAGAGAGAGTGAGGGGAAAATGCAGACAAGAGACTTTTTTGTGGTTTCTGCAGGAAGGAATGGGTGAGTCAGGGTAGGCAGGCTTAGGATTGACTCACCTAAATAATTTCACTGGGCTCTGGGGCATGGGGGCTGTCCCTAGTTGCTGACAGCTGGCTCTGGAGTGACTGGAGAAGGGCAGTAGTAAGTAGCCCTGAGTGTAAGAGCCCAGTTTTATTCGTCCATTGTCACGCTGCTGTGGAGAAATACCAGAGACTGGGTAATTTATAAAGAAGAGGTTTAATTGATTCACTGTTCTGGATGGTTGGGGAGACCTCGAGAAACTTACAATCATGGCGGAAGGCACCTCTTCACAAGGTGACAGGAGAATGAGCTGAGCAAAGGGGGAAAAACCTCTTATAAAATCATCACCCCCATGATTCAATTACCTCCCACCAGGTCCCTCCCATAACACATGGGGATTATGGGAACTACAATTGAAGATGAGATTTGGGTGGGAACACAGCCCAACCATATTATCAATAAAGGAGGTGCTTGGGGTGTGGGCTCTAGATTCGTTGGTTTGCCTGTGCAAGGCACTCTAAGTGAATCTCTTGCTATCTCTAGAAATTGACTAAACTTGGAAGAGCCCGTGCCTCCAGGGTTAGCAAGTCCTCAAGATGTTAAAGCATTAGAGTAAAGAAAAGGCGTGATTAATTAAACTAAGCATGATAATAGGCAATTAGAAAAATGACTAGAAAGCGTAAACAGAATTGTTAACAATGGTTATCTCTCAGTGAGCAGTGAGATTGTGTTGTGGAGTATTTTCTTTTCTTTTCTGTCATTTCTACATTTTTTGTATAATCATGAATTGCTTTTCTGATGGGCATGGAGGAGGAACTAGAATAAATCATCATTTTTGGTGTTCAGAGGGACAAAACCATTAAATAGCTAAGCAGCTGCCCTCTAGAGTTCTGCTCCTGTCTGGGCTGGTGGCAGGTGACACAGGTAACACTATGTCCCTGTCCAGCCCTCACTGTCTTCTCTGTCCCCAAGGGCCAGGCTGACCCAAGGATAGCAATACCTTCTCCTTCCTTGCCCGGGCACTCTGAGAAAAAGGGACTCCCTTAGAGGACACTGGGGTGTTTCTTCTGAGGAGCCTGTAAGGAAACCTGGGCTTTCGCAGGGCTGTGTGTAAGCGCGACTGTGTGAGTGCCTGTACATGAGTGTGTGAGTGTGTACAGCTGTGTAGGTATGTGTATATGAGTGTGTGACCAGACATCACAGTGTGTAAGTGTGTGTCAGAAAATATGTATATGTATGAGTGCACACGTGTGTGTGCATTTGTTAGTATGTGTGTACATGAGTGTGTGTGCATACATGTATGTAAGTGGGAGTGACTATGTGTGTGGGTGTTTTGGGGTCAGCAGGCAGGGGGAGAAGGGTGGAAGGCAGGAGGAGGCACAGACACCTGCACTCCAGTGTCCTGGATGAACTACGGTCACAGAACCCAAGAGCCACGGAAGGAGACCAGTCTCAGCGCCCTGCTCTGTCCAGGTTATACCCATGAATTTTCAGGTGCATAACCCCCAGCCAGGAGGTCTGCATGGCTGGCCAAAGAGGCAGGTCTCCACTGTCACTGAGGCCCTCATTACTTCTCAACCAGGAGAGAGGGACCAGCCCCCTCAGGGGACATTTGGAACTGTAGGGGGACATTTCTTGATTGTCACATGTCTAGGGAGGACTCTGATTTAGTAGAAAGAGGCCAAGAATGCTAAATGCCCCTCATAGTGCAATGGGCCTGTGGCAGCTAGGGGGGCTTGGTGGCAGCTGGGGGCTTCGTGCCTGCTGTCTTCCCAGAGCCCTCACTCTATGCTTGCTGGGCCCTGCCTCTGGGGAATGTCAATTAAATGCAAAACAAGACACTGGTGCGAAAACAGTCTCCAGTGAACCTACCCAGCGCCACGAGCATTGCCAAGGTGCAAACAAAAGCACCTGAGGCAATCACACACCAGGAGAGTCCGCGCGTGCCAAATTCCCACCCCTCCCAGCCCCACCCACGTACATCTTCCTGGACCCAGACTGAGTTGACATGAAACAGATGAAACAGGCGGTGGGAGGAGGAGGAAAACAAGGTCTGTCTTTCAAAAGGGACGTCCTTCCCCTCTGCGATGAGAAGGCCTTTCTTCCGGGGAGTCACCCCCAAAGTGCTAAGCCTTCTCTGAGCGGGAGCTGGCCCCCAGTCACACATTATCTTTGAAGCTGACCTCCCGGTGCTGGGGCTGCGAGGGCTTCATGGGATGTCCCAGACCCTTGGTGGGAAAGTATTTGAAGTGTCTGGTGAGGCTGAGCTTCTGAGCAGCTGAAAGTTCTGCATCAGACACTCAGGCAGGAGGCTGGTGTGGACTCCTCAGGTGGGGAAAGGCAGGGGATGGAGAAAGGCGCTGAGCCTTGTCTGAAGTTGAACAGGAGCCAAAATGAACAAGGGGCCAGTGGGCCCTTCGAGGTCCTTGTCCCCTCCCTGCTAGGTTGTCAACCCTGGCAGCTGATCCCCCAGATGCTGGGGAGGCCCCGGGCCCCAGGAGCTTCTGATTCTGACGCTCCTGAAGTCAAAGATGGGGACGTGCCCCCCAGGCCCCCTATCCCTGACAAAAGCAGCCAGAGACACCCACTGAAGGGATTCTCACCCTGTGGGCCCCTCCCCTGGCCCCCCTGTCCTCCAGGGCCCTGCCACTCAGGGTGTGGGCCAGGAACCAGCTTTATCAGCTCCATCTGGGTGCTGGGAAGAAAGGCAGCACCTGGAGCCCCACCCCAGACCTGCAGAATTGGAATGGACATCTTAACAAGATCCCCCCACCAGAATTCAGGTGCACGTGGAAGTTTGAGAAGCACCGCTCCACTGGAGTAAATAAACCCTTTGCCTCTCTCTGGGAAGAAGATATAATCCCTGTCTGGAATAAAAATGCAGTAGAGAGGAAAGTAACCCAACGCAGCATTAACTGGCACAGGACAAGCTTTCTATTCTGCAAAAATGCCTCAATCCTGGTAACTGCTGGTGAGAGTTACTTTATTTTGTTTTATTTTATTTATTTTATTTTATTTTTGAGACAGAGTGTCACTCTGTCGCCCAGGCTGGAGTGCAGTGGCATGATCCCGGCTCACTGTAACCTCCAACTCCCGGGTTCAAGTGATTCTCCTGCCTCAGCCTCCCAAGTAGCTGGGATTACAGACACACACCACCATGCCCGGCTAATTTTTGGACTTTTAATAGAGACAGGGTTTCACCATGTTGGCAGGGCTGGTCTCAAACATTTGACCTCAAGTGATCTGCCCATCTCAGATTCCCAAAGTACTGGGACTACAGGCATGAGCCACCACAGCCAGCCAAGAGTTCTAATATGACGAGTGTTTCCATTTTGGAGACAAAGAAATTCATCTGGGCTTGTGTAGAGGGAGGTTATGAGATTTAATGAAGCCACACACCCCCGACAAACAGATACAGGACTGGGACTCAGGTCTCCTGGAAGGTCAGCAGGCCAACTTTCCACCACCCTGGTGACCATTTATCAGCCACCCCAGTGGAAGGATGCTGGATAGGATGGAGAGTCAGGAAACCTCAAATTGGTCTCAGTTTGGTCCAGGCTTGGCTGGATAACCTTGATCAGGTCAATTAACCTCTCTGGGGGTGGGACCACATGACCTAGAAGAATAATTTCTGCCCTGAAATTATGTGCCTCTTTCCTCTCCAGAGGAGTTCACTAGAGAATATTTCCTTTGTATATTTCAAAAGGTGATTCAACATATCAAAATGCTGTTTACATCCACCCATTACATAAAACATGGCACTTGGATGTCCCTGGAGGTCAACAGGGAAGGAGAGTTAGACTCAGGTTTCATGTGTCACTAACAGGGAGGTGACTGTTGCTCAGTGCTCAAAGCAAGGTCAGGAGGAAGTCTGTCTCAGAAGAAAAGGATGCTTCCCAGGTAACCACAGGTCTCAGTGAATGCCCGCTGGCCATTAACTACAAAATAAACATTCCACGTTGGAGGGAAGCCTCCCCTTGCTCACCTCTCCTCTCCCTCCTGTTTTTGTTGCTTTTGTCCCTGTGACTTTTAAAAAAAATTTAATGAATAAACTTTATTCCTTTTTTTTTTCAGGGTCTGGCTCTGTCACCCAGGCTGGAGTGCAATGGTGCGATCATAGCTCACTGCAACATCTGCCTCTTGGGCTTAGACGATCCTCCCACCTTGGCCTCCTGAGTAGCTGGGACTATGGGTGCGTGCCACCACGCCTGGCTAATTTTTCTATTCTTAGCAGAGATGAGGTTTCACCATATTCCCCAGGCTGGTCTTGAACTTCTGAACTCAAGCAATCCTCCCTCCTTGGGCTTCCAAAGTGCTGAGATTACAGGCGTGAACCACCTCGTCCAGTCAGACTTTATCCTTTTTTTTTCTTTTCATTTTAATCCAAATCCTGCACAAGACTTTCTTCTTTAGAGTGGTTTTAGATTTACAAAAAATAAGTGAAAATAACAGAGTTTCCATATTACACCACCACCAAATTTCTCCTATTATTAACATCTTGTTAATAACTCATTAGTGTGGTAGATTTGGTACAATTGATAAGACAATACTGATACACTATTGTTAACTAAAGTCTATAGCTTCCATGAGGGTTTCCTTTTTGTGTTGTATATTTCATGAGTTTTGACAAACATACGATGATATGTATCCATGACAATATCATAGAGAAGAGTCTTACTGCCTTAAAAATGCCCTGTGCTCCACCTATTCACCCTCCTCCCTCTCCCCCACCACCCCGGCAACCACTCACCTTTTTATTGCCCCTATAGTTTTGCCTTTTTCCAGATGTCATACAGTTGGATTTTTACAGTACATGGCCTTTTCCGATTGGCTTCTTTCACTTAGCAATATGCATTTCAGTTCTTTCCACATCCTTTTGTGGCTTGTTAGCTCATTTCTTTTTAGTACTGACCCTTTCATCTTTTGATATGGGGCTGAAGGTTCTGCAGGTTGGGCCAGGATCTTCATGGGAGACCCTCCAGTGTCTGGCAGTGCAGTCTCAGAACAGCTGCACACAGCAGAGCCTGCCTCCATCAGCTGAGATGTGCCAACATGTGAGGGACAGAAACAGAAGAAACGGGCCCAGGCTGTTGCTAAAGCCCAAACAAAATGGGTAGAAAGAGCTCCAGGGAGAGCTTTTGAGATAGGTTCTTGGCATCCTCCCTGCAAGTGATGCAGAAGCCATCACCTGAATAGAGGATGATGACTTGTGACAAGGGGACCCCTCAGCACCTCCATGGTCCGTCCTGCTCCCTTCCCCCTAACTGGGGAAAGAGAATTCTGGGAGGAGAAAACCCAACTTCCAACCCACATTAAATCACTGTCATCAGGGTCTGAGCTCACCCGCCCATGAGCCATAACAGCTGCCCAGAAACTGGCCGGGAAAAGAGCAGATTGGCTGTCTCCCAGCCCCTCCTCTGGTAGGTGGTTTTCCAGAGGAACCAGACAGTGTCCTGAACACCCCCCAGCATAGGCAGAGTCAGCTTGATCTCATCTGTCTAACTCCCTCCCGGGCCAGGACAAAAGTGTCACTCTGTGCCTGACACCGAGGCCTGATTTGCTCTCACCCCTGCTGTCCCCGTCAATGACTCCCAACTTTCGAGGCCTCATTCCTACCTTTAGTCTTTGGCTGCCATTATTTATCACTGCAAAGTGAACAGAGGAACATGATTTTCACTCAAGGACACCACCTTTCAGGAGGAACTTATCCAAAGTTTTGCAAAACTTGGGCAGAATCAAGGTCTCACCTCCTTCATCTTGGTGGACTCGAGAAGGTCTGGGCTCAAAGAATTTCTGCACAATCAACCAAAGGTGGGGTATAGAGGCAGGAGGAAAACAGAAGACACAGACTGCCCCCAAAAGAAGAAAAGGTCCTTTAAACACCATCTGATAGCTCCTCCGCACAGGGTTTGGTGGAGCTGTTTTTAAAGTCTACATTTAACAATCTGGTGTACCCCAGGCCTGTGTATCTCAGTCTTAATGCCTCTGAAGCAAAAACTACAAAGGTCTCTGATGTTTCTTCTTTCAGACTTTTTTTTTTCCACGATATGAACTTTTTTTAAGGCTCCCGCTTCCCGGTGAACTCGCCTCCATCTCTTTCTCTTGCTGAAGCTGCAGATGTACATTGTGGTAGTGTGAAAAAAGCTAATTAAACTGCAGCGGCTCGGCGGGAGGCACGGAAGGCCCCGCGGAGCACATGGGATGATTGATTTGCACTGTCACACGGCTCTGCTGGGTGTCATAACTTAGTGACAAATCAAGGATTACAGTGGCCCAGAGTAACTCTCTTCCTTTGTTGTTCCATAGACATCAAAGCAGCCAAGGATATTAGTGTTTTTAATAAGTAGCTAAGTCAGGAGTAGCTTACAGTTTGAAATTACTCTATGTACAATTGAAGGTGTTGGGGGAACAGGGGTAAGGAAAACAACAGCTCAAGTGTTATTAGTTAGATTTAAAAAAATTTAATAAAATAAAACAAAACAAAATAAAATGCAGCCCATGCACCAGGAGCAAGTTCTTTGTAGGGGTTGTTGGAGATTTTTGCATTATTTGTGTAAGCCACGTGGAGGCCTGCTGTGGTGAGGCATACCCTCTGGAAATTAGGTTTTCTAGGGACAGGAAAAAAATGACTATCAAAGCCACAGGTCTGGGGGGCTTCATAAGCAAATGGCTTCATCTTAATCAGCACAGAAGGAAGCTGGGAGGGTCACAGTGATGTGTTTGAGGACGAATATCCTGTTCCCCAACAATTAGGATCATAAAATGATTGGGGCAACTCACCTTATCTTGAAAGTACACAGATCCCTGAAGACAGCTGCAGCCAAGGTTTGTTTTTCTTGGGATATTTACCTTCCACCACAGAAGAGAGGCCTGAAAATCAGAGCAAGGTGGGAATCTGAAATTCATTCCTGCCTACTATGCAATTATCATCACTGTGTTGCTAATGGTTTCTCCCTGGATGGGCTCGAGTCGCTCTGGAAGATGCTGCTGGGGCCAGGGCCGTGATGAGATGTTGGAATGGATGGCCACCTCGCTCAGTGGGTGCCCATTTCTCCTTAGTGATTTTAAGCTCGGTTAGCCCTGGACATGGAGAAATACCACCATAATCCCAAGATGCACCCTGAGATGCACACGTTTCCATCGACTGTGGCGCAACCCAGCCCTCTTGGACCCTACCCAGTTGGGAGAGGAGCAAAGGTGACTCAGGACAAGTCTGTCAACCTCCCTGGGCCTCGGTTTCTTCATTCTGCATAATTGGAGATCATCCCTTCTTCCTCACTCACTAGGTTATGAAAATCTAATTAAACAACGCCGGTGGAAATATTTCACAAATTCCTAAGCATTATGCAAATCAATCAGAAAATGGAAGCACAGGATGAAGTCATTTCCCACGCCCACGCTTCGCTGGTGTGGGTGGAGGAAGCCTGTCATGGAATCACCACTGTGGGCACCCATGACAGATTTGAATCTCCAGCAGTATTTTCACTGAAATTCACTTTGGTCTATGTTGTGCATAAAATCCATTTGGGGTTAAACAATGGTCTTGATTTTCTTTTGTGTGTATCTATGAATCTATGCGTTCCTGTTTGCATCATTGTGAACAAAACCCAAAACAATTTAAAATTGCAGTCATATGTTCAGTTTTCATTATTATGAATTAAATGAGGGAATCGGCCAGTTTTACGTAAAACAGTGAGGTTGAGTGAGGCGGGCTTCCCCACACAGAGAGGAGGCTGATAAAACAACACCCATTGGGGGAGATGAGGCTTTAAGGAACTGATGGTCCTTCAAGCAAATTCGCGTTGACTGAGGAGCCAGAGGGGACAGTTCCATCTGAAAACTGGGATCCAGGCCCCAACTAGTTAGTGCCATGGGCAGTGCCAGCATTCCCTGACTCTTTCTCCTTTGGCTTTACCTCAAACACATCACAATTATGTGCATCACACTTTTGCCTACTTAGGGCAGTCCACTATCTAACAGGAGAAGCACCCTGTATTCATCGATGCATCCCACGGCTTGGGCTCCTTCCACGTACGCCAAAGTACTTTGTTTATGTGGATTCTTATTTATTAAAATTGCAGACTTACTTTTTAAGAAAAACTAATAAATTTCTTGTAATGGTTAGAGAAGCTACTTTTGAACCCACCCGGACCTATGTTCCCCTTTCCTAACTACAGAGAGCTTTCTTCAAATGACAGCTTTTCTGGAAAACAAAACAAAACAAAACAAAAACAAAAAAACAACAAAAAACAACCAAACAAAAACAAAAACAAAAAAAACGCTCTGCTTTGTCTGGCAAAGTTGAATCTGCTCATAACACTTTGAACCAGCAATTCTGTTCCCCAGTGTATGTCCATGTGCACCAGGAGGCAGGACAGGGAGTGTTCATTACAGCATCACATGCAATAGTGAAAACCAGAAACTGCCTATATGCCCATCAGCAGAAGGGACAAATTGTGGCATTTTAATACAAAGAAAAACTATTATTTAGAGAAAATATCTAACAGCTGTGGATATGAACATGAATAAATTTCAAAAACATGAAAAAATGATGAACAAAGAAACACATGTCATAGAGGAAGCCATAGCATATGTGTATGATTTCATTAATACAAAGTGCAAAAATGGCAACAGTAAACAATAAATTGATGATGGATACATATGTAAAGAGTGAAACTGTGAGAAGGAAGAAGAAAGGAAACATGGAAAGAGGAAGAGAGAAAGGAAGGAAGGAAGCAAGGAAGGAACAAAGGAAGGAAAGAAAAAGGAAGGAAAGAAAGGAAGGCAGAAAGGGAGAGGGGAAGGGAAGGGAGGGAAGGAAGCGAGAAGTGTTCTCATTTCTGGGGAGAAGTGGTGTCCTCTCCTAACTCAGAGAGTTAGTGTGTTGGGAATGAGAGTAAAAATAATGAGGATTTCCTAGGAACGTGGAGTCCTTAGCATTACTACACAACATTTAGATCTATAGTTAGTAGGTACCAAGAGTTTACTAGCCAGAATGCTTACATAATTGGCTTATTTTCTTCTTCAGTCCTTTGGAGAAACAAAAGAGGACTAAGGTGGTTCACTCCAGAGATGTATTAAAAACAAAGAGCATCTAGAAGACGGTCTAGGGCTAGCAGATGTTCAGGATGGCCTCCCACACTTCCACAATCTCCAACTTGCATCACACACTTTATATATTCAACATGCTGCTCATGAACTCCTCAGATGGGGTGGGGGACATGTGGAGTGTATAAGGACAGGGGAGAATGGGGTCTTAGTTCCGATACAAGAAAGGGGGTGGAGGGAACAATAGGCGGCCCCAGATGGTGGATGGTCTGAGGCTGCCCCTTTGACTGTTAATGTGTGAATGTCAGTGTGAGTCTGTATAAGTGAGAGATGACATACACATGGCATCGGAGCGACTCTCAACATTAAGTACTGTTAGAGATTATAAAGCTAACAAAGAAGGAAGAGATGTACCAGTTATTCATATTATTCACCTTAAAAGCCATCTGCTTATAGAGAGACTGGGAGTGACCACCCAATTACTTACCAGCATATCAGTCTATTTTAATCCTCTGCCTACTACTTAACACTTATCAGTACCTCACATTTTATGATCTGTTTGTGTGTTTGTTTACGGTTGGATTCTCCGAACCTTGAACGTCGTTGCCTGCCACTATTCCCACCGTCAGGAAAGAAGTTTTGTTCTCTTTTTATTCTGTTTTTAAAAAATGTACATATCTTTTTTTCATTTTTCTTTTTTTTTTTTTTTTGCCTCCCAGGTAGCTGGGGCTACAGGCACACACCACCACACCCAGCTAATTTTTTGTACTTTTGTTTTTGTTATTTATTTATTTATTTATTTTTCATTTTTAATTTTTGTGGTTACATAGTAAGTATATATATTTACACAGTACATGAGTTATTTTGACACAGGAATGCAACACGTAATAATCACATCAGGGTAAATAGGGTATCTGTCACCTCAAGCATTTATCTTTTCTTTCTTTTCTTTTTTTTTTTTTTTTTTGGGATGGAGTCTCGCTCTGCCACCCAGGCTGGAGTGCAGTGGCATGATCTTGGCTCACTGCAACCTCTGCCTCCCAGGTTCAAGCAATTCTCCTGTCTCAGCCTCCCGAGTAGCTGGGATTACAGGCATCTGCCACCACGCCTGGCTAATTTTTGTATTGTTTAGTAGAGATGGGGTTTCACTATGTTGGCCAGGTTCGTCTTGAACTCTCAAGTGTTCTGCCCACGTCCGCCTCCCAAAATGCTGGGATTACAGGCTTGAGCCACCACGCCTGGCCATTTATCCTTTCTTTGTGTTACAAACAATCCCATTATACTCTTTTGGTTATTTTTAAATGTACAATGAAATTGTTATTTTTAAAATTTATACTCTTTTAAAAATATTTTAACTTTTATTTTAGGTTCAGGGCTACTTGTGCAGGTTTGAGTTAATCCGAGTGGCATCCCTTGAAGGCTCTCTGCATTAGGATAATATTCAGATATCCAACAACTTTCATCTCACACAGATCTTCAAGAAACATTTTTAAAAATTACCAAGTAAGAATAAGAAAATAAGAATACCCAACATACTGGTAACAGTAATTGTTTCTGGGAAAACAAGCCAAGGAATTGAAGAGTAGGGATTTAAAGATCAACTTTTCACTATATACTGTTTTTTTTATTTTTTTTATTTTTTATTTTTTTTTGAGACTGAGTCTCACTCTATCGCCCAGGCTGGAGTGCAGTGGCGAGATCTTGGCTCAATG
This sequence comes from Homo sapiens, assembly GCF_000001405.40. NCBI lineage: Eukaryota > Metazoa > Chordata > Mammalia > Primates > Hominidae > Homo > Homo sapiens. The sequence goes on from NC_000017.11 coordinate 65,369,959, forward strand.
CAACCTCCGCTTCCCCGGTTCAAGCGATTCTCGTGCCTCAGCCTCCCAAGTAGCTGGGATTACAGGGGCAGGCCACCGCGCCTGACTAATTTTTGTATTTTTAGTAGAGATGGGGTTTCCCCATGTTGGCCAAGCTGATCTCAAACTCTTGACCTCAAGTGATCCACCTGCCTCAGCCTCCCAAAATGCTGGAATTATAGGCATAAGCCACTGTGCCCGGCCACTACATACTTTTTTAATTGACTATTTTACCAAGCACATGTATTTCCATACTAAAAGTTTACCTTAATTAAAATCTCTTTCTCTTAACTCTCCCTCCCTCTGTGTCTTTTCCTCTGCCTCTGTCCCTGTTTCTTTATGAATTCACCAGAATGAACATTTCAAACTACCTCATTTAAAGTCTCTTGGACCTGACTAATGATGTTTCAAGGGTTCACCTTCAAGTCTTTCCTGCGTTTTCGAATTTAGATAAAATATATGGGTGTTTCTTGGATTTTCTTTTAATCTCCTTCACTGCCTTTTTCCCTGGAGGAGAAAGGAGACATTTCCAGAAGAATCTTGGGAAATGATCTGCTAGTGTGCCCACATCCAGAAGTGATGGCTGGACTTGTTCTGAGCGTTTGTTGCGGTGAACCGCAGCAGGATAAACAAAAGCTTTCTCCTCTCTCTTGCTGATGTCCTGCTGGGTTGGACCTCTGCACCTGAGCACCTCAGCACGAGTCTCCCCAGAGCGGGTCGGTGCCCTCCCGTCTGCACTGGAAAGAGCTCCACTCTCCCAGAAGGAACCAGGTAGAGGGGACTGTCCATCATCCGTGCCAGTTGGCCAAGTTCCTCCCTCAGCGAAATCAGGAAGCTCATAAAAAGACCTTATCTCTGGGTAAGCCATGACTCTTCAGTTCCCACCCGCCTGGCGCCTGGGAAAGGACAACAAAGGGGTGTTGAGAACAATGACCATCTGTAGAGCCGAGCCTGCACCAGCAGAGTCACGGGAACCCCAGGGTCTCAGTGCCTCCCTTCCCCGGCCCCGTGCCTGGCGGGGTCAGGTATCCTCCCTGGTAGACAGGCGGCCCTGGTGGCCATGTGTGCTCTCGGGCTTGTGGTGTTACCCACATCCTATCTTAAGTGTTACACCTCTCCTAAAACAGACTGATGAGTGGCCTAGACTTCTCCTTTTATTTCTTAGAATACTCCTAGTGTCACAGCTCTAGAGTAACTGTGCTATTTCATTTCTTACCACCCCCTTCCTGAACTGGGCTAAAGACAATGTCCAGTGCAACATGTCACACCCTGCCCCTCACTTGCCCCCTGCTCAAGTCGAATCCTCTGTCCACCAAGACCACAGCCCTAGGAGTTAGGAAATGGTTCCATTTTCCTCTGCCTTGCCTGAGCCACACAATTGCCTGTAAATGCCAAGACATCTAGTCCTCTCTCCCATGAGGTGTGGTTTCCCCAGACCCTTCAGGCATTTACGGTACCTCAGTAGGTCTCCAAAGTAGGCCTCCAAACTCCCCCACCAGGGCCCTGATCTCCGCTGAGTAACTTCCTAATCTTTTCTTTACAATTCCCACCTGCTATTTCACCTGTATTTTATTCACCAACCTGAGATATAAATAGATAAGTGTTTTATGGATAAAGAGACTAAGGCACGATTTGTCTAAGGTCATTACGCGTTGCTGACTGAGAGAGAACTCAACACCTTTGACGCCTAACCTAAGGCTTTTTCAATTCTATTACCATTTTGGGCACATGTCACTAGATTTCGGTCCTAGTCCATGTCTCTATTCACATCATAGACTGCTAGGGCTGGGAAAGACTTCAGAGTGTATCCTTGTCTCCCATGCTCATGGTGAAACTAAGCCCCAGAGAGAGAAGTGGCTTCCAAGGTTATGTAATGAGTTGGTGGCCAAGTTCAGATGAAGTGGTTGGGCCAGTCCCCAACTCGGCCTCATGCCAGACCTCCCAGCTCCCTGATGCCAGGATCCAAAGCCCTTTCACTCTGAACCCTCTCCTCCCCTTCCTCCCTGGCAAGGTCAGCAGGTTTGCCAGGCAGTCCTTGGCCTCCTGGCCCACAAGTCCTTCTGCATGGTGCTTGTTGGTGCTGGTACTCTCTGAAGGGGGCAGGAAGCAGGGAGAAAGCCTGGGGGACTCCTGGGGTCCAGGGAACAGAAGGGGAAGAAAGCGTGAGGTGAGAGAGATAGGAAAAAGGACAAAAATTGCAGTCATCAGGGACATGAGACTTTGGCAAAATCCCTCACCATTTATGCTGATTATTGGTTCAGTCCAGAAGAACTAATAAAATGAGAAAAGAAAATAAAAACAAACAAACAAAAAAACTGTATCGGTTCTTTAACACCACCACAAATTACAGGTGATGAAGCAGAATGCTGTTCCCTGGGTCTGACTGCCGTGTGGCTCCATAACTGTACACGTCCTCAAGCATGTCAGATGGACTTGCTGCACGCTGTACTTTAGCAGAATGGTAAGCTGTATCCTACCTGTTCAGTCTTCCAAGCAGGTTGTCTCGGCAACATGGCTAGAGCTTCAGGGTTAGAAGGGACTTGAAAGGATAGACCCCTATTTAAAACAAACCTAAGGCAAAAAATAGTGTCCTTGAGTTTTGCCTGTGGCTCCTTCCCTTTCTGGTTTCTTTCTTTTTTTTTTTTTTTTTTTTTTTTTTGAGACGGATTCTCGCTCTGTCGCCCAGGCTGGAGTGCAGTGGCGCGATCTCTGCTCACTGCAAGCCCCACCTCCCAGGTTCACGCCATTCTCCTGCCTCAGCCTCCCGAGTAGCTGGGACCAAAGGCGCCCACCACCATGCCCGGCCAATTTTTTTGTATTTTTAGTTGAGGCGGGGTTTCACTATGTTAGCCAAGATGGTCTCGATCTCCTGACCTCGTGATCTGCCCTCCTCGGCCTCCCAAAGTGCTGGGATTACAGGCGTGAGCTACCGCGCCCGGCCCCCTTTCTGGTTTCTAAGAGGCCACACTGAGTAGCCAGGGGGCCTGCTTAGGTGACTTATCAGCCCTGAGTTAAGTTCTAGAGAAGCTGGGGTGAAGAGCAAGCTGCTCACTGACCTCTTTCGTTCCTGAGCAAGCGGGGTGAGTCACCTTAAACTAGGGACAGGAGCACCATGAAGCCAGGACGGCAGGGACACGGAGTTGGAAGCATGCAGGGAAAAGGACACTTTCTAGCTTTTGGCCTGGAGGTTGTAAGTTTAGTGGATTTCCTCACCTTCCTTTGATGGGAGGTGTGAAACTGACATCCCTCCCAAATTGTAGCAGCTCTTCCCAAAAGCTGCCCAAGCTATTATGCCGCCCAGTAAACACATGCTTGTTTTGCAAACACAGCTTTAAGACTTATCCTCCCGCCTCCCCTTCTACCAGAACGATGCCCCCAAACTCTCTCATATGTAAATCTGGGAGCCGTCATATAAACCTAGCAGTTATTTCCCTGGAGAGTAAAAAATCTTGTGCAGAAAAAAAAAAAACAAAACCCCACCTAGAGGGAAATACTCTAAATATTAATGGTGATTTTCTTTCTTTGGTTGGTGGGATAAAGCCTAATTTTTTCCCATCTACTTTTTTCAATTTCTAAATGGGCTATAATGAATATATAATACCTTTATGCTATAAAATATAAACTAAAATTTTTAGCAACACTAATTAGCACTGTCGTCCATGTAACAAGAATACAGTGAGCTATCTCCATGCAGACAGGGTCTCGAGAGGGAAAGTTCTTCCCCGAAGGAAAGCAGGTCCTGAACTATATCCCCAGTGCCTTCTGTGAAAAGCTCAGTTTAAGCATGCTTAAAGAGGTTCACATCCTTCAAGAGCTTCTCATTCCCTCCTGACCTCACAGAGACAGGGCCATATGGGGAAAGACAAATCTCGTTATCCTGCTCAGCTAAACGGTGAGAAAACAGAGACTGGTGCAGGCACCCGTGTTTTACTATGAAGTTTCAACAACTGCTTCTAAGTCTTTCTCTGGCTTGCTTCTCTCCCCCATCAGGTATAAATATCCTCAGAAAAGAAATAAATATCTCTTCAGGTAGCTCCAATGCAGTAAATAATTTTAACCTTTAATGTCCTGCACGAGCTCTGATCTTAAATTCTTTAACACATTAAAAGCTTTAGCTACTTTAAACATAGACTTACCAGGGGATTTCTGGAGCAATTCTACTCCTAGGTATATAATTAAGAGAGTTGGAAACATACCTCCACATGAAAGCTTGCATGTGAATATCTATCTGTAGCACCATTATTTATCAGAGCTGAAATGTGGAAACTACATAAATCTCCACCAACTGTTAAATGAATAAACAAAAAGGTTGCATATCCTCACAAAGGAACATTACTCAGCCACCAAAAGGAATGAAGTACAGTCTGTCCTCCTTATCTGTGGGTTCCACATTTGTGAATTCAGCCAACAGTGGATCAAAAATAGAAAAAAAAAAACCAGAAAATGAAAAAAACCATGAAGCTCTAAAATGCAAAACTGAATTTGCCATACCCTAAGTACTACACTGAATCCAAGTGAATGAAGTGATGTGTAGCCTTGTTTCGGGGTATTTATAAGTGATCTAGACATACATGAGACGATGTGCATAGGTTGGATGCAAATATTATGCCATTTTATATTAGGGACTTGGGCCTCTGTGGATTTGGGTTTGTGAAGGGAGTCCTGGAACCAATCCTCCTCCTGGATACCAAGGGATGACTATACTGACGCGTGTTAGAACATGGATGAACCTTGAAAACATTATGCTAAGTAAAAGAAGCCAGTCACAAAAGGCCACATCATATATAATTCCGTTCTTATGAAATGTCCAGAAAAGGGAAATCGATCTACAGAGACAGAAAGTAGACTAGTGGCTTCCAGGGAGGGATTAAGTGGTTGAGGGAAGTAGGGAGTAATAATTCAAGGGACTGGAAGTTTCTTTGTCATCATTGATGAACATATTCTCAAATTGATCGTGTTGGTTGCACAACTCTGCAAATATACTAAAAAGCATTGAGATGTACACTTTCAATGGGTAAATTATATGGTAGGGGATTATAACTTGACTTATTTTTAAAAAGCTTAGCTAGTTTATTCACAAATAAATCACATGCGCACACTTGCATGCAGGTTGTGTAGCAGCTCTGAGGCAGGGCCAGGGAGAAAGTCAAGGTTGAGCCCAGCTCCTGGGCGGCCAGATCAACAATCCATGCAGAAAGCAAACATCCGGCTTAGGATCCAGGAGGCCAGAGAGATGTGCCAAGAAGTCAGAGCAGGCATGGGAGGGCTTTGCAGACATCCTGGAAACCCCTAAGTCAGGTGCACCAGTAAGAGGTGGGAGAGGAGCAACTGCTCAGAAGAAACCAGAGGTTGCAAGAGGGGCTGGATTCTTTTCTCATGAAAAGCAGTGCAGTTCCCTGGAGCCATGCTGGCCCATGTTTTTTCACCTGGACTTGCTTTGCCCAGGGGCTTTTTTGCTCTGGGGTCATGCTCTGTGCCCTAGTTTCTTGGTGCCCTGGGTGGGTTCCCTTCTCCCTGGAAGGCCAACACGCAAAAGGGAAGGGGCAGCAGTCAGATCACCTGCATAGAGTTTTGTGAGGGTTTGCTTTATGGATGTTGATCCCTGTACTTTGGGACATTTTAGTCCTTGAACTAAATTGCAAGCCAGGGACAAGAAGTTCTTTGTACCAGGCAAGGAGCCGATCTTGAGATTCCCTATTTTCCATTAGAGAAAACAGGAGACTGATTCAATGTCACTTCCACACACAAAACCTTTGCACAAAGTTTGCTGCTATGGGGCAGAGAAGGCCAAGGTTAGAATCAAGAGGAAAACCACTCACTATGTGCTAGGCACTGTGCTTTGTAGACATGAACTCATTTGAGCCTCTTAATTATCCTATGATAATTAAGCTTCAGTTTCCTCCTCTGTATAGTGAAAACCAGGCCTCAAGCCTGCAAGTTATTTGAAAGAGTTAAGTAAGGTAATATATGTGAAATTTTCCACCACTCTTAATGCATCAGAAATCTTGGGTCTTATCATTTTACAAGATATTTAGATACTGTAGGCATGCTTTCATTTGGTCCTGGCTGGAAGACATATTATCGATATATTATCTCCTTCTTACAGATGACAAAACTGAGATCAAGTAACCAACCCGTGGCTATACAGAAAACTAAGGAATCATGGAATTAAAACCACCTCACCGAGTGCCCCTCCCATCACCAGGGGTCTCAAAGTTCACTTACGTCTGAACCATGTGGGCACCTGTCAAAAACAAAGAGGCCCAAGACCTACCCCAGACCTATGGAATTCAAATCCCCAGAGTGGGGCCCAGCCACCTGCATTTTTAAATCTTCCTCAGGAGATTCACGTGCACACTATAGTCAGTCTCTGCACTAACAAGAAGAACTAGGCAAGAGAAAACCTAAAGGAAAAAGAAAGAAGTAACCAGAAAAACTAAAGGGTAAAGAAAGAATCTAGAAGATACAACCTGCTTATATATTACAGCTTTTACACAGTTTTTACCAGGTGCAGGGTATGGTGGTAAGTGCTTTGTAAGTCTTATATGAACTTAGTTGAGTCTCAGAGTCACCCTATGACATAGGTGCTATTATTAGCCCCATTTTACAGATGAGAGAATTGAGGTTCAGAGAAGTGATAAGTTATTTGCCCAAAGTCACATAGCCAGTAAAGAAAGACAGGAGATAATTTTTTTTTTTTTTGAGATAGAGTTTCACTCTGTCATCCAGGCTGGAGTGCAGTGGTACAATCTCGGCTCACTGCAACCTCCACCTCCTGGGTTAAAGCCATTCTCCTGACTCAGCCTCCCAAGTGCTGGGACTACAGGCATGCACCACCACAGCTGGCTAGTTTTTCTATTTTTAGTAGAGACAAGTTTTCACTATGTTGGCCAGGCTGGTCTCGAACTCCTGACCTCAAGTGATCCACCCGCCTCGGCCTCCCAAAGTGCTGGGATTATCCAGCATCGTGAGTCATTGCACCTGGCCAGTGAGAGAGAATCTTAACCACCTTGATACACCTGTAGAGAGGAAAGTGAGCCAAGATAATGAGAAAGGAGAAAGGGCAAGAAAAGAGGCACCATGGAAAGCTAGCATGAAGCAAAGCTGTGTCCAGGTCCCAATCTAAGTCTTCAGAAACCCACCTGTGGACTTGGCAAGTTTGAGAATGGGACTTGGGTACCTGTAAAAACATTCATGGTGTGTGGATGGCAAAGCCAGTCCAAATGCTTCCCTGCCACTTGGCGGGGGGCACCCCCCACATTGGCTAAAGTGGTTTGAATGGTGACTCCAAACTCTATGTCCATGTTCTAACCCTCAGAACGTATGAATGTGACAGTCTATGGGAAAGGGGTCTTTGCAAATATAATTAAAGATCTTGATTTTTGAAATTATCCTGGATTATCTGAATGGACTCTAAATCCAATAACAAGTGTCCTCATAAGAGGAGAAGACACAGAGAGGAGGAGAAGATCATGTGAAGATGGAAGCAGAGACTGGAGTAAGCAGTCACAAGCCAAGAAATGCTGACCACCCCAGAAGCTGGAAGAGACGAAAGGAAACTCCTCTGGAGCCTCTGGAGGGAGTGTGGCCCTAACAACATTTTGATGTTGAACTTCTGGCCTCATGTTGTGTTAAGCCACCAGATTCTGGTCATCTGATACACGATATAGCAGCCCCAAAAAACTACACACTGAGCAATGTTCCATTGATAACTGATATATATATATATATATATATATATATATAATTTTTTTTTTTTTTGAGACCGAGTCTTACTCTGTCACCCAGGCTGGAGTGCGGTGGTGCGATCTCAGCTTACTGCAACTTAGCCTGTCAGGTTCAAGTGATTCTCTTGCCTCAGCCTCCCAAGTAGCTGGGATTACAGGAGTGTGCCACCACGCCCGGCTAACTTTTGTATTTTTTGGTAGAGATGGGGGTTTCATCATGTTGGCCAAGCTGGTCTCGAACTCCTGACCTCAAGCAATCCGTCTGCCTTGGCCTCCCAAAGTGCTGGGATTACAGGCATGAGCCACCACGCCCGCCTGGCCTGATAACTGATTTAGTGGACACTGCTGTTTAAGTCTGCCTAGCAACCCTTTTTCATTTTCTCTGGTTATAACTCCTCCCTTTCCCTAGACACCTGTTTCCCAAAACCTCCTGCATGTGATTCTGGTGGCCCATTCTAGACACACGAAGTGCCATTCGTCCAAAACTGGCCAGTCAGAGAACCCCATCTCTTCAGCTACAGTGATTGGTCCAGGGGTGGCTCATGACCCAGGCTGGGCCAATCAGAGTCTTTCTCTAGATTTTTGTAGAAGTGAGCTGTGAGAGTTATACTTCTCTTCCCTTTGGAATTGTTAAGTTGATGCACCACTGAAGGGCATGTTTTTCTATATGGAGAAAGCCCATCCATGTACAGTAGGCAGGAATGAGGCCAATGTGCAAACGGAGACAGAAATGAGCCGTGGAGTTAGAGCGTGAGGGAATCCTGATAGTGTCTAAGTTTTCGGAGCACCTGTAACATAGTACACACCCATTATTAAGTGTGAAAGAATGTTTCGCTCTTAAGTGAAACAATGTTTTGGCTTAGGCTACCTTAAGTTAGCTTCCTGACCTTGCAACCATCAGAGCCTGGACTAACACAAGGGACTTAAAGCAATTGCTGTTTTCTCCAGGCAAAACAGAGGGATCTGAGGATAAACTTTACTGCACCATTTGCATCTCATCCATTTCAGAGAAGTTCTGAGGATAAGATCGAGAGCTAGCGGTGAAGAAAAGATGTGGTGAAGAAAAGAAATGAGAAACATGCTTGAGAAAATCAGTCTCCTTTATCTTGATAGCATCAGGCAGAATGTCCTAAAGACGGAATGGGGACCATTTCCAAGCAGAAGCAGGTTCATTCTCATTTGGCAGAGCATGGAAAAGAGAAGGAAATGAAAAGATTCAGACGGGGAGTCAAGTCAGGCGTGGGCAGAGAGGTCCTGATTCCCCTTTTCATAACCGCACGAAGCTACCTATACATCCAAACACCAGCCTCAGGATCGCAGTGACATCTGAAACTTCATTTAGCCATTTCCTTCCCTGTTCAAGTCTCTTTGGGTTACTCAGCCCATACATTGCTAATTTTTCATCTTTTCAAAGCTCTCCATTGCATTTAAAATCAGAATGCATCCTATTCATCACTTCTGAATTTGAGGGGGTGGATTACAGAGGTCAGCAGGCCCTTTAATATAGAAAGTAAATGAGCAAGCGAAGCCGTGCGTGAACATGTGTGTGCATGTGAGCACACACATAGCTTATTATTTCCTGCCTTAATCCACTTTTCAGCTCCACTGTGCAAGATCACAAGAAAGACTTGGACAGTACCTCTTAGAAAGGTTCCTGGCTTCTCCTTCAAGAAGCTTCTTCCTAAAAGTTGCCTTTTGTAGTTCACCAGGTCTGCTGTGCAGGCTTCAGCCAAGCTAATTACTGGTCAGCCGGCAGTCACTTTGAACTAGTCACACACCAGACGCCCTCCAAGGATCTTGTTTGCTAGGTGACTGTTTTCATACAGTGCCTATTATATCTTCACGTGGCAAAGGGCCTTTCTCTCTCACTTGAGGCAGAGCAGAGAGGAAGCCCCTCCAATTAAAGCAGGGACAAAGAAATGGAGGAAGGCTGGGGCACATGGTCTTCTGACAAGGCTCAACAGAAAAGGGGGTCACAGAGAAACTAAATTTGGCTGCTATAATCCACTTAAAGGAAAAACTAAATCAAAGGAAGAGAGTGTGTGGAATAGGGGTGTGAGCCATTGGTGTCCTTTAGGTATAACCACTAGATTTCCAACCTGTTCATGGCCACCTGTAGAGTTCCCAAGGGAGTTGTGTATAGGTCTGGACGTTTGGATCCTATTCACCTAAGGTAGCTTAGAGTGGGTGCTAGGAAAATAGAAAAGTGTCAGGGGTCATTCCGTTTACCAAATCAGGCCTTTACAAGATAAGCAATAGGGAAAAAATAGTGAAGACCAAAAAGTTGGTGGCATTCAGTCCCAGGCTGTTAATAAATTCGTTATAAATGTGACCTTAATTTCCGAACCAAAAATGAAGACAAATGGTCTTATGACTAGGAGTATACATGGAATTCATGTAATAGAATTTTTAAAATTTGACTGCCCCTGAAATTATAGAGTAGTAGTTCTCAACTAGGGGCAGTTTTGGTGATGTCTGGAGACAATTTTGATTGTCATGACTGGGAGGATAGGGTGTGTGTGTAGTATTGGAATCTCTTGCATAGAAGCCAGGGATACTGCTCAACATCCTCCTAGGCACAGAACAGGCTCCAACAACAAAGAATTATTCTGTCTTAATGTCAAATGTGCCACTGTTGAAAAATCCTGAGTACAGGTTGTATAATTGGCAAACCCATCAGAGCCATCTGATATGGTTTGGCTGTGTCCCCACCCAAATCTCATCTTGAATTGTAGCTCCCATAATTCCCATGTATTGTGGGAGGGACCTGGTGGGAGATAATTGAATTGTGGAGGCGGTTTCCCCAATACTGTTCTTGTGGTAGTGAATAAGTCTCACGAGATCTGATGGTTTGTTTTCCCTTTTGCTTGGCTCTCATTCTCTCTTGCCTGCCACCATGTAAGACATGTCTTTTGCCTTCCACCATGATTATGAGGCATCCCCAGCTATGTGCAATTTTGAGTCCATTAAACCTCTTTTTCTTTATAAATTACCCAGTCTTGGGTTATTTCACACTGTTATCAGCAGTGTGAAAACAGACTAATACACCATACAAGACCGTTTTAACCCCTAGGCAGTATATTCATCTTCCCTAAATTATGAGTGCATTTCTCACTAAAGACCTTGGATGCCTCCTCTCTGAAGAGTAAGATATTTTTCTTACAAAGTCTCCTTTTGGAAATGATGAAGCCAGGCACATTTTAATCATGATTTATCTCAGCCCCAACTACATCTTATTGAACTGAGATGGACAACTGACCCAGGCTATGCCACTCAAATTCTTCCACCAATAATTTATATTCACACAGGGTCTATTAATTAGGAAAGGATAGGATATGCTGCAGCAGTAAACAACCCTCAGATCTTAGTGGATTAAAAAATAATTTATTCCTTGCTCACCTGTTTATTCCTGGCATTACATGCAAAGGTAGGTTGCCAAGTGTGGGGTGGGGGTGGGAGACTTTCTCTCTTCCACATAATCACTCAGGCCCCAGGATGACCGAGGTTCACCCATCTTATGACACTGTCATCTCTACATGAAGCTTCAGGGTTCACCTTAGCAGAGGAAGAAACCACGGAAGGGGTTCATGCTGGCTTTAAAATCTTTGACTGGTAAGTGACACATGCTTCCTTCCTCTCACAGCCCATTGGCCAGAGCTAGTCACATGGCCCCACCTGCTTGCAATGGCGTAGAGATGTGCAGTCTTCCCAAGACCCAAGAGAAGTGAGGAGCCAGTGAGCTGTGAGAAAGTGGGCTGCAAGGCCTGTAGTACCAGGGCTTGAGTGGACATTAGAAGGAGCCAGAACTGAGGTTACAGGAGAGCAGACCTCAGGAGAAAACAGAAGAGGCTGGTCAGAAAAGAGAAAATGAGGCAGGTGTGCAGGGAGAATCAGAGAGCAGGAGGCTCCTGAGAGATCCAGAAAGTAGATGCTTCAGTCTTGGGCAGCTTCCTGCTCTCCAAGTAGCCTGCTATGCTCTGTTTCATGAAAACTCTAGGTCAGTACACCAACACCTTGCTCTGAGCCAGCATGAATAGATTTCTCTTCCTTGCTACCAAAACAGCTTTGACCCATGCTTGCCATTTGTCCTTCTTTAATATGTAATTCCCTGTTAAGATTGTTGGGTTGTGGAAGGAAGCTGGACTCTCACACTAATGGAACTGCCCAAAGATGACGAAACTCCTGGGGTGAGCTTTTCAGAAGAGCCCAACTTTCCAACAGCCCCAGCCTAACACAGCCAACTGAGCCCAGGCAGGTAGCGGCCCCTGAGGCAACTTAAGAGGCTCAGAAGGACAATCCCTATGTCCCAGTGCCACCCCCACATCCAAAAGATGCTGGGCTTTTGGCCTGCTTTGTGCCATGGTGCCCTTCTCAGAATGATGCTTTTAAATCATTTAAATATTTTTAAATGCAAAAAATAAAATACGTAGGATTACAAAGGAAACCAATTACACTGAAAAGCAGTTAAAATATTTTAAAATTGAGACATAGTATTATGTGCACTTGTTAGTATTGCATTTAGAAACTCTAGTGACAGGTTTATACCTATCATAATTTCAGTAACACTGAGAATAAATAACGTCAAGATATTTGCAACGACTGTAACTTCATATGAAAATATTTATTTGTTTTGATGGTAACAAAATCAACAAAATCACAGACACTTTTACTATGTAAATGTTTATTCTGTAAGTGTTTATTATGTGTTATTTTACTATGTAAAACAGTAAAAACCATTTTACTATGGTTTGTTGCCTGCATCTATAATGAAAACGTATGCCAAATTTCCATTAAAGGTTTGTGAATGGAATGATGTATTTTATTATTTAGTAAAAAAAAAAAATACATATTTTGTTGTTAGTGAAAATAAAAACATATTTTCCCAGCCATGTTCATGGACCCCTTGAATTCTATGACCCGTTGGCCATCCATAAACCACAGATTGAGCATCTCTGGCCACAAAGCCCCAGACAAAGCTCAAATAGATTTTCTGAGCAGGAAAACAGTTGATGAAGAGGAAACAGAAATTATTTATTACTGTAAGGCTAAGCAATAAACACTAAACAATGAGTGACACCTAAGGCAGTATTAGTTGATCAGCTTAGTTCTTGTCACCCTCTAGAGACTTGAGTATGAACAGAAGAGGTAAGTCTTAACAAGAACTTGGTGTCTGTAGAGGATGCTAAATCAGAAAACATGAGCGTGGGCTCACTGGGGTGGAACAGCCACTGCCTGCAGGGCTATCTTCAGGAGCAGGGACACACTGGAAGTGCCACCAGACCAAAGGAAGAAATATCTGCCACTAGGCTTCAGGCCTGGCCACTGGAAGGAAATGTTCAAAATGTTCTTCAGAAATTAAGGTGATAACTGAGGAAAGAGAAAAAAAGGTGGGGTGGTGGTGGTGGGAAGTCAAGGCAGATGGAATGAAATTCATGGGAACAAAGTTTGTAGGGTGGGGGTGGGGAGGCTGAAGTCAAATGCCTCAATCACTGCAACCCAACCTCTTCGTTCTTTCTGTGGCTGAAGGCACTTGAAAAAACAAAGATTGTATGTGTTTGGGGAAGAACCGAAATTTTTCTGAACACATTTACAAAAGAAGAAACAATGAACTGGGTTCTAATTTCCCTTTTGCCTCCCTAATCTGCTGGGCCATCTAAGTCAAGTCTTTTCATCTCTCTGGGCCTCGGTTTGCTCATCTATAAAATGGGAGAGTTAGACTAGATAATCTCATGGGCAACCATTTTACAACTTCAGGATCAGCCATCAATACCCTAGCACTGTGATTCCCAATCCTGGCTGCACATGGAACTCTCCTGGCGAGTTTTTTTCAAACAACAAACAAACAAATACTGATGCTTGGGTCCTACTTCCAAAATTCTCATTTAATTGGTCTGATGTGGCTTGAGCATGCAGAGTTTTAAAATTCCCCAAGTGATTCTAACATACAGCCAAGGTTGAGAAACAGTGTCGTAGCACAAATTTGTTAATTAGGTTGACTCTACTCACTTGGGAAAGCACTTTTAGTTGGGTAGAGGACAAAAATCAGACACCTGGGACAGACCAAATGTTCAATAGACTCAGTCATATTGAGACATGGGACCCAGACCCAGAGAAGACAATGGACATCACGTAGGGGTGAGCAGGGAATGAGGTAGTTTTGGCTTGGAATGCAAGGAATGAATCTGTCCTACTAGCTGAATGAACTTGGGCCAGTAACTTCCTTTTTCTGAACCTCCATTTTCTCTTCTGTAAAATGAGCCCTGTGTAGAGGAAGGGGAAACCAACATACGTTAAATACTCCCTATGTGGCAGGCCCTGCCTGAGGTGCAGTACCTATATTATCCAATTTAATTCTCACACTGTATTTGACAGATGAGGAAACTGCTGTTGGAGAGGTTAATTAACCTCTTTCCCCATCTCATTGAGTTACTGCAGGGCCAAATGAGAACAAGTGTCTGAAATAGTGTTGCCACCTTCCACAAATAAAAATACAACATGCCCAATTAGAGTTTTAGATAAACAATAATTTTGTTAGTCTATCTCAAATGTTTTGTCTGACAACTCAAGTTGGAAATCATTTTATCAACTCACAAAGTATCATTTAGAGTTTTATTGGGTTGTTTGGCTTACTAGCAAGAAATTTTTCAGTATTAGGGATATTAACCTCCTGACATGTGTCCTAAACATTTTCTCTAGTTGTGTTTCATTTTTTACTTTGTTTTCGGTGTTTGTTGTACAGAAGTTTTTAATTTTTTATGTTGCCACAAGTCCCAATCTTTTTCTTTATGGCTTATGGCATTTGTGTCATGCCTACACGTTTCCACCCAAATATTGTACAAGTATTCATCAGTGCTTTCTTTGAGTGCTTTCTTTTACAACCTGATTTTTTACATCGAAAGCATCTGGAATTTATTTGGGGGGATGATGGCGCTTCCCCCCAAATGGCTAGCCAGTTGTTCCAATAGTGTTCAATAAATTATCTTTTCCCTTGCTTGTTTGAAAATACCCTTTATCATAGACTGAATTCTGAGATTTACATGTTGATATTTCTGGAACCTCTAATCTGTTCCACTACTTTGTCTTTTCCTTTCTCAGTGACACTATTAAAATAACTGCAATTGTATAGCATGTTTTATTATCTGGGGTGGGGGGAGGGGGCTACTTCTTCCTTGTTTTCCTTCTAAGGATTTCCTGTTTATCCTCACCTTTATATTCTTCCAGATTAATTTTTGAATTATTTTTATCAAGTACCCAAAACACTTGTTGAGGTTTTGATTAATGTTGGGTCGAATTTTCAGAATAGTTGAGAGAGAAAGGACCTCTTAACAATACCGTATGTGCCTATCCAAAAACAAAGGATATCTCTCCGTTTAGTTTCCTCTTTATGTTAGCAGCATTTTCTTCATGTAAGTTCTACACATTCTTATTAAATTTATTCTTAGCATTTGATATTTCATTGATATATTCTATTTATTTTTGCACAAGGTGTTTATCTTTTCTCTCTCTTTCCCTTTCTTTCTCTTTCCCTCTCTCCATCTCTCTCCCTTTTCTTTCTCTCTTCTTCCTTCCCTCCCTTCTTTCTCTCTCCCTTTCTTTTTCTTTCTTCCTTTCTCTTTCCTCTCTCTCTCTTTTTTTTTTGATAGGTTCTCATTCTGTTGCCCAGGCTGGAGTACAATGGTGTGAAGCTTCAAAATCCTGGGCCCAAGGGATTTTCCCGCCTCAGCTTTCAGAGTAGCTGGGACCACAGGCATGTGCCACCGTGCCTGGCTAACGTTTTTATTTTTTGTAGAGATAGGGTCTTGCTATGTTGCCCAGGCTGGTCTTGAACAGCAATCCTCCCAACTTGGCCTCCCAAAGGGCTGGGATTACAGGTGTGAGCCACCACAGCTGGCATGAGTAGTTTTATTAATGGGAAGAAGACAGGAGTAGCAAAGAGGGAAAGAGAGATAAAAGCAAATTTGGTCAACCTCAGAGTGTTGCCTTTATCTTCCCAAGAAATTCTAGGGAAGGTTCAATTCATGATGGTGACACCCATTAAAGGAAAGATGGTATGTTTGAGGACACCATTTTAAAAACTGGAGAGTCAGAAGAACCAGATACAATTCTCCCACATAATTCTATAATAACAGACTATTTCTCAGCTAAGGAGAGGCCCGGAGCGAAACAACCTGGCCCTTCCCACAGGCGCCCGCCATCTTTGCCCGACCACGCCGGGCATCCCGTTGGCTCTCAGTGAAAGCCCAGCCCCTTCCTGCTGAGGCTCCACTTCCGGTTCGGAGGAGCCAGTGTTCTCTGGAAATTCTCTCTACGGTTTTTCCTCTCTGGGCTTATTTCATGATAATTTGCTCCTCTGAAGGGAGTCTGGCATCTCCCTGACAAACACGTTTGCTGAAAGATTTACATTTTCGATTTCCTCGTCGCCCATTTTCTGACTGCATACATAAAAGAGAATTGTAAATGTTTAGAAAAATCAAAGTTCTTCTTAGACACCTGCAGTTCCACCCAGTTAGTTTTCTCGATAATACACGCCAAGAAAAGGCTGAAGAAATGAGGTGGAATAACCTGGCCATTTTCTTGCTGAGGTTTTCCAGACTTTATTTCCTCTCATTCTTCGAGTAGCTTCAAATTCTCAGGGCAGTTGGGAAGCTTGTCAGATAGAGCTCCCTGCTTTCCTGGGGCTAGAGGTAGTCCTGGGAGCCTCCTGGTCACTCCTCGTGGGTATAAGTGCCAGGGGAGGAAGGGCAAGGACAGCAGCCACTACTGAGGCTTGGAACATTGGCCTGGCCCTGGTTAGGGGCTGGCACTCGGCATGTCTACTAGACGCTGCCTTCCCCACACCACGGTGTAGACTCTCTTGCCAGACCCTGCTTCTGTCCGTCCTTCTCTGCCTATTCCTCTTCTTTCTCTCTCTCTGTTTTTTCTCTCTCTCCCTTCCTTCCTCTTTTTCTCTCTCCCTTCCTTCCTTCTTTCCTCCCTTCCATCCTCCTTCCTCTTTCTCTTTCTTTTCTTTCTTTCTTTCTTTCTTTCTTTCTTTCTTTCTTTTTCTTTCTTTCTCACCCTTTCTTTCTTCTTTCTTTTCTTTTCTTTCTTCCTTCTTTCCTTCCTCCCTCCCTGCCTCTTTTTTCTTTTCTTTTCTCTTCTCTTCTCCTCTCTTTTCTTTTCTTCTTTTCTTTCCAGAGTCTTGCGTTGTCACCCAGGCTGGAGTGCAGTGGCATGATCTTGGCTCACTGCAACCTTTGCCTCCAGGGTTCAAGCGATTCTCCTGCCTAAGCCTCCCAAGTAGCTGGGACGACAGGCCCGTAACACCATGCCTGGCTAATTTTTTTGTATTTTTAGTAGAGACAAGGTTTCACTATGTTGCCCAGGCTGGTCTCCAACTCCTGACCTCAAGTGATCCACCTGCCTCGGCCTCCCAAAGTGCTGGAATTACAGGCGTGAGCTGCCGCGCCGGGTCTCTGCATATTCCTTTTCTTTAATTTACTACCTGTGGGGTGCCAGTGGCTCTGCAGAGGGCATTCAGGGCTGAGGAAGGCTGCAAGCTCTTGACAATTAGCAAACATTTGAGTGTTAATAAAACATTTGAGTGTTAATAAATTCACACTCAGAAAAAGCATAAGCTGGCTTCTCATTTCCATTTTTTCAGATGGGCAAACACAAATGCTGAGAATCTTAAGGCTGTCCCTAAGAAGATGTGGAAGGGGAATGCACTTACTGGTCTCAAGAAGGACCAGTCCTAGACTCATGACCTTGGCCCATTGCAGGGAACACTTGCTGAGTGAGTCTAGGATTTCTAGGCTAAGTGACGCTTGTCTGTGGAACACTGGCGACGAAAGCTGGTTGCACAACTCTCTGCAGGCTCCTTGGACAGTGACTTTCAAACCATCCCAACCAAGATTGCTAAGAGAACCGCACTATTAGGTTTCAAGTTCACATCACATTGCCTTAAAAACCCCATGCTGTTCCTACGACCACACCTACAACTTGCCCTTGAAAATGGAAAACTCCATTCCATAAAACAGGTTTCTTCTTTCAAGTGCCCCACCAGGACCCTTCAAGAGAAGTCTGAACTATCATGAATCAAAATTTCCCATATTTTCCACACCCCAGTTATGAAGGAGTGGACCACATTATGATTTCCCCAGGGCTTATATAAGACATATTTCTATTTTTCACTTTCCATTTAAAGGAAGGACCCTTTTGGTCATCTTAATCCTCTGGGCAGAGACAGAAGAAAAGACCTTATTCTCCAATTATTTTCCCTGTTAGACACAGTTCTTTTGAATGTTACAAAGAAAAGATACAGACCAGAAATATCTTTCCAGGAACTGATTTCAAATGTTGATTCCATATACGCCAAGAGACTGCTGGCATCCACAGCTGCAATCTTCATTGAATAATGCATCAGGAGACAATTAGCAAGAGCTTGAGACTGTTTTGATTGCATGGAGAGTTGGTTTGGGCAGTTTGTGCTATAACAAGGTCTCGACAGTATAGTAAGTTTGGAAACACCAAAGTTAAAGAAAAGAATGAATTCTGGACAAGGACCCCACTCCCATCCCTGGGACATTCACAGTGCTCTTCATTTTTGGCCTACTTATGTACCATTCATGGGTCCCAATTTTGTGCAAGCTTCTTATCCTTCAACCTAGCCTATAAAAATGAGAGCAGCTGGGAATTCGAAGGCAGGGTGATAGGGGAAACAATTTCATGGTTCCTCTCCCTCTCCCAACCTCGTAAGTTTTTATTGCTTCACAGTTCATGATCTCGCTCTTTCCCCCACCTCTCACCACTATCCTTCTGTTCACACAGGTCCTATGGGACACTTAATCTGGAGGGGGATTCATGTTCCTTTGGAATAGCCACTGGATGAGAATAGGCTCAACCAAAGGCCCAGCTAGGAATATCCCTGCCACTTTCAACATTCCCTCCATCTGGCTTACTATGGAGCAATTTCAAGGCTCGCCACAGCTAAGGCTTGGGTTGTTTCCTTGATTTCTGCTTCTCATCTGTTGTACATTCCCCAGGAACAGTCTGGTGATAAGAGTCAGGTAGCAACAATGCAGTGAGTCTCTGAGACCAAAAGATAATTGAAAAATCCCAGTAAGTCCATTCCCTTTGGCCTTGAGTTCACATATGGTCACCACATTAGAGACCTTGTCCAAAAGACCAGCTTGGGACATGGGGTGGAGATGATTTCTGTCGTTAACACAGCCACATCTTCCCCCAAGTCAATGGGCAATCAGAGCTCTGTGTACTCTGATTCATTGCAGGACTGACCATGTCACTGGTTTTAACCCAACATGATGTCCTTTCTAGCATGGTCCTCACTCTAGGAGATAAAGTAGCTGTCTTCATGAGTGATTGCTTCCAGACCCAATGAAGAGAAACTCATGTGTTTGAAATGCCTGCCATTCTTCTCCATTTCACCATAAAGTAGCCAACTTAATTTTGCACAATACTGTTTGATAACAACCACGTGTGTGTCTTCTATATTTATATACTCAGGAAAGGACCTACTTGGTCAGTGTGAGATGATTTCACAAGAAAAATGGAACCAGATGTGACTCCTTTTTATTTGGCTCTTCAAGCTCAAGCATTCTAATTCCAGGGTCAGCCTTTACACGGGTTTTCGGTTACCTTGCAGAAGAGGATCCTTTTACACTACAGCGTTTGCTTTTCCAAGGTCCCTGACAAGCAGAAGTAGGCAAAAGATTTTAGGGAATTTGTTCTCAGCTTAGCACTTTCCAACATTTCCAGGCCTAGAGATTCAGTGGGACAGACTGTATCCTCTTTTGGAATAATGGAACATGCCTGTTCAGTAGTAGACATCCCCACCTTTAATTCAATCATTCTTCCAACTTCCCAGAATGCACAAGCACTTTGGGCCTGGAACTCAAGATCAGATAGTGCTAAAGTGACTCATTCAAAACTCCAAAGCCAAGGAGTGGGCAGGACTGACATCAGAGAAGGTCAGGCTTTACTCCTTTCATCTTGGTTCTTCTTTTCCTAAACAAACAAACAAACAAACAAACAAACTTTCATCCCAACTTGTGCTGGCAGGCCTGCCATGTACAGCGGTACAGTTTGTGCACTGCACAAAAATGCTTACTGCCAAGGGAGCAATTAGGGGCTGAAATGCAGTCCATGCTACACTTATCAAGACATGTACCCCAGAAAGTGATACATCTTCTTGGAAGAAGAAGCACCCCCCATGAAACGCCTCCCCGCCAAAATATTAACTGCTCACCAAGTTGGCAACCGTGTGCGTACATCTTTGCAGCAGTGCACTTTTCTAAGAAGCAGCATGTGCTAGTGGTATCTTGCATACTGGTGACAGCCTGAGATATGAATAAATATGCAAACTGCAGAGGATGTGTCATCTAGTCCTGTGTATATTAGTACTGCTCAATGAGCCACACTCAGCCCCAAGATAAGTCATCTAGAGAGGCTTTAGATGCAGGATAACCACTACATGGCACTTGTGCCACGACTGCTACAGCAGATGTGACTCATAAGTCCTGGAATTCTTTCATAGCCCAAATTCGTCACAATCCTTTTCCACTCAGTGGAGCACTCTGCTCAATCACTACCAATTAAATAGAGTTGGCATTCAAGAGAACACCTATCTGCCATCTGCCCCAGCTAGCTCTTGCCACAATAATGCTCCATAACAAATTACCCCACAACTCAGTGGCTGAAGACAGGAATCATTTATGTTTATTCTCCTATCTCTATGGGAGCTGTGCTTTGGCTAATCGAGGCTGACAGGCCAAGAGTGCTCTGCTTCGAGCTGCCGTCCAGCTGGGCTTGTCTTCTTGCTGTGAGTTGGACTTGAGTCTGCTCAATATGTATCCATTCTGGAGTCTGTGCTGAAAGGTTGCAGCCAGCCAGGGGCCATTCTTCTCATGGCAAGAGAAGAGGCACAAGAGGGCAAGCCCAGCCACACGAGCACATTTTCAGTCTTTGCTTATGTCGCATCCACTAACGTCTCATTGACCAAAGCAAGTGATGCAGCCGAGCCCAAAATCAAGGGGTGGAAAGGATGCCCTCTCACTCCAACATAAAGGCCAGGGTGAAGAATTGTGAGAAAGGCTGGGCATGGTGGCTTATGCCTATAATCTTTGCATTTTGTGAGGGCAAGGCAGGAGGATCATTTGAGCCCAGGAGTTTGATTCCAGCCTGGGCAACATAGTGAGACCCCATCTCTGCAAAAATAAAAAAATTGGGCATGGTGGCACAAACCTGTATTCCCAGCTACTTGGGAGACTGAGGTGGGAGGATTGCTTGAGCCCAGGAAGTCAAGGCTGCAGGGAGCTATGATGGTGCCACTGCACTCCAGCCTGGGTGACAGAGTGAGGCCCTGTCTCAAAAAGAAAAGGGAGCAAGACTTGGAGCTGCCACAGCATCTGTGCCGTAGGCAAAGGGGCAGGAGAAGTATCAAACCACATTTGGTGTGATGTTCCCTGCTTGGCTGGTGCTCCTATAAAGCTGTCATTAAACCCACCTTCCCTAGACAGCCAATCAACCTCTTGGCCTAGGAAGGGAAATAACAGGGAAGGCTGAACTTCAGAGCCCAGGATGAGGGATAGAGTGGCTCTTTATAAAGTCCAGCTGGTGAACCTGGTGAATAATAATTAAGCTGGATCTGAAACAGGTGTTTGCTCTAGGAAATGGGTCCACGTAAATAAGTGAGAGGGCCAGGTGGATTCAGGGTGCTCAAGCTTCAGGGTGTGTGATTTGGAAGAAACAAGAGAGTGAAGGAACAAGAGCAGAAGTGATGGCGGTTTAGGACAGAGCAACCCAGAGCTTGGAAACCCTTGCTGGGCCGCGCCCGAAGGGCTTTTCATTTTCACTCATCAAAAGGAAAGCATCCCTTCAGGCCACAACATCTCTGATGATGGTGACCGTCATCAAGGGTTAATCTAGAAAATTACAGAGCCAATGTCCTGCCCTCCAGGACTTCACAATCTGAGATGGAAACACAAGCAGCAACTCTAAGGAGTAAAATATAAACAAAGAACCAAGATGATGTGAGGCAGACAGGCGGCAAAGGGAGTTCCAGCTGTAGAGAAGGAAAAGCAGGGATCGAACCCAGCAGGCTACTGGGAAAAATGGGCATTCAGAAACTCCTTACGGGAGTGCTGCGCAACCCGAACAAGGATGTGACTTAACAGAGGACAAGGAAGTAGAGGTGAGGGGTGGGGAGAGAGGACATTTACTATGGATCTGGAGAGAAGAGAGTGGAGGGAAGGGGCTGGATCATGAGCTCAGTCATGTGCTGCTCAAATGATGGTCAAGAGCTTTGCACTGGTCTGACAAGGAGGCTTTAGAAGGGTTGTAAGGGGCTGGGCATGGTGGCTTACACCTGTAGAACCAGCACTTTCAGAGGGCAAGGCAGAGGGATTGCTTGAGGCTGGGAGTTCAAGACCAGCCTGGCCAACATGGCAAAACCGTGTCTCTACAAAAAATACAAAAGTCAGTCAGGCATGGTGGCATGGACCTGTAGTCCCAGCTACTTGGGAGACTGAGATGGGAGAAAACGCTTGAGCCCAGGAAGTCGAGACTGCAGTAAGCCATGATCGTGCCACTGCACTACAGCTTGGGCGCCTGAGTGAGACCTTGTCTCAAAATAATGTAAAAAATAAATAAATAAATAAATAAATAAATAAAAGAAGGGCTGTAAGGATTTCCCTATAAGAAAAGTTTAGCTGCCTGTTTAAAAAAAAATTACAATGCTGAGTACAAAACAAAAAGGTTGACAGGAAGACTTGTTACCTCCCAATCGGACATCTTAGAAAAGGGAATTAAAAAGGGAGGAGGTCACCAGGTCTGCATAACCCCCACCCACAAGGACACCAAACCAAATCTAACCCGCCTGTATCCCATCCTAATTGTGTGGATCCATTAGGCCAGGCTCTGTGGGAAGTACTTTATATATTACCACAAAACTGTGAAGTAAGTACTATTATCATCCCTTTCTACATATGAGGAAACTGAGGCTTCCAAAGTCATGTGGTTAGAGAATGCTAGTGCTAGGAGTTGAACCCAGGCCATCTGAATTTAGAACCCACATCCTTAACCACTGTATAATACAAACCCTAAGAGGCTTCACTTGCTTAAAAGACACAACAGACCAGGCCGGGCATGGTGGCTCACGCCTGTAATCCCAACACTTTGGGAGGCCAAGGCAGGTGGATCACCTGAGGTCAGGAGTTCGAGACCAGCCTGGCCAACATGGTGAAACCCTGTCTCTCCTAAAAGTCCAAAAAATTAGCTGGGTGTGGTGGCACACACTTATAATCTCAGCTACTAGGGAGGCTGAGGCAGGAGAATCACTTGAACCTGGGAGGTGGAGGTTGCAGGGAGCCGAGATCGGGCCATTGCACTCCAGCCTGGGCAACAAGAGTGAAACTGTCTTGAAAAAAAAAAAAAAAGACACAACAGACATTGAGTTTACTTTAGCTAGGCCCAGCCAGCAACTGTAGGACGTGTTTGCCAATCAAGATGCCAAAATATGGCTAGGAAGTTTTCAGCCACCCAGAAAATTGATGTGGCCTCATTTTCCACATTGTTCTGAAAAGCATGCTTACTAAAACATCCAAGACCCTTGGGAATGTTCTTTTATCAAATGGGTCCCAGGTTTTTCCCTCTGTGCTGCAAAATCCTGGTGTGTTTTCTTTAGGAGAGAAGTAAAGTGTTAGTGACAGGCAAAGAGAGGCTGAGGGAAATATACTCTTCCCTTTCAAGCCAGGTTAACCAAGTCTGGTTTGTAGGCAGGTGAATCATTGATTTTCCTCTCTTCTCCAGAGAGCACTGCCATAGTTACATGGATAAAAGCCGAGGAATAAAGACAGAATTGAATGGTCTAGGTTGAAAGGAAACTTTTGAAACAGGTTAGAAGCATCCAGTCGGGGGTTGGTTTGCAGTGTGAAATGTCTACTATCCAAGCAAGATGCCCAACATTGTTTAGTTGTGGTTGAGAGAGAGGAAAGGTTACATAATTATCATGCCTTCTGAAAGCTTAAAGGAAACCATTTTCTTTTGTCTTCTTTGTTGTTACTTGCAGCTTGTACCCGCTGTTCTGCAAGTCTGACTTTGAGCCTGGATTTTTCTGAAAGAGTTTAGGGTTTTTGCTTTTATAATGCCAAACTTCACACAACCCACAGTCAACTTTCACTGATGCTGAGGCTCCCATCTTGCAAAGAACCGTCTCAAAATCATCAGAGAGGGACTGACAATGCTAGGACAGGTGGGTGGGAAGGAAGCCACTTTGCCTGGATGCCCGGTGAAGCATGACCTGCTCTGGGACCCTGGGAAATATTCTTGGAGAAACTGTCTTCCAGTAGAGATCAGTCAAGACATTATCACATCTTTCAAGGGAGGTAATTCGTCTTTGGTAAAAAGAAGGTAGAGGAAGGTGGTGGGTGGGACTGCAAAATAGGAAACATCAATTCACATCCACATATATTCTTTGAAGGCCAGAAAATGTACTAAATAAAGCAAAGAACCAAATGCATTTTAGCCAGTTTTCATGAGAACCTCAAGAAACAATCTTAGCAAAAGGTAAGAAAACAAATGAGCAAACTGGGTTTTCTTTCCAGGCCAAAGAACCATAGATTTTTTTTTTTTTTTTTTTTTGAGATGGAGTCTCACTCTATCGCCCAGGCTGGAGTGCAGTGGTGCAATCTTGGCTCACTGTAGCCTCCACCTCCCAGGTTAAAGCGATTCTCAAGCCTCAGCCTCCCAAGTAGCTGGGATTATAGGCGCCCGCCACCACACCTGGCTAATTTTTGTATTTGTAGTAGAGACAGCATTTCACCATGTTGGCCAGGCTGGTCTTGAACTCCTGACCTCAGGTGATCCACCTGCCTTGGCCTCCCAAAGTGCTGGGATTACAGGCATGAGCCACCGCACCCAACCAGAACCATAGATTTTGAATGGAATCAGTTAGGAGAAACAGAATTCTATGCATAAAAGTTTGTGACAGTTGATGTGAGGGCTGCATCCCTGTAGCCCCATGTACTCTCTGAAATAAGCCAGAAAAGTCAAGATAAAGATCATTCTGTGGACCTGTCATCAAAAGAGCACAGACTGGAAGGTGATTTTCCAACACTAGATGGGGTAAGTTGTGTTGAACCATCTGTGCTTCTCCACTGAGTGTGTCTTGTGACAAACTGCAGATATTTGCCAGGTGGAAGATCAAGGTTAAAGATTTGATCTGAGCAAAACTATTTGATCCATCTGGCCCAAGGCAACCCCTCAAGTCTTGGCCGCATTAATGCTGTTCTCACTTGTCAACCAGTTCATGCTCTAATTTGCTCACTTCCTTTTTCTTCTAGGTTTCTTAACACATGAAAGAATTTTCACCCCAGTTCTTCCTCACTAAACTCCATTGTGATTCTCTTTGGAAAATAATGACTCCCCTTCAGCCCTTAGCTGGAGAGACTCAGAGATTGGACCAAGTCACAGAGATCCTTTGGGCTCAGCTTGCAAGACTACTTCACAGGTCAAGCCAAGTTTTGAGGGTGAATGAAAATTAGAACAACCTGTGCAGCCAAGTATGTGGGGGTGAGGACTTTGGGACACACGAGAGTCCTCAGAGCCATCTGCCTGGACTGCAGAAGGAAAGCCTGCAGATGGCAGGGCCACTTCTCATGAGCAGGAATATTGTTTTTGCACTTTTCACTAGTAGCAAATGCTGCTAGTAGCCTTTCTTGCCTACTTTCTCAGGAATGGCACTCTACTTAGCTCTTTCGAGTTGGGCATGTGGCCTGATGACTATATTGACCATCCTTTCTTGCAGCGACTAAGCACTAGCCAATGAGGTACAGGAAGCTGTAGGTGCCATGCTGGGAACATCCTCAAAGGGAAGGGAGTGTGCTCTTATCCTCCCTCTTTCCTCCTTCCTGCTGGCTGCAATGCAGACATGATGGCCTGAACTAGAGTAACACTTTCATTCTATGAGGACAAGGGTCTTACCCTAGGTCTTCAGATTTTTTGCTCTTAGGACACACTTGTTATGGTCTGAATGTCTGTATCCCCCCAGAATTGCTACGTTGAAGTCATGCCCCCCAAAGTGATAGTATTTGGGAGGTGATCTGGTCATGAGGGTGGAGTCCTCATGAATGGGATCCAGGGTGCCCTTATTAAAAAGAGCCTAGAGGGCTAGCCCCGCCCTTCCCTGTGAGGACGCAGTGAAAAGTCACCATCTGTCATAGACAGCCAGAATCCAGATTCCTCATGGGAGAAAAGTAAATGAAGCTTCTTTGTAGTTGAAGAGGCTGCTATTTGGGGCCTTTTGTCCTTTGTGGAAAAACATAAACCTAAATCATCTGCTCTTTGAGGGGAGGGTTAGTGGGATATACACAGTGGCCCTATTTCTGTGATTTTTTTGTCTCCCCAGAGGCTAAAAATAACACATGCATTCTTACGCAATTTGAGCAAATTTTTAAAAGACAAAAATTTTCAGGAAGGCATTCCTTTTTCTCTTTTGTCAGCTTTTAAGATAAAATACCTTCTTACATGCATACATATGTTCACTGCAGCACTATTCACAATAGCAAAGACATGGAATCAACCCAAATGCCCATCAATGATAGAGTGGATAAAGAAAATGGGATACATATACACCATGGAATACTATGCATCCATAAAAAGGAAAAAGGTCACGTAATTCGCAGAGACATAGATGGAGCTGGAAGCCATTATCCTCAGCAAGCTAACACAGGAACAGAAAGCCAAACACCAAATGGCCTCGCTTATGAGTGGGAGCTGAACAATAAGAACACAGAGAGGGGAACAATACAAACAGGGGACTCTCAGGGAGTGCGAGGGGAGGGAGAGCATCATGATAAATAGCTAATGCATGCGAGGCTTAGTACTTAGGTGATGGGTGGATAGGTACACCAAACCACTATGGCACACATTTACCTATGTAACAAACCTGCACGTCCTGCACATGTATCCCAGAACTTAAAATAATAAATAAATAAATAATAATAAAAATATCATGTTCACTTTTCCTACATAATGAGGGGAGCTCTACATGGAAATTCTGAGCCATGGGGTTCACTTGATGTGCAGTTGCACCACATTCTAAACATCGTTCCTGAATTTAAAAGCACAACACAGCACAGAGTTAACATTGATCTTCCCAACACCCCTGCGAGATGAGTGTGGTTATCCCCATTCTGCAGATGAGGAAGCCAGAACATGAAGGAGCTTGGCTATTATTATAATATCATGCTTACCATTTTCAAAGCTTCCCTGTTCATTAATTAGCACATCCTCTCAATAAGCCTGTCAGGTACATAAGTGTACTTTGTCCTCACATCCAAGCACTCCTATATCCTTTATGAATCCGGAACTCATTAGTAATCTTCCAACATCCTCTGAAGCTTGTGGAGTATCTGGAAGAAAGAGGAGTAGGTATGTGGAGGAAGGAAGCTGCAACCCCCCGGGTTAAAAAGGAATGAATGAAGTGGTCGGGTCATGCCTGAAGCAAGATCACAAGATGGTTAAATATCAACCTGTTGTCCAGATCATTAGAATGCCCATCTGGGACTCTCTCTACTTCTACTATGAGCTCCTCTCTCAGAGTCCGATACCAGTTATATTCAGGGTAGGACCTACTACAGCTAGCTCCCCATGAGTGTGTCTTAAATACAGATCCATGAAACATTGCTGTGAGGCCCAGCAAGCCTCCAGCTTCACCTGCATTCTACTGGAAGCACCCTTATTGAAGAAGTACTAAGACCATTCAGTGGTCCCTCCCAACTTCTCTGAAGGTATATTTCAGTGGGTTTAAAATAGACTAGGGAAAGGAAAAACCATCAAGCTATTGATACTCCTCTAATGGCTATAAGTGGTTGAGAAAATGACTGCCAAAAAATCTGGTAGTGGATCCTGCTGTAA
The DNA here is from genome assembly GCF_000001405.40 of Homo sapiens. Taxonomy (NCBI): domain Eukaryota; kingdom Metazoa; phylum Chordata; class Mammalia; order Primates; family Hominidae; genus Homo; species Homo sapiens. The sequence continues at coordinate 65,397,618 of NC_000017.11, forward strand.
AACATGACATGGTACTTACAGCATGCAACATACTGCCATAAATTGTGCAAGCTCCAATGCCATAGGGCATGAAATTTAATTTTTTAGTGAGGGAAGGAAGAAATGGAAATAGTGCAGCCTTCTGGGGGTGGGCATGGTATTCCCCGAAGCACTTTATAAGTCTATAAGGAATTAAATAGTCAAGTTACAGATAACATAATTGGTCATATTACAAGGGAAAATGAATAAAATAGGTTACCATAATTTTTCAGAAGAATGAACTTTAAAAAAATATGTGTTGATTTTTTCCCCATATCTCTACTCCACAGATAATTTCAGCAAGGCAAGAATGTATTATTGATGAATGAGCAAAGATGAATATAATATTATGGCTTAGGATAACACATAGAATTTACTCATTTTCTATGTGATAATGCAAATAATATTATTCTTGCTCATACTTTCTTCATCTCTCCTTGCCTTCTTCCTTGCTAAGAATTTTTTCATGGGAAAAATAAAAAATACCTATCTCTATCAAAATCACAGCTCTTAAGGGCCATAATAAGTCACAACTGGCACAACTCTCAATGATACATCAGTATTTGTAATTCATGACTGGCTTGGCACTCTTACAGAGCTACATTGGAATCCATCCTAATCCGTTGATTAACATAGAGACCAAGAGGATAACCTCTTGCATTCCTTCCCATTATTACGATGTCCATCACCAACAGAATTATGCATCCATTGTATTATGAGTAACAAAGTAACCTGCAACACTTGAAGTAAAAATTGGACCTACTGAGAATGCCTCCTCTAGGCCAAGGCACTCAAAGCGTGGTCCACAAACTGATGTTGGCCCATGAACTGATTTGACTTTGCCACAACATCTTAGATGATCCCAAATGATCAGTGGACTTGTCTCATTGAACAGTGTATAGATCATTTCTGGAGCTGTCTGACTCCCTTGGTGAGTCATTTTGGTGATGCCTGACACCAGTCTTGTGCAGTAGAACTGCATGTTGGTCTGTAATTTGCTGAAAATGAATGCAAACTAAAATAAAATAAGTAACCACAGTGAGGTTAAGAAGCACCATTGTAGCCCATTTTAGTCATGGAACCAATATTCTCTGCAGAGGTGAGTGTCTTGCTGCTGGACAGAGTTGAATATAGAGATTTGAATTTCTTTCTTTTTGAGACAGAGTCTTGGTTTATCACCCAGACTGGAGTGCAGTGACGCGATCTTGGCTCACTGCAACTTCCGCCTCCCAGGTTCAAGCAATTCTCATGCCTCAGCCTCCTGAAGTAGCTGGGATTACAGGGGTGCACCATCACACCCAGCTAATTTTTGTATTTTTAGTAAGGACAGGGTTTCACCATGTTGGCCAGGCTGGTCTTGAACTCCAAGTGATCCGCCCGCCTTGGCCTCCCAAAGTGTTGGGATTACAGACATGAACCATGGTGCCCAGCTGAGATCTGAATTTCTAATAAGTAAACCCCTTTGGGTAAACATGTCCCTCCAAGCTAAGAAGCGGGCATTTGGGAGAGAATGGAATTGATTTAAAGGGGAAGGACATAACTCTCTTGTTCTGGAGATTGCCAGGACAGTAAATGGAACATGAATTGAGTCCATTATGTGGATCAAACCCTAAGCCCAACAAATCTAATTTCCCAGGTACATCCAGATCCCCAAATTTCCACTTACTGGAAATTGTAGTGCAAGGCTCAAAACCTCCCCCTTTATACATCTGTTTACAGACATAATATTTGATCAGAGAGAAGTTTAAGTCAGTTGTTTTGTGATTGAGTAGCTCAAGAATATAACAGGTTTGCTCATCGAGGACAGGTATCAGAGGTGCTTCATGACGGTGTGGTGATGGCGAGCACAAGAACAGTTCTTCCTGGTCCCCATCTTCGTCAATGAATTTCCTTGATCATTTCCTAGGTTTAAATTTGTAAAGGTGAGTTTGCACCAATATGTTCACTCAGGGGACATGCCTCAAAAGGGTGTTTAGAAACTTCCAGCAGCTGGAGGCATGGTATCCAGTGTCATTCTTCTTCACACCACCTGCCAATCCCCTTTGTCATCTCCAGATCCCCAGATCTTCTTTTTTGTTTTTTCTTTTTTTGAGATGCAGTCTTGCTCTGTTGCCCAAGCTGGAGTGCAGTGGCACAATATCGGCTCACTGCAACCTCTACCTCCCCAGTTCAAGTGATTCTTCTGCCTCAGCCTCCTGAGTAGCTAGGACTACAGGTGCGCACCACCACACTGGCTAATTTTTGTATTTTTAGTAGAGATGGGGCTTCACTATGTTGGCCAGGCTGGTTTTGAACTCCTGACCTCAGGTCATCTGCCTGTCTCGCCTCCCAAAGCGCTGGGATTACAGGCATGAGCCACCGCGCCCAGCCTACTCCCAGATCTTCTAATAGCCAAGTTGGAATCAAACACCCAAGAGAAAAATATTTTAAACTACCGTCCAAAAACAGTATGTCTGTAATTAAGAGAAGATTTTAATCTTTAAACAGGCAAACCAACACATGTTAAATGCACAGAGAACCAGACCAAAAAAAAAAAAAAAAAAAAAAAAGCTGAAAACTTGAAACGTTTCATTTTTTTAAATATGCAGATTTCTAAGAAAATGTTCCTGCTGAGGGCATCTTAAATTTTGGCTTAATATTAATTGACAGTCACATCAGTGTGAAAACAGTGGTTTGAAGAAAATTTCTTCGGCCAGAGTGTTACATACTGCTTTGTTCTTTCATACTTTTCAGCAATCAGGAAAGAATGGTTAAGTATCTCTTAGTATTGAATCACAACAGAAAGAACTAAAATTCAAGAATGATCTTAACAGGAATAAGTTGGATACAGTTCTGCCTAGAAATGGGCATGACCCAGAAATGAGAGCTCAGCTTCCTTCCAAGTTTAAACTCCCAGGATAACTAACTTGAAACTAAGGATAAGTCTATTGATTGATTCAGATAAGCTTAATTAAAAATGCTTTTCCTAAATGTACTTTGAACTTGAGTTTTTACAGAGCCCTTCTCTTGAATACCTTATCAACAGGCAGCCAACAGAATCTTCCTTCCCTTCCTTCTTCCTGCCTTCCTTCTTTTGTTTCTCCTTCCCTCCCTCCTGTTTCCTTTCTTACCTTTTCTTTTCCTTTTTTCTTCCTTCTTTTTGTCCTTTCTTCTTTTTTCTTTTTTCTTCTTTCCTTCATTCTTAATCCTTCTTTCTCTTACTTTTACCTTTCTTGCCTTTCTTCTCTTCACCCTTTCCTCTTTTCATCCTTTTTTTCTGTCTTTCCTGCCTATTTTTTTGTCCTTTTCTTTAACCCTTCCTTCCTTCCTTCCTGCCTCCCTTCCTCCCTCTCTTCATCTGTCTCCCTCCCTCCTTCCCTCCCTCCCTTCCTTCCTTCCCTTCTTCCTTCTTTCTTTGCATTATTCTTTCTTTTTTCTGCTTTATTTCTCTCCTTCGTGCTTTTCCTTTTTTATCTTTCTTTGTCAGCTTCCTTTATTTTCTTTCTCTTTGCTTTCTTCTATTACGTCTTTCTCTTTATTCTTTCCTGCTTTTCTTTCATAGCCTTTTCCTTTCTCCTTGCTTAATTTTTTTTTAATTCTAGATGTGTGGGCAAAACACTTTCTCCAAATTGGTTCCATGCAGTACTTATTCATCAGCTCCAAGCTGCGAAAACAAAAGCAAAAAGCTTACAATCACTTCTTATTTCCAAGACAATAAAATGTTTTGATATTATAGAACATAACTTACTAAAATTAGTAAAAACATTGCCCCCTACTAACACTTTCCTTTGAAAACTTGCTCTGTGCAAGTTTCTTTAAAACCTCAGAAGCATTAAATCCTCATTAATATAAACCCAGTGTATTTACGGTGTCAAAATATGTTTTAGAAAAGCCAAAAGCAACCGTTACACAAGTTGCCTCATTATCAATAATCTAGCATTATGCCTTTTATGTGTCATTTCTTTACACAATATACTATCATTGACGACTTTTAGCAAATACATCATGGCAAAGGATTACTCTCATCAGAGGCAGCCTTTGAAAAGGATATGCTAATTTCTAGGGAGCAAGAAAACATCAAAACAGTGCCAGCAAATAGCCAAGGGACTTTTATGTCTTAATATCCCTCAGAAGTGCTTTATCTCCTAGTGCAACGTGTATCATAGTATAAACAGGAAATGAAACAGCCACAGCATCAAAGAAGCGCCAGGCCATGGCTGTAATTTCAGATCAGGTTTAATAAAGGTTATCTATAGTAGGCTAATCAAACAAAAGGGTGCATGTTTTAAAGAGCCATTTGATAATTTCCATTTAAGGTGCCCTATCAAAGAGATCCTAACAATGTCTTAAGACTCCCGCTGAGTCCCAGCACCTCCTTTCCAACACGACTCCCTTGAATGGTTGCAAGCCTATCTAGATCTCCTAATTTTTAGTTGATTCTAATTTTGAGGTGATCAGCTTAACAGAATTTGACTTACTTTCTTGCAGGCCTTGATTTAAAATATATATATATATATATAATTTTTTTTCTGTGTATGTATATATATATTATATATATGAACAAAAGAATCAAAACTGGAACAGAGTGTGAGCACCAAGAGAAGAGTATCTGGAAAGGCACCAAGCAATTATATCCAGATCCACAGCCAAGCAAAGGCAAGTTATCAGGCAAGTTTTTCCATAGAAATACTTGGTGCCTCCAATACGGCACTGAATTTAAGTCCAGCACAGCATCAACTCATGGCTTTCACCAGAGCCTGAACTTGAGAGCAACCACATGAAACAGTCCTTCTTCTACTTATCAGTTAGGTAGAGGAAGTGTCATTAAGTAGTTCAGCCTTCAAGGTTCTGATTTAGGTACCAAAAACGTGTCTTGGTATACCCGTGTCAGTGAATGACCAAGAAAACGAATCCAATTTTCTCTCTGCTCCATACTGACCATAAACGCCTTGACAATCGTAAACCTGAGATCTGCAGACAGAGAGCAGAAGGCAGATGCTTCAACATCGGGCTCAGCCCTGAGCTGGGAGCCATCCCGTGTCTTGGGTGACACAGCACCACACCTTCGCCCCCATGCAACCACTCTGCAGTCCAGCCGGGACTCGGCCCCGCTTCCTAGCTGGGCAGAGAATACCCCTAACATTTGCAAATCAAATGCCTCATTCAGCTCCTCCCAGTTGATGACCATGGAGATGCTGGAGGACAGATGGGCCACCTGTCAAAAAATCTCATCAGGGGAGAGACAGTCAGGAGGGAAAATGTCATCTGCTTAGAGGAGGTCCTGGCTCAGCTGGGGTCCAAGTAAGTCAGTCTGCTGAGTCCTCCCCTCCAGGCATTCCCAGGAAAACTGAGTAGGCTATGGCCAGTCTCTGGGCTTATTCTGTTCCATGGGGGATGTCGGGGGTAGAGTGGGTAGGGGAGTTTCTGGCTGGGGACATCTACACTTTTGGGTCCCCCCACCCCCACCAATGTCCCAGCTGTAAGCCTCTCCAGAAAACAAGGCCTTCCTGCTTTTCCCTAGGCTGTGCCTCCGAGCCCCTCCACAGACCCCAGGGAGGGGGAGAAGGGGGCCCTCAGGCACATGGCCTGCAGCCCATCCATCTCAGCCCATCAGGCAGGCAGGGCTGAGCTGCATCTCCCCACCACTCCCACCCCCCAGCTGTTGCCATGACAGGCCTCTGTGCAGTGGAGATCCAGGCAGCCCAGACACTGGTGGCCAGGGCACGGAGGGTCAACGCCGTGGCTGGGGCAATGCCATATGCCAAGGCCCGCGGCTCCGGGCTCTATCCACCAACAGTCGCCCACTGGGACCCCTCCAGCTCATTGTTGAAGCAGCTGGGGGGCGGGACATTTTATGCTTTGTTGAGAGATAGTCTGCCTTTTTCATCTCTTCCCTAGACCTCTGGCCCCCAACAGAGGCCTAACTATGTTCAGCCCAAGCGCACCAATTGGCTACGAGCCGGGGCTACGTGAGGGCAATGTTGATGCGGCCAGGGTCGCAGAGTGGAGTCAATGGTCCACACCCCCCACTCCCACCCAGGCCCAGAATCTAGCCCCCACGAGCAAAACTCAAGTTTGACAAATTCCCACAGCACAAGCGACCCAACCCATCCGAATTCCAAACCTGTACTGTAATTTCTCCACCCTTATATTCTGTGTGTAGGAATCTGATAAAACAAAAACTCAATCACTCCCACAAACAATGCCTGCTGCCCCATCCATTCAGGGTAACAGATCAAAGGCACCAAGGACAGACAGAGTCATAAACATCAATCTCAATCCCCCAAGAGCTTTATCCCTGGATCTCCACCCCACCCATTACAAACGTACAAATGTGGTCTGGAGGCTCTGGGATGAGTTTCAGGACAAGTGTCTTTACTTTCTGTGCAAGCTGGCCAGGGGAAAAGTTCTAGGGAAAATAAGCTTGTCAAAGTCAATTTTTAAAGGCTTGCTTGTAACTGGAGTGAAGCTTTTAGTTTTTTCCTTCCTTATAACTTAACTTTTAGCCAATAGGGAAGTTGCCTGGCTAATAGGTAAGTTTGTGTCAGTTGGGGCTACAGGAAACTACCTATTACTATCATTTTTAATTTTATTCACTCATTAAGTATTTCTGGAGGGGTTTCTTTTTTTTTTAAGACAAGGTCTCACTCTGTTCCCCAGGATGAAGTGCAGTGGCGCAATCTCAGCTCACTGCAGCCTAGGCCTCCCGAGCTCAAGCCATCCTCCCGCCTCAGTCCTCCAAGTAGCGGGGACTACAGGCGTGAGCCACCATGTCTGGCTAATTTTTTAATATTTTGTAGAGATGTGGTCTCACCATGTTGGCCAGTCTCAAACTCCTGAGCTCAAACAATCCTCCTGCCTTGGCCTCCCCAAAGCACTGGTATTACAGGCATGAGCCACTGAGCCCAGCCAGGGTTTCTTTTTACATAAGCTCAGAAGGACACCTACTAGAGTTCAGAACCCACTCTGTTTTATGTGAATATAATATTCCACTCCTCAGAGGGCCGTTACAGCAGTGGGTCACTCTAATTGCTATACTGCCATGAGAGTTTCTTTGGGGAGTCCAAGCGACACATGAGAACTAGAACTTGGATAGACCTGGATTTCAATCCAGCACTGCAATTCATTATCTGTGAGAGCCTTGATCTCCTCTTCTATAAACCTTATAGGACTGTTGTGAGGATGAAATTGTCAATAATTATAATGGCAAATTCATTGAATTCTTAGTATGGACTAGGCATGGTGCTAGGCACATAAACCTTTCTTATTTAATCTCAACTACACTATGAGATAGGTATTACCATTATTTATATTTCAAAAATGAAACAGGAACAGAGAGGTCAAGCAAGGTGCACAAGATCACACAGCTACCTAATGGTGTAGTTGAGATTTGAACCCAGACAAACATGCATGAACATAAAATTACAATGTGGAGAACAAGTGAAAAAAAGATGGACCTGTGCTATCTGATACATGAAGACAGCACAGACAGAACATGTCCACCATCACAGAAGGTTCTACTGGGGGCCAGGCACAGTGGCTCATGCCTATAATCCCAGCACTTTGGGAGGCCAAGGCAGGCAGATCACCTGAGGTCAGGAGTTCAAGAGCAGCCTGGCCAACTTGGCGAAACCCTGTCTCTACTAAAAATACAAAAATTAGCCGGGTAGGGTGGCAGGCACCTGTAGTCCCAGTGATTCAGGAGGCTGATGGAGGAGAATCGCTTGAACCTGGGAGGTGGAGGTTGCAGTGAGCCAAGATAGTGCCACTGCACTCCAGCCTAGGTGACAGAGCAAGACTCCATCTCAAAAAAAAAAAAAAAAAAAAAAAAAAATATATATATATATATATATATATTACATGAAACCTCAGTGTATTCCATAAACAAAAGTGCCACATCAATTAGCATTTATTAATTTTCTAAAGTCAAATTAGACCAGGCACAGTGTTTCACGCTTGTAATCCCAACACTTTGGGAGGCCTAGGCGGGTGGATCACTTGAGGCCAGGAATTCGAGACCATCCTGGCCAACGTGGTGAAACCCCATCTCTACTAAAAATACAAAATTTATAGCTGGGCATGGTGGCATGTGCCTGTAAGCCCAGCTACTCGGTTGGCTGAGGCACGAGAATCACTTAAACTCAGGAAGCAGAGGTTGCAGTGAGCCGAGATTGCGCCACTGCACTCCAGTCTCCACTGCACTTCAGCCAGAGTAAGACTCTGTCTGAAAAAAGTAATAATTTTAAAAATAAGGTCAAATTAATAACATTTACTAATTACAAAGTCGGTGATAAACATGATTTTTATATATGGTAATTTATATACTACTTATTTTTAAACAATTTTTATTGTGAAATATTACATATGCATATGAAAATGCATAGAAAATAAATGTGGAGCTTAACGAATAATTACAATGTCGATGCCCAGGTAGCCACCATCCATGTGAAGAAATTGAACATTGCCTGTAATTGAGTCTCAATTTCCTTTCCACCCCGCTCCCTGCCCCTTTCCAATCACATCCCCTTCCACCCGCCAGAGTTTTCTGCCATCATGAAGCTGTTTCAGTTGATGAAAACAATGTTAAATTTAGGGTTATAGATGCAAAATCAGCAAACAGCTTGTGAGTTAAGAACGATTTCTAGGGCTACAGTGGCTCACACTTGTAATCCCAGCACTTTGAGAGGCTGAGGTGGGAGGGTCCTTTGAGTTCAGGAGTTCGAGACCAGCCTAGGCAACATAGTGAAACCCCGTCTCTACAAAAAATAACAAAATTATTCAGGTATAGTGGAACACACCTGCAGTCCCAGCTACTCAGGAGGCTAAAGTGGGAAGATTGCTTGAGTCTGGGAGGTCAAGGCTGCAGTTAGCCCTGATCTCGCCACTGTACTCCAGCCTGGGTGACAGAGCGAGACTCTGTCCCAAAAGAAAAAAAAAAAAGGCTTTAACTTTTTACGTGGTTGCAAAAAAAAATCAAAAGAACATTTCATGACACATGAAAATATATGAAATTCAAATTTCAAGGTCCACAAACAATGCTTTATTGAAACAAAGCCATAATCATTCTTTTACATATTGTACGTAGCTGCTTTTCTGCTGCCAGGGCAGAGTTGAGTAATCAGGACATAAACTGCATGTCCCACATGCAATTTATCACCTGGCTCTTTATAGAAAAAGTTCGCCTATCCCTCTTCTAGATGATAACTCATTCTTAAACCAGCCTCAACATCCAATGTATAAATTATTTCTACATTTTCATTTTGGCTATACAGTAATAAAAAACTTTTGATTCACACAGACTAGAGGTTGAGAATGGTTTGTTTGTTACACACCTCACCTTGCAATCTTAAAATACTCTTCAATTTTAAGAGGATCTGAAGACTCAAAAGAGTAGCCTGAAACTTTATTTCCAAGTTGAAATACACACAATATCTTACCTTGGCTTACATTCTTTATCGGAGATATAGAAGTGAAAGAGGAAGCATCTTTAACCTAGGATAAGTGCAGAAAACATCTATAATACCATATTATCAGGACACATATTATGTTTACTCATTATTGTGCAACTGACAAGACAATGCCAAGAACATGCACTGAGCAGATGTGCCTGAGTTCTGTCTGCCAGTGAATGGAGTCGAGCCCACGTCAGCTGTGGCAGTACAAAATTTCATGTGAGCAAACCTGCAAAGCCTGAACTTAGGAAAAAAGCAATTCATTCTTTCTAATCAATGACACATTGACAAGGATTTAAATTGACCTACAGAGACAATAAGTTACGAAAGACATTGGTGGTTTCTGATGTGTTACCATTTGGTAGATAACACTCATGTGTAGACCTGTTGTTTTTGATAACAGTTTTTGAAAGTCTTGATTTTTTAAAATAGAAATTGAATGCAGTGGTTGGGGAACCCCCAGTTACTCACACATGTTCCACTGGAATGTTCCCAGGATGAGAGAAAAAGTTGGGATTTGTTGTTGATGATTCTAAAGTAGTAATTTTCAGAGTCCAAAGATGGAGATGACTCTGCATATCAGAATTGGGGAAGGAGATGTTATATTCATAACACAGACCGCACAGAGTCAAGTCCAACAAAGCCTTCTTCTTGGGGCCTATGTTGTAAAAAGTTAATGAGCTCTGCCCTGGGACAGAGCTGAGCTGTCATTAGCATGCTTTGTGAAGAGAGGAATCAATTAGCCCACGGCAATGGCTCCATCACCTTCCCAGCACCTTCTAGAACGGCTCCTAACACTCCTTCACTCAGCCAACTATCTTTTCCCAGTCTTTTTCTCGGTTCTGTTCTCCAGCCCCACAACTCCACTGTCCTATGGACCACAACTTTCCTGACCTCCTGCTGCTCTTTCCTCTCTCAGTGCCAGGCCCAGCTGCACCATGTCATCTGCAGACTGATTCCAGAGGCCCCTATCCTGTACCAGGTGATGCCTAACAACTGAAACTGGCCCAAGACCATCAGTTCTTGCTCTGTCCCACTCCAAAACTACATTTCCATGGACTGATTCAGTATGCATCCTTGTGCTAGCTTCATACCTTCTGCCGTATATAAGACTCATGAATGGTACTCAAAGATTCTCATTATATTTTTAATGATTAAAATACTATTAATTGACATATTTATTTTAAAATATTATTTAAATTTTAAAATCAGTTCAATATTATTAAAATACTTATTTTAAAAGGAAATGTTATATTCATCCCTTTGATGGAAAAGAAGCAGGACTGCCGTGCATAAAAGATACCTCATAAAAATCAATGCAGTGGGAACAAAGCAACATTAAATTAGATTCTACATGGGTCCTACTTCAGCTGAGGGTTCTAAGCCTGGATCTTGTTCTCTGCCGTTTAAAGGTGGGGGAGATTAACAGGTTAGAGGGGTGTTAAAGCCACTCTCATCCCAGGCTGAGCCTTTCTTCTTGCCTGAGATCAAGAGGATTTAAAGAAAGTTGCAAGGAGGGGTAACTGTCTTGCTCTGTGATTCGACACTATTTAGGCTGTATTCCTTTACAGTCTAAAATCATCTCTCCTTCCTAGGAGTCACACACATCCCATAGATTGGGAAGCAACACACAGGCATACCTCGGATATTGCAGGTTCAGTTCAGACCACAGCAATAAAGTGAGCCACATAAATTTTTCTGTTTTCTCAGTGCCTATAAAAGTTATGTTTACACCATACTGTGGCCTATTAAGGGTGCAATATCATCACTTCTGGGGGAAAAAAAGGCCATAATTAAAAAACACTTTATTGCCTAAAAATGCTAACAATTATCTGAGCCTTCAGCCCGCCATCATCTTTTTGCCTCGATGTTGATGGCTACTGACTCATCAGGTGGTGGTTGCTGAAGGCTGGAGTGGTTGTGACAATTTCTTATAATAAGACAACAATGAAGTTTGTCACATCAATTGATTCTTTCACAAAAGATTTCTCTGCAGCATAAGATGCTGTCTGAGAGCATTTTACTCACTGTAGAACTTCTTTCAAGATTGGAGTCAATCCTCTCAAACCCTGTTGCTGCTTTATCAATTAAGTTTATGTAATCTTTCAAATCCTTTGTTGTCTTGTCAACAATGTTCACAATATCTACACCAGGAGTAGGTTCCATCTCAAAAAACCACTGTTCTGTCAATGGAGCAGAATAGAGAACCCAGAAATAAATCCACATATTTGCAGCCCACTGATTTTGACAGAAATATCAAGAACACACTTTGGGGAAAGGACAACCTCTTCAAAAAATGGTGCTGGGAAAACTGGATGACCATACACAAAAGGGGGGAAGTAGACCCCCATCTCACACCATACACAAAAATCAACTCAAAATGGATTAAAGACATAAATGTAAGACCTGAAACTATGAAACTGCTAGAAGAAAACATAAAGGAAATGCTTCAGGACATCTTCTAGGCAAAGATTTTATGAGTAAGACTAAAGGCACAGGCAACAAAACCAAAAATAAACAAATGGGACTACATCAACTAAAAGCCTTCTGCATAGCAAAGGAAACAATCAGCAGAGGGAAGAGACAACACACGAAATGGGAGAAAACATTTGCAAACTATTCATCTGACAAGAGACTAATTATCTAGAATTTACAAAGAACAGCATAAAGGTAAATAATTCAATTTTAAAATGGGCAAAAGATCTGAATAGACACCTCTCAAAAGACATACAAATGGCCAACAGGTATATAAAAATGCTCAATACTACTAATCATCAGGGACATGCATATCAAAACCATAATGAGATATCATCTTACCCCAGTTAGAATGGCTATTATAAAAAAAGACAAAAAATAATAAATGCTGGTGAGGATTCAGAGAAAGGGAAACACTCGTGCATTGTTGGTGGAAATGTGAATTGGTGTAGTCATTATGGAAAACAGTATGGAGGTTCCTCAAAAAACGAAAGAGAGAACTACCATAAGATCCAGCAATCCCACTACTGGGTATTTATCCAAAGGAAAAAAAAATCAGAATACCAAAGAGTTACCTGCATCCTCATGTTTATCGTGCACTATTCACAAGAGAGAAGATGTGGAATCAACCTAATTGTCCATCAGCAGATTAATGGATACAGAAAATGTGGTATGTATACACAATGGAATACTATGCAACCATAAAAAAACATGAAATCCTGTCATCCACAGCAACATGGGTGAGCCTGGAGGACATGAGGTTAAGTGAAATATGCCAGGCACAGAAAGATAAATATCTCTTGTTCTCTCTCACATGTGGGAGCTAAAAAAAAAACTTGAGCTTACAGGAGTAGAGTAGAATACTAGTTATTAGAGGCTGGGAAGGGTGGGTGAGGGGAGGATAAGGAGAGGCTGGTTAATGGATGCAAAATTATAGCTAGATAAGAAGAATAAGTTCTAGTCTTCTAACACAGCAGTCACCAACCTTTATGGCACCAGGGACCAGTTTTACAGAAGACAATTTTCCCACTGACCAGATTTGGGGTGGGATGGTTTCAGGATGAAACTGTTCCATTTCAGATCATCAGGCATCAGTTAGATTCTCTTAAGCAGTGTACACCCTAGATCCCTCAAATGTGCAGTTCACAATAGGGTTCATGCTTCTATAAGAGTCTAATGCTATCACTGATCTGAAAGGAGGTAGAGCTCAGACGGTAATGCTTGCTGGCCTGCTGCTCACCTCCTGCTGTGTGGCCCTGTTCCTAACAGGCTGGACCGCTATCAATCCACTGCCCAGAGGTTGGGGACCCCTGTTGTATAGCACTATAGGGTATACATGGTTAACAATCATTTATTGTATATTTTCAAAATGATAGAATTTTTTTATTTTTTTATTTTTTTATTTTTTTTGAGACAAAGCCTTGCTCTGTCGCCCAGGCTAGAGTGCAGTGGTTGCGATATTGGCTCACTGCAAGCTCCGCCTCCCAGGTTAAAGTAATTCTTGTGCCTCTGCCTCCTGAGTAGCTGGGACCACAGGCACCCACCACCATACCAGGCTAATTTTTGTATTTTTAGTAGAGACGGGGTTTTGCCATGTTGGCCAGGCTGGTCTTGAACTCCCGACCTCAGGTAATCCACCTGACTCAGTTTCCCAGGGTGCTGGGATTACAGCCGTGAGCCACTGCACCCGGCTCAGAAGAGAGATTTTTAAATGTTCACAATACAAAAAATGATAAATGTTTGAGGTGATGGATATACTAATTACCCTGATTTTATTTTTACATATTGTATACATGTATCAAAATATCACTCTGTATCCCATAAATATGTACAATTATTCCATATCAACTAAAAGGAAAAGAAGTTTTATCATGAGATTGCAGCAATTCAGTCACATCTCCAGGCTCCGCTTCTAATTCTCTTGCTATTTTTCCTACCTCTGCTGTAACTTTCTCCACTGACATCCTGAATCTCTCAAAGTCATCCATGGGGGTTGGAATCAACTTCTTCCAAACTTCTGTTCATGCTGATGTTTTGACCTCCTCTCATGAATCATGAATGTTCCTAATGACATCTACAATGGTGAAGCCTTTCCAATTTACTTTGCCCAAATCCATCAGAGGAATCACTATCTATGGCAGCTACAGCCTTATGAAATGTATTTCTTAAATTATAAGACTTGAAAGTCAGAATGACTCCTTGATCCATGGGCTGCAGAATGGATGTTGTGTTAGCAGACATGAAAACATTAATACCTTTACATATGTCCATCAGAGCACTTGGGTGACCAGGTGCATTGTCAATGAGCAGTAATATTTTGAAAGGAATCTTTTTTTTTTTTTCCTGAGGAGTAGGTCTCAATAATGGGCTTGAAATATTCAATGACCCATGCTGTAAAGAGATGTGCTGTTATCCAGGCTTTGTTGTTCCATTTATAGAGCACAGGCAGAGTCGATTCAGCATCATTCTTATAGGGTCCAGGGTGTTCAGAACGGTAAACTAACGTTGGCTTGAACTTAAACTCACCAGCTGCTTTAGCCCCTAACAGGAGAGTCAGCCTGTTCCTAGCAGTTTTGAAGCCAGGCATTGACTTCTCTCTAGCTACGAAAGTCCTAGATGGCATCTTCTTCCAATAAAAGGCTATTTCATCTACATTGAAAATCTATTTGTTTGGTGTAGCCAAGTACATCAATGATCTGAGCTAGAGCTTCTGGATAGCTTGCTGCAGTGTCTCCACAGCACTTGCTGCTTCGCCTTATATTTTTATGTTAAAGAGATGGCATCTTTCTTTAAACCTTATGAACCAACCTCTCCTAGGTTCCAACTTTCCTTCTGTAGCTTCCTCCCCTCTCTCAGCCTTCATAGAATTGAAGAGAGTTAGGGCCTTCCTCTGGATTAGGCTTCAGCTGAAGAGAATTTTGTGGCTGGTTTGATCTTTTATCCAGACCACTTAAACTTTCTCTATATCAGCAATAAGGCTGTCTCACTTTCTTGTCATTTGTGTGTTCACTGGAGTAGCACTTTTAGTTTCCCTCAAGAACTTTTCATTTGCATTCGCAACTTGGCTAACTGGTTGGCACAACAGGCCTAGCTTTCAACCTATGTCAGCTTTCAACATGTCTTCTTCATTAAGTTTAATTATTTCTAGCTTTTGATTTAAAGTAAGAGATGTGTGACTATTCCTTTCATATGGACACTTAGGGGTCATTGTAGGGTTATTAACTGGCCTAATTTCATTATAGCTGTTTCTCAGGGAACAGGGAGGTCCAAGGAGAGGGAGAGAGGTGGAAGAACAGCTGGTCAGTGGAGGTCAGAACACACACATTTATTAAGTTTGCCGTCTTATATGGGTCCAGTTCATGGCACCCCAAAACAATTACGATAGAAACATCAAAGATTACCAATCACTGATTACAGATCATAACAGATAAATAATGAAAAAGTTTAAAAATTGCAAGAATTAGCAAAATGTGACACAGGGACATGAAGTGAGCATATGCTGTTAGAAAAGTGGTGCTGGCTGGGCGTGGTGGCTCACACCTGTAATCCCAGCACTTTGGGAGGCCAAGGCGGGCAGATCACCTGAGGTCAGGAGTTCAAGACCAGCCTGGCCAACATGGCGAAACCCTGTGTCTACTAAAAATACAAAAAATTATCCAGGCATGGTCATGCACACCTGTAGTCCCAGCTACTTGGGAGGCTGAGGGAGGAGAATCACTTGAACCCCAGAGGCAGAGGTTGCAGTGAGCTGAGATAGTGCCACTGCACTCCAGCCTGGATGACAGAGCAAGACTCCATCAAAAAAAGAAAAAGAAAGAAAGAGAGAGAGAGAGAAAGAAAGAAGAGAGAAAGAAAGAAGAAAGAAAGAAAGACAAAGACAGAGAAAGAAAGAAGAAAAAAGAAAAGAAAAGTGGTGCTGATATATTTTGCTCTACACAGGGTTGCCACAAACCTTCAATTTGTAAATAACACTTTATTGCAAAATGCAATAAAGTGAGGTGTGCCTGTAGTTGCGAGCACAGAGGGCAAGGCTCCAGGACTGCTGCTGCCACTCCTGAGCTCTGTGTCCCTGACAAGTTCTTACAGTTACTGTGCCTTCCTGGTCCCTTCTGGACAAGGACAATAACAGCCTCTACTTCAGAGCGACAGTGCCAGCATTGAAGTTTTTAAACACAGCTCCCATCACATAGTATGTGTGCAACAAATGCATTCATTTATTCAACAAATATTTTGTGGCTACCTGAAATGTGCTGAGCACAGCTCTGGGCATTGGGGATTGTGGCTCATGCCTGTAATCCCAGCACTTTGGGAGGCCGAGGCGGGCGGATCACCAGGTCAAGAGATCGAGACCATCCTGGCTAACACAGTGAAACCCCATCTCTACTAAAAATACAAAAAATTAGCCGGGTGTGGCGGCGGGCACCTGTAGCCCAGCTAGAGGCAGGAGAATGGCGTGAACCCAGGAGGTGGAGCTTGCAGTGAGCCGAGATCGCGCCACTGCACTCCAGCCTGGGCGACAGAGCGAGACTCGGTCTCACAAAAAAAAAAAAAAAAAAAAAAGCCTGAGGAAACTCCCTGTCCTCGCGGAGTCACATGCTGTTATTTAGCTATGACAGCCACAGACGATCTGATGAAAAGCACTTAGATTACTGCTGGTCTTCAGAGTGACATCATTTTAGTCTGTAACTTGAGGCAGGCTTAGGATCTGATGACAGTCTAGTGTTCTGTGCAGTTGTCCCTGCATCATCCTCTCCCCCTAATGCTCTTGTCACTGAGCTTACAGGGGCATCCTTTGTGCATCAACTGAAAGCTTCATGGTAAAGATGCCTGCTCTCAAAAATGAGATCAAAGACTCCAGGTAACCAAGGCAACCTGTGAGAGAGACTCCAGGATGCCGGCCTCCCATTCTGAATCATCTCTGGCTGCAGCTGAGCTGTGTGGCAAATGTTTTCCTAGTGGGGCTGGCATGCTTGAAAGAACAAGGTCTGTGGAACACACAGAACCTTCCCCTTTTCCTCTTGTGAGGAGGGAGGGCCTTACCAATACTGATGATGTCTAAGTTTCAGGACCCCTCACTCACATGGGCCCCTCTGAGTGCTGGCAGGTGCTAGGAGTTCTAGAATGTTCTAGTGGGGAGGAGAAGCCAGGTGGCGATGAAGACACACTTCTCTGTAAGCATTTCTGATACTTCAGTAAAAATTTGTGTTCTTTCTTTTTATTTTTTTATTTTATTATTATTATACTTTAAGTTTTAGGGTACATGTGCACAATGTGCAGGTTTGTTACATATGTATACATGTGCCATGTTGGTGTGAAAAATTTGTATTCTTTCCCTTAAAGAGAGACCCCAAAACCCTTACAGAAGAGAGGGTCTGTAAGCTACAGACCCTAGAAAATCTGAGTTTGGCCCTAACTGGGGGTTCCTAGACATGCTCTCTGGAGGATGCCAGTCCAGGGAAGAGCAAACCATGAGGCACCACAGACAAGCTGGGTGAGCATGGGCAAGCCCCTCTCTGGACAATCACCGGGTAAAGGGGACAGGAAGGCTGGCTTCTCTGAGCCTTCTTGCTCTGTTTGTTGAGTCACTCTTCTCTGCCCTGGCAGGCCCTGGAGCCAGGGGAGCCACAGGCAGAGCGATCACCAAGAGCGTGGCTTCCACACCACTATGAACTGGAGGAAGGTGGGGGCTTCTCCCATCCCAACCCCACTATATGGACCACACCCACCCTAGGCATTACTATGGGGTTTCTGTGCAAGCATTTTCCACAGCACTGTCTCCAAACTGGCAAATAACAATCTAGATATTAATAACCACTTTATATTTTATTCATCAGAGTATGAATTGAGGTGGGCATCTTTATTTTTTATTTTATTTTATTTTATTTATTTATTTTTTTGAGACAGAGTCTTGCTCTGTCGCCCAGGCTGGAGCGCAGTGGTGTGATCTCGGCTCACTGCAAGCTCCACCTCCCGGGTTCACGCCATTCTCCTGCCTCAGCCTCTGGAGTAGCTGGGACTACAGGCGCCCGCCACCACGCCCGGCTTATTTTTTGTATTTTTAGTAGAGACGGGGTTTCACCATGTTAGCCAGGATGGTCTCAATCTCCTGACCTCGTGATCCGCCCGCCTCAGCCTCCCAAAGTGCTGGGA
This sequence comes from Homo sapiens, assembly GCF_000001405.40. Taxonomy (NCBI): domain Eukaryota; kingdom Metazoa; phylum Chordata; class Mammalia; order Primates; family Hominidae; genus Homo; species Homo sapiens. The sequence goes on from NC_000017.11 coordinate 65,415,692, forward strand.
TTACAGGTGTGAGCCACTGCACCCGGCCGAGATGGGCATCTTTATAACGAGTATGAGTTGAAATGTGCATCTTTATAACAGGCAGTATACGATTAAAGGTTGCTGATACACACAAGCATGCTCCTGTGTGTGGAACTTTTCTTTCTTTTTTTCTTTTTCTTTTCTTTCTTTCTTTTCTTTTTTCTTTTTCTTTTTTTTTTTTTTTTTAGATGAAGTCTCGCTTTGTCGCCCAGGCTGGAATTCAATGGTGCGATCTTGGCTCACTGTAACCTCTGCCTCCTGGGTTCAAACAATTCTCCTGTCTCAGCCTCCCAGGACACAGGGATTATAGGCAGGCACCACCACGCCCAGCTAATTGTTTATATTATTAGTAGAGATGGGGTTTCACCATGTTGTCCAGGCTAGTCTCAAACTTCCGACCTCAAGTGATCCACCCACCTTGGCCTCCCAAAGTGCTGGAATTATAGGTGTGAGCCACCACACCCAGCCTGTGTGTGGAACTTTCATGACACGTGACATCTCAGCTGAACCAGCCCAAGGTCATTTTGGTTAAGCAACTCAAGGAAATTCCATATAAAGAAGGTGTTGCCGGTCCTGAAGCTTGCATGCATGACTTCATTCATTAGTCTGGTATTTAATACAAAAAATGTTATTTATCTAAATAAATGGATAGATAAATCCCCGTGTAGCAGTGAGGATGTTTTTGGCTACAAACAACAGAAAACTCATATCGAGCTAGCCTAAATACAAAGGGAATTTGTTGGTTCTTATAATGAAAAGCACAAAGGTTGTGTGAGCTTCAGGAGTGGTTTGATCCAGACATTCAAACTATCATAAGGACTCGACTGATTTTTTTCACGAATGTATTTTCTCTGCCCTTTATAATATGTCACTATCTTTGGTTGGGTGCCTAGAGAGGTAGAGTCTGACAGCAGGATTCTCAGAGGCAAGTGGTTTATTTGGGATTCCCATAAAACTCCAGTAGGAAGTGGGGAGATGAGACAGGAACAAGGAAGATGGTGAAAACAGGTGTGTTGTCAAGCAAGTGACCACTAACGGCAACAGGAGCATAACCCATGGAGCAACGCAAGGAGACAGTGTAGAGCGTGCATCTTCAAATTACCCTGCCCAAAGAGCAAGGGAGCAGGGCATTTATCTGCCCATCCCAGTCAGTAGTTATTGGTTTAGGGTAGAGTTCCCTTATAGTAACAGCGATTCCAAAGCAGTCAAAGGCCTCACTCCTCACCCCCCGCAGAAGGAGAGTACAGCTCTCTCCCAGCTTTCCACACCAAGACTGAGAGCCACTCTGACGCATTGATGAATTGTACACCCAATCAATGCTGAACTAACTGTATGGCAAGGGAGGGGACAGGATGTGCTGATTGGCTTAGTGCATAGTAGTGCTGTCTTTCCCCAACCACTACATGGCTTTCCAGCACGGACTGAGGACTTTAGAAAAGGGGAAGGGAAAAGAGGATACAGGCATCTACTACACAATAATTAAGTAATGGTCTGGACTACTTAACAAACACTAGATTATTAAACTCAAAGGCACCAGAGGTCTCCTGTGTGGTCATAGACCAAAATGCTCCAGTGTCAGGCAATAATGCAAATGGTCAAAGTGGGCCAGCAGGAGGCTGCTGTGTTCTGTAGGTGCTCACACCCAGGCAGAATAACTAGACCCTGCACTTAGCCCTGGCCAATGGCTGCCACGTGAGAATGTGGGCCCAGGGGTGCCAGATTCTCTGATATTTCAAGAGTAGCCAGAAATCTGGATTTTTTAAATGAAATCTCCCCATCTGAAATGTTGGAAATGAATTCAAAATGTTTTGGATACTTCATGGGCCAAATGACACACATCTGTGAGCCAGACGCAATCTTGGATTGCCAGTTTGCAGCCTCTGATGCAGATCCACCCCTTAATTTTACAGAAGGGAAAACGGAACGGTTCCAGAGACACTCAGTGACTTACCCAAAGTCACGCAGCTGGTCAGTGGCAGAGCTGGGACTAGAACCGTTGTCTCGCCATTGTGGTTTGTTATAATTGCTGATCAACTGTGCTTAGGAAAGATCCACTCAGTGCCCAAACTAAGGATGGCAAACTAGAACCCCTGGGGCCAATTCTGGCTGGCAGTCTGTTTTTGTAAATAAAGTTTTATTGGAACACTGCCACACACATTTGTTTACATATTATCCATGGCTGTTTTCCCAATACAACAGTGGGATTGAGTCACTGGAACAGAGATCACATGGCCCACAAATCTTGAAAATACTTACTGTCAGACCCTGAACAGAAAAAGCTTGCCAATCCTTGTTCTAGATTCTTGATATTTTTAGATGTCGTAATTTTTGTTTCAGCTACTCATGAGATGTCTCAATGGTCTGAGGATATTATTTAATAACCCAACTGAATGCTACTTGCAATGTGGCAGGTCTGGGTTGCAGGTCCCAGGAAGGAACAGTGATTGAGCCAGGCAGCTGAAGCTTATCCTATGCAAGTTATTCCCATGAGATGATGAAAAGAAAACCACTGCTATCACCACCACCATCAACGATGGCAACAACAGAAAAACTTCTCTCAATAACCCTGAAAGAAAAAAAGAATTAAGAGGCTGGAGTGCAACGGTGTGGGACCTCGGCTCACCGCAACCTCCGCCTCCCAGGTTCAAGTGATTCTCCTGTCTCAGCCTCCCATATAAAGTCTCTTATAAGTAAATAGAAATTTTAGATAAATAGTAGAATTTGGTCATGGCAGTGAACAGCAAAGACACGCGTACGCACACCCCTCTGGAAACAAGAAAATGTGATTTGTGAAGCAATTTCAGAGACTGCTCCAAGCTGCATAAAAATTATGTGCAGCCAATGAACGAGACAGCATTGATGTGGATGAAAAAGTTGCTAAACCAAGTGAGACTCAGCCAGGACTCCCACCTCTTGCAGGAAACATGATCTCAGGAAGGGCTTCTGTCAGGGGCACTTCATCCCCCTGGCTTCAGGCTTCCACCAGGGTGGTGTCCAAGCCTTTCTCCCCACCCACCTCTGCCCTGCTCCTGGGAGCAGGGCTTGCTGGTCTGATTGGTGAGGTTGGCAGGAGAAACCGGGCATACTCAGCTCAGTCCCTCCTGGGCTCACGTTGGCCACAGAGTGGCAGTGCATTCTCAATGCTTCTCTGACACATGGAAGGCTCTCGCCCTGGCAGAGGGGGCCTTTGCCTCTGCCAGGGTCTGGGTGGGTAGGAACATCTAGCTCAGGGATGAAATATTAGAAAGCCCATTGGGGCCATATGCCTAAGCCATGCCTCCAATCCAGCTTCAATCACTATCTCCAGCCATCTGACTCCTGTCTTGATTTGGAACTTGGAAAAAAGGAAAGAGGTGTTATTTATTAGACACGACTGTTTATAAGGTAGCAGTGTTACTATTTCACAGTGCATTTTGTAGGGGAATTATCTTCTACGGCTGAAGTCACAGACTTGGAGATTTTTATGCTCCCCACTCAAATGCCAAGGGCCCTATTGCTGATCTAGAAGCTATCAATGCAGGATAAGAAGCCCAGCCCACAAGATGTTTATCATCTATCCAATAGTTAGTAGATGGTCAATAAGTTAGTTGATGATCAGTTAGTAGATAATCAATAAGTGTTGTTTAATATATTAAATAAAGTATTGAATAAAATATCAGAAAATAATTTGGAACATCATAGAGTACAGGTTTATATATATACATATAATCTCAAATCAAATAGATATTTATCAGGCATTTTCTGTCTGTGATTTAAACCCTGATATAGCTACTGATACACGCTTTCTTTCATCAAATAAGTATGTAAATAAAAGTTCTTTGGGAGGAAAGGAACAGCTTCTCGGGTCTCATCAACCAAGAAGTAAAATCACGTTGCTTCAAAGGACAGGCATGTAGATAAACAACTAGAAAATAAAAAATACTTTAAAAAATCTATATGCTCCTGGCCAGGCACAGTGGCTCACGCCTGTAATCCCAGCACTTTGGGAGGCTGAGGCGAGTGGATCACAAGGTCAGGAGTTCGAGACCAGCCTGGCCAATACGGTGAAACCCTGTCCCTACTAAAAATACAAAAATTTGCCAGGCGTGGTGGCGGGCACCTGTAGTCCCAGCTACTCTGGAGGCTGAGGCAGGAGAATCGCTTGAACCCGGGAAGCAGAGTTTGCGGTGAGACAAGATCATGCCACTGCACTCCAGCCTGGGCAACAGAGCGAGACTCCATCTCAAAAAAAAAATTTTTTTTCAAAAAATCTACATGCTCCTTTGACATCATGCTCTCCCCTGTAACCAAAGGGTCATTCTTCACTTGGAGTCAATTCATTAAAGCTCTCAGAATCCACCAGAATGCATGGGAACTGAAGTGAACATTGTTCAAAGAGCTATTCCTTCTGGTCTTTCATTCTAAGACTCACTAGAACCAAACAGAGTTAGAAGGCTAATTTGGAAGCATGTGTGTATGTGTGGGTATTTATTTCATCAACATTATCTATATAATACACACACACACATATACACATAAATAGCATTTTCATTCTAACTTTTCTGAGCACAAATCAACTGACGGCCAGTGACCGGGACCTTTCTGGGTGGCCTAATAGAAGTGAGATGTGTTATGAAGATACGTAAATGAGCAGCTAATTGCAGGTATATGAGCTACTTTATCTGGAGAACAAATTAGCAATTTGGATCAAGTGCTCTCAAATTCAAAGACTTGGATGCTGTAGTAGGAACCTAGGGCTCTATGCTACAGGAAGAATCAGGATGCAGAAAAAGATGTACTTTTTTAAAAAAAATCAGAAAAAGATACAAGACTGTTGGTTGCTGCTTTATTTATAATAGAGAAAAAAGGTATTGATCTGAATGTCCAACAAGGAGACAACAAGTAATTGCAGGTTTTGCCACTGAAAGTAATGGCAAAAACCGCAATTACTTTTGCACCAACCTAATAGCCAATCAATTGCAATTTGTTTGCATGGGGAGAGGGAGGGGCAGGTGTCATGATGCCTGACCAGAAGGACAGTGTGGCAGAGTGGTTGAGCATGTGACCTCTTAATCAGATTGCTGGTGACCCCTCATGATGTTAACCTAAGGAAGTTAGCTTTTTGTGTTTGGTTTTCCTCATCTGCAAATTGGGGATAATGTTGGTAACTAACCTCATAAGGTTTGGTGAGGATTAATTCACTTAGTACCAGCAGTCCTTAGAACAGTCCCTGGCATGTGATAAGTGATCAGCCATCATTGGCCATTTTATGAAAAATGGGACATTTTGTAGTCACTGGACAGCATGTTTTAGAAAAATCTCTAGTAATACAGGGAATCTCTGTAAGAGCATTCATAAACATTGAGGTCTAACATAAGTACATAAATCTTAAGCTTACAGTCACTGAGTCTGGACACATAGGTAGTCCTATGTAATCTCCACTGCACACCCACCCAAGAGCTAACCACTATTCTGACTTTATCATCATACATTTATTTTGCATATTCTTGAATATCATGTAAATGGACTCAAACTGTCTGGAGACTTGTGTTTGGCTTCTTCTGCTCAACTTCATATCTGTGAGATTCATGCATGTTGTTATGTGTAGCGGAAGTTGATTTTTTAGTGCTGTATAGTATTTCATTGTATGAATGTATCACGTTTTTAAATCTTTTCTACTGCTGCTGGGCATTGGGTTACTTCTGATTTTTGGTTATTATGAATAAAGCTGCTATGAACATTTTTGTACATTCTTTGGTGAACATAAGCACTTGGGTATTACTAGGGAATAAGTTGTGCCCCCTCATTCATATGTTGAAGTCTTTTTTTTTTTTTTTTTGAGACAGAGTCTCGCTCTGTTGCCCAGCCTGGAGTGTAGTGGTGGGATCTCAGCTCACCACAACCTCCACCTCATGGGTTCAAGCGATTCTCATGCCTCAGCCTCCTGAGTAGCTGGGATTACAGGCGCACACCACCGTGCCTGGCTAATTTTTGTATTTTTAGTAGACTTGGCCAGGCTGGTCTCAAACTCCATACCTCAGAGATCAGCCCACCTCAGCCTCCCAAAGTGCTGGGATTACAGGCAGGAACCACTGCGCCTGGCCCCATATGTTGAAGTCTTAACCCCTAGTACCTCAGAATGTGACCATATTTGAAGACAGAGACTTTACAGAAGTAATTAAGTTAAAAATGAGGTGATTGGGGTCAGCCCTAATCCAATATGACTGATATCTTAATAAGAAGAGGTAATTTGAATACACACACGTATAGAAAGAAGTCCATGCAAACATACAGGTAGAGGCGGCCATCCACAAACCAAGGAGAGAGGCGAGGAAGAGATCCTTCCCTCACATCCCTCAGGAGGAACCAGCCCTGACACCTTAATTTTGGACTTCTAGTCCAGAACCATACAGAAGTAAGCTTCTGTTGTTTTAAGTTACCCAGTCTGGGCTGGGTGTGGTGGCTCATGCCTGTAATCCCAGCACTTTGGGAGGCAGAGGAGGGTGGATCACGAGGTCAGGAGTTTGAGAACAGCCTGACCAACATGGTAAAACCCCGTTTCTACCAAAAATACAAAAATTAGCTGGGTGTGGTGGTGCGTGCCTGTAATCCCAGCTACTTGGGAGGCTGAGGCAGGAGAATCGCTTGAACCCAGGAGGCAGAGGTTGCAGTGAGCCAAGATCACACCATTGCACTCCAGCCTGGGGAACAGAGCAAGACTCCGTCTCAAAAAAAAAAAAAAAAAGTTACCCTGTCTGTAGTACTTTGTTACGGCAGTCCTAGCAAACAAATATAGGCATACACCTAAGAATAGAGTTGCTGAGTCATAGAGTATTTATATCAATCATATAATCATAAGCTCTGATAGATACCACTGAACAGCACACAAGTTAAATTTAAAAATCAGGGGAAATTATACATGCTTTATGTTTCCAATTGTATGTGTGTACATAGATATAAATATAGACACATATATATCCAGATAGAAATATAGACAAATAGATATAAGATAGAAGGAAATTTATCTGAAAGTTAACTATAGACTTTTTTTGTCTTTTTAAAAATAACTAACATGGCTCACTTATGTCATATAGAAATGTAATAGTTACTACAATTTTAATAGTGGTCATTCTGGGCGATGTGATTATCAGTGTTTTGTAGTTAGTATTACACCAGTTTCTGTATTTTCAGATTTTTCTACAGGGGACATAAGTTCCTTTTATAACCAGAGGAGGGAACTGTTCCTAATAAAGAAAAGAGAAAAGGCTGAAAGAAAATATAGTAATGTGTTACTGGCATTGACCTCTGGGTTGTGAAACTTGGGATTATTGTTGCCTGTCCTTCATTTTAATTATCTGCATTTTCCATGTACTATAATGACCATATGTTACTGTTATCATGGGGGTGGAGAGAAGAAACGTTCTTCTAGAAAATCAGCAGGAAAAAAACTACAAATCTACAATAAACTACAAATAGAAATCGTGGTAATATATTTCAACAATTGTTGACATACGACAACAATTGTATGATGCACTATTATATTATTTACTAGTAAGAAGAAAAACACTTTTAATTGAACTATAACCCTTCATCAGTTATAAGATGCATACTGATTTCAGAGATGTTCAATTGTAGGGAAAAAATGCATCTCACCACTGAAAACATTCAGTGAGTAGCATCACACACACTATATAAGAAGCAACGTGATTTCAGAGTCCCGGAGCCTAAGCAGTCCTCACCATACCTAGAAGCAGAAAAGATGGAGGGCTGGGAGGGTCAAAACAGAGCCCAGCGGAAGATTGCAGCTGGAGGAGCTGGAATCCTGGCTCTGACCACCACTCCCTGGTGGCCAAGAGGGGAAGGAGTCACCCACTTGCTGCGTGGTTCCCTCCCTGGAGGACACCCACTGACTGGGCAGGGAACTGTGACGTTTAATTGGCTAATGTCTGGAGAACACTTTGAAGATGAAAAGTACCAGGTGGGTATCATCACCATACACTTCTTAAGATGATGCATGAGAATAATCATAAAGTTCTCCCCAACTGGGCCTTTCATCCACGGATTTCAAAGCATTTAGCAAACCTTAATTAACTCTCACAGCACCTCTATGAAGTAAGCATTAATAGCCTCTTACATTAGAGGGACAGAAAGAGGAGGTGAGTGACTTGGCCAGGCCCTCAGAGAGTTAGAGACCAGGTGGACAATACGCGTTCATCAGGCAGGCATGCATTCAGTGTCTCCTCTGTGGCAGGTCTCATGCCAAGCTCTGGGGAAACCCCAGGGGGTGCCAGAGCTGGTCAGTGCCAGCTCGCAATCTCCAGCTGTCAAATTTTCAAGAATTTTGCAAACCAGTTATGAAACAAAGCCATTCTTCAAAGTTAAATTACATAAATGTATAATTAAATAAATTGTATTGGAAACACAGGTAATGAAAGCTCAAAATGTATCACTCCAAATTATTTTACAACTTTCTACTGTTATCTGCACACTTGGGGTTATTCACCTGTGGAATATCTGCGGGGTGGAAATAGTGCAGAAAGCTGTGCTGCTGTGCACTCCTTCCCAGATCCCTGTTCAGTGACGTCCCAGTGGTCCCTTGAAATTGACCACGGTGAGAGTGTTTACACCATGGAAATTGGCAGATGCTACAGACCAGGGCTTGACTTACTGTCCTCTGGACTTCCAGACTTTAAAAAGTGATGGAGAAAATGTTAAAAATGCAGGTTAATATTAAAAGCATGTCATTTCTATAGCCATTACATTGTGAATGGCACACACAAAAGATTGAGGAAAGACTTCCATGCTTCAAAAGCCATTATCCAATTCAGCAAAGAAATCACTCACAACGTCCTAGACAAATGAGTGACGTTCCTACATACATCCTCGTTGTTTCACTTCCATCTTACTCCAGAGCAAGGAAGATATCCCACCAGTCTCCATCAAGAGAGCCAAAAGCCAAGCATGGTCCCTCACCCAGCAGAGAGGCCCAAGATCTGGGACCTGGACAGTAGATGTGTCTGCCCAGTCCAGTTTCCCATCCTGCCACCCCCTAGCCCCCACCACCGTGTGACTATCATAGAAACAACCATTTTATATAACAAAACCCTGCTGCCTTCCTGGCCACATTTGATTGGTCAAAGGCAGGCTCCTGGTCTCTTCCTGAGAAATGTGGGACTGGCACTGAGAAAGACAGCCAGGCCTTCTGGTAGCTGAAGCTGTAAAATATCAATCTACGAAGCTGCAGTAGCCAGGTCACATGGAATCCACCTTACCGATAAAGCCAATCAGGGGAGAGCAGAAAGAAGGCAGCCACAGCAGAAAGATTCAGGGGAGAGACACGATACAGTTTGGCTGTGTCCCTACTCAAATCTCACCTTGAATTGTAATAATCCCCATGTGCCAAGGGCAGGGCCAGGTAGAGATAATTGAACCATGGTGTGTGTGTGTTGTGGGGGGTTTTCCCCCATACTGTTCTCGTGGGAGTGAATAAGGCTCACAGGATCTGATGGTTTTATAAATGGGGGTTCCCCTGCACAAGCTCTGTTGCCTGCTGCCATGTAAGACGTGACTTTGCCCCTCATTTGCGTTCTGCCATGATTGTGAGGCCTCCCCAGCCATGTGTAACTGTAAGTCTATTAAACCTCTTTCCTTAATAAATTACTCAGTCTCAGGTATGTCTTTATTAGCAGCAAGAAAATGAACTAATATAAGATATCTTGGCAATGTGTTGGTCCCTAGATTCCAGGTGGCCCTGAACTCAGTGCTTTCCTGACCTTCTTGCTACTTGGAGTTCAACTCTTCTTTGGATTCTACATTATGCCCCAGTGATATGGTTTGGCTGTGTTCTCACCCAAATTGTATCTTGAACTGTATCTCCCATAATACCCACATGTTGTGAGAGGGACCTGGTGAAAGATAATTCAATCATGGCGGCGGTTTCCCCCATACTATTCTCATGGTAGTGAATAAATCTCACGAGATCTAATGGTTTTATAAGGGGAAACCCCTTTCACTTGGTTCCTATCCTCTCTTGCCTGCCACCATGTAAGACGTGCCTTTCATCTTTTGTCATGATTGTGAGGCCTCCTCAGCCCCGTGGAATTGTGAGTCCATTGAACCCCTTTTTCTTTATAAATTACCCAGTCTTACATATGTCTTTATCAGCAGTGTGAAAACGGACTAATACACCCAGTATTTTTCCAGCAAGTTCCCCTCTTTTGCTAAGCTAGCTGGGTTTCAGAAACTTCAATTAGAATTGTCCTAACTATTATAACTACCAAGGATGCTAAGTTGATTCTTTCAAAAATCTTCACTGGGCTTCTCTCCAAGTTCTTGGTGTGGTATAAAGAAATGGTGGGCATCCAATCCCTGAACACTGAAGTTGACCACCTAGATATACAGCAGGGGGATATACGCATCCCAAAGACAGACAATTGGATAAAACCCAAGTACAAACAAAAAACAATAAAGGTAATTTCACACAACATGAGAATTAGAAGTGAACTTTAAGGCCACCAAATCCAGCGTCTATCTGACATATGAAATGGCTCTAAATTTCGACTTCCTGAAGGATTTCAATCTATTTTCAGTGCGTTCTCATGACAAAAATATTCGTCTAGGTTGAACCAAAATCTGCTTCCCTGTAACTTTGAACCACTGGTCTTAATTATATGCCCTGGAGCTATACAAAATAGATCAAAGATTTCCTTCACGTGATAGCCCTTTAAATATTTAAAGTCAAAATACTATTATTACTATTCCCATTTATTGAGTAATTACTACATGCCAGCACATGGTTATCACGTTTAATCTTCATCACATGCTGAGAGGTAGATGGCATCTGGAGCCTTATTTTACAAATGAGGATACTGAGACAGAGCTGGGGGTGGGAAGGGAAGGGACTAAGATCTGATCATTATCATATGTCACCACCTTCCAGCGAGGCATTCTGAAGAGTTCAAGAATTGGACCTTCCAGGTTGTTCTGAACTTACATATGTCACAATGGGAGGATGGAACATATTTAATAGTTTGTGGGCTTGATTTGTTCCTTTCAATTGTTTAGCTATGTGGTGCATTGGCCTCTATTTGTACTCCCATCCTGAGCCCCATAAATGTTAGGGGTGAGCCTGGTGGGACATCTTCAGAGGGGCTATCTCTTGGTGAACAACAGCTACACATTCCTCTCCATCTCAGCCTCCTACTGCTTACTCTTTAGAGTTCTAGTCTCCTATTTCCCACAAAGGGGGTTTTGCCTCTTATTCACATTTCCATTTAACTGTCACCACCTTCTGCCCCTTCACTCTTGGGTGCTGAAGGCCAGCTGGGTTGAATTCATTCCCAGGTCAACATGTGGGTAGCACCTCAGTTTTCTATTGCTGCAAAACAAACTATCCCAAAACAGACTGGCATAAGGCAGCCATTCTATCATCCTGATGTTATATGAGCAGCAGTGTGAACATGGCAGTGTGAAGCAGGCTGGTCTCTGTTCCACAATGTCTGATGCTTCAGGTGGGAAGACTTGATGACTAGAGGTGACTGGAATCATCTAAAGATATCACTATTCACACATCTGATAGTTGATATCAGTTCAGTTGAGACCTCAGGGTGGTTGTTGGCCTACACTGGCCTCTCTATGTGGTCTTTCCATATGGGCTAGTTTGTCTTCCTTACAGCATGGTGGCTGGATTTCAAGAGCCTAAAGAGTGAGCATTCCTAGAGGGCAAGGTGGAAGTATGTGGTATTTCTCTGCTCTAACCCTAGAAGTCACACAGCATCACTTCAGTCATACTCTACTGGCAGAGGAAGTGAACAAAGGTTTTCCCAGGTTTAAGGGAGGGGATGTGGGCCCCCACTCAATGGGAGAATTGTCACAGTGTAAGAAGAGCATGGCATGGGAGATCCTGTTGTGGTCATTTTGGGAAAATATTATTTTACACAGGGAAGAAAAGAAAGGATGGAAATGGTGCTTGAGACTGTATTCGATTCTCTGTACTAACAACTCCATTGACCATGCCATGTGGGGGTCCTTATTCTGAATTTGCAGGTGAGGAAACGAAGGCTCAGAATAGTTCAGGTTCTTCACTCCTACACTGCTGGTGGGAATGTCAACTAGTACAACCACTATGGAAAACAGTGTGGAGATTCCTTAAAGAATTAAAAGTAGAACTACCATTTGATTCAGCAATCCCACTACTGGGTATCTACCCAGAGGAAAAGAAGTCATTATACAGAAAAGATACTTGCTCACACATGTTTATAGCAGCACAATTCGCAACTGAAAAAATGTGGAACCAACCCATATGTCCATCAATCAATGAGTGGATAAAGAAACTGTGGTGTGTGTGTGTGCACATGTGTGTGTGTGTGTGTGTGTGTGTATGCATATATATGGTCTCTGTTCCACAATGTCTGATGCATATATATATGCATACACACACACACACACACACATATATACACCCTTTATATACCATTAATTCATTCCTTTTCATGGCTGAGTAGTATTCCAACATATATATTTATTTTATATATATACTGAGTAGTATTCCATCATATATATACACACACACACGTATGTACATATATATGATGTGTGTGTGTGTGTGTGTGTGTGTGTGTGTGTGTATATATATATATGTATATATATGATGGAATACTACTCAGCCATAAAAAGGAATGAATTAATGGCATTCGCAGCAACCTGGTTGGGATTGGGGACTATTATTCTAAGTGAAATAATTCAGGAATGGAAAACCAACATTGTATGTTCTCACTCATAAGTGGGAGCTAAGCTACGAGGATGCAAAAGCATAAGAATGACACAATGGACTTTGGGGACTCGGGGAAAGGTTGGGAAAGGGGTGAGGGATAAAAGACTACAAATTGGGTTTAGTGTACACTGCTCAGGTGATGGGTGCACCAAAATCTCACAAATCACCACTGAAGAACTTACTCATGTAACCAAACACCACCTGTTCCCCCAAAAACCTATAGAAATAAAAAATATTTAAAAATAAATAAAAAAAAGAGAAGTTCGGGTTCTTGCCCAAGATCACACAGAAAGTGACAGCATACACCAGTGGTACTCAAACTTTACTGAGTAGCAGAATCATCTGAGGGGCTTATTCAGACACAGATTGTGGGATACCACCCCCAGGGATTTAGATTCAATCAGTCTAGAGTGGGCCTCAAGAATCTGCATCTCCAACAAGTTCTCGCGTGATGCTGATGATGCCGGCCCAGTGACCACAGCTGGAGAACTGCTGGTATACAGTTTTTGAAGCCATACCTGGGTGAACTTCTGCCTCATTATGCTTGTATAGGAGAGCACTGGTATTCCTCACCCAGGACCAGAGAAACAGAAGAATGACTCACGGCCATCATGTCTTTAATTTTTTTTTTTTTTTTTTTTTTTTTTTTGTTGAGATGGAGTCTCGCTCTGTCACCCAGGCTGGAGTGCAGTGGTGCAATCTCGGCTCACTGCAAGCTCCGCCTCCCCATTTCACGCCATTCTCCTCCGGAGTAGCTGGGACTACAGGCACCCACCACCACGCCCGGCTAATTTTTTGTATTTTTAGTAGAGACGGGGTTTCACCGAGTTAGCCAGGATGGTCTCGATCTCCTGACCTCGTGATCTGCCCGCCTCGGCCTCCCAAGGTGCTGGAATTACAGGCGTGAGCCACTGTGCCTGGCCATCATGTCTTTAATTCTAAGAGAAAACATATGTAGCAAGATAAGATTTTCATTATTCCTTAGCCACTTCTCTCTCTCCCTCTTCCACTCACCCTTGGAGTTCTTCAGTAAAACAGCATAAAAGAACACAGACTTTATCAGCATGGTAACCTACCAAAGGTATTCTCTGAGAGGCCATCAATAATAGCAAAAGCAAGGAGGATCTCATTTAGGGCTTCACTCTGAAAAACCAAAGATGTCCTCTTACGCTAATGCTTAAGATTGAGATAAGATGTAATGTGACTATTAGCATTCTTCACGGAATGGGACTCCATGAAGAGAAAGGAGAGGGGCAAAAAAGAAGAGAGAATCTTGAAGAGGAAGGGATATTAAGTAATTGTACGTGCTTAACATCCATTGTTTCCAGATCTTGTATAGGTAAGATCGCATGTCCTGGCCCACTTCCTGTTGGGTGGGATCAGGTGGCTAGTTCATGCCAACTAAGCCAAGAAGAAGTGATGGGCATTGCTTCCATGCTGGGGTAATTGATTGCCAGTGAGAGACCCTTCAGAGCTCTCTTTTTCTGTTAGCATGGTAGCTGGTGATGTTCATGACTATGGCAGCTAGATCAGCCTGGGGCAGAACACCTGCCAACCCACGATGCACACATGAAGTGAGTGAGAAACTAACATTTGCATATTTTAAACTCCTAGGTTTGAGGGAGTATTTGTTATGGCAGCATAGCTAGCCTATTCTAACTGATACAGGAGAAGAGAGAGAAGGAACATCCAGGTGTCTCTCCAAGGAGCATTATGAAGACACCAAAGTAAGACTGATTAGGAAAAGCAAATAAATCCTTTGTATCATGCCCTGGCCTCTGTGAGATTGATGACCTTCTTACAGTAAGACTCGTACGTCTCTTCCAGATTTTACAAGGGCATCTAAGGACATTTGGACCTGCACTTCCTGTCATTCTCCACTGCATCACTTAGCTTTAACCATGTTAAACGAAAGCTAAACCTTCAGAAGACAGATGCCCTCTGAAGTGTAACTTCAATAAGACATCCTGTAGCCAGATTCAAGGCTGAGATCCTGTGACTCCCGCCCCTCACTGAACCCCAGTTCTGGGTCCTAACAGAGCTTGCTCAGCAACATACTCTGTCTTCTGCAGGTTGGTGAAGGTGCCAAGGCTTTGTCGATGCTGTTCCTGCAATATTTCTCCCGCCACCTACTTACTGAGCATCCTTTGGAAGATGCCCAGGGCTGCAGCAGCCGGCATTCATGGCATTCCTGAAAGTATGTCCTGCCAGGCAGGAAAAAGGGGCAGCTTTGTGCTGCTGGGTTCTCAGCTCCCAGCACTGCACCAGCGACCAAGGGGCCTGGTTCAGACCATTGTCTTACTTGATGGACATAGAGGGCCCGAGTTCCAGCAGAAGCAGCTGGGATCCAAGCCTGGATGGCAGAGGGTGGGCTGGAGCTACCCTAACCCCCCCACCTCACCATCTGCCTCTCTGGGTTTCTATTGCTGTCTGATTTTTAAAAATAAGTTCAAATGGAAAACAAAGCAAACTTGTGAAAAACAATGTGAAGTGTTGAAATAATTTACATTTAGAGTCTGACCCAAAAAATGTATCTCCCGATCTTTTGCTCTATAGTCCTATCTTTTTCATCAAACTTTGTAAAGGAGAACAACAACAACAACAAATTATGGCGTGCCTTTAGTGCACTTGGGGTCACTCTAGGAGTCTCTGTTCGGTATCCTCGCACCCTCATAACATCATCTCCAAACCACTCCAGGTTGGAAACATACCCTGAAGCGTCCTGTGTGAACAGTAGCCACCCACCACCGCATTCCCCACATTAGTTATTTTCCCCTTCATGGTCTGCATCTCACCAAGACAGAAGCCAGAAACTTACTTTCCCATCCTCCTCTGCAGCAGGGGCATGGTCATGTGACTTAGGCTTAGCCAATCAGAAGCACCTTCATGGGATATGGATTCAGGAACGCCTCCAAGAAGTGGGCACAGCACAGGATTCATTTAGTAAAGGATGGCTATGTAAACAAACATCCAGCTTCCAGCGTAGACGTGGAGCTTCCAGAGCAGAGGCTGTGGGGGCAGTTAAGTCCCAGGCTCTGCCTGCCTTTCCCAAGGAAAATGACCAGGGTTTTAGGGTCATTTGGACATTGTGTCAGGCTGCAAAGTTTCCAGGCCTGGTTCTCTGGTTTTCGTTAATATTTTTACGTAAATTTCTTCTCTGTTTATACTCTCTAGAGTGAGTTCTGTTGTTTGCAGTTATGAATGTTGACTAATATGATAGTTAACACAGCACACCTGTTATCCGAAATGTATGTTCCCTCTTACGTAGCCGGCCTCATAACAAAGAGAAAGATATTTTCTCAAGGCTCTTCTATCCCCTCCCATCCTGGTGTGGTCCAGAGAAGCATCTGAATTAGGAGGCTTTAGAAACTTTATTCATGGCTGATGTGGTTTGGCTATGTCCCCACCCAAATCTCATCTTGAACTGTAGCTCTATAATTCCCACCTGTTATGGGAGGGACCCAGTACCCCCAGATAATCGAATCATGGGGGTGGTTTCCCCCATACTGTTCTCGTGGTAGTGAATAAGTCTCACAAGATTTGTTGGCTTTATAAGGGGAAACCCCTTTCACTTGATTCTCATTCTCTCTCTTGCCTGCCACCGTGTAAGATGTGCCTTTCACCTTCTGCCATGATGGTGAGACCTCCCCAGCCACATGGAACTGTGAGTCCATTCAACCTCTTTTTCTTTATACATTACTCAGTCTCGGGTATGTCTTTATCAGCAGCATGAGAACAGACTAATACAATGAGCAGACTAATTCCTTCATTCAAAAGATAGTCACTGAGCACCTGCTGTGTTTCAGGCAGGACATGATGATACCCAGGATGCTAAGTTGATCCTTTCAAAAATCCTTATTGGGCTTCTCCCTAAGTTCATGTTGTGGTGTAAAGAAATTGTGGGCACTCAATCCCTGAACACTGAACTTGACCACCTAAGATACAGAGCAGGGAGATATGGGCATCCCAAAGACAGACAACTGGATAAAACCTGCACTCATGTGGCTCATAGTGTGGTCAGGGAGACCGACTTTAACCAAAAAGCCACACACACTACTGCAAAGCTGCAGTTGTGACAGAGCGCTGAAGGAGAGAAAAACAAAGTAACAGGTGCCTACACATGGGAGATTTCACCCTATGCAGAAGGTAAAGAAAGACTCACTTGAGGATATGGCACTTGTGATGGAAACAAGGCTATGTAGTCATCAAACTTCCATTTTCCTCCTGGACACATAGGAAGACCACATTTCTCAACCTTCCTTACACATAGCTGGGCCCATGTGACTAAGTTTAGGCCAGTGGAGTAAAGGCAGAGTGAGGTAAGCCATTTATAGGCTTGGCCATCAAATATCCTTCATTCAGTCTTCCATAGCCACTCACCACCGCATTCCAATTTCTCTTTGAAATTGGCATCCTCCATTCCAAGATGACAGAGCTGTGCAATGGGAAGATCCTGGATCCTTGAGTGTTTGCTTCAAAGAGACACATCAGCCTTTAATAGTACCAAAAAGGCCAGGTGCGGTGGCTCACACCTGTAATCTCAGCATTTTGGGAGACCAAGGTGGCGGGATCACCTGAGGTCAGGAGTTCAAGACCAACCCGACCAACATGGAGAAACCCCATCTCTACTAAAAATACAAAAATTAGCCAGGCATGGTGGCATGTGCCTGTAATCCCAGCTACCTGGGAGGCTGAGGCAGGAGAATTGCTTGAACCCAGGAGGCAGAGGTTGTGGTGAGCTGAGATCATGTCATTACACTCCAGCCTGGGCAACAAGAGTGAAACTCCATCTCAAAAAAAAAAAAAAAAGTAGCAAAAAATAGACTAATTGTGTTAAGTCATTGAGCTTTCAAGGTCTATTTGTTACTGCAGCTTAGCTCATCCTACCCTAACTAATACACAGTTGAGCAGAGAGCTGAATAATGAATAGGACCTAAATATATGAGAGAGGAAGTGAAAGCATTCTAGCAGAGAGAATGGCCCAATGCAAAGGCTTTGTGGTGGGAGCGAGAAAAGCAAGAAGGAAAAATTGGGAAAGGCCAAGGAAGGTGAACAGAGTGAGAGATGGTGGATTCAAGATAAGGCTGCAGTGGTTGGCAGAGACAAGACTGTGCAGCCCACGTATTGGCCAAGCGAAGGCATAGCACCTGCAAGATTCATGCCTGTTCACATTCCCACTGCCCAGAGACTCTGGATGAGGTCCTGTCTGTTTTCAAGAAAGAGACCCTGGAGTTCTTCACTGTTAGCCTTCCTCGCTTTCAGATGCTGACAGCCTTGAGAAGACGCTGTACTTTTCCGTTCTACAGTAAGCTGCCCACATCAAAGCCCAAGAAGCCACAGGCATTTGGGGGAGTTGTGGGTCAGATATTTAATTATTCTAATCTAGAAGTCTATTTTCCCCACACTGCCAAGAACAGAAAGTTCATTTTGGAAAAAGAGGGTAGTTCCTTGGAAGGGCTGAATCTCATCTTTGATCTGCAGAGCTCTCAGACCCACCTCAAGATTTCCAAAGCCCAGAAACCCACAGACACTATCCCTCGCCCACAATAATGGACAAAACAAGAAGCCGCTAGTGCTTGTGGTAGAGGGAGGTGAGGGATGTCTTGGATGTATTTCATTTTTATTTATTTCTAAGAAAAACCACCTTTAAGATGGGAAGATGTGAGTGGACATACATTTCTAAACAACTTTGTTGATCTGATAAATTCAGATAAAGAAATTACTGTAAAAAGATTGCCTCATCTACAAAGCTCAGGACATTTTTTTCCCTTTTGCTGTTTTTTATCTTTGAGAAAGATAATGAAAGAGGAAGCTTGAAACCCCGTTTCCATTGATGTTCGAACACACAACTGCTGGGTTTAAGAACCAGAGGAGATCAAAGGGAATGGGGCCCATTCCAATAAAATTATAGCAGCGCTGGCAGAGGGTGTGGGCTCATTTAGGAACTTGGAGGCAAGGAGTTGTTGACGCACCTTCATCAGAGCTGAGGACAGAAAGAAAAATGCCTGAAATTCCAAGGGATTAATTAGGAGTATAGCTCATAATGTTACAGCAGCTGCACACACAGTTAGCTGATACGCTTCCCTCAGTGAACACTTCAAGCCCTGGATATCAGTACCGTTCGTAGGAAAAATGGATGGTGGTGACTCCCACTTCCAAAGGAGAGTTCTTCTGCCCTGAAAATGTAACTGGCCTAGGCCCAGTTACATTAAGTCTGGGGTGAGAGATTGGGAAAAACAAATAAATTTGGAAATATAGTGGCAAGAAAGGAACCAAAAACGTTTTGGGTTTATATTATATTAAAGTACCAACATTTTGGTATTTCATTAGCCCCATTTTACAGATGAGAAAACTGAGATTCAGAGAGGCTGAATAATTGTGTATAACTGTGCATAGCCACTTAGCCAGCTTTGACTGAATTCTTATTGCTTTCCACTTAAAATGAGTATTCCAGTGGTTTTCCAGCCCCCTTCACCCACCGGTGGGTGGGGCTGCCATACCCAATACCTGACTATCCAGTGTTTAGGCTGTTGGGGAGGTATGACAAATCAGGTGGGAATGTTTGGGAAAAACCCACCTGGGTAGTCCTTGCAAATGCTATCAACGACTACATAAATCTAGTGCTGCTATTAAGAACTGAGTCTCTGTATTAAATAGTAGAGATGTGAACATTCCACACTGCTGTCCTAATCCTATACTCCTTAGTCCATGCCAATTTAAAGGGCACAGGAAGTTGAAAAGCCTAGCCAACCATTTTTATCCTAAACCAGTCATTGCAAATGAAAATATGCACTCAGGGATGCAACTTCTGACAATCAGTTGAAGTAGATTCCACAGAAACCAAATGACATTAGTATTAGCTTAATTCAAGTGTAATCAGGAAGGTGAATTAATTTCAAAAAGAGGGCCAGGCACAGTGGCTCATGCATGTAATCCCAGCTCTTTGGGAAGCCAAGGTGGGAGGATCATTTGAGGCCAGGAATTTGAGACCAATCTGGGCAATATAGCAACATCCCACCTTTACAATTTTTTTTTTAAATAGCCAGGCATGGTGGTGCACAACTGTAGTCCCAGCTACTTGGGAGGCTGAGGCGGGAGGATCGTTTGAGCCCAGGAGTTCGAGGCTGCAATGAGCTATGATCACGCCAGTGCACTCTAACCTGGGTGACAGCACAAGACCCTGTCTCAAATATACATATATATACATATACATACATATACATATACATACTAAAAACATATTTTAAAGCATAACATCCCTGCTTCTTCACCACCTCTTTAATGGAAATAATAATATTATTAACAACTAGAATTTGCTTAGCTACAAAGGGTACTGTGTGTATAATATGCCATTTAAATCTTCTAACAACCTATTGAATAAAGTAATTTACTATCCCCATTTTAAAGATGAGGAAACTGAGACTTGGAGGGACTAAATCATTGTATATCAATGTGCCTAATCAGACAGTGAGTGGGAGGGCCAAGATTTGAATCCCAGTCTATCTGACCACTTTCCTGCCTCTAATACTCGTCAATGCTCTCAGCTGGCTCCCCACCCTGCCTCTCAAGAGGAAGTTCATCAGGTTTCCAGCAATAGAGATTGTAATGATCAAATCAGCAGAGAGGGGGGCAGAATTGACAGATGATTCTAGAGCAGATGATCCCATTTAGCCCTTGAAAATGAAACTTCTCTGAAGAAAAGTAGCCACCCCACCCCCATACTTTAGTTGGTCAACCTACAGTAGAATGAACTACTGAGGAAAGCAGCATTTCTAACTTAGCAGCAAATAACAGTCCAAATTTTAAACAAAACGAGGCGAGGCACAGTGGCTTATGCCTTGTAATCCCAGCACTTTGGGAGGCCGAGGCAGGCAGATCATTTGAGGTCAGGAGTTCGAGACCAGCCTGGCCAACATGGTGAAACACCTTCTCTATGAAAATACAAAAATTAGCTGGGCGTGATGGCACACACATACAATCACAGCTACTCGTGAGGCTGAGGCAGCAGAATTGCTTGAACCCGAGAGGCAGAGGTTGCAGTGAGCCGAGATCGTGCCACTGCACTCCAGCCTGGGCAACAGAGTGAGACTTTGTCTCAAACAACAACAACAACAACAAAAAGTTTACCCTCCCAGGGTGTACTGGCTTCTTTGCATCTTGGAAAAGCATTCACAGTAAAACATATTGGGATTTAATGTTACCCAATAATAATGATAGGCTAAGATAATGTAGTTACCATGTATCGTGCTCTTGCTAAAAGGCAGGCACAGTGATAGGCATTTGAAATATCTCATGCTGTCTATCTAACTCACAACAATTCCATAGGTAAGTACTTCCTTTCATCTCATTTTTCAGATAAGGAAACAAAGCATCCAAGATGTGAAATAATTTGCCAATTTCATACAGCTACTAAGCGGTAGAGTTGGGATTTGAACCTGCATTGTTCCAAAACGTTTCCTCTCTCCAACTACAGCTGCAGTTCCTGTTATGACCTGCTTCTATCCCAATCAGTTTCTCCTGCCCCGTTTCGAGCAAGGCACCACAATCCGGACTTCCTACCCAGAAACCTGAGAGTCTTGTCTTGTCTTCACATTTGGTAGCGCCCACATCTAATCAGTCAACGTATACTATCGACTCTAATTCCATTATCAGTCAAAAGTGTCCCCTCCTGTTTGGATCCTTTACCAGCAGACTACAGGAATGGAAAGAAATCACCACCACCATGAGGGCGTTAGGAATGATAAAAGAGCATTTATGGTCAGGCATGGTGGCTCACGCCTGTAGTCTCAGCACTTTGGGAGGCTGAGGCAGGTGGATCACTTGAGGTCAGGAGTTCGAGACCAACCTGGCCAACGTGGTGAAACCCCATCTCTACTAAAAATAAAAAATTAGTCAGTGTGGTGGCACGTCCCTGTAGTCCCAGCTACTCAGGAGGCTGAGGCAGGAGAATCACTTGAACCCAGGAGGTGGAGGCTGCGGTGAGCCAAGATCACGCCACTGCACTCCAGCCTGGGCAACAAGAGAGAAACTCCATCTCAAAAAAAAAAAAAAAAAGAGCATTTGTATGTGAAAACCACTTGAAACATAACTACAGGTTTAACTTTCCCCATTACAGGCAGGAGGGGAAAAAAAAACACAATAAATTATATTTTGAAATTTTTAAGTCTTACTCCTACTCTCATTGAAAAATACCCCCACATCTCTTGTGGCTATGAAAATTGATACAACCTTTTTGAAAAATAATTTGGCCATATATATCAAGAGCCATAAAAATGTTCATCCCCTTTGACCCGGTAATCCCACTCCCAGGAATTTATCCGAGGGAAATCATTCAAAATAAGAAGAAGAAAAAAGAGCTAGTTGTGTACAGATGTTGGTTACCTCTTTGTAATCGTAAGAATCTAAAAGCAAAATAAATGTAGAATTATAGTGGAATAGTGGAGCCAATTTCAGTGTAGTTAACTCAATGGTATATTAGGCAGTTGCAAAAATAATAAATATGGGCACTAGGTAGAACCTAGGAAAAATACACAGGAAATAATGCCGAATGAAATATATATGTTCTGTAATTATAACTACATAAAAACATATATTTTTACAGATGAAACATGAAAGGGGTC
This sequence comes from Homo sapiens, assembly GCF_000001405.40. Classification (NCBI taxonomy): domain Eukaryota; kingdom Metazoa; phylum Chordata; class Mammalia; order Primates; family Hominidae; genus Homo; species Homo sapiens. The sequence continues at coordinate 65,438,084 of NC_000017.11, forward strand.
ATGGAGGAATGTAAACAATGCATATGATTGATTAGCGGGATTACAGACACGGCTTCTTTGATGCTTTAGAGTTGGATGAAAATGTTATAAAGCCTTTTGGAAGCTCCCTAATGAAGGGAGTGGTGGTGACCATGAGAAGCGACCCCAGCCCCAGACCTGGGGAGGGAAGGGGCTTCCTGCTGCTTTCTGTGCCACGTGTAGGGAGGTTGGCCAGCCCCGCAGACAAGACCATGACTGCTCTACGGTAGGCACAGCCGGCAGAACCCTCAGAGGCTTTTCCCGTCTTGGGCTGGGATGTTGGTTTAGCAGAGTAGCGACAGAATCAACTCCTTGTCTCCCTGGCTTCTGGGTCTGTGAGAGCAACCTGAGGCTCTCATTTTACCAAGGTCGGGGACTGGATACGGACCCTCCCCTTAGGATAAAGCCTGTCCAAGTTCCAAACAGCAAGCAGAAGCGCGGTCAGGCCTCCCAGCCAAGGTGAGGAACCCCAGATAAGGATCCCGGTGAGGGCCAGTGGAAGATCAGAGAGATGCGGCAAAGCTCCCACAGAAAGGATTCAAACCCCAAAAAGCCTTGAGCCTGGCCTCACTGCCCACTGCCCCATCAGGGGGTGATCGAGCGGCAGTGCCAACCTAGTGCCCAGCCAATCTGCTCCTCAGCTGAGCCCACTCAGCCGTCCCACACGGCAGGGCCCTCTTCCCTCTTGCATGCCTCTCCCTCCATTTTATCCTCCTCTTTTCAGCCCTCCTTGACCCCAGACCTGTGAATGACACACACTTAAGGACACAGCATAGTCCCTCAGTGGGACCCAATGCTGAGTGATGAGTGACTCATTAGGAGCAGTCCTTGCAGATGCAGTGTTACATTCATCCATCATGTCCCTGCTGAGCAATTCCAGATCTGGCCATTTGCTGGAGGCATGGTCGAGGCTCTCCCCAGCGCCATCCTGTGAGTAAACACCCCTTCGTCACAAACAGGATGCGTGCCGACACTGGCTTTCATCTGGCTGCACACAGAAGGGATGGAGAATCCAGGCTTTGGCTGATCAAAACAGTGGGCAGGAAGCCAGCAGGGGTCCATTGTCCCTCTCTGCCACCCTGGACTTTGCTCCCACACAGCTGCCTTTGGATTTTTAAACAGCATTTGTTCAGGAGACAGTGTTTTTGCCAAGGCTGGCACTGGACTCAAAGGAGTTGGAAAGTGGGTAGCTCAGAATCACCATGATTCCTCTTAGCTCTTCCCTCTCTTGGCACGTGTCCTCTGCGTCCACAAGAAGATGGACAGGTCCCACTTACCGAGAAACTTGTGGAGAAGAGGCCAGAATTAATTAACGAGAAGATGTTGTTATAAACATTTGCTTAAGAAATGCACTCATTACTTTCACGCCCAAAGATAAATTAAATCAGGCAAATCCAGGAGAGACTAGGAAAGAAACTGCTTCAAGGATATCAGAAAAATGAGGCGTTTCTGCCTATCGTTTATAGATCGGTAGGTCCACCTAAGTTCTCAAGGGCATTTAAAAAATGAAAAGCACTTTGTTTGTTTGTTTGTTTTGAGACGGAGTCTCACTCTGTCACCCAGGCTGGAATGCAGTGGCATGATCTCAGCTCACTGCAACCTCCACCTCCCGGGCTCAAGTGATTCTCCTGCCTCTGCCTCCCAAGTAGCTGGGACTGCAGGTGTGTGCCACCACACTGGGCTAATTTTTGTATTTTTTTGTAGAGATGGGGTTTTACCATGTTGGCCAGGCTGGTCTTGAACTCCTGACCTCAGGTGATCCGCCCGCCTTGGCCTCCCAAACTGCAGGGATTACAGGTGTGAGCCAACACGCCCAGCCCCAAAAAGCACTTTTACATATTCCATTTGAACTCTTCTTATACTTTGCAGCATTTGGTGGTGGTGGTTTTTGTTAATTTAAGGCAGCATTTCTCAACCTGGGCACAATTGACATTAGAGGCTGGATCATTCTTTGTTGTGAGGGACAGTCCTGTGCTGTCAGGAATGTTTAGCAATATCCCTGGCCTCCCCTCACCTGATCATGTTAACACCCCCTCGGTTGTGATGAGCAAGTATGTCTCTAGACGTTCCCAAATGTCCCCTGGGCAATAAAACTGCCCCCTCCTCCTTTGAGAACCATTGATTTAGGAGGAAGAAGAAGTTAAGGAGGAGAAAGTTTGCTAATTCAAAGTAAAATTCAACCTAGCTCCTGCATAAGATCATCACTTCTTTATAAAGAGACAGATTTTTATGAATGGGATATTGTGGTGCTTTATATTGGAGTTTGACTAGAAAGGCAAAGTTTCTAATGCTGTAATCTCCAGAGGAAAAGCATTCACTGGAAAAGGCAAAGCTGTTAACGTTGGTTGTATAGGCACATCTGAAATGTCCCTGCTTTTTAAATGACCCCTGTTTGGGCAGGTTTGCTTACAAACTTACACAGCAGACAAAGTAAGGACATTTCTTTTACGAAAAAAGATTCATCTTATGGCTCCTTGAAATGAGCCCCCTTAGAACTTTTCTAGTTCTTAGTGTTGGGTGTTATTAACTTGACAGACTGTCTAGGCTGCAGAGAAGCTGCGAATATTAATAGAAATGAAGAAAGCATTTATAAAATTCTTATTCACATCAATTTTGTGTAAAGTGATATCTCTCTAATGGTTTTACCCCTGCCTTTTTCAGCTAACATCTATTGGCCAAACTGGGGTTCAAAACAAAGGATCAGGTCTCTGAAAGTATTGCTCATTTTACAGGGATTCACCCTTTGAACACTGTCTGGGCCTAACCTAGACACTCGGTAGTAATGACAAAAGAGTAAAGTATTAGTTACCCATGTTCAAGGTGCACGTGATCTGTTTGGAGAAGCAGAACATGCACTTTTTAACCAACTATGGAAAACGAGTCAGACAACAAGTGAACTCTCCTTTTATGGTTGGCACTGAGAAGAACATTCTTCCAAACAGGTGAAGTAAATCAAAGTAGACTTCCTGGAAAAGGGGGCTTTGAGTCAGGCATGGATCAGCAGAGAGTCTCTGCATACCCCTGCTGGATCCCAGGGAACACTGCTGATCACCAGAGCCTGAATAAGCAGTAACTTCAACCTTCTCACTTTTTCCTCCCCTCTTTCCTGTGCCTGGCAGATCCTTTTCTGGGGGTTGCAGTGGGTATAGCCGTCTCCTAATCATGTGATCGCATCCTCCTGGCCACAGTTGGTTGGTTCAGGGGGTGGGCATCTGACCCAACCTGAAACCATGCAAATTCCCTCCTCTGGGAATTTGGAAAATGAACTACAAGCTTACATTTCCTGTGACTCCAAGTCACATCCTGTTTATCTAGCAAACACATATAATGCTTACTATGTACCAGGCACTGTCCTAAGTGGTTCATAAATACAAATTCATTGAATCCTCATAAAAGTTTTATGAAGTAGATACTATCATTGTCCCTCATTTTACAGATGGGCACACAGAGGTACAGAGAAGTTAAGTAACTTGCCCAAAGACACACAGCTGGTAAGGGGCAGAGCTACTAACCATGTTGCTTGGGGAATTAAAAATAAGCACAGGCCAGGAGCAGTGGCTCATGCCTGTAATCCCAGCACTTTAGGAAGCCGTGGCGTGTGGATCATCTAAGGTCAGAAGTTTGAGACCAGCCTGGTCAACATAGTGAAACCTTGTCTCTACTAAAAATACAAAAATTAGTTGGGCGTGGTGGCGGGCACCTGTAATCCCAGCTACTCAAGAGGCTGAGGCAGGAGAATCACTTGAACCTGGGAGGTGGAAGTTGCAGTGAGTCAAGATCGCACCACTACACTCCAGCCTGGGCAATAGAGAGAGACTTCTTCTCAAAATAAAATAAAATAAAATATCAGCACATCCAAAGCTGGAATCGGGCTTCTCGTCCCATTTCTGTCACTTTCGATTTGCCCTCGCGTAAATTGCTTAGCTTTGCTGCGCCCAGTTTCCTCAGCTGTAAAAGACAAGGGTGGATTACATCAGTGTTTTCCAAAGTGTGGTGTGGTGTAGATACTGGTGGGATGAGAGATTATAATTTTTTTTCATAGCTATATATTTATCTTCATGTATATTAGAAAGGACACATAATAGATGATAGATGGATGGGTAGATAGATAGATAGATAGATAGATTTTACATACATATAGATATCCCCAAACCTGTGGTATCACAAATAGTATTGCTTGAGATGAAACCAGAGTGGGTAGTAACATCATAGTTTAGAAGTGAGTTCAGGAAACAGTATCGTACAATGGGAAACGTGGCCCTTGACGTTCACATGTACCTGCACTGCCTGAGTCAACATGGTTTCAGTGGGGATGACTCCATTCCTGCACGCCAAGGTGCATTTATGACCCAAGCCGGCCACAGTGATTGTCCTGGGGAAGGACACGTGATTCAAGAGGACAAGTGAGGCCCCCTGGGGACTTTTGCTGGGCCAATCAGGAAAGCCTGGTGCTGCCAAGGGCATCTGCCACCACCCAGAGAGGACAGAGGCAAGGCAGAGACACCTTTAAAGGCTGGAAGAGGGAGAGGAGGGCCTGTGAACATGCCATCTAACCTCAGAGCCAGTGGAGCTGGCATTACATACCCCCGGGGTTTTCCCTTACCTAAGGCAACACAGTTTTCTCTGTGCTTTCCACTGACTCTAGTTTGAATTTGTTTTTTGTCCCTTGCTAATAGTTTTGATGAACACAGGTAGGCAATGCAGTCTTAGGATTTAGTGAAGAATTGCTACTTTCTAGTACCAGGTGGTGACACCCAGTTTAAAAAGCCACAATGACTTCAGTGGAGAGAAAGGACAGACATCACAGCTTCCATGCTGAAAGTGATGACTCTGTCTCAGGCAGCATGGGGGAGAGAAGAGAGGCCAATTTTGGCAATGACTATCCTCAGCCTCGGTTTCCTCCTCTGCAGAGTGGGAATAACAATATCTCCTATGAATGGACATCCTAGGGCCAAATGGCATAACAGAAGCAAGCTATCTAATGAAGTTTCTTAAGTCCACAAAAGGTAGCTATTACTATGTTGTGCCAGGAGTTTTATATAAAGTATTGTACCAAATTCCATGTGATCCTCACCACAATCCTATACTTTAAAATCACCAGCTTTACTCCAGAGAAACTGGGATTCAAAGAGGTTGGGTGACTTGCTGTCAAGCAAACAGCCAATAAAGAACAGAGCTGTCCTTCAAGCCAGCTCTAGCAGACACCACCCAAGGCTGGGTGATGGTGAATATCCCAAGGTTTTGGAAGCAAGACTCCAAGGAGCCAGTCATCAGGGGCAAAGGAATGTGAAAGCCACTGGTGGGGGCAAGTGAACCAGACAAGATAGCAGAGGAAATTCCCCGAGAGCTCTCCTTACTTCCTGCCCACTTTGGAAAGTTCCTTGGAAAATCCTGGGGCTCAGATTTGGAGGAAAGTCAGCTTTGTGGAACAAAGGCATAAAATAATCCAGCAAAGCACCCAGCCCCGATGCATCAGGAGGAACTAACATTAATACACGGCCACAGATCCCAGATGTTGTTATGGTTGGATTACACGGACTTGGAAAGTTCAGGCATGAGATGCCTGAATGATAACAATAGAAAACAGATCAAAAGCCCAAAGAAAGAAATCAAGAGAAATGAAAAACAGAAGGAACTGCAGGGGAAGATGAAAGAGGAGAATTATAATTTGACACTGAAGGGGAGCCAGTGTTTAAGGTTTTTCTGGAAGTTGACCCACAGCCAGATGAGAATTTTGTAGCATTATTGGCAGTATGAAGTTACAATCCTTGAGCTCTTTTGTAGACTTTGGGGACCTCAGGGTTAAAAGACTTCCCTGAGAATCTCCTAAATCCACCTCTTCCTTTAAATCATCCTGGAGGTGTTCAGTGCCTGAATCTTCATAGACCTTGTCATATTCAGCTCGTCCATCAATACCAGGGAGAGCAGCAAGGTATAGGAGGAATTGAAGCTAAGGTTGTACAATCCCCCCGGCCACAATCCCATAAGAGTCTCTTTGCTCCAAATGTCAGAAAACTCCCAGTTTCTCGGTTCAGGTAATAGAGAACCTAATTTACACTGACAAACAAAAAAGGAAATGAATTGACTCAGAAAACCGAACAGTTGAGAGAGGTCTAACTAGCTTCAGGTATGGTTTGATCCAGGAGTTCAAAAGATGTCACAGGGCTCAGTATCTCCATTTCACTCCATATTTGCTTTTGTCTCAAGCTCCACGTGGTGACAAAATGGCAAATTTCATATTTGTATTCTCCCATGTTTGAGTCCAACAGAAAGAGAATATGCCTTTCTCCCAAAAGTCTAAGCACTAGGCTCATCAAGACCCGTTGGCTCTAATAGGGTCTTATGCCCATCCCAGTGGCTAGAGGAATATGATGCTCTGATTGGCCAGGCCTGTACCTAGAACTAGTAGCAAAGTCAACTCCATCCCCAGCCTGAGAACGGAGAGTGGAAGACAAGTGTTTCCCCGAGAAAAAGTGAATTGCATCATTAGGAGTTGGTAAATGAATGCTGGGAATCAAAAAATAATGGGTGTCTACTATTTCCCATCCCACCTCTGTCTCCTGCATGTGACTCTCTTTTGCAATTTTCTCTCCTCACAAGAAAATAAGAAGTAACAGCATTATCATCTGGTCCTGAAATATCAATGGCATATACAATTTCTCCTTGTCAATTAAAAATCTAAAGCCCAAGTCATTTTACATTTGCTTTTCCAAAATGTATTAAATTGGATGCCTTTAAGTCTTTATGTACAGTACATAAATAAACAAATAAAAATATACCAGCAGCGGCAGGGCACAGTGGCTCATGCCTGTAATCCCAGCACTTTGGGAGGCCGAGGCAGGCAGATCCCTGGAGTTCAGGAGTTTGAGACCAGCCTGGGCAACATGGTGAAATCCTATCTTTACAAAAAATTTTAAAAATTAGCTGGGTGTGGTGGCATGCACCTGTAGTCCCAGCCACTTGGGAGGCTGAGATGGGAGGATTGATTGAGCCCGGGAGGTCGAGGCTGCAGTGAGCCATGATCACCACTCACTGCACTCAAGCCTGGGATATATATCATCCACATAAGAACCACTCGTTGACATCTGCTTTTGACCATGCAGTGTCTTAAGCACTAGGGGATACAAAAGGGATACAAGAACCCAGTTCCTGTTGCTGAGAAGCCCACACTCTAATAAGGTTTAGGGGAACATTGGCCTTAACGGCAAAATATCAACCTGAAGTTTCTCATTACACTTTTTCAGTTTTTTAATTAAGTCTCTCAGAAAGAGACCTGTCCTGGCACCCTTCCATCCCTCAAATTTTAACCAATGGCTTGACAGTTAATAACATATTTTTACATTTATTTTTGTATCTGAGACTCCCAATATCTCTAGGAGGGTTGATTCTATTTTTAATTGGCATTTTATGGATAAAGGAGAGAAAAGTTCAGACAGGTTGAGTGACTTGCATGGAGTCACACAACTAAAAAGTGATTATACCCAAACTTGACATCCGCTCCCTCATTCCTACCCCTAGTCATGTGAAACTACCTGAAGTCAAAAACATTGTCACTAACGCTGGATACAGAGGAAGCCAGAGGTCCACCAAGAGGCTGTCCCAAGACAGAAGAGCTCAGAAGCCATCTGAGGTCCATGCTGTTATTTTGCATTCTGTACTACTCAAGTCACATGGATAAAAACACAAGCTTTCCTCCATCATTCTCAGCAAGCTAACACGGAAACAGAAAACCAAACACTGCATGTTCTCACTCATAAGTGGGAGGAGAACAATGAGAAGACACGGACACAGGGAGGGGAACATCACACAATGGGGCCTGTCAGAGGGTTGGGGGCAAAGGGAGGGAGAGCATTAGGACAAACGCCTAATGCATACAGGGCTTAAAACCTAGATGACGGGTTGACAGGTGCAGCAAACCACCATGGCACATGTATACCTATGTAACAAACCTGCACATTCTGCACATGTATCCAAGAACTTAAGATAAAATTTAAAAAAAAACTGTAAACCTTCCTAAAATGGAACAAGGAAACAACAGCCTTTATTTCTTTGTTTGGTTGGCCTGTCTACTGGATGCCAGGCTCTGGGCCAAGCCCTGGGATTACCCAGACGCAATGAGTCCCTGTCCTCCAGGAATACACGTTCTTGGGAAGTGGAAGAGAAGGACTCTTGACAAAGCCATGTGATGAAGGCAATGGTTAAGAAGTGCCCAGGCAGCTCAGGGAGCTGGGAGGAATATACCTGCTCAGACTGGGAAGGCTGCAGGAAGAGGGAGAAGGTGGGAGTCTGTCAGGTAGCAGGGTTGGACATGGGAAAGAAGGTCCGTGTGAACTGAAGTGAAGAGTAGGAACAGGGGTCAGGGAGATGAGGCTGGTGATTCTGGCAAAGCTTAAATGGGCACAAAGGAGATGGCCTGACTGACCCTTGAAGGCCATCGGCAGCTCCAAAGAGGACAGAGGCTTTTATTGTTTTGGGTTCCTTCCAGATGCAGTGCAGTAGGTGGGTTGGACATGGGCACGTGTGCAGGTGGAGAGAGCTGTTAGGAAGCTGTCAAAGTTATCCAGGTGAGAACTAATGGCCACCGAAGCTAAGCAGTGCTGGGGCCATGGGGAGAAATACTCAGGTTGGAGAAGGATTCCAGGGCAAGTTCAGACAAGGCCAGGAGGGCTGCTATGGGGGAGCAGGAGAGTGGAGATTCAGATGTGGCAACCAGGGTCCCAGCACAAGTGGCGCTTTTGTGAGAGGGGTGGAGGGCAAGAGAGAGGAAGATATGAGATATTTTATGATGTTTTGAGATTGTGGTGCCCACAGGAAAGAAACGGGACAAGTCCAGTGCGCTGTGGAATACAGAGGAGTGGGGCTTCCAACCTGGGCTGGAAAGACAGCTGGGAGTCATCCCAGGATGTCCACAGCCACGAATGTGAGTGGTGACTAGAGCACTAGATTGAATGTATCACTCAGGGGAGAGTTTACAGAACAAGAAACAGGCCAAGTATAAAGTCCCAGGAGACAAATAAAGGGGTATGAAGAAAACCTGGAGAGAGGGGTGACCTAGGAGCCCAAGAAGGGAAAGCTTCTTAAGGAGAGGGTAATAGTCAAAGCCTGCGGGAAAATTGGTCAGATAAGGACTAAACAGTGCTTACTGGATTTTGCAATAAAGAAGTCCCTAGCTTTGCTGGCAAGCATGTCAGGGAAATGGTGGGACTGGCAGCCAGCACGCAGTTGATGGATAGGAAGATGGTAGGTGATGACATGGCCTTGTGGCTGAGGACAACTCTTTCAGGAAGCTTGGCAGGGAAGGGACGGAGAGAGATAGGGCCACAGGATGGAGAGAGGGTTTAAGGCTTAGAGGTTTAGGCTGTTGTCATTTTAAGAGAGTGAAAGGCTTGGACATGTTTATAGGATGCCTAAGGACCCTCAGCAGGTGGGAAGAGGATTGATTCTGAGTTTAGAAGGCAGGATGCACCTCCTCTTCTGAGGCTGGAGGAAGGAAGAGAAGGGAGCATCAAGATTTAGATAAATGTGGCCGTGTGAAGACAAGATGTCGAGAGAGGTCAGCCTGATAAGCTGGATTTTCTCAAAGAATTAGGGGGCAGAAGTGTTTGCCAAAAGTGAGGGGACAAGCATGGGGTGACCAGGCTAGCTCTGAGACAGTGGTAAAGATTCTGAGCAGCACCAGAGGGGAACAAGAGAGGCAGCTGAGCAGTGCCAGAACCATGGAGCTTAAAGGCTCTGAGGTTCCTAGTGGACCAGAGCAGCCCAGTTGTATGGTTTTCCAATCTTTTGATCTGGAATTCATGGCAAGATCAGTAGGGACTGGGCCGAAATATCTTGCTTATGAAGAAAGAATGAGCTAAACCAATAAAGACAATAAAATTAAATTAAAGAGAAATGTTTAATCTACTCGAGGGAACAAACTTTTCAGCATTTTGGCAGGACCTGTCTACAGTCCAAGTGATAGGATTATATAAAAAGACACTCATCCATTCATTGAGGTAGGTCTGCAGAATTTCTACTTGACAACACCTCTTAACCTGGATTGCTTTACTAAATGCTTTTGGAAGTAAAATCTTCCCAAATGTACCCTAATTTATACTTTTCAATAATTCAGATGGGGCAATGGGAATTACTAAAAATGCCTATCTTAAAATTTAATAGAATTTTACATTTTAACAAATTAATGCTAAGAACTGAAATACCAGCATACTGGAAAGTTAAAGTCACGTAAGGTATGCAGGCAGCACTCTGGATATGTGCTTTAGACTCGGAGCAACAGTCAACGTACCCCTCAACCCAAAACAGAGTCACTACAGGGAAGGACTAGGGAGGGTGAGCAAAGGCCCATCCTCCCAGCCCTTAGGAGCACTGTATTCTGTAAGATAAGAATGAGGGTGGGGGTAGGAAAGAGACCCAACCTCCCTGATAGAGACCACTGAAAGGAGCTGCTGTTAATTAGCAGGCACCCTGGTTGGTGACAAAAGCAAGAGTCCATGTTTATTGAGGATCCCCTCTAGTTTGACTTTGTGCTAAAGAATTTACACTGGGCTATCTTAGGTGATTCAAACAACAGCTTATGATCTACTTATGGTCCTCATTTTGGAGATGAAAAAATGGCGATCTATTGAGGTGTAGGGTACATCTAAGGTTTCACAGTCAGGAGGGGGCAGAGCCAGGACAGAAGCCCAGATTTATCGTTTTCAAGGCCAGAGTTCTAAACCACGGTGCCTTACTGCTTCTAACCTTACATGAAGTCACCACTGCCCACATTTCTGGCCGTCTCAGAGAGGCCCAAGCACCTACAGACAAGCCCATGGGCTTTGAAGCAGGCACTGAGTTCCGAGCATAAATATTAACATAACTGTGTGGGGGCCACTTAGTGACAGGAACTTTCAATGGAAAAGGTGGTTGCTCTTTTCCAAGCATGATATCTTATAGCTGGGGTGCTGTAAGATGTGAGAGAGGGAGAGTCAACAAGATTGTGTGCCCAGCACAAGGAAGGCACTCAGTTATGTCGTAGAGGTGAGAAAAGAGAAGCAACTTTGGCAGGAGGGGAGGAGGTAAGAAAGATTCCTGGCTACTGAGCTTGAGATAGCAGGTTTCTTCTTTCTACAAACATGTATGCAGTTCCTAACATTTGAGTTCCTAACATTCTTAACTGCAGAAGGAACTTATGCAGTTCCTAACAGGTGCCAGATTCTTTTCTAGGCAATGAAATGATTGAGGGGAGGGGGTGGAGACTGTGCCTGACCTCAGAGAACCACAGTCTAGACCAGCAAGGACGGCACCCTTACAATAAAGTATGAAGATGCCATGGCCAAGGACACCTGGGGCATAGAGTATAAAGAAAGAGTGGGAAATTCAGCTTGGGGGTGAGGGTTAGGGATGGACAGATTTTAAGGGGGTTCCGTGAGCCCCACCTGTTTGTATCTATGCCCTTGTGGGTCCCTTCCCCTTGAGTGTGGGCATAACCTGTTAATCACCTCTGGTCTACAGAATGTGGCAAAGGTGAAGAGATGTGCATGACCACGTGTATGTGACTAAGTTTACAAAGCCCGTCTTGTGAAGAGACTTCCTCTTCTTTGCTAGCTTGAAAGAAGCCTGCTGCCAGTTGTGAGCTACCATCCAGAGAAGGCCACATGACAAAGAGCTGAGGGCAGCCTCCAGCTGACAGCTAACAAAAACAAAACAAAACAACTGAAGGCTTTAATTCAGCAGCCTGCAAGGAACTGAATGCCGCCAAGAAACACATGAGCCTAGAAGAAGATCCTTCCCCAGTTTAGCCTCAGAGGAGACTGCAGCCCCAGATGACACCTCTATTGTAGCCTTGTGAGACCCTAAGCAGAGAACCCAGATAAACTGTGCTCAAACTCTTGACCCACAGAAACTTTAAGATAAAGAATGCCTGTTGTTTTAAGCAGCCATATTTGTGATAATATTGTCACGCACCGATAGATAATTAATATGGGGGCCAAAGGGACCTTCCTAGAAGATGGAATCTTAATGTCTTTCTTTCCCAAACTTTAGCCATTTGGCTCTACCTTTCACAGAAAGACTAGTCTATCCTCTAGGGTGATTCCTCTTCTCGGGTTTTTCGAAACAGCCCAGGTTTTATGTGCTATTCCTATTTTCTAAATAAAAGTGATTCCTTCTATGTACAATAAAATTTAATAGAAAATACATCATTCATGTCCTAATTTGTATACCAGTGTAATACATTTTGGTGGGAAAAAAACCCTCGCAATTCAGGAAAACAATTTTTATCAGCCTATGTTTCTTCATTTGGGGTTTGGAAAATACAATTTCACCTTTCCTTTTTCTGACACTGGGGAAAGCCACAAATGTACTAAAGTTGCAGTTTCGGAAACTGAGTACAATGTTCAGGTAAGAAAGTTTGCTGGCTCAAGCAAATGGCATTCTGTCTAAACTACAGGCCAGTTCGACATGATTTCTAAGGAAAGAGAGGCTATTCTTGCCAAGTGGCCACAGTCATGCCTAAGCGTACAGGAGGCAAGCCTAGTTGGCCAACCCAGAGGGAAAGAGAAAATGCAACAAGTTAGATGGTGAGAGTTTCCCAAGAAGTTACTTTTTTTTGAGACAAGATTCTCACTCTATTGCCCAGGCTGGAGTGCAGTGGCTCGATCTCGGCTCACTGCAACCTCCACCTCCCGGGTTCAAGCGATTCTCGTGCCTCAGCCTCCCAAGTAGCTGGGACTACAAGTGCACGCCACCACGCCTGACTAATTTTTGTATTTTTTTTTAGCAGAGTCAGGGTTTCACCATGTTGCCCAGGCTGGTCTCAAACTCCTGAGCTTAGGCAATCTGCCCTCCTCGGCCTCCCAAAGTGCTAGGATTATAGGCGTGAGCCACAGCACCTGGCCAGTTACCTTGGGTTTTGAAAGCAGAAGGGATAGAAAAGAGGCTCTGGAAGAAACCAGGGCAATGCGGATGCTGGATTTCAGGGAGTGCTTGGAATGAAAACAGTTAAGGGAAAATGCAGCCAGATGCTTGAAATGAACTATGGGTATGAGAAGGAAACAGCAGAGAGGAGGGTCTGGGTGTCAAAAGGACACGGGGATAGATGTGCCTGCCTCTGGGACAAAGGAATAGGCAAAGAGCAGGGCAAGAGAGAAAACAAGTAGAGACACAGAGGGCAAAGAAGGAAGAGGACAATGTTGCCCAATGCAAAAGATTCCCAGAAAGATCAACAAGAATATGCAGAAGCAAATGGAGCACCATAACATAAATGCCACAGAAGCAGGGTTTTATCTATTTTGGTCATTGCCATATCCTAGGCCTCAACTCTGTCTGCCACAGACACTCAATAAATATTACTGACTGACTAAACAAAGACTGAAAGAAGTGGGAGAAGATAAAACTAAGATACCAACGGTGAGGCAGAAGAGAGGTTTTACTCAGTTCATCCATCCATCCATTCCATCCACAAACAGTTGTTGACTCTTTTCTTTGGGCTCAGCACTATAATCATCGGGAATAAAGCCACAATCAAAAGAGCCAAGACACCCTGCTCTTGGGAAGTTCACATTCTACTTGGGAAAGACAGGTGTCATACAGGCAAGCAAAGAAAGTAAATACAAAATTTTAAAAATGCTATGAAGGAAGCGAATCAGGATTCAGTAGGGGAGAGTAATTGGGTAGGGGGCAATGAGCATGTGGTCAGAGAAGATCTGGCAGAAGAAGAGGCTGCTGTTGGAGCTAGAATAAGATGATAAGCAGTAGCCAGTTATATGAAGAGATAGTAAAAGTGCATCCCAGTCAGGGTGAACAGCAAACATGGTCTCTGCTGTGAGCTGAATGTTGTGTCACCCCAGGATTCTATGTTGAGACCTAATCCCCTATGTAATGGTATTTGGAGGTGGGGCCTTTGAGAGATAGTTAGGTCATGAGGGTAGATCCCTTATGAATTGGACCTAGTGTCCTTGTAAGAAGAGACATGCAAGAGCTGATTTCTTTCTTGGCTGTGTGAGGTTATAAGAAGGTGGCTGTCTACACACAAGGAGGAAAATGCTCACAGACACCAAATCTGCCAATGCCTTGATCTTGGACTTCCCAGCCTCCAGAACTGTGAGAAATAAATGTTTACTGTTTCAGACATTCAGTCTATGGCATTTTCATTATAGCAACCCAAACTAAGACACTCTCAAAGATGGAAATCCATTTAGGCACACAGAGGGACAGCAAACAGTCCATGTGGGTACAGTAGTGTTCAAAGCGGGGGGGCGTGTAAGGTGAAGTCCTGATGCTAGCAGGAACCAGATGGTGTAAATGGCAAGGAACTTGAGAAGATAACAGGGGTGAATAAATGATGTCATCTGACTTACTTACTTGAAAGTCACTCTTGTGTCAGGGTTGTGAAGGGGCAAAAATAGAAATGAGGAGACAACATAAGGGGACTGATGAGAGAGGACAGTGGCTTCCACCACTGCAAATGGTGGCCCTGGGGAGCAGAGAAGTGGGCAGGCTTATGACCTGCTTACTGTTATTATCGCCCTCATTTCGGAGATGAAGAAATGGAGATCTATTGAACGTACCTTGGAAAAGGAGTGGACCCATCTTGCTGAAATGTTCAAACAAACTGGAAAGGAAGAGAATAGATCAAGAACGGCTGGCATGTTCCTAGCTAAGAACTGGATGGATGGCAATGCCATAGCATGAGATGGGTAAGGGCTGATGGGGACCATGCTGAGGAGGGTGCTCCTTGGGGAGATATGCAGAGTTCCATTTAGGACTGGTTGAGTTGAGATGTCCATTGAACATCTAAATGGAGACGTCTACCCACTTGGGTGGATTGGGAGTTATGGGCCCATATGACACCATGCAGAGAGTGTAGAGAGAGAAAGCCATTGATTTAAAAACAAGGTTTTTTTAACAAGACAGTTTTTTCCAGGCCGGGCGCGGTGGCTCATGCCTATAATCCCAGCACTTTGGGAGGCCAAGGCGGGTGGATCATGAGGTCAAGAGATCAAGGCCAGCCTAGCCAATATGGTGAAACCCCGTCTCTGCTAAAAACACAAAAATTAGCTGGGGGTGGTGACACGTGCCTGTAGTCCCAGCTACTCAGGAGGCTAAGGCAGGAGAATCACTTGAACCTGGGAGGCAGAGATTGCAGTGAGCCGAGATCATGCCATTGCACTCCAGCCTGGTGACAGGGTGATACTCTGTCTCAAAAAAAAAAAAGACAGTTTTTTCCCCCTTTCAAATTAGCTAAAATGAAAAAGAATGGAAAAGACTCTGTTTCTCAGTTTTGGCAAAGATGTGGCAAAATGGACACTCTTTCAAACACGGCTACCAAGTGAGCAACAGAGCAATGTGTATTTAATGCCTTAAAAGTCAATATATCCTTAAACCCAGCAACTACAGTTCTAGGGATTTGGTGGGGAGGGGGGGATGTGGAATGTGCACAAATATGTCTATCCATCTGTATGCTCATGGTAGCTTTCTTTAAATATTGAGAAATAGAGTAGTTCAGTACAATGGAGTACCACACAGCCATTAAAAAAATGATGTGGTAAAATTTTACTATTGTGTCAGAGACAATAACGAAAGATTTTGAAATGAGCAAAGGGGTATGGAATGTCATTTGCATGGAATGCTTCGTGGCATCTAGTGGGCCCTTTGAGGTAATCTGATTCTATAGGTGTCTCCACCTTGCATTGTCTTTGATGAGGCTGTTTTGCAACTCTCCAAGTTGAAAAAAAAAAAAAAGGCAGTCATTCAAATCAATCTTATTCATAGAAATACAAATGAATTTTGCCCTAATTGTTGCTAATTGTTGTCCACCCTGCAGAAAATATGATTCCAAATGTAACATTTTATGGCCGTGGAGATAGTAACCCGCTTTGCATCTGTTAACAAATCATTTTGGATATTTCTGATGGCCTACAGGCTACAGTTTCAATGTGTCCCCTCCAAAATTCTGGTGTTAAAAATTAATGGCAAGTATGCTAGCGTTAACAGGTATGAGCCTTTAAGAGGTGATTAGGTCTTGAGGGTCTCTTGCTCGTGAATGAAATTAAGACCCTTATAAAAGAAGCTTTATATAGCAGTCAGCTCTCTTGCCCTCCACCTTCCCCACATGAGGATACAGCGTTCCTTCCCTCCAGAGGATACAGCAACGCGGTACCATCTTAGAAACAGAGACTAGGCCCTCACCAGCCTTCATCTTGGACTCCCCAGCCTCTAAAACTGAGAGAAAGTAAATTTCTGTTCTTTATAAATTAACCAGCCTCAGGCCAGGCGCAGTGGCTCATGCCTGCCGGGCATGAGCATTATAAATATTATAATTTATAATATAATATAATATAAATTATATTATTTATATAATATAAATGCTACAGACCAAGGACTGGAAAACTATGGGTTGCCAGGCAAATCTGGCCTGCCAACTATTTTTGTAAATAAAATTTTATTGGAACACAGACACGTCCATTTCTCTTCATATTGGTTTTGTACTATAGCAGCAAGGTTGAGAAGTTGCAACAGAGGCCTTATGGCCTGCAAAGCAAAGAATATTTACTATCTGGTTCTTTAATGTTAATGTTTACTGACTTCTGCTATAAATGAAAAACTATTACAAAGCAGGACTCCAAAAATGCATTTTATGTGCATACACAACACACACACACACACACACACACACACACACACACAGAGTCGAAAGTGCAGGAGGGTATAGGTATACAGTAAAACATTTTCTAGGAATCATTGTGGATTTGAACATCTTGCCTTTATACTCCACCCGCCAGTCATGACAGAATCCTCTGAATACTAAAGGGAAGTCCAACCTTAGAATTCTCATAAAATGTTTAATATAAAGTTATTTAAAATGATTCATGAAAGCTGCAAGATGGGGTGGACTTGGAATCAGGTAACTAGTTTGTCCAAGCTTGCCCAAGACTTATCCAGTTTTAAAACTAAAAAGTCCCATGCCCAGAGAACCTCATCACTCCCAGGCAAACTGGGGCCACTGATCACTCCAGCGGGAAATCGTATACTATCGTGGCTTAGGTCCTAGATCTGCTACTCACCAGCCACTTGACACCATTTACCCTGTCTAAGCTGCACTTACTTCAACTGCAAATATATACTCCCCTGTTCTGATATCACCGTGAGTATGAAGTGAGTTAGTGCATGCATGTGTGTTCAGTAAACCATGATGGCAAACAAAAAAAAAAAAGGTCATTATCACTTGGTCCCCTACATAAAATGATGCAACGGCTGGACATTGTGTGACATTACAACATAGATAGGATGAGAGGAAATTACCTAGAAGGTTGTCATGTAATTATAAGGTTACCACATAATATAATTTGTTGTCTAAACCAGGACAGTGTTGAGAGTGGAAGGGGCACCCAATAATGACATTGGCATAACAGGAGTAAACCAAGCCCATCCTGGGCAAGCCTGTACATAGTGTCAGGGACCACAGGGTAACATGGCGTTAAGGCTGGCTTCATGGGTGTCAACCTGTACAGTCACACACGGCCTCACACTCAGAGGGCCGTGTGCTTGGTTTCATGCTCTGATACTTCAGAGCGTGAAAAATTGCTCTTGAAATGCCGTCTTGAAATTCTTAATAATTTTTCAATATGGGGCCTCACGTTTTCATTTTGTGCTAGGCCCTGCAAATGATGTAACCGATCCTGCTTAGGGAGAATCCTACTGGGCAGCGAGACCAGATGGCATGACCTCTGAAACCCATTCCAGGCCTAGGCAGCTAAGCTTCCCCAAGGAGAAAGTTTCAGTTTTAACATCAGCTAGTTCAGATCCCCTGGAGTTAAAAATAACAGTCCATGATGAAGGAAAGGATGGAGGCTGGGGTCCCCAGGCGTCCTCCCTGCCCACTCAGAGCAGATACCGGCCTGCTGTGAGGAGCCTGCCAACACAAGCTCAGAGGTGCTGCTCAGGTTCCACCTCACGCCTGTTTGAACTCTGATTTCATCCGTGGCCAACTTTTCTGCAACCTGGTAAAGGCTTGGGCAACTCAGCAGCCAGATGAACCCTAGAGGGCACTGGAGTGTTAGCCATCCCTCAAAGTTAAACTTACCAATCTGGCAACCCCCAGCCCCACTAATGCTGCGAATGCCATTTATGGGGCTTTCAAGGGCAATAACTGTAAAATCCAGCTCACTGTCT
This sequence comes from Homo sapiens, assembly GCF_000001405.40. NCBI lineage: Eukaryota > Metazoa > Chordata > Mammalia > Primates > Hominidae > Homo > Homo sapiens. Next base: position 65,456,255 of record NC_000017.11, read on the forward strand.
TAACAAACCAGAACAAAGCCGGGTGGCATTGCCAGAGAACTGCAGCTGCTTGCACTGCAACTAAAAAGTCGATCTTAAACTCTGGGGCGAACCCTAGAAAAGACAGCAAGAAGTAAACCAATAGAAAAACCACTCCAGGTTTATTCTGGAGAAGGGAAGGGGCCGTGGACACTGACCGTTTTCAGGTTGCACCTCCCAGAGCCCCAGTCATTCCCATTAGTTACAACAGACTTTCCCAACCCCAGTGCTACTGACTTTTGGGCTGGATCACGCTTTGTTGTGGGAGCTGTCCTGTGCACTGAAGAATGTTTAGCAGTGTCCCTGCCCTCTGCCCAGAGAGGCCAGTACCACTTCCCCCACTCTCCCACACATTGTGACAATCCAAAACTGTCTCCAGACTTTGTCACATGTCCCCTGGGGTGCAAAATTGCTTTCAGTTGAGAAGACCTTGTTTACGGCATAAAAGATCGTCTACATGAATGTTGATTATGGGAATCAAATGAGTTTAGAATGGTTCATCCTCTTAGGACAGTACCTAACAAGTTAAGCACTATATAAGTATTTGTTAAATAAATGAAAAGATTGCACCCCACTACCCCCACCCAGCCCACATGCCAGCAGGAGCGCCCCACTCACCCTACATAGCAATCATTCCATGCGCTTCTCTGTGTCTCTACAGCACCTCCACCTCTATTTTTTGCTTTTGCCTCTATTTATAGCTCTGCCACTTGCTACCAGGGCAAATGTCTTCACTTCTCTGAGTTTCTCAGCTGAAAACAGAACATCTTATTCATCTCATGGAATTGTTTTGATAATTAAATGTGTTCCTGTATGACAGGCACCTGCAACAGTGGCTTGCACACAGTAGGTGCTCAGGGCCTAATGAAGAGGTATTGTTTTTACCACCCAACATTGCCTGACAGGTGTTTGAACAAAAAATGCACCTACATTGCATGGACACTGTGTGTGTGTTTAGGACTAGAAACTTGGCACTGGATTCCAAAGAACAACATGGGATTTTTCTTTCTCTTCCCTCTCTCGCTTATAAATGAGGGCACAGCTGGGTTCTGTGATAAAATGCCCAACTCCACCTGCTCTAGATGTTGCAAAGGTAAGTTTGGGCTCCTATAATTCTGCTCTGTGACACACCTGCTTCTGCAGCTCCTTCCTGGGGTGGGGAGTGGGGTGGGGACACCTGATCATAGGGTGAGCAAGCGGCTCACCAGGACCGAGGGGGTTTCAGGGAGGTGGGACTTTCAGTGCTAAAACCCAGAATGTGCTGGCCCAACCAGGATAAGTTGATCACCCTCCCTGAGAGTTTGGGATTCTATGAGGACTCCTGTCTAGAGTGCAGCGCCACTGCGAGGGTGGTCCTTTATTGTCAGAAACCTCATTCCCAGAAGGAGACATGCAGTGGAAACTGAGCGTCCTCTGCCCTGCGGTGCCCAGCTCCATTCAAGGCAAGCTTGGTCCCTCTGGCTTTCACGGGGATGTGAACACCTTGCCAGGCTCCTCTCTGCTCCTTCCTCACTCCTTGGCACTGGCCTTGGCATCCTCTAGCTGAGCCCAGGTCCTGTCCCTGAAGAGCTGCCGCCCCAGCCCCACTGCCAGCACAACCCCTCCCACCCCACCTGTCCCAGGGCCACCTGTGCTCACTTCGGCTCTATCTCTGCTTGGGGGCCACTCTAACACTGGTTCTCTTTTCACCTTAAAAAGAGTTGCTGGAACCAAACCCCAGTGACTTGTCAGCATTCACGCCACTCCTTCCAAACCCTCCAGAAAGCACACCTGTGGATGAGAGGCGCAATTAACGTTATCAGTCGTGAAGGATCAGAAGGAAAACCCAGTGGCCGTTGGGAATTGTGAGTGCCATAACCACTTCAAGCATTTGGGGTTTTGTTTTATTTTCTCTGGCCTGGAGGGGTGTGGAGAGGGGCCATATATAAGACAAAGCCAGTTTTCTCTTTTTGAGACAGAGTCTCCTTCCGTCACCCAAGCTGGAGCGCAGTGACGCAATCTCAGCTCACTGCAACCTCTGCCTCCTGGGTTCAAGCAATTCTCATGCCTCAGCCTCCCGAGTGGCTGGGACTACAGGTACACCCCATAATGCCCGGCTAATTTTTTGTATTTTTAGTAGAGATGGTGTTTCGCCATGTTGGGCAGACTAGACTCGAACTCCTGACCTCAAGTGATCTACCCACCTTGGCTTCCCAAAGTGCTGGAATTCCAGGTGTGAGCCACTGTACCCAGCCCACTTCAAATTTACCACTCCAGACCTTTGTTCTAGATGGGGAGAACTGGACCCTATGGGAAATCATACGGATCTGAAATTCACCCCGGAAACTGACCTGGGGTGAGGACAACAGGTGGAATGAAACCCCAAGCAGACCCTATAGAGGCAAGGAAGGAGATTGAGACCCTTCTGCAGAAAGCTGTTATGAGCCTAGAATTTTAACTTATGCTATTGACACCATGCCAAGCACCCAAGGAAAAGGAAAGAGAAGAACCTACACCGCCTCCTCCTTGCTAGTGAGTGAGGTAAAATGATCTGGGGAGGAAAAAAAACAAAAAAAATGAGGTGAGAAACACCAGATGGAGCAGAGAGACTGCCCAGAAATTGCTGCTTTTGTCAACCTAGATTTGTTTGCAGGTGAGTGCAGTGTTGATAGAAAGCAAGTCTATTTCCAGAGGGGATCCCCAGGATCTCCTATCAAAGAGCAAGCTCTGGAGCTAGTCCCCAGATGCAGACAGATCTACTGACCGAACCACGATCACTCCAACCCCAATCTCCCAAGAGGTTCTGAGGATACAATAGTTCTCAATCCTTAGGTACACACATTGTTCACAGGGAGTGACTCGGTGGTTATTAATGGCTTATTAGGCTGTTCTTGGAGGTAATTTACATCTCGTTTGAGCCTCTGCTTTTCAGGCATTTTTCTGCAAATGGCTGTAGGCTTTTTTCTAAAAAAAAAAAAAGAAACTAAATCCATTGAATACTCATGCATATTCTCCAAAATGCCTTAAATCAGTACCTAAAACTTGAAACTAGTTTTTCCCCCATTGAAGAAATTATCTGGCCCTGATCTCTCTTACTTGCTGTCCTGTGATTGAAAAGAACTTTTGTGGGGGAATTTTTAAAATAATTGCCACCAAATACTTCAAATGGAATTCAGATAGCAGTCTATTTCACGTTTCATGCTTTTGTGACATTCTTGCTCAGGAATGAATCTTTTATGAAAGGTCTATTTTAAGTTGCACCTTCCAGAACTTTATTTTTGTCTCTGAAAGAAAGAGGCAGAGCAGAACCTGGATTCTTCCAATTCACCGATTTACTGTGAGCTTAGGATTGGCTCTCCTGGGGGTCGGCGGGGTGGGGGGTGATGGGCTTCCAGCAGAGGTGGGGGGCACTGGCTTTGCACTCAGCCTTGCCGTTTTTTTTCAATCAGGCTGTTTTATTCAACTGAAAACAACCCCCCGAGGATTTAAGCACGCCTTCTCGCGCTTTCTCCAGCTCCTCCCTGAAGGTGGAAAAACTCACTTGATCTTAAGCACCAACTGCTGTCCGGTCAAATTTCTCACCTCTGCCAGGGAGCCATGCCTTCGAGTTCCCAGCGCCTCGTGGGGTCTGCAGGCTGGTTGTGGCCTCTGTCAGCGGACCCAGAGTTGTTTTTCCAGGTGTGGGGGAGGGCTTCCCCTGAGCCTTCTCCGCCCACTCCTGTCTGTTCATTCCACAGATTTTTTTACTACCTTCCTTAAGAGAAAGTATCTAAAAACTCATAAATGAGGCAAAAAGACACCTTCATGCCCTTTCCCCAAAGCCACCCTAGCATTGTGTAATAAGTCCTGTGTTAGATTGGGTTCCCTTGATACCGACTCTGAGACAGGCAGGTGCAAGACCAGGGTGTACTGGGGCTGCTCTGGGGAGGAACTCTTGTGGAAAGGGAGGCATGGGTGAGGGTGAAGCTCACCCGCAGTGAGGCTGCCGCTGAGGCCTCAGCCTGTCCCATGGAAAGCTCTGGAGCCCAGGTGGCCATCGGTGTTGTTGCAAATTAAGGCAAGAGCACCAGGCTTTGTATCACCTGTTCAAGACCAACCAGAAGTAAGGGAGGGAAGGTATACACGTGGGGGAGGAAGTTTCCTTCCATCTCAGGTGATTTCCAGGTAAGAACAGAGCTGTAAGCCATCTACCCATATCAGCAGCTGATACTCCCAGCAGCTGTGGGGACAGGGCTGAACCCCAAAGAGGGGATCTGGGTAATACCCGAGGGTCCGTCAATGTGAAGGGATGGGCACTTTGACTTAGTACTTATTGCTGATTAAGGCCCAGATTCTAGATGCTAACTTAAAGGAAATTGCTAAGTTGCAAATAATGTTTGTCTGGTAGAGATGCAAACAATTCCTGTCTGATAGAAAAGATAGCCCCGGGCTGGGCACGGTGGCTCATGCCTGTGAGCCACTTTGGGAGGCCGAGGCAGGGGGATCACCTGAGGCCAGGAGTTCCAGACAAGCCTGGCGAACATTGCGAAACCCCGACTGTACTAAAAATACAAAACAATTAGCCGGGCGTGGTGGCAGGCACCTGTGATCCTAGCTACTCTGAAGGCTGAGGCAGGAGAATTGCTTAAGCCAGGGAAGCGGAGGCTGCAGTGAGCCAAGATCGCGCCACTGCACTCCAGCCTGGGCCACAAGAGTGCAACTCCATCTCAAAAAAAAAAAAAAAAAAAAAAAAGATAGCCCCGAAGGTTATAGTTTCATTGTCCTATATATAGGACATAAACCAGTTTTGAATTTGATTTAGCAAAACCATTTTCAGTACTCCCTCTTTCAATGGCTACATCTACGTGAGTCTGTCATATACTCCTGGGACCAATGTTACCATCCTGCTGGTTTCCTACTCTCTTGCCTCACCCTAGTCCTGGCCCCAGCCCCCATGTTCCCTATATTTGCCTGAGTCATGTTTTCAACATTTTTTTTTTTTCGAGACAGGGCCTTGCTCCATTGCCCAGGCTGGAGTGTTGTGATTATAGCTCACTGCAGCCTTGGCTTCCCAGGCTCAAGCAATCCTCCCACCTTAGCCTCCTGAGTAGCTGGGGCCACAGGCATATACCACCACACCTGGCTAATTTTTTTTTAATTTTTAGTAGAGATTGGGTCTTGCAGTGTTGCCCAGGCTGGTCTCGAACTCCTGCACTCAAGTGATCCTCCCACCTTGGCCTCCCAGAGTGCTGGGATTCCAGGTATGAGCCACTGCACCGAGACATGTTTTCAACTTTGACATCTGTGAGTGCCTCCTCTAGAAACGGTGTTGATGCAGCCACCCTCTGGTGAGCTCTGGTGATTTGTCAGGGTCTGTACCTCACTCTAGATGTGATCAGAGGTAGACACGTGCCTACTATGATCCAGGCGTTGTCCCAGATGCAAGGATGAAGCCAAGAGGCTCTACAGGTGTGTTGCAGCTGAGACCCTAGGGCCAGTCAAAGCTGGGCTCAAACCTCACTGCTCACTGTTAGCCATGTGATCCCGAACAAATGATTGAGCCTGTCTAAGCCTCAGTTTTCATATCCTTAAAATAAGGCTAGTAACAATGAGTGCCTTGAGGAACTAATGCCCATAAAATGCTTTGTCTAGGGAATACTATATTCAATGAATGGCAGATATTATCAATAACCATTCTCTATTTTTATTGTGGTAAAATGTATGACAAAATTCACCATTTTAATCATTTTCAAGTGTACAGTTCAGTGGAATTAAGTCCATTCACATTGTGGTACAACCATGACCACCACCCATCTCCAGAATGTATTCACCTTTCCAAACTGATCCTTTGTGCCCATTAAACACTAACTCTCCATTCCCCTCTCCCTCCAGTCCTGGGTATTCACTATTCCACTCTCTGCCTCTATGAATTTGGCTACTCTGGGTACATCTTATAAGTGGAATCATACACTATTTGTCCTGTTGTGTCTGGCTTTTTTCACTTAGCATGATGTCCTCAATGATGTTGTAGCAGTATCAGAATTTCATTCCTTTTAAGGCTGAAAATATTCCATTGTATGCCTGTATATCACTTTGTGTTTATCCAATTCCTCCATCAACCAACATTTGGGTTGTTTCTACCTTTTGGCTATTGTGGCTAATGCTGCTACGAACACAGGGACACAAATATCTGTTCAAGTATCTTCTTTTGATTCTTTTTGGCATATACCTAGAAATGGAATAACTGGATTGGATAGTAATTCTATATTTAATTATTTGAGAAGCATCCATACTGCTTTCCATAATGACTGCATTATTTCACATTCCTGCTAGCGACGCACAAGAATGTTAACTTTCCCACGTCCTCATCAACACTTGTTATTATTTTCTGTTTTTTGTTTTTTTATAACAGGCATCCTAATTGGTGCAAACTGGTATCTCATCATGGTTTTTATTTGCATTATTTGCATTTTCCTAATGATTAGTGATAGCGAGCATCTTTTCACATGTCTGTTAGCCATTTGCATATCTTCTTTGGAGAAATGTCTACTCCAGCTCTTTGCCCATGACTCTCATTGGGTTGTTTGTATTTTGTTGATGTTGAGGGGTAGGACTACTAGCTCTTCTTTTTTTTTTTTTTTTAATTGAGACGGAGTCTCGCTCTGTCACCCAGGCTGCTCTGTCACCCAGGCTGGAGTGCAGTGCTGCAATCTCAGCTCACTGCAAGCTCCACCTCCCGGGTTCACACCATTCTCCTGCCTCAGCCTCCCGAGTAGCTGGGACTACAGGCGCCCACCAACACGCCCGGCTAATTTTTTGTATTTTTAGTAGAGACGGAGTTTCACCTGGTAGCCAGGATGGTCTTGATCTCCTGACCTTGTGATCCGCCCGTCTCGACCTCCCAAAGTCCTGGGATTACAGGCGTGAGCCACCGCGCCGGGCACTACTAGCTCTTCTTAAGAGGAGGAAAGCCACTCTGTGTCCTCCCAACAAACACTCATACACACACTCCAGGCGATGGCCATAGAGTCGAGCCAATGGGACAGAACCCTGAAACACAAAGCAAGGAAGTGCTGCAGCAGTGCACGGACTTGCCTGGAAATCAGCCCCATGAGTCAGGGGTACAGGCTGTACTCATAAGCGGGATACTCCAGCCAGCCTCTGAGCACACTGGGACATTGGTTTCATGAGTGCAGCACACTCTAACCCAGTGAGATAAGAGGCTACAGATGAAGCAACTCAAATACCAAGACAACTTGGCTCAGCACCCGCTGGGAGAGGACGTGGTCTTTTCACTCCAGCTTCTGTACTGGGCTCGTCAATCTCACCTTGCTGAGAAGCTGAACAAACCCGGGCCTGCTCTTCTCACCCTACCTGATGCCAAGGCGATGAGGTAGCCAGTGACCAGGAATGTCTGAGCTTAAAATAGAGATGCCCTGTGCCAAAATGAAGGCTTTCCTTTGGAGTAAGTAGAAGCACCCTGATGTCTTCTAAAAGTCTGGTCCGGTTTCTTTGGGCCATGCATCTAGCCCAGAGCCTGGAACATTAGAAGGGGTTTAACAAAAGTTGCATAGAACTTTATGGCCCTGGGTGAAACCTGGGGAGAGCCCACAGAAAAGTGACTCTCCCCCTTTGTAATGAAAATCAAGGCACCCGCCTTCCTGAAAATCTGACATCCTCACAGCCATCTGAAATCGTTTCCATGGCAAAGCAATGAACAACACATTATATTCATATTAATTTTCTAGGGCTGCCATAACAAAATACCACAGGCGGGGTGGCTGAAACACCAGAAAAAGTTCTGGAGCCTAGAAATCAAGCTCAAGGTGTTGGCATGGGTGGTTTGTTCTGAGGGCTGCCAGGGGAAATCTGTTCCGTGCCGCTCACCTGACTTCCGGTGGTTTGTATTCTTTGGTGTTCTTCGGCTTCTACTGCTTCACCTCAATCCTGGCTTCACCTTCACGTGGTATTCTCCCTGTGCTTCTGTGACTTTCCATAGTCATCTTCCTATATGACGCCAGTCATACTGGACAAGTGGCCTGTCCTTCTCCAGTACAGCCTCATCTCAACTTAATTACATCTGCAATTACCCTGTTCCCAAATTAGGTCACCTTCTGCAGGACTAGGGGTTAAGACTTCAACATATGAATTTTGGGGGACACGATTCAACCCATAACAGCATCCAAAATCTATTTCAGCCTGTATCAAAACATCTTACGTACCCCTAAATATATACACCTATTATGTACCCACAAACAATTTTTTTAAGTAAAAGAAAATTTAAAAATGAAATCTATATCTGTCACCTCTTTTCATTCGGAAAAGCCACAAAATAGCAATGATAATATTTCCCAAATAATGTTTGCAGAAGGTTTCTTTTCATTTGGGGAATCCCTACCCCCTAGCACAGGCCTTATAGAAAAGGTAACAACACAGGTTTCAGAGTCAAACAGGCTTTGCCTTGAAGCCCGGCCTCACCATTTCCTTCCTGGATGACCTAGAATGTGTTACTTAACCTCTCTAAGGATCAGATTTCTCATTTATATACAGAAGATAAAAATATTGGGTTGGTGCAAAAGTAATTGCAAAACCCACAATTACTTTTGCATCAACACTAATAATCAAATTGCAGAGTTGTTGGGGCAAAGAAGGTAACATGTATTACTAATCCATAATAAAAGCTTAGATGCATCAGTGTGGGAGAATGCTAATTGCCGCCTTTTCTCGTAGCAATAGAGACCCCAATTTTTAGTGGTATATGACTACCCAACTTCTCCATGCTGCTAAGTGTGATCCTGTGGCCAAGTTCAGCCAATGGCATTGAAGTACACGCGTCAAGTGGCAGCTTCTAGGAATCTTCACTAAAGCGAACGCTGTGCACACTCTGACTTTCTTCATTATCTCTTCCACCTGTCTGTTGTTGATGGACATGATGGCTGGAGCTGGAGCTGCCACCTTAGACCATGAGGTGACACTGGGAATGGAGACATGTATGGTGGACCAACAAGACAGAAGGAATCCAGGTCCATAATGCTTCCTAGAGCAGAGCCCCACACCCATCCTGGACCACCTGCCTCTGAGGTTTTATGGGAGAAAGAAACAAATTAGCATCTTATTTAAGCTGCTGTTACTTGGGCAGGGGCGGCCACTATTACTTGGCAGCTGAACCTAATCCTGACTGATACAGTTGGGTCCTTTCCCTGGCTCATACCAAGTGATCCTTAAATGTGTGTTGAATTGGATTATGCCTGTGGTGTTGCATCCAATTTCACAAGTTTCCATAGTTGGACTTCAGGGTTAGGCGTTCTGTCTCTGAAGAGCAGAGGGGCAGGTGCCTCTCCTTCAATCCATGTCCCTGTGCAAGTAGTGGTGAGTTTGTGACTCAGAATAAAAACCCCTCTAGCCCTTTGAGCACAACGGAGCCTGTTACTGAAGGCCTGTGCGGTAGTTTGTTCTATTTGCAGTAGAATGAGGGTGGGTAAGAGGGACGAAGAGAAAGAAGTAGAGAAAAAGCAAAGCAGTTCTCTGTGCCATTCCACTTTCTCTCCCAATCTCCCAGGAATAGGGATACTATTTCTTTTTTTAATATAGTGCTTTTTTTTTGTAGAAATACAGGGTCTCACTAGGTTGCCCAGACTAGATTCAAACTCCCGGGTTCAAGTGATCCTCCTGCCTCAGCCTCCCAAGTAGCTGGGACTACAGGCATGCTCCACCATGCCTGGTGCAGAGTTGCTATTTCTTGAATACAGTTTATATCCATGATTACCAATCCTGCAGGCCAGAGAACATTTACCCTGCTTTGTACACAGTGTTCTACGGTTTGCTCAAGGCTCACAGCTATGGAACCACAGAGCCAGGATTGGAGTCCACGTCTGCTGGGCTTCAAAACCTGAGCTCTCCTCAAACCCACATATTATACATCTCCCCCAAAACCTATCCATCTTGCTGTTTGGAAAAACTTGTAATCCCAGGCCTGCAATCAAGTTGTTCTGAGTTGCTGTGACAGCAGGAGCCCACCACAATCCAGGACACACAAGGTGGCGGAGAGGATGGGCTTCCAAATGCTGGGATATCAAAGTACAAATCCCTGCTCTCCGGCTCAGCATTTGTGTGACTTTGGGTACATTCCTCGGCCTCTCCATATTCATTTCTTCATCTGCAAGCAGTAAGAACACCCATCTCAAGGGTTTTCCATGAAGGCTAAGTTTTAACCAATGTGATAACTTATATAAAGTGTCTGGCAAAAGAAGGAGCTTGTATTAGTCCATTCTCACGCTGCTATAAGGACATATCCAAGACTGGGTAATATATAAAGGAAAGAGGTTTCATTGACTCACAGTTCCACAGGGCTGGGGAGGCCTCAGGAAACTGACAATCATGGTGGAAGGGGAGGCAAACACGTCCTTCTTCATATGGTGGCAGCAAGGAGAAGTGCAGAGCGAGGCAGGGAAAGGCCCCTTTTAAAACCGTCAGATCTCATGAGAACTCACTCACTGTCATGAGAATAGTATGGGGGGAATCACCCCCATGATTCAATTATCTCCCTGTGGTCCCACCACCTGGGATTATTACAATTCAAGATGAAACTTTGGGTGGGGACATAGCCAAACCACATCCGAGTTCAATAAGTATAACTAGTAACTCTCTTCCCCTTGGTTTTTTCTAGAAATTCTGCCTAGTAAGAAATACGCGGGAACACATGGGGCAAATCTAACTGGTCCCTCCAAACCACCCTCAAGCCCTTTCTGCCTCTTGCATGGCATCCTGGGAGAGTGGATAGAGATGAGTTAGAGAATTGGAAGGCCCACGAGCCAGTCCTGTCTCGGCCACTTGCCAGCTGGGTGACCTTGGGCAAGAAATATAACCTCTCTGGAGACCTGGAGATTGCACACTGAAAGAATTTTATAAATGATAAAGGGCTGGTCAAACAAAGATGGTGGCACAGCTCTCAGATGTAGCGTGGGGATAGAAGCCATCACTCCACATGTTTTATTTTTAGAGGACAGCTGGACAAAGGACTCTCCTCCACAAAAGACTAGGGAAGGCAGTTTGGTTAATGGTCCTTCACCCACAGGCCAAAAGGTGAAAGGTCACAGCAAGGCCTTGTCTACCAGGAGGATTCCTGCTGGGAGGCCTGGGGGCTGGCCGCCCTTGCAGGCCCAGAGCGACTGGTTTTCCAACCAAATAAAAGGACACTTTGTATTCAGGATTCTAGGGAAGAATAAAGAGAAGGAGGAGAGTGGCGAGACTGAGGCTCCCAGAGTCTCCCCCTTGCTTCCTCACTAACTGAGCAGAATCCAGTGGCTCATTTAATGGCGGCCATCATTGCTATTATTAGTTAATACCTACTGAACACTATCTAGGGCCCAGCATGGTGCTAGATAAGCACTGTCTCATTGAACCTTCATGACTGCCCAGTGCAAGGTTGATATACATTAATTAAGCTCCTCATTTGGCTGATCTGGCAACTGAAGTTAGAGGCACTTCCCTGCCTGACTCCAGGTATGTGGCATCCTATGTAAATGCTCACCACCAATGTGCCATCCTATGTAAGTGCTCACCACCAGTGTGCCATCCTATTAGTTGTCCATCACCAATGTGCCATCCTATGTAGGTGCTCATCACCAATGTGCCATCCTATGTAAATGCTCACCACCAATGTGCCACCCTATGTAATTGCCCATCACCAGTGTGCCATCCTATGTAGTTGTCTATCACCAATGTGCCATCCTATGTAGGTGCTCATCACCAATGTGCCATCCTATGTAAATGCTCACCACCAATGTGCCACCCTATGTAATTGCCCATCACCAGTGTGCCATCCTATGTAGTTGTCTATCACCAATGTGCCATCCTATGTAGGTGCTCATCACCAATGTGCCATCCTATGTAAATGCTCACCACCAATGTGCCATCCTATGTAAATGCTTACCCATTACCTGCGTGCCATCCTACATAAGTGCTTGCTCATCACCTGCATGCCATCCTATGTGAGTGCTCATCACCTGTGTGCCATCCTATGTAAGTGCTCACCACCCATATGCCATCCTATGTAAGTGTGGCTCATCACCTGTATGCCAACCTGTATAAGTGCTCACAACCCATGTTCCATCCTACGTAAGTGTGGCTCATTACCTGTGTGCCATCCTATGTAAGTGTGGCTCATTACCTGTGTGCCATCCTATGTACGTGCTCACCACCCACATGTCATCCTATATGAGTGCTCATCACCCGCATAACATCTTATGTAAGTCCTCATTACCTGCATGCCATCCTACATAAGTAAGTACTCATCACCCGCATGTCATCTTATGTAACTGCTCATCACCCAAGTGACGTCCTACATAAGTGCTTACTATAGGTCAGGGTGTATCAGTGAAGCACTGAGGAGATAGAAATGATCCTGCAAAGTGCCTGGGTCATAGTCCATGAAGTGGGCAAAGGCCTAACAGAAAGAGGGTCACACACAGGGCTTACAGGACCCCACATCCTATCTCCTCCTTGTTCCTATGCTCAGTTTTGGAACCACCACCCACAAACTACCCCAGGATTCTAGAATCACGGGGTGCAGGGTCTCCTTCTCCCCTCCCCTACACTCAGCCACTTGTCCAGGCCAATCATTCTGATGCAAGGTCAAGCTGCAGGTGCTAGGCTTAGGAGTGACTGACAGTCTTTATTATTGGGTCCTATCACTGAGCGTCGGAAGGCAACCAGTACCAGTTTTGTTACAAGGAAAGGAACAAGACGGAGAAAAGGAGCTGGGTGCAGTGGTGCATGACTGCAGTCTCAGGCACTCAGGTGGCTGAGGCAAGAGGATCATTTAGTCCAGGAGTTCAAGATGAGCCTGGGCAACCTGGTGAGAACCTGTCTCAAAACCAAAGCAAAACAAAACAAAGATCAAGAAAAGGGCAGGTCATTGCAAATACAGAGTGAACTTCTTGGGCATCTTCACTTAACTGGTGATATCACAGGCTCTCATTTCATCCTCTCAACAGTTCTGGGATGTGATTGGTGTCCCTATTTCATAGACAAGGAATCTGAAGATCAGAAAGTGAAGAAACTTGCCTAGGATCACACAGTGAGGAAGTGGGCAAGCCAGATGTCCCATTCCAGTTCATTTCCATCTAGATCTACAGAGCAGGGAGAAGGAAGCCATTAATCAGGCTTGTAATAGATGCTTGTAAAAGATGCTTCCAAAAAGACTTCTAAGAGGAGGGGCTTCTTGGGCTTAGGGGTAAACAGAATGGGTTTGGAAGTCAGGCTGCCTGGGTTTGAGTCCTATCTCCACATTCACTAGCTTCCAGACCTCAGTTTCCTCTTGTAAAAAAAAGGTGATAATAGCAACTACTTCTTGGGGATTGTTGTGAAAATTAAATAAGCAAATGAAGATAAAGCACTAGAATAATGTTTGAAACACAGTAGCCCAGGCACTATTCTATCATTGAAAAGTAATAATATTATTCCCACTATATGACTATTGAAGGAAGATCATAATTTGTTGAGCATCTATTCTGTGCCAGGTACCATGACTGAGGGTATTTCTATTATCACCACTCCACATTATAATACTACAAAGTAAGTGTGGTTATTATCCCCAGATAGAGAAAACCAAAACCCAAGAAGAATATGGTAGCCAGCCTCCACGGTGCTCCTCTGGTATTCATGTCCTGCTGTGACCTTCTCCCACATCAAATAGGGCGGATCCATGTAACCAATAGGATGTGGTGGAAACAAGGGTGCGTGACTTCTGAGGCTACATCATAGAAGACATGGAAGCTCCCATCACTTTCTTAGATGGCTAACTTTGGGGAGGCCAGCCGCCATGTCATGAGGACACTCAAGCAGCCCTGTGTGGAGGCTGGCATGGGGAGAAACTGAGGCCTCTTGTCAATGGCCAGCACCAATTTGCCAAGTAAGTGAGCTGCCAAGGTAGTAGATTCTCCAACTTCAGCTGACGTGTTTACCACAGCCTCATGCAAGACCTGTAGCCAGAACCACCCAGGAAAGCCACTCTTAAATTCCTCACCATAGAAACTGAGAGATTAAAAAAAAAAATTAAGCCTCTCTCTCTCTTCCTTCCTCTCTCTCTCCCCCCCTCCCTCTCTCTCTCTCTCTCTCCCTCTCTCTCTCTCTCCCTCTCTTTTCAGTGATGGGGTCTTGCCCTGTTGCCCAGGCTGGAGTGCCATGGGGCAATCATAGCTGACTGCATCCTCAAACTCCTGGGCTCAAGCGATCCTCCTACCTGAGCATCCTAAGTAGTTTTTTTGTTTTTAAGTCTCTAAGGGTTGGGTAACGTGTTACAGAGAAAATGACAGTGAATACAGAGGATGGACAATATGCATGAGAGTAAGATTGAGATGCAGGTGTGCCTGGCTCCAAGTCCATGCCCATAAACCCTACATCATGAAAAAGAAGGAGAAGGATATTCGGGTTGTGCCATACGCCTTCCTCCCCTAGCCCCTTTAACCAGAGTCCAGCTGGCTGGGGAATAATGGCACACGAAGACACCATGCTGAAGGCTAGAGCCAGTCCAGACCTGGCTCAAGAGGAGAGGTGGGGCTGCCCAGGGGCTGGAGGCAGCTGGCTGTCTGCCTCCCTCCTTGTTTTGGGAGGCCCTGCGGAGAGGAAGGGGTATTCACCTTGTTTGGAAGCTGCCCACTCAGGCCAGTGGCCATGGCAACCCTCACCATTCAGAGCTACTCCTCCAAGCCTGGAACTGCCCAGAGTACCAGCTGCCACCCTCGTATGTACCCACCACGGCCCAGTCTGCCACCTTCCTCCAGGCAGAGCCTCCCACAGCTGCTGGAGCCTCCCCTAGGAGCTCCACTGGGGAGAAGCAGAGGTCCTCTCCTACCCCTTAGCCCTGGGGTCTGGAATTCAACCCTCCCCCACTCTGTTCCCAGTTGCCCTCTGTTTGACAAGAGGAGCTTGGAAACCACCTCGATCCAGTCCTCAAACTCCCCTTCCCCTGTGCCGCTCTGAATTCCAGGCTATCCCCACGATATAGCCAAAGCACCCTGGCTTGCTTTGAAAGTGTCTGGGGAGTTTTTGATCCCCTGAAAAAAAAAGGCATTTATTATCAGAGACTGTTTGTACCATATTTTAGTGTCCTCAAGAGACAAAGAGAATTCTCTCTGCAGTTGAGTAAGCTTCAAAATAGAAAATCGGAGGGTGGGGTAGGTGACGGCCAAAAAGCAATCATTTATCAACCAGCGGGGAAGCAGGGACCGTAAACCTCTTTGGTGGCTGCAGGTTTCATCACAGCCTGACTTATGCACCTGACTCTGGAGAGGAGGTGAGAATGGGGTGTGCAGAAGTCAGTGGGTCCCGCAGTCTTCCCTCCTTCAGCGTTGGTGGCCACAGTCTGTCTGTGGTCACTTGCCCCCACAGCCCCCTGCTCTGCCTTCCATTTATCGAGACCTTTCCCTTGCATTTGCGGAGGGGGAAGAAGCAGAGGTTAGGTTGCTGACATTCTGCACACCCCACAACTCCCCAGAGAAATCCTGGGGCTGATCAGTAGAATCCAGCCACCTTTCACTGGCAGAAGGCACAGTGTTTTTCTCCCTGGAGGTTTTTAACCTGTTACTTCATGTAAGCCTCCTATTGTCAAATAGAGAGAAACTGAGGGGCTTTGGAAGCAAACAGACTTGGGAAATTCTTGGCAAATTCTTAACTCTATCTCTTTGTGGGTGACCTGGGATATGTTCCCGGTGTCCTCAGCCTCTGAGTGCTCTTGGAAGATTAAATGGGATAAACCATGTGGAGTGACCAGTGCGAGGCCCAGCATGTTCTAGAAGCTCAAAGGAATGGCTACCACAAGTCAAGGTAAGGATGCTACCACTTTTCACAGATGACACAACTGAAGCTCAGAGAGGGTGAGTAACAATCCCAAGGTCACAGATATATTGGGTGCAGAGCCCAAACCAGGACCTGGGGCTCCAGGTCTCCAACCACCTTGCCGTTTGTTTCTCTCAATCAGACAGACATTTTCATTCCCATCTGTAAAATGGGGATAGGGATAGTACCTATTTGTAGGATAGCTGGAAGGACAGTGTGGGAGGTGGTCAGGCATGTGGACTCTGGTACCAAGTTCCTGGGTTCAAATCCCAGTTCTCCATCTACGAACTTTGTGACTTTGTGTAAGTTATCGACATCTGGGTGCCTCATCTCTCCCATCTGTAAACTGGAGCTAATATGGATCTAGCTCACAGGCTTGTTGGAGGAATAACTTGGGCTAATAGTCAGTAAACATCCCTCAATAATCTAAAACCCCGCTGCCTGTGGTTCCCACACCCAGAGGTCTAGGCTAACCAAGGCTGGGGCAGGTTTCTGGGAGATGGTGAAGCTGGCTGCAGACCATCCTGACCCCACAGAGGGCTTGGTGGGATGAGGAGAGGCACTGCCCTGGCAGGACTGGGACTGGGAAGGAAGGCCAAGAGGACTGGAGGCCTCTACCCCATGCCACCTTCAGGCAGTACTACCCGAGAATTGTTCCCTCTCTAGCTGAGTGGAGTGTCGGGCATGCGGGCCAAGTTCTTGAGTAACCCAGTTTTGAGCAATTCTCTAAAGGAGTGTTAAGCCCCAGAGGAATGCATGTCGGCTGTGTTGGTACAGCTTCTGGGTTTGATCTCTGTTTTAAAGACATTCATTAATCAGCCTCCACTCTATTTTTAGACAAGTCATGCCTAGCCATCCACCAGACTCTGGCCCCTCTCTGAGACTGGACTTTATTTTCTGATGTAAAAAAAAAAAAAAAAAAAATGAGAGCGAGAAGTGAAGCAATTTTCTTAATGCTCCTTTAAGGAGGGGGTAATACAGAAATCACTTCTCAGCACATCAGCAGTTTGCTAAATTTACACAAAATTAGCTGTCCTGATAAGGCTGTG
The DNA here is from genome assembly GCF_000001405.40 of Homo sapiens. NCBI lineage: Eukaryota > Metazoa > Chordata > Mammalia > Primates > Hominidae > Homo > Homo sapiens. Next base: position 65,473,117 of record NC_000017.11, read on the forward strand.
TTCATTCCTCTATATTTGGGATGTTTTGCCTGTTTTGTGACTGTTTCTTTAGGAGTCAGCTTCCTCTACCAGACTGAGAATAAGCATAGAGTCTGTTTCTCTTGCTGTTGACATGATTTCTTCATTAGCGTCACCAGCATCCAACGCAGTGTCTGGCACCAAGGATTTCCATGAATATTTGTCAGGCGAATGCCCATCCTTCCTGTCCCCATTCCTTCTTTCTCTTCAGCAAGACATACGGCACCTTGAGGGTGGTCTCTGAGGGATAGAGATTTTGCTGGTCCAGCTAATTCTCTTTCCTCTACTTTTCATACAGAAATCCCCTTTCCACTAGGATTTCCACTAGGGACCCATTTCATGTGGTTCAGACAAGGTGAACCTTGTTCACGGGGTCAGACATGTGACCCAGACCTGGCCACAGTTCCCAATCTCCGTGAACACAGTTGGTTCAGACACGGACCCACGAGCTAAGAAAAGCTGATGAGAGCACCCGCAGGAGAGTGAGGTACAGCACAGTTTGGGATCTAGATCTGTGCTGTCTAATACAGTAGCCACTAGCCGTGTGTAGCTATTTAGATCTAAATTTGAATTAACTAAAGCTAAAAATTAACTAAAATAAAATAAAAAATTCAGCTCCTCAATCACATTATTCATATTTCAAGTGTTTAATAGCCATGCATGGCTAGTGGTTACTGCACTATACAGCACAGATATAGGAGAGTTCTATTATGATAGAAAGTTCTGTCGGACAGCACAGAAATTGCCGTTTCTGAACCCAATCCCAAAAGATTTCTTGATCGATCGATCTTCCTTCCTTCCTTCCTCCCTCCCTCCCTCCGTCCCTCCCTTCCTCTTCTCTTCTCTCTCCTTCTCCTGCCCCTTCCCCTTCCTCTTCCTCCTCTTTTTCCTCTTCTTCTTCTTTTTATATTAAGTTTGTTTGAGTTGAGTTTCTATTATATAGAACCCAAATAGTCTTGACCAAGATAGATAGGACTAATTATAGTTCATCAAGCACTCACAGATGCTGAAGTTCATCCAGATGAGATCATTTAACACCCACAGAGTTATTCAGTTTCCAGACAAGCCCTTATCAGTGGATCACAGAATACCAGTTTATCTTCTCAACTTTGACCAGGCAAATATCTCACCCTTTATTCCAGCTATTGATGATTCCAGATAGATGATTGTTTGATAGATAGATAGATAGATAGATAGATAGATAGATAGATAGAGCATCACTCACTCACCTGGCACAGTAATCTTACACCTTTCTTCACTTAATTGCCTCCATTCTGATCTGATATCCAAGTTGTTCCTATTTGCACAATGAAAACCTCCGGCCTTTGAGAAGCAAGGATCTGAGGCTTAATTGGACCCCCTTAAATTTGAGGGCTACCTCAAATTTAAATTAAGGAACTTGGGTCAGTAAGAAAGAGAATTCTCACAAAAATCCCAGAACAGCTCCAAACTCAGGCTTTCCAAAGGTTAAATGAGATGCAGAAAATGACAGGAAGACCAGGAATCAAGACACTGTTCTCTTGCATCTTCTGTAGCACCTGATTATTAATGTGACTCTATCCCCACTACTAACTGCTAGACTCTCAATTTCTATACCTTCAGCTCAAATTTTAAAGAAAGATACTCTGAGGAACCTAATTTATTTCCCCTTACCCCTGCTAAGAAAGTTCCAGACAAGAGCTCCCCATAGGCTACCAGCCAGCCAATGAACTGGTTGCTCTTGGGTCAGGTGCTTTCCTCTGGTCCAATCAGCTGAGGTGGAAGGTTACATGATATCAGGACAATCACAGGTCTGATCTCTCGACAATCACAGGTCTGATCTCTCAGCAGAGTTGGTAGATGGAGCAATGGTTCTAAATATACGGTGTTAGAAAAGTATCAATGGGATCAAGGTTAAATGTACAGACTGTGAGGCCAGACTGGGCTCAAATGTAGTTCTTCTGTTGGTTAACTGTGACCTTGGGCGAGTTATTTCAACTCTTATCTCTAAAATGGGGGTAATAATACTTATCTCACTAGATTGGTTAGCAGAGAGCCTGTTGGCAGCAAGCACACATACTCTGTTAGCTATGTTTGTATTTATTTGTTGAATTTATTATTTTTTGCATTATATGATTAGCCTATTCTAGATACCGAGGAAGTTGTCCACAGAGGGAAAAAATTATACCAAGAAGCAAGAGAGCCTGTTTTCTGACCCCCTCTCAGTCACTTGGTAATTATTATTCCTCAATCTTCACATCTGAGGATATAACTATTTTACCTGACTGAAGACAGAAGGGGTATACCAGATGGTTTCACCAAGATCCATCAAATTCTAGTCAAAGATTCTTCCATTTTAATTAAGCCCATTGCTTCCTGTTTGATCTTCTAAGGGCAGAGAATAACAATGTAAGCTCTGACCATTTAAAAAAATCATCATTCCTGCTCTAATCATCTCAAACCATTCATTCACTGGTCATCCCGGGAAGGTCAACAGCAATCTCCGAAGAGTCTGGTACCACGTCCTCCTCACAAGTCACTGCTATAAGACTGACACTTATCAAAATGTCTGCCCATCTCCACAGAGACGCTCCTAATGTGCCTTGTTTCTGCTTTATGACAATGACCTTGGTTACAGCCAGTTGGTCCAGGAATAGGCACCTGACCCAGTCTGGGCCAATCTGGCCCCCTCTCTTGGGAATGGTGACCAAAAGAGTCTGTCTCAGCAGAAACTGGAAATGTAACATAAACAGTCATAAGCCAGGGGCCTGCTGGCAGTGCCATGGGGGCTAAAGAACAGAAAAGGCTAGTCTACAAAGAAAGAAGAGAATGAAATTGATGTCCAAGAAAACTGGATTCAAGACACCAGAGAGAAAATGAGCCAACCCATTCACACTTCCAGGCCCTTTCTGAGGCATGACAATGTGGCAGAATGTATTTTCCAATATTTTCCATCCCATACGCTCTTCCAGAACCTTGCCACTGCATCAAAAGATGGTGTCTATATCCCTTCCGCCTGAAACGGTGAGCCTTTGTGACTGCTCACACTTCTAGGATGTGGCAGAAGTGACGCTGTGTGATTGCTGAGGCTAGATCATAAAAGGCAACACAGCTTGCACACAGCTCTATCTCTTTGGACACTCATCCTTGGAATGGCAGCCACCATGCTCTGAGGAAGCACAGGTCACATGGAGCGCCCCACTTGGAGACAAATGGAGGCCCCCCAGCCCTCAGTGCTGGCTGAGCAACCAGCAGACAGCCAGCACCAACCTGCCACCAGGTGAGTGTGCCATCTTGAAAGCAGATCCTCCAGTCCCAGTGAAACCAGCCCAGGTAACACCACATGAAGCAGAGGTGAGACTTCCCCACTGAGCTCCATGTAAATTGCAGATTCAGGAGCAATATATGATTGTCACTTAAAACTGCTAAATTTGAGGTTGGTTTGTGAAGCAGCAATAAATCACTAGAACAATGATGTCTCTGTCTTCAATTTACAAAAGACAGCCCTATATCCTTAGAGCAAAGCCCCCATTCTGGCTTAAGCTAGTTCACTTGGGTTTATTTGACCTACAACTAAAGAATGAAAGCTATTGAAGGCTTCTTTTCCCACTTTAAATAGGAGTGAGAGGAGGAAAAGGAAATTAAGGCTCTCTTTCTAATCTGCAGCCCACCACATGCGTTCAGGTACTCAGGTAAGGGTCCTTAGTCTTTTCCACATGTATGTGTATATTTGCATAGCTGGAACCTTAAGCTTTTTTACTCCCTTAAGCATTAGTTATGAGGTTTTGCTCACTGTGGACACTTAACCCCAAAGACGACTGTCAGCCACAGAGTGTTAACAAAACCAAAAGACTCTTTCCATTAAGAACAATGATCCTGGCCAGGCACGGTGGCTCACACCTGTAATCCCAGCACATTGGGAGGCTGAGGCAGGCGGATCACCTGAGGTCAGGAGTTTGAGACCAGTCTAGCCAACATGATGAAACCCATCTCTACTAAAAATACAATAAATTAGCCAGGCGTGGTGGTGGGTGCCTGTAATCCCAGCTATTCGGGAGGCTGAGGTGGGAGAATCGCTTGAACCTGGGAGGCAAAGGTTGCAGTGAGCTAAGATCATGCCATTGCACTCCAGCCTGGGCGACAAGAGTGAGATTCCATCTCAAAAAAAAAAAAAAAGCTGGGCACGGTGGCTTACGCCTGTAATCCTATCACTTTGGGAGGCTAAGGCAGGTGGATTACCTGAGGTCCGGAGTTTAAGACCAGCCTGGCCAATATGGTGAAACCTTGTCTCTACTAAAAAATACAAAAATTAGCCAGGTGCATTGGCATGCGCCTGTAATCCTAGCTACTCTGGAGGCTGAGGCAGGAGAAACACTGGAACCCGGGAGATGGAGGTTGAGGTGAGCCAAGATCACACCACTGCACTTAGCCTGGGCTACAGAGCAAGACTCCATCTCAAAAAAAAAAGAACAGTGATCCTTCCTGGCACAGGCTGCTCTGCCCAGCCCCCGTCACATAACATGTATCACATGACATAGATCACATAACATGCATCACATAACGTACATTACATAACTTTGTCATATAACATATCACATAACACTTAACGTAGCACTGCATCATAGAACATACATCATGTAATGCTGCATCATATACAACACATAATACCACATAACAACATACACACCACATAACACTGCATCATATAACATGCATGATATAACACCACATCACATACCTTACATCATCATATAACACATATCACATAACACTGCATCATATTATATATCATATAACACTGCAACATATAACATATCACATAACATACATCACATCATATAACACTGCAAAATATACATCACATAATACCACATCACATACCATACATCATCACATTACATATATTACATAGCACAGCATCATATATATCACATAACACTGCAACATATAACATACCGCATACCATACATCACATAACATATATCACATAACATGGTATCCTATAACATCACATAACTGCAACATATGTATCACATAACGTATAACACATAACGTATGTCACATCACACATACCACATAACACCACATCACCAGATGTACATACTTCAGTAATTCATTATCTTGTGCAGAAGAAAAAACAAAGATACAAAGTCTGGGTGACCTGGATGTTGCCCCCTAAAAGTCAGAGTCTGAGCCACTGCCAGGGACACCCAGGACTCCTGAGTACCTTTAGGTTGAGCCGAGCCTTCAGCCAAAGGGACTAAGGATCCACCATCAGGAAAGAGGTAAGAAGGAACTGGAAACAGTTGTGGCCCATCAAGAAGTTTCAGCCAGTCAGGATGGATCCACCATCAGGAAAGAGGTAAGAAGGAACTGGAAACAGTTGTGGCCCATCAAGAAGTTTCAGCCAGTCAGGATGTATCCACCACACATGGTTACCACAAACCCCATCATAACAAAAACTCTATGTCATATAAAGATTTCCAAGCCCTGGCAAGAACCAATATACTGAGTTCCAGGGAAATCAATACATTTCAACAGAGTCTTGGTATATATGGCAATGAGATTTGACCCAGTGTCATCTCCAGGGTTGAAGAAATGTTGGAAATGAGTTCCAGGGAAATCAATACATTGCAACAGCCTTGGCATATATGGCAATGAGACTCGACCCAGTATCCTCTCCAAGGCTGAAGAAATGGCAGAGCAAAAAGCCATTGCTATACCACTCTCCTGACCTGGCCATGGAGTAAGGACTAAAATGAAGGCCAATATTAATATGCCGCCTTGATATCTGGTGAGACTGGGAAGATGTTGCATGGCCTAACCACAAGTTCCTCTCCCCACTCCTATGGGAAAGATCCCCCAGCCAGACAACCCTCCTTGGCAAAGGGACCAGGTGCAGTTCCTGCTTATCCTTGAGTAGTGGGTTTCATTTCTCTGCCAACTATGGACTTATTCAAACAAACCAATCACATCCCCTCATGGAAACAAGGGGACACCTCACCCTCTTGATACTACAAAACCTGACGCCCACAGCCCTGTTTGTTACTTCTGTACCTGCCTCAGCATAACCCCTGCACTCAGCTGCTGTTGGGATCATCTGCCCAGGGTCAGGTGCTATGTATTTGGCCATTGCAGTAACCTTAGTGTGGGAGTCCCCTTCTCACCCATTGGTTGAATAGGAGGCAATTAAACCACTGGCCTTTCAAAAAGGTTCTGGTGCTTCCCATCCAGCAGCCTTGGTGGTATTGAGCATCAGGATTCATTGGCTCTGCAGTCCATTCATTCAACAACAGTTATTGCGTAGGTTTTGGTGCCAGGCACTGTCCTCCAGGGCCATATGCCCAGTTGCTGAGACCTTGTCCTTGACCTGTTGTGGACATTAGTCAGCAACATTTACTGACAACACACACCCACCCAATTCCCAATCATTGGGAAGCAATTGGCCTAACAAAACAGTCCTCCGCTGTGGGATGTGTATGGCATGGGGCTGCAGTAAGGTCCTTGGTGCCATATTTAAGCTTCTACATGTTCTAATCCTGGTTCTTTCTTCCCCTCTAGAAGGCTGGAAACTTTTCAAAGAAGAAGAGGGTGAGTTTCTCTGACCATATTAGCCATGAGCAGCCACAGTGAAAGAATTAATGAATTAGTTGCCTTTGCTTATCTTTGCCCTGGACTTCAGACCTCCTTCAGGAGCAATGGAGGGATCCAAAAGCCAACACTGGAAGATGTGGATGGTGCTTCCAGCTCAAGGACGTGGCCTCCAGCAAGTCCCTGAACATCTTTAAGCCCTCACCTGTCAAACAGGGTTGGTGATTACTTTTTTTTTTTTTTTTTGAGATGGAGTCTCACTCTGCCTCCTAGGCTGGAGTGTGGTGGTGTGATCCAGGCTCACTGCAACCTCCACCTCCCAGGTTCAAGCAATTCTCCTGCTTCAGCACCACCCCCACCACCCCCACCCACCCCACCAAGCAGCTGGGATTACAGGCATGTGCTACCACGCCTGGCTAACTTTTATATTTTTTTAAGTAGAAACGGGTTTTTGCCATGTTGGCCAGGCTGGTCTTGAACTCCTGACCTCAAGCAATCCACCCACCTTGGCCTCCCAAAGTGCTGGGATTATAGGCATGAGCCACCACGCCTAGCCAATGATCACATTTTCCTACCTAACTCCCTGGGCTGCTGGGATAGCAGATGAGAATGGGTGAGAGGTTCTTTGGAAAGTGAAGGTGGTGCTGTCCAGCAGCTATGTCAGACTGCTATGGTCTGAGTGTTTGTGTCCCACTACCCTGAGACAGATATGTTGAAATCCCAAGCCGCAATGTGATGGTATTCACCTTTGGGAAGTGATTAGGTCATGAGGGCTCTGCTTCATGGGGTTAGTGCCCTTATGAAAGAGGCCCAAGCGGGCCGGGCGCGGTGGCTCATGCCTATAATTGCAGCACTTTGGGAGGCCAAGGCGGGCGGATCACCTGAGGTCAGAAGTTTGAGACCAGCCTAACCGACATGGAGAAACAACGTCTCTACTAAAAATACAAAATTAGCCGGGCGTGGTGGCGCATGCCTGTAATCCTAGCTACTCGGGAGGCTGAGGCAGGAGAATCACTTGAACCCAGGTGGCACAGGTTGCGGCGAGCCGAGATTCCACCATTGCACTCCAGCCAGGGCAACAAGAGTGAAACTCTGTCTCAAAAAGAAAGAAAAAGAAAAAGAAAGAGGCCCAAGAGAGCTCATTCACTCCTTTCATCACATGAGGACACAGCAAAATGATGGCTGTCTATGAACCAGGAAGCAGGTCCTCACCAGACACCGGATCTGCTGATGTCTTGACATTGGGCTTCCCAGCCTCCAGCACTGTGAGAAATAAATGTCTGATGTTTAGAAGCCACCCAGTTTATGGTATTTTGTTATAGTGGCCCGAATGGTCTAAGACAGGCACCCAGTAGAAGGCAGCCCCTGTGTGTGGGTAGGTTCCACACAAAGGCAAGCCTAGCCCCAAGGTCGCCACCAACAAACCCCAGAGCCATTTTTCCATGGGGTCTGAAAACTGCACCATTAGATGCTGCTTAGTTTAGGACTTTATATTGGGTTGAATTGTGGCCCCAAAAAAGGATGTCTGAGTCCTAACCCCTGGTCCCTGTGAATGTCACCTTATTTGGAGAGTCTTTGAAGTTGCTATTAAGGATCTGAAGATGAGATCATCTTGGATTAACCAGGTAACCCTAAATCCAATGATGAGTGTTTTTGTTTTGTTTTGTTTTGGTTTTGGTTTTGGTTTTGGTTTTTTGAGACACAGTCTTGCTCTGTTGCCCAGGCTGGAGTGCAGTGGTATGATCTCAGCTCACTGCAACCTCTGTCTTTCAGGTTCAAGTGATTCTCCTGCCTCAGCCTCCCAAATAACTGGGATTACAGGTATGTGACACCACACCCAGCTAATTTTTGTATTCTTAGTAGAGACGGAGCTTCACCATGTTGGCCAGGCTGGTCTTGAACTACTGACCTCATGATCTGCCCACCTCGGCCTCCCAAAGTGCTGGGATTACAGGTGTGAGCCACCGCACCCGGCCTATAAATGCATTTTATAAGTTCAAATTGACATTTACTAGTTATCGAAGCTATTCATTGAGAATAGTTAGTGATACAGTTCGGCTGTGTCCCCACCCAAATCTCACCTTGAATTGTAACAATCCCCACATGTCAAGGACTAGGCCAGGTGGAGATAACTGAATCGTGGGAGCAGATTTTCTGTGCGATTCTCATGATAGTGAATAGGTCTTATTAGATCTGATGGGTTTCTAAAGGGAAGTTCCCCTGCACATGCTCTCTTGCCTGCTGCCATGTAAGACACGCCTTTGCTTCTCCTTTGTCTTCTGCCATGATTATGAGGTCTCCCCAGCCATGTGGAACTGTGAGTCCATTAAACCTCTCGCCTTTATAAATCACCCAGGCTCAGATATGTTTTTTTTAGCAGCATGAGAACAGACTAATACAGTTTGGCTATTCAAATAAATGCAAAAATCTGGAATATGGATTATAGATACAGTGAACATATTGCCCAACCTGGGCGATATTAATTAAATGGGATGACAGGAACTGTCCCCGGATGACCAGGATCAAATGACCCTACTTATGCATGACCTTTGTCTTCCATCAGACCCCAGGGCCCGTTAAACTCAAGTCAAATATTTTCTAGTTTCCCAGGCACCTCTGTGGAATCCAGTTTGAAAAACAGCATCTTAAGCTACTCTTGGCCTGCCGAGGAGATGTTATCACATCACCCAACACCCCCAGCAGATGTGAAGATTAGAACCCTGGGCCAGGAATGTCTGAGGAGGGAGGCTGGGGGTAGGTGAGATGGCAGAGGAAGGAATGGGAAGAACAGGAAAAGAGGAAGAATCTGAAAGGTCTGCTGGGGATAGGTTTTGGAGTTCAGGGTAAGAAAGAAGAAAGACTTCACCCAAGAGAGATGTGGAGAGGACACCACCTCCCAAATCTGTGCTGTTCATGAGGGTACCTGACAGTAACCTTGTTGATCCCCCAGGGCAAGCAAACATCTGAGTCTCAGTGAGTCTGGAGGGAGAGCAAGCTGGTGAGGTTCTGCACATCAGGTGTGTTTTAGGAATTATTTGCCAGGCTTTGAGAGAATGTTCTTCAGGCTTATCAACTGTGTTCAGCTTCCATGGTGTATTAAACAAACTGGGTGGTTTAAAACAACAAAAAGAGTTGCTCTTTCACAGTTCTGGAGGCTAGAAGTCTGAAGTCAAGGTGTTGGCAGGACCACACTTCCTCTGAAGGCTCCAAGGAAGAGTGCTCCTTGTCTCTTCCAGATTCTGGGGGCTCCAGGCTGTCCTTGGCGTTCCTCGGTTTGTAGCTCATCACCCCAGTCTCTGCCTCTGCCTTCACATGGCCTTCGCCCATCTGTGTGTCTCTGCGTGCACTCCTATTCTTATAATATAAAGACTACAGTCATTAGATTTAAGGGCCCACCCTAATCCAGTATGACCTTATCCTAACTAATTACATCTGCAAAGACCCTATTTCCAAATAAAGTCACATTCAGAGGTTCTAGATGGACATGAACTTTGGTGGGGGGTGGACACTATTAAACTCACTATGCATTGCATTCATTGGTATTATAGATCAATAACTTATTGGTTTATCCAGTACTGACTCCAGCTAAGGAGAAGGCAAGCTTTCTATAAGCAGAATCTGCTGCTTCTAGTTCCCCCAGAATATTCTCTCTTCAATCCATCTTCTGAACTCTCCATCTTCCTTCTTTAGAGGTCCCCCTTCTCCTACATTCCCTGTGTTCCAAATAGAGCAACCACATGTTCAGGAACTACTCACGCTAAAAACTTGCAGGTCAGTCTCAATAGCTCATGCTCACTCACTTCCGCCACCACCGATCCTAAAACTCACACAAATCCCTGTGTGATTATTCCCATTTCTGTTATTCCCCTCCTCTCTCATTCCTGCTTTATGTCTTTATTGCCGTTCACCTGGACTGCCATGAAAACGCCGTGTCCCCGTCCACTCTGCACTTCATTGATCTCAAATGCAAGACTAGTCACACACTCCACAAGCCCCTTTAGGAATCACTTGAAATAAACCCGCCTCTCCCTCTCCCTCTCCCTCTCCCTCTCCCTCTCCCTCTCCACCTCCCTCTCCCTCTCCCTCTCCCTCTCCCCACGGTCTCCCTATCCCTCTTTTTTCCACGGTCTCCCTCTCCCTCTCTTCACGGTCTCCCTCTGATGCCGAGCCGAAGCTGGACTGTGCTGCTGCCATCTCGGCTCACTGCAACCTCCCTGCCTGATTCTCCTGCCTCAGCCTGCCGAGTGCCTGCGATTGCAGGCGCGCGCTGCCACACCTGACTGGTTTTCGTATTTTTTTTGGTGGAGACGGGGTTTCGCTGTGTTGGCCGGGCTGGTCTCCAGCTCCTAATCACGAGTGATCCGCCAGCTTCGGCCTCCCAAGGTGCCGGGATTGCAGATGGAGTCTCGTTCACTCAGTGCTCAACGGTGCCCAGGCTGGAGTGCAGTGGCATGATCTCAGCTCGCTACAACCTACACCTCCCAGCCGCCTGCCTTGGCCTCCCGAAGTGCCGAGATTGCAGCCTCTGCCCGGCCGCCACCCCATCTGGGAAGTGAGGAGCGTCTCTACCTGGCCGCCCATCGTCTGGGATGTGAGGAGCCCCTCTGCCTGGCTGCCCAGTCTGGAAAGTGAGGAGCGTCTCTGCCCTGCCGCCATCCCATCTAGGAAGTGAGGAGCGTCTCTGCCCGGCCGCCCATCGTCTGAGATGTGGGGAGCGCCTCTGCCCTGCCGCCCCGTCTGGGATGTGAGGAGCGTCTCTGCCCGGCCGCCCCGTCTGAGAAGTGAGGAGCCCCTCCGCCTGGCAGCTGCCCCGTCTGAGAAGTGAGGAGCCCCTCCGCCCGGCAGCCACCCCGTCTGGGAAGTGAGGAGCATCTCCACCTGGCAGCCGCCCCGTCCGGGAGGGAGGTGGGGGGCTCAGCCCCCTGCCCGGCCAGCCGCCCGGTCCGGGAGGTGAGGGGCACCTCTGCCCGGCCGCCCCTACTGGGAAGTGAGGAGCCCCTCTGCCCGGCCACCACCCCGTCTGGGGGGTGTACCCAACAGCTCATTGAGAAGGGGCCAAGATGACAATGGCGGTTTTGTGGGATAGAAAAGGGGGAAAGGTGGGGAAAAGATTGGGAAATCGGATGGTTGCTGTGTCTGTGTAGAAAGAAGTAGACATGGGAGACCTTTCATTTTGTTCTGTACTAAGAAAAATTCTTCTGCCTTGGGATCCTGTTGATCTATGACCTTACCCCCAACGCTGTGCTCTCTGAAACATGTGCTGTGTCCACTCAGGGTTAAATGGATTAAGGGCAGTGCAAGATGTGCTTTGTTAAACAGATGCTTGAAGGCAGCATGCTCGTTAAGAGTCATCACCACTCCCTAATCTCAAGTACCCAGGGACACAAACACTGCGGAAGGCCGCAGGGTCCTCTGCCTAGGAAAACCAGAGACCTTTGTTCACTTGTTTATCTGCTGACCTTCCCTCCACTATTGTCCTATGACCCTGCCAAATCCCCCTCTGCGAGAAACACCCAAGAATGATCAATAAAAAAAAATAAAATAAAAAAATAAAAAAAATTAAAAAAAAAGAAAGTAATAAACCCTCTGCTTCAGAAAAATGTACATAAGCACCTACTGCACACCACACTTTGAGTAGCATGCATAATAATGCAAATTAGTACATGTATAATCAAGACTCCTTCCATCATAATAATTGTACTCATTATTATATCATCTTATTTAATCCCTCCAGCAACCCTACAAGACTGGCATTATCATGCCCCCTTTATGGATTAAGGAAACAACGACAACAAAACAGGTTTGGGCAGTGAAAGTAAACGGTCCAAGGTCATACCACTAGTAAGTAGCAGCAGAGCCAAGATTTGTACCCAGATCTACCTGTGTCTACATTTTTGGCTCTTAAACCAATAGTAATGCCCCACCCCTCTTGTCATCAAAGCAGACAAGATGTCCCCTCCTTGGTTACCCATAGCAAGGACTTCTTTCAAGCACTGTTAACATTTCAATCCTAATTCCTTGTTCACATATTTGTCTTTGGTGTCTTTGAGTTCCCAGCATTTGGGCAATGCCTGGAACAGAGTAGGTGCTTAACAAATGTTTGAGTGACAGAGTTTCTCTTGCGCCTTACTGAGCTGGGCCCCCATCTATCAACTCAGTCTGAGATTAATTGTACTTTATTTTTAAGTCAGCAGGAGACCCCTTCAGATAAGCTACGTAAGCCTGAAGTGGCAGCCAGGCACAGTACTTGGTCACTGGCCAGGGCGGGAGGCTCTCTAACCCAACAGGTGGCCCCCAGCCCAGATCGTCAGGGAGCCCCACCCTCCAGGAGACCGTGGCTGAGTGGCCCATCTGGCCCAGCCTGCGCCTGAGTGCTGAAGATCTTTGTGTCTCCAAGCTGAGAACTGGGTCCCTGCTCCTTGCCAACCATTCACAGGGGAGAAATGATTAAAACACTGGAGAGACTGACTCATGGGGAAATATGAAAAAAACACAATAGTCCCCAAATATGTTTAGCTTGGCCCCATCACAAAGGGGGGATGTGATAAGGGCTCCAAGCTAAAGGGAGGCAACATAAAGGCGGGAGAATTGTGCAGAGCCTGCTGACTGGGAGGGACCCAAGGGAAAATGAAAATGAGATGGAGGGGAATAAAATGGGGCATCGAGTTGGAGGAAAAAGAGTTTCTGGAGCTCAAGGGCATCTTTCCATAAAGAGATCAGAGTTGGGGACCACTGCCAGAGATTTTAAACAACCTCCTCCCCACTGGCCAGGCATTGCCTCCTACTCTGTGCCAGGCATTGCCCAAGTTCTGGGAACTCAAAGACAACGAAGACAAATATGTGAACAAGGAATTAGGATTGAAATCTTCGGCTGGGCGTGATGGCTCATGCCTGTAATCCCAGCACTTTGGGAGGCCAAGGCGGGCAGATCACCTGAGGTCAGGAGTTCGAGACCAGCCTGGCCAACATGGTGAAACCCCATCTCTACTAAAAATACAAAAAATTACCCGGGGGTGGCAGTGGGCGCCTGTAATCCCAGCTACTCCAGAGGCTGAGGCAAGAGAATTGCTTGAACCCGGGAGGCGGAGGTTGCAGTGAGCTGAGATCACACCACTGCACTCCAGCCTGGGCCACAAGAGTAAAACTCCGCCTAAAAAAAAAAAATAGTTTCTGGAGCTCAAGGGCATCTTTCCATAGCGAGGTCAGAATCGGAGACCACTGCCAGAGATTTTAAACAACCTCCTTCACACTAGTGGCTCCTGGCTTTGACAGCAGGAGACTGAAGTCTCATTCATTCCTTCAGCAAACACTTCCATGCCCACTGCAGGCCAAGCACAGTGCCAGGTTCGAGGTTGCTGAGTGACGAAAACAGTGTCTCTACTCTCAGACAGCTTATATTCTACCAGGAAGAAGCAGCCCCTGAGTCCTCTGCCTTAGCCATGCCATCTGCCTAGAACGTTCTTCCACCAGGTATTCATATGGCCACCTCCCTCAACTTGGTCAAGTTTTATTCAGAAAACCCCTACTCCATGGGGCCAACCCTATTTATTATGGAAACTGTCTTACTCTGTTCAGGCTGCTAGAACAAAATGCCTTAGACTGGGTAGTTTAGAAACCACAGAGATGTATTGCTCACAGTTCTGAGGGCCGGGAAGACCAAAGTCACGGGGCCAGCAGGTGCCACGTCTGGTGAGGAGCTTGCTTTCTGCTTCAAAGATGGCACCTTGCGGCTGTGCCTCACGTGGCGGAAGGGGCTGGGGAGCTCCTTCCAGCCTCTCTTATAAGGGCACTGAATTAGTCAGTTTTGCATTGCTATAAAGAAATACCTGAGACTGAATAATTTATAAAGAAAAGTTTAATTGGCTTACGGTTCTGCAGGCTCTACAGGAAGCATGGCCCCAGCATCTGCCTCTGGTGAGGCCTCAGGGAAGGTGAGGCCAGACCCAGTGCATCCCATGGTGAGAGAGGGGGAGGGAGAGAGAGAGAGAGAGGTAGACGGGGAGGAGGAGGCGGACAGTGGGAGGGGGAGAGGGACCGGGAGAGGGGGAGGAGTAGAGGGAGAAAGAGAGGGAGAGGGAGAGGGAGAGAGGGAGGGAGGGAGAGGGAAAGAGAGAGAGGGAGAGGGAGAGTGAGGGAGAGGGAGGGAGGGAGACAGGGAGAGAGAGGGAGAGGGAGGGAGGAAGAGAGGGAGAGAGAGAGACGGAGGGAGGGAGAGGGAGAAAGAGAGAGAGGGAGGGAGAGGAAGAGAGAGAGAGAGGAAGAGAGGGAGAGACAGAGGGAAGGACAGGGAGAGAGGGAGAGAGAGAGGGAGAGGGAGAGAGAGAGGGAGGGAGGGAGAGGGAGGGAGAGGGACAGAGAAAGGGAGAAGGAGAGGGAGAGGGAGAGAGAGGGAGGGAAGGAGAGGGAGAAGGAAAGAGAGAGGGAGGGAAGGAGAGGGAAAGAGAGGGAGAGGGAGAGTGGCAAGGAGAGAGAGAGGGAGGGAGGGACAAAGAGAGAGAGGGAGGGAGAGAGGGAGAGGGAGAGAGAGAGGGAGGGAGAGGGAAAGAGAGAGAGAGAGAGAGGAAGAGAGAGAGGGAGAGGGAGGGAGGCAGAGGGAGAGAGAGAGGTAGAGAGAGAGGGAGAGAGACAGGGAGAGAGAGAGGGAGAGGGAGGGAGGAAGAGGGAGAGGGAGAGAGAAAGAGAAGGAGAGAGAGAGGGAGGGAGGGAGAGAAAGGGAAGGAGGGAGAGGGAGAGGGAGGCAGAGAGAGGGGGAGGGGGAGAGAGAAGGAGGGGGAGGGGGAGAGAGAAGGAGGGGGAGGGGGAGAGAGAGGTAGCCCCCCCCCTACACAGAGGGAGGGGGAGATTCTCAGATACAGATTGGGAGGGAGAGAGAGAGGGAGGGGGAGAGGGAGAGAGAGGGAGGGAGAGGGAGAGAGAGAGGGAGAGGGGGAAGGAGGGAGAGGGAGAGAGAAAGGGAGAAGGAGAGGGAGAGGGAGAGAGAGGGAGGGAGGGACAGAGGGAGGGAGAGGGAAAGAGAGGGAGAAGGAGAGTCAGAAGGAGAGAGAGAGGGAGGGAGTGAGAAAGAGAGAGAGGGAGGGAGAGAGGGAGTGAGAGAGGGAGGGAGAGGAAATGGAAAGAGAGAGAGGGAGGGAGAGAGAGAGGGAGATGGAGGGAGGAAGAGGGAGTGGGAGAGAGAGGGAGAGAGAAAGAGAGGGAGAGAGAAGGAAGGAGGGAGAGAGAGGGAAGGAGGGAGAGAGAGGGAGGGGGAGAGACAGAAAGGGATGGGGGAGAGAGAGGGAGAGAGAGGAAGAGAGGGAGCGAGGGAGGGAAGGAGGGAGGGAGAGAGAGAGGGAGAGGAAGAGAGAGGAAGGAGGTGCCACACTCTTTTAAACAACCAGATCTTGTGTGAACTCAGAGGGGGAACTCACTCATTATCACAAGGACAGCACCAGGCCATTCATGAGAGATCCACCCCCATGACCCGAACACCTCCCACTAGGCCCACCAACATTGGAGGTCCCATTTCAACATGAGATTTGGAGGGAAAAAAACATCCAAACCATATCAGGCACTGATCCCATTCTGGAGGGTGGGGATCTCATGACTTAGTCACTTCCCAAAGGCCCCACCTCTTCATACTATCACATTGGGTATTAGGTTCCAACATATGAATTTGGGGTGGGGGGGACACCAATATTCAGACCACAGCAATCACCTTATTACTGACCACCTTATTCAATAGGGTCACCCACACAAAGCCCCACCATGCCCGCTGCTCCACTTGTTCTGTGTTCTAGGGGATTTCGCACCCTTCAACACACTATGTAATTGCTCTTATTTTGTTTATCATCTGTTTCTTCCCACCTTGGAAAGGCCCACAGGGCCTCAACTGAGGGCTGCGGAAGTGACCTAAGGAACAGACACAGTTATCCTGTCTCAGAGCTCGTCCCCTCCTCATTGTCTCTGTTACCTGTAGCCAGGCCATCTGCAGAGCTGGCAAGCAATGGGACAGACGTGGAGCTGATGCTGGCATTGTCTCTCTGGTTTTGAGTCTGAACCAAGGCTCCTGTGTGAGAGTCAAAACACCTCTTCACATCTCTTGCCTCCTTCCTCAACTCCTTTGGGCCTCTTTTCTTCCAGCTGTCTGGGAGCCAGGCTGAGTTCCCCACAAATGTAAAGCAATCATAAATAATCATCAGGCTAATGAGGCTGGGGGTGATCATGCAGGAACTCCCTGCCACATGACAAACAGCCGGCTGCTGATTTATCATGGGACAGATGTAAATACTCGCCTCTCCCCTGAGCAGGAACACATGTTCTTAGTCATATGGTAGCTGCTGAAAACACCCCATTGGGGTTGTTCACCCTCTGCTGAGATCAGAAGGAGGCAGAGAGGCCCAAGCTTTGCCAGGAATGAATGGTGGTTAAAAGGGGAGGGTTCTTTCTCTTAGCCCATCAACCTGGCCACCAATTAAAAAAACTCAAATAACCAGTGGGTCTAGCATAGGAGTGAAGAGTGAGTTTTAGGCCCAAAAGCTCAGGATGCTTAAACTCCAACTGCCACCCAGTAGGGTGGGACCTCCATTAAGTTGCTTAACAATGCTGAGCCTCAGTTTTCTCCTCTGAAAATGGGTTAATAATAGTATCTTCCCCATTGGGTTGTTGTGAACATCAAGAATGAATGTCAACTGTTTAACACAGAGTAAGACCTTAATAAACGGATGGCTGGGCATGGTGGCCCACACCTGTAATCCCAGCACTCTGGGAGGCTGAGGCAGGTGGATCACCTGAGGTCAGGAGTTCAAGACCAGCCTGGCCAACATGGTGAAACCCCATCTCTACTAAAAATACAAAAATTAGCCGGGCATGGTGGTGCACACCTGTAATCCCAGCTACTCAGGATGCTGAGGCAGGAGAATTGCTCCAACCCAGGAGGCAGAGGTTGCAGTGAGCCAAGATCATGCCACTGCACTCCAGCCTGGGCAATAGAGTGAGACTCTGTCTTAAATAAATAAATAAATAAATAAATAAATAAATAAATAAAGCACAGTTAGTGTCAGCATGCTCCATTGTTAGTCAACATGATTCTTGCTCTTATCCTGGAAGACCCCTTGCTCTCCCATGGGCACCTGATTATGCTCACTCCATCCCATCTTTGTCCTCACCCAGAGCCCCTCTCCTCTTCTCTCTTCCTGTCCAAATTCTAACCATCCCTCCCAACTGCTGCCCCATTTTTTCCAGCCATTCCCGATTTCTCCTTGCCTTGATCTTGTACTGGAAATAGTAAGTGTCTTTTAAACATTTTTTTAAGCCACAGATCCCTTTCTTACAAGGAAATTGCACACAGAAATAAACACAAATAAGACCAATAAAGGCAGAGCTGTGAAGGCAAGGAAAAGTGAGAACTAGAGTCTCTACCATCCATGGACTTACCTTAGGGTTAGGAAGATGAGCCCCGCCCCCTATGGACGTAGAGTGAATGAGATCATTGGATCATGGTGTCACCATGTTCTGCCTTGGACTTTGAGTCAGGCAGCTGCCATCTTCAGCCCATGGTGCACAGTCCTGCCCCTTCACCCTGCTTCATTCCTTTGTCCACCTTTCTCTCTCCTCCAATAAGCTTCTGGGGCAAGAACCATGCCTCCTTCGTGTCTTCCTACTCACATCCCAAAACTAGGACAGGGCTCTGTACCCCCGCAGGCACCCAACATACATCTGTTAACATGAAATGAGATACATCCAGACAGTTTATAAATACACTAAGCAAAGCCTCTCCTCATTATAGATGGGGGTAAACTGAGGCAGGGCCACCCAGGTATTTATCAAGAGAGTCAGCCCTGGAATAGGAGCCCCCAGACGCCTAGCTCCAGCCTCACCCACTAGCCTTGGAGGCTCCCAAATGTAAGTGACTTGCTGTTCATATTCCCTGGCATCCAGCAACCCAAGAATTTTGCTCTTGCTATCAGGAGGATGGAAAGATAGGAGCTTAGGGTGAGTAAGACAAAAGCTCTCTGAGAAAGAACTGTTGCTGTCTGGGCAAGAGAGACAGGGAAGAGAACCCAAGAAGTTTAAGGCAAGAATGATACACGTATCTTGTTAAATGCTAAGTTCTACTGTCCGGGCCAGGGGTTTTGAAGCCACAAGGACTTCCCAGAGGCAGATGGAGGTAGGAGGGAAGCCAGGAGTGTGTACAACGGAAAAGGCCCCAGTGGGGAGGGTCCCAGACAGCCTCCTCCCCTACCCTAGATTTCATCTGAGCAGGTCTGCCTTTATCAGTCTTACTTGTGTTTATTTCTGGGTACGATTTCCTTGTAACAAAGGGATCTGTGGCTTAAAAAATGTTTAAAAGACACTTGCTATTTCCAGTACAAGATCAAGGTGAGGAGAAATCAAGAATGGCTGCAAAAGATGGGGCAGGCGTTGGGAGGGATGGTTAGAATTTGGAGAGGAAGAGGAGAGGGGCTCTGGGTGAGGACAAAGATGGGATGGAGTGAGCATGACCAGGTGCCCACAGGACAGCAAGGGGTCTTCCAGGATAAGAGCAAGAATCATGTTGACTAACAATGGAGAATGGAGAGGGTTGGGTGTGAGAGGGGGTGGGGTGAGGGAAAGTGTAAGGGTGGACCTTCACTCTATTCTCCCGCAAATGCCTTCCTTAGACAATGGCTCCTGATGGGCCTTGTAGATCCAACCAACAAAGCCCCATTCCCTTCCCCATCACACATCCCTAGTTGCCTCTGAGCCACTGCCAGCCTATCAACTATAGGAGGATGCCTTTCTCATGACCCTTTGTCATGAGGTTGCCAGAGTCACCCCCCTCAACTACCTTGCGTGATCACCTGTCAGCTGTGTGAAACTTGATCAGGTGGCTTAACCTCTCTGAACCTCAGGTCCTCATGTACCAAATGGGGTGACAGTGTTGTGAGAATTATACATGAGATAATTTATGATCGCACATACCAAGGTGCCTGGCCCTTGAGGAATTCTCAATAATTACAAGGTAGTTGGCTCTAGAAGACTTTGGGAAACCAAGCTCGGGTTGTGGTTCATTATGGGTTACCATGGAAACCAGACCTAAAGGCTGGAGAACAGACAGGCCTAGTGTGCCCAGAGCACCTAGGCCTGATTCACATTAGGATCTATTTTCTTGAATCCTTAAATGCACCTTAGAGTTCACGCAGGCATGAAGGAATGGCTCCAGGCATTGTCCTCAGCCCCTGAGCAAGGGAGTAAGCCCAGTTCCACACAGGGGCAATTCCTGAACACACATTCACTGCGTGAAGAAAGGGCTGAGGACCTAGCTCTGGGCCGCATGTAGACAGGAGTGATTGATGAGTTTAACTTCATGCATCTCATTGCAGCCTAAAAGGATGTGACAAGTCCGGGCGCAGTGTCTCACGCCTTTAATCCCAGCACTTTGGGAGGCCAAAGCGGGTGGATCACTTGAGGTCAGGAGTTCAAGACTAGCCTGGCCAACATGGCGAAACCCCATTTCTACTAATAATACAAAAAAATTAGCTGGGCGTGGTGGCACACACCTGTAATCTCAGCTACTCGGGAGGCTGAGCAGGAGAATCGCTGGAACCCGGGAGGCAGAGGTTGCAGTGAGCTGAGATCACACCATTGCACTCCAGCCTGGGCAACGAGAGCAAAACTCCATCTCAAAAAAAAAAAAAGATATGACAAAAAGTCAGGTGAACTTGCTGGTTTCATTCTATCCAAGTTGGTGCCTCTCAGAGGTTCCTTGTTTAGTTGACTTGTGCTGGGGTTAATGGAAGATATGCATCACTAACAGGTGCTTTTCACTGGATACTTTGATACTCATCACCAGCCAGCAGATTCCAAGGTTGAACCACTGCTTGTATGTCTGTTCTTAAGTGTTGAACTGATGGCTGCTCTCTCCCTGGTAATAGGGTATCTGCCCCATTGATAGCTATCAGTGGGAGGCACTCAGATGGAACCCGCATAACTACCACTTCTAGCTCTATGAACTTGGCACTGGTCACTTAATCCTCTGAGCTTCAGTTTCCCGCTCTGAAAAATAGGTATGGCGCTGACACAAGCTACTCTGCCTGCCACTGGTTTGCTGGAATAAAATCAAAGGTATAGAAATGGACCTTGGGAGGTCAAGGCAGGTGGATCACCTGAGGTCAAGAATTCAAGACCAGGCTGGCCAACATGGTGAAACCCCATCTCTACTAAAAATACAAAAATTAGCTGGGCATGGTAGCACAAACCTGTAGTCCCAGCTACTCAGGAGGCTGTGGCAGGAAGGTCACTTGAACCTGGGAGGAAGAGCCTGTTCCCCAATCCCTTCCATTTCTATACTTTTTTTTTTTTTGAGCCAGAGTCTCGCTCTGTCGCCACTGCACTCCAGCCTGGGCAACAGAGCAAGACTCTGGCTCGCAAAAAAAAGTATAGAAATGGAAGGGCTTGGAGAACAGGCTCTGTCTCAAGCCCTCATTACCAGTTGGTCAGCTGATCCCACACAACTTATTGTGAAAACACAGTAAGTGTGTTCCTGAGAATTAAGGGGGTGTGGGGAAGAATGCATCTTTCTGATATTCTAAAAGCCACTCTCTAGAGAGAGTAGTTATAAATGCAACACAGAGGCCTTAATACAACTGTAATATACTTGACCTGTTTGTCACATGGTGCTGGCAAATTGCTTAATGTCTCAAGACCTTAGTTTCCCCATGTGCAAAATAAAGGGACTTGGGTGGATGGTTTGCTCCTTGGCTCCAACCTTCTGTGACTATTGATAGGCATTAGATTTTGAGAGATATGAACCATAATGTCTACCATCCCAACACAGTCTGTTTGAGCACAACTGAATTATCTCAGCAAGCACATGCTTGACTTTGGATAGGTTTCATCTCATACTTCCTCACAACAAATTATCTTGCCAGTGAGAAAAGAGAGGCTCAGGGAAGTTCAACTTCTAAGGCCACATAGCTAATAAATGACTGGGCCAGGACTTGAACCTGGACCTGCTTGTCCCAGGACCTGCTTGTCCCAACACCTATGTATCTTCCAAGACACAGTGCTTTTGCCAAGGGACAGAGGTTTTCCAGATTTGCAATGAGATATTTTTATGTTGTTTGGTAGGGAAACCAGATATATATAATAATATATATAAAATTACATATACATTTATAATTATACATAAAATTACATATACATATATAATTATATATAAAATTACATATAATACGTTTATAATTATATGTTATATATATGACATATAGTATATAATATATATTTTTCTATGTTATATTTTATATGTTATATATGTATTTTTGAAACCCTTTAGAAGGTCAAGACTCTTCAGAAGGTCAAGGTCATTTCACGGGTGAATGGTTAATCCCCCCAAGCAACAACACCGTGTGTATAAACTGCCCCCAGAATGCAGCCCTTTCAAGATGGAGAAGGAGGGGCCTCAGGGAGGGCAGAACGCCCAGCGCACCTGCCAGGTCTGTGAAAGAGGAGAGGTTGAAGAAGAAAGAGTAGGAAAAAGCTTTCTTTCCCCCTCAAGTTAGAAAGCGGGCAGAGCAAGAGAGAGAGATCAAAAACCACTAAAGGTCCCTCATGTCAACCTCTCCCTGTTTTAATTAAGCAGAGTCCACACCCCCACCCCCACTCCCTCAAAAATGCTTTGCACTCAGCAAGAGCTGCTTCACAGCAGGTTGCAGTTAAGCCTTCAAACAACCAGCAGCCTCAGGAAATGCCAGCAGCCCACAGGTGCGGGGCGAGGCGGGGCCCCTCCCCTTCTCCGCACCCAGGCCGAGCAGCCACAAGATGGACCAAGGAGCCGCAAGAGCATTCCCTGAACCCTTCTCCACTGGGCCGTGATTCTCGGCAGCGAGCCTCCAACTGCGGCAACCCTCGGTAAGACAGGCATCTTCCGTGGGGACCCAGCCAACACCTACAGACATCCATACATATCAAGCTCAAAAAAAACTCACAAAACAACTCTTGCCGCTGTTATGTGCGATGCATTCACATTTTCTACTCTTTTTTTTTTTTTTTTTTTAATGCTGATTGCAGCCTTTTATATTAGCGTCACGATTCACTGAAGGTTTCCAAACTCATTTTGAAAACGCAGTCTGCTGGATGGAGGCATTAATGTCCTCCAAGTCAGGCAGAGCCTGACCTACTCTCCTTCCTTGCCTCATTAGCTCTACCCAGCCCAGGTCCCCGCTCCAGCAAACTTGCAGCTCTGGAATGTCTTTAGCAACTCCGCACCTCCAGGCCTGGGCCATACACCTTGCTAAGCCTGATGCCCATTCTCCTGCCCCCCTGTTCTTCCTACAGTTGTGACCACCTACCTCTATGTCTCTGAATTTCTTTTTTTTTTTAATTTTATTTTTTACTTCTTCCCTTTTTTGTTTGTTTGTTTGTTTGTTTCTGCTGGGGTTTTTTGTTTGTTTTGTTTTAGACAGAGTCTCCCGCTGTCGCCCAGGCTGGAGTGCAGTGGCGCGATCTTGGCTCACTGCAACCTCCACCTCCCAGGTTCAAGCAATTCTCCTGCCTCAGCCTCCCGAGTAGCTGGGATTACAGACACATGCCACCACACCTGGCTAATTTTTGTATTTTTAGAGACAGGTTTTCACCATACTGGCCAAGTTGGTCTCGAACTCCTGACCTCAAGTGATCCGCCTGCCTTGGCCTCCCAAAGTGCTGGGATTACAGGCGTGAGCCACCACGCCCTGCCTCCTCCCTGAATTTCTCATGTGTAACTGTTGCAGATTGCAAGCGCCTCTGTTCCCCACTGATCACCCTAGGTGTGGCTGTTCTATGGAGACCAGGTTATGAGTCCTCCAGGGCCTGTTTATCCTGTGGCTGGAGTCCTACTAATCAAAGTTTTTCCATCAACATTTCTAAATGGAAGAGAGAAGGCAAAAAGTGGGGTGGGGGTGGGAGGGGCGCAGGAGGAGGGAGGACTGGGCCCTCCCCCAGAGACAAACCCCATTCCTAAGGAAGGAAAATTGCAATTATTGTCAACTTTCTGTGGGGGACCTTCCATGCTTAGCAGGAAGAGGACAATGGTTTTCAGACCCAACATTGATGGCAACACCTGCCTTCCAGGCGGGAGGCAGGATTCCTCTCAGAGGTGAGTTGCTGAGAGATGCCTTGAGGGACCTTCTCAGAAGAGAAAAGCAAGGCTCGCTGGACCTTCCAGAAAGGCAGGAATGAGGGGGAGGCAATGGTTAGCAGCCAGCCACTGGGAAAACACCGTGCAGGGTGGGCCCCTGGGGAGCGGGGGGGAGCTCCAGCGATGTTGAGGAGGGCATGGCGGGTGCATTGGGGGCTTCGTCTATTCCATCAAGCCCACCCAGAAAGGCAGGGCAGGCTCCGTGTCCCACTGGCCAGGTTCAGTCCTGGGACCCTAGACTAGTTACCAAACCCTGCTGTGTTTCTGCTTCCTGGCCGTCACATGGGGACCTGCCTCTTAGGGTTCTGTGAGGACCCAACGGGTTAAGACAAATAACACACTTAGAGCATGGCCAGATACAGGAAAAGTGTTCTATTCATTTTATTTCATCAACACATTAACTCATGGAGGTAATTTTTTTTTTTTTTTTTTTTCCCGAGACGGAGTCTCACTCTATCATCCAGGCTGGAGTGCAGTAGTGCAATCTCGGCTCACTGCAACCTTTGCCTTACAGGTTCGAGCTATTCTCCTGCCTCAGCCTCCTGAGTAGCTGGGACTACAGGCGTGTGCCACTGCGCCCAATTAATTTTTGTATTTTTGGTAGAGATGGGGTTCCACTATGTTGGCCAGGCTGGTCTTGAACTCCTGACCTCAAGTGATCCACCCCCCTCAGCCTCCCAAAGTGCTGGGATTACAGGCGTGAGCCAGTGTACCTGGCCCAAGGTGAATATTATCCCCATTTTGTAGATGAGGAAACTGAGGCTCAGAGGGCCCCAGGAGAAGTGGCCTCACAGAATCCACTACACAAAGAATGTTTATTTAGCAACTGTCACGGGAAAGGCAGGAAATTCAGAGGAGGCTAATAGGCCATTCTGTCCCAGAGAGGTTTATGTTTCTAGTGGGGTGGTGATTGCAAACCCCAGTAAAGTTTTTCTGCTTTCAAAGGGCAGAGAGATCCCAGGGGAAGGAAAGTGGGAGAGGAAGGGGATTTGGGCTGGTTAGAGGAAGCTTTGCTAGAGGAACTAAGCTCCAGGATAATCAGGGTTTGTGATGGGGTGGGGAGAGAAAACCATCAACTCAGAGGCAGAAGAGGTTTTCATAGTATTTGTATCCTCTCTCCTCAGGCTCTGCATTGGCTGGTCCTGATTACAGAAAAAAAAAAAATGATCTGCTTCAGAGTGGGTCAAGAGACCCACGGATTAAAAGCCTCAAATGTATGAGTACATATGGGCACCAAGAAGGGAACAGGCACCGAGGCCTATTGAGGGTAGAGAATGGAAGGAAAGTGAGGAATGAAAAACAACTATGTTTATTACCTGGGTGGCAAAATAATCTGCACACCAAACCCCTGTGACATGCAGTTTACCTGCACCTGTCCCAGTACCCTTGAACCTAAAGTAAAAATTAAAAATAAAAAAGAAAGTTGAAATGACTAATAACAAAAAAAAATTTTTTTAGAGATGGGGGTCTTGCTATTTTGCTCAGGCTGATCTTAAACTCCTGGCTCAAGCGATCCTTCCCCCTTGGCCTCCCAAAGTGCTGGGATTATTTTTAATGACGTTTGTTCATACTTTGTTTGTAATACTTATGGAGATTCTCACCCACCGTTACCAGTTAGCTTTCCCAAACTGTGCTTTAACTGTTGATTTTGTAATAAAAAGCAGTATCTTCAAATAAATAAATAAAATGAACACATTGAAAACACAAACAAAAAAGGCCTCGGTGTAGGTTTCCAGTCTCTGAGTGAGGCTGTATACACTCAGCCAGGGAGGAAAGGATCCATGATCATTGTTAGAGGTAAACATGGAAAAGATAGCACAGTGACAAGCCAGTGGTCCTCAACTTCGGTGGCATATTAGAATACCCTGGGAAGTCCCACTCCATCCCAATTAAGTCCGAATCTCTGAAGGTGGGGCTGAGGCATCAGTAGGTTTTAAAGCTCCTGGGGGCTGTTGTGCAAAGGAAAACTTGAAGCTCTGTTCCTTCATTTCAAAAAGAAAGAAAGAAAATGGAAGTGGCCAGAGCCTCTCTCCAGGCGAGGAACAGAAAGCAGAAAAGAACTGGCTTCTTTTTGTGATCTTGGTCCAAACCTCTTTTTCCTCTCACTGAAGGATTCTCCCAGCAACCTCCAAGCAACCAGTCAAGAGACGCTGCCCTGAATTTTTGGTCCTCAGCTATAGAACAAAGAAGTCTTTGAGGTTTAACAAGAGGCTGCTCAGCTCTCTGGCCCCTGGGCTACTAAGATCTAGATTGGGAGCCTGGACTGCCACATGTGTAAGGGACGGAGCCTCGGATCAGGGCTGCCAGCTGGTGCCCTCCAAAGGCAGTATCTCACCTCCTGCCCACCCTCCTCCCAACCCTCAGGAGGGTGCTTGCAGTGAGATGAGATGCCGCAGGGAATAAAAACCACCAGCACCCCCTCAGCGTCCCTCCACTGTGTCAGGATCACAGACAGTGAGCCCCAGCCCCCAGCCCAGCCCTCTCTCCCCTGGAGGGAAACCAGCTTAAATTTGACTGGTTAGTAGGAATCCCTCATCTGGTCAGTGCCAAGATATCCCCAGCCTCCTGCTCCCTAACCCGGCTCCTCCGGGAGTGCTCTTCCAAGCAGGTGGAAACATAGCTTGCCTGAAGTGGTGATGAATCTCCTCATAGTAGGGGTTGGGAGGATAGGTGGCACTTGGACTAGAATTGGGAATATGGGAGTGGGAAGGGCAGTGGAAGGGGGATTTTGTTCCATTTTTTTTTTTTTTTTTTTTTTTTTTTTGCTTTCTCCAGTCTCAGAGGTAGGAGATGTTGGGCAGCAGTCAAGAAAAAGTTCACCTCTCCAAGCTTTACCATAGGCAACTGGCCACCACCCCTCCTCACTCCAGCGGTTTGAATGGTTTGCTCCTAACTGTGCCCTCTGCATTTGCCTTCATCCATCTCCATTCTTCTTTACGGTCAACATGCCAGGACCCTACATCTTCTCCCACATCAGTTGTTCACAGGGGCTCCTTCCCATGGAGTTCTGTCTAATGGCTTCCCAAACCTGAGTCTCATGGACATGTCCACTCTTCTTGTCCAATATCTCAGGAGCCTTGAATACTGCTGACCACTATGGTTGTAGGGTGGTGGTAGGGTGGTGGTAGGATGGTGTAGGGTGGTGGTAAGGTGGTTGTAGGGTGGTGTACAGTGGTGGTCAGGTGGTGGTAAGATGGTATAGGGTGGTGTAGAGTGGTAGGGTGGTGGAAGGATAGTGTGATAGGGTGGTGGAAGGGTGGTTGTAGGGTGATGTAGGGTGGTGGTAGGGTGGTGGAAGGGTGGTTGTAGGGTGGTATGGGGGTGGTAGGGTAGTTTTAGAGTGGTAGGGTGGTGTTATGGTGGTGGTATGGTGGTGTAGGGTGGTGGTACTGTGGTGTAGGGTGGTTGTAGGGTGGTAGGGTGGTGGTAAGGTAGTTTTAGGGTGGCAGGGTGGTGGTACAGTGGTGGTAGAGTGGTGGTAAGGTGGTGTAGGGTGACGGTAGGGTGGTGTAGGGTGGTGGAAAGATAGTGGTAGGGGGGTGTAGGGTGGTGGTAGGGTGAAAATAAAGCTACATGTATATATTGAGGTCTGGCACACAGTGTTTAAAACATGTTAGCTCTCTCTTCCCTGCGTACTCTCAAGAGTGTATGTATGGTGTTGAGTGTACCCTGGGCCCTGGCTCTGGGTCATTCAGCAATGACTGAGGAGGGCTGGAAACAAGGAGGTGCCTGTGGAGAACAAATCCACTTCTGGTTACTGGTTTGAGACCTGGTAACAGTGGCCATCCCCGACCTTCTTGGGCTGCCATCTTTGAAGACCACCATCCCTAAGGTGAACAGAGATGGTTCAGAGATTTTTCCTTTATCTTTCCATAGAGGAAGTACAACCAGAAGTTGGGATGAGTCGGCCTTGAGATGGAAGAGATTTGAGATACCCCACTTTTCCCAGTGACTGCTTTGATAAGCAGACAGTCTTCCTTTCTCTTTCCTTTGAAGATTTTGGTCCAATTTGCAAAGGAGCTAGTATCCCAGTTGTTTTAAGAATGTATAGTCCTGGAGGCAGACACCAACTGAGAAAATGGAGCACCTAGAAAAAGGCAGATAAGGGAATAAAAGAAATGGCTAAATTCATAATTTTTTTAAAATTATGAGAAACAGAAGAAAATAGTTATGAGCTTAAGTAGGGAAGCACTTCTAAGCACACACATATTAAGAACATATAATGGAAAGAGTGATAGATTTGAATACATTTAAAAAATGTATTTCTCTATGTTAAAAAAACTTTTTTTTTTTTTTTTTTGTGATGGAGTCTTGCTCTGTCACCCAGGCTGGAGTGCAGTGGCGCAATCTTGGCTGACTGCAACCTCCACTTCCTGAGTTCTGGCAATTCTCTTGCCTCAGCCTCCCTAGTAGCTGGGATTACAGGCGCCCACCACCACACCTGGCTAATTTTCCTATCTTTAGTAGAGACAGGGTTTCACTATGTTGGCCAGGCTGGTGATTCACCTGCCTTGGCCTCCCAAAGTGGTGGCAGGCATGAGCCACAGTGCCCAGCTGAAAAACAATTTCTATAGATTAAAAAGAAACTATATATAATTTTATAGGTTAAAAAACAAAGTATTTGAAATATATATAACAAAATTAATATCTTTAATATATAAACAGCTTTTACAAATTAATAAAAAAGGAAAATCCCAGCTAAAAAGTTCAATGCACGTAAATATGCAATTTACAAATAAAGACATACAGATATAAAAAGTATATCCTTTGAGTAATAAAATAAATACAAACTAAAATAACAGTAAAATTCCTTTTTTTTCCCACTTAGCTTATTGTCAATGATTAAAAATAAATGCTTAATGTTGGTAAGATTACGGGAAACAGAAACTCTGATTCAAACCTACTGAAAACATAAAGCTATGTAACATTTCTGGGGGCAGTTTGCCAGTATGAATTAAAACTTTTATATGATTTACTCACGTTCACTCTTAGGAATGTCTCTTAAGAAAATAACTAGAAGTGGCTGGGCGCGGTGGCTCACTCCTGTAATCCCAGCACTTTGGGAGGCCGAGGCAGGCGGATCACGAGGTCAGGAGATCGGGACCATCCTGGCCAACATGGTGAAACCCCATGTCTACTAAAAATGCAAAAATTAGCCAGGCATGGTGGCACGTGGCTGTAATCCCAGCTACTCAGGAGGCGGAGGCAGGAGAATCCCCTGAACCAGGCAGTTGGAGGTGGCAGTGAGCCGAGATTGCGCCATAGCACTCTAGCCTGGCGACAGAGCGAGACTCCATCTCAAAAAAAAATAACTAGAAGTGTATACAAAGAATTGCATATAAAGATGTTAGTCAAAGCGTTCTTCATAATAATTTTTAAATTAAGAACAACCTAGGCCGGGCGTGGTGGCTCACACCTGTAATCCCAGCACTTTGGGAGGCCGAGGTGGGTGGATCACAAGGTCAGGAGTTCGAGACCAGCCTGACCAACATGGTGAAACTCTGTCTCTACTAAAATTACAAAAATCAGCTGGGCGTGGTGGTGTGCGCCTATAATCCCAGCTACTCAGGAGGCTGAGGCAGGAGAATCGCTTGAACCCGGGAGACAGAGGTTCCAGTGAGCCAAGATCACATCACTGCACTCCAGCCTGGGTGACAGAGCAAGACTCCGTCTCAAAAAAAAAAAAAAAAAAAAAAACAACCTAAATGCTGAGGCAGGATAATCGCTTGAACCTGGGAGGCAGAGATGGCAGTGAGCCAAGATGGTGCCACTGCACTCCAGCCTGGGTGACAGAGCAAGACTCTGTCTCAAAAAAAAAAAAAAAAAAAAGGAAAGAAAAAAAAGAACAGCCTAAATGTCTGCAAATAGGGACTTGGTTTAATATAGTTTGGCATAAATAGATAGAATGCTGTACAGCAATAAAAATCATAATTTCACCAGGTGCAGTGGCTCACACCTGTAATCCCAACAGTTTGGGAGGCCGAGGCGGGTGGATTACTAAGTTAGGAGTTCAAGACCAGCCTGGCCAATATGGTGAAACCCCGTCTCTACTAAAAAATAGAAAAAATAGCTGGGCACGGTGGCGGGTGCCTGTAATCCCAGCTACGCGGGAGGCTGAGGCAGGAGAATAGCTTGAACCTGGGAGGCAGAGGTTGCAGTGAGCCAAGATCATGCCACTGCACTCCAGACTGGATGACAGAGTGAGACTCCGTCTCAAAAAAAAAAAAATATATATATATATATATATATGTATATATATAAAATTTCAAAGAATATGAATACACAGAAATATTCACAATATAATATTGTGGAAGGAAGCTGGGAAACAAAGGAAATGTGGTTTATAAAAAACAGGCTGAAGGAAATGGCCAAGAGAAGAGAGTCCTTGAGTGCTCTGCGTAGATCTTTTGTCCAGTCCTTTGGCAGGAAAGGTAGGGCTCTATGATTGACAGCTCATCAGAGTCACCTGGAGTCCGGCAAGGAGGTTTCCCCAGGAAGGGAGCACAGGATAGACAAATATATAGGTCATCTGTGCAATTGAGAAAGTTGATTGTGGTGGTGGCGGCGGTGGTAGTGATGGAGCTTGGGGGCAGGGGGAGATTGAGAAGGTGGCATCTGCAATACTGGAATTCTCAATGACAGTCGAAGCATGTGCTTTACAGTCACCTACAAAGCAGGGTCCTAAAAAGTAATTTTGCTATATTTCCCAAAAGCTTTGAAATAGGAAGAAATCCAAAACTGCTCATTTCCTTATATTTATTTTGTTGTTTAGCATTCTATTTGTTTGCAGCAGAGTCTCAGTCTGACCTCCGAGCCCACCCAGAGGGCCCGGGCGACTGCAGGAGGGCCACTGCTCCTGCCCGCGGAGCTGGAGTGGGGCCCAGAGACAGAGACTGGGGTGTCCACCAGGAGACTCCCAAGGCTCCCAGACCGGAGCTCCGTACAAACCCTGGAGGGCAAAGCGGGGAGAGGGAGCCAAGATGAAGAGCCCAGGAGCCTGGAGAGCAGGAACCCTTTGTCTGAGGAAGCTCCAAGGAAACGGAGGGGACTCCCTGAAGTAGATTCCTTCATGTCTTCAGGGTGGCTTTTTATGCTAAGCCCCACCTGGGATGCTGGTGTGCTGAAGCATTTAGGGAGCTGGCCCAGCAGAGAGGATGCAGGGAAAGCCTGGGGATGGAGGCCAGGAGAACCACAGACCCCACCATCTGAGAGCCTGAAACCAACAACAAACTTGTGGCCAAAGCACAGTGGGTACTGGGTTTTGTACCAGGAGTTTCTGGCTGTATAACAACCCACGCTTGTGGGAAATAATCCATCCCCTCAAGAACTAATCCAGTCTCGCCAGAGCAAGATCTCACTCACGACCAGGAGAACAGCACCAAGCCAGTCATGAGAGACCCACCCCCATGACCCAAGCACCTCCTGCCAGGCCCACCTCCAACACCACCACATTGGAGATCAAATTTCAACAAGAGTTTTGGCGGGGACAAACAAACCCTATCCAAACCATAGCACATGCCATCGTTGAATGCCAGAAACTGAAAGCCTAAGCGTGGCCCTATACAGTCTAGGCCCCTGCTCTGCCAGGGACCAGATTCAGCCGCATGGCAACGTCCCCAGCTGGTTCATGAGCACATTTGAGAAGCACTGAGGATCGTGTTAAACTGCAGGTCTTGATGCAGTATGTACGGGGGAGGGACTGAGATTGTGTTGCTAAATAGATCCTAGATGACCCTGATGTTGCTGGTCCATGGATCACACTTTGGGGGAAAAAGGGGGTCTACTGTATCTGTTCTATGCCCCACCCCCCATTTTGATGAAAGCTGCCCGCATCCCTCTCACTTGCACCACTACCTGGCTCCACCCTCTAAGTGGAGCCCCTCCCTCTCTCCAGGCTCACAGCTTCTCCACTGCCTCCCTCACCCACTTTCACTGACAGGTTCTCAAAAGGCTCATGACAGTCAGGCGCGGTGGTTCACACCTGTAATCCTAGCACTTTGGGAGGCTGAGGCAGGCTGATTACTTGAGCCCTGGAGTTTGAGACCAGCCTGGGCAACATAGCAAGACCCCATCTCTGCAAAAAAAAAATACGAAAATTAGTCAGGCATGGTGGCACATGCCTGTAGTCCCAGCTACTAGGGAGGCTGAGGTGGGAGGATCGTCTGAGCCCAGGAGGTCGAGGCTGCAATGAGCCGTGATTGCACCACTGCACTCCAGCCTAGTTGTCAGAGATCCCGTCTCAAAAAAGAAAAAGAAAAAAGGCTCATGACATTATCTGCTTCATTTTCCTCACCATTTCCCTCCTACAAAAGCCTAGCAATTAGCCTTTGTCTCAGACCTCTCTCTCTGTCTCTCTCCTCTCTCTCTGTTTGTGTGTGTGTGTGTGTGTGTGTGTGTGTGTCTCTCTCTCCCTGCTGAACAGATTTTCAAAAGTCACCAACAACCTCTTAAAAATCCTGCTTATTGCCGGGTGTGGTGGTGCACACCTGTAATCCCAACAATTTGAGAGGCTGAGGCGAGTGGATCACCTGAGG
This sequence comes from Homo sapiens, assembly GCF_000001405.40. NCBI lineage: Eukaryota > Metazoa > Chordata > Mammalia > Primates > Hominidae > Homo > Homo sapiens. The sequence continues at coordinate 65,505,373 of NC_000017.11, forward strand.
TCAGGAGTTCACGACCAGCCTGACTAACATGGTGAAACCCAGTCTCTACTAAAAAAAAAAAAAAAAAAAAAAAAAAATAGGTGTGGTGGTGTATGCCTGTAATCCAAGCTACTTGAGAGGCTGAGACAGGAGGATCGCTTGTACCTGGGAGGCAGAGGTTGCGGTGAGCCGAGATCATGCCAGTGCACTCCAGCCTGGGCAATAAGAGCAAAACTCTATCTCAAAAAAAAAAAAAAATTCCTGCTTATTGGTCTTTTCTTAGTCCTCTCTAAGAAAGGGGACTTCTGTCCCATTAAATGCTGTTGACCAAACCCCATACAGTTTAGCATAAAATTTTTGCCCTGTTTTGTCCTGATTTCTCCCTACCTCTCAGGCCTATCCCCTTTATTCCAGTTCTTCATTCTCCCTGAAATTGTATCTCTACCTCGAAGTTCAGAGGGCATGCAGAACCAAATCTGCAGCTCCAACTTTTCTCTGAATCTCAAACCATGCATTTCTGATTCCTGAAACTCAAGGTCTCAAAGGACACTCATTATTTTTCCATTTAATTCAGTGGAATGCAATAAACATGTTACTAGGCATTGTGCTGTGAAAACAAACTGACGGAGCCTTCCTCCAAGGGGTTCCTAGAAGCAAACCTTCCTGATACCAGTGGTATGCTGGTAAACCAACTCTCTTAAAGAAAAAATAAAAAAGCCCCAATTTATAACATTTACCAATCTCCACCATGGCTTATTTAAAGCTTCTGCCATAACACTGCTGAACACAGACAGGAAGAGATACGCAGAATCGGCTCTCCAGAGCCAGAATGAGCCAGCTTCAGCACAGCACTGTTGGCCCTCACACAACTACCAGTTATTGTCCCAGTCATCCACCCTCAAATCTTAGAACCAAAGCGTCCTTGATACAATGCTTTCCCATTCACCCTCACATCTAGTAAATCAGCAACTGTGGTGACTTGTACAGCAAGGCCCTAAAACTCTTTGAAGGTAAGCTATGAGAAATTAGAGAAGAAAAAAGAATAAGTGGCAAATGGAAAAAAAGTAGCAAGATGGTAGGGACTTAAACCCAATCACGTTGATAATTACATGAAATGTAAGTGGTCTAAATACTCTAATTAAAAGTCAGAGACCTAGATTTCTTCCCCCCTGGAAAAAAAACAGCAAGAGCCAACTTTTTGTTTTCTACAAAGACACACCTTACATCATAAGACACAGATAAGTAAAAAGGATGGAAAAAGATATAACATGAATGAGAAAGCTGCCAATTGAACAAAATTAACTTCAGAACAAAGAAGATAAGAGACAAAGAGGGATACTTCTTTTTTTCCTTTTCTTTTCTTTTTTTTTTTTTTTTTTTTGATACAGGGTCATCCTCTGTCACCCAGGCTGGGGTGCAGTGCTGCAATCACAGTTCACTGAAGCCTCGGCCTCCCTGGCTCAAGCACTTCTCCCACCTCAGTCTCCCTAGTAACTGGGATTACAGGCACATGTCACCATGCCTGGCTAATTTTTGTATTTTTTTTTTGTATAATTTTGTAATTTTGCATAATTGGGGGGGGGGTTGGTATAGTTCTATAATTTTTTATAGATAGAGGGTTTCACCATGTTGCCCAGGTTGATCTTGACCTCCTAGGCTCAAGCAATACACCTACTCAGCCTCCCAAAGTTCTGGGATTACAGGTGTGAGCCACCACGCCCAGCAGATATTTCTTAATGATTTAAGAGTTAATTCATATGTACACCGATTATACATCCATTAGAAGATTTTTTAAAATAAAACTTCAAAAAGATATATCAATCAGAAATGTATATGCACATAAAGACAGAGCTTCAAAATGCATAAAATATCAACTGACAGAATTTAAAGGCAAAATGAAAAAATCTTCAAATCTACCTAGAGATTTTTTTTTTTTTTGAGACGGAGTCTTGCTCTGTCGCCTGGGCTGGAGTGCAGTGGCGCAATCTCAGCTCACTGCAAGCTCCGCCTCCCGGGTTCATGCCATTCTCCTGCCTCAGCCTCCCGAGTAGCTGGGACTACAGGCGCACACCACCACGCCCGGCTAATTTTTCGTATTTTTAGTAGAGATGGGGTTTCACCGTGTTAGCCAGGATGGTCTAGATCTCCTGACCTCGTGATCCACCCGCCTCGGCCTCCCAAAGTGCTGGGATTACAGGCATGAGCCACCGCGCCCGGCCCTACCTAGAGATTTTAAACCTCTTCTCAGAACTGATAGAGCAAACAGAGAGAAAATTAGTAAAGATATAGAAGACTTCAACCACCCTGCTAACCTAACTGGCCTAATTGACATGAATAGAACACTCCATTGAGCATCAGGAGAAGACATGTTCTTTTCAAATGAACATGGAACATTCAAGACAGACAGTTTGCTATACCATAAAACAACTTCCAATATATATGAGTTGAAATCATAGATTATATTTGCTGACTACAAAAAAGTTAAAATTTTAAAAAGAGAAAAATATGTTTGAAAAACCCTGAACTAATGTGAAACTAAACAAAATACATTTAAATAGCATATAGATCATAAAAGAACTCACATGGGAAATCAGAAAATATTTTGAACTAAATGATAATGAAAATACAACATATCAAAATTTGGAGGATGCATCTAAAGCAGTGATGCTTATAATAGAAAAGAAGAAAGATCTAAAATCAACATTTAAAGCCGGGCACAGTGGCTCACGCCTGTAATCCCAATACTTTGAAAGACTGAGGCAGGTGGATCATCTGAGGTCAGGAGTTCAAGACCAGTCTGGCCAACATGGAGAAACCCTGTCTCTACTAAAAATACAAAAATTAGACAAGCATCGTGGCACATGCCTGTAATCCCAGCTACTTGGAAAGCTGAGGCAGTAGAATGGCTTAGAGGCGGACGTTGCAGTGAGCTGAGATTGCGCCATTGCACTCCAGCCTGGGTGACAGAGCGAGACTCCATCTCAAAAAAAAAAAAATCTACATTTAAGCTAGTAAATAGTAAGAAACTAGTAAAAGAAAACCAAATTAAATCCAAAGTAAGCAAAAGGAAGGAAACAATAAAAATAAGAGCAGAGGCTGGGCGCAGGGGCTCACACCTGTAATCCCAGCACTTTGGGAGGCTGAGGAGGGCAGATCACCTGAGATCAGGAGTTCGAGACCAGCCTGGCTAACATGGTGAAACCCTGTTTCTACTAAAAATACAAAAAATTAGCCGGGTGTGGTGCACACGCCTGTAATCCCAGCTACTTGGGAGACTAAGGCAGGAGAATCACTTGAACCTGGGAGGTGGAGGTTGCAGTGTGCAGAGATTGCGCCATTGTACTCCACCTTGGGCAACAAGAGCGAAATGCCATCTCAAAAAATAAATAAATAAAAATAAAAATAAGAGCAGAAATCAAAGAAATAAAACATAGACTAATAGTTTAAAAACTCAATGGAACCCAACGCTAATTCTTAGAAAATATCAATAAAATTATAAACCTCTAGCTAGACTAGCCAAGGGAAAAAAGACAGAACACACAAATTATCATTATAAGGAATGAAAGAGAGACTTCATTAGAAATCCTACATATAATGAAAGGATAATAAGCAAATAGCATGAACAACTTTATGTCAATAAAGTCAACAATTTAGATAAAATGGACAAATTACATGAAGGAGAAAAATCACGAAATCTAGCCCAATAAGAAATAAGAAGTCAGAAACAGGCCTAATCTATTAAAGAAATTGATTTTCTAATTAAAAATTTTCCCTGAAAGAAAACTCCAGGCCAGGTGGCTACACTGGCAAGTTCAATCAAACATTTAAGGATATCTAATGCCAGCTTCTCTCGCATTCTTTCAGAAAACAGAAGTGAGATCTCTTCTCAACTCATTCTATGAGGTCAGCATAACCTGATACCAAAACCAGACAGCTATTACAAGAAAAGAAAACTACAGACCAATATTTCTCATGAACATGAACAGAAAATTCCTTAACAAAGTATTAGCAATTTGAACCAAGAATAAATTAAAATAGATAATACATCATGACAAAGTGGGGTTCATCCCAGGAACACAGGATGATTTAACATTTAATAATCATCTAATGTAAATCATCCTATTAACAATAAAGGAGAAAAGCCATGTGGTCAACCTGACAGATATATAAAAAGGATTTGATAAAGTACAACTTGCATTCGTAATAAAAATTCTCAGAAAGCTAGAATTAGATAGGCACATCTTCAACCTAACCTACAGTATCTACAAAAAACCATCAGCAGCAAACTTTATGATGAATGACTGAATACTTTTCACCTGAGATCTGAAATGAGCAAGGGTATTTAATCTCATAATTTTTATTTAACATTTTTAACAGGTTCTCATTTGTGCAGAAAATGATTTTAGACATAGCCAATCTTTATGAAACTTAACAATCTAACAGAAATAAGTGAATTCAGCAAGGTTATATGATACAAGGTCAAAATAAATCAATTATATTTCTGTATGCTAGCATAGAACAATTGAAAAACAACGTTTAAAATACCATTTATAATAACATCTAAAAATCCATAAATACCTAGGGATAAATTTAACAAACTATATCCAAAATATATACATGAATATAATTTTGGTAAACAAAAAAAATTACCAAGAGAAATTAAAGAAGACTTAACCAAATGGTAAGATATGTCGTGTTCATGGGTTGCAAGACTTGGTGTATTAGTCCATTCTCACACTGCTATAAAGACACTACCTGAGACTGAGTAATCTATAAACAAAAGAGACGTAATTGACTCACAGTTCCACATGGCTGGGGAGGCCTCAGGAAACATAAATAATGGCAGAAGGCAAAGGGGAAACAAGGCATGTCTTACATGGTGGCAGGAGAGAAGGAGAGAGAAAGTGTCATGCTTTTAAACCATCAGATCTTGTGAGAACCCACTATCAGGAGAACAGCATGGGGGAAATCCACCCCCATGATCCAATCACTTTCCACCAGGTCCCTCCCTTGACATGTGGGGACTACAATTTGAGATGAGATTTGGGTGGAGACACAGAGCCAAACTATATCACTTGGTGGTGTCACTATGTTAGTTTTGCCCAAATTGATCTATAGATTCAGCTCAGTCCCAATCAAAATCCCAGAGGGTTTTTTTTTTTTTTTTTTTTGGTAGAAATAGACAAGATGATGATAACATTTATATGGAAATGCAAAGGACATAAACTGATACCCCAGAATTTTCAAGTATTTTTTTAAAGAATAAAGTTGGATGACTTACATCTAAACTGATGTCAAAACTTATTATGAAGCTAGTAATCAAGACAGTGTGCTATTTGGCATAAAGACAGATCAATATATAAATGGAACAGACCAGAGAATCCAGAAAAAAATCCACACATATATGGTCAATTGATTTTTAATGAGAGTGCTAAAATAATTTCACACAGAAAGAATAGCCTTTTCAAAAATGCTCCTGGAAAAACTGAACATACACATGAGAAAAAAATGAACCCTGAATCTTACCTCACACCATAGACAAAAATTAACCCAACTTCAAGCATAGAGCTAAACTTTGTAAAATCTAATACCACAAAGAATTCTGGAGGAAAAATAGGCAAACATCTTTTTGATCTTGGCACAGGCAAAGATTTTTTAGAAAGGATACAGAAAGCACTATGGAAAAGAAGAAAAATGGGTGGATAAATCAGACTTCATCAAAATTAAAAATATCCACTCTTTGAAGACATCATTAAATAATTATAAAAGACAAAGACTGGTAAAAAATTGAAATACAAATATCTGACAAAAGACGTACCAAGATATACAAAGAACTCTTATACCTCAAAAATAAAATAAAGACCCAATTTTTAAAATAAGTAAAAGATGTGGTCAGACATTTCCCAAAAGAAGACATACTAACAACCAACAGCACACAAAAAGGTGATCAATGTCATTAGTCATCACAGAACTGCAATGAGATGCACTACACTACATAGACACTAGAATGTTTAAAATTAAAAAGATTTATCAAACCTTAGAGCAGATGTGGGACAACTGGGAATCTCATACATTTGCACATATTGTTAGTGGAAATATAAAATGATACAATCACTTTGGGAAACAGTTTGGCAGTTTCTTATAGACATATACTTACATACAAACCAATGATTTCACTTTTAAGAGAAGTGAAAACATATGGCCATCCAGACTTGTAAACAGATGCTTATTGGGCATTTACTGAGAATCTTCTTTTTTTTTTTTAAGACGGGCTCACTCTGTCCCCCAGGCTGGAATGCAATGGCACACTCTCCGCTCTGCTCACTGCAGCCTCAACTTCCCCAGGCCCGAGTTTTTCTCCCACCTCAGCCTCCCGAGTAGCTGGGACTACAGGCATGGACCACACCACATCTAGCTAACTTTTGTATTTTTTGTAGAGATGGGGCTTTGCCACGTTGCCCAGGCTGGTCTTGAACTCCTGAGCTCAACCAATCCACCCACTTCAACCTACCGAAGTGCTAGGACTACAGGTGTGAGCCACCACACCTGGCCCCACTGAACATCCCAATGGATGAATAAGTCTGAAGTAGTAGACTTACTCATAATATCCCCAAATTTGAAACAACCCAAATGTCCATCAACAGGTAAACATGTTATGTATGGTATAATCATGCAAGGGACTAATAACCAGCAATAAAAAGAAACAAACTATTTACGTATACAATAAATCCCAAAACTATGCTGAGCAAAAGAAGCCAGACATGAGGCTGGGGGCGGTGGCTCGCGCCTGTAATCCCAGCACTTTGGGAGGCCGAGGTGGGCAGATCATGAGGTCAGGAGCTTGAGACCAGCCTGGCCAACATGGTGAACCTCATTTCTACTAGAGATACAAAAAATTAGCCGGGCGTGGTGGCGTGAACCTGTAATCCCAGCTACTCAGGAGGCTGAGGCAGGAGAATCACTTGAACCCAGCAGGTGCAGGTTGCAGTGAGCTGAGATTGCGCCTTTGCACTCCAGCCTGGGCAACAGGGTGAGACTCCATCTCAAAAAAAAAAAAAAAAAAAGAAAAGAAAAGAAGAAGAAGAAGAAGCCAGACATGAGAGAGTAGGTGCTAAATGATCCATTCATAGGAAATTCTAGACTTCTTAACAGTGGATGATTTTGGCCTCCGAGGGACATTTGGAAATGTCTAGAAATATTTTTGGTTGTCACGAGTTGGGATAAGCTACTGACATCTGGTGAAAGGAGGCCAGGGATGCGCTAAACATCCTTTAATGTACATGACAGACCCCCACAGCAAAGAATTATCCAAATTATCCACTACTGACCCAAAATGTCAATAGTGCCAAGGCTGAGAAACCCTGGACAAAACTAATCTATAGTGACAGAAAAAAGGTTGGTGATTGCCACTGGCTGGGGGTGGGAAAGTGAGGGTTGATCGCAAAGGGGCATGTGAGTGGAGAAAATGTTTTAGGTCTTGGTTGTGGTAAAAGGGAAGCATTTCATTTTACACAAATTATACCTTGGAAAAATTGACTTTTAGAAAAATGACCCTGGCCGGGCATGGTGGCTCATGCCTGTAATCCCAGCACTTTGGAAGGCCGAGGCAGGTGGATCATCTGAGATCAGGAGTTCGAGATCACACTGACAAACACGGAGAAACCCTGTCTCTACCAAAAATATAACATTAGCTGGGCATGGTGGCGGGTGCCTGTAGTCCCAGCTACTCGGGAGGCTGAGACAGGAGAATGGTGTGAACCTGGGAGGCGGAGCTTGCAGTGAGCCGAGATTGTGCCACTGCACTCCAGCCTGGGTGACAGAGTGAGACTCTGTCTCAAAAAAAAAAAAAAAAAAAAGAAAAGAAAGAAAAATTACTCTGAATGCTACTTCAAAATACTTTTTTTTTTTTTTGTCATTCCCATCCATCAGTTAACTACCTTGTAAATTAGCCTGAGCAAACATCTCAGTAGTGAAGCTATTTTCTTTATTGGATGAGACCTTAGGTACAGAAATTGGGAAACCCCACACATCCCACAAAATTGAATCCATGTTTTCTAATAGGAATTTGAGGAGAGTGGAACCAACAGAGTAGCAAGAACAAAGAAACCTCCCTGTCAGCCAATAGTATTATAGTATCATATTATTACATACATACACATGTGTGTGTATGGAGACACACACAGCCATTTGCACATGTGCTATTTGCATGGTGCCTGGTACAAAGAAAGGATAAAACGAGTGTTAATAACCCGTGCCTCAATGACACATTCTTTATGCTTTTATTTCTACATCCATTGATGGTTTAATAAAGCCAAAAGGCCAGGCACAGTGGCTCACGCCTGTAAACCCAGCACCTTGGGAGGCCGAGGTGGGCAGATCACCTGAGATCAGGAGTTCAAAACCAGCCTGGCCAACATGGTGAAACCAGGTCTCCACTAAAAATACAAAATTAGCCAGGTGTGGTGGTGCGCACCTGTAATCCCAGCTACTCGGGAGGCTGAGGCAGGAGAATCGCTTGAACCTGGGAGGCAGAGGTTGCAGTGAACTGAGATCATGCCACTGCCCTCCATCCTGGGCAACAGAGTGAGACTCTGTCTCAAAAATAAATAAATAAATAAAGCCAAAAGACTATTTAGCCTTTTAGCTAGGATGCAGTCTTTTGGAATGAGGGTACTGTGAAGAGAAGGCAGCTTCTATCAGAATCCTCTCAGAAACTCACCAGTTTTGGAGTCCTTCTCAGTCGTGAGTTGGAATGAGCTCACACTGGCTTCTGAGAGCTGATCGTGGTCTTCTCTTCCAAACTCCCAGTTTAGTGACCTCAAGTTGGTAGTTGGAAATCGACCATGGTGGAAGTCTTTACACCATGGAAATTGGCAAATGTGACACATCAGGGCTTGTTCCCCTGGAGAGCCAGGCGTGAAGTGTTTGCCGGCACATCACTGCCTCTGACTCAGAGAGAAGTGAAATTCATATGGAAGAGAGAATGCACGTGGGTGTGAACATGAACGTTGTGGTTTGAAATTGGTGATTTTTTTCCTCTTATGTCATGAAGACAGTTGGAATTGCCCTGACGATCCATCTTCCCATGAAAAAAAGCCAAGGGGGTGTGGGTGGGGAGCCTGGATAGGTTCCATACAGTATTTTAATAAAAAATTGTAATGTAGCCTGGGGGCTTCTGGTTAAACAAAACAAAATATTTAGTTTAAAAACCTGTTCTTCACATAGAATAAAGGTGAATGAGAGTATAGAGTTGGGTGAGACCTTAGCCACGTTCTCAAAGGAAGGACAGAGAAGCCCTAATTCAGGGAGGGTTTGGCCACAGTCCCTGTGTGATGTGCTTCAGATATTCGTCATCCTGCAACAAGCTGGAGAAGACAGAGGCGTTTTGCTTAAGGGCCCCAGCGTGAGTGCCAGGCAGGGCTGAGGCATCCTGCCCAGCGCTTCTTGCCCCTTACTTCCTGGCTGCTTCTCCAAGCTGGCAAGGTCAGGGTGGATGGAGAGAAACATTTCCCAGAGGCCAGAGTTGCCCATGAGAAGTGGCTCTGCCCTGAACTGTCTCTCATTTTCTGGGGGCCAGACTGACCTGTGAGGCAAAGTTGACTTCTTCCTGATATGGGGAACAAGGAGCTCAACCAGATATCCAAGTGTGGCTCAGCTTTTGCTGACGCTTGGGAGAGAGCTGGGAGCCAGAGACAGTTCTGTGGCTTGAGGGTTCCTCTATGGATTTTATTTAAACCACCTTTTTTTTTTTTTTTTTTTGAGATGGAGTTTCACTCTGTCACCTGGACTGCAGTGCAGTGGTATGATCTCGGCTCACCGCAACCTCCACCTCCCAGGTTCAAGCAATTCTCCCACCTCAGCCTCCCAAGTAGCTGGGATTACAGGTGCACACCACCATGCTTGGCTAATTTTTGTATTTTTAGTAGAGATAGGGTTTCACCATGTTGGCCAGGCTGGTCTCGAACTCCTGACCGCAAGTGATCTGCTCACCTCGGCCTCCCAAAGTGCTGGGATTACAGGCGTGAGCCACTGCGCCCAGCTAAACCATCTGTCAAATGGGATTTTAGGAACAGTGTTGGGTCACTACAAGATACCAGCCCGTGTCCCTGGGCTTGGAAATGAGACCTGGAAAGTTGAAGGCCTTCTCTGAGCCCCATCTGAGGGCGTATGTAGGAGAGCCTAAGCTGCCTCCATTACCCCAGGCAAACAAGGAAGAGCAGAGAGAAGTGGAGAACCCCACAGCCAGGAGACCCTCTGAGCAAGCCAGAGCTGGGCCCAGAATCCAGCCCACAGCCTTTGCCTCTAAAGAACCTGGAGGTGGAAGCATCACCAGCGCAGTCCCCAGCCTCCCAGCACAACAGCCAACAGCGGGGCAGGGCAACCTGCTCTCCTGGGTGGGGCTCGGGGAGGAGACCTCTCTCTGCGGCCTCCTCCCTCTGATAGTGGGACTTTTAAAACTTGATCAAAAAAATAATAATAAATTAAAAAAGAAAAGAAAAGACAGCAAACAAGCACAAAAGAGCAGGCGGGGAAAACCCTAGGTAGGAATCAATGAAGCCTTTCAACCTTCTTCCCTGCAAAAGTCTGCATTTCTCTTGTCTTTGGGAACCCGCTGAATGGCTGGGAAACTGTTTTTAATAAACAAGAGTTCAAACGCTGAGTCTCCATAGCCAACAGTCACGCCTTAAACTCTAAACTTTACATGAAAACTCTCCCAGTCCCTTTGAACTCTCCTTCCCTCTCCGACGGAGCATTCCAGTGTTTATGCATTTTTCGAGATTGCTGGCAGGATTGCGAGGCGCTTTGAATACTTTCCCTCTCTTTAGCAATCTCCTGCCTTCAGAACCCATTAATGCCCCACTCAGCAACATCAAGGTAATGCTTTGAAGTCCCTTCTGGCTACAGGCCTCTCACACTCTTTGGTTACTGTGCAATCAAATAATTAAATGGATTCTCAGGGAAAAAAAAAATCATTCTTTTCCTTGGTAATTAAATACTCCAGGTTGGACAGGAGCGCTGTGTTGCCAAGGGAGTGAGAATCTATAAAGACTCCAAGCCCAGAAGTCTATGCTGATGGCCCCCAGGGGAGAAAAATAATAACAAGCAAGTCAGCTCAATCCTCACTGCCCTTCTTGGCTGGCAGCAACCCTGGCCCACCCCGGGCTCTCCTGTCTCAGGGCCTCCCTTCCTAGGGCTGGGGATGGGGGCGGCGGGGGCATCTTCTTTTGGCCAAAATAAGCTTGTCAGAGACTGTGGCTGCCGGAGGTCAGGGAGCAGGTTCTACTCCCCTCCCAGGGGGATTATGCCCCTAAGGAGGCAGAAGCGGGGCAGGAAGACAGGGCAGAGGGTGGAGGAAGGGAGGGTAAAAGGAGCAGGGGGGAGACGAAAGAAGGGGAAAGAAGAATGAGGAAGAGAGATGCGGAAGGCAGAGAATGGGTGAAGGGGGGGCAGGGAAAGGGGAGAGAAAGAAAGGAAGGAGCAGGGAGAGGGGTGAGGGAGAGGTGTGGGAGGAGGGAGAAAATGGGGGAGGAGGGGGAGTGAAAAACTGTTAAGGTGGCAGCTGTGGCTATTGGTTTCTTTCCTCTCTGTCTTCCACGCCTCCACCAGGGTCTGCTTCTCCCAGAACAGATCTGACTCCCACCCTTCGTCTGGGTAAAGCCCCAACCTGGAAAAGTCCAGGGCAGCCCCTCACCACCTGCTTTGCCCTTATAGCCTCAACTCTCACTTCTTTCCCACCTTCTTGCCCTTGCCCAAACTGCTCTCTCTCCCTGAATTACCCTTCCACTGTCCTCCTGACCACCCCCAGGACCCCCGAAGTCTCAGCTCAGCAGTGACCTTCCTCTGGATGTTCAGACAAGTTTTATTCAAGCAACTTTTTTTTTTTTCCCCAAGATGGAGTCTCGCTCTGTTGCTGGAGTGCGGTGGCTCAATCTCAGCTCACTACAACCTCCGCCTCCCAGGTCAAGAGATTCTCCTTCCTCAGGCTGGGGTTACAGACACCCACCACCACACTCGGCTAATTTTTGGTATTTTTAGTAGAAACGAGGTTTCACCATGTTGGCCAGGCTGGTCTCCAACTCCTGACCTCAGGTGATCCACCAGCCTTAGCCTCCCAAAGTGCTGCGATTACAGGTGTGAACCAGTGAGCCCGCCAACTTTTTTTTTTTGAGATGAGGTCTCACTAGACTCCTAGACTCCTTGCTAGACTCCTAGACTCCTAGAGACTAGACTCACTAACTCCTAGATTCAAACAATCCACCCACCTCAGCCTCCCAAAGTATTGGGATTACAGGCATGAGCCACCATGCCAGGCTATTCAAGCAACTTCTCCAATGAATCATGATCTCTCAATCAGGTGCTCCTCTGGGTTGGGGACCACATTTTCATGGCCTGTTTCCCCACCCCTACCACCCCCTCCACACCCAGCACAGGCCCATGGTAGTCCTCAGCAGGTGCTGGTGATGCTGGCAATGACAGTGATGTGCAGAAGACTACCAAAGAGGCTTAGGTCCCAAGAAGCACTTTTTAAAATGGCCGCTATATACCCTATGCTTTGTTTATGAGCATCTCAACATGGCATCCTCTGTGACTGGAACTTGGAGCATCTCTTCGTCACTCCCGTCTTGTATTCCAAAGTGGCCCATTCCCCCTCTCTAACCATCTCTCCCCATGTGGTGTATGCACCTGAATGTCCAGGAACTTGGGCTCCCTGACATCCAAATTGGCCTTGAGAATAGATCCCCCCCAACCCCTAGGACAGGAGCCATATTATTAGTCAGAATTATTTGCGTTGGCCATGACAAAAACCCAAGACAAATTGACTGAAGAGGAAGAAAAAAAAAGATGACAGGATTTATTGACTCCCAAGGCTGGGCTTTCAGAGCAGTTGAATCTAAGGACCCAAGTAAAGTCATAGGACTTAGTGGATCTTTTTCTTTACCCCCACCCTGCCATCTTGTGGCTCCTATTTCCTTCTTAGTGGCTTCAATCCCAAAATAGGAGCCTTTCATACCATGGCCCCCAGAAGCCTAAGGATTTGGTTATCCCATTTCAGAAACTTCAACAGGGAGAGAGCACCGCATTCTCTGAATTCATGGCACAAGTCCCAGGTGTGACTCTCATTGGAACAACTTAAGTCACATGTCCCTCCCTGGACCAATCACAGTAGCCAAAATGATAAGCTCTACTAATTGGCCAGATCATATGAGCATCTTTGCAGCCGAAGGGTGCTCCCCAAAGGAATACCAAGATGTTAACATCAGGAGGTGAAAACATGGATGTTGGGCCAGCTAAAACAACAGATAACCACTGCAAGAACAAATCTTACTGGTGCCATTTATGGAGATTCTTAGAGGGAGGTGGCTGGGAAGACACTGTGTGTTAGGGATGAAAGGGTAGAGACAAACTAGGATCAGAAACAAGATCTCATCAGATCTTGTACAAAGGTGGAAGGTGTGGAGCAATGGAACCAGGCAAGTAGTAGACAAGCCGAGCAGGTGACCAAGGAGCAGGACCTCCCAATAGGTAAGGGGGCAGGGCAAGGCGGCAAGAACTCCAAGCCAAATTCTGTCCCAGTCCGGAAGTCAATGATACAATTCCTGGGGAGTCAGTAGCCTATCCTGGGCTCAGCCTACCTCCTGCCTCCAAGTGGGAGAGGCTATGCTATGCCTCTTGTTAGAAAAAGTCGAGGCATCAAAGCAGTTCTAGATGGGGGTGGAGGTGGTTTGCAGAAATGTCCACAAACTCTGCTTGAAGCAACGAAAGTCTTCACACATGGAGAAATTTATCCTGAAAAATTATGAGATGCTCAGAACGCTTTATTTGGTCAAGAGAAGATGTCATCTATTGAAAGGAAATAAACCAAAATGTTATCAGATGGTATCTCCGGGTAGTGGGGATTACAGTTGAATTTCTTTGTCTTTTTCATAATTCTATGTGTTTTCCAAATTTTCTACCATGACTATTTATTTTTGTGATCAGGAAAAATACAAATTGAAGGGGGGAAAACATCCTGAAACTGTTCCTATCAAATGCTGTATAAGCCAATCTTTCACGATCATAATCCACTTTTCCATTTATTTTATTTTCTCGCTGTGTCTCTGCTTCTCACCCTGGGTATCCCTCAGTCTGGATAATTGGCCTCTGGCTGCCTGGAAGCAGTGGCTGAAGCAGTCCTATTCCCTAAAGTGAGGTTGGGAGGGGGCCCTGCTTCTCCCAGCTGAGGCTGGGCCAGGAAGCCCTAGCAATGGTTCCCACTGAGCCCGGCTGCTGCTGATGAAATAGGACTCAGATGTCCAGCAGCTGTGACCCTCCCCAAGCTTGGATCCCTCCCCCTCCTCTCACCTCCTGGGCTTCTTCAGGCAGGATGAATGAACAACAAAGGCCTTGTGGCCAACTCAGCCATGCCAAGAAATGGGTGTCATCTGGAGGACGTGTCAGCCCAAACCTTTTATGTTGACAAACCATGTAGATCAGAAGACTAATTGCTTCTTGCTGTCTTCAGCCCGCCAAGGGCTCAACAATGATCCACAAATCATTTATAAATTGATGATCACAAATGACTTTACCCTAGTGGAACTAGACACCCACGCACCCATTGCCTGATTGGGGATGGGATTTGAGACTTAATTTACAAACAAAGGTCCCAGCCAGGACAGGAAACCCTCCCCAAGAGTCAATAAGACCACTCCCACCCTCAAGCAACCCAGTAGTTAATTCCTTCCCTTGGAAAAAACATGGTGGACTCACACTCACAGGCCTGTGCCAGACTCGGAATCCCAGAGGAAAAGAGATTTTGACAGCTAGTGGAAGACACAGCCTCCAGGCCAGTGGTCCAAAAGCCACGGAAGATTCAATGCTTTCAGTGCTTTATATTATCTCCCTGGAAATCTTTGGAGACAGAGATTTCATAGTTTCTCCCAATGACCTACTGCAGAGTTTTATATCCTGGTAACTGAGATGGTTTTTGGAGGAACCATTGCATCTCCTGCTTTTCTTTTTTTTTTTTTCTTTTTTTTTTGAGACGGAGTCTCGCTCTGTTGCCCAGGCTGGAGTGCAGTGGCGTGATCGCAGCTCACTGCAAGCTCTGCCTAATTTTTTGTATTTTTAGTAGAGACGGGGTTTCACCATGTTAGCCAGGATGGTCTCGATCTCCTGACCTCGTGATCCACCCGCCGCGGCCTCCCAAAGTGCTGGGATTATAGGCGTGAGCCACTGCGCCCGGCATATCTACTGCTTTTCATCCTGTTTTGTCTTCCATGAGCATAGAGGGAAAGGCTCAGATCCTATCTTCATCTTCAGCTGGGCAAAGACAGGCAACTTGGATTTTCCAGTTTGGCCCAGGCTGGGTAGAAATGAAAACTAGAGCTGTGTGTAGTAGTCAGGAGAGAGTAAGTCCAAGAAAATCTGGCTTAGCCCGCTCAGGTTTGTGAAGGGAGGTAGGCAGGGGAAATGTAGTTACTGAGACAATTTGCAGGGAGGAGTGCTGATGTCTTGCACGTGATAATGTAAGTTTCTCCTGGAAGTGATGCTTAAAGTTTTGTTTTTTGAAAAGCTGTCCTTTTCTTTTTCTGTTAGGATGGAGAAAATGACAGCTGTGATAATTTCATCAGTCCAGAGATAGACAGCACTCTAGATCACTGTTATGGGTTGAATTGTGTCCACCCAAAAAGATATGGTGAGGTCCTAACTCCCGGTACCTCAGAATGTGGCCTGATTTGGAAATAAGGTCTTTGCAGATGTAATCAAGTTAAGATGAGGCCAGGCCTGGTGGCTCACACCTGTAATCCCAGCACTTTGGGAGGCCGTGGCAAGTGGATTACCTGAGGTCACGAGTTCGAGACCAGCCTGGCCAACGTGGTGAAATCCCATCTCTACTAAAAACACAATATTAGCTGGGCATGGTGGCACATGCCTATAATCCTAGCTACTCAGAAGGCTGAGGCAGGAGAATCGCTTGAACCCAGGAGGCGGAGGTTGCAGTGAGCCAAGGCAGCACCATTGCTCTCCAGCCTGGGCAACAAGAGTGAAACTCTGTCTAAAAAAAAAAAAAAGAAGAAGAAGAAGAGGAAGAGGAAGAAGAAGAAGAAGCCAGGTGCAGTCGCTCACACCTGTAATCCCAGCACTTTGGGAGGCTGAGGCAGGTGGATCGCCTGAGGTCAGGAGTTTGAGACCAGCCTGGTCAACATGGTGAAACCCTGTCCCTACTAAAAAGACAAAAAATTAGCTGGGCGTGGTGGCAGGCACCTGTAATCCCAACTACTAGGGAGGCTGAGGCAGGAGAATCACTTGAACCCGGGAGGCGGAGGTTGCAGTGAGCCAAGATCGTGCCATTGCACTCCAGCCTAGGCGAAAGAGAGAAACTCCATCTCAAAAAAAAAAAAAAAAAAAAAAAAGGAGGGAAATTTGATTTGATTTGGACACAGACATGTCCAGAGAGACAACTGTGTGGAGGGATGCAGGGAGAAGGCCACGTGAAGACTGGAGTTGTGCTGCCACAAGCCAACAAATGTTTGGGGCTACCAGAAGCTGAAAGAAGTAAGGAAGGCTTCTTCTCCCCGAGGTTTCAGAGGGACCATGGCCCTGTTGATACCTTGACCTCAGATTTCCAGCCTCCAGAACTGTGAGACAATATATTTCTGTTGTTCTAAGCCTTCCAATTTGTGGTACTTTGCTACAGCAGCCCTAGGAAATGAATACAGTATTTTAAACAGAAAGTAAATTAATACAGAGAACCTGGCACTTTGAATTTTGTTTAAAGAGTCGACAGAGGCCGGGCGCAATGGCTCATGCCTGTAATCCCAGCACTTTGGGAGGCTGAGGTGGGTGGATCACAAGGTCAGGAGATCGAGACCATCCTGGCTAACATGATGAAACCCCGTCTCTACTAAAAATACAAAAAATTAGCTGGGTATGGTGGCAGGTGCCTGTAGTCCCAGCTACTGGGGAGGCTGAGGCAGGAGAATGGCATGAACCTGGGTGGTGGAGCTTGCAGTGAGCCAAGATCACGCCACTGCACTCCAGCCTGGGCAACAGAGTGAGACTCCGTCTCAAAAAACAAACAAACAAACAAAATATATTTACTCCCTGTCTCATGGATAAATAAGTATGCAATTAAATAATCACAATTTCGTTACAAATTAGAATGCAGGGAAATGAATGAAGGAAGTTCTGCAATGGAGAGGATCAGACGGTCACACACATGGATCCCATAGTCAGAGAAGACCTCTGACATTCGAGACAAAACCTGAAGGCTAAAAGGAGACAAACGTAGGAAAGGGTAAAGGAGGGTGCGTGCCCAGCAGAGGGGCTGCATACACAAAGCTCCTGAGCAGCAGGTCACTTTAGGGCAGTGGACCCCAACCTTTTTGGCACCAGGGACTGGTTTCGTGGAAGACAATTTTTCCATGGACGAGGGCGGCGTGGGAGAGATGGTTTGGGGATGAAACTGTTCCACCTCAGATCATCAAAGCATTAGATTCTCATAAGGAGCACACAACCTAGATCCCTCGCATACGCAGTTCACACACAGTTTGCACTCCTGTGGCGATCTAATGTCACCGCTGATCTGACAGGAGGCAGAGCTCAGACAGTCATGCTCCCTAGCCCGCCGCTCACCTCCTACTGTGTAGCCTGGTTCCTAAAAGGCCACAGCCCAGTACAGGTCTGCAGCCCAGGGGCTGGGGACCCCTGGTTTAGGGGAACAAGAAGGTCAGCCTGGAGGGAGCACAGAGGATTTGTTTTCAAAACTAGGCATTGGATGAGGTGGAGGAGGCCCTGTTCAGGGGCCGTGGTTCTACCTGAGGCAGACCCTTCTAAAACACTCCCTACACACACGTCTCCTGAGCTGCCAGACCTAAGGTCCTATACCGATTCTCCCTGTTTGGGCCCAGAGACTGTACCAAGCAGGCGGCCTGCTCCCTGGGATAATTCTGGTAATAGACAACATTTATCAAAATGCCTTTCTTTTTTTTCTCCAAAAATTAGCCAGGTGTGCATCTGTAGTCCCAGCTACTCAGGAGGCTGAGGTGAGTTGGGAGGATCGCTTGAGCCCAGGAGGTTGAGGCTGCAATGAGCCATGATCATGCCACTGCACTCCAGCCTGGGAGATAGAGCAAAACTCTCAAAAAAAAAAAAAAAAAAAAAAAGCTTTTTTTTTTTTTTTTTTTTTTTTGCTGGTGGTGGTTGTTTGTGTTTGTTTTTAAACCAAGTCACCACTACCCACTTCCTGAGACAAATCATGGAGTAGAGTCTACTCATATCAGATTTCTAAGAAATACAGTTGAGAAAGTGAGATAATAACCACTAAGAAGGACGTAAAGCATTCTTTTGATCCTTCTGTGTAATTTGGGGTGTTTCTATACAACTACATTATCTACTAAAGGTAAAAAAAAAAAGGGAGAGGAACATTTTTCTAAACCCTAAAACAAAAACAACTTTACCTGATTATTCAAGTAGACTGTAATATTTTCTCGGGGGTAATTGCCAATTTCCTTCTTTTTGACAGCATGATGATGACCCTAAAATTTTCTAGAGTGGGGAGAATAAAATGGGATTTTCCCCCCAAAATCCAACATTTCAGACTCTTTCACACAAACTGCCATCCTGGCTGCGAGCCCATAGAGAATTTCCAAGTACTGTAAGGCCCTGGGCTTGATAAAGAAAAATTTACAGATGCTTTGTGGCCAAAGGCTGCCTCCAGCAGCAAGTCTGTTTCCAAATAAAGCAAGCTGCAAACCCACTCTCCCACTGCCTTGGGCAAGAGAGCAGACGGCAGCCCCCAGGTGGTACAGCAGGAAGGCTGTGAGGGTGGATTCCACACGAGGAGCAAATGGTAACAAGTGGGTGAGACCCTCACCCATGTCACTATCACAGCCACTCTAGACAGAGGACTCACGTATTATCCTCATTGAACAAACGAGGAAACCATGGCTCCCTACGCGGCCCAGCTGCGAGTGGACTCAAACCCAGGTCTGCCCGACCCACAGCCTGCTCTTGACCTCTGATCATCTGGTTAAGAATTAATCAGATAAATAAGGCAGCAACATAGGGAAAAGCCCAGGAAGTGAAGGCGAAGTTATGTGATTTGAAGCTAGAGATGAAAAACAGGAAGATCGGGGGGGATTAAGGCAACAGGACGCTGGTGTGCACATGAGTCCCCTGGAGAGGCGGGAAACACGCAGGTCCCGTCTAGCCAATGGAATGGGGTGAGCCTCTGCCTCTCTCAGGCTCCCACGTGAGTCCACTCCATGGTCCTCAGACCACACTAGCAAGAGCCTGGGGGAGGGAGGGAAAGGTTTCTGGAAGAGTTGGGTCTTAAATTATTTGGGGACAAGGAATAGAGAAGCTGACAGCCCAAGCCATGGGTTTTAGCATTTTCTCTGGAGGCACAAATCCCTTTAAGAATCACATAAAAAATATAGACCCTTGCCTCAGAGGAAGGCATGCGCAGG
The DNA here is from genome assembly GCF_000001405.40 of Homo sapiens. Classification (NCBI taxonomy): domain Eukaryota; kingdom Metazoa; phylum Chordata; class Mammalia; order Primates; family Hominidae; genus Homo; species Homo sapiens. Next base: position 65,524,803 of record NC_000017.11, read on the forward strand.
TGATACTGTGAACAGTTTCAAGGGCTCTCAACTCCCAGAAGCACATCCACATGGGATTAGGAGGCCCTAAGTGTTAATATGACAGAGAAGCACAAAAATGGGCCCCTCTTAGAACAGGCAGAAATATACAGTTCCAAAATATATAAGAGCTCCTACAATTCAATAACAAGAAATCTAATAGCCCAATCTTTTTTTTTTTAATTGGAGATGGAGTCTCACTGTGTTGCCCAGTCTGGTCTTGAGCTCCTGGGCTCAAGCGATCCCCCAACTTTGGCCCCCAAAGTGCTAGGATAACCCAATCTTTAAACGGGTTAAAGACTTTAATAGACATTTCTCGGCCGGGGGCGGTGGCTCATGCCTGTAATCCTAGCACAGGATTGAGAGGCCGAGGTGGGGGAATCACCTGAGGTCAGGAGTTCAAGACCAGCCTGGCCAACATGGTGAAACCCCGTCTCTACTAAAATACAAAAATTAGCCGGGCATGATGGCAGATGCCTGTAATCCCAGCTACTCAGGAGGCTGAGACAGGAGAATCGCTTGAACCTGGGAGACAGTGGTTGCAGTGAGCCAAGATCACACCAGTGGACTCCAGCCTGGGTGTCTGAGCAAGACTCCATCTCAAAAAAAAAAAAAAAAAAAAAAAAAAAAGACATTTCTCCAAAGACACACAAATGGCCAACATGTATTTGAAAAGATGCTCAGTGTCACTAACCATCAGGGAAATGCAAATCAAAATCATGATGAGGTATCATCTCATACCTATTAGGATGGCTATTATCACAAAAAAACGAGTGTTGATGAGGATGTGGAGAGATTGGAACTCTTGTATACTGTTGGTGGGAATGCAAAGTGGTGCAACCACTGTGGAAAACACTTCGGAGATTGCTCAAAACATTTAAAATAGAGCCGCCATATGATTCAGCAATTCCACTTCTGGGTATTTATCAAAAATCATTGAAATCAAGTTCTTGCCAGGTGTGGTGGCTCACGCCTGTAATCCCAGCACTTTGGGAGGCCAAGGCAGGTGAAATACTTGAGGCCAGGAGTTCAAGAACAGCCTGGCCAACATGGCAAAACCCCATCTCTACTAAAAATACAAAAAATTAGATGGGCATGGTGGCGGGCGCCTGTAATCCCAGCTACTCGGGAGGCTAAGGCAGGAGAATCACTTGACCCCAGGAGGTGGAGGTTGCAGTCCATTGCACTCCAGCCTAGGCGACAGAGTGAGACTCCATCTCAAAAAAAAAAAAAAATAGAGATGATCAAGGTCTTGAAGAGATATTGGCACTTCCTTTTTTATTGCAGCATTATTCACAATAGCCAAGATGTGGAAATGACCTAAGTGTCCATCGATGGATTCGTGGATAAAGAAAATGTAATATAAATACACAATGGAATACTATTCAGCCTTAAAAAAAAGAGTAAAATCCTGTCATTTGTGACAACACGGATGAACCTACAGCACATTGTGCTAAATGAAATAAGCCAGGCACGGATTGACAAATACTGCAGGATTCCAGTTATATAGGTATCTAAGTCAACTTTGCAGAATTAGAGAGCCAAATGGTGGTTGTCAGGGGCTGGAGTGAGGGGGTAATGAGTTGCTGGTCAATGTGCGTAAAGTCTCAATTATGCAAGATAAATAAGTTCCAGAAATCTTCTGTGCAACACTGTCCCTATGGTTAACAATACTGTATTGTATACTTAAAAGTTTAAGAGGGGCCGGGTGCGATGGCTCACTCCTGTAATCCCAGCACTTTGGGAGGCCGAGGAGGGCAAGATTCACTTGAGGCCAGGAGTTCAAGACCAGCCTGGCCAACATGGCGAAACCCAGTCTTTACTAAAAATACAAAAATTAGCCGATGTGGTGGCACATGCCTGTAATCCCAGCTACTTGGGAGATTGAGGCACGGGAATCGCTTGAACCCAGGAAGCGGAGGTTGCAGCGAGCTGAGATTGTGCCACTGCATTCCAGCCTGGGCAACAGAGCAAGACTCTTGCCTCCAAAAAAAAAAAAAAAAAAAAAGTTTAAAGATGAAAACAGGGGCCAGGTGCAGTGGCTCATGTCTGTAATCCTAGCACTTTTGGGAGGTCTCAGGAGTTTGAGACCAGCCTGGGCAACATAGCAAAACCCCATCTCTACTAAAAAAATACAAAGATTAGCCAGCCGTAGTGGTGGGCGCCTGTAATCCCAGCTAATCAGGAGGCCGAGGCCTGAGAATCGCTTGAATCCAGGAGGTGGAGGTTGCAGTGAGCCGAGATTGCGCCATTGCACTCCAGTCTGGATGACAGAGTGAGACTTTGTCTCAAAAAAAAAAAAAAAAAAAAAAAGAATGAAAACAGGAGATAGAAACATGAGTGATCAACTAGTCCAGTTCTCTCTCACAAATGCACCTTAGAAGATGCCAGAAACCCGCTCATGGCACCCAGAGGGTGGTGGTGCTGGGCCTTCAGTCCAGTTTGTCTGAGGCCCAAGCCCCAACCTCATCACTCTCCTCAATCAAGAGGCCTGAAGATAGAGATGAAAAGCCATCCACAAACCCCAATCTTCACCACACACAATAGGTTGCATCTCTTCATCCTTTTGTCTTGGAAAGAAGTTTACAATTCGGAAAGTGTTGGACACCCTGGTATGAACCCCCATTCCAGCCAGGAGGGGAGGGCACAGCACCTGCATGGTTAGGGACAAGTTCAAGGCATCAGAGCTCCTCCAGCCTCTTGCCAGATGCCCTCACATCCTCGCCTTCTCAGAGGGTAACTCAGGACTCTCCCAGCAGCCTTGACAACTCCTACTACTGCCACCACTCCGAGGCTACTGGGTTCGAGTCCATCCCTACCCCGCATGGCCAGAACCCTGGCCTTTCTCTATGCTGCCGGCCTGACGCCAGTTGGCAGCAGGAAGAACAAGCCAAGCAGATCCACTGCAGACCACCGAGTTCATTTCATGAAAACTCAGCACACAAGAAGTCAAGTCCAACTGCAGTTACAGATCCTCTGTTTTTAAAAAGGGTTCTTCCTAGGACTCCACTAAAAAGACCTGCTTTCCCAGATCTAAAGTATGGCCTGGCATGCAGGCCAAGTGCTCAGGATACAGGGAGGGCACGTTTGTTGAGCGGGCAACTGCCTGCCGAGGTCCTTGGCCACATAAGCACACCTGTCCACCGAGCGGTGCAGAAGCTGCCTGTGTCGCCTCCTCCTGAACCACCTCCTTGCTATGTTCCCGACACCTGACCGGCCCTGAGCCTGATGGCTCACGATAAAATACTGATAGGATTAATAGTCAGCCTTGTTGATCAGCTCCCAGAATGGGGAGGGTGCCTGGCTAGCTTTGATCTCTAAGTCCATTGGCCCCACGTGGACATTCCAGGTCTATGAAACCATCTGCTGAACGGCTTTCATGTCGGAGACACCTGTTGAAACTCCTGGGAGGGCCTCCTCTCATCCCCTGGTCCCCTGCACCTACCTGGCCGGACTGGAGACAATCTGCCCAGGAGGAAGAGGCTGAATGGAGGTGTTACAGGGAAGAGGACCCCCAAAGGAGATGTCATCTACAGCCTGCTCCAAGGCAAGAAAAGCCTCAGCCAGTAGCCAGGTGATTTGAATAAATGGCTTTACAAAACCTCCAGGTGGGTCCAGATCAGGTCAGGGCTCAAGGTCAGAGACGGGCTTGGGCAAGGTAGGAAATCAAGCACAGATGTCTACACACAAAAGGGCCCCTCGGCCCTGTTCCCACCCTGGGGATTCAAAGACGAGGCCAGTGTTTTGAAAAATATAAAATTTTAATAAAGGCTACATCTCTTAATTACAATAATTATTGTACCAAGTAATTTTCCTTAAATGAACTCTTTATAATGCATAATTTACAGTATAAGTAGAACAAAATGTCATGACAAAAGTCATTGAGTACAAGACTTGTAATAAAAAGGCATAAAATATATTTATACATAAACCCCTTTCAAAAAACAAGGGAAAGCTTGAGCCCTCAATATAGGGCGACACACGGAGCGGGTGACCGTGCAGGTACAGGTACTGTACTGATTTAAAGTCAAGCACTAGAGATAGTGGATTAATACTCTTTTGCCGTACACTATATACAGATGTATAGTACAAGTAACAATGGCAAACAGAATGTACAGATTAACTTAACACAAAAACCCGAACATCAAAATGAAGGTGTGTGGAGGAAAGGTGCTGCTGGGTCTCCCTACAACTGTTCATTTCTTTGTGGGGCAGGGGGTAGTTCCTGAATGGCTGTGGTCCAATGACTAATGTAAAACAAAAACAGAAACAAAAAAAACAAGGAACTGTCATTTCCACGAAAGCACAGCGGCAGTGATTCTAGCAGGCCTCAGGGCCCTGGGCCTGGGGAGGCTACATGAGGGGGAGCCTCAGTCACAGGATCAACCTGGGGCCCGAAGGAGCAGGGTTCCCTGCCTCTCCCTCTGCAACAGATCATCCCATCCAACACAACCCCCAAAATGTTGATGATGACGCAACATGGTCAACCCTCAAGACCTTTAAGACAAAACAGAGCAGCATAGGAAAAAAAAAAACAAAACGCACCAATTTCTGCATGTGTCAATGGTAGGGCACCATTTTAAAAAGTCTGTCTAAAACAGTCTGTCTTCACTTGGAGGGACGTAGTGCAAAGCATAATTCCTCTGTTAGTGAAGAAACCATGAACGCACTCCTAGCTCAACTCCTAAGTTTAGTCAGAACAATTAAAACTTCCTGTCTCCCCCTTCCAAGTTTAAAGCAGCATATCCATAAACTGGGGATGGGGGAAATCAACTGTTCTATAAATATCAGTAAGGATTCCTGTTCAGGTAAGCTATACACAGTTTCTCTTAGTTTATGGATTTCAGATCCCTAGGAAGTCATATATTATGTATGGCAGTCTCTCAAATACAGGCAGCATCTTCAATAGCCAAGAGTGGTCATGTTTTTAATAAATAGTTCAGGCTTTTCTTATCTCAGTCAGTACCCAGCTCATGAATCATGAAAATCAACCTCCCCCCGCCCTCCCGAAGGCCCACTGGCCGATTCTTCCTTAGACTTTGTCTTCTTCATTGGTTTAATTTTCCTTCAAAATGTTTTGTCGCAGTTGCTCACAGCCAAGACAGTTCACAAGAGCTTCGGGCTCCAACAGTTCACCAAAGCCAGACCCCAGGGCTCAATCGATCCGCTCCACTTTGCCCAGAATCCGGCCTTCATACATCGGGAGCACCGTCTCATCCTCCCAGATCTCCTCAAACACCGCTCCACAGGCAAACTCATCGCTTGCTTTTTTGAAGTAATACCTTAAAAGGAAAACCAAAAAAGCTTCTTGGTAAACTGCATTTTCCACATTGTTGAAAAGAAAAGCATACCAACATGGAGGACTGAGGTATCCTAGGAATTTGCTATGGCAGGTGTGCCTGTACACTGTTGCGCACATCTGCTTTAAGACGGCAGCTGGGACTGGCCACACCACAAGAAGCAGGTGGGCCGAGATGATGAAGGCCAGGCACCCACTGAGCAGCAGCCTGGGCTGGGCCTGCCACCTGCAATCTTCAACCCAGCACCTCTGCTGTCTCCTGACACGTATACACTGTGAAAAGCAGAGCTGCTTTCCCCCCGCCAACCTTTTTCAGCAGTGGGGTGGGGGAGGGAAGGGAAGGACAAATGCCTGCAGTTCCTTTGCAGCAGGAGCCAAGCAGGTCCTTCAAAGAGACTCCAGACTATCTCCAGGTTCAGCCATCCTGAACCCATCACACCTGGAGAGCCGGAACCTGCCGAAGTCTGTAAAAGGCTGACTTCCAGATGGTTTAGCAGTCCAAAGGCCTCTCGGCCTTCCCATCCTCCAGGTCCCAAGTGCAACACTCCTGGATGGCCCTGGCACAGCCACACAGGAGGCAAGCCAGCCCAGCGCAGCTTCCCAGGGCCGAACAGACGGCACTGGCCCCATGATGCCCTCCCCTCTTCTCCCCATTTCCAGGCCTCTTCTCCCATCCCATCCCTCCAGGGTCAAACACCAAAGGCCCTTCTATTATGCCCGTTGATTAAAGGCTCCTTTCATCCCTCCCCAGCGTTCTTTCTTCTGAGGCTGTTTAATTGTACAGATGCAAATGCCTGGCCTCTCAGGAGTGCCACATTCGGAAACAACTGCTGTCCTCTTGGGCCAGGCCCACCCCTAAACCCCTTCCGAGGAAATTAAGCAAGGGCCTCTTCCTTCCCTGTCCCCAGCCAAGGGAGACCCCTCAGAGGGATTAAACTTGCCCCTGCAAGCTGTCATTTCCAGCCCATAAAGGCCACTCACAGAGGGAAGGTCACAGTCCCCTGGGGGGATGGGAGAACCTTTCAAGCATTTAATTGTGTCTCAGGGTTATGGTTGGGCTTTGTCTTTTCCCTTTAAAAAAAAAAAAATTAACTCCCCTTGGTTAGAGCTCAATTTTTTCCCTCTTTAATAAAGGCAAGCCAAATACTTTCGTAGGAGATAAGGCTAAATACAGTGAACAGCTGGGTTTAGTCAAGGTTCTTTGTTTTTAGCATTCCTGACCCAGCTAATGCAGTGGGGTGAACAACGGCATGGCTCTGACTAGGCAGCACTGAAGACACGTCATGTCAAGGGGTCAAAATTCTCGGGGGAGCGTGAGAGGAGACAGTGAGAAAATGGGGAGGGGCTCTGTGCACAGGAGACTCAGGACAGTGGGGGGAAAAGTCACTTCTCCACATAAGAGGCTCAAATCCCAACGCCACCCTCCGTCAGACCCCTTTGGCCCCAGCTCCGACCCCTCCAGGGTTTACCAAGTTGGGCTTTCACAGCATGTCTGAGCAAACACGCAGCGACCTTTTACATAATTGCAACCTCCTCCAGAGAGGAGAGAGGCCACATTCTCTCAGCCCCACCCCCAGGACTTCAAACACACTGCACTGCCCTCATTTTCTCCAAGAAACAGGCTTTTCCACTGCAACATGCTTCATGTGGCAAACTTTGCTTTCTTCTGACATCTGGCACCAACAGCGTCTGGCGCGTCTGAAGGGACTGTTTGCTTTTTGAACCCCTGCCATGTTGAGATTACTCAACGCATCCCAGGTCCCCCCCACCTCCCACCCCTGCTCCACGGCCCCAACCTCACTGGGTCTTTTTTATTTTTTTGAAGGGGGGATGTATTTGTACAAATTGAGATGTTGAAGCACCAGCCCTGCTGGGAGGGTGAGGCGTGACACCCTGTGTCCCTGTCCTACCCCAGGAGGACACTGAGTCTAGCTCAGGCCCTGCAGAGATAAGGCAGCTGGGAGGGCCTTCCCACAGCCTGATCCACTCAGGAAAGAACTGGAGAGGATCGGAGAGTTGACCATTTGTGCAAGTCTTTGTGCATTAAAGGGGAGGCCAGGGCTTCAAAGCCAGGCTTATTAACTGTGCCTCAGGGAGAAAAAAAAAAAATCAGAGCCAGATGTGGCCACAGCAGCTGAAGGAGGCACTTTCCCCACAAGCCTATGCCAGCGCCACATGGCTCTTCTCCAAGGTCACCTGCAGTTCCACTCGAAGTCCAGCCGAGACAAAGCCAAGATCAAAATGAATCCCCAGAGGGACACACTTGTGTCATTAGTTTCACCTTGTGTCTTTTCAAGATAAAAGCAGCAGCAGCAGCAGCCAGGCCTGTTCCCCCACCCCTTTGATACCTTTTCACAATTGTCTCTGCCCAGGTATAAAAGGGACTATCCAGACCCAGCAACACGCCCTGCTGGCCAGTTACCTCCAGGGGCTCAGTCCAACCTCCATCCCCTCCCCACTCCAAAGAGAATCACTTTGAGCCCCCGCCCAAACTAACTCCCAGATGAAGGTGGCTGGTAAAACTATACAAGGCCTGCTCTAGAGGGGAGGGTGTCTCAGAGCCCTGCAGGTGGACTCATCCCCGTCCAGGAGCCCATGCCCACCTGGCAGGTTACCAAGTGCTATTCAGAGTTTTCCACTCACACCCCTGGCCCTGGTGGCGGCAACGGGTTCACACCTGGGAATAGACTGTGGTCCTGGCACAGGGACAACAGCACACAGCTGAGGAGTTGGAACTCTGTCTTGGGTGTAGACCCCAGAGTGAGCACCTCCTTAAACTAGGGTGCCCCTGTCTCACCCTTGTCCCAGCCTGGAGCCCTAAACCTGGGAAACCTGGGACAGAACTGGAGCAGAATCCACACATTCTCTTGGGCTGCAGGCCATGGAGAGGGGCAAGGGAGGACTCCAGATGAACTGAGGCAGAGTCATCACCTGCTCCTTACGAGGGAAATGATCAAGAGAAGGAATGGCCTAGGGCTGGCCCTCATCCTCCTCAGCTCTTGAACCCTCTCAAGGGCCCTAAAAAGTCAGCATGGACCTTCTCAAGGGCACCTCCGTCCACTCTGCAGACAAGGTAAGGAGACCAGGAAGTTCCCTTCCTGAAGCCCCTGCAGGGGAGAAGGCAGCGGGGCCCAGGCCTGGACAGGAGGAGTAGACTGCCCTATTCACCCTGTGCCCACCCGCAGGTCCAGCCCCTTCTTTGTTATGGACAAAGGCGCATCTCTGCTTCTAATGGCCCATAAAATCCAGGGAGGCTGTTCAGGTGGAAAGGCAGGGTAAGAAAAACACGGGGGACTTTTCCTAGGCATGGTTCCTGACTATTTGGAGCCTTCAATGTGGGGGTCTCTCCTAAACTCAAGCCAGTAGGGCGGCGCTTCCAGACCCTCCCTCCTAATCAGTGTGCCTGTCCCTCTTTTTGCTCCCTGCTCCCCACTCGCCCACAAGCCCCTCAATTGCAGGTAAAGCCTCTGCAGTGTGGCCTGAGCCCCACTCTCCTGTCGGTGCAAGCAGCTGCTCCTTTTCTCTCCTCAGTCTGGTTCACCTGGTGGAAAGAGCCTGGCCAGGTCCCCCAGAGAACCCTCCACGCAGCCTCCCTCTTGCGGCTGCTGCTTCGTTATTGCTGCTAGCGGTGAGGGGAGAGAAGAAATGAGAAGGGAGCCTCCCCCAGCGCCTGCTGAGCCCCCTCCCACCCTGCCCCACCTAGGTCTGCTCAGCCAGGGGAGCTGCTCCAGGCTCTGGCTCTTGGTTCTGAGCAAACAAACTGAGAGCAGAAAAAAGCCACAGGACTCTTACCTATAATTTCCCTTTTTGCTGAGCTGCTCTTTAAAGTGGCCCAGGGTCAAGCTCTGAGCCTTCAGCATCCTCCGGTATGGAATTTCTTCCCCACAGAAAAAGTAAGTGACAACCAACTCACTGGCCTGGAGCGCGTGGACACCTGCCAGTTTCTTTGGCTCTTTGTGACTGAAAATAAGATGGAATGGAACAAGTTTAGCATTTTAAAGCAGACACACATCTAAAGCAAACACACACGTGCGCACATGTGCATAAGTGACAGGGTATCCAAACACTAGGGCTGCAATTGTAAACCCAAAGTGGGGGCTGGGGCAGAGCCCCACATCCCAGAGTCAGGCAGCTCTGGGGGACACACAGTCCAACCCCACATGTGCTGCATGCAGCATGCAGAAAAGGATGATTTCCTTTTGGTTGTACAAATTGGTATCATTTCCCCCACCGCCACCAAATGAAAGTATACGGCGGCCTCTTTCAGGCTGGCATAAATGGGGTGCTTCCTCAAGAAGATGAGAGAAGAGAAATTATCACAGAGATGCCGGGTCTCACCTGGATTGGAGAGTGCTAAAGAGACAAACCCAGAGCAGGACACCTTTGGGATGGCATGATCTCAGAATGCCTAAAGCCCACCCCTTATTCCAGCAGAATGAGAACAACTAATGGGGGTTATCACACAGTCATGTCCATTTCCCCATTTCTTCTGAGATTTTGTAGAATGGCTTGAAAAAAAGGCTGCTAGGCCGGGCGTGGTGGCTCACGCCTGTAATCCCAGCACTTTGGGAGGCCGAGGTGGGCGGATCACTTGAGGTCAGGAGTTTGAGACCAGCTTGGCCAACATGGCGAAACCCTGTCTCTACTAACAATACAAAAAAGGAGCTGGGTGTGGTGGTGGGCGCCTGCAATCCCAGCTACTCGGGAGGCTGAGGCAGGAGAACTGCCTGAACCCAGGAGGCGGAGGCTGCAGTGGGCCAAGATTAAGCCACTGCACTCCAGCCTGGGCAACAGGGCGAGACTCTGTCTCAAAAAGAAAAAAAAAAGTGGCTGGCCCAGACCCAGAGAGCTGGTACACTTAGGGTCAACCAATTGAAACAATGAAAGGGTCCAGGGCAGTGGCCTATTGAGGACTTCAAACATTGCTCATTGCTCAGGATGAAGACACTAAGAAAGAAAACTTGATACAGACCATTTTAGATCTCTTTAGCAGATTTCTTTTTAATTGCACCATCCAGTAATTAAACGAGCAGGCTCCTCAACCTACTTTGAAAGAGACTAAATTTACAAAAAGAATCACTGCCCAATTTGGGGGAAGATATTCTGTCTTCTCCAAACAAAAACACAAGGATGGTCCCCTCCACCTCTGCCACAGTGGAGAATGATCTTTCTGCTCAGGGGTGACAAATGTTTCCAGTACTACTAAATTGCAAGTTGAATGGGGGCAACTTTTCCAGCTGAATTTGAGGTCCCTTCTACACTTCTGCTAATGGCTTCATGTCCCAGCTTTTGATTTGTGTATGACCAGAAAAACTTTTGCTATGATGCATTTGTCGGCAGGACATGGATGGCAACATCTACGTTTACTGTTCCTCATCACTAGCGCTAAAATCAAAGTGATTTTAAAAACCAAAAAAAGTTTCATGAAAATGAAACTCCAGATAGCGAATATTCTGAAACATAAAGCACTCGGCAGATCTCAGTAATGTCAGGTAAAGACACTCACTCTTCTGGAGCCAGGCTTGGATTGGAGAAGGGTGTGGCTCCCGTCTGAACAGTGGCCGAATGATTCCTGTCCCTCTGCTGACTGGCCACACAGCACCTGAGGACACAGCCAGGGCGAGGGATTTAGAGGTACACTGTTGTCCCCAGAGCAATTGAAAAGCAGACAGAAAATTACTATTTGGCCTCCTGAAGAGACACGAACCCGACTTCCATCCTTACGGAGACCCAACCAAGACCCTGGGTTAACAGTGGCTGAAGAGGCCAGGAAGACGTCTTGGAACAGCCATTCTAAGCCCCCCTGGGAGCCCAGGATGGGACATTCTCAGCCCCAGCAAAGGGCTGAGGACTCTTGATCCTCCATCTCACAGCTTCTTATATACTCAACTAACCAGCCTTAAACAATCAAGACATTTGTAAGGAATGGGATTTGTAAGCAATTGCTGAAATTCATTCTCCCAATTCTAGGCATGACTTGCCTCACAGATCCTGGCTTAACTCTAGTAGAATGAACATAACTGAAGGGAACAATTTCTAGAAGCTGGAAAGCAGCAGCTTACTCATCCATAAGTAATTCTTCTTCTCATGGGAGGGTTTGAGACCCAGGCAGAAAGAGAGGCCCTCCCCATTAGCCACAGACCAGGTCTCCACCCAAACCCAATCCCTGCCTCAACCTAGGACCCTTCACTTCCACTCACCGCTGCTTTGGGGGCTTCGACACCTCAGCTAGCCTGCGACAGGCCTCCTCCAGCTGAGCCAGCGTGTTGGGTGGGGTCAGGGGAGGCATCGCAGGGTCCTGGGTGAACAGGTGGGCACGGGGGGTGGTGCGGGGGTGCCCGCTGTTGCCCCCCCACAGATGGTGCCGGCTGGCTCGTTCGCCTGGAGACGAGCGGGCAGACTCCAAGGGGTAGGCCTTTTTTGTGCTTTGGGCACTAAACAAGGAATGAGCAGAGAGAAAACAGAAGGAAAGAAACTGGGTTAGAAGAACTGGAAAATGTGACTTCAATAGAAACTTGTCTATTCTGCTCAGAGAGAGAGTTAAAAAAAAAACTACCATAACATGAACAGGGGTCAGTGCCAAAACATGACATTTTTGTGGTCTGCTCAGTCCAACGTTTAATATTAAGATGGCAGGAGCAAATAGTCACATTTGTATTCCGCGGACTGCAAAAACAGCCATTCCCACAATACCTCCGTACTGAGTGCCCATGACCCTCGCGGCCGCGGCGGCGGCAAGCGGTGTTTACCTATGGGGCTTGGGCTTGCTCTGCCGCTCACTCTCCAGCATCCACTGCCAGACATCCTGCGACCTGTCTCCTTCCTCCCGGGGAAGCTGCAGGGCCCCAGCTCCGCCGGGGGCCCCTCCTTCCCTGGCGGGCAGGGCCAGGCCCGGCTCCGTGCCTTTCCCATTGCGTTTGGGCAAGGTACTGCCTCTGCTGCCGCTGTGGGGAACCAAGAACCACACCCAACCCAGAGACCCGGTTAAATCTCCGGGACTCCTAGAATCAGACAATTCAGCAAGTCGGGGGGCTGGTGACACGAAAGACCCATGCACCTGCTCCCCGCACCCTCACCCGGCCGTGCACTCTGCCGCCCTCTTAGAAACTAAATGCCTGTAATGCGGCTCCCACCTCACACCTGCCCATGGACCTGGCTGGGAGACAAGCCCCACACGGGACACTGCGGTCCGCCCGGCACTTACCCAAACTGCTCGCTGGGCATGGTTTCCGGAGCCTTGGAGTGGCTTTTGCATTTCGAGTAGCAGTAATACTCGCTGCCCCCAGGGCAGAAGCAGTGCACCCGCTGCGTGGCCTCCGCCTCGATCTCCTCCTTGGTCTTGGGGACGGCATGGTGGTGGATGTAGTGGTGGTGGACATGCTTCGTCGTCTGCTTGGTCACAAAGCCTTTGCCCCCGAGGAGGGGGCAGGCGCCCGGCGAGGCGGCCGCGGGAGGCAGCTTGCCACCGGGCGGGAGCAGGGAGTGGTACTGCGAATGGTGGTGGTGGTGGTGGTCCGGGGAGCGGGAGCGGGGGCTATAGCGGCCTACGCCTGGAGACTGGCAGCCAGGGGTCTTGAGGACCCTGGACAGGTGATCGTCCAGTATCGTCTGCGGGTCTTCCTCGTAGCTGCCGGAGGGCAGTAGGGAGAGGGGGTGCTGCGTGGGCGCCCCCTCCCGCGAATTGAGTGTGAGCTCGGAGCCCTCTCTCTCTTCATCCTGAAAGGGAAGACGTCAGAAGGAGAAGTGACCCAGGAAGCAGAAGGGCCAGAGGCCCTGGGGTTGCAACATTCGGCTCCCTACGCAGGAGCACGCACACCCGTGTGCACGCCCACAGCCACGCCCATGCGCACACGCACAGGCCCGCCTACACAAGCACATATCCACACGCATATGCACACCCACACGCAACCCATGCACATGCGCACACAGCCCACGCCCAGGCACACACCCACACGCAGCCCACGCGCATGCGCATGCAACCCACGCACATGCGCACACCCTAACGCACCCCATGCACATGCGCATACACATACGAGCGCTCACGCCGTGGACGGAAGCAGGAAGAAGGCCTAGGCCGCATTACCTCTCGGATCTGCTGCAGGCGCTCCTCCAGGCTGTGGCGGCTCTCCAACTCCAGCTTCAGCTTTTCCAGCCTCGAGATCAGCTCAGCTGCAAAGGTGGCGGGTTCCACGGGGGTCATCTCCTTGGGCAGGCGGTGGGTTCTCTACAGGACGTGGAAAGGAAAGGGAGGAGGCACGTTCAGCAGGCTAGGTGGGCGGTGGCTTGGCCGGAGCTTCCCGCACCAGGCGCTGTGCACCGCAAACCCATGTTCGGGTGTAGAGTGGATGGCAAGGCGGCCTGGGCTGCTCGGGACTTTTATGCGCTAGCGCCATGGCCTCATGGAGAGCCATGGTCCCCACCAGCGTTTGCCTTGGGCAGGAGCAGTTGGTCGCACTCCGAGAGGCCCTGCTTGTTCTTTCTGTAGTACAACCAGCCCATCAGTAGTTACTTTGAAGTAGAAAATCTTCAAAGACTGTTGTCAACCATCAAAAAAAAAAAAAAAAAAAAAAAAAAAAAAAAAAAAAAGGCAGCCCTCTGAGGTGGGGAGGGGAGAGACCAACTCAAGGAATAGAAAGTAGAATCTAAACAGAAAGAGAGTTGAAAATTTAAAAAAATAAGATTGGAAAGGAGGTGGGAGGAAAGAAAGTGGGGGAAAAGGGAGTCAAACGGCCTGGATCAGAGAAGAAGTGGTAATTTATTTCCTGGCCGCACACTGCGCACCTTTGAGGTGGTGGTGTCTCAACACTGTCCTCGATCTCCCTCGTTTTTCTCCTTCCCTCCTCCCTCTCTCTTTGTACAGAAAATGAAGAAAGCTGCTGCAGGCTAGTAGCAGAACACTGCTGAGCTTGGCTGCCTGAAGCTGATCTATCAAGGGAAAAGGGAACATCTCCAAATCAAGTGCAGAATATAAAAAGGCACCGAGTACGCCTGCCAAAAGCAGCAAACAGAGAGAACCCCTGCTGCCCAGCTTTCTGTCCTTTTCCTGTCATCTCGCTCCCCCCACCCAACCCCCCACCTCTCCAGTTGTTCTACCTCCTTCTTCCTAATCTCCCTCTTGCTTAGCTCCTTTCTTTGGGCTGGGGTGGGGGTAGCAGAAAGCTAACTTGCAAAGGCTAGCATCTCCCCCAGCTGAAAAGATGGGCCTTGCCACGGCAACCACTTAGCTGCAGAAACTGGGGAAGAAGAGAAAGGCTCCTGTGTAGGTGGCCATTCTCACACAGGCTGGCTCCTTGCAGCCCCTGATCAAAGCGCTGCCTGATGGAGAAAGTCGATTTGCACACCCCAGGACAAAATCATCTAATTTACAAGCTTGGGCGATAGAACTTTTCTTTGTTAACTCACATATCCCCCAGTCAAAAAAACAATGATAGTATGTCATCAATACTTGTTATCTGTAGAGGGAGGGGATGCTAGAGGTCCTCAGAAAAGCAATTTTAATATGCTAATTTTAAAACAAGGTAAGTCTGCCCTTGTCTGTGTGAGGAGCTTTCAGAGAAGAGCTATAGTTTGTGCACTAATGCAACATGGGTTTAGCAATTCAATGTGTTAATTTTTTAAACACAACATAACCAGACCAATTAGATTCTCTGAAGCTGGCAGGAAGGATTCATAAACACCTGCTGTGAGCTGGGTGCTTTCTTCCCCTCCCCTCCTTGCAACCTGGATCTGAGGCTGTTGTAAACAGCACAGCCCTAAAATGGGAATGTAGATGGGGAAGTTCTCTTGAGTACAGCCATGTGCTGGCTGCTTTAGCAAGCATGGAAATAAAAGCAGAGGTCCCAGAAGAGCCCTTCATCCACCATCTCAGTCACAGGAAGAAGCTGCTCAGGAGATCCTCACTTCTAAACACTTCGTTCATTCCGCATTTGATAGGCACAGACTCACCAGCAGGTACCAAGCCAAGTTCTGGAGTTGGAAAGGAACAGCTACCCTCCAGGGCTTCAGGAGCCAGGAGGAGAAATGGTCAATGAATACATAAATAAATGACTAAAATCACTGACTAAAATGACTTGGAGTCCTGTGGTTGACACAAGAAGTAGAATGTCCCAGTGAAGAGAGCAGGAGGATGTCCCAAGGGGGGGCAGAGGTTCCTTATTCATTCACTCAAATGTTTATTGAGCACCTATTATGTGTCAGGTACTGTTCTAGTCTCTGTGCATACAGAGGTTAACAGAATAGATAAAACTCCCTCCCATCAGAGGGCTTCCATTCTAGTGGAAATACAGTGAGCTCACCAAGCTGTAGAGAAGCATGGATCATCTAGCATTTCTTAGTTTCTGGGAAATAAGTGCTTCAGTTTCTTTCTGATAGGGAATTTTTTTTTTGAATTCAGAAAATGCAAAGGTTCAAAAATAGGTCATCAAACCTCTCACATAGTTGGGATGCTTGTCCCCTCCAAATCTCATGTTGAAATATGATCCCCAATGGTGGAAGTGCACCTAGTGGGAGGTGTTTCGTGCCCTCCCTGCAGTAATGAGCAAGTTTTCCCTGTAGTTCATATGAGATCTGGTTGTTTGAAAGAACATGGCATTGCCCACCACCCCCCCAACCTCAGCTTGCTGTTTCTCCCGCTATGTTACAAACTGGCTCTCCTTCCCCTTGCGCATCATGATTGAAAGCTCCCTGAGACCTTCACCAGAAGCAGATGTTGGCGCCATGGTTCTTGAATAGCCTGCAGATCCATGAACCAAATAAACCTCTTTTCTTTGTTTTTTCTTTTGAGAAGGAGTCTCGCTCTGTCGCCCAGGCTGGAGTGCACTGGCGTTAGCTCACTACAACCTCCACCTCCCAGGTTCAAGTGATTCCCCTGCCTCAGGCTCCCAAGTAGCTGGGACTACAGGCGCACGTCACCACGCTAGGCTAATTTTTGTATTTTTAGTAGTGGTGGGGCTTCACCATGTTGGCCAGGCTGGGTCTCGAACTCCTGACCTCAGGTGATCTGCCCACCTCCGACTCCCAAAGTGCTGAGATTACAGGCATGAGCCACTGTGCCCAGCCGTAAACCTCTTCTTTTTATAAATTACTCAACCTCAGGTATTCCTTTATAGCAAAACTGACTGATACCTCATAATCACATCACTGTGCTCACCATCACAACCCAAAAAACCATGTAATGCCTATTGTCCAGTTCTTTTCTCTCCCTTTGCCCTAGGGGACCTTAGGTACTGCTCTTTTCTACCTTCCCTATACCTCTCCCCATTCCACCACCCATTTCTTTTCTTTAGGACTCAACATGGCAGAAAACAGCTGTCTCCTCACTCCAGACTGTACTCACCGGGAAATGAGGTAGAGACACTTGGCCATTGGCCTTCACACTGCGATGCATTTCTCTCTGGAGCTGTTTCTTACTGCCCACACGATAAGGAGGAATTCCATCTCTAAGGGAAAGGAAAAGACAGAATCCACAGGCTTACGAGGATGTTTTCAGCACATCACATGGGCTACTGTCATATGCCATCTTGAGATCCCGCCGACAGGGCCACATGCTTCCATAGGAGTGTCACATGTCTCCAGATACCATCGGTGCTCCCACAGGGAAGGACCCACCCAAGGTCAAATTTAAATCCTGCCCATCAATCATCTATGGAAACTTGGCTTCCTTGGATGCAGAAGCATCAACTTGGAAAGAGCCTGGAAAGTTAATCTCTCGGACTGTTGTCTTAGAACTGGGTTACACTCCAGCCAGCCCAGGCAGAGCAAAGGCTCCCCTATTTTACAGGTGCCCTAAGTAGGAGATTCTCAGGCCCCACTGGTCCTCCCACTTGTTCCCACTGCTTCAAACCAGGAACCAGTGCCTTATGGATAGGGCCAGGGCAGAAAGTTGTAGGGATAAGAACCAAACCTACAGAGGGCTAAATCAGGCATTAGTGAAGCATGCATAACTCTCCAAGTCAACCTCCTAGTCATTTCCAAATGTATTTCTTTTTATAAACCAGTACAGCGTGATTAATAAAAAGAATATATAACATTTAGGCCCCTTCTCTCAGCTCCAAACCCTACCACCCCCAACCAATGAATTTTCAAAGACACATGACCAATGTGGGCATGAAGAGAAAAGCCCCTACTATGTGGTGGTCTGTGCAATCCATTTAAAGATTAGCACCTACTATGTGCCAGATCTTCTCCTAGGCACTAGGCAAGAGAGCAGTAGACAAAGTGGATACATAATTCAAACAACTGCCCTCTTGAAGTTTACATTCTAATGGGGAGGCACAGGCAATGAACAAAATAAAAAATAGTATGTTAGTGATATGTACTATGAATAAATACACAGCAGGAAAAGGAGAATCACTGGTGAGTGGGTAAGCTGCAAATTTAAATTGGATGTGGGTGTCAAGTCCTCATTGAGAAAGGGACCTTTGGGCAAAGACCTGAAGAAGTATGGGCCCCTATCCATTATATTTTTAAAAACAAAACATTAACAAGTAGAAGAATTTTTAAAAAGCTGCCACTCCAGCTAGTGTTCACTACAACTATGACCTAGAGTTGCCATGATTTTTTCCAGAAAGAATTTCCTTCTTAAAAGCAGAATGGTCAAGGTGTGACTATTTTCCCATTGATGTCCCTTCAGGAGGCCACTTATTTACAAAAGCCTCAGGGTGCAAACATTTTCATAATGAATCATACTTGGAGGCTGTAAATATTGAAATTGGGTGTTTGGC
Source organism: Homo sapiens (assembly GCF_000001405.40). Classification (NCBI taxonomy): domain Eukaryota; kingdom Metazoa; phylum Chordata; class Mammalia; order Primates; family Hominidae; genus Homo; species Homo sapiens. The sequence continues at coordinate 65,542,842 of NC_000017.11, forward strand.
TACTTCCCTTTCCCCAATGTCTGGTTCATCATAGGGTGGAAGAAAAATAGGATAATTAGCAATGTCTAAAAATACCCAGGGGGCAAGCCAGGAGTAACTAGTCAACCTCTAGCTCCTTATCTGAAATGCCCTAGAATTCTAAATAGCTGCATTTTCAGGAAGTCTACTGACCTAGGTCAGAAAACAGGAACACAAGGGACAATGAAGATTCCAATAGATCAACAAACCAATGTATGTTAACCAAACCCTGGCTAAGGAGTGCATAAACGATAATTGCACTGAGGTGAGTAGGGAAGGGAGAGAAGAGAGATCAGTATCCAGAGCAACAACTTACCCCCAAGTGTGAGTACTGCCCCAAAGAAAGGTAAGTATGGAGCAGAGACAGAGCACTGTGGGAAGGATTCGCAGCAGCTGGCTGACCAGTGCTGGAGAAACACGTCTTCTACTCATGACTGAGAAACAGCCTCCTACTCATGAGGCTCGGCACCTGACCAAGCCCACCTAAAGATTATTTATCAAAACTCTGTGTCTTCACCTTGGGTAGCTGAAAACGGGACTTATAAGCATGCCTGGCTTGACCAGAAACCAAATCGCACCCAAGGCAACTGATGCCAACCTGAGAATGCCAGCTCATAGATACCGAGTCCCTACTGTACGTCAGACATTGGACCTATAATCAGACTTCATTCTCATAAGAACCTTAATGAGCCACATTTTACAGATGACCAGAAATGCTCAATAGCTCACCTAGTGTTACAGTCAGTAGCAGATTGACAACTCATACCCAAGCCACTGCTGGACTCCAGAACAGGCATCTGTAACAACCTACACTTGGTCATTTCAATAAGATGCCCTTCCCAGCCCCAATCAGCAGTCAAGCTTCCTGATGGTCTTAATGTGGAGATGCCATTTCCTAAGCCCCACGCAGTCACCTGACATTGATAAGGCATGAGGGGGAAATTTGTGGAATTTTCTGGGAAGTCCTCCCCAACCACCTAGTACTCACTAGCTATGGGGCTCGCCAGGTGGTTCCCAAGCCATGCTGAATATCCCCATCTCTCACCTAAGATACCTTGTATGGTAGGGGTGGCGGTATCCCACAGATTGGGCTCATGCTGGTCTAACCAAATTCTGCTGCCCTAGGGCTGTAAGACAATGTCTATCCTCCATCTCTCTTCTAGGGACTTAGACAGTGGATGACTCTGCTTCAGCCCTGTTCCTGACAGTCTTGGGGGCAGGAGTCAAGCACTCCATGGACCCCACCATGACACAAGTGACATAAGGCTTCAAGAGTCCTAGAAGAGTCCCCCGTCCACCCCCTCCAAGACTCTTGACATTTCCACTGGTAGCTTTCACTCTTCCTTCTCCCAGATGAAAGTCAGTGGTAGAGCTTTTATGCCTCTTTTTCTTCTTCCATATAATAAGGTTAAAAAAAAAAAACAGGATGGGGGTAGGGATGGGGAGGGGAGTAGATAACTGCAATATTGAAGGCAAAAGGAACAAATGATTTCATAAGCACCTCATACCCCGCCCCCCATCCCCCACCACCACCACCACACACACTCCATTACCCAGGGCAGGTGAAGGACTAAACTGCTGGAAAGGCAACTTGTAACCAGAGCAGAAAAGGAAGATGTCAGCCTGTAGAGGCTCAGAAAGGCTTAACAGGCACCTTCAAGGAAATGTGGCTTTAATTCCCTCCAGCCAAGAATCTTCTTCCAAAACAGCCCCTCATTCCAAAAGGGGGCCTCTCTTCTTTTATTCAAGCTCTAAAAGTCTGTGATCAGTTTCCTGGCTGCTCAAGCCTGTGGGCTGGAGAGCACCAGAGTTGTGGTCCCTATACGGTCTCCTTTAATTATAAACATTTTAGTTAACGAGCCTGCTGCCGGGCCCAGCTGTTTCTGGGGAGCATGGTTTTGAAGTGTGGACTCCACTTAGCTGCCATTTGAGCCGAGCCAATTAGCTTAGCCTTTTGACTCCACCGTGCCCGACCTAACCTGAATGTCATTTTCTGGCGACTTTGAAATAGCAGACTCATGCACACATGCGTCCACTCGCATCTTCATTTGGCAACCACTCTGAAGGCAGCCTCTGATCACAGCCAACATCAAAAGCCTGGTTTGTAGGAAAAGGTTAGTATTTGAAGTTCACTCAGATGCATTTCCTGGTGTCCAAAGTAAACCCCCATAAATAAGATATAAAGAAATACAAATAAATAACTCGCGACATTCCCTGTGTGAAACACCAAAAAATCATCTTGTGCTGATTTGGGGACACTCAGAGCTGAAGCAACATACAAACGTAGCTGATCCTGATTACAAGAGCAACTCCTAGCAGAAAGAAGAGACAAAGGCCTCCACACCACTGACTTAGCTTTCATGATTCCTGGCAACATCTAACCATGGCTACACTTGGGCGGCAAAGAGTCTGCTGCTTCTGACATTTTCACCCTCTTTACTCCATCCTTCTAAGCCTGATGCCCTGGAATGGCCCACAAGCCTTCTGCCTCCAGTGCTGCAAGGATTTTGGTGGGAGTCTGGCAGTTAACGTTAAAAAAATTTTTTTTGGCAGGTTGTGGTGGCTCACGCCTGTAATCCCACCACTTTAGGAGGCCGAGGTGGGTGGGTCACGAAGTCAAGAGATCGAGACCATCCTGGCCAACATGGTGAAGCCCCGTCTCAACTAAAAATAGAAAAATTAGCTGGGCGTGGTGGTGCACGCCTGTAGTCCCAGCTACCCAGGAGGCGGAGGTTCCAGTGAGCCAAGATCGCGCCACTGCACTCCAGCCTGGCAACAGAGTGAGACTCTGTCTCAAAAAAAAATTAAGCCATTTCTTCCGAGAATGCAGGTTTCAGAGTAACAGGCTCATAAAACAGCCTTCTCAGAGGCCCAAATGCCCAGCCATCTTTAACAGGACTTTTTACTTAGCAGGAAAACAGAAGTCAGCAGTAGGCTTTGGGAGAAGGCAATGATTTCTTTAAAGCCCCTGCCTGCTCTGCACACTCAGGCCCCGGCATGTGGCTCCCTGGAATAACCAACCAAGTGCAGGCCAGCACTGCCCCAACTTCTACCCAGGCCTCTTGCAAAGGCCCCCAGGACTTAATTGGTTCTGTCGCAAATGAGACGATTGCTTTCCTGGGTTTGTGTCTAATGAACTCCAACCTTCTGGAGTCTATTGAAGGCTGCCTGTGACCCCCTCTCTCCCTCTCCCCCCCTCCCCAGCCCTGTTCCCTCCCCAGCTCCCAGCAGGGCAGCCAGCCCCCCTCCCCAGCCCCTCACAGCCCGCACTGGCCATTGTGACGGGAGAAACAGCCAGGGCTCTTTTCATGCTTTATGGGGCGCTCCTATTCACTTGTTCAAGGAAATTTCAAAGGGGCCTGCTACCCTCTTATCCCCTCTAAGCTTCCCGGGATGAACAATGGGCTGAAAGCGATTCAGTTCAGCTTTTCATCCCCCACACACTTTATTTCTCGCCCGGCGCTCTCATCTGCACGAGGCCTACAATTGGCAGAGTTCTGAAGAGGAGGTCTGATCCCAGCCCTGGGAATCCCGGGTGACCGCCCGGTGCTGGGCAGGATCACACACACCCAGGGCCAGTCGGCCAGAGAACACATTGCATCGCCAAGTCTGCTTGCAGCAGAGTGGGGAGGGCCCCAGAGACCCCCATGCCTGGCACCCAATGGCAGCTTGAGTCAGTGCCAACAAGTCTGGAGACCCTTCTGATGTTTTCTAGTGAGCCCCACTAGAGGCAGCATGAGACAATGCCCAAGAGACAGTGACCCCACATGGATGCCAAATGCACTCCTAATTAGTATAAATGCCCAGGTGGGCACAACTGTGACAGTTAATCTGATAACCTGCGCACTTGATTGGGAGAGGGCACAGAGCCACTCAACACCACCAGGACGAACAGAGCCAACACCATGAGCCCACGGGTCTCTAGGCCTTGCAGCACTTCCTCCTGGCTTCCTGGTTTATTCACTATCCATCCAAGGCAGCTTTGCCACAGGATAGGCTTATTAATACTCACAGGTTCTGCCACCAGGAACCCAAAGGTATCTACTGTGCCCCAAAGAGAAAGCCGCTACATGAGGGACTTGACCTGTTCTGTCTCTGTATCCAAGTGGACCTCACTGAACTACACACTAACCCTTGCCACCTAGAATAGGGACTGGCAAAGGTAACCTTTCTGATCCCTGAAAAGTGGCTCCCCCATGCTTGGAATCCAAAGTGCTTCAGCTAAAGGGGGAAGGGTGAAAGCTTTAAAGTCACCTCTAAATAAAAGAAAGTTTTTCTTCTGGGAAGGGGATAAAAGAAGAGGAAGTAAATGGGGAGGCTGCAGGGGAGAACTTAGAACCTGCTCCCTTCTACCCCTCCCAGAACCAGTCTTTCTAAAAAGCAGTCTTGATTACTAAGAAATATAAATAAAAGAAACCCAAAGTGGCTCAAAGGTCTCATGACCAACCGGTCCTATTCACAGATCTCATGTTGAGAACGCTCATGCCTGGGGGAAGGGCAAAGCGGGCAAAGTACAGGGCCTGTGTCTGGCCTGGACCTGAAGTCTGTCTCAGAGGTGCATGGCTGTGGAAGCACCAGGCCTTATTTCCTCATCTGTAAAGTCCCAAGTATCTGCCTGCCTGCCTTCCTGATTGGGTCTTGGGAGGATCAAACAGAAATAAGTATGGGACTACACCCAAGTTATCTCATCATGAACCCAGAATAACACCTCAATGATGGGGACTGACATGCAGCCAAGGACCAGGAAGCAAGCCAAAAATAGTCTCTAAGAAAACTAAACAGAAGTCTTATCGTCTGACGTAAACTGCATTTGACTTAGGAGATTCACTCAATGCCTTCAATCAATTTCAACTTACTCTTATTTTACACATAATGCTAAGATTCCCACACAATCCACAAAGTAATATATGCTACAGGAGGAATGCTTGCTAGAAGCAAGCACACAGACAGCAAAACACAACAGCAGGGAGAATGAAAAGAGAAAAGAGAAACTTTTCAAAGGGGAAAGGGTCAGATAACCCTATGCACCCTCATTGCCTATGAGAGAAATACCACAACAAAGTACACAAACAGATCTTGATATTATTTGGATAACTGAGAGATAAATTATGCCCTGTCTAATACTATGCAATAATGACAGAGCAAAATGTATTCTAAGAAATATGTCCACCAAAAAATTATCAAAGCACAATTTTTTCAAGTATGGATACCGAAATTTCAGTCAATATGGAAAACTCACTTCTGTGAAACTTCTCATATCTCCATATTGGATGAAAGATGTGTACTTTCCTGTTTCCATATTGGATGAAAGACGTGTACTAATGCCAAAATGCTATTTTTATTAAAATTCAAACTTTCACCTTGAGGATATCTCTCCCTGTACTAACAAGGGAATTTGAGGTAACACAATAAAAGCCACCAGCAAAATAAATAGTAGGTTCCCAAACTCACCTCATCAACTTTCCCTCCAACTGGTCCCATGCCACAGGCCAGGCAACAGGACATTGGCCAGTAAAAACCAGATAGTTTCAAACAAACTGGAATAATAGATGGTCCAGTTTTAGGAAGCTAAAAGGAACAAACTCTAAATAAGTGTGCCAGAACTTACACGGTTCAATGGGTTTGCCTTTCAAAATTGTTCCTTTAGCAGGCGAAATTCTGACTCCAAAACATTGAAAAGCTTTCAAGACCATTTCTGGAACAATGAATCTCAACCGGGTGTTGGGTGAGAAGCCTTTGGGGAATTTTACCCATCCCCTATCCCCAGGCTCCACTCTGGGTCTCCTGAACCAAAACCTCAAAGGACAGCCGGAGACAGGGATACCCAGGCCACAGCTACACATCCCTCCTCATGAGACTCACTGAGGATCACTGCTGTCCATCCACAGAGATTGCCATGACTTGACTTCAAATGACCTAAAATTCAAAATGTTACCTTGACTAAGGGCCTTCTGACCTCATCGGACCACGCCAATGTCTTGGGTTACTTTCAAAAATCAAAGGCTGTCTGCCAAAGATCCAGATCAGACACTACTTTGGAGAGAGCCCCTACTTAGGGTCCTCAGTATCTAACACAGAGTATCTAACACTCCACCCACACTTACTGAATAAACGATGTCCATTTAAAAACAAAACAATGCGGAACATTACACACTGTGGCTCTTTAGAGATTTCTGGCTTTCTCACCCCCACTTGCAATGCCTTTTCCTCCAAAAACAATGAATACCTAAACACAGACCCTTCTAATGCCACCTTGTCTCCCAGCTGTTGGTTCTGCAGACAGGATACCTGGGTTTCTGGACCAGCCAAGCAACTGTTCCCACAGGGACAACCAGATGATGACAACCAGAAGAAGGTTTTTTAAACTCAAGGAATCTATAAATATTCATTCATCCTAATCTTCTACTGTCCTTTAGTTTTTCTTCTGTTACAATATCCTCCCAACTTTCAAAGCTCTAAGCTTTACCCTACCCAGATGACCATGTCATCCTCCTTAATCAGCACCATACCCTTGTCATACTCCCCTCCCACCAAACTGATGTCCATACATGCACAGGTGCGGTCTGCAAAGCCAGCTGAGGATGACAGACGATTCTGGCTAAGTGCTCAGGTGGCATCCACTCCCAAGCAAGCCCACGGAAGGGTGGCCAGGATACTCACACACTGCTGTCCGTCATGGACATGGAATCATCCGTCAGCGCATCACTGGATATCTCACTGTCGTTGGCGCTGGTGGCTGGTGCAAAGACATAGCCAGAACCTATGTGATAAGGATTAACAGGATCGCTCCTCTTGAAGGACCTATGGGCAAAGTACAAAAGTGGTTCAGTCACTGACCCTCACCAGAAACCCAGGTAATCAGGTGACCCCAGGACAACCCAGCACACTATCCCACAATCTGCTCAACGCCAACCTGCTGCCCAGGTCCAGTTGCTCACCTGGGCAGAAAGCAGGGGCCACAAAAGGGAGGCCTCCTGAGCCACCGGTTCACCCTGGGGAAAGCAAGCTGGTTCCTCTGCCCCCAGTGGTGGGTCTGCCAGGGCAGAGAGTATTCCAGAGGCAGCCCAGGGGATCCTGTGAAGCTCTAAATGCACTTAGAGGAAGGAACTGGACTCTGCTTTAGGAGAGGAGGCCATGGAATAGAAGAGGGGAACGAGTCAGTGAAGATGAAATATCTTTCTCTGCTCCACCTCCCTATCCAATCCTGCACCAAAGAATACAATTTCAGGGCCCCAAGACATCTTAAGTACCTAAACTCCTTGTCTGGGGTCTGTTAGCCCAGTCCAGAGATGCAAACAGCTAGAGGCCAGTGTGGCCTTCTCACTTTGACCCTGGGCCCACAGTGAGCTGGACAGACGGGACAGAAAAGTTCAAGACAACGTTCAGGACTCCAATCCCACCTGTGAGCTCTGCCATGAGCCGTTGCCATGCCCCTTCCCCCAACCCCCAGCTTCCTCTCCCCAGGACTGGCTAGTGCAGCAGGATTGAAATGAGCAACACAGCTGTTTCAAAGGAAGGCCCAGGCCCCTCCTCCGGTATCTCCAGCCCTTTTGTTTCAATGGCCTCTGGCTCCTAATTTCACCCTCCTGATCTCCTTCCAGAACAACCAGTGTGCACATCTCCTGCTGGGCCGCATTCCTCTTGTGTCACCAGTGAGGGGCTTAAGTAGCGGGGAGGGGCAGATAGGTCGGCAGGCTGCACGTTAAGGCCTGAAGTCGCAGGAGGCCTATTTACAAAGACCCTGGCATCCTCCACTGGTCCCACCAAGTCTATGCCAGCAGCAAAGAAATCAAGTGAGGGAGAAAAGAAAGGCTCAGAAAAGAGAATATATTCTATTAGTCCACAGCAGCTGGTCTGTAAAGATGGCCGTGGGGTTGGCAAATGAAAAGGACCCAGAAAGGTGACAGTCAGCTGTCTGCACATGTTCACCAAGCTCCTACTCACTTGCTACATGCTGAACTCTGGTCTTCCAGCACCCATGGCCTGGTGGGGGCATGTCACCATACTGTGGGGGTGTCATGAGGGAGGTACGCTCAGTGTTATCACAGGCTCACGAGGAGGGGAGAAGGAGCACTGGACTGTGCCCATTCTACAGATGAGGCCCTTGGAGTCCAGAATTCCAGCAGCCTGCCCAGATCACACAGCTGGAACTGGTGGGCATGGATTGAGTCACGTGGCTCTCAATCAAACTGCCTCCCAATACAAAGACTAGACTCAACATGTTTCCAAGTTCTCACAGAATAAAAAGCAGGAAAGGAGTGCCTTAGTACAGGTAACCCAGATGACGGATAGAACATTTCTAGGAGGGACAGTTGGGGACGGCTCCCTGGGACAGATGGGACTGATGGGACTAATGGGACTAACGGGACTCCCTGGGACAGATGGCAGATGGGACTCATGGTTGAGCAGGAATTTGAGGAGATGACAACCCAGGACTAGGTAAAGGGAAAAAAGGGAAAGGTAGCGAAAAGCTCTCCCTAGACTAGGGAGAGAGAGGGGTCTAATTAGCCAGGCTAAGAAGGCCTGGCAAGGGACGTAGGTCTTCAGTGCAAGGTCATAGTCCTGTCTTAACTGGATGGGGAGGGGCCAGGAGGCCAGGGGACAGCAGGGGTGCCAGGGGACCGGCAGGGAGAAAGCATTCCCATCAGCACATAGGATCCAAGGTCTGTCACCAGACTGGATGGAAAGGAGGGGTAGGTACAGGCAGGGAGCCCTGGGGGAAGCCACCGCCACAATTTGGTGTGAGGGTCTGTCTCAACAGGGGATGGTGGGATGGAAAAGAAGGTAGGAGAGGCAGTCTCTGCCTTTAAGGAGTTTGCGCTTGTTGGAGTCACCAAACACACACAAAAAGTTACAGGGCCATAAACTTTTTAAGCCAGAAGGGACCCCTGTAATCATCACAACCACCCAAGGAGGTAACTTAGCACCATGTGGGCCAAAGGCCTTGTCAGACTTGGCCAGAGGAGCCGGACCACAGCTGTGCCCTGGATCCTGTCCGACTGCATCAAGTCAGATCTTAGAAATATGCTGTAGGCATAGAACTGACCAGAAGGTGCAGACCAGGAGCACTGCACATGAACCCCTCAACACTTTTGACCAAGTGACTTGTGACCGTCACTTGGACACTCTGACCCTGTTCTCATATCTGTAGAGGGCAAGAAGTCTCACGACCTCCTGGGATTTTTTTGGTGAAAATTAAATGAGAACGGTAAGATCTTCCAGGCCTTCCTCCTGGTCCATGTGTCCTCAATCCGGAATTCCCCAACACCAAGGGCAGAGAGGAGTGGTGAGAGTAAAAAGAACAGTTCATTCTTCTGGAGAAGAGAAGGTTGATTCAGTGAAAAAGGCCTCGTAGTTGAGAAGGGGGACTCTCTGTTCAGCATCCCCACTAAAGGAAGAACAAGGGGAAATAGACTTCAAAAGTTAGAGAGAAAAAAATACTTCTAAATGGTCAGAGGAAATCCATAAAGTAGGTGGGGACAGGCTGTGAAATCACCCAAGTCTTTAAAACAGGCCAAAGTGCCCAGCCATCTGGGTGCGTAAGTAAGGCGTGGATACTGCCTTGAAGCAGGATGCACACGATGACTTCCTTGGGGCCTTTTCCTGTTGTTAGGAATCCAGTGATGAGGCCACATTCTGTAAACTCTCAGTAGGGACCAGAAGTCAGAGGCTGGGCACTGCTGCCGGCTTGGCTGCAGTGCTCACTGCTGGGCTGAGTCACAACCCCTCCAGAGGTGGGCACCCACCTGAAGAGCAGGCAGTTGGATCATGGCCTCTGCACCAAGTTCTGAGGTCCTCCAAATGAACCAACAAAGGCACAGTAATTTGGGGGAAATCACAGGAAAATTCCAAGAAAAAACCGAGTGCCAACAAAAACAGAGAGCCCCAGCCAGGCACGGTGACCCACGCCTATAATCCCAGCACTTTGGGAGGCCGAGATGGGTGGATCACCTGAGGTCGGGAGTTCAAGACCAGCCTGACCAACATGGAGAAACCCCGTCTCTACTAAAAATACAAAACTAGCCGGGCGTGGTGGCGCGTGCTTGTAATCCCAGCTACTCGGGAGGCTGAGGCAGGAGAATCGCTTGAACCCGGGAGGCAAAGGTTGTGGTGAGCAGAGATCACACCATTGCACTCCAGCCTAGGCAACAAGAATGAAACTCCATCTCAAAAAAAACAAAAACAAAAACAAAAAACCAGAGAGCTCCCATTTTCTCAACTGCCCTAATTTCCTTCATCATCTTTATCATGATCTATAATGACTGGACACTGGTGTTTCCATGTTGAACACCTGTCCTGTGAAACCAGACTGTAAGCTCCATGAGGGACAGCCCTGTCCTCACACGAATCTCCGACGCTGAAAGTAGTGAGTGGCACGTGGCAGTGACTGAAAACCTTGCTGACTCTCCTTAAAGGACCTAAGACCATTAGATGGGTCACTGGAAAAGTTTTTTAGTTTAACAGGCATGGTGCAACACCAAAAAAGCCAAAACAGCCTTAAATAGCATTCAAACACTCTTTCTTCCATGCCTTCAGTCCTGCTATCTTGGTGGTATTAACACATCAACCATGTCTCCACTGTAAGAGCTATACTTCAACCTCTGTGGGGAGAAAATGACTCAATAGAAAATTCCTTCCTCCCAGCAAAAAAGACACCTAACTCAAACCCTATGTGTGCTCACACGGCTTTGCACTCGTTGTTTAACACATGGATCCCAAAATAAACTTGTCTCCCTTCACTTCCAACATAGAGGACTACTGTGTGACCAGTAATTAAAAATGGAATATACTGCTCTTAACTCAGTTGACTGCAATAAAGTACTTGGATTTTCCCACAATCATAACAAGACAGGGCAGAGAAAGGAGGCAGGGTTGTGGGGAGAGGCAGAGACTCGGTATTTCAGAACCCAGACCTTTGTCAAAAGTGCCACATAATTTTAAGAAAACGGAGTGGGGCTGTTTTCTTGTGATTACTTAAAAAAAAAGGCGGGGGGGGGGGGAGGAAACTCAAACCACGCTACAGTAATTGTACCCAGATGCTTTATTTCCTCAGGACTGTTGTGCTTCCAGTTGCTGCAAGGATTTTAAATTCCTACACAGAGTAGAGGCCTATGCTGCAGCTTCTGCATCAGCCTCACATCCACAGACCTGGTTTGCAACCTCAGTAAGCAAAGGGTTTTCAGCCTGCAGGTGGCAGAGACCCCCGGAACCTTCAGGGAAAGGAGGTGCCGGCTGCTTTCTGTTTTCCCCTATCCTGTTCTTATCTCCTCTTAATGAGATGCTGTGGCCCTGCCCCTCCCCATAAACCAGAGGGGAGCCTCCAGGCAGGGAGCACAGAACTGACCTGACAGAACTGACCATAGGGGTCCTCCTCCTTCTCCTCCTCTTCCTCTTCCTCCTCCTCCTCCTCACGTTCCCTTCTCAAAACAATGCAACTTCAAAAGTATATGCTTCTAAGTCTGTGCGTTCAGGGCTTTCCAAGAGCCCTCTGAAAATTTACTCACAAGGTCACTGCCCAAAAGGCAATACCCTCTTCAACAAGCATTTTCTAAGGCAAGATCAAGGGACACTCGGCAAGGGGCCAGGACTCCAACAGCACTGGGCAACGGGACCTTTTGAAAACAGGCAAACTTTTACAAGTGGATCTTAGCAAACTGCCCTCACCAGAGCTTCCATCCTCTAATTGTGGACTACTGCTTCCAGCATATCTTTCCTATGGCATCATTTTCTTTGATAATTGAAGCCAAGCTTGATTCCAATGGCTCCGCACAAAAACGGGCCTCATCAGCGAGTTCTTTCAGAGAACTGGAAGCAGCACTCGGAGCCAGCAGAGGGCCATCTGCTGGGCCCGACTTCTTTTAAGGGAGGCCAGAGCAGAGGGCCCAATGGGAGGCAGATGAGCCCCACCTTGGGCAGGACACACAAGGGCCCGTGCAGAAAGGCGAGGACACAGGGAGGGCTCTGTGCACCCAGCACCTTATTCTCCTCCCCAAAATAAATGCTGGGCCCAGTGCCCAATCCCACAACCCCCCTTCGCACACACCTCGACACTGTGCGTGTGTGTGTCTGTGTGCCGGGGATTTTACACGTGCTCCTACCAACAAGTTGCTTTTGCTCTAGGTTATTTATAGCCATTGTCAAAAGCCCAGGCATCCCCCTCAACCACTCAGACCAGAGTCCTGCCCTCTGAGGATAATTCCTGCTCTTCCGCCCCAACTATTTATATTAAACCTGACACCAAATCAGTAAGGACACAAACAAGTCGTTAAAAACGAGGCTCCTTTGAGTGCCCGAGGTAAACACAGGGCTTGCAAGCCTGGCCAGTGCCCCAGGCATCCGGCTGCCAAGACCGCTCCTCAGCAGCTGATGAAGAAAGACCATCCTCAGCAGCACTGACGTTTCTGTTCCATTCATTTTACTAACTTATTAAGCCCATCCCAGATGCCAGGTACTCTGCAGAATGAGTGAGTGTGCGGGAGAGGGAAGGGGGGAACTTAAACCTTAGATGGGATCTCTACATTCCAAGAACTAGCTGGAAAAACAGACTTCAGTTCAATAAGAAAGTTGAGGCATGGGGGTCAGGGGGCCACTCTAAAACCTTACAATGGAAAATGGGCTAAGCCAAGAGTCACCCTTTAAAAGTGACATCCCAACCTGGTTGTCCTATTTACATCATCATTACTAATTATACTAATTATAACACTTTGCGGCGGTTCAAAACGTTTCTCTCTACAAAAGGCTTTCATGTTTATTATTTTGGTCCTAATAACAATCCTATGACACAGACAGAAGGAATGGTGCCCACCCATTTTACAGATGGGCACATGCCATTCAGAAAGGCTTCAACACCCAAGCAGTAAGTGGTGGACCGGGCTGGAATGCAAGCCTTTGAATAAGGAGTCAGCAGACCTTTCCATACACTGTGCACACACTCGAATATCTTGCACGTTAAAATGATGTGAGATCATCTGGCTATGTCTTAAATTCTCTTTAAATATGCCCAGTTAAGACATATGAGCTTCAGAGAGTCCTTTAAGATGCTTCATCTCAACCCAACAGTGGGAGAAGGCACACGTGAATCTCGTATGGAAACTCTCAGGTCAATGACAAGCTGTCACCTCTTTATCAGTGATGTCCACGGTTCACAGCCAAGAAGGCAGCCCTGGAAAACAGGAGCTTCTGTCCCTGCCTTCTGGATCTCAAAAGCTTCATGAGTTGCATCCTGGTAATATCCCAGATGAGGCAAGCCCAGGCTGAGTCGCAACTGCCCACCCACAAAGGGGAGGGTTCACAGCAGAGCCCTGCCTGGGGAGGGCGTCCAAAACCACACACTGTGCTATTTACGAAGGTGACACTCTGGTCCCGGCAGTGGGAGACACAGAAGCCCCAGTCAGGAGGCCCCTGGAGAAGCAGCCTTTACCACGGCTCTTAAGTAGTCTCAGCTCTGGCTGCCAGGCTAGAGGGCAAGGAGGCCAGCGCCAGAGGCTTACCCAAATGGTCTCATAATGGGGCGGGCAGGCGTAGCAGGTGCCCGGCGACTGACCTACTGCAGAGGCCAGACCCAGGATCTTCCTCCCAGACAACTTGACTCCACAAGCATAAAGACACTGAAACACCTCCCTGGAACCTGTGTTTCCTTGCAAAAGTCAACCTGGTTCCACTTAGGTGTAGACCAGATGTCTGAGTAAAACTGGTTCCCAAGCCACAAGCGCGCCCCCTGGTGGTTGGAGAACAAGCCCTTCCTCTCCTCGCCAACAGTCAACTCTCTCTGCCGCCCCTAAAATCATGGCCCGCTAGGCTCAGACCTGGCCACCCTGAGAGGCTCAAGATCAACCATCTGGTGCCCACCTCTCTTCCTGCTGCTGGGCACTAGAGACCACATCCTACAGAGAAAGGGAAATCCAGAGGCAGCTATCAGACCGCATCCTGGGCCCCTAACACACAGAGAAATTCACACAGAGAGCAAGATAAATCATTCAGAGAGCAGTCAAGTGCAGCCCCATCCCCTGCCTGTCATAAAACCACACCCCGGAATTAAGAGGCTCATTCTCTTTTCGGATATTTGGAAGTCGGGAGGAGGGGAGAAAACAGAAAAACTCATTCTAACAAGAGGTCTGAAGTTGCCTCCAAAGGTCAAGAATCTTAAGACTTGGCCATTCTGCAAAGAACTATTTGTCTTTGAAGCCTCAAAGAGAAAGTACTCCAGGGCCCCAGTACTCCCGGGCCAAGATCTCTTCTCCATCAGCACTAACAAAATAATCAACTGAAGTCTGACCCTCGGACTCATGAGCATTTAAAACCTGGATTAATATGCCAGCAAGCTCTAAAGGTAAGGGTCCTTCATTTGGGAAAGTCACAGGACCTTCCCTAGTTAGAGGCCTTTCTTGCTGGGTAAATATCTAATTCTACAAAGGGAACCACAAGCTCAGTTAAGCCAATTGCTGGCTCTTATCTTAACAGAAAAGTTCAAAAAAAAATCCCACTTACCCCTCAATGGGTGCACATATTATTTCCTGTGCCTCCACCACAACCCAGCTGCCTCCCTAGCCACATTAATTCCACCCTCTACTGATTAGTGGTGAAGTGACCCCTTCCAAAACCGGCGCTTAGTGGATCTGGTGACTCAGAGGCATCAAAAGCTGCTGTCCTCTCTCTCTCTCTCAACCTCTTCTGAGACACTAGCCCGGGATAATAAGTAACCCACATTAGTGAATACTGCTTGCCACTGTTTGAAGTCAGCACTGGAAGACTGCAGGTATTTACTGTATGTGCATCGCTTTCCCCCTGTTTCAACAACAAAAAGCAAGATCAAAAAGGGTTCATGGCCAGCAGTCCTAACTCAACAGACCTGTCAGTCTCTGCAGCACACCCATCCACCCATCCACCATACTTAAAACATCTGCAAAGTCCACAGCATCAGCCCACCCGCCCCCGTCAAAGTCTTACCTGTATCCACTGTCAACAGTTTCCGTGGACCTCACACTCGCCGTGGCCCTCAGAGTTTTGCTGGACAAGCCAACCACGGTTGGCGAAAGTTTGCACTTGAAGTCGGCACAAGTCCACTCCTCTTCTTCATTCAAGGTGGGGAGATAGCCACACACGACCTTTAGGCTCCCGAGTCCCCCATTACTCATGTAAGCTGTGTTTTCTCCCCCACTCCTCACATATTCGAGGTATATATCAGAAGTCAAAAACATCTGGTAGGCATTTTCCTCCATCACCGACTGGATCTCGGTCTGCGCCTGGTCAAACATGATGGAATCAATCTGCTGCTTCTTGATGCCATCTCTTATGTAGGTCTTGGTGGCAGGCTTCAGCTGCTTGGAGACAATGCTGTTGTTCTCAATGTACCTTTTGTAGATCGCTTTGGCTACTCGTAAAGTTTTGGTATCCTTCAGGTTCATCTGCCTGAATCCATTGCAGGCAAACCAGAAGTCTAAGGTATCCACGCATTTCTCCCTCTCCAGGAAAGTTCGGAACAGGTAAGCACCGTCTTGATCGCCCAATAAGGAGTGTAAGGACTTGGTCCACCGGGTCAGAGGGGAATCCGGAGATGCCCGCCCCTCCGGCTCCCCCAACCCATCTTCGTTCCGCCTGGTGTTGGAAGAGACAGGCATGGGTTTGGTGACCTGGCCCTTGCCCACCCCTGGCTGACACGGTGGGGTCTCCCCTTCTTCCCCTGGCACTGGGGGCCGCGGGGCATCCTCACGGAAGCTGCTGCTGGGGTCCGGGAGGCAAGTCACCAACATAGCGCTACTCATGGTGAGGGAGCTCTTCCCACTGAGTCTGGGAATTTTTCTTCTTCCAGTTCCTCTCAGCAATCGGCGTGGTCTCTCTGTCTCTCTCAAGTCAGCAGGGGCTCATCTGAACCTCCTCTCTGGAAAGAAAAGGAAGGGGGGAGGTGGGGAGAGAGAAAAGGGTATTGATCTAATCAAAACCAGATCTACCCAACATCAAAGCAAGAAAGTAAACAGGCTTTTCAACTCCTCAAATTCAAATCAAGCAACCCAGCTATCTGCGAGGTGCTCATCTAAAGTATCAGGCGCTGCTTTTCAAAAGCGAAATCTGAGCTCCCTGCACACTTTTCGGGGTTGGGGGTGGGAGGGAGCTGTTGGGAAAGAGGCGGGGAAGGTGAGAGGAAGGCAAGAGCTGGGGACGGCAGGGGGACACTGGAGGTGTAAGACACAACCTTCCAAAAACCCACTCGGCCAGGGCGCACGCAGGGCAGCTCAGCCCGCGCCTCGCCTTCCCTCCCTTCCCCTCCCCCGATACCATCAACTCCAAAAAGGCGCACTCCCAGCCGCTAGGCTGTGTGCAGGTGAAACCAATTTCGGTATATTTCCCCACTCGGCCCTGCACAGATAACTCGAGCTCCAAACGTGCCCTTCCCCGGCATCTGGTTCCCATTCTCCCCACCCACCCCCTCCCTCTGCGCTCCCTCTTCCCACTCCTTAAAAATTCAGAAGATCCTGGCCCAAGAGAAGCCCGCCCAGCATAGGCGGATTGGGCTCCCGGACTCCCAGATTCAGCACGCAAACACCCCCTCCCCAACTCAGATTTGAGTGTTCGCTACGCGCCCCCTACCCCCACCAAGAATCCAGCTCAGTCAACACCTCTGTCTTCCCTGACCTCCCCCCAAACCAGAAACCAACTCACTCAGGGGAGACTTTCATCTTCAAACTTTGAGAGAGAGCTGAGAAGCCTCGGAACCGTCGCCCCCGTGCCCCCAACCCACCTCCCGGATCCGCGAAACCTACAAAACTGGATCACCAGCCGTCTCACGCCACTACTGCCTGTGCCAAGAATCCCAAACTCTACTGATTTCAAGCCTGTCTTTTTTCCAAAGAAAAAAGTCTTATCTAACCAATAAACAAGCTGCTTTCCCTAGCACGGAAAAGATCAAACTAAGAAGGGTAGGGGCTGAACGGGGTGCAACCCCGGGCGAGAAGCCAGGGACCCCGGATCTGGGATGGGTGCACGCTGAACCCGACCAGAGCCTCGAGCCGCGGGGCTGGGCGGCGCGGCCCACGGAGAAGTGGGGCTGCCGTTGGCACCGCGCTACCCGGGCGGTGGGAGGTGGAGCGGCCCCGTTACCTGGAAGACGAAGGCCGCCGAAGCCAGGCTCTCATGTCCTCCGAGCCCCTCCGGCCCGGTCCCCCGGCCCAAATGCAACTGAACGCCTCCAGAGCCCTGGCGGGCACACCTCGAGGCCGGAACCCCGGGACACGCCAGCAGCGCCCCGAGCCCGGGCGGGGGGTCGGTCCCCGGCGCCGCCGTTTGCAGAGGCGCCCGCAGAAAAAGCACAGAAAGCAGCAGCCTAGTCCAGAAATGGCGACGCGCGGAGTCTCTGCCTCTCCGCAAAAGGGGCCGGGGCGGCCACGGGCGAGGGGCCCGGGCCGGGAGGAGGGACGCGAGGGACACGGGCGCCCCGGACTTGGGCCGGTCCTGCGCGCAGACTGAGCCTCCGCCAGCGCTGTGGGCCCCTTAGCGCGGACCCGCGGCAGGGAGGGGAAAAGGGGAGGGGGAAGAGAAGTAGGAGGAGAGGATGGGGCGGAGGAGAGGCGGGGGGCGGGGGAGGGCAAGCGGGGGGCGCCGCTACCCTTTCATCCCACCTCCCAAAGGCACTCCCGCGCGCACTCACACGCCGACTCACATCCATAACCGCGACAGCGACGCGACCCCCGGGGGGTATCTGCCCCCTCTCCGCCCCCGCCACTGCCGCCACTCGGATAAGTCTCCTCTCTGGGCCCCCCGCCAACCCGGTCACCGCGCTGGGGAGGGGGCTCCGGCGCAGGGCGCGCAAGGCTGCCCGGCCAAGCCCCCCGGAACGCTGGGCGCCGGGTCCGCCGCTCCCCTCCGCGCCGGCCCCTAGCGCGCCCCGAAATAGCCGGCCTGCCAACTTCAAAGGGCCGCCCCGCACATCAAAGCGCGCGGTCCGCCCGGCCGCCTCGGCCTCGGCACTCACCATTGATCCCCGCGCGCGCTCGGCGGCGAGACCTCGCAGGCGCCCCTGGCAGGGGCCCGGCCCCGGCCCCCGGCTCGGCTCGCGGCGGCAGCCCCGGGCCCCCCCGGGCCGGCCGCGGCGTCGGGGAACATGGGGAGTCGTGCGGCGGGGGAGGGGGTGCGGGAAACAACAATCCCGGGTTCAGAGCGAAAGCCACCGGCCGGGGAGGGGGAACGGCGCGCCCCGCCGCCCCTTTTATGCAAAAGATCCGAGCGGGCCTCCGCCCCCGCCCGGCCCGGCTTTCAACGCAGGTCCTGTTTCCAGCAGTCACTCGGCGCACCAAATGTCCTCCGGGCGCTTCCAACAAAAACTGCGCTGTGGATTTAACTGTGCACTTCAAAGGCGCGAGCCGAGCGCACGGTCCTGAAAGGGAGGTACGCGCCGGCCGCGCCCCGGGCCGCCCCCCGCAGCCCCGCCACCGCTCCGCAGGGCCGCCCCGCCCGCGCCCCCCTCCAGGCCCGGCCTCCGCCTGGCCGGGCCCCCTCCCGCCCCCCGCGCCCACGCCGCGGCTCGGCGCGACCTCGCCCCCTGTAAGAGGGGGGCTTTCTTTGAAGCGGCTCCGCTGGGGCCGAGCTTCCACCCCCACCTTTTACAGCAGGGCCTTCGGCGGGCGCCTCGGCCGCCGGGCGGCCCCGAAATCCATCGCTCTGAGGGGTTATTTTTATTTCCCGGCTCTCGGGCTGTTACTGAGTTGCCAGGACCTTATCAAAGCGCAGCCGGCTCCAGCCGACTCCCCCGGGCCAGGCTCGCGGAGCCAGTGATCCCGCCGCGCCAATCACAGCCGCGCTCGGCCGGCCCGCGCCGCCCGCCTTAAAGGGACAGCGCCCCGCGCCCGCCCCGCCCCGCCCCGGCCCGCCCCCGCCGCACGCTCCGCTCCCGCGTTAACCCTTCCCCGGCCTCTCCTCCGCCCCCTGCCAGCCCCCCGCGGCCCCGAGGGCATTCTCAGCCCGAGTTCTGATTTCTTCTTTTAAGTTCTCCGGCCTCTTTGCTCCCGCCTCCTCCCCCTGCCTGCCCTCGCTCTCCCCGGCTCTGGAATGCAACAGTTTCTGGTAGCATTATGGCCATCGCAAGAACTGCAAGCAAGCAGATTTTTTTTTTTCTATCATCAAACGCTTTTCTACCTCTATTCAAGTTTCCCTGGGAATTTGGGCTTGGAGGACTTTATAAAGGGAGTTCCGGCCCTGGGGTTGGCTGGCCCGCTGTCATAGGGCGGACTCGGGCCCAGCCGCTGGAGGCGTGTGCATGCCTGTGCGCGCTTGTGCACGTGCATCTGAGTTCGGGTAAATATAGGACTGCAGTTGGTGGATGAATTGCGTTTGTGCATGTGTGAAAGTGGGGTGTGAATCCGCCAGTATAGGCCTGAGTGCTAACACCAGTTAGGAGGCATACCTCAGTGCCCTGAAGACCTAGGTCCAGCTTCCTAACCTGCTGGCCATAAGACCCTCGTAGCGGCACACATTGGCCATCTCTCCCAAACAACTGCATACCCGTTACTCTTCCAAAGTCCCCTCTTCTGCCATATGTTACATATTAAACCGATAGGAATATCTTTTTTCCCACTCCAAACGACAAGGCATGCATGCCGTTTTAATGTATCGAAAACTCCTCACCCCATTGTCACCTTTGAATTTCTCCCACATTTGCCCAAAAACGTTTATAAGGCACACACAACCTTCTCTTCTCCGTTAAAATGAGAAAATATGTCACAAACCCAGAGCATTGTGTATTTATTCTGCTGCTGCTATAGAATGATTCCTTATGTTATGAGCGAATAATTAACTTTTCTTCCTTTTAAAAAACAAAGGGCCGGGGACGGTGGCTCATGCCTGTAATCCCAGCATTTTGGGAGGCCCATGCTGGAGGATCATCTGAGGTCAGGAGTTCGAGACCAGCCTGCCTAATATGGCGAAACCCCGTCTCTACTAAAAATACAAAAATCAGCCGGGTGTGGTGGCACGTGCCTGTAGTCCCAGCTACTCGGGAGGCTGAGGCAGGAGAATCGCTTGAACCTAGGAGACGGGGGTGGGGGGGTTGCAGTGAGCCAAGATGGCACCACTGCACGCCAGGCTGGGTGACAAAGCGAGACTCCCTCAAAAAAAAAAAAAAAAAACACACACACACACACACATAAAGGTGTGAACCAAAGAGATCCAAGAAGTGAAAGGCAGAGTCCTGGCCTCAGAGCTGTGCAAGGCTCTTACTCTCCAACTTAATGGATGACGAGCCCTTTTAAATGCGAGATGGCCTGTCATTAGGCCTTCAGAACTTTAAAACATGCAAGAATTGTGGCTCTATCTAGGTATCCATAGAAAAAGAGAAGGAAGAGGCTGGGTGTGGTGGCTCACCCGTGTAATCCCAGCACTTCGGGAGGCCAAGGCAGGCGGATCACCTGAGGTCAGGCATTCGAGACCAGCCTGGCCAACATAGTGAAACCCTGTCCCTACTAAAACTACAAATATTAGCCAGGCGTGGTGGGGGGCGCCTGTAGTCCCAGCTACTCGGGAGGCTGAGGCAGGAGAATCATTTAAACACAGGAGGTTAAGGTTGCAGTGAGCCTGGGCGACAGAGCAAGACTCCATCTCAAAAAAAAAAAAGAAAAGAAAAAAAGAGGAGGAAGATCCACCACCCATGATCTGCTGGAAAGGGGCAGGTGGCAGGACTGTGCGCCACCTGCCCTCAGCCTAAGGGACTGTGACAAGGGACTAGAAAGCTCTTAGACTTTCTAGTCTAAGACTCTGGACTCTGGCTCGTGGGTGCCATGACAGGTGGCCGCTCCTCCCCAAAACCTGCCTTTCGGTGCCCATGGTCTGCAGCTCCAGGCTCTCGACCCCAGGCAGCCAGGTTGGCATAAAGACAGCAGTACCAGCCCTGAAATGTGGCCCTGAAGCCAGCCAGGAAGGCCAGGGAAAGAGTGTGGCCCGATGACTCATCTTTGCCTTAGGACAACTGCTGGTGTGAGGAAACCAGTGGGCTCTAAAAGCCCCGGCCTGCTGGTATTCTGGGGGGTCAGTGGCCCATGGACCCTCTTAGCCACCAGCTCTGAGCTGGCCCAGGGCCAAGAACACAGCCACCACCTTTGGCCACCCCAGGAGTGCCAAGAGTAAAACTGTCACTGTGGTTCCAGGGAGTCTTTGGGCCACAGAGGGTGTTATTACTGGAACAGAAATGTAGACAGAGGGGTATGGATTGCCATAAAAGTGTCTACCATATAAACAACAGTAAAGTCACACACACACACACACACACACACACACACACACACACACACACAATGTGGGGGGTGGGGGAGAGAGAAAAATCAAAACATCTAAAATCAAAATAAACAATGTTCAGAAAAAAGAGGTTTTCAAAAAGGAAGTGGAAACTTGGTCTTTGTGGGTGGTTTTCCTCTCCTCCCAGTTGTCCCCACCGACCCGTCACTGCCTCCCCCAACCAGCCCTAATCACTGTAGGCTCAACTTTAACCAAAGGACTACCTCATTATCCCATGGCTGCGACTGTAGCAAGAGGGGACTGGGACTGGGACTGGGGACCCAGGAGCAAGGCCCGGTTTGGTTTGGATCTTCTCGGTCAATAATAACTGCTCTGAGGGCCGGGGTGCAGTGGCTCATGCCTGTAATCCCAGCACTTTGGGAGGCCAAGGCAGGTGGATCACCTGAGGTTAGGAGTTCGAGACCAGCCTGACCGACATGGAGAAACTCCTTCTCTACTAAAAATACAAAATTAGTCAGGCATGGTGGCGCATACCTGTAATCCCAGCTACTTGAGAGGCGGAGGCAGGAGAATCGCTTGAACCCAGGAGACGGAGGTTGTGGTGAGCCGAGATCGTGCCATTGCACTCCAGCCTGGGCAACAAGAGCAAACTCCGTCTCAAAAAATAAATAAATAAAAAATAACTCCTCTGAGAGCATGGTTTCCAGAACAGGTGCTCGGGTCACTTTAGGGCAGTGACTCCCTCCACCATCACCCCTGGCCTGTCCCCTTTCCTACAGCTTTATATCTGGTGGGACACTTCCCTCCCAGCAGGAGGCTGGGCCAAGTACTGGAAAGCCCTCTCTCTAGCCTCTGGGTCTCTGACTACTTGTTGATAATATTTCTAGAGGAGAATCCAAAGTCCTGTGCTTATAGCAGCCCGTTTCTCAAGATAGCACGTTTTCCATTTTCCCCTTGTCCCTGGCAGCAGCGCTATCATGTGACTTGTTGTAATCCTGCACGGTTGCCTGGAAACTGGAAAGCAAGGTGATGGATTTCTGCACATGCTCACTCGCCCCCCCGCTCCACCTTTAAAGAAAAACCCTACGGAGGATAAACAGTCCACTTTGCCTAAGTGCAGACAAGTTTAATAAAGCAGAGAGTGATTCTTTGCTGGAATTATATACTGGGCTGAAATCCTAGAATCCCAGAAAACAAGGACTAAGGGCTCCCTGGGAGGCATCTGGCCAGATCTCTGACCTTTAGTCAGCCCCACAAAAACCACTGTGGAGGGGAAGTCACACCAGCTGGGACTTCAGAGGAGCTGAGACCCAGGACACTGCTCTCTCAGATTCAGTAACTTTGTCTTTTATTCCTTTGGAAAAGTGCTGCCTTAGACAATGTACCTTTGTTTGGGGAGGAAGGTGAAGAGAGACACAGGTAACCTTTCCTAAGACTGGAGGTTACCTAACCACACGGAGTTTCCATTTGTTCACCTGTAGACTGGAGGAAACCTCCCCTGCAAAGGCTGTTGTGAGCCTGAGCAATACGATAAATGCCTGGCACAGAGCTGGACACACAATAGAACATGGCGGTTATTTTCACAGAGTAAGTCTGTTCCCTCAATAGCCTGTTACCTATTCTGGGAAGAAACTCCCTATCTCCAAAGCAAAGATACCGTCCATTGGGAGTGACGATCTGGGGAAGAATGACCCCAGGAGGCTGACCATAGGGGGCCTAAAGGAGATAAAGGAGGCTGTGCCCTGCTACCATCTTTCAAGGATAGTCCTATGCAGAAAGAAATAAGCCCAGGGGCCATTCAAGAGTTATCTAGTCCAACCCTTCATTTAAGAAACCAGACAAATTGGCTGGGTGTGGTGGCTCACACCTGTAATGCCAGCACTTTGGGAGGCTGAGGTGGGCAGATCACCTGAGGTTAGGAGTTCGAGACCAGCCTGTCCAACATGGTGAAACCCTGTCTCTACTAAAATTACAAAAATTAGCTGAGCATGGTGATGCATGCCTGTAATCCCAGCTACTCGGGAGGCTGAGGCAGGAGAATCGCCTGAACCCGAGAGGCAGAGGTTGCATTGAGCGGAGACTGCGCCATTGCACTCCAGCCTGGGCAACAAGAGCGAAACTCTGTCTCCAAAAAAGAAAGAAAGAAAGAAAGAAATCAGACAAATTAAGCAAAGAGAAAGTGAGATTTCCCCAGGATCACTTTGCCCATATCAGAGATGAGCTGGAACTTCTGAGGGGTCCTGACTCCTGGCCCAGCCTCTTTTTCCTCCACACCATAGTGAGGAGACCCAGGGAGGGGCTGGCTGAGATGGAGGGGGTGAGACCATCTGGAGGTCTTGACTTTTACAACAGGACTAATACATACAATCTGGGATACTTTCCTGAAAGAATCACAACAGGGCTTCTGTCTGAAATCCCTCTAAGGCACGCTTCATCCAGCCCCTACCTGTAGGTAGGTTGCCTTGGCTCTGCCAGCTGGGCTACCCACAGCCTGATCTGGGACAGTTTGACCCACGTCTTTTAGAGTGGCAGCCATTTACATGGGCATCTCCGTGGAGTTGATCCACCTAAGGAGGAATGGACCTACTTCCTCTCCCCTTTGCAGAGGAGGGACTGGGAATGCCAAGGTGGAGATTTTGAAGCCACAAGGGGAAAAGTAAGGTTTCCCTAAGAAATCCCATCTTCAAGGCCAGGTGCAGTGACTCACACCTGTAATCCCAGCGCTTTGGGAGCCCAAGTAGGTGGATCAGCTGATGTCAGGAGTTCAAGACCAGCCTGGCCAACATGGCAAAACCCCATCTCTACTGAAAATACAAAAATTAGCCTGGTGTGGTGGCAGACACCTGTAATCCCAGCTACTCGGGAGGCTGAGGCAGGAGAATCATTTGAACCCAGGAGGCAGAGGTTGCAGTGAGCCGAGATCGTGCCACTGCACTCCAGCCTGGGCGACAGAGTGAGACTCTGCCTCAAAAGAAAAGAAAAGAAATCCCATCTTCAGAAGTGTTGGGGGAATTTATTTGTTGATAAAATATCTTTTTTTAATATGAAATTTAAAACACAGTTAAACAGTAATTTAAAACTTCCTAATTGGACTGACTTTCAAGTGCTTTTATTATGGATTGTAAATAGAGCTGCAAACTGCTGATTTTTTTTCAGCATCTCACCCTTCGTGGTCTTCAAGTTTGGCTTTTAGGAGTTGGCCTGAGCTTGTAACCAGAGGAGAGCACCGATATACCTATATTAAAACAAATCCAGAAAGAGGTTTTGCTTTCTTTTTTCTTTATTATTATTATTTTATTTTATGTATGTATGTATGTATTTATTTATTTTTGTTTTTTGAGATGGAGTCTCGCTGTGTCGCCCAGACTAGAGTGCAGTGGCATGATCTCGATTCACTGCAACCTCCACCTCCCGGGTTCAAGCAATTCTCCTTTCTCAGCCTCCCAAGCAGCTGGGATTACAGGCACCCGCTACCACACCCGGCTAATTTTTTTTTTTTTTTTGTATTTTCAGTAGAGATGGGGTTTCCCCATGTTGGCCCTGTGATTCCCCCATCCTGACCTTGTGATCCGCCTGCCTTGGCCTCCCAAAATGCTGGCATTACAGGCATGAGCCACCGCCCCCGGACCAGAGGTTCTGTTTTCTTAAGTGATCTTCTCCACAGTGAGAGACACCAAAACAAAGGGCGAGGTTGGGGGAGAAAACAGCCCCGAAAGGTCATTTTTAGAAAAGGAACTGGAAAATAGAAAGGAATCCCCCTAAAGTCGTCACGCCAACCTGCGACGCGTGTTCCTAAACCGCCCCCCGTAGACATTTTTCTCACCTTCTGATATCTTATTTTGCTCATTTTAAACAACTTCTGGAAAGCAAAGTTTAGCTGAGCTTGAAATAAGTTGCCTTATTCACCTCTGGGCACAGTGGCTCATGCCTGTAATCCCAGTACTTTGGGAGGCCGAGGCGGGTGGATCACGAGGTCAGATAGAGCCCATCCTGGCTAATATGGTGAAACCCCGTCTCTACTAAAAAAAATACAAAAAGTTAGCCGGGCGTGGTGGCACGCGCCTGTAATCCCAGCTACTTGGAAGGGTGAGCAGGAGAATAGTTTGAACTCGGGAGGTGGAGGTTGCAGTGAGCCGAGATGGCGTCACTGCACTCCAGCCTGGGGGACAGAGCAAGACTCTGTCTCAAAAAAAAAAAAAAAGAAACCTGGGCCACATCTAGACTCCGCCTTCTCCCTCAAACGCCTCCATTCATTCACCCAGCCCTGTTGATTCTGCCTCTAAAAAAATCTCCCACCACCACCTCCTGCTCTGCAAATCCACAACTGCTATCAGGGCCCTTGCCAGGGACAGCCAAATGTTCTAATGATGCTTCAC
Organism: Homo sapiens; assembly: GCF_000001405.40. NCBI lineage: Eukaryota > Metazoa > Chordata > Mammalia > Primates > Hominidae > Homo > Homo sapiens. Next base: position 65,568,452 of record NC_000017.11, read on the forward strand.
ACCTACAGTTTATAGCCCTAACCCCTGACCCCCCTCACGCAGTGCTGCAATGGTAAACGCTGTGCAGTGCAGAGCCACCCATGTCATTCTCCTGCTTCAGATCCTCCCCGGCTGCACATAACCTTCAGGATAAGGCCCAGAACCCTATGTGTGGTGCACAGGTAGCCGGCCCAAGCCCAGGCCCTTTTCCAGCTCTATTTCTTTTTCTATCTTTTTTTGTTTGTTTGTTTGAGATGGAGGAGCCTCGCTCTTGTTGCCCAGGCTGGAATGCAGTGGCCCAATCTTGGCTCACTGGAACTTCCGCCTCCCAGGTTGAAGTGATTCTCCTGCCTCAGCCTCCAGAGTAGCTGCGACTACAGGCGCATGCCACCACGTCTGGCTAATTTTCATATTTTTAGTAGAGACGGGGATTCACCATGTTGGCTAGGCTGGTCTTGATCTCCTGACCTCAGGTGATCCACCCACCTCGGCCTCCCAAAGTACAGGAATTACAGGCGTGAGCCACCATGCCTGGCCCTCCAGCTGTATTTCTTGCTGACACCCCCTTGTCCCTACCATATGCATGGTGGATTGCCTCTCCTTTTCCTCCCTGGCCGACTGCCCTCCCTCTGCCACTTCTTCAGTCCTCTCCCACCTCATCCCCCGAGACCGGGCTAGAGCCCATCCTCCTACTTCTGTGGCATCTGGGGCTCACCTCTAGCAAACACTGTGGTTGATCTACTTCTCTGTCCCACCCACTCAACCATGAACTCTCTGAGGACAGGGACCGTGTTTTGTGATACTTGCATCCCTTGAACTAGATTGTGGGAAGGAGGGACCTGGGCGATATTTAATAGCTGGTGAAACCTGTGTACCGGCCAATCAGAACTGATACCAGCCTAGGGTCTGGAACAGGGTCTTGGAAACCCCCTGCCAGAGTCAAGCCAGTAGTCGCTGTGTCACGAGGAGCTGTGGTTGGCATCCTCTAAGTTGGGCCCTAATGATCCCTGCTTCCTAGTTCCACACCCTGCATACTTCCCTCCCCTTGAGCATGGATAGCATTTGACTCTCTCCTAATAAATAGAGTATGGCTGATGTGACAGCACATCCACTCCACATTAGGCTATCGAAAGGCTGCGATTCCTTCCTTAGGTGCTTTCCCTAGAATCTTGAGGCATCCCTGTTGAGGGACCCGTGTGACGAGGGACAAGCCCTGCCACCAACCAAGTGATCTCAGAAGCCGAACGCCACCTAGGCAAGCCTTGACATGATGCAGGTCCAGCTGCTGGCTTGCTGGTAGCCTCATGGAAACCTCAAGGAGGAGGCACCCGGCTAAGCCATGTCCAGATTCTGGACCCACAGATGAAGATGTATCCTCTGGGGAGGGGAGTGGTGAAAACTGACCTGCTGATGAGACTTCGCCCTGTCAGTTAACATTGCTAATGGTAAGAACCCAGTTGCAAGACATACAGGTTGTGAATCTTTTCTATACTTTATTTTTTTTATGTTTTCTTTTTCTGAGACAGAGTCTCGCTCTGTTGCCCAGGCTGGAGTGCAATGACGTGATCTCAGCTCAGTGCAACCTCTGTACCCAGGTTAAGGTGAATCTCCTGCCTCAGCCTCCCGAGTAGCTGGGACTACAGGTGTGCACCACCATGCCTGGCTGATTTTTGTAGTTCTAGTGGACACGGGGGTTACACCGTGTTGGCCAGGTTGGTCTCAAACTCCTGACCTTGAGTGATCGGCCAGCCTCAGCCTCCCAAAGTGCTGGGATTACAGGCGTGAGGCACCATACCCGGCCCTTTTCTGTACTTTATGAAATGACAGCACGTTGATGGTCAATGACGACAAGCATAAGCTATTGGCAATAATTATCACATATTTGGGCCAAGCCCAGTGGCTCGCGCCTATAATCCCAGCACTTTGAGAGGCCAAGGCAGGTGGATCACCTGAGGTCAGAAGTTCGAAACCAGCCTGGCCAACATGGCAAAACCCCATCTGTGCTAAAAATACAAAATAATTAGCTGGGAATGGTGGCAGGCGCCTGTAATCCCAGCTACTTGGCAGGCTGAGGCAGGAGAATCCCTTGAACCCGGGAAGCAGAGGTTGCAGTGAGCCGAGATGGTGCCACCGCACTCCAGCCTGGGTGAGAAAAGCCAGACTCCATCTAATGAATAAATAAATAAATATCACATATTTGAAGTTCTTCAAAGGTTACTGGAAATTTCTATTGAAATATATCAAAATTCTAATAGATTAAGAAAGAAATATCAAATTATTTTGAGATGTTACTGAGTTACAGGATAGAGACATTTGGTCACACTCAAAAGCAATATTTGCTTTGCCGCCACCTTTTTCTTCCCAAATGGAAAGAACTCACTGGTCTAGGAGGTAAATGTGAATAGTCCTTGCAAGCTATTGCATTCGAATTAGAGGAGAGGAAATGCATCTTCCCTATGGAGCGACTAGGAACCTGGGAGAAAGGGGCTAATAAGAGGATCGTGTGACTTAAATGTGATAGCAAAATTAGCGGGGACATGGGCTAATTCTATGCATGATGATGGTTTTTAGAAAGCAGACCTCGGAGTCCTTGTCATTGAATTTAGATGGGAATTGGTGGGGGCGGGGATTGGCGGGGATTGGGGGAGAGGATTCCTGAATGGTGTGGCTCAGAAAGACTTTGAAGAAATCTTGGTATTTGATGACCCTTTTAATGACAGTGTGCCCTGGGAGTATGTTCTCTAAACAAACAAGGAGAAATGGTCTACAGATCAGTATGGTTGAATGTTAATAGCTTTCTTAGCAAAAACATTGCTATCACAAACAATAAAATGTGTAGACTGGCCAGGCGCGGTGGCTCACGCCTGTAATCCCAGCACTTTGGGAGGCTGAGGCGGCAGATCACCAGGTCAGGAGATAGAGACCATCCTGGCTAACACGGTGAAACCCTTGTCTCTACTAAAAATACAAAAAATTAGCCGGGCATGGTGGCACGTGCCTGTAGTCCCAGCTAATCGGGAGGCTGAGGCAGGAGAATCGCTTGAACCTGGGAGACGGAGGTTGCAGTGAGCCAAGAATTCGCCACTGCACTCCAGCCTGGGCGACAGAGCGAGACTCCATCTCAAAAAAAAAAAAAAAAAAAAAAAGTGTAGATTGAGACTCACCTCCTGGTAATCATGCTCTTTTGGTAAATACTTTTGCTGATAACTTTTGAGTATAGAAAAAGATACAATAATTATTGAAACTAGAAAATCTATCTTGATAGCTTCAATGAATCACCCAAACACCTAAGGGATGTTGGGGGAAAAAAAATTGGTCAGGTGCAGTGGTGCACGCCTGTAATCTCAGCACTTTGGGAAGCTGAGGCAGGGTGGATCGCTTGAGCCCAGGAATTCAAGACCAGCCTGGGCAACATGGTGAAACCCCATCTCTATAAAAATACAAAAATACAAAAATTAGCTAAGGGGGGCAGGGGGAGAGAGAGCATCAGGATAAATAGCTAATGCATGGTGGGCTTAATACCTAGGTGATTGGTTGATAGGAGCAGCAAACCACCATGGCACACGTTTACTTATGTAACAAACCTGCACATCCTGCACATGTATCCTGGAACTTAAAATAAAATAAAAATTAGTCAGGTGTGGTGGCGCACATGTGTAATCCCAGCTATTCGGGTCAGGGGGCTGAGGTGGGAGGATCGCTTAAGTCCAGGAGTTTGAGGCTGCAGTGAGCCGAGATCGCACCACTGCACTCCAGCCTAGGAAACAGAGCGAGACCTTGTCTCCCTGAAAAGTAAAAAAATAAAGAAAACAAAAGAAAGAAAGAAAAAAAGAAAAAATTCAGTGAAAAACAAGTATTGAGCTAGCCCAGCTTTTCAGATAAGGAAGACTGGAGCAAGACATCCCACCAGCTTCAACGGGTCAAGCGGAGTCAGGTTAGGTGACAAGGCACCACCCCCACTGAAACGAGTCTTTCTTTTTGCAAACTGCCTTGTTTTCAAGACGCTCAATTTGTTAAATGCATTCATCTGTCTACCTTTGTATAACTTTTCACAGGAATCCATTGGTTCACAAAGCAGAAAATGATCAAGACCTGGCAGCCTGACTTGGGGGTCAAAAAATACGGTCACAAAGAGCAGAGTGCAGTGAGTAAGGGGCTCCATCCCCACCTTCTCTTCTACTCCAAGGTCAGAGAAGAGCCAGAGCAATTTGTAAGAGCACAGAGGTGTGAAAGGCAGGTGCCAGACGTGGCCTGTCCAGGGAAGGAGGGGGAGGTAGGGTCGCTGTCTGCAGAGTGGATACTCGGAGAATGCCCTTGGGGACACCCTCAGCTGTAGAACAGATTCCCGAGGTCAAGACCAAGAAAGGCACCAGGGCCACCCAGGAAGGGAGTATGGGGCGCCATGGGGTGGCCTCGGGACTTCACCCATTTCCGCTCGCTCAGGCAGCCACCCACTTTGTGCAGGTCCAGCAGCTGCTCCAGCCGAACTTGGCTTATCTGTAACAGACCTGACCCTCCCCCACTCCATTCCCATCCCTTGAACTTTGACCTTTTCTCCCCAACAAAGGCCACCTGCTTTCCTTTCTCTCGCTGTCCCCAGGAGATGCCCTGCTCTGAATTTCCCTGTGAAAAGGCATCAACCTCAAACTCTACAAGACAATGGAGGGTCTTGCATACGCCTAGGGAGGCAGTTGTGCCTGGGAACATGGGGCTGGGCCTTTTCTTGGGGAGCCACGGTGGCACGAGGAAAGCAGGCACCCAAGGCAGCGGGCACTGGGGCCCCAAAGTGGAACCCAAGAGCAGGGTCTCTGCCCTCAGCAGCCCCCAGTCTGGGGGAGGGTGGGAAGAGGACACCGATAATCCCCGTTTTGATATTTTTTTGTGCCACATGATCGGCAGGAAAGGTGAGACAGACACAGGGCACAGGAGAGTTGGAGGCTGTGGGCAGCTGAGAACAGGAACTGCAAAGACCCCAGGCAAGAGGAAGCTCTGCCTTTTCCAGAAACTCATAAAAACTGAGAACCAGGGAGAGCAGGGAGGGAGAAAGGTGAGGTGGGGCAGACTGGCCTAGGCCGGCTTGGCAGAGCACTGTGGGCCACGGGAAAGTGGTGTTTTCTTTATCCCAAAGTGTCTGGATAAGCCAGGGAAGTGTGGCTCAATGGTTCAACACAGAGGCTCTGGAAATGGACGGCCCCGCCTCCTATGGAGAGTCTGTCATTCCTCTGTGCCTTGGTTTCCCCAAGTGTATAATGGAAGGAATGGCAATGCCTGTCTGGTGGGTTGTTGGGAGGATTAGACGAAGAAGTGATGCAGCTGAGCGTGGTGACTCACACCTGTAATCCCAGCATTTTGTGAGGCCGAGGTGGGCAGATCACTTGGGGTCAAGAGTTCAAGACCAGCCTGGCCAACATGGTGAAAACTCAACTCTATCAAAAAATACAAAAATTAGCCAGGAATGGTGGCATGTGCCTGTAGTCCCAGCTACTCGGGAGGCTGAGGCAGGAAAATCGCTTGAACGGAGGAGGAGGTTGCAGTGAGCTACTGCACTCCAGTCTGGGCGACAGAGTGGGACCCCGTCTCAAAAAAAAAAAAGAAAAGAAAAGAAAAGAAAAGAAGTGATGCAGTAAAGCAGTTAGAACCCCCCTGATGCCCAGGGAATACCTGGTAAGGGTTAGACATCTTTAGAAAAAAAACAAAGAGAGCAACCTGGCCTAGGGCCCTGCTCCCCTGGCTGGGGAGGCCCTACAAGTTATTCGGCTCTTAAAGATGCCCCTCCCTTCCCTATAAAGTGGGAATGAAATATGACAGATTTAAGGTGAGGTTTGAATGGAAATAGTCTAGCCAGTACATTTAGTTTCTGAAAGATGTAAGTGCTCAGCTTTCTGGCACAAATGGCTTCCCAAGGCCCGTAAAGGTCTTGGCGCACATTTAATCTTTTCACTGCTCATTGCAAGTCTTCAGCTAGGGGTAGCGGCTGCAGCCAGGTGACCCCTGGTGAGTCTCCATCAGAATGTGCCCACTCCCATGCTCAAGTCTTGCTGTGATGACAGTGGGGACTTCTAGGTACTTGCAAATGGTCACGTGTTCTTTGAATTCAGGAGCCCTGAACCCTGTACAGCATCACAGCCCCCAGCTTTGCTAGGTGCCCCCATCACCACTACCCTCCAGGCCTTCCTCTGGTGCCAAACGCTGCATTGATGTGTTCTATAATTTTTTTTTTTTTTTTTTTGAGATGGAGTTTCGCTCTTGTTGCCCAGGCTGGAGTGCAATGGCGCGATCTCAGCTCACTGTGATCTCTGCCTCCTGGATTCAAGCAATTCTCCTGCCTCAGCCTCCGGAGTAGCTGGGATTACAGGCCTGTGCTACCATGCCTGGCTAATTTTTGTATTTTCAGTAGAGATGGAGTTTCACCATGTTGGCCAGGCTGGTCTTGAACTCCTGACCTCAGGTGATCCACCTACCTCAGCCTCCCAAAGTGCTGGGATTATAGGTATGAACCACCACACCCGGCCTTGTTCTATAATTCTTGTTCCTTCTCCCAAGAGCTGTAAGATGGGCCCCAGGGGGCACCCAAGACCAGGTCCAAAGGGGACAAAGGAGGGGATGCACAGAGGTAGGAAGCCACAGTGAACCTCTCTCGAAGTATTTGCTACCACGTGTCTGCATGCAGCCCGGGCGAGGCTGTTTGTATTGCATATATGAGGTGCTGGGTTTTTCTTTCTTTCTTTTTTTTTTTTTTTTGAGACGGAGTCTCACTGTCGCCTAGGCTGGAGTGCAGTGGTGCGATCTCGGCTCACTGCAAGCTCCGCCTCCCGGGTTCATAGCATTCTCCTGCCTCAGCCTCCCCAGTAGCTGGGACTACAGGTGCCCACCACCACGGCTGGCTAATTTTTTTGTATTTTTTAGTACAGACAGGGTTGCACCGTGTTAGCCAGGCTGGTCTCGATCTCCTGACCTTGTGATCCACCTGCCTCGGCCTCCTAAAGTGCTGGGATTACAGGGTGCTGGATGTTTTCTAAAGGTGCTTGTCCAGACAGCCCAACCAACATGAAGCCATGAAAGTTGCCAGGGCCAAGCCTTCCACTTGTTTTGTATCCAGCACCATGTAATATTAAGAAACAAGTGGGCTGGGCGCGGTGGCTCACACCTGTGATCCCAGCACTTTGGGAGGCTGAGGCGGGCAGATCACGAGGTCAGGAGATCGAGACCATCCTGGATAACACAGTGAAACTCTGTCTTTACTAAAAATACAAAAAAATTAGCCGGGTGGTGGCGGGTGCCTGTAGTCCCAGCTACTGGGGAGACTGAGGCAGGAGGATGGCATGAACCTGGGAGGCAGAGCTTGCAGTGAGCCGAGATCGTGCCACTGCACTACAGCCTGGGTGACAGAGCAATACTCCGTCTCAAAAAAAAAAAAGAAAAAGAAAAAGAAAGAGACAAGTGAGGAAATTAATGAACAAGAAGTAACACCACACTATGGACTTTGGAGTCAGAAAGACAAATCAGATTTCAAATCCTGACCCCACACTGACTAGCTGAGACCTTGAGTAAGTTGTACATCCTTTTTAAGCTTTAATATCACCATCCATAACATGGAGCTAAGGATAAAGACCCACTTTGTGAGGGTATCCTTCATCCGCTGGGTGAAATCATCTGTGAGCTATCCTTTTTTTTTTTTTTTTAGATGGAGTTTCACTCTTGTTGCCCAGGCTGGAGTGCAATGGTGTGATCTCGGCTTACCGCAACCTCCGCCTCCTGGGTTCAAGCAATTCTCCTACCTCAGCCTCCCCAGTAGCTGGGATTACAGGCATGCGCCACCACGCCCAGCTAATTTTGTATTTTTAGTAGAGATGGGGTTTCTCCATGTTGGTCAGACTGGTCTCAAAATCGCGACCTCAGGTGATCCGCCCACCTCAGTCTCCCAAAGTGCTGGGATTACAGGCATGAGCCACTGCGCCCAGCCGGGCTATCCTTTTTCATATGTTTCCCACCTAACAGGTCCAGGATATTGTGGGTATCAAGATAATATATGCAAGCCGGGCATGGTGGCTCACGCCTGTAATCCCAGCACTTTGAGAAGCTGAGGCAGGTGGATCACCTGAGGTCAGGAGTTCAAGACCAGCCTGGCTAACATGGTGAACCCCATCTCTACTAAAAATACAAAAATTGGCCGGGTATGGTGGTGGGCACCTGTAATCCCTGCTATTTGGGAGGCTGAGGCAGGAGAACTGTTTGAACCTGGGAGGTGGGGGTTGCAGTGAGCGGAGATCGCGCCATTGCACTCCAGGTTGGGCAACAAGAGTGAAACTCCGCCTCAAAAAGAAAAAACAAAAACAATATATGCAAGGTGCCCACCACAGTTGCTGGCACAGAGGGATCAGAACGTTTTGCTGGCGTTGTGGTTGGTGTTAGTATCTTCTTCGGAAGTGCTCTAATCCAAAAAGACCACCTTGGATACCTGGCCGGAGTAATCAGGCTGTCCTGTAAGAATGGCTGCTAGGCCAAGTCAGGCGCTCCCGTAGACCCTTGCAGACTGGCCTGGCACCAGCCACAGGGAATCCACTGCCCGGCCCTCAAAGGGAAGGTGGACCAGCAACACAGCTCAGCTCCTTGGCGCCATCTTCCCTCACAAAAGAGCGGCACTGTCTGAACCCTCAGGGCCAAGGAGCAGTAAAAGGCCGTAAAGGCGGAGGGAGGAGCCGCCATAAACTGGAGGCAGAGTCCTTAGCAATTTCCTTTCTGATAAGGGCTTCAATGGTTTGGAGGAGACCTGCTGTGATTCTCTAATCTGGGCTCACGTGCCCTGGATGTTTGAATCCTTGGGTCAGAGTGCACAAAGGGAAGATCAAGGAGGAGAAACCGTCAGAGGGGACAGGAAAGGACAGGAGGGGGCATCCGACGAAGGCCAAGAGGCAAGCTACAGAAGGGGCCGTGGAATAACACCAAAAGGGTGGCTCGGGCGAAGGCCACTTCCTGCACGCCAGGCCCCTGTGAAGGGATCACCTCATTCGCTCTCCCACCCAACTGAGAGTGAGACGGCCCCCCATTACCAACCTATTTTTCAGGAGACCCAGGTTAGAGGCAGGATCTGCTACATCATGTGCAGGGTACAGTGCAAAATGCAAATGTCGGCCCCCTTTTGCACAATTTGTTAGGAATTTCAAGATGGCAACCACAGAAGGTTAAAGCTAGTGGGCGGCCTTCTGAGCGCGGGGCCCTGTGTGACTGCACGGATCTCATGTCCATGAAGCTGGCCCTGTCTAGAGGGGTTGAGACGCTTGACAAAGGTCACATGATAGTAAGAAGCGGTGGCTCTGATGTAAACACAGTGCAGTGGGATAGGACAAAGCCCCGGGTGGGTCTTTAAGTTCTTCCCATCCTTTCTACAAGATGGACAGTGCTCAGAAAGGGTAAGGGAGCTGTTGAGGGTCACACAGCTCCCTGAGAGGTGGGTTCTTCCAGTAAGGCAGGGAATTCAAGATGGGCCATTGTCTTGGAAGATGTCAGTCTCTACTTGCTTAGACAAGCAAAACACACACCCAAAACACACCCAAACCAGGACACCAGCAGCCTGGAAATGCCAGACAAGAAAATGGAAGAAAATATATAATGAGGCCAGGCATGGTGGCTCATGCCTGTAATCCCATCACTTTCACACCCAAAACACGCCTAAACTAGGACACCAGCAGCCTGGAAATACCAGACAAGAAAGTGGAAGAAAATATATAATGAGGCCAGGCATGGTGGCTCACGCCCGTAATCCCAACACTTCAGGAGACTAAGGGGGGCGGATCACTTCAGGTCAGGAGTTCAAGACCAGCCTGGCCAACAGGGCGAAACTCTGTCTCTACTAAAAATACAAAAATGAGCAGGGCCTGGGGGCACACGTCTGTAGTCACAGCTACTCAGGAGGCTGAGGCAGGAGAATTGTTTGAACCCGGGAGGCAGAGGTTGCAGTGAGCCGAGATCATGCCATTGCACTCCAGCCTGGGCAACAGAGTGAGTGAGACTCTGTCTCAAAACAAACAAACAAAGAAAAATCACAACAACAAAAAAATACATATATATATATATATATATATATATATATATATATATATATATATATGGAGTTGTATAGAATTGTAAGCTCATTTTCTGAGCGAGCACGAACAGATAGGAGTGATAACTTTCCTGGCCCTACAGTCCTCTAGCATTTCCATCCCCTTAGACACCCTGCTAGGACAGTGGTAGTGGCCAGGGCTGGAAGGAGCTGCTGCATAAATGTCCTCCAGGATGGAAGTGTGGACTCCACCACCAGGAACTCACCTGCCTTGGGCCCAGGGCACAGGTCTGCCTGTCTTGTACCCTCTTTTGCAGACAGGCGTTTCCTTAAACCCCTGGTCCCGTGTTAGCTTTTCCTTCTCTGAGTAACAAGCATCAGTGTTCGTAGGCCCCCAACTCTGAAGGCAGCTAGTCCGAGCTGCTGTTTTTAAGAGCAGAGCCATCAAACTAAAGTGGCATTTTTATTAATTTTCCGGTTGACTACATGTTCTTATCAATTAAATGGACAGCCAGGAGGGTTAGTGGTGAGAGTCCAGGTTGGGCTCAGAGGCCTACATTCCAGTGCTGGCTCCAGCTCCTTCTGTGACCTCAGACACTCTGGACTGCCAGAGGTCCTCATCTACCCAAGGAGGGGCTTGAACATCAGCCTCTGCCTCCAAGACTCTTATATTAGCAGCTCTCCTATCCCCATTCTTCTTCCTCACTGCATATCTTAGCCTGGGAGGCAGCTCAGCCTCACCTCCAAGGTGGACAGACTCATCGGAGCAAAGACTTCAGAAGGCACCCACTCACTCTTCCTCCCTTTTCACAGCCTGGGTTGTCGTTGGCCTCCTTGGAGGCTGGCAGGGAGAGGAGAGATCCTGGTCTGGGCCTTGAGTCTAGCTCTCAGGTACAGCATTCAAGGACAACAGCAAGGATATAGGCAGATGCTAAGAGGTTGGGACCAACCAATGTATTCCCGCTATCCCTGTGGCCTCTTCCAAAAAGCCATCATACCTCCGCTTCAAGCGAAAGAGCCAGGTTTCCTAAACACTCCTAGAGTTAGTGGAGTCTAAGATGTCATCCTGTAGATTCCTGAAACCATTCCAAGCATGTGGGGTCATGTATAATCATAGGAATTAGGAAATAACATTTATGCCTATAGGGGATTAAGAAAACCATGGCCCCACATGGGAACATTATATAGTCATTGAAATGGTAATGGCGTTGTAATGATATTGGAAATGCTTATGATGTAATATTAACTCTGAAGAGCAAGGTGCAAAACTGGATAGAATATGTACTCAACCAGGTAAAATACATCGAAAAAAACCACCAGGGTCGGGCGCGGTGGTTCATGTCTGTAATCCCAGCACTTTGGGAGACCGAGGCAGGTGGATCACCTGAGGTCAGGAGTGCAAGACCAGCCTGGCCAACATGGTGAAAACCTGTCTCTACTAAAAATAAAAAATTAGCCGGGTATAGTGTTACGCCCCTGTAGTCCCAGCTACTTGGGAGGCTGAGGCAGGAGAATTGCTTGAACCTGGGAGGTGGAGGTTGCAGTGAGCCGAGATCATGCCACTGCACTCTGGCCTGGGTAGCAGAGTGAGATTCCCATCTCAAAAACAAAAAACAAAACAAAACAGCAACAACAACAACCAGTACAGAGGATGGGATTGTGGAACGTTTTTTTTCTTGCTTTTTGTATTTGCATTAGTATGTTTCTGTTGCTGGCCACCCCAGCCCCTTCCTGAAGCCAGGCCTGGCTGGCTATTTTTTGTACCATGTGACCCCCACCCACTTCCCCCTTCCGCCTTCGCAGGCACCGCTGACTGGGATGTCACTTGTGGGTAGCCAGCTATAGGCAGGCCAACACCATGTGACTTGAGTAATCTGGCCTAGAATGATGAGCTGAGTTATTTGTTCAGCTTTCTTCTTGAGCTCAGAAATGTGAACTGGGAAACAAAGAAAAAATTTTGCTCCACTGGATTGAAGCCGTGGAGGGGACCAGAACACTGCTAGAGGAATGGCCACCTTGGGCGAGGGGCTTGTTGAGGCTATGAGGGGGCAGGGGCCAGAGGCCAGCAGAGAAAGCCAAGTCCTGGGGACAGAGAAGTCAACAGCAGCCACCTTGGCCAATTCCCCCACAAGCAACGTTATTCTTGCAACACACCCACATTTTCCCTTCAGGTCAACTGAGAGGGTCTCTGGTCCTTGCAACTGAAAAATGTTATCTTACACCTTCCAAAATTTCTATGGCTCTATACTATTATTATTATTATTGCTTTTGAGACAGGTTCTCACTCTGTGGCCCAGATTGGAGTGCACCGGTGCTATCACAGCTAACTGTGACTTTGAACTCCAGGCCTCAAGTGATCCTCCTGCCTCAGCCTTTGGAGTAGCTAAGACTACAGTGTGTGTCACCACACCTGGCTAATTTATTTATTTATTTGTTTATTTTTATTTTTATTTTTTTTTGAGACAATTTCACTCTTGTCGCCCAGGCTGGAGTGCAATGGGGTGATCTCGGCTCACTGTAACCTCCGCCTCCTGGGTTCAAGGGATACTCCAGCCTCATCCTCCCGAACAGCTGGGATTACAGGCATCTGCCACCATGCCTGGCTAATTGTATTTTTAGTAGAGACGGGGTTTCGCCATATTGGCCAGGCTGGTCTCGAACTCTTGACTTCAGGTGATCCACCCACCTCGGCCTCCCAAAGTGCTGGGATTACAGGTGTGAGCCACCACGCCTGGCCCTGGCTAATTTTTTTTTTTTTTTTTAATTTTTTTGTAGAGATGGAGTCTGGCCACAGTGCCCATGCTGATCCTGAACTCCTGGGCTCAAGCAATCCTCCCTCTTCACCCTCCCAAAGTATTGGGATTACAGGTGTGAGCCACCGCATACAGCCTATATAACTTTTAATAAAATAGAGAACCACCAAAAAGGGAAATCCACAGCATGTCAGGTGACCCTGCCATTTTGGAATGCCTTCTTATACCCAGTCACATACTATAAATTCGCCTGGTCTTGTGTCTTTCAACCAGGGCTATAGAAGAGCTAGAGTTCTAGGCTGTTGGGACATTGTGCACCCCTGGATGTCCATCTGGGGCTTTGCCATTAGACAGTCTCAGCCAGGCCTGTTGGAAACAAACTGCCAGGGAAACTGGGCCTCGTCACCTTTGACAGGCACCTTGGCATTGCCTATCTTGTGCTGATCACATCCTCAGACAACGTTTGGTGGATCCCCATTCTGTACTGCCTCACACACTCTCAGCTCTCTCTCTGTCTCTCTCTCTCTTTTTTTTTTTTTTTTTGATGTTGTTTCACTCTGTCGCCCAGGCTGGAGTGCAGTGGCACGATGTTGGCTTACAGCAACCTCTGCCTTCCGGGTTCAAGCAATTCTCTTGCCTCAGCCTCCAGAGTAGCTGGGATTACAGGCGCCCGCCACCACATCCAGCTAATTTTCATATTTTTAGTAGAGACGGGTTTTCACCATCTTGGCCAGGCTGGTCTTGAACTGCAGGCCTCAAGTGATCTGCTCACCTCGGCCTCCCAAAGTGCTGGGATTACAACTGTGAGCCACTGCGCCCAGCCTCTCTCTCTCTTTCTCTCTCTCACACGCAGACACTCACACACGTGTGCACACACACATGCATATGCTCACACACACACAGATGCTCAGACACACCCAAACCAGGACACCAGCAGCCTGGAAATACCGGACAAGAAAGTGGAAGAAAATATATAATGAGTTTGATAGAACCGGGAGTCCATTTCCTGAGCGAGGGGACTTTTGTGAGTGAGTACAGACAGATAGGAGTGATAACTTTCCTGGCCCTATAAGCCTCTAGCATTTCCATCCCCTCACACACTTCTTCCCTTGAAGTTTCTGTTCTTCACACTTCCTGCTATCTCAGGCTCTTGGCCAGATCTGCGGACTTGAAAGGCACAGCAGAATGGCCTCAAATGTTCTTCCTCCTGGATAAAATGCACACAACCACGCTTACCTGTCTATTAGCGGACTTTCTTCCTATTTGCCTGAAATGTGGATTGCTGAACAGAAGAGGCCCAGGATGAAGTGGGAGAGAGGGACCGAGGAGAAAAATGGGAGGAGTATGGACTCTTCTGGTTTTTTTTTTGAGATGGAGTCTCGCTCTGCCGCCTGGGCTAGAGTGCAATGGTGCAATCTCAGCTCACTGCAACCTCCACCTCCTGGGTTCAAGCGATTCTCCTGCTTCAGCCTCCCGAGTAGCTGGGATTACAGGTGCCTGCCACCACACCTGGCTAATTTTTTGTATTTTTGAGTAGAGATGGGGTTTCACTATGTAGGCCAGGCTGGTCTCGAACTCCTGACCTCGTGATCCACCTGCTTCAGCCTCCCAAAGTGCTGGGATTACAGGCGTGAGCCACCGAGCCCGGCCATCTTCTTAAAGTCTAGCTTAGCGCACCCACCAAGCCTAGTGCACCCACCACCATCTCCCTCCAGGCAGACAGGTTTGATGCATCCCAAAGAAAACTGGCTTTGGTGACCTCAAGTCTGGGCCCATATCCCAACTTCAGCATTTAAAAGCTGTGTAAGGCAGTGGCTCACCTGTAATCCCAGCACTTTGGGAGGCCGAGGCAGGAGGATTGCTTGAGCCCAAGAGTTCGAGACCAGCCTGGGCAACATAGCCCCATCTCTACAAAAAAAATTAAAAATTAGCCAGGCATGAAAGCTTGCACCTGTGGTCCCAGCTACTTGAGAGGCTGAGGCTGGAGGATCGCTTGAGCCTGGGAAGTCAAGGCTGTAGTGAGTTGTGATAGCGCCACTGTACTCCAGCCTGAGCGACAGTATGAGACCCTGTCTCAAACAAAACAAACCCAACTCTGTGAGCTTGAGCAAATTTCTTTTTTCTGATTTTTTTTTTTTTTTTTTTTTGAGACGGAGTCTCGCTCTATCACCCAGGCTGGAGTGCAATGGCATGATCTTGGCTCACTGCAACCTCTGCCTCCCGGGTTCAAATGATTCTCCTGTCTCAGCCTCCTGAGTAGCTGGGATTACAGGTGTCTGACACCACAACTTGCTAATTTTTGTGTGTTTTTAGTAGAGATGGGGTTTCACCAGGTTGGCCAGGATGGTTTCGAACTCCTGACCTCAGGTGATCCTCTTGCCTCAGCCTCCCAGCTGTAATCCTCAGCTGGGATTACAGGTGTGAGCTACCACACCTGGCCTAGCTTGAGCAAATTTCTCACCCTTCCTGGGCTTCACTTTTCCCAGTTGCAAAATGGGAATAAGCCGTTCTGTTACGGGAAGGATAAAAGGAGAAATGGACATAAAGGTCCATGCATACCGCAAGTGACTTTCTTCATCTTAGGGAGTCAGACTGTGGCTGCCTTCCCCTCCCGCTCCCCTCTGGCTTCCTCCTGGGAATATGTCCCTCCCAGGAGGCTGGTGGGGGCTGGGCAGTCACCCCAGGCTAGGGGGGCATCCACCTTGCAAACCCTTCCATAGCAGACTGACTGCTTGCTTTGCAGACTGTCAACGGGCAGCGCAGTCCGGGCCCAGGGAAGGGCTAGTGGCAGCTGCAGCTCTGCGACCAGGCTTGGAAACACGTGTCAAACCCTATTCCAACCAGATGAGGCTGGCCTGCTTCCAATGGCCGCTTTCCATCCAAGGTCTGGCCAAGGGGAGCTTTGCCCAGATCCCCTCCACAGGCAGCCCAGGCAGCAAGTCCTATTTGTTCCCCTGAGTCCTCGGGTCCAGACTGACAAGCTCACCTCTCTATTCCGGAGGCTCTGTTCAGAAGGTCCAAGCCATGAGTCATGCAGCCCTGCACTGCTGGGGAAGGTGGGAAGGGTAGGTGCAGGCTCCAGGGCACACAGCAACTGGAAGAAGCCATCTGCCCATCCTGTAGGTATGGTCCTCTCCCTGACAAGGCTGGTCCTCTCCCTGACAGGCAGGGGAAGGAGCTGGGTAAAAGAAGAGGACGAAGAGATGCTCTCCAACCACCACAACATGGGGCAAACATAGGCCTCCTCCAGCGAAGGGAAATATCCCATATGCAGCAGATGGGCCTGAGGCAGGTGGCCAGAGAGCCAGTGACTTCTCTTTTTGCTGCTTAGAAATGGTGGCTGAAAAAAACACACATGCCACCACCACCCAAAAAAACTAGAGAATGCAGCATACCAGCAAAGAGTCACAGAAGGAAAGGAAATCCAAATGTTTTGAGTTTAGCTATTAAGCATAGTTTCCAGCGAGTGTACTCATGTCTTGAAATGAAACAGATGAAAGCAACATGTGTCAATGGTTGTAGGAAGGCAATAATGTCATCAACAGGAAATAAAGAAATTGAACACTGAAGCCTCAGCCCAGAACTTAACTCTTCTCTTGCCCAGGTCCCCAAGGCTTTCTGCATGAAGACTGAGGACACTTCCTGCAAGACTAGGTCACTGCCTCTCTCCACCTGCCTGGAAGGTCCTTGAGGCACCCCCTGCAAGGATCACGAGCACCTGAGAAGGACTTGCTTTGTTTCTTAAGGGATGTGGCCTTGGAAGAAAGGGAACCCCAAGGGACCCTGGCCCAGCTGAAGAGGAAGCTGCACAGCCTCTCTCTCCATGAAGAGGCTACAAAGCCTTGGCTGTGGGATCACAGTTCCTGGCAGGGACAGTGCTGGCTGCTGGAAGAGCCAGCAAAGCCAAGGCCAACGTGCTGGCACTAAAAGGGCTGGTGGCGCCACCAGGAAGTCCCGCAGGCCCCAGGAGGCTCTGATTGCTGCTCAGGGCCCAGAAGCTAGGAGATCCCTTCTTAGCCAACCCCCCAACCCGAGGCAGAATGCAGAGCGCATACACGGGCCCCTCTGGCCGATCCAAGAGAACCTCAGGAAGAGCAGGGACTTTGGGCCTTGGAAGGTGAGGCTAACGTTCACATGCCTTGAGAGTGGCCGGGATGACTCTTGCAGGCCAGTCTCGCTGGTTGCTTTTATCTCTGATGAATCCACCCTATTTGGCTTTGGGGGTGCCTGACTCACTGTTGACATTGTATGTCACTTGCAAACAATTCATAAAACTTAAATATCAAACAGATCACACTGGATCAAATAGATCAAACAGATCAAGTGGGATCTTGGAGTGAGAGCATTCATGAGTTCAGTTTCAGACCTGGCCTTAGAGCTTTTAGGTCCAGGGGTGCTAGACAGCACCATGGGCTGCACCTGTTCTCTGCATCAGAGTCCTGGGGGAGGTCTACACAAAGCCGGATTCCAGAGCTTTTCTCTGGAGACTCAGGAGGTCAGGCTGAGGGGTCAGCAGCTTAGCCCAGTGATTTTTAGACCACCCTGGATCAAGATAGCCTAAAACAATGGATGTAATTGTCATTACATACAGGTAAAATTAATGGACAGAAATGCCTCAATTCTTTCTCCCATAATTAAGAAAAACCAACCCTAAAAAATATTTGGTAGGTCTTGACACTGAATTCTAGAACAGGATCTTTGGTATTTGCCCAGAAATGTACATTTGGGTTTACTGTACCCATGTGCATTAGTCAGCTTGGGCTGCCATAGCAAAACACCATACACTGGGTGGTTAAATCACAGATATTTACTTCTCACAGTTCTGGAGGCTGGAAGTCCAAGATGAAGATGCTGACGTCTTTGGTTCCTGGTGAGGGCTCTCTTTCTGGCTTGCAGAGGGCTGCCTTCTGGCTATGTCCTGCTATGGCTGAGAGACAGAGAGAGAGCAAGCTCTCTGGCATCTCTTTTTTTTTTTTTTTTTTTAGATGCAGTCTCACTCTTATTGCCCAGGCTGGAGTGCAGTGGCACGATCTCAGCTCACTGTAGCCTCTGCCTCCTGGGTTCCAGCGATTGCCCTGCCTCAGCCTCCCCAGTAGCTGAGATTACAGGCACACGCCACCACGCCCGGCTAATTTTTGTATTGTATTTTTAGTAGAGATGGGGTTTCACCATGTTGGCCAGGCTGGTGTCAAACTCCTGACCTCAGGTGATCAGCCTGCCTCAGCCTCCCTAAGTGCTGGGATTACAGACGTGAGCCACTGTGCCTGGCCTTTGTGTCTCCTCTTATAGGGGCACTAATCCCACCATGAGGGCCCCATCCTCATGACCTCATCTGAACCTAATCACCTCCCAAAGGCCCCATCTCTGAATATTGGGGGTCAGGGCATCAACATGGGAATTTTGGGGAGACAGATTGGGTCCATAGCACCATGTTTCATGGAGCTCCTCTGGGAGCATCACCAGGTTGTTCTGACCCACATGTCAGGTGCCTGCCAGGTGGGCACTGGCTTAGACTCGGGGGCAGTGTCAGCAATGGTCAGACCCGGACTTTTGCTCTTCAGGAGCTCTCATTGTGTGAGAGATCAACATAGAAACAGGGTAACGACCAAGGTGGAGATGTACCCAGGGTGCTAGGGGAGCAAAAGGGGGCACTGAGTCTACTTTACAGGAGATGACAAGGGGTAAAATCAGCTCAAGGAAACTGAGAAGGGCAAACCTGGAAGATGGAACAGCATGAGCACAGGCTCTGAAGCTCGACGCAGCCTTGGGAGAGGGGATGGCTCCCTGTGGAGCCGGACAGTACGTAACCCACAGGGGGCTGTCTGGAGTGGAAGTTGTTGTGGCCAGATCAAGGAGAAACCCAGGGCTCTGCTAGGAGTATGGCCTTGACTTCGCAGATAAATTGTCTTAAACTGGGTAGTGGAGGAGCTACGTAACCTGAGCTGGGTTTTAGAAAGCTCCCTGTTGTGGGCGTGTTGGGGCTGGATGTAATGAGAGGTAGGATTCAGGCAGCAGGGACCCCATGGGAGTCCATTACACGAATGTAAGCGATCATATTTGTTTAGATATTCACATTTTATTTCAGCAACTGTCTTAGATAGGGCTCCCCAGAAACTGACTCTGTGAGGGGAATGCATGTGAATTACTAGGAAAACTGTAAGGAAAATCCTGCAGGGGAGCGAGGGAATGGAAGGGAAGGAAGCCAAGCAAGGCTGTGACACCGAGCAGTGTCCACAGAGGGGGGACTTTGGTTCCACCCATGGGGAAATCTGGAGACAGCGTAGCCCACTGCTCACCACTGTTCTGGCTTGGGGACAAGGGAGCTGGAGGATTTATACCCCAGCATCTGTCCACCACTAGTTAAGGGCTGGGAGGAGATTAAAGGTATGCAGACACTTGCTGCTCTCCCAGTTGCCAGCAAAACACATTCTAGAAGCTTCCACCAGAGAGGCAGCAGGAAACGCTGCGAGTGAAGCAGGAAGAAGCTGGTCTCCAGGGTGGGGTGGGGGTGGGGAGAGAGGGGGTTGGAGAGCAGAGCACTGAGGGCATCTGGTGCCATGTGAGGCTGCCCAGGGACTTCCAGTGCATCTCATGACTAGCCAGGGCCAGCCAGGAATTCCTGCTTGGGAAGTACTTAGTATGGTTCAAATCTAGAATGTCGAGGAAAGCCCAAAACAGGACAGCCGCATCAGCTCCTTTTCCGGGATTATGGGGACTTTATAACTCGAAAAAATTTTTTCCAGCTGGGAGTGGACAAGGGATTTGGCAAGCAAGGAATGACCCCATACTGACCTCACCAGCTAACCGAGAACCACATCAGTGGCTACAATAGGGCTTTGCTGCAAGAATCGGGGCCCATCCAAGGGCTGCCACTGACTGGTTAACTAATGTGGGGAAGGCCAAGTTCCCATCCATCGGTTACTCAGTGCTCTTTATCTCCACAATCACAACGACTCTACCTGCCCTACTCATCTCTAAGATGGTTATAAAGATAAAAATGGGATTCCAGCTTGGGCAAGTTTTCCAAGAATGTTCAAGGCTTGTTGTAAGTCCATAGTATATGCCACTTCTGAAATGCTGAGTAATGTCAGACAAGGGCCAGCAGGGAGAAAAGTGACATTTACTGAATGTCCCCTACAGGTTGGCGGCTGCCTTTGCAAGCTTCATGCAGGTGATGAGAAGGTGCATAGGGAGAACTTTGACCTTCAAGGCTGGATACTGACAGAAACCTTGGTCTGTCCCTGTGGCTGCAGCTATCACTAAGGCATGTGGTCTCCACCCAAAATGCAATTAATCACTGAGCACGGGCGTTACCTCTTCAGACTTGTGAATAAACAGAGATCAAAGACAGCCAGTCAATGAGACTCTGATAGGCCTTTAACCAGGCCCGGTGCCAGCTCGCTGGCCGCCCGCACTCCTGATCCAGCCAGACACACTCAGCCACCCATATGTCAACTGCCTGTCCTGCCCCCCACCCTCCAGGGCCAGGCCAGCCTTCCACAGTGTCCCAGAACCATTGAGCTTCCAGGTTAACCTCTTCCCTGTTATAATGACGCACGGAAGTCACCTTTCTCTTGGAAAACCAGGACTGTGGATGACATGGCTGGGACACCATCCCTTTCCCCCTTCCCCTTGACAGCCCACTGGGTCCTGTCACTGATAGACCCAAAAGCAGAGCATCTCCCTCTGAAACATTCAAATCTGTACCCTAGGCCCATTTACAAAGCTGACTTGTCTGGAGCCTCAAGACTGCAAGAAAACAACGAGACTCTGACTGTAACATCTGAACTGTCAGGGAACGCCTGTATAACCTCTGTCGGCCTCTCTGCCAGGCAGGGTTTATGCCCCACCTCACTGTGGGAACCCTGGTGCCCCAGATGTGGGGATGAGAGTGAGGGGGACGGGGAGTCTGTGCCATGCTCCAGGATGGCCAGGCTCTCCTGGCCACCCCCAGTGTCTACCTCAAAGTCCCCACCCCATTGCACAGCACGGGAACCTGTGCCCACAGCTCTACAGTGTGAGCTCTTTAAGGGCAAGGAAAAGATTCATTCACCTTTGCATTTCCAGAACTTCACCCAAAGCAGGGGCCCAGCACAGGTAGGTGTCTTTCATGCGGGACCCACCACACACCACCGGGAATACTGAGGATCTGAGAGCCTGTGGGACTTGCCCAAGCTAAGCTGGTCAGTGAACGGCAGGGTCTGGACTTGAACACAAGTCTGTCTGACTTCAAAGTCTGGGCTTGTTCCAATACATTACACATATGTCTGAGCTAAGACATCTGGGTTTACAACATCATAAAAATCAAAGGTTGGCAATACGTTCCCAGCATCCAGTTTCACACATGGACCAGTTTTGTCCCAGAGCCAAGGACTGGCGACCCTGGCTTCAGGCACCCCTTTGCTGACAGGAGCTCTGGGGAAGACAGTGCAGAGGGCACTGTCCATGCAGCCTCTCTGGGGGCAAGGACAGGCCATACTACAGATGTTTTCAGTTACCACCAAGTTCTCTCTTCTCTAAGAGGATGTAGGCTGCCTTGTATAATATCTACATTAGTGGCCAGGCATAGCGGCTCATTATAGACATGAGTTACCAGCACTGGGAGGCTGAGGCGGGTGGATCACCTGAGGTCAGGAGTTTGAGACCAGCCTGGCCAACATGGTGAAACCCCGTCTCTAGTAAAAATACAAAAATTAGCTGTGTGTGGTGGCATACACCTGTGATCCCAGCTACTTGGGAGGCTGAGGCAGGAGAATCGCTTGAACCGGGGAGGTGGAGGTTGCAGTGAGCCGAAATTGCACTACTGCACTCCAGCCTTGGCAACAAAGCAAGACCTTGTCTCAAAAAAAAAAATCTAAATTAGCAGATGATTTTCAAAGTTTTTGGATTGGATTGTGGAACAAATCATATCATTTCCCTGTATCAGGCTACATTGAATATTCGCCATAATTTTATTTTATTTATTTTTATTCTTAATTTTGAGGCAGGGGCTCGCTGTGTCATCCAGGCTGGAGTGCAGTGGTGTGATCATGGCTCTTGGCAGCCTTGAACTCCTGGGCTCAAGTAATCCTCCCACCTCAAACCTCCCAAGTAAGCTGGGATGACAGGTGCACACCACCATGCCCAGCTAATCATCAGAATTTTCCAAGAACAAATCAAATGAATGCATAGCCTATCTGTGATCAAGGAGAGTCTATGTTACACACCGCTACACATTACCTGCCCTTCTTCAGGGAACACTCTCTATGATCTCTGATAATCCAGGCACAGTTGGCCACAGTGTTTCTCTTTTCTTTCTTTCTTTCTTTTTTTTTTTTTTTTTTTTGAGATGGAGTCTCGCTCAGTTGCCCAGGCTGGAGTACAGTGGCACGATCTCAGCTCACTGCAGCCTCCGCCTCCCGGGTTCAAGCGATTCTCGGGCTTCAGCCTCCCGAGTAGCTGGGATTACAGGCGTGCACCACCACACCTGGCTAATTTTTGTATTTTTAGTAGAGATGGGGTTTCACCATGTTGGCCAGGCTGGTCTTGATCTCTTGACCTCGTGATCCGCCCACCTCGGCCTCCCAAAGTGCTGGGATTACAGGCGTGAGCCACCACGCCCGGCCACAGTGTTTCTTTCTGAGCTTAAAAAACCAGAAAGGGGGATAAAAGGTTGGAAGTGAAATTTGGTCAGCTAGTTAGATCATGAGTGTTAAAAGGTAATAAAATCAAGGCGGCTGCTGGCTCTGGCCAGAGTCATCTTCCCAATACAGCCTTTCTGCAAAGGTCTGGCAGCTGCAGGGCAGCCACACCACGGTACAAGAGTCAGTTGCAGACGGAGTAGGAGGTCCCCAGCTCTCTCCTGCCCTCCTTTGATTCTTCCACCTGAGGCCCAAGTATGGCTTGTGTCTTGAGATGCTGCAGTCTCTTTCCCTAGGGTACATTTATACTGCTTCAGAGAAGCTTTTGGTGTTTTTGGTTTTTTAAAGAATAGAGACAGAGGCCGGGCATGGTGGCTCACGCCTGTAATGCCAGCACTTTGGGAGGCTGAGATGGTTGGATCATTTGAGGTCAGGAATCAGAGACCAGCCTGGTCAATATGGTGAAGCCTCATCTCTACTAAAAATACAAAAATTAGCCGGGCGTGGTGGCACATGCCTGTAGTCCCAACTACTCGAGAGGCTGAGGCAGGAGAATCACTTGAACCCGAGAGGCAGAGGTTGCGGTGGAGTGAGAATAAGCCATTGCACTTCAACCTGGGCGACAGAGCAAGGCTCCATCTCAAAAAAAAAAAAAGAAGAAGAAGAAGAAGAAATTATTTCAGCCTGACACGGTCCCTCACACCTGTAATCCCAGCACTTTGGGAGGCTGAGGCAGGTGGATCACTTGAGCCCAGGAGTTTGAGACCAGTCTGGGCAACAGAGTGAGACCTTATGTCTACAAAATTTTTTAAAAAAATTAGTTGGATGTGGTGGTGCATACCTGTAGTCCCAACTCACCTGGAGAGGCTGAGGTGGGAGGATCCTTGAGCCCACCTCAAGCTGCAGTGAGCCATGATCAAACCACTGTACTTCAGCCTGGGTGACAGAGCGAGACCTTCTCTCTCTCTCTCTCCCCCACCCTGCCATACATATATATATTGTTTTTTTTTTCCTACAGAGACGAGGTCTCACTCTGTCACGCAGCCCAGGCTGGTCTTGAATTCCTGGCCTCAACCAATCCTCCTACTCAGAGCTAGGGTTACAGGTATGAGCCACTGTGACAGCCATATTTTGTAAGGAATGGAGTGAGGGCTGCAGATGGATGGGCCACAGTCTTCTCAGGTGTGCTGGTGATTGTCTCCTGAGAGCTGGACAGAGGCCTCTGCACTCTACCTGCACTCAGGAAACATTTACAGAATCACACTCTGTGTGGAGCACTGTGTTGCCCTGGTGGGTCTGGGGTGCATTTCCTGGTCCTTGGAGGACTCAGATGGCTCTCTGTAGAAGCCCAAAGGAGGGTTGGTGGGGCTGAGGCATGTTGGCAGTGGTGAAGATATTCTAGTAACCTCCCCCAGCACCCAGCCTTCCCACTGGTTGGGCCTAGGAATGTGGTCAGAGAGCCCTGCCCCGAGTTTGCAGAGAGGCTATAGCTGCCCTGGCAGCTGGTCAAGCATCTATCCATTTCAAAGGCTTTTTGTTAAACTTCTAACAGCCGAAAGGACAGCCTGAAGCCATGCGCCAGGAAGGCCTCCCAATTTTGGTGGCCAGGAAGTCTATTGAGCTCCCCTCCAACCTCTCCAACCCCTAGAATGGAGACCTGAGCTGGGCAATCAGCCCAATAAATCAGGGGATGGCACCCCAGGGGCCATGATGACCCAGGGGAGGCCCCCTCTGGCTTTGGGATTTACTGAAGGGCAACGCACAGGTGTGCAGGGCAAGAAGCCGCCAGGAGGCCTTGGAAAGATGCTAGCCAGGGCTGATGCCAGTGTCATACAAGTGTTGGGTCTCCCTGGGGCAATGTTCTAGTTGGATGCAGTCTTCCTTTCTTCCCCAGGTCCTGTCTGCTCATCCAGCTCTAGCTGTGGGAGTCAGCTCTGCCTTTGGTGGGGGTTCTGCTACTACCAATTCACGGGTGCTCTCCAGGCAAGCCATCTTGGCTTTTGAAATGTTATTTTCTCATTCATAAAATAAAGATGTTGGCCCGGTCACCAGGTCTGCTTCTCTCTGATGGGTGTCAGGGATGTCTCAGAGGATGCAAGGAGAGTGAGAGAGGTGGGGGAAGCGGGGGAGGCCCCTGAGGGATCAAGCCCTCCTCCCACCCACAGGGCTCCCTGGTCCCTGGGGATTCCCAGCCTGCCCTGCAAAGCCTTCATGGGTGCCCTGGGCGCACCCATGAAGACCCAGGTCCACTGACACCAAGAAAGGAAGGCTTTCCTCCCCTCCGCCCCCAAACCTTGTGCCTTTAAGTGTCTTTGTTTGATCTGAATTCTTGATTGCCGTTGTGGAGGGGTGTGGCTGAGTGGGACTTTTGATCTCGCCTCCCCAGAGTTTCTGGGGTCTGGTTTGGCAGAGAAGTTTGGGGTTAGCAGCAGTCACTGCCATCCGTATGAGGGGGGCGCTCAGGCCCAAATTGATGTCAGGTTCCCGGCCGGGCGGAGTGTTACCTGGAGCTTTGAAGCTTGTAATGTCTCCAGACCGTCTTCTCAAGTCAGCGGCTACAAATGTTAATAAAATTAAAGCCACCTGAGAGTTCAGCTGGGCGATCCTTTGAAAGCAAGTCTGTGATGGGTTATTACCCTCAATTACCTAGTTGTCCACTCTCTTCGCTTGGGGTTAAACTCTTAACTCTTCCCTTTGAAGTCATTATCCTTTTATCTATGACTGGACCAAGGAATTTCAGGACAATAATCAATGGAAACTTCATAAGAATAGAAGACCCGGGAGGGGAAAAGGTGTGAATATCCCTTTAACCGTTGGGGGGAAGGGGGATGGGGGGTGGGGGATGGGGGCCGAGAAGGCCCCGTGTCCCCAACTTGAAGAAGTAAAAAAGGAAGTGGGGGTACCTGATAATGACCCAGCGAGCAATTTTCAGATCTTCTAGAAAATAAAGAGAAAACGATAATTTGGGGGCGATCAGAGAGGTGCAGCCCTCATCAAAGGGGAAGGGAAAGTAATGAAGCAAAAAGACACAATTAAAGAATGGGTTTAATTAGGGCTTTGATGTCTGACATGGTGCATGACACTGTTAAAGGGGGAGGGGGACCAACTATTCAAGCGCCAGGAAATGGCTTATTAAAAAGATCCGTCCCCCAAAGACGCTGCCAGAAAAAGGGGAAACTTCCATGCCGCTTCTCCCACCAAAGAGCAAAGTCAGTTTCACTTAAATCCTCACCATCAGGAGGAAAAAACACCACAACTCTTTTTTTTTTTTCGCAAAAGTCTTTCTGGGTTCCCAGAGGCAGCAGCTCTTTCAGGATTATTATACTTGGTGCTGGCCTCTCCCTGTTTAAAGAGAGAAGGAAAGAGAGAGAGAGGAGAAAAGAAGGAAACAAAACAAAACAACAACAACAAAAAAACGGAGCGTGTGTGCACTAACGAATGTTGGCAATGTGTGTTTCATTTCTCCTTTTCATTTAATCCCATTTGGAATGCTTGTCTACACAGAGAAGACGAAAACACAGGGGGGAAGAGCCAGTCGCACTGGAATGAGCAAGAAGCCTTCTCCAGTAACGAGGAGCTGCCCCAGCTTGGTTTTAGATGTGACAGAGCCGCGTCTGCCCCTCCACCGCGCAGCCCGCACCTCTCAGCCTGACACACACATGCACACACAAACACCGCCAGTTGAGGATTTGAAAGCTCACATTTTGCCCTTGTTACAACTCCCCTACTCCTCATTAAAAAAAGAAATAATAAAATAAAAACTCCTTTTATTGTGTGCAACATCTGGAAAGCTCCCTTCTCCATCTGCTAGGTCCTGACAGTGTTTGCAACCACAAAGCCAGCATCTCCTCCTGCAATGTGTCATGAAGGCTGGGGGTTGGAAGCCCTGGTGAGAAAGCCTGGGAGGGGGTCAGACAAACAGGCCTGCCCTCTGCCTGCTGGATGTTGGAGCCAGCACGGGTCCCCTTGGCCTGGGTTCTGGGGTCTGGGCTTCATGTGACTCTGAGTTTAAGGGAGGCAGCCGGTAGCCCCCTGAGTCTGTTCAGACAGGAAGCAATGGCTGAGCATTCTCATGTTCATAGGAATAACTTGAGTCAGGCCCTCCTGCCAGTGCCGGGAAGAAGGACAAACAGCTTGGAGACCCTAATGTGTATGCTTGGGATTCAATTTGAAATGAGCCTGTTGGGTTTTTATTTCAAAACGCTCCTGTGTTGGGTTTTTATTTCCTCTCTCGTATTTACACACACACTCAGCTAGCACTCTGGGAAAAAAAAAAAAAAAAGACAGCAGGTTTTGAAAAGTAGAGTGGTTTATGTGAAAAGATCAAAATGTTTCTCATACTTTCTCCAAAGGCCTAGGGCTCTTTTCTCCCAGGGACTGAACTTTTTCTCAGAGATAGTAATCCTTTAAAGCCTCAGCCCTCATTTCTTTTAGGTCACTCTTCCATTTCTTGGATTTAAAGAAACCAGAGGGGTCAGAGATGTGGACATGTCACTCAAAATGAGCCACGGGGCTCTGGTCATCCTGCTTTGGGGGATGAGGGTTAGTTAGAATGAGAGCCTGAGTGATGATGGGCTGGTGGACAGAGTCACATGATCCAGGCCCAGCCAATGAGAAGTCACAGAAGTTTAGGATGGCTTGAGCAACGGTCAGGGTGGTGATGTCCTCAGCTGTGATGATCTTGGACACAGTGCCTAGACAGATATGCATGTATTTATATGTGAACCAAATGTGCTGGGCTGTCCAGGATGCTATGATGTATCTGCTCCTAATGAAAGCGAATGCTAAAGTTAGCTCAACAAAAAGCAAACTTCTTCAGATCAAGTGTCATTATTCTAGATACCTAAAAGGGGCTTTATAATACAATTTATGCAGACCCTGGAGGAACTTCTACTTGAATTGGAGGGACTCCTTTGCTTTTCTGCCCAAACTACAACTGCTCAAGCATTTCTACTGTGAAGAAATAAAAGATTTGAAAAGCACGGTAAGGCCAGGCACAGTGTCTCATGCCTGTAATCCCAGCAGTTTGGGAGGCCGAGGAGGATGGATAATTTGAGGTCAGGAGTTCGAGACCACCCTGGCCAACATGGGAAAACCTCGTCTCTACTAAAAAAAAAAAAAAAAAAAAGCAAAAAAATTAGCCGGGTAGTAGTGGCCCACACCTGTAATCACAGCTACTCGGGAGGCTGAGGCATGAGAATCGCTTGAACCTGGGACAGGGAGGTTACAGCGAGCCGAGATCGCACCACTGCACTCCAGTCTGGGCGACAGAGTGAAACCCTGTCTCAAACAAACAAACAAACAAACAAACAAAAAACATGGTAAGCCTAAATTGGCCCACATTAAGAATAACTGTAATCTCTCCTCACTTTAGGATTTTCCATTTTATGGTGGTTTTCTAATCTTTGCATTGTAAGATTAGAATTGGAAAGTAAGATATTTGGGGATCCTTATAGCATCTTATTTTCTATGCGGAGGGGAAAAAAACCATTATGGAGGGCCTGGATTTTGTAAAGAGTTTTTAAATGCCCTGGGTTATTCTAAAAGTTTCTTTCCTCACAAAAGGAAGACGTGACATGAAGTATATATAATTTTTTATTTTTAAAATTTTTTATTTCTTTTTGGGACAGAGAGTCTCACTTTTTCGCCCAGGCTGGAGTGCAGTGGCATAATCTCAGCTCACTGCAACCTCCACCTCCTAGGTTCAAGCGATTCTCCTGCCTCAGCCTCCCAAGTAGCTAGGATTATAGGCATGCAACACCACACCGGGCTAATTTTTGTATTTTTGGTAGAGACGGGGTTTCACCACGTTGGCCAGGCTGGTCTTGAACTCCTGACCTCAAGTGATCCACCCACCTCAGCCTCCCCAAGTGCTGGATTACAGGCACAGCCACCATGCCTGGTCTGAAGTATATTTTTGATGATCCGTTTTGGGACAGTCTCATCTTGGCTTCGGATATGCAATTCTGCTGGGCAGAAAGGACTATGGGGAAAGAGGGCTCTGGGCTGGCACTGAGGCCCCAGGAGTCTAGCTGGGCAACGTTGAAGGCTTTCGGGTAAGTGGGGTCAGGGATTGGCTTGATCCCAGCATCATTTTTCCATATTACCCACTGGAATATGCCAATATTTCACCTTTACATAGTGTTGGTGGCGGGGGCTGTTTGTTTATGTGACAAACATTTCTGCAGCAAGAGAAAACGGATGTTAATTACCAAGTGAAGCTAAACCCCAGTTTACGAAGAGCCTTCTCCAAAAGAAGCTGCAGGCTACAGAGAGAAGTCTTACTTTAGGAACCAAGTAAAAGGCTTTCCTTTCATGTTGTTTGCAGAGAGGAAGTCTTCGTTTGTGATGAGAGTAGGTGTCAGAAACAGGCTCCTATTAAAGGTGGTTTTGCTGGAAGCAGGAGAAGGCCCGAAGCCAGGGATATTCTTTTTAATAAGTCCCCGGCCTCAAAGCAGAAACAGGGCCTTGGTCCCACTCAGGGATGGATGCTTCCCGTCCAGTCTCACACTGGAGGTGGGGTGGGGTGCATGTGAGTGTGTGAGTGTGCGTGAGTGGGGGTGTCATTCTGCGGGAGCAGGGGACACTCCAGAATGCTTTTCACTCTCGTAGAAGGCAAGAGTGAACTTAAGACCCACAGTCCCCAGGGTAAGTCACACCTACCGCCCCAGGAATCCGGGCTTTGCAGAGTTTTCTCTATAGGGTATAGCCCGAGTCCATGCCTCACTCTGCCACATACTGACTGAGGATAGGTTTCCTGGGACAAGTTACCCAATCCCTCCATGCCTCAATTTCCTAGCCTGTAAGACAGAGGAGGACTCCTGCATCATAGGATTGGGGACTTATTAGAGGTGGTGTACTGTCTTTGCCACATTGTATCAGGCACTCAGTATACTCATTATTTTCCCCCCCCCGCCTTTTTTTTGAGACAGAGTTTCACTGTTGTTGCCCAGGCTGGAGTGCAATGGCGCCATCTCAGCTCACCGCAACCTCCGCCTCCAGGTTCAAGCGATTCTCCCGCGTCAGCCTCCCGCGTAGCTGGGATTACAGGCATGCGCCACCACGCCCGGCTAATTTTGTATTTTTAGTAGAGACGGAGTTTCTTCATGTTGGTCAGGCTGGTCTCAAACCCCTGACCTCAGGTGATCCACCCGCCTCGGCCTCCCAAAGTGTTGGGATTATAGGCATGAGCCACCGCGCCTGGCCTTATTTTTCCAACAATTCTTCTGTGTGAACAAAAATAGGTAAGAATGGGTTTTGTTTAGGCTCCAAGACTGTAAGCTTTCTGAGAGTAGGAACTGCATCTCACTCTGTAGCCTCAAGTTCTAGCACACTGCTGGGAGTATGATGGACACTAATACACAGTTGTGGTTGCTGTTATAGATCACTGGAGAACTGCTGTTGGTCAGGAGAGGATAGGGGATGAGAACTACAGTAGTCTTTGCTTTACACAAGCATAAATCTTGGCCGGGTGTGTTGGCTGTAATCCCAGCACTTTGGGAGGTCGAGGCGGGTGGATCACCTGAGGTCAGGAGCTCGAGACCAGCCTGACCAACATGTTGAAACCCCGTTTCTACTAAAAATACAAAATTAGTCGGGTGTGGTGGTGCACGCCTGTAATCCCAGCTACTTGGGAGGCTGAGGCAGGAGAATCGTTTGAACCCAGGAGGCGGAGGTTGCAGTGAGCTGAGATCATGCCATGGGACTCCAGCCTGGGCAACAACGGCAAGACTCCATCTCAAAAAAAAAAAAGCATAATCTTACAGGATTGTTAAAATCGGACCCATTACTTTTATCGAACAGATGGCAAACTTTAAGGACAAGTTGAAGTCTGTGTGTATTAAACAGGGGCATCTACTGATAGAGCTTGGAAATGCAACCTCAGTCTGTTAGATGTTGCAAAGGAGGAGGAAGAGGAGGAGGTTCAGAGTTTAAGGATCCTCAACCCATAGAATCAGTAGAAGAGGAGATAAATGTGGAGGAGGCATTTCAACTTAGGAAGAGTCAAATGCTACCAAGTTCTCAAATTGCTGGTAGTCTGCCACACCTGGGCCATTAAGCACATTCAACATGCCACAGACATCCTTCCCACAAGAATCTGATCCTAGGGAGTGCCTCTGCTTGGCCAGCACTTGAGATAAATCTGCCTCCATCTGCCCTGGCTATCTTGTCTGAGCTTCATGACCCACCACAAACATGTAAAATGACTGACTAGGGCACAATTTCTAATGGTGGCACATTAAAAAATGGGATGTTCCAAGAGCGGTTCAGAACCATGGACTTGATGGATGGTCTGATGGACTGAACTAACCAACTGCAGAGGCTCCTCTCCTCCACCTGGAGACAGTATCTCCAGTCTTGCAATAGAAGTCAATGGGAAAACAGTATTCACTTCGTAGTGATCTTTGCTGGAACCCGTGAGTGTCATGCCCTTGCCTTAGTGTTTGCTCTTGGGAAGAGGCGCTGTGCAGATAATCTGATGAGGTTGTCTATTCACTTGTTTCCATGAACAGTTGCTGAACACCTACTATGTGCTGGGCACTGTGCTAAGGACTGAAGCCCTACTAGAGCACCACAAAAGGGGTACTCTAGGGGACACATTTGTTCTCGTGCTCACCTCGTGTTAGAGTCATTGGAGCAATTCAGCAGTACTGATGATCCCTGGCTAGCCAGGTGGCCGTGGCCAAGCCATTTACATTCTCTGTCAATTAGTTGCTTCTTCAGTAAAGTGAGGGGTTGGACTAGATCATCTCCAAAGTCTCTTTCAGCAAAAACATTCTAAGCATCATGCTCTGTGTGGAAAAGAGCAGGTAATCGCCATCACTCTGGATAAACACAGTGTTACTAAAGGGTGGTAATAAATTTTCTCACTGTCTGTCATAATCATGTTCTGCCACATCATCTCTCTTCACACACAGATGTCTTTTTCCTCTATCAAAAGCCTGCTCCCTCCCTCCTGAGCGCCTCATCACTGTTGGTGCCATCCATTCTGGCAGGCTCCTTATTAGAACTGCCAAAGCACTAAGGCCTTGATGCCATGCCTGTCCCCTGACGCGAAGTGAAACAAGTTAGGTACATGACAGCACATCCACTCTTCTCTGAGCACCTCCTGAAGGGAAGGAGGAAGTTGGGCTATTTGAGGTGGAAGAATAAAGACAGGGAGAGTTCTTTCCCTAAAACAGCCACGTTGATGGCACAGTGGCTCTTCCCAGACGTTCCTCGCCTTTGCAGGGCTTCTGATAGTCACCTGATTGATTGCCTAAAATCTGGGGACTTTCCTGGGAGCTGCTGAATGGCATTTGTTTCCATATCTTTGGAGAAGATTATCAGGCATGAGCCTTAACATCTTAGCATTTTTGTAATTAGTATTTCTCCACTGAAATGGAAATGTCTTCTCTCCTACCCTGTTTTACTAGAACATCGTGTAGGGTAGGTCTTCTGTTGTTCAAAAAAAGAGCGACTGTTTGGAACAGTATGAAATATCTTTAAAGGAACAGTCAAATCATCCATTCAACTAAATAGGAGTCAACTCCCCTAGAAATCACTTCCAAAAACTTCTTTGGAGTATGACATTTTCAAAGCAAAATTCTTTTCTTTTTTCAAAATACCACAAGCAATGCATTGAGTTCAGGGAATACTGCCTGCCAAACTTCAATTTTTATATTTAACCTTTCTTCTTCTTTTTTAATGTCTTGCAAAAACATGCTTGAAACTCTTCAAAAACCTTTTCAGCTTGAAAGTTTGTGAGAGAGTCTTAACTGATGAAATTCTCAGTTCTTAGCTTCCCTGTGTCTTCCCTTCCCCCTCCTTTGGTTAAGGAGAAAAATTATTATTGTCTGTTCACCAAACAAGGTCAACTCTAATCAGCCTGGGAAAGGGACTGGCATTCGGTGCTGGCTGCTGACTTTTCACATCTACATTACCTGAGTGACTCTTAATCAGGTCCCAGTGTATCTTTTTAAAACAAAAACTCATAGGTTCTTGGGCCATTAAGAGTGAGAAACCCTAAAATTGTGATTGTGGTAGAAACATGACATTGAACACACCCAACTCCCCCTGTGTCAGGACAAATAAGCATTGTGTAGTCAAGTTCTGCCAAAGAAATTGAAAATATATCTATAAAGTGGAGCTACTGGCTAGTCAGTAGAAGAATTGAACTTTTAAAAAGGTGTTGATAAAATACTTGTTAGAACAGGAAAATTGGATTAGTGGTGGTGTTCTGGGCATGACGTCCTTTGGGCCAAAAAAAGAAAATGATCATGTTGTTCTATTTTTCCCGGGGCCCAGCAAAGCAGTCTCAGCCCAAACATCAGGCCTCTAATCTTATTTTCTTTTTCTCTAGCATGTATTTTATTAACCCATTTTCTCATTTACCCACTCTGAATAGCTCAGTGGGTAGCATCCTTCTCAGAAAGTGAAAACCTCCTTGGAGATGCTGTGTCGAAGCAGAAATGCACACAAACCCCCACCCTAGTTGCAGCAAAGAAAAGCCCCTTCTGTAATCCTGTCTGGTGAATCCACACATTGTATTCCAGCCTGCCAGGAGTGCTCATGCCTTATTAAAACATGGGCCATCAAGGAATGCAGCTGGCAACAGGCTGGCAGCTTGCAAAGTGATTAACATCTAGGTAGGGATGAAAAGAAGTCCTTCCCATCCAGGGCCCAAGGCAAAGGGTTTCCACATATCTGCCACCTGGCAACAAGCTACTGCCCCAAAATAGGATGGGTCCAGAGCTGATGGTCTTTTGAAGGCATCAAAGTGCAGCTTGCCTTGGACTGCATGTTGTAGGGGATCAGCCATGGGTTTAGATTCAGCCAGGTGACCTGTGTTCACATCTTATTTTTGCTACCATCTTGATTTAATGACCTTCGACAGCCACTTTCCTTCTTGGAGCCAAATTATAGGGGTAGTCCTGAGTCATCGATCTCACTGGACAGATGTGTTGTGAAGAATTCTAGACCCTCGAAATAAAGGGTCTAGAATGCCCAGTTCTAGCACCCTTGGAATACAGATGTAGACATAATGTCCCTATTTCAAAGGCAAAGCCTTAAGGTGGGGAATAGGTATGTATCCCTGCTTCCCCACTACCAATTTCCCATTTTGACTTTTGCAAAAGTCTGTCCCATAGTCTCTTTGCAAAATTGAGATAGGGTGGAGGCTGATGAAGAGCTGCACAGGAAGTGAGCTCACTCAATCAAAACCAACAAACCCTCAGTGCCCACTGTATACCCTAGTCTGTGCCAGTTGCTGGACAACACAACATATACATCATGTTGTACTGGGGAAGACAAAACCGCAATGAGTTAACACTACACTTTCACCAGAATGGCTTAAGTTTTAGAAACTGTCAATACCATGTGTTGGCAAAGATATGAAGCAATGGGATCTCACATACCTTGTTGATAAGGGTGTAAATTCGTTCAACCACTTTGGAAAATTGTTTGGCAATACCTGCTAAAGCTAAACATATGTCTGTCCTATGTCCTGGTAATTCTATTTCTGGTACATATCCAGGGGAAATAATTGTACATGTTCACCAAAAGACATATACAATAATATCCATAGCAGCTATATTCACAATAGTTCCAAATGAGAGAACCAGCTCTATTACTGGAACTGGAACTTGACACAATCTTTATGATCTTTGTCTCTTAATCTTTTATACAATTAACATATCCATTCATTCAAAAAATAAGAAAAATGCTGTGGAGGTGATTCTTTTTTTTTTTTTTTTTTTTTTTTTAGATGGAGTCTCACTCTGTCGCCAGGCTGGGATGCAGTGGCATGATCTCAGTTCACTGCAACCTCCACCCCTCCACCTCCTGGGTTCAAGTGATTCTCCTGCCTCAGCCTCCTGAGTAGCTGGGATTACAGTCACATGCCACCACGCCCAGCTAATTTTTGTATTTTTAGTAGAGACAGGGTTTCACCATGTTGGCCAAGATGGGCTCAATCTCTTGACCTCGTGATCCGCCCACCTCAGCCTCCCAAAGTGCTAGGATTACAGGCGTGAGCACTGCACCTGGCTTTTTTTTTTTTTTTTTGAGATGGGGGTCAGAGTATCACTCTGTTGGCCAGGCTGGAGTGCAATGGCACCACCTCGGCTCACTGCAACCTCTGCCTCCTAGGCTCAAGCGATTCTCCTGTCTCAGCCTCCTGAGTAGCTGGGATTACAGGCACGTGCCACCACACCCAGCAGCTAACTTTTGTATTTTTAGTAGAGACGGGGTTTCACCATGTTAGTCAGGCTGGTCTTGAACTCCTGACCTTGTGATCCACCTGCCTTGGCCTCCCAAAATGCTGGGATTACAGGCATGAGCCACTGCGCCCGGCCTGTGGAGGTGATTCTTATGCCTTGGAACATCTAGGATGTGTGTATGTTTCTGTGTGTGTATGTTGGAGGGGGTGGTGTCAAGGAAAATGGCATCCAAGGGGATGGTTGGGTCTGTTCCTATTTGAAATCTTTCTATGCATCTGTGGGGGTATGGCATTGGGATAAACACTGGGGATTCTTCATGGTAGAGACCTCACCATCTGTGCTTCTGAGGCACTGGGGCCAAGAAAGCATCTTGCACAAAATCAAAAGTCAGC
Organism: Homo sapiens; assembly: GCF_000001405.40. NCBI lineage: Eukaryota > Metazoa > Chordata > Mammalia > Primates > Hominidae > Homo > Homo sapiens. Next base: position 65,603,438 of record NC_000017.11, read on the forward strand.
AAATGTTGACCTGAACTGAATTCCCTGCTCTCAGAGATCTTATAACATTGTCATAGAACAACAACAACAACAACAACAACAACAAAATTTCACCCAGAAACACTGCAATTTATGGCAAATCATTTAGTCCCAGTTGAAAACAGCTGTGTGGTATGGTACTTTGGGCATTAAAAAATTTACACCTGTCTTAGTCCATTTTGTGTTGCTATACCAGAATACCATAGACTGGGTAATTTATAAAGAAGAAGAATGTATTTCTCACAGTTCTGGAAGCTGGGAGTTCAATATTAAGGTGTTGGCATCTTGTGAGGGCTTTCCTGATGCTTTCTCCCATGGTGGAAGACGGAAGGGGAAAGGGCAAGAGAGCAACAGAGCGAGCAAATGGAGCTGAACTCATTTTTATACCAAAGCCACTCTGGTGATAACTAACCCACTCCTGAGATAACAACATTAATCCACTCATGAGGGCAGAACTCTTATGACCTAATCACCTCTTATTAGGCCCCACCTCCCAACACTGCTGCATTGGGAATTAAGTTGCTGACACATGATCTTTGAGGGGTGCATTCATACCATAGCAACATCTAATCTTAGATCCATCACTAACTGGCTATGTGATATTGGGTAAGTCTCTTCTTATAATTTGGTCTCAGTTTCCTCATCTTCAAATGATGAGGGCCTAGCCATATGACCTAGATTTTCTTGCTGTGGTCAAACAAGAACATGAATGTGTTTGTAGTTCACAGATAGCAAAGGGGTCCTTGCTGACACTTCTGCTTGGGGACTTGAATTGAAGCTCAAAGCTGCAGGGTGACGTTGGCCTGAGTCAGCTTCCTTCCACAGGAAACTTGCAGGTGGTCAGCTGCAGCTCAGCCCGGGCATGAGATCCACTGGGAGGAAGGGGATCCCCTGGCCCACTCACTTCTCCGATGCATATTCATGAGGACAGCCAGTCACCCGAATGATGAGGATGTGTTTGTGGAATCTGTTTGGTCCTTTCTAAAGCTCTAATCCCTTCAGGATTCAAGGTGGCACAGGAGCAGTAGTGTTGATGATGACAATCTGGAAATAGCAGCCATTACTTCTTGAGCACCTCCTGTGTGGCGCGTGGCACTTTATAAACCTGGTGGGTGCCAGCAAAAGCTGACTACGCATCTCAGACTCATCACAATCAAAACCGAGCTCCTGGTTGTTCCTCTCAATCTGCTCCACCTGCAGTCTTCTCATCTCTTTTTGGGAAAACTACCTGCTTTGGGTTGCTCAGGCCAATCATTTTGTTTTTTGTTTTCTTTTTTTTTTTTTTTGAGATGGAGTTCCCTCTGTCACCCAGGCTGGAGTGCAGTGGTGTGAACTTGGCTCACTGCAACCTCTGCCCCCACGTTAAAGCAATTCTCCTCCCTCAGCCTCCTGAGTAGCTGGGATTACAGGCGCCTGCCACAAAGCCCGGCTAATTTTTGTATTTTTAGTAGAGATGGGGTTTCACCATGTTGGCCAGGCTAGTCTCGAACTCCTGACCTCAGGTGATCCACCTGCCTCGGCCTCCCAAAATGCTGGGATTACAGGCGTGAGCCACCATGCTCGGCCAGGCCAGTCATTTTGGAGCTTGCATTTTCTCTGTCACACGACACATCTCATCCATCAAGAAATCCCATCACAACTGATGTGACACCATGGGCTGTGACTGCACTGCTCTTCCAAATGCCTAAGTCGGCCTCTCATAACAATAGTGATGTATTTGCTACCCTTTGTTTTTTAACAAATCAAAGAAAAGGCATTTTAGTGGTTCACTAATTCAATTGACTAAACAAAGCCACACGACCATGGCTTCAGGCCACATCACGCTCAGCTCTGCAATTTTCTAGTCGGTGAACTCGGGCCAAAGCCCCCTTCATAAGTTCACTGTGGTTGCCTTACCCCATCCACCCCAACTGGCCTTGACCTAAGGATGTCCCCAAATGCTTCCACTTTTGCTTTGCTTCTGTCTGCAAATCTCCCCTCCTCCACCTTCCACAAGAGCTTGGGGAGGCTTGGCATTGCGTGGTCTCTTAGGATGAAATTCCTCAAACTCAGTCTCCACAATATCTGTGGGCAGTGTCTCTTCATTTCCTCAAGGATCAGAGAGCGGGGATTAAATCTCATGGTGTCAGGGCTGGAGGATAGCTGACTCTCAACCCAAATCCCTTCTGCCAGCACTAACCAACTCCATAAGGAAAAAGCCCACTTATTACATTGCATTGGGAATTAAGCTGCTGACGCATGATCTTTGAGGGACACGTTCACACCATGATACCTTGGAATATCTAGAGTATGTGTATATTTCTGTGTGTGTATGTTGGAGGGGGTGGTGTCAAGGAAAACAGCATTCAAGGAGATGGCTGTGTATGCTCCTATTTGAAATTTTCCTAAGCATCCGTGGGGACAGGGCATTGGGATAAACACTGGGGATCCTTCATGGTAGAGACCACATCATCTGTGGTGTGTGTCGGGACTCACCATAATTCTTAGGTCACCCATGAGAGATGCTGCCACTGAAGGGGGAGGGGTATTTGAATTGGATACACAGGTTGTAGATTTAAAGGCAATGCTTGCTATGTTTTCAAAACGGAATTTTAAAATGAAGTTTGAAAAGTCCTGTTGATTTTCAATTAGAAAAATTTCATCTTGGGCTGGGCGCGGTGGCTCATGCCTGTAATCCCAGCATTTTGGAAGGCTGAGGCGGGCGGATCACGAGGTCAGGAGTTCGAGACCATCCTGGCCAACATGGTGAAACCCTGTGTCTACTAAAAATACAAAAATCAGCTGGGCGTGGTGGCGGGCACCTGTAATACCAGCTACTCGGGAGGCTGAGGCAGGAGAATCATTTGAACCCTGGAGGTGGAGATTGCAGTGAGCTGAGATCACACCATTGCACTCCAGCCTGGGCGACAGGATGAGACTCCATTTCAAAATAAATAAATAAATAAATAAAATTTCATGTTAACCTCTGGTCCCTTTTGGTCATTATGAAGACACAGTGAATGGTATAACAGGATCTTTATTTAAATGGATTTGGTTGTACAATGCTCCCTGGGATCTGGAAGCGAAGGAGGATGGATCGTAAAGTACTTTTCATTTGAAAAAATGATGTGCTCTGGAGTGGAAGTGAGGACAAGCTGGGGTTGGGGGTGGAAACTTTGAAGGGGTAGGAGGCAGAGGACTGATTCTAGGAGTCAATTTTAGGGATTTTGATAAAAGGTGTATTTGCCTGCCAGCCCCAAATGTCTGCTCATCTTGGGACTCTGAAGAAAGATTTTTTCTGGGCTAGGGTGATGTGTCACCTTGGAGGGGAAGAGGCAGTGCTAGGCTTAGTACAATGAGGGGTAGGGTAGGTGTAATATCCCTATTCTGCAGGCGGAGAGACTAAACTCAGTGTGACCAAGTTGCCTCCCAAGGTTGCAGAGTTAGTCAATGGCAGAACCAGACCTAAAGGCAGCTCAGGCTTGAGTCAGGTCTGAGCCATGCTCTACCCTGGTCAGGTGCGTGCTGGTTCCTTAGGTTTCTTAGGAGCAGATTCTTATCACCCACAGTCCCCTGGCCAGGAATGGGCCAGTCCCAGGCTGAGCCGTAAGTGAAGAGAGTGATGAGGAAGAGTCTGGGTTGTGGGATGGTGGTGTTGGGCAGGGGACGTCTCAGTAGGAGGGCCCTGGATTGAGTGCCTTCCTGTGTATTCCTAAGAACCTGGTGTTGAGACCCCGGGCTTGGCGGGGTGGGGCAGGGCACCAAAGCAGAGAAGCACACTGGAAAAGTAAACGGCGTCCTCCTCCTCATTGCCATCGCTCCTGTCGCCGTGTGTGGGGTGCTCTGCAGGTGCTAGGCCCTGGCTTGGCATGATGGGCACCACTGCCTTTAATCCTACAGCAACCACAGGTTTTCTGACCTAAGGAGTGAGGCTTACGAGGGAGGGGTAGGGGATCTGAGGACAGTGCCTCTGTTTCTTTGCTGGCACCAAGGGCTGGCAGACACGACTGCACAAGTTCTTATGAGAAGTGGGTATCTGGGAGAGCTTCCCTTTAGGCTGGGAGATGCAGAGGCAAGGATGTGTTCCGTTCATTCCCAATGCAAGGGGTAATGAGAGCAAAAGAAGCATCTGCAGGAAAGAGGGCACCACCTGGCAGCTCCAAGTTCACACTGGACTTTGAAGCAGTGCAGGCCCCAACTATTCATTCCTCCCCCATAGACAGCCAAATGGCCATACTGTGCAGGGGGTCCCCTACCTTCACAGATTTATTTCCCCAGTATCAACAGCAGAGGCAGGGACACACCTCATGAACAGCTCATAGGAAACCTCATTCCACCACAAGGCATCCGCTCCCACCCACCAGAAAAGGCTTCAAAGCGGCAACCAAACCTTGATCTAGTGGCCAGTTTGGGCACATTCCCTCCTCCCGGGTGACTTCCTTCTCTATTCTTTATAAGAAATTCTTGTAAAGCTCTATAAAGTCTAAAATGAGGGCCAGGCACGGTGGCTCACACCTGTAATCCCAGCACTTTGGGAGGCCAAGGCGGGCGGATTACCTGAGGTCAGGAGTTTGAGACCAGCCTGGCCAACATGGTGAAACCCCGTCTCTACCAAAAAAAAAAAAAAAAAAAAAAAAAAAAAATTAGCCGGGCATGGTGGCGGGCACCTGTAATCCCAACTACTTGGGAGGCTGAAGCAGGAGAATCGCTTGAACCCAGGAGACGGAGGTTACAGTGAGCTGAGATCATGCCACTGTGCTCCAACCTGGGCAACAGAGTGACACTCTGTCTCCAAAAAAAAAAAAAAAGAAAAACCAAGAAGTGTGACATCGGAAGGTCTTCTAACAGTGGTTCTCATCCTGGATGCACCTTTGAATCATTAAGAAGTTTTAAAAACATTCGCAACCCCAGCCCTGAGCTTTTAATTTAATTGGTCTGCAGTGGGCTCCAGGCCTGGGTGTGTCTTAGAAGCTCCTCAGGTGATTTTGATGTGCAGCCCAGGGTGAGAGGCACTGTGCCCTCTCCCTAAGTTAGTAGAAGTCCTCATCAGGCCCTGCTGCATCATCACGGCTGCTTCTCCTTGAGAGATAACCTCCCAGACTCATTTCTTCATCTGAAAAGAAAAGCTAAGGGACTCTACCTCATAGAATGGCCATGAAGAGGGTTCAGGGAGCAATGCCTGTAAAAGGGCCATGCCCTCCAAAAATAGATGATTTACAATCAGAACTGATCCACACTTGAAAACCTTGAGTTCAAAGTTTTCATGTTTTATGTTGTTCAAGAACAGGCCGGGCACGGTGGCTCATGCCTATAATCCCAGCACTTTGTGAGGCCAAGACGGATGGATTGCTGAGCTCAGGAATTTTAGACCAGCATGGGCAACATGGCAAAACCCCATCTCTACAAAAAAAGAAATACAAAAATTAGCCAGGCATGGTGGTGCACACTTGGGAGCACTCCCATGCTACTTGGGAGGCTGAGGTAGGAGGATCCCTTGAGCCCAGGAGGTTGAGGCTGCAGTGAGTCGTGATCATGCAACTGCACTCCAGTTTGGGTGGCAGAGTGAGATCCTGTCTCAAAAAAATAAAAATAAAAAAGAATAAACACAGCCAGTGACTCAGGAACTGTCTACACCCCGTTTTTCACCTCTGTGTAAACTATAGAAAGTGGGGCTCCAGGCTTATTCTGAAGGAAACCTGCCTCCTGACTTTCAAGGGTTTGGAAGCTGCTGGCTTCTGAGATATGATTTGCACATTATGCTCTCCTGGAGCATTTTATTTTAAGCAAAACGAAAAAGAAATGTAACATTTTGAATCTGTCTTTGGCCACAGAGAGAATCAAGCTTGGAAAAGAGGGGGCTCAGCTTCTTTCCTTCCTGGCTGCCCTAGGAACCAGAAACATTCCATCCACATCTCTCCTCAGCTGTTTTTCCATCATCTCCAAACAGAAAATCAGAGACATCAGCAATGTGAAAGCCAAATCCTATGGGTCTGAGGTGTTGTGAAGGGATCCAGTTTTAATAATGTCCCAGTGTGGGGACATCTGGCTGGACATCAAAGATCTGTTGATTGCTTCACACTTTCCCCACCCATTGCTCAAGGTTAGCTACTTATCTGCTTCCTAAGATTTTGTCATAGAGTTTTGGCGTTACAAAGACCCAAGAGATACAGATCACGGGCTCACATAATGCAATCTCCCATCTCCCACTGCTTTCCTGACACCACTGCTCCAGGACTTAGAGGAATGAGGGCCCGCTACCTTCAAGGACAAGGGAAGACCTACCTCAAATGGTAACTCTAACCTCGCAAATAATGGGAAAGGCTGCAGCTTCCTCATGGATCCTTTCCCAACTGCCCAGAGGAATCTCTCTCCAGAGAACTGGGAGGAAACCAAGGGCCCAGGCATGGAACAATCAACAGTGAGCGAAGCCATTTGGAAGGGATGCCAGGACTCCCCTCTTGCTATTCCCACTCCATTTCTCAAACTCTTACCCAAGAGCAAACTCTTGCACATACCACTGTTTGGGACCCTGGCCAAGTGCTGTTCTCCTATAAAATGTCTTATCAGATGGTTTATGAAATTAAGCTTTGTTGCTGTATCCTACACTTCCAAACACACACTGTTCCCACGGCCATGGCAGACTAAGCCTTTCAACCCTTCTACAACCCAAGACACATAAAATCCTGAAGAAACTAGTAGATGGACATTGGCCCATGAGTGACCATTGTAAAGAAAAAAGACTTGGCTCATCTCACCATGGGTTAAGTTGATGTGTCTAATACTCCACAGTAAGCTGTGGGTGTGTATTTGTCTGTTCTTGCACTGCTATAAATAAATACCTGAGACTGGGTAATTTATAAAGAAAATAGGTTTAATTGGCTCATGGTTCTCCAGGCTACACAGGAAGCATGGCTGGGGAGGCCTCAGGAAACTTACAATCATGGCGGAAGGTGAAGGGGAAGCAGGTACGTCTTCACATGGCCAGAGCCGGAGGAAGAGAGATCTTCTGATAACTCACTCATTAGCATAAGAACGGCACCAAAGGAGAAATCTGCCTGAATGATCCAATCACTTCCCACCAGGCCCCACCCCCAACATCGGTGATTACAATCTGACATGAGATTTGGGTGTGGACACAGACCCAAACCATATCAGGATGTCAGGGAATAAGCAACAGGAAAGAGACTTTGAAGCCAAAAACTTGGATTCTAGACCTAATTTTAGCAACTAGGTAGCTGACCTTTGATCTCAGAAAAATCATTTTACCTTAGAGATTCTCAGCTTTCTCATTTGTAAAAAAAAAAAAAAAAAAAAAAAGTGTGGGGGCATTATTAATACCAGCTATAAGGGTTTGTCCACACCTTTGGGAAAATTGAGTTAATGGATGAAACAAGATTTTTATAATGATAAAGTCAAATGAAAGGGAGGTGGTATGTTTAATTCCTAAGACAGGAAGACATTATAACAAAGGGGACCAATTCTGGAAAGAAATGAAGGCCTTGGGTCAAAGAACCAAGAAAAGGTTTTTTTTAAATATATGAAAGTAAAAGGAAGGAAAACAAGGGAAAGGCTTCTGGTTGGCCACAGGTCAGTAGAAGCCAAAACAATAGACTTTGAGTGGTTGCAAGGAGCAGAAACTCCTCTGTCAGCCTTGAATAGGCGGGTGGCATCACCAGCACATCAGCCCCATTCCTTTGCTAGCTCTGAGCTTTAACTCCTGTCAATGGGAATCTTCTTGGATGAGGCCAGGCCACAGATCACTGGCCCAGTGACTGAGAAGGGGGCTGGGTTGGCTGCAGCTAGAACAGGGGCTAGGGGAAGGGCAGGTCCCCTAAAGAGGGTGCTGTGAGTATGGCAGGTGTCTTGAGATTTAACCTGACACAGCAACCAGGAAAGTATACGTACCCCTAAGCTGCAGTGATACATGTACAGGATCCAGATCAAAGCAGGTAGAACCGGCTGGGCATGGTGGCTCAAGCCTGTAATACCAGCACTTTGGGAGGCCAAGGCAGGCGGGTCACCTGAGGTTGGGAGTTTGAGACCAGCCTGGCCAACATAGTGAAACCCCACCTCTACTAAAAATACAAAAATAAGTTGGGTGTGGTGGCGTGTGCCTGTAATCTCAGCTACTCAGGGGCTGAGGCAGGAGAATCGCTTGAACCTGGGAGGCGGAGGTTGCAGTGAGCCAAGATAGTGCCATTGCACTCCAGCCTGGGTGACAGAGTGAGACTCCGTCTCAAAACAAACAAAACAAAGGGGACAGAACTCATTCATTCATTCTTCAACAAACATTTATTGAAAGTCTACTATGTGCCAATTCAAATTTTATATCTTTGCTTTCAAAGAGCTCAAAGTCCAGGGAGACCCGGAAATAAACTATTATCACACACACAGTGCATTAGGAGCTACGAGAGTGATGTGGACATCACATTGCGGGAATCAGAGCAGACGTTCTTTATCCTGAGGAGGTGATGGTTGATACAAGCTGAGTCCCGAGGAATGGGTGGGCATTAGCCAGGGGGCTGCCTGGAAAAGGTAGCTCCAGACAGAGGGAATGGCATGTGACAATACCACAAGGCATGAGGCCACATGGCCTCGCCAGAAAGCTGTAAGTCATGTAGCAAGGCAGGGATGCCTGTGGGTGGGACAGTAGAGGTGGCTGCTGGGGGTAAGACTCCTTCGCTTGGGAAATACTGAAATTAGTACCTGTGAAGTGCCTGCTAGATGCCAGGCTCTGTCAATACAAAGATGGAAACAATACAACTCTGCCCTTAGGGAGTTTCGTCCAGTTGGGGAAGACATCCAGGCATGGACAATATTGTGTGCATAGGATGTGCTCATTGCCTGCTATGGACTCACAGAGGAGGCAACTCAGGTTGTAAAGGATATTGAGTACTATGATGCGGAGAATGGCCTTGATTAAGATCAGCTAGACCAGGGGCTAGGGGAAAACGGAGATTAAGGAGTGCAGGCAGGAGAGTAACAGGGTGAGAGCTGGGTTCCCAGAAGATAGGCTGGAGACGGTGGGGAAAATGGACAGCAGAGCAGTGAGGCTGCTGAAGAAGCTACTGCAATAGTTGAGAAATCACAGAGGCTTGGGCTACGGTGCTGACAGTGAAGACAGAGAAAAGGAGAAGAGCCAGAAAGCTCTGTAGACGCTTGAACTTGCAGAAGCTGGGAACTAATTAGATGTAAGCATGAAGGGAAAAACAGGGTTCAAGCATCTGTTGGGCTTCTGATGTGGGTAACTAGTAAAGGGGACAAGTTTAGTTCTAGACATTTTGAAATTCAGTCGCTCACTGCGCATGAGGGTGGAGACATCCAGTAGTTAGTTGAAGAAATGGCTCTAAGTTCAGAAGAAAGGCCTGGGTGGGTGTCATAGTTGATGGGTAAAAGTTGAAGCTTGGATACGGAAATGATCCTATATGGAATGAGGTCTACAGAAACCAACAATTAAGGAAAGCAGGAGGCCGGGTGCAATGGCTCCCAGCACTTTGGGAGGCCGAGGCGGGTGGATCACCTGAGGTCAGGGGTTTGAAACCAGCCTGGCCAACATGGTGAAACCCTGTCTCTACTAAAAATACAGAAATTAGCCAGGTGTGGTGGTGGGTGCCTGTGATCCCAACTACTCAGGAGGCTGAGGCAGGAGAATTGCTTGAACCCCAGAGGTGGAGGTTGCAGTGAGCCAAGATCATGCGCCACTACACTCCAGCCTGGGTGACAGAGTGAGCCTCCATCAAAAACAAACAAACAAACAAAAAAAAACAAAAACAAATGCAGAAGAGAAGCCCATAAAGGAGACTGCAATGGCAGAGACATGGAGGCAGTGGGTGGGGGTCGAGGTGAACCAGCCAAAGGAGAAGAGTTTGAGAGAGTAGAGAGTGGAAGAAAGGCAGGTGAGGCAAAACTGGGGATATCCTTTGGATTTGACAATGTTGTAACTTTAGCAAGAGCAGTCTCAGTAGTTACAGGCATGGGAAGCGAGTCTTTAGTGGGTTGAAAAGTAAGAGAACAGTTGGAGAGCGGAGACCTATGTGTAACAGCTTTTAAGAAAAGCATGGCTGAAGGGAAGAGAGTAACCCAGACCATGTCTGGAAGAAGGCGTTCAGTGGGCACCGCTTTTTTTTTTTTTGAGATGGAGTTTCACTCTGTTGCCCAGGCTGAAGTGCAACAGCGGGATCTTGGCTCACTGCAACCTCCGCCTCCCGGGTTCAAGCGATTCTCCTGCCTCAGCCTCCCGAATAGTTGGGATTACATGCACCCGCCACCATGCCTGGCTAATTTTTGTATTTTTAGTAGAGACAGGGTTTCGCCATGTTGGCCAGGCTGGTCTCGAACTCCTGACCTCAGGTGATCTGCCCGCCTTGGTCTCCCAAAGTGCTGGGATTACAGGAATGAGCCACTGTGCCCGGCCTGGGCACCACTTTTTAAGAGGATGATCAGCAAACCAAGTGTGCCCAGGAGGTCCCACAAGTGGATGAAGGATCTGGAAACAATGGCACTTAGGAGCTACTAAAAGAACTGAGGATTCTTCATCTGAGATGGTGGTTGAGGGAGCCTTCTTCAAATACCCAAATGCCTGTCATAAGGGAGAAGAACTCATTTCCTTTTAGGTATTCCTAAAGAGCAGAAATAGGACTAATGGGTAGAAGTTACAGGAAGGACAATTTTGAGCCAATATAAAGAACAGCTTCCAACCAAGAAGCGTTTCCAACAATGAAATGGATTGTCTTGGAAGATAAAAATTTTACCTTTTGACTGGAAGCCTTTAGCTGATTCAAGACCAGCACATGATGATGCTGGGGAACCATCCAGAAGCAGCCTGACTTGGATGCTACTTTTCCATCATCCATTGAATCCCACCCCTCCGTCCTGGGCCTCATTCCACAAGAGACGGAGCCAGAAGTGACCTTAAGGGCTCCTGGCAACCTAGAGATTTTATGAGCCTAAAAAGTTTCTAGGCCGGGCGCAGTGGCTCACGCTGTAATTCCAGCACTTTGGGAGACTGAGGCGGGTGGATCGCCTGAGGTTAGGAGTTCGATACCAGCCATGGAGAAACCCCATCTCTACTAAAAATAGAAAATTAGCAGGGAGTGGTGGCTCATGCCTGTAATCCCAGCTACTTGGGAGGCTGAAGCAGGAGAATTGCTTGAACCCAGGAGGCAGGGTTTGCGGTGAGCCGAGATCGCGCCATTGTACTGCAGCACGGGCAACAGGAGCGAGACTCTGTCTCAAAAAAAAAAAATTCTAATTAAAAGCATGCAAATGAGGAAATCAATCCACTGCAAGCTTCACCTGTGGGCCAAAGCCTGTCTGCTGTCTGTTTCTGTGAATAAAATTGTACTGCAATGCAGATATACATGGTCGATGACTGCATTTGCACTGCAACTGCAGAATTGAGTAGTTGCAACAGACAGCATATGGCCTGAGGCTGAAAACATTTGCTATCTGGCGCTTTATAGAAAAAATTCGCTGACCTCCTCTCTACATCCCTGAGATAGAATGGTTGAACACACTGGTCTCCCAGTCTAAGCTATACATCTAGCTGAGATTTCTCAGCTTATCTTAGACTTAGTATACATCTTTGGGAACCTGAATTTGTAACACAAAAAAAGAGACCAACAGAGACTCAGGCCTGGAGCTGTCAAACAAACCCAACTACAGGCGCATGTTTTATTAGGTTCAGGCTGGGTTACAAATACCAACTGTGCAAGGCAAACTTTGCATACTCCTTTTTTTTTTTTTTTTGAGATGCAGTCTCACTCTCTTGCCAGGCTGGAGTGCAGTGGTGCAATCTTGGCTCACTGCAACCTCCACCTCCTGGGTTCAGGTGATTCTCCTGCCTCAGCCTCCCGAGCAGCTAGGACTACAGGTGTGTGCCACCAAGCCCGGCTAATTTTTGTATTTTTAGTAGAGACGGGGTTTCACCATGTTGGTCAGGATGGTCTTGATCTCTTGACCTCGTGATCTGCCCGCCTTGGCCTCCCAAAGTGCTGGGGTTACAGGCGTGAGGCACCACGCCTGGCCCGCACTCTTAAGGTAGAAACAAAATAGCCAAAGGAGTCCGGCAGCTTCCCTCAAAGGGGGATGAAGGGGCTTTCTAAACCACACAGACTTGGGTCAGATTTGACGGAAGGGAGTTCTAGCCAAATTCAGAGAATGTTTCTTCCTCCTGGGTCTACTCTATGGCTAACAGCGACGCAGACAAGAGTTCTTGTACAGAGTGTCCAAAATCTGCTCTGTACTGCAATCTAAGAGGGTCTGCTCAGCCATGGGCTTCTGGAAGGTGTATAAATAGGCCTACCTTTCTGACCTGAGTTTTCTCTTCCCTGTAACATTGGGATTGGCTGTTTTCACCAGGAAGTGGCCTTTTCTTTACTCCCGTCCAATTCCACAGAAGTCCATGCTCCCTTACACTTGAGAATATGAAGCTGAGCCTGTAGCTACTCTGATGGGGTTGCACTCATGCAAGGCTGGGAAGGACACGCACTGACCTTACATATACCAGTGTTTCTCCAATGGAACACACTGTTCTAGAAAGGGGACAAGTTCTCACTCATCCTGAATCCTGGATCATTACAGCTACTCTTCCTTGAACTCTCAGGTTAGGAGACAGCACTTCTCCTGGGCTCCTATTTAGAACCCTCTTATGAAATGTACCACCAAATCCTATACATTACAGGTATTTATATACCACTTTATTATTTTTTTTCTAGACTGTGACCTCCCTGGGCACGGGACTTCTGCCTAATTCATCTTTGAATCAGTGCCTGACACACAGAGGATGTGTCTTGAATATACACAGAATGAATCATGGAATCTTTTTTTATTTTTTTCAGATGGGGTCTCACTCTGTTACCCAGGCTGGAGTGCAGTGGTACGATCACAGCTTACCACAGCCTCGACCTCCCTGGGCTCAGGTTATCCTCCCACCTCAGCCTCCCAAGTAGCTGGGACTACAGGCATTTGCCACCATGCCCAGCTAATTTTATCATTATTATTTTGTAGAGATGCAGTCCCAGTATGTTGCCCAGGCTGGTCTCAAACTCCTGGGCTCAAGTAATCCTCCTGCTTCAGCCTCCCAGTGTTGGGATTACAGGCATGAGCCACTGCACCTGGCCTGAATCACTAAATCTTTTTTTTTTTTTTTTGGAGACAGAGTTTCGCTCTTGTCGCCCAGGCTGGAGTGCAATGGCATGATCTCGGCTCACTGCAACCTCCACCTCCCGGGTTCAAGCAATTCTCCTGCCTCAGCCTCCCAAGTAGCTGGGATTTCAGGCACATGCCACCACGCCCAGCTAATTTTTGTATTTTTAGTAGAGATGCGGTTTCGACATGTTGGCCAGGCTGGTCTCAAACTTCTGACCTCAGGTGATCCGCCTGCCTCGGCCTCCCAAAGTGCTGGGATTACAGGTGTGAGCCACTGTGTCGGGCCTCACTGAATCTTAAAATCTGCTAAGTAGTGGCCACCTGAATAGGCTACACCAAAGGGAAAAACTGGCCTCATTCCAACCAGGGTCAATCACTCTACAGGGGGCTGGGAGAACTGGGAGAAATCCATCTCATTAGATAATTATGACTGTGCCCAAATTTGTGACTGGCCAGTTTGGCAACACTAGGCACAGGCTGTGTATTCATCTACCTGCAGGATGAATCTTGGATGAAAAATTAAATGAGGCATGTTATTCTTATAAAGCAAAGGAAGGAAATGAGGAGTCTGAACATGAGCGGTGTATTAGTCCATTCTCACGATGCTATAAAGACACACCCAAGACGGGATAATTTATAAAGGAAAGAGGCTTAATGGACTCACAGTTCCACATGGCTGGGGAGACCTCACAATCATGGCAGAAGGCAAAGGAGGAGAAAAGTCATGTCTTACACGGTGGCAGGCAAGAGAGCATGTGCAGGGGAACTGCCCTTTATAAAACCATGAGATCTCATAAGATTTATTCACTATCATGAGAACCAAACAGAAAACCCTTTCCCCATGATTCAGTTACCTCCCACCCGTCCCTCCCATGATTATGGGAGCTACAATTCAAGATGAGATTTGGGTAGGGACCCAGCCAGACGATATCAAGCAGACTGGAAAACGTTCCCTGAGTTGGTGAATGAGAAAGGGAACTGGTTACGGCCTGGGCAGACGAGGTAAAGTACACCATGCCATGGAGAGTGTGCAGCTCCCACAGTGGTATGTGGAAGGCACTGTGCCCTCTGTCGAGGAACGTGGCCCAGTCTGTCACCCAACTTCTCCTAGACGGTGTGGGTCACTTCTTAGCCAACTCCGTCCTCAGAGTGGTACTGAACCGTTGATGAAGGGTACCTATCTGCCAAAGGAGCAGCCACGTGGGCCGCTTGCTAAGCTGATCTGAGGAAAGGAATCTTCCAGACACATTCTTGGAAAGTTCTTGATTCAGCAAAGGCCATTTTCTCTGACTACCCAACAGCTCTACTCTTTCCACCCTTCTTGGGTTATTACAATGAAAAGTTCTACATGTTTTATCTTTATAAAAGTTGGAAGAAGTGAATTTAACAATTCTTGGTTCCAGATTCACTAAATAAAGACAAACAATCCTCCACAAGCTAATTGGTTACCAAGCTGGTAACAAGTTAAATTATTCTTATTTTTTTCTTTCTTTTTTTTTTTTTTTTTGAGACAGAATCTCACTCTGTCACCCAGGCTGGAGTGCAGTAGTGTGATCTTGGCTCACTGCAACCTCTGCCTCCTGGGTTCAAGCGATTCTCCTGCCTCAGCCTCCCAAGTAGCTGGGACTATAGGTGCCCACCACCACGCCCGGCTAATTTTTGTATTTTTAGTAGAGATGGGGTTTCGCCACATGGGCCAGCCTGGTCTTGAACTCCTGACCTCAGGTGATCCGCCTGCCTCAGCCTCCCAAAGTGCTGGGATTACAGGCGTGAGCCACTGTGCCCAGCCTGAAATATTCCTTTTTGAAGGCTTTTCTTCATGGGCTGAACTGGTTGAATTTTCTAAAAATATGAGCTCAATGATGTCGGGCAGAAAATATTACCTTCATATCAGCATTTTTCATTGATCCAAGGGCCTTGGCATTGCATTCAAAATTAGAGTCATCTCTAGAAAATAGTTACTGTGGACTTACTGTGCATGGATGATCTAGAAATCCATTGAATGGTAACTGCAGGAAGAGAAAAATTCCCTTGTCTCCTTCATTGATTTTTCTGCACAATTCTTTGATGCGTCTGAATAGGTTTTTAAAGCTTTCTCTTGTCTGTTGACATCAAGCCAACAAGTTCATTTTTGGAAGTGATGAAACACTGCTTTGGTGGTGCTAAAAATGTCTACATGTTCTCATGTGTTTAGAAGAGAATTTGTTCTAGGCCAGGCACAGTGACTGGTGCCTGTAATCCCACCACTTCAGGAGGCTGAGGCAGGTGGATCACTTGAGGCCAGGAGTTGGAGACCAGCCTGGCCAAAATGGTGAAACTCTGTCTCTACTAAAAAATACAAAAATTAGCTGGGTGTGGTGCTGTGTGACTGTAGTCCCAGCTACTCAGGAGGCTGAGGCAGGAGAATCATTTGAACCCGGGAGGCCAAGGTTGCAGTGAGCTGAGATCATGCCACTGCACTCCAGCCTGGACGACAAAGCGGGACTGTGTCTCGAAACAAAACAAAACAAAACAGAACAAAACAAAAATTAGGTGGACATGGTGGCACGTGCATGTAGTCCCAGCTACTCAGGAGGCTGAGACAAGAGAAATGCTTGAACATAGGAAGCAGAGGTTGCAGTGAGCCGAGATTGCGCCACTGCACTCCAGACTGAGCAACAGAGTGAGACACTGTCAAAAAAAAAAAAAAAAAAAAAGGAAGAGAATTGGTTCTTTTACTCAAACTGAATTGGTTCTTTTACTCAAACTACTGCTTGATTCTGAAACATATGGATTCATCTCATCTGATTGGGTTTGTAGTATCCTATCAAAATTTTTCCTCTTCCATAAATGAGTCTATCACATTCTCTTATAACTGAGGAATTGGCACTTTACATGCTTCAAATACTTTCTGTGTCCTTCACAATTGTGCTCACCATCAAATGAAACCTCTTACTTTGGACTAAATGCGTTATTTCCAAAACTATGGCCTTTCTTGATCATTTCATTGATTTGAAAATCTGCACATCACATTTACTTTCCTTAAATATAGTGAAGCAAGAAAACATTTTAATACTTGAATTTTTTAAAAAATGAAGTGTTGCCAAAAAGATCTGTTTTTTTTTTTTTTTTTTTCCTGATGCTCAGGATGAATCACTAGCAATCTTGACTTTGACTGGTAAGACTGATATAGGTGATAGTAAATACAGGTTTTTGTGGTTAGTAGGGGTCTTAACTCTGGTTAAGAAAAGACCTTAAAGAAGGGACACATAGGACCAGGCGTGGTGGCTCCCACCTGTAATCCCAGCACTTTGTGAGGCCCAGGTTGGGGGATCACCTGAGGTTGGGAGTTTGAGACCAGCCTGGCCAACACAGGGAAACCCCATCTCTATTAAGAATACAAAAATTGCCTGGTGTGGTAGTACACGCCTGTGACCCAGCTACTTGGGAGGCTGAGGCATGGGAATCACTAGAATCTGGGAGGGGAAGGTTGTGGTGAGCTGAGATTGCACTACTGCACTCCAGCCTGGGTGGCAGAGTTATAGCAGCGCAATTTGCAATTGCAAAAATATGGAACCAGCCCAAATGCCCATCAATTAATGAGAGGATAAAGAAACTGTGCTCTATATATACTACGGAATACTACTCAGTCGTAAAAAGGAATGAATTATTGGCATTCACAGGAATCCGGATGGAACTGGAGACTATTATTCTAAGTGAAGTAACTCAGGAATGGAAAAGCAAACATCATATGTTCTCACTCATAAGTGGGAGCCAAGCTATGAAGATGCAAAGGCATAAGAATGACACAATAGACTTTGGGGACTCGAGGTAAAGGGTGGGAGTGGGGTGAGGGATAAAAGACTACAAATTGGGGCCGGGCGTGGTGGCTCACGCCTGTAATCCCAGCACTTTGGGAGGCCGAGGTGTGTGGATCACGAGGTCAGGAGTTCAAGATCAGCCTGGCCAACATGATGAAACCCCGTCTCTACTAAAAATACAAAAATTAGCAAGGTGTGGTGGCGGGCACCTGTAATCCCAGCTACTTGAGAGGCTGAAGCAGAGAATTGCTTGAACCCGGGAGGTGGAGGTTGCAGTGAGCTGAGATCACGCCACTGCATTCCAGCCTGGGTGACAGAGCAAGACTCTGTCTCAAAAAAAAAAGAATACAAATTGGATTCAGTGTATCCTGCTCTGGTGATGGGTGCACCAAATTTTTACAAAGAACTTCATGTAACTAAATACCACTTGTTCCCCCAAAACCTATGGAAATAAATTGAAAAAAAAAAAAGACTGTCTCAAAAAAAAAAAAAAAAAAGAAAGGACAGATAACAAGACTAAGCTGTTCAGCAAGAAGGGTGAGGGGCCGTTTACAGTCAATATCAGCTGCAGGTAACATTTCTCTTTCAAGATGGCCTAAGCGGGCCGGGCATGGTGGCTCACGCCTGTAATCCCACCCAGCACTTTGGGAGAGCGAAGCGGGTAGATAACTTGAGGTCAGGAGTTTGAGACTGGCCTGATCAACGTGGTGAAACCCTCTCTCTTCTAAAAATACAAAAATTGTTGGGGGGTGGTGGTATGCGCCTGTAATCCCAGCTACTTGGGAGGCTGAGGCAAGAGAATCACTAGAATCTGGGAGGTGGAGGTTGCAGTGAGCTGAGGTCGTGCCAATGCACTCCAGCCTGGGTGACAGAGTGAGACTCCACTTCAAAAAAAAAAAAAAAAGATGGTCTAAGTGATTTCTACAGTGTGGCTTCTACATATTAAACACATCACTAGTTTGATAAGGCTGCAGTCATTATCTCTTGTCTATTTATCTGGACGGAGAAGCTAAGCATACAGAATTTAAGTGGCTAGCCTAAAGGCCAACTTAACCAAAGTGTTAGAAATGGAATCTGGCTATCAATACAAGCTCTCTCCTTAAGTATTGTGAACTATACTTTCACTACAAAGAATTTGATAACATGCCTGAAGACGCAGTAGAATTATACCTTCTTTTCTCCATGGTCAGAAGGCAATTAAGTAAAATTCAACTATCCTTAGGGGTGTAATCACTTTACTAATACAGATAAAACCATTATGACCAAGTAGGAATTATAGCATAAGCTCAGCACATAAAATGGAATTATTTAAATTATACTACAGTGAAGCTAGTCAGGAATAAGACTCCATTTATTTTTGGCCTGAACACTTCTTTCAGATGAAGAGAAATGTTACTTCCAGTTTTACATATATTTCTGGGAACGAAACTCAGGGCTTGTCCACAATACTACAATTTTCCTGTGTTGGGATCCTCTCTACTTGAAGTGCCTGGGAGAAAAGCACATCCTACTCAGCAGTGAGTGGTAAGTAGTCTAAAATCAAGCTCACCATCACCCCCAGCATTTCTTAGCTTGATTTCAGCCAATGCCACCTGGCAGAAAAGTGGCACCACTTTTACGATACCAGCCACCGAAAAATCCCAAGTCCATGCTACCAACCTCTCTCTCACTGTTCGGTCTCTGCGATCGACTAGCTAACTGACATGCTTTAAAGTTGCAACTTGGTCTCAACTTCTCTTTTTCCACCTGGGAGAGGCACATTCTATTACTAAAAGAGAAATCCAGGGCTGGATTCATGGTGGCACAGCCCCCAGTTTTTGGTACATCTACTCAAACCATAGTCAATTCTACAGGCGTTCCTGGTAGGGAATGCTACCCCCAACACGCTCTCAAAGCTATGCTACAGTCAGTTTGAGCTGACTGAATTTACCCAACATCTCAAGGGCATCGGGACAAATTGGCTTTCCTTTGCCACTTCTTTGAAGGACAGTTAGCAGATCAAAAGCATTTACTGAATTTACTTCTATAGCTCCCTCCCCACCCCTGGAGACTGTAAAGTACCCAAATGTCCTGTTCTCAATTTTCGTTAGTAGAAAAAGTCATTTTCCCCCTTCCTTCCTCTAAATAAGCTCACAACCTAAACTATTTGACAGAATTGTAATGTCTTGCCTTGCTTTGTAAGTCCCTATTAATAACTTTTAGTGTTGGCATGAAGGAATTTTGGTGCCAAACTATGAAAAACATAAGCAAAGGAAGATATTTATGACTTCTAGACATTGTAGTAAGCATTTATAAAATTTACTAAAGAATTTAGGATATGAAAATGTTTTTATGTAGTAAGAAAGTCTTACCAGTATTTACAGAATTTAACAAGTTTAATTTCCCTTTTAAAGAGTTGTATTATCTTCTGGTGTTCAATACTAAAGCCCCTTACATGGCTGTTTTTTGTTTTTTTGAGATGGAGTTTCGCTCTTGTTGCCCATGCTGGAGTGCAGTGGCGTGATCTCAGCTCACTGCAACCTCCGCCTCCCAGGTCCAAGCGATTCTCCTGTCTCAGCTTCCTGAGTAGCTGGGATTACAGGTGCCTCCCACTATGCCAGGCTAATTTTTGGTATTTTTTTTTGGTAGAGACAGCGTTTTACCATGTTGGCCAGGCTGGTCTCAAACTCCTGACCTCAGGTGATCCGCCCACCTCAGCCTCCCAAAGTGCTGGGATTACAGGTGTGAGCCACCACACCCAGCCTACATGGCTGTTTTTAATGCAATCTTCTCTATCCCCAAAATGTTTCTATAGTTTGGATGTGTGTCTCTGTCCAAACCTCATGTTCAAATGTAATCCTCAATGGTGAAGGTGGGTGGGGCCTGGTGGGAATTGACTGGATCACGGGGGCATATTTCTTTTATTTTTTTCTTTTTTTTGAGACAGGGTCTCATTCTGTTGCCCAGGCCAGAATGCAGTGGGGTGATCACGGCTCACTACAACCTTGACCTTCCAGATTCAAGCAATCCTCCCACTTGAACCTCCCAAGTAGCTGGGACCAAAGGCACATACCACCACGCCCAGCTAATTTTTGTATTTTTTGTAGAGACAGGGTTTTGCTATGTTGCCCAGGCTGGTCTCAAACTCTTGAGCTCAAACAATCCAATTTGCCTTGGCCTCCCAAAGTGCTGGGATTATAGGCATGAGCCACCACGTTGGGCCAACAGGAAGATATCTAATGTATGATTAAGCACCATCTCCTTGATGCTGTCCTTTTGATAGTGAGTTCTCATGAGATCTGGTTGTTTAAAAGTGTGTAGCACCTGCTCCCACCTCCTTGCTCCTGCACCTGCCATGTAAGACGCCTGCTTCCTCGTCACCTTCCACCATGATTGGAAGTATCCTGAGGCCTTCCTAGAAGCTGAGCAGATGCCAGCGCCGTGCTTCCTGTATAGCCTGCAGAACTGTGAGGGAATTAATCCTCTTTTTTTTTTTTTGAGATGGAGTCTCGCTCTGTCACCCAGGCTGGAGTGCAGTAGCACGATCTCAGCTCACTGCAAGCTCCTGGGTTCACACCATTCTCCTGCCTCAGCCTCCTGAGTAGCTGGGACTACAGGTGCCTGCCACCAGGCCCAGCTAATTTTTTTTTTTTTGTATTTTTAGTAGAGACGGGGTTTCGCCGTGTTAGCCAGGATGGTCTTGATCTCCTGACCTTGTGATCCTCCCGCCTAGGCCTCCCAAAGTGCTGGTATTACAGGCCTGAGCCACTGTGCCCCACCCTCTTTTCTTTATAAATTACCCAATCTCAGGTTTATTTTTTTTTATAGCAATGTAAGAATGGCCTAATACAATGTCTTCACAATCATTTGCCTGGGTTAACTATTGTTTGCTTGTTTTTTGAGGGGAGTGCTGGATAATATTAATAAGAGTAGTTTTGTGAATAAGTATACTAACTTGAGGTTAAGTTCTACCTAAATATCAGCTTAAGTCAAAGTTGACATTCTGTTGTTGTTAGAATAAAAATGCCTGAAAACCAATGATAATTCCAGAATTTAATATTAGTAAGGATCAGAAGCAAAAATATTTTACTGAGTGCAGAGGAACTTCTCTCTCAGAGGATCCATTTTATTA
Source organism: Homo sapiens (assembly GCF_000001405.40). Classification (NCBI taxonomy): domain Eukaryota; kingdom Metazoa; phylum Chordata; class Mammalia; order Primates; family Hominidae; genus Homo; species Homo sapiens. The sequence goes on from NC_000017.11 coordinate 65,624,495, forward strand.
TCAGGATTTATCCCGAGGGAGGGCTAGCTGGCAAAGTGGCTAACTTCGTTTAGCAACTCTACAAAATTTATAAATTGGTGCAGACTGTAGGATGAGAGAAGAGCTGAAAAACATTTCCCTAAACTTTCGTAAATAATCCAGGATACCAATTCACATGGCCAGGCCTGTATGAGCTCCAGTGATTTTGTGGGTTTAGTGTCTGCTGGAGCCACCCCCCACTGCAAACTGTTATCTAGCATCAAAGGAACTTCCTCCAATCCCTAAGGAACTCTCAGAATGTCTGGTCCACTCGCCACTAAGCTCAGGACTCTAGATGTCTGGGAGCCACTACACTCTTTAGTTTGGACCCTCAAGGAATTTAGATGTGTCCGTCTAACCCACTGCCCATTCTGACTTCCTCCTCAAAGGCAAATTCAAAGGACTTTATCGTCTTTGAAGTACCCTTTGTCTAACCCTGCTGGCCACCCCTCTCTTATCCACTACTTCTCTTTCAAAAACTCGTGCGGTGGCTCATGCCTATAATCCCAGTACTTTGGGAGGCGGAGACGGGCGGATCACAAGGTCAGGAGTTCGAGACCAGCCTGACCAACATGGTGAAATCCCGTCTCTACTAAAAATACAAAAATTAGCCAGGTGTGGTGGCGTGCACCTGTAATCCCAGCTACTCAGGAGGCTGAGGCAGGAGAATCGCTTGAACCGGGGAGGTGGAGGTTGCATTGAGCCGAGATTGCGCCACTGCACTCCAGCCTGGGTGACAGAGTGAGAGCCCATCTCAAAAAACAAACAAAAACCAAAAAAACTCCTTTCCTCAGCTTCCAGAAAGAACAGTGCACTCTCCCCTGGTCCTCTCTGATTCCTCTTCCTCTCCTTTTCTGTTTTCCCCAAGACCTTCCCCTTCTTGGTGAAACCACTGGCTCTCCCAGCATCAACTGTAACCCAGATGTTCCTGGCTTGACAAATCTCTGGGCCCTGACCCCGGTTTCCAGTTGCCTGATGAAGCTCATTATATCTAAACCCAAACTCATCCTTCTTCCCTGACTCAAACCTGTGCCACACACCTTTTGAGGCTAGAAGGCTTGGCCCCATGTCTTCTGAAGCTGGAAGCCTTGGCCCCACATCTGTTTCTTTTTTGCAATCATCTCATTTATTCAGGTGTCATGGTGGCTACTGAATCTTTGCCCCACTTTCCATTCACAGAGAAACGCCTCTCTCACTGACGACTTGGACCAATTTATGGGAATACTGCACACATTGCTTACATTTTTCTCTGCCTGCAGCCTCTTGTCTCTTCTAATCCAGGGGTCCCCAACCCCCGGGCTGAGGACCTGTACTGGTGTGTGGCCTGTTAGGAATGGGACCTCACAACAGGAGATGAGCCGCCTTGGAGCAAGCATTACCACCTGAGCTCCACCCTGTCAGATCAGGGTGGCATTCGATTCTCACAGGAGTGTGAACCCTATTGTGAACTGTGCATGCGAGAGATCTAAGTTGCATGCTCTTTATGAGTCTAATGCCTGATGATCCGAAGTGGAACCATTTTATCCTGAAACCATCCCCACTGTGTCCTACCCCCTGCCCCTACCCTGTTCGTGGAAAAATTGTCTTCCATGAAACTGGTCCCTGGTGCCAAAAAAGGTTGGGGACCGCTGCTCTAATCCACCCCATCTCCGCTGGGTGCGGTGGCTTATGTGTGTAATCCCAGCACTTTGGGAGGCTGAGGTGGGCAGATCACCTGAGGTCAGGAGTTCAAGACCAGCCTGGCCAACATGGTGAAACCCTGTTTCTACTAAAAAATACAAAAACTAGCCAGGCGTGGTGGCAGGTGCCTGTAATCTCAGCTACTCAGGAGGCTGAGGAAGGGAGAATTGTTTGAGCCCGGGAGGCGGAGGTTGCAGTGAGCCGAGATCGTGCCACTGCACTCCAGTCTGGGCAACAGAGTAAGACTCCATCTAAAAAAAAAAAAAAAAAAAAAAAATTCCATCCCATTTCATGCTGTAGCTGGACACATGCTTATACAGCAATTTCTGATGATGTTATTCCCCTGTTCAAATGACTCTAATTGCTCCCCTCTTGCTTATAAAATAACCTCCAAACTTTTCCTGCATGGAGACAATGCATTCTAGTGAAAAGAGCAAAAGTGAGTGAATCAGAGACACAAGGGTTCCAACTGCTGCTTTTGCCAGATGTTAGATATGTGGCCTTGGACAAATTTCCAAACTTCTCTTTGCTTCAGCTTCCCCAAATAGAAATAAGACTTATAAACTTATTGAGAATTGTCATAAAATTAAAACAGCCTTCATTTATTGAAAGTTTATTGCATGTTAGACTTTTTAAAATGCAACACCTCATTTAATCTTCATAACCATGTTCTACTATTCCTCTATTTTCTTTTTTTTTCTTTTCTTTCTTTTTTTCTTTTTTTTTCTTTTTTGAGACAGAATCTCTCTCTGTCACCCAGGCTGGAGTGAAGTGGCGCGATCTTGGCTCACCACAACCTCCGCCTCCGGGGTTCAAGTGATTCTCACGCCTCAACCTCCTGAGTAGCTGAGACTACAGGCATGCACCACCACACCTGGCTAATTTTTGTATTTTTAGTACAGATGGGGTTTTGCCATGTTGGCCAGTCTGGTCTTGAACTCCTGGCCTCAAGTGACCCGCCCACCTTAGCCTCCCAAAGTGCTGAGATTACAGGCGTGAGTCACTGCACCTGGCCTTATTCCTCTATTTTTTAGGATCAGGAAACTCGGACTCAGAGAAGCTAAGCACCCAGCCCAATTCCAGATCCTTAACTGACCTGTGCTGAGGCCTTGCCTAGTACTGCAGGTAGACAGTACATGTAGTTCCCTTTGTCTTCCATAATCTGACTCTGACACACCTTCAAAAGCTTATCTCATGCTAGTTTTCTCCCAGCAGTTGTCATCTCCATGGTCTGAACTACCTGACCGGCTGCGACTCCACCTACAAGGCCCTTCCCTGCATTTCTACCTATTGAAGTCCTACTGCTATCCTAAACTCTAGCTAAGTGTCACCTCTTCCTAGAAGACCTGATTGCAAATGTTCCTGCCTCCCTGGAAATCTCATAATACTTGCCATTTCTCTTACGCAAAGATCATGTTTTCTCTTATATTATCATTTTTTCCCTTTTGTGCATATGTTTTATTTTCCTTCTTGAATCACAAACTCTTTCTGGGCAAGGAGCATGTTGCCAAAGTCTTATTCAACCTTGTTTGCCTTTTAATTCCAGGCTCAGTCCCTGGGACAGATGAGGCACTTGCAAAATTCTGTAGAATATTTAATTTTTGCACAAATTTAATCCAGCTTTGAAGCGTTGAGCTCAATCTACAGTCTGCATGAAGTGAATGTGTTCCTCACGTGTTAGAGGTGATATCACAGGGAGAACAGTAATTACAATGTGAGATGGAGATGGGGCCAATTAGTCTTTCTTCTTTGCCAATAAAAAGGCAGAGAGAGTGAACATTATATGGTTTTAGGCAAAGTACCTGACAGCAGGGACCAGCGGTAGGAGGTCTACTTAGGTTTGCTATCTTAATTAGCCTATTTAAAAAAGATTTCTGGCACTATAAAGATGTGCGGATTTGCCTTTGAAGGTATATGGATTTACCATCACTCTCGCGTGCACGCACACACACCCTCCCACACACACCCCACAATCCAAATAAGACAGTAGAAAGGGTTTTAAAAGAAAACTCTTAATCTACCCCATTTCTATTTCAGCAGCTTCCAAATTCACATGCCCGAATGCAATAAATAAAAATACTGGAGAAGAAAATCAGATAATACAAGTGGGAACTCAGTCAGAGAAAGGTTCTCTAACATTGTAGGAAATATCACTCTAGGCAGAAAACTGCTACCAGATCCTTAACTCTGAGAAAGAACAGGTGGAGACATGATGAGTCAACGCCGCTGAGGCTTCACGCAGCAGCCACCGTGGCCCGGCTTGGGTAAATATTTTTATTACAAACACAGTGATGCGTAATGGGCCAAACGATCAGTCCTGACAAAGATTGCCCACAGGACTGTGACACTGCAGTAGCTGGGAAAGTGGGCTAGAACCCGAGCTTACACGAACCTGACGAGCAGCATCAGGGTTGATGTCAGGTTAGTGACAGCTGCCGTCACCTCACAGGAAGCAAAACTGGGAAATGCAAAATTCAGTTTTGAGAAATCTCAGTCGATGGCAAGACGTTTCTTTAAAAACTGCAAGATTCGCAGGACCCTCCACGATCCTCTTAGGCAAATATTTCTTCTTAAGGAAACAGTGTCTTTTCTATTTTTCTTTCTCCCTCAAACTCTCACAGGCTCTGCTTCTTGGACTGAGCTGAATTCAGTCAAACCAACCGTTTAGATGTCTTCTTTCTTCCTTCCTTCCTTCCTTTTCTTTTCTTCCTTCCTTCTTTCTTTCTTTCTCTCTCTCCTTCCTTCCTTCCCTCGGTCCCTCCCTCCCTCTCTCCCTTTCTTTCTTTCTTTTTTAGAGATGGAGTCTCACCCTCTCACCCAGACTGGAGTGCAGTGGCGCGACCTCGGCTCACTGCAACCTCAACCTCCCGGGTTCAAGCGATTCTCCTGCCTCAGCTTCCAAAGTAGCTGGGATTACAGGCATGCGCCACTACGCCCAGCTACTTTTTGTATTTTTTAAGTAGAGACAGGGTTTCACAATATGTTGGCCAGGCTGGTCCCGAACTCCTGACTGCAGGTGATCCGCCGGCCTTGGCCTTCCAAAGTGCTGGATTACAGGTGCAAGCCACCTTGCCCAGCCTGTTTAGCTATTTTCAAAACACCTGCGGATCACAGGGTTAGACCAATTGTCTGGTGACTGTGGCATTCAGTAAGATGTGGAGAGTTAAGAGAGCAGAGGGGCCGCCCAGCCCCTGCACCTGGCTCCCTTTACACAGTTACCTTCTCCCCCGACCCCCAGGCTCAGGCTGAGAAGAATGAGATCCAGGAGATGGGCTAAGAGGCCAGGAGAGAGAGAACTGGGCTGTGGTGGTGAGAAAGTGAGAAAGCTAACGGGGCAATTAGAAGGCTGATTCATTTGTTTATCTAGATGATTATGCTCTACTTAGTTGAATAGTTTTGAAGTGCTCTGTGGTTCAGGAAATTTCCTCTCAAAGGCTTATCAGGTCCACAGCCTTCCATGTGCCTGACAGTTCCACGAAAGAAGGCTCCTGAGCACAGGGTATGGGTTTTGAGGGACCTTTTAATAATACGCTTGCTAATATAATTAAGTCAAGTAATGCATACCAAACCTCAAGCCGAGGAGAGGTGAAAAAAAATTCAACTAAGGTTACTTCCATCTTTTAAAAGAACAGAGAAAAAAGACATGGCCTCTTAAATATCCCTAACTCAGGGTTTCCCAAGAAGTGTTTCTAAATCCCCAACTGGACCTGTGATTCTAGAAATGCAACATAGATTAACAGAATTTTTGAACAGGAAGGAACTTTTAAGCAATATCTTAGGTTTGGGCTTCTCTGATCAATATTTCACAGAACTCTACAATAAAATATGTGAGTCACAGAAGAAGCTGAAAGATAATTCCATGGATCAAATCATTTTAGGAAATTGCAGATTAAAGAAAGGTAGGCCGGGCGCAGTGGCTTATGCCTGTAATTCCAGCACTTTGGGAGGCTGAGGCAGGCGGATCACCTGAGGTCAGGAGTTTGAGACCTGCCTGACCAACATGGTGAAACCCCGCCTCTACTTAAAATACAAAATTAGCCGGGCATGGTGGCACATGCCTGTAATCCCAGCTACTCGGGAGGCTGAGGCAGGAGAATCACTTGAACCCGGGTGGTGGGGGTTGCAGTGAGCCGAGATCACCCCATTGCACTCCAGCCTGGGCGACAAGAGCGAAACTCTGTCTTAAAAAAAAAAAAAAAGAAAAGAAAAGAAAAAAGAAAGATAAATTGGTTTCTTTAGCAAAGGGTGTGGCAGCTTACAGACGGCAACAGATTCTTTGCCTTTGCTGGGTCTGCGTCCTCCGCCCTTGTCTCTGGGTAGGTTCTGTCTTTGACAGTTGAAGTGATCCTGCCAGTTTCTGGGCACTGGCCTTATGGGGTTGGTAGCTTCAATGTCTGGTCTCTGGCTGGGCTTGCACTGGAGGGCACCTCAAAGCTGCCATTCCCCAGCAGATGGGCAGCATCAGTTGCCCACCATGTGAATGGGTCTTGTGGGCTTGAGCCCTTGCCTCCCATGACTGCCACACCAGCCAACACCTGACTGCACCTGCCTGAAACCCAAGTGAGAACAGCCTAGCTGAGCCCGATGAACCCTCAGCACTGAGCGAGATGACAGGAAGTTACTGTTTAAGCCATTAAGTTTTGGGGTGGTTCATGTTGCTGTATGGCACACAGCTGGCAATCAGCAACTATTTATTTAATGAATGAATGACTGAGTGAGTGACTGAGTAAATGTGAATCTTCCAGAGGGTGATATAGCACGTCACATTTCCTAAATATGACACCTGAACACTTCAAGACAAATTTTGCAGAACAGGGCTTGACGGAATGCTAGTCTGAGAAACAATAAATGAGAAGGTTGAAATGGTAGAGTTTGGGAAATATTGGTCGAGTTATGCCCTTTTATGTTATAGATTAGAAAAGTGAGCCAGACAGGTCAAGAGAATTGCCCAAGGAAACAAAACTAATTGTTAGACTCCACCTGTGAACGAATCTCCTTTCCTAGCTAAAGTAAAGGGTATGGATACAATGGTCTCCCTCCCATAGCCACATTTTAGCTAATTAAATAGATCAGGCTTCTAACTTGGTAGCCCTCTCTTTCTGTTCCATGATAAAGTCTTTGTGTCCAACTAGCCATTTTCCATGAGACCTCTTTTACGTGGCAGACTTCCAAAGATGATATAAGAGTATGAATTAGGCTAGGTGCAGTGGCTCACACCTGTAATCCCAGCACTTTGGGAGGCCAAGGCGGGCAGACCACTTGAGGCCATGAGTTTGAGACCAGCCTGGCCAACATGGTAAAACCCCATCTCTACTAAAAATAAAAAAAATTAGCTGGGCATGGCGGTGCACACCTGTAATCCCAGCTACTTGGGAGGCTGAGGCAGAAGAATCGCTTGAACCCACAAGGCGGAGGTTGCAGTGAGCTGAGATCGCACCACTGCACTCTAGCCTGGGCAACAGAGCAACAGAGCAAGACTGTCTCCAAAAAATAAAAAAAAATAAAAAAATATATGTATTAGCCTAAAGTCTAGATTAAGCGTTCTCAAAATAGCAGCACCCATAGCAACATCTTGGTTCTTTGGTTCTTTTGGTTTTCGGTCCAGTTCATTTGCCTGGACTGGGTGCGGTGGCTCATGCCTGTAATCCCAGCACTTTGAGAGGCCGAGGTGGGTGGATCACCAGAGGTCGGGAGTTCCAGACCAGCCTGACCAACATGGAGAAACCCTGTCACTACTAAAAATACAAAATTAGCTGGGCATGGTGGTCCATCCCTGTAGTCCCAGCTACTCGGGAGGCTGAGGCAGGAGAATCGCTTGAACCCGGAGGTGGAGGTTGCAGTGAGCCGAGATCGTGCCATTGCACTCCAGCCTGCGCAACAAGAGTGAAATTCCGTCTTAAAAACAAAGAAACAAAACAAAACAAAACAAACATTTGTCTGACGGAAATCCTCGCTTAAAATGTAAATGTCTGGAAGAACAGATTTTCAGTGGAATTAGCTATCAGTGAGGAATCCAGATTTTAAAATTTCTTCAGTCTTATGTTACAAATTTAATTTCTCTTCCTCCATATGAGAAGTAAATCACATGATCTGATTTTAAAACAATATAGTGAAGAATGTTAACACTAGCCAGCTCAAAATCTAGGGTATTCCATTTTACTTTTCTTTCTTTTTTTAGACAGTCTTGCTCTGTTGCCCAGGCTGGAGTGCAATGGCGCCATCTCAGCTCACTGCAACCTCCACCTCCCAGGTTCAAGCGATTCTCCTGTGTCAGCCTCCCAAGCAGCTGGGATTACAGGTGCACGCCACCAGGCCAGCTAAATATTTTTTTGTATTTTTACTAGAGACAGGATTTCACCATGTTGGCCAGGATAGTCTCAATCTACTGACCTTGTGATCTGCCCACCTCAGCCTCCCAGAGTGCTGGGATTACAAGCATGAGCCACTGCGCCTGGCCTCCATTTCCACATTTCAAATACCATTACAGCCTATGCCACTGCTTCCTAATCAAGTCTCCAAAGCCAAGAACCACTTCAATATCAGTTGAAAGAAAGTTTTATCTAATTATCTTCATTCCCCACTTTGAATTGACCAACCATGTATCTTTTTCTGGTTTTATCAAAGGGGCTGCCAGGACAAAAGCACATCCAATTTTAAGTAGGCTTTAGTTAGCAGACTTAAAATTGATCATGTATTTTAGTTTCAGTAACTTGCAATTCCTACACCCTTTGATAATTCACTTTAAAGAGCAAACCGTCTTTAATGACAAGGCTTAAAAGAGACGACCTTTCTGAACAAAATATGAAAGCTCAGAAGAGATAGTTCTTTTAAGGAAACTATGAATTAAAATGACCTTGTGTTCTGAAACTTTTCTCCCACCATTTTTGATGTTTTACCTTTCCTTTTTACTCTTAGAAAGCAAGCTAAGACACCACTGCCTTCTATGGATGGTGATGCACTTCAATAAGAGGGCTGTTAATTGTTAATTCCAACTCACAGTTTCTTCTGTCTGCACTGTCTCTGCAGATGCCTTTAATGAGGTTGCTCACCACTGTAAGCATACACCTGTTTCTGAAGAAATCACTGTTGATATGTGACATCACAGGATAATGTTTGAATCTGAGCTATTTCCCTTTAATCACAGTCAATTCTTTTGTACGGTCTAGGAAGCAAGTCCGTCATTCTCTGTTCCCTCAGTCTTCCTGTTTTCTTCATTATGCCCCGATGGCTGCCTTCTGTGAAGTTCATTGTTGAGTGGGGAGGTTGCAAAATCAGAGCTCAGACCCCTGAAAGGGCGCACTGCTTGGTGATGCAGAAATGGTGGACTCGAACAAAATTGTGACATACGTGGATGACTGAATAGCTAACTTTGCTGTTAGCCCTTCTCTTCCCTGACCCCGTAAGTGGATAATAACAAACACCAAGAACCTGGGGTTGCAGAGTGTTTCTTCTGCTTGGCTTGTTCCAAACCCTTTACCAGCCACTACCTGTTGACAATTACGTGTTGAAATAGAAAAAGCACAGGTGGATGACTCAGGTACAGCAGCCAATAATGATAACTTGAGATGTAACAAAATTAGGTACTTGTGATGAACAATTGATCTTCCAGCAGATAAAAGAACAGATGGAATCTTAGATGATTTTATAATAAGGCACAGTGTTTATAATTTATTTCCTGAGCTCTTTCTTTTTCTCCCAGTAGCCATTTCTATACTCACCGCTCAACTCGGTAAGGAATTTCAAACATGCCAAATGCAATTTTTCTTTCTCTTCCTTTATCAGAGAACGTTCACAAAGACATTAGAGTCAACCATCCATTCCTATCACATCCAATCAAAGTGACCTAAAGTTTCATTCCCTTTACTCCCAGACATACATGACATGGTTCAGAAGGGAAACAGGATCTGGGTAATGTCAAAGGTTCACCAGTGTTTGTAATTTCATAACCCTTGAAATGAGGAAAAGAAAGAATGGCAGGCAACCTTCCAAAACACCTACTGATATTTACTCATGGAAAACAAATAGTCTTGAGTGGGAGTTCCAAAGCCAGCATACAATACAATTCACAAGTATTTTCACCTCAAGCACCTAATAACCTTACTAATGAAATCTGGTGAGCTTCAACTTGTTTTCCATGGTCTGTACAGAAAGAAGTACTTAACAGGAATCCTGTAGGAATCTTTCCTTTCAGACTAAATCATAGTCTGAGTACCAATAATCCTCATTTGTTTTAATAGCATCTGCAATGATTTTGCTTTTTCCTAAATATTCTTGAAACCAGTACTATAATTTATTGTATATGCAGGAAAAACCTCATCTTCCAAAAGACAGAGACTTATATTCCTGAGGGAGGTGTCAGGGTGTCTGAACATTACCAGGCTGAGTGGTAGCCCCACAGAGATGAGTTAGTGCAAGAATCCCAGGCCTCCTACTGATGGCCACAGCCCAGCCCTGTTTATGCCAATTCCCTCCCTGGCTTTGGAAGTGGCTGTAAAACCTGTTACTTCCTTATCATCTCTGTGGCTCAGTTACAGTACAAAAAGGGGTAATTAATCCTTGGGCTGCAAACAACAGACTTGGGCGTGGGAAAGAGAAAAGAATTTTGAAAAAGTGTAAATAAACTTTGTGCCCTGTCCTTTTACAGTAAACCAGAGGATTACAGCCCCGCCCATGGGCCAGATTTTTAGAGAGCTCAAAATGCCCATGGCACACACCACACTGCAGTCGAAAGAACTTGGGGCATCCCTTCACTCATTCTCCGCAATTCAAAATTTCCTTGGCAAATGGGTTGACCAATCATCACAGAACAGCTCTTGGGCGTTTGGGTGGGGAGAGGGACCCAGACTTAACCATCCACTCATGGAAGCAACACCATAGTCTCTCAACCAGGCAGTGACCACATGCAAACCGTACCGAGTAAAGCACATTCTGTGACTACTTGCCAATGTGTTGTGTCCTCATAACCTGACCTCACATTTTTTAGGCTTTCTTAAGGATCATCGATTGATATTATAATTAAAACGACAACCATAAAAAGGGAGATCAAGAAAGTAACAATAAAACCACAGCAGCTATCTAAAATTGTTACACCATATTCTGCCTCTACGGTTCCAGGACGTGATTGGAGACCAACAAGACAAATACTTGGACTGATATCAGATGATCCAGCGATTTTATCCTAAACACCAATTCATGCACTAATTATGGATTTGATTGTTGACATGATATAAGGTATATTTTCCCAAAGTACAATTTGAGATTGCTAACATTTGCTTGGGAAAAATATCATATATATGTCACACTTATTTTAGCAAATGAGGTTTGATAAAAAGTAGAAATAAAACTGGTAAGTACAAAATAATATTTTAATAACATAGGAACATGAACATGAAAACAATGTAAACAGGTTAGAATTTTTGATATGATACTACAAACGTGATTTTGATCGTACGCAACTGGTAAAATTCTATGCAAAAGGATTAACAAGGCATATCATAGGAAATCACTTTGCCCAATATAAGCAGTTCTCAGCACATACTCAAATGCACACAAACATGAAAATCGGAAATAAAGGAATGTTAAAAAAATAACTTAGGCAGACACAAATAAAACCACCCCACTAGTGTATGAATGATGCATGTTTTTATGATCTTAATTACATTTAAGGATTTAAAAAATGCCACTGATCTCACAGTTTACAATATCCAAATCTTCAAACCTGCTGGAAGAAGTCCACAGCACAGCCTGGAAATTGCATCCGTTGCATTCTCTCGTGCAGTTACCTGTAAACCAAAAATCGCAGTCACGACTTTCTCTAGGTTTAACAGGTATGTCAATCAAAAAATAAGCTTCAATTCTGGAGAAGTTGATAGGGGTTGAAAAGGCTATTTGATATCAAAATGTCATAATTTATGCTTATCTATAAGGGATCAAATCTTACCTACACCGAGCAAACAGAATCTTTCGAAAAATGTGTGATTCACAAGATCTTTCCTTTTAATTCAAAGCCAAATAAGTAGTTCAGTCTTTCACTGCACAAACAGGAAGGGCGTTTGATGGAATTACAGCAGGTAAACACAATCTATGTTAGTGATGGCACTGGGAACCTTTGACTACAAAAGGTCTCATGCATCCCCAAAAAGAGCACTGAGGGTACTCAAGTCACTGTGAGTGCTGGATCACTGAGCTGTTGGTCTATTCTGGTCTGGAGAACAATGCCAAACCCTTGGGGGAAAGGACTTTGAAGATGTGAGCTATCCTAGCAAGTACTGCATCATCTCACTATCTTAAAGGAAGATCGTGTCTCCTTCACTCCATCACTGGGCCTCAAGACAACATCTTGTCCTCTTGTCCAGGTAAGGCCTGGACCTGCCATGCCCCTGCAGATCCTTCCATCTTTCATCTTTCTTTTTTCTTTTTCTTTTGTTTTTTTTTTTGGAGACAGAGTCTTACTCTGCTGCCCAGGCTGGAATGCAGTGGTGTGATCTCAGCTCACTGCAACCTCCACCTCCCAGGTTCAAGCAATTCTCCTGCCTCAGCCTCCTGAGTAGCTGGGATTATAGGCGTGTGCCACCATACCTAGCTAATTTTTGTATTTTTAGTAGAGACAACGTTTTACCAAGTTGGCCAGGCTGGTCTTGAACTCCTGACCTCAGGTGATCCTCCTGCCTTGGCCTCCCAAAGTGCTGGGATTACAGGAGTGAGCCACTGTGCCCGGCAGATTCTCTCATCTTGTTTTGATAGTACAGACTAAGCACTGGGATGAGAAGGGGGGTGACTTCTTAAAGACATGCTACTTACTAAAAACAAGTCTTTTTCAAAACTTGTATTATATCCAAGCATTTTAATAAAGACAAAGGCCAGACAAGGAGGCTCACAGGTGACACAACACAAACTAATCAGGAGACAAGACACCTGCTTATGGGCTGTACCTTCTGCCTTGATATGTAGTCAGTTCTTCCTGAAGGATGGAAGCTCTCTTTTGCAGAAAATTAACCTAGAAAAGACACCTTGTGTGAGAAGAGGTGGACGTGGCTTACATGTCAATATTGTGCAAATAGTATGGTAAGATTTTATTTAAATTCAGACAATTCCCTAGATAAAACTCAGAGGATTTGTTGAATGTCAATGTTGTGTTTTTTACATTTGGTCACATCCCATCCTTATTGAAAATCCATCAGTTACGACAGAATAAAGTTCAAACTCCTCATTGCAGAGCCATTTTGATCTGGCCCACCCCCATCATTGTGGCTTTACCTGTCCTCACGCCCTGCCCACCACTGCTGCTTCCACACCGTGTCTTTCTCGCTCCGTTGCTCTTTGGCCCAGGCCATTTTCTCTCTTTGGAACACTTGTCTTTCTGTCTCCCATTCATCCTCCACCATTTGGTTTAAATGTCACCTCTCCTGTGGAATCGTTCACCTCCTCCCCAGCTGCTCCTTGCCTCCTAGCCCCAGGCAAAGCCAGCGGTCCCCTCCTCTGTGTTCCTCCCCTCTATTACTGGTACTTCTCAAACTGCTTTGTGGTTATTTGTTTTCATATCTCTTCCCTAAACCTGAGAGCTTCTCTTGGGCAGGAATGACTTTTCTGTCTTTCCACCCCAGTTTCTTTTACAGGGCTGGGCATGTAGCTGGTTTCACTAGCTGTTGAATGAATGAATGAATGAGTGAGTGTAAGGAAAATTACTGCTTTCTGGAAACCTCAATCCATTCTAGGGATTCCCTGAGGTTGGAGAGACAGAACTTCATAGCGGAAAGAGCCTGAGCTTTGTCTGGAGTTAGGCCAACTTTGGTTCAATTCCTGGCTTGCCATCTGTGGCTCTAGGAAAATTACTTAAGCTCTTGATGCTTAATCTGTGAAATGGGATTAATGACAGCTACTTCCCAAGGTTATGAGGATGACATGAAACAACTATAGAAACCGCCTAGTGCAGAGCTCAAAGCAGGTACAACCCCCAGACCGCCATTCTTAGGGGGCTGGAGGAAACTGGGTTGTTTAGCATATTCTCTTAAATCAGACCTTTACAAAGCATTTGATTATTGTGTAGCATACATTTCTGTACTGTTAAAGATGCCTGTATCAGGCGTGGATTCAAAAGCACCTTACACAACCCAAATGGTTTGGGGCCAACTTATACCATGGCTTAATGTAATCAAGAGTCAGTGGTATTTGATCGTTTCAGAATTGTTTATTCTTACGTCTTTGGTCTGAACTGAAACCATGGCAACGGTTGATCCCGAAACATAGTTATGCAAGGGAGTACAGCTGGCAGAACAGAAAATGTGCTTGAAAGAGAAGAAAACACAGTCTTTCTAAGTGGGTGCATCTCAAAGTGGTCCTCCTGGTTTTGCTTATTTGTATAGCACCCTGGTCTTCATTTTATCCAATTGCTCAAGTGACCCATAGGACAATTGATAATTTTGACAGATGCAGGGATTACACTGATTCAACTTCCCTCCCCCAACCATGCTCTGTAATCGGAATTCCAACAATTCTCAAAAAACACAGGCACCTGTGCTTTCAAACTAAATTTGCTCACTGTATGGCCTGTGACTCCTGCGTGCAGCTGCCAACTCTGAGGCCCTATCGCAGCTGGCAGCACTCTCTTTCTGGGTCAGCATCCAGTTTTAGGAGGCTGAAGTGGCTTTTATTACAGTGAAATGATATGAATGATAACAGAAGCCCTGCAGGTGGGTATCAGATTCCTTTTTTTTTCCTCTTCCTAAAAAAACTCCTCTGAAGGCGTCAGGTCCTACATAGCTGACACTATCTGTAGCTCACCTACAAACTTAATGGGTAAACCACACCTGGAGTGGAGATTTTCATGTAAATAAAAATTATTTAACCCTTTGTATGTTCCCATTCTCCTCCACTACTTATTTTTATATGCAGGCGTGAACAAAATTTCATAGCCCTTAGAAGCAAAATCGCAAACAGTAGCATATGGATTGAGATTATGAACATTTCATTTTCAGATAAGAGAAGTTTTACTAGGGGAATATAAAAGGAACAGCTAAAATGTGTTCCACATTTTATCTTACATACTATAAATAGATAACGTGGATATCATCAAACCATATCATTTATTTTATTCATAAATATATTTATTAAGCACCTGTTATGTGCCAGGCAAAGTACTTGATACAGGGAGTAAATAAATCCTTTCCTTCATGGAATTTTTCAAGGAAAAAATATGTCTTAAACTTCAAAGTGGGCTGGGCACGGTGGCTCATGCTTGCAAAATGAGGCTGAGGTGGGCGAATTGCTTGAGGTCAGGAGTTCGAGACCAGCCTGGCCAAGATAGCGAAACCCTGTCTCTACAAACAAACCCCCGTTTCTAAAAATTAGCTGGGCGTGGTTGCATGCACCTGTAATCCCAGTTACTTGGGAGGCAGAGGCAGGAGAATCGCTTGAACCTGGGAGGCAGAAGGTGCAGTGAGCTGAGATAGCACCACTGAACTCCAGCCTGGGTGACAAAGTGAAACTCTGTCTCAAAAAAAAAAAAAAAAAATCAAAGTGTATTGGAGATGTGAATATGTAAACTCTTTCTCATGATACCAACAATACGTAAAACATTCAAACATGTTAGAAGTTTTTCTCACATCGTGAACCACATCACATTTCTTTTTTTTCTCTCTTTCTTTCTTTTTTTTTTTTTTTTTTGAGACGGAGTCTTCCTCTGTCACCCAGGCTGGAGTGCACTGGGCGTGACCTCGGCTCACTGCAACCTCCGCGTCCCAAGTTCAAGTGATTCTCCTGCCTCAGCCTCCTGAGTAGCTGGGATAACAGGCATGCACCACCATGCCTGGCTAATTTTTGTATTTTTAGTAGAGACGGGGTTTCACCACGTTGGCCAGGCTGGTCTCAAATTCCTGATCTCAGGTGATCTGCCCGCTGTGGCCTCCCAAAGTGCTGGGATTACAGGCGTGAGCCACTGCACCCGACCATATATATATATATATATTTTTTTTTTTTTTTTTTTGAGACAGTCTTTTTCTGTCATCCAGGCTGGAGTGCAGTGGTGTGATCTCGGCTCACTGCAACCTCTGCCTCTGGGGTTCAAGTGATTCTCCTGCCTCAGCCTTCCAAGTAGTTGGGATTACAGGCACGGGCCACCACGCCCCGCTAATTTTTGTATTTTTAGTAGAGACGGGATTTTGCCGTGTTGGCCAGGATGGTCTCAAACTCCTGACCTCAAATGGTCTGCCTGCCTCGGCCTCCCAAAGTGACAGGATTACAGGTATGAGCCACCATGCCCAGCCAAGAACCACACATTTCAACAAGAACTATTTAACCTAATTGTTTGAATACCTTGTCATTATTTTGCCTTGAACTTAGAATACATCTTGTTATCTCTAACGACCATGTAAAATACACCAGAATAAAAGTGCTTCTAACATAACTGTGCTTTCAATTTCTCTGCCCTTCTGCACAGTGAGGAATCAGCCATATGCTAAGTGATGGCATTTTGGACCTGATACCAAGAATAAAAGGATGAGGCTATATTGGAAGGTAGACTGTAAATGAATTGAAGTTATAACTGACTGAACTTTTCAATTTTAAGGGTGCTTTAAAGAAATTCTTATTGAGACAGTGAGTTATTAAACAAGTAAGAAAAAAATTTAAAACAAAATGAAAATTTATCCTGAGTAGTAGGTTATGCAATGACATCACATTGATTTCTGGCAACAATTTGGAATCAGATTTATTTGCAAGTTTCTTTTCAGAGTATCCCCTAAATCCTTGGAAAATGCCTTGATTCTAGTAATTACCTGTGATTTTAGGGAGGAAATGGTGTCTTCAAGTTCTTGTCTTAGGGATGCTGGCATCAATCCTTTCAATTTTGTTTCATATTCTTGTCGTATGTAAGTTATCTAAATTGGAAAAAAATTAAGAGTTATCTTTTTACCACATAAATGATTGTTTTGGATTTAAGAAGTCCCAGAACAGATCTGTTCATCACAATGAAAGGTTTGTTACACGCGGTCAGAAACCAGACAATAAAGATGAAATAAGAAGAAAGAGTTAAAAACTGAAAAGGCTACCCAGTCTGACCCTGTGACTCTGAGAGAGATGGTCCCTGTAACAATGCTTTATTTATTTAAAATCCTCATGAACACAATTTTCAGCATCTGATAAGTAAAATAATTTTTCTCTCCTCTTCACTCATGAGGTTCCCCACTATGCTAGCCCTGCAGCCTCTCCTTGATCAGGATGTGAACTCCAACCATACTAAGCTGTCATCTGAGGACAACTCATAGCATGTCTCTGCTTTGATGAAAATACTCCTTGAGGGGGTGGTGGCTCACGCCTGTAGTCCCAGCACTTTGGGAGGCTGAGGTGGGCAGATCACTTGAGCCCAGGAGTTTGAGACCAGCCTGGGCATCTCTAAAAATATATAAAAATTAGCTGGGCATGGTGGTGCACAATTGTAGTTTCAGCTACCTGGGAGGCTGAGGTGGGAGGATCCTTTGAGCCCAGGAGATCAAGGCTGCAGTGAGCCAAGATCGGGCCACTGCACTCCAGTCTGGGTGACAGAGTAAGACTTTTTCCACCAAAACCCCCAAAAATCCCTACTCCTCCAAACTGTCAGGTAGTTGGGGCACTAAATGTGATTCATATAATCATGAAGACATGAATGAAGGAGAATCTGCATAGCTGTGTCTCCGACCCTCTTTGACACAAGTAGACAGGTAGAGTGCACTGGGCATAGGAAGGTTCCTGGTTCCTGGTTTCTTTCTGCCTCCCAAATACTATCGGGCCTGTGTTTAACTAACTGATGCTCACTGGGCTAGTAAAAAAAATAGGTTGGTGGCTCATCCCATTCATCTCTCTCAAGGCTAAAGGAGTGAGTGAGAGGGTAGAA
The DNA here is from genome assembly GCF_000001405.40 of Homo sapiens. Classification (NCBI taxonomy): domain Eukaryota; kingdom Metazoa; phylum Chordata; class Mammalia; order Primates; family Hominidae; genus Homo; species Homo sapiens. Next base: position 65,642,058 of record NC_000017.11, read on the forward strand.
GAAAAGCCTTTGGAAGAATATGCCTGAGCAGGATGAAGATGTGCATGGATGAGGCGTGAATATGCATGTGTAGATATTGGTGTCTTTTTCCAGCTGTGTTTCTGCATTTCTCTTCCACCTACTGTGAAATAGGATAGAATTAATTATTTTAAAAATCTGTTGCATGTGCTGTGCATGACTTAACCAAACATTAAAGCTGAGTTGCAGTGTATCATACCAAGTGATTCATCATACGCACCTGGAAATAGGCAATATACTATGAAAATTGTGTACGACTGAGTTGAGTTGGATAAGCCTATCAATTTGCTGAAGACAATTTAAAATTAACAGTCTTTAAGACCGAACTTTTCTTACACTAAACTGAATTAAGGAAAAAATGTGCTTAACAATTCATTTCATTACCTACTAAAATCCTGTGGCCACTGTTATAGAACATAAATTTTCAATTTTTGGCAAAGTGCTTTTTTTGGGATATGTTATAATCCTGTGACTTATACCTAAAGGAAAAAAAGAAATAATAAAACATGATCTCTCCCACAGATGCAAAGTCTTTGCTGATGAAATATCTGTTGATTCTCCTGTCTACTGATTTTTCTCACCTTCTCTTCTTCAGCTTACCTCCAAGTGAGCCAGTTCCAGCTACTCACTTACTTGAGTCAGTTAGCTGATTCAAATGAAGGAAAAATGCAAAGCAAAACGCATGCTTTATAAACCAGACCTCAGGGTAACATTTATTGAGGGTTCATGGGTTATATATTGACTATTTTTTTTTCTATCACTCAACACTGGTTCTGAAAGTTTGAGTTTCAACTCTTTTAAAAACAACTCATGCATGCGCTATTTCCTTTTTAAACAAATTTTATTCTGTATTTTACTACTGAAATATGTTGTCCTACCCATCCCACCCCACAGTAAAAATCTCATCCAGGCTCCCTATTTCTTTCCCTTATCCCCTCTTCCACCACACCATCCCGGGACAAGTGCTCCAGGATTCCCTGCCCACTGGCCATTCTGGAGTGTGTCCTTTGGGTAGCAATGTGGAAACCACCAGGGCCTTTGTGGAGAAAATGGAGGGGGCTGAAGGAGTCCCAAGAGGGGCTTATTGGAGGGCCTTGGATCCTTGCTCATAGGTGAGCTTGATCTCATCATCTGGACAGGTGGAGGCAGATTCTTCCTGAGCATAGGCATTGCTCAAGTACTGCTGCACGCCCTGGAAGGCCTCAGGGATGGTGAATCCCTGGTATTTTTTTTTTCTTTTGAGATGGCATTTCAATCTGTCGCCCAGGCTGTAGTGCAGTGGCATGATCTTGGCTCACTGCAACCTCTGCCTCCCAGGTTCCAGCTATTCTCTTGCCTCAGCCTCCTGAGTAGCTGGGATTACAAGCACGCACCACCACACCTGGCTAATTTTTTTTTTTTTTTTAGTAGAGATGGAGTTTCACCTTGTAGGCTAGGCTGGTCTTGAACTCTTGACCTCAAGTGATCTGCCTGCCTCGGCCTCCCAAAGTGTTGGGATTACAGGCGTGAGCCATGACACCCGGGCCCCCTGGTACTTCTTACACACCACTTGTACTATGTGGAGCGTTAGCAACAGGTTGCAGTCAGCCAGGGTGAGCTCATTGCCATCCAGAAACTTCCTCTGAGAGATGCCTTCATCTTCAGCACTGGTTTCATCCACTTCTTCTGAGTGGCAGGATATCAAGTGATTGTCTAAAACCTTCAGGGCTTTCAGGAGTCCCTTCTCCAGATTGTCATTGACTACTGGGTTTGAATTCTTGATGTAAGCAGAAAATTTGGCAAATATGTCCTGCTCAGCTGTGTTGGATTCAGGGTTCAGAGCTGCCAGCTTGGGGTACCTAGGAGGGCACAGCACTGCCTACAGAAATTCCTCAATCTTGTTGGTGTCCTTGTGTTCTTCCATGCCATACAGCAGGAATGGGAGCTGCCCTCCTGGGCACAGCTTTTGCACTATCTTGGTCTGCCTCTTGGTGTCAATGATGGTGACATTGAAGGTGACTCCCTTGAGCCACAGCACCATGAACAGTCTCTAGAAGGGGCAGTTCCCAATCTTGGCCCCATCACTGCCAGCCTTCACGAACAATTCAACTTGCAGTTGTTCTTCAGCTATGGTTGCGTTGGGGACCAGAAAGTGGCCATAGCTGGGGGAACTGGGGCATGAACTGTTTCTTACATCCTTATCTGTTTAGAATGTCTATCTGTTTTCCTAAGCTGGCACTCGGCAAGAAGGCCATGTTCCATTTGAGTGCCAAGATGGTGAAGCCCAATGGTGAGAAGCCGGACAAGTTCAAGTCTGGCATTTTCCAGGGTCTTCTGAAGCTGGAGATGAACTCGGACCTCAAGGCTTAGCTCGGTTGCATTTATAATGCAGTCCTTGAGGATTCGGTCTTCTCACGTGAAACTGGATGGCAGCCAGCTCATACAGGTTAATTTGGACAAAGCACAGCAGAACAATATGGAACACAAGGTCAAAACTTTTTCTGATGTCTATAAGGAGCTCATGGGCAAAGACGTTGATTTTGACTTTCCAGAATTTCAATTGTAAACACAAATTATAAAGTATATTCACAGTAGAAAAACAAAAAAGTCTATCCATTGCCTGCATATTTAAAAGACAACTTTGCTGGGTATAAAAATGCTTCAATCCCACTTTCTTTCTCTCATAACTTTGTGAACACAAAGATCAAGTTAGCTAGGCATGGTGGTGTGCACCTGTAGTCCCAACTACTTGGGAGGCTGAAGTAGGAGGATTACTTGAGCCCCTCAGAACATTTCTCCAGTGTTTTCTGGCATTACATATTGCCATGGTAAAGTCTGAGGCCAATCTGATTTTTTTCATGTTGAATATAACTTTCTTTTTCTGCTTGGATGCTATGATTTTCTTTTTCCTTCATTTAGTAACTTCACTGGGAAATGCTTTGATACTAATTATTTTATATTAATTTTCCTGAGACATTGTGTGCCCTTTCTACCTTTACATTGCATTATTTGAACAGAAGTTTCCTTTGTTAGAATAATTACTTGTATTTTATTATATATATATACTTATATGTATTTTTTTCTGTTGGTTCTCTTCTTCAGAGACACAAACTTTGCATGTGTTGACCCTTCTTTGACAATCTCCCATAATTATACATTTTATCTATTATTACTTTTATTTTCATATCATTTTATTTTGAGACAGGGTCTTGCTATGTTGCCCAGGCTGGTCTCCAACTCCTGGACTCAACCAATCTTCCTGCCTCAGCCTCCTGAGTAGTTGGAATTACGTGCATGCATCACTGCACCAAACTCTTCTTATCGTTTTATATCTATTTTATATTTTCATTTCATTTTGTATAATAGCCTCTAGCCTAATTACTATATTTCCTTGGATGGTTTTAGTTATGATTTTTCTATTTTTGTTTCATCTACTATGGTTTCAATCTCTGTAATCTTTTGCTTTTGTCTACCATTTTTCCTAAGCTCTGAGAGATCACTTTTCATCTGTCTGTTGACTTATATCATCTTTAGATATGTCTCTTCTTTTTTCTATTTCTCTATCTCCCTCCACCATTTTCCTTGTGAGAGAGATGTTTAAATGTGTTTTGTGAATGCTTTGACACTGTGAAGAGCTGTTATAAAGAACTGTAATTAGTCTGAACCTTCCTCCTGTAATTTTCCATTTGATATACAGAACAGTATTTGCTTACATTCTTTCTTCTCCTCTCTTTTAATCCAGCAAAGATCATATGCTAGTTCCTTTTTCTAAAAGAAAAATTACACCTCCTTTTTGAATGGAACCAGCTATTTGCTGAGAGTTGAGGTGTGGTGGGGGCAGCTGGGGTCAGGCCACAGCTATGCTTTGGTTTTGTCGTCTTCATTACACTTTGACCAAATCTATGATTTCATTTGCTCTGGGGGCCTATGTCCCTCAGTTTTCAAGTACTTTGGAGGTCACGGCCAAGTACTTAAGCCCTTTGGTTCACGCTTATGGTTGGTTTCTCTTGACTCTCCTTCCTCCTGCCCTGCCCACTATTCACATGTGATGGTTTCTCTCTAGTAGGAGGCTAGGCCATAGAGAGTAGAAGATTGGGTGTGACTAAGGTTGCTCTTTGATCGCCATTATTCCTTCCATCACTTTTCAAATTCAGAAGTTATATTTTCCAACATTTATTGAAGATTCGTGCATTTATACTTCCTGTCTACTCCTTTATTCTTAGTTTTTGTGATTTTAGTGAGTTTGAATGAATTTAAAATAAGCCTCTGGAAAATATGAAATTACCTCATGTGTGAGTGAGACTGTCAACTGGGAAAATATTACTACCCTGAATTCTTAAACTCAAATGCTCAATTTAAAAATCATTATGTAAAGCTGAATCCTGTTACTTCAATAAAGTCATGAAAAACTTTAACCAATCTGTTTTCATTCTATTTATGAGGTTAATAAAATTATCACGAGCAAACATTTACTGAGGACTTTCTGTGTGCCAGGTGTGACTCTCCATGTTTTTATATGGACTTAATCCTTCTGATGACCCAATGAGGGAAGCATAGAGAGGTAAAACATGATTTGAACTCAGGTAGTCTGACTCTCAAGCACATATGATTGTCCACTTTGCTCTACAGTTTCTCAAATAATCCTTCTAAATGCTGAGCTGATTTTTCCACCCCAGGGGGAAGAGAATGCCAGAGACACGTGGGTTAGAGGAGTCTTTGCTACCACGCTCTAGTGCTTTCCCCAGCACAACAGGGGCCAGGGCCAGGGGATGGGGCGTTGAACTGCAGTGCTTCCAGACATCCATCTAGTCAGCGATCTTTTTAAAAATGTGACAACAATAACAATGACAACAACAACTGGTTCCAGAGGACTCCCCACGCCTTCCCATTGATTTTAAAATTTTAGCTTACTACAGATTTATATACGACCAACTGAAGAAAACCTACACAAATGCAACGTATATGTCTGACCTAAAATAAAAGTTTCACAAATTCCCCAAAGAAGCACATATTCAAAAATCCAACCAGTGAAGGATACATGTAAATTTGTCACATGGCAAAATGACAAAAGAAAAGGAAATAATTAGTTTATATTCCTATATATCACTCTTGATTCTTGTTTTTTTTTTTTTTTTTGAGACAGAGTTTTGCTTTTGTTGCCCAGGCTGGAGTGCAATGGCGCGATCTCGGCTCAGCGCAACCTCCGCCTCCTGGGTTCAAGCGATTCTCCTGCCTCAGCCTCCCGAGTAGCTGGGATTATAGGCATGCACCACCATTCCTGGCTAATTTTGTATTTTTAGTAGAGATGGGGTTTCTCCATGTTGGTCAGTCTGGTCTCGAACTCTCGATCTCAGGTGATCCACCCACCTTGGCCTCCCAAAGTACTGGGATTACAGGCATAAGCCACTGTGCCCGGCCTTTTTTTTTTTTTTTTTTCAAGAGACAGGGTCTTGCTCTGTTATCTAGGCTGGAGTGCCATGGCACAATCACAGCTTATTGCAGCCTCAACCTCCCGAGGCTCAAGTGATCCTCCTGCCTCAGCCTCCCGAGTAGCTGGGACTACAGGTGCGTGCCACCATGCCCAGCTAATTTTTTTTTTTTTTTTCCCCATATGGATAGTTTCTCACTATGTTGCCTAGGCTGGTCTCAAACTCCTGGGCTCAAGTGATCCTCATGCCTCGGCCTCCCAAAGTGCTAAGATGATAGGCATAAGCCACCATGCCTGGCTTTTGCTACTGCTTTTCTATCCCCACCTCTGACCCAGGCTGTGTTTAAGGGGAAACAATGAGAGAATGAGAACTTTTACCTGTGGACTATTCATGAACTTGGAACTGCTTGACTATGAAACAATCTGGCCTTACAACAGACCATGAAGCAAGATGAGGTTGAGTGGAGTTAAGCAATGGGTTTGATGGACACAAAATTCCTTTGATTCAAGATCAAAATTTTTACTCATACATGTATTTTATTATTATATTTGAATATTAAATTCATTAGCATAAAGTGTCCTATTATACCAGTGAGTGATGTCTATTAAACACGAAGGTATTCAAAGGCTGGTCTGCTGTGGTTCATTTCCATCCTCTCTCCATTCCCATCATCCTCAAAAAGCACTGTGGATAATCACGTGCTCTTCCACATCCCTCAACCACATCGCACCAAAGAGAGGGGCTTCCCTCTCTCCACCACGGTTACTTCTCTCTCTACCTTCCTTCATCTTCCTTCCTTTAGCAAAATAAAATTAGGAAACTCACTCAGGACATTGTGATAATGACATTTCTATAACTAGTAATGACTCCTGTAAGCTGAGTGGAAATGGGGTCTTTATAACATGGTGCCCATGTGACTAAAGGGCTGTGCCCTGCTCCATGGCAATAGACTGCCCACTTTTCCCTCCAAGGCACGGCACTGACACTATGATTCCCTTAACTTTTAAAGTGAACTGTGAAGACCAAGACCATCCCTAACTAGAGTTTCATGTTCCAATCAAGTAGAACTGAAATCAAGGGTAATCAGACAAATGATCATTTGCATAAATAATAGACTATAAGGTGTATGGAATGTGCAGTTGACTTGAGCCAAAGGGTCCGTAGAGATAAAAATTCAAAGTGACATTGGAAAAAAGGAGCCTTGAAAATCTATAATTTCATTAAAAATAGCGAAGGGAGAACTAAAACATATTTTATGATGTTTTTATTCAAAAAACACCACATTGACCGGGTGGACTGGCTCATGCCTGTAATCCCAGCACTCTGGGAGGCCGAGGTGGGTGGATCACCTGAGGTCAGGAGTTCAAGACCAGCCTAGCCAACATGGCGAAACCCCATCTCCACTAAAAATACAAAAATTAGCCAGGCATGGTGGCAGGCGCCTGTAATCCCAGCTACTCGGGAGGCTGAGGCAGAAGAATCGCTTGAAGCCAGGACGTGGAGGTTGCAGTGAGCCAACATCGTGCCACTGCACTCTAGCCTGGGCAACAGAGTGAGAGTCTGTCTCAAAACAAACAAACAAACAAACAAACACACACACACACACACACACACACACACACACACACACACACACTGTATCAACCAATCATGTCAATATGTCAAAACCATGTCAAATATGTCAACTGGTTTATAATAAAACAAAAACTAAGATGGAAATGTGCAGCTCTGTGCAATCAGCTTAGGCACAGGCCTCAAATGCAAGTTATTTTATTGCAAGCTCCAATGTGCCTAACACGGAATTGTCTTTTGAGGAGCTGAGAAAAGAGGAACCTCCTATTCCATTGCCACTGGTTTATGCTACAGTGGTGGTTTATATGTCTCTGCATAGTCCTTTATTATCATATTTTGAAGTAAGGGTGAAGCAGTTCAGGAAAATAAGTGTGCATGAGGCCAGGTGTGGTGGCTCATGCCTCTAATCCCAGCACTTTGGGAGGCTGAGGCAGGAGTATTGCTTGAACTCAAGAGTTCAAGACCAGCCTGGGCAACATAATGAGACCTCATTTCTACTAAAAATAAAAAAAAATTAGCTGGGCGTGGTGGCATGCATCTGCGGTCCCAGCTACTTGAGAGTCTGAGGTGGGAGGGTCACTTGAGTCCAGGAGATCCAGGCTTCAGTGAGCTATGTTTGTGCCACTGCACCCAGCCTAGGCAACTGAATAAGACCCTGTCTCAAAAAAAAAAAAAAAAAAGTGTGCCCAATATTACTTTACAAAGCCCAACAAGCATTTCTGGGGGCAGTTCAGCAGAGAAAAAGGGGAACTAAGTAAAAATTCTATGGATGTTATCTCCTTAATCTCTTTCCACTTTGCCACTGGTACCATCCCAATCCAGAATACATTCAATACATTCATCTTGCACCTGGATGACTGCAATATTGGTATGTTGGTTTTGCTTTTCAAGCAGAATTTGCTTAACTTTTAAGATCAAAATTAATATCCTGTATATGGCCAACAAGGCCCTGTACTGTCTGGCCCTATCCACCTGCTAACCTCCTGCAACTCCAGAGAGTCACCTGGCCTCTGGAATACCAGACATGTTTGCTTTCTTCCAATTCATTCACCAATGCCCTGTGCTTTTTCTCACAACAGGATGGTTCTTGTTTTTTCTCTAATTCTTCTTTCTTGTTGTGTGGGGTTTTGCCACTGTGTCCATCTGGACATCTGGATGTTGGGGGCCCCTGCTCTGTGGTGATGTCAGGGAGGGTGCAGATCTAGGCACCCAGGGGGAGGGAGCTTGGCCAGACCTTCATGATGAGGCTGTGTTGGGGCCAACTGACTCCCCTTTAGACAAGCCATATAGCCCTGAGTGTGGCAGGCATGAGCTTCATTAGCAAAAACGGGCCCCACACCAGCCCTTGCTTTCAAGCTGCAACCCAGGCTCCTAGCACTTTCCTGGCAAGGAGCACTTCTAGCATTTTTAGCCCCTGTCATCCCTAACACGTTTCCTCCCAGCTGCCTCTGCTTGCTGCTGGGCTCAGTACCTGGAGGCTGTGGCCTCACTCACCACTTGGGTTCTGCTCTGTTTCTACATCACAGAGATGTTCGTCTTGCTTTTAATACCAAATACTGGCCAGGAGCGGTGGCTCATGCCTGTAATCCCAGCACTTTGGGAGGCCAAGGTGGGCAGATCACCTGAGGTCAAGAGTTCAAGACCAGCCTAGCCAACATGGTGAAAACTCTCTACTAAAAAAAAAAAAAAAAAAAAAAAAAAATTAGCTGGGCATGGTGGTGAGTGCCTGTAGTCCCAGCTACTCAGGGAGGCTGACGCAGGAGAATCGCTTGAACCCAGGAGGCGGAGGTTGCAGTGAGCCAAGAAAACAAATCCATCTTTCTAATTCTCTCTCTCGCTCTCTTTTTTTTCTCTCTTTCTCTATATATTTTTTATGTATATATATATTTTATTTCCATAAGGTTTTTGGGGAACAGGTGGTATTTGGTTACATGGGTAAGTTCTTTAGTGGTGATTTGGGAAAATTTGGTGCAAACCATCACCTGAGCAGTGTACACTGAACCCAGTGTATAGTCTTTTATTCCTCGCCCCCTTCCCACCCTTTCTCCCTGAGTCCCCAAAGTCCATTGTGTCATTCTTATTCCTTTGTATCCTCATAGCTTAGCTCCCACTTACGAGTGAGAACATATGGTGTTTAGTTTTCCATCCCTGAGTTACTTCACTTAGAGTAATAGTCTCCAACTCCATTCAGGGTGCTGTGAATGCCATTAATTCATTCCTTTTTATGGCTGAGTAGTATTCTATTGCATATAGACCACAGTTTCTTTATCCACTCATTGATTGATGGACATCTGGGTTGGTTCCACGTTTATGCACCCCTTGTGAATTGTGCTGCCATAAACATGTGTGTGCAAGTATCTTTTTCATTTAATGACTTCTTTTCCTCTGGGTAGATACCCAGTAGTGGGATTGCTGGATCAAGTGATAGTTCTACTCTCTCTTCTTTAAGAAATATCCACACTGTTTTCCATAGTGGTTGTACTAGTTTACATTCCCAACAGCAGTGCAGAAGTGTTCCCTTTTCATTGCATCCACACCAAAATCTATTATTTTTTGATTTTTTGATTATGGTCATTCCTTCCTTCCTCTCTTTCTTTCTCTTTCTTTCTCCTTCCTTCCTTCCTTCCTTCTTTCCTTCCTTCCTTCCTTTCTTTTCTTTCTTTCTTGTCAAGTCTCACTCTGTCACCCAGGCAGAAGTGCAGTGTCATGGTCTCAGCTCACTACAAACTCCACCTCCCAGGTTCAAGTGATTCTCCTGCCTCAGCCTCCTGAGTAGCTGGGATTAAGGCATGCACCACCACTACACCCAGCTAATTTTTGTATTTTTAGTAGAGATAGGGTTTCACCATGTTCGCCAGGCTGGTCTCCAACTCCTGACCTCAGGTGATCCGCCTGCCTTGGCCTCCCAAAGTGCTGGGATAACAGGCATGAGCCACTGCGCCCAGCTGATTATGGCCATTCTTGAGAGTGTAAGGTGTTATACAAATGGCAAAAAATGCTCAACATCACTAATGATCAGGAAAATGCAAATCAAAACCACAATGTGATCTCTTTTTATATTTTATCAATCATTGTAGAGTGTTTGGAGCTGAGGGGGTGCCTGGTAATATGAGCTAATAGAGCCATCTAGTAGAAAAGGACAGACTCTTTTGTAATCTTTTGATTTAATAAAGTGTAGGGATTAAGAGCCCAGATACTGAAACTGGGGTATCTGGAGTTGGGTCTGAGTTGTGCCCCTAATCTGTGTGCTCCCAGAAAGAGTAACTTCTCTGTGCCTCAGTTTTCTTATCAGGAAAATAACTTTTCAAGGCCACCGTGAAGATTAGATGATTTAACACCTGCAAAATTTTTATAAGTTGCACATAATAGATGTTCAATAAACATTAGTTATCATTATATGACTTAATGGAGATTTTTATTATATATATTTCATTATATTATGTATATAGCATGAATTACATTTATATATATATTCCATTTAGCCAATTCTCTATCATTAGACTTTATTGCTATTTCTAATTATTTGCAACATTAGAAATCCTTATAGCAAGTTATTTGCATAAATTAATGATTGAGGACTCCATTGAAATGTTTTTGTATTTTTTAGTATCTGTGGATTGAGAAAGTACCTTACCAAAAGCTCCTATGAATCCAGAATCAATTTTAAATGAATTTATATTTTATAATTCAAAACAATCTATATATATTTGAAAAACAGTAGTGCCTGTTTATCCAGGATACCAACAATGGCTAGTGAGTGTCTTAGTTTGGGCTGCTATAACAAATACCATAGATTGAGCAGATTAATCAATAAGCATATATTTCTCACAGTTCTGGAGGCTGAAAGTCCAAGATCAGGGTGCCAACATGGCCAGGTTCTTGGAAAGGGCTCTCTTCCTGCTTCCAGTTTACAGCAATGTGTATGTGGACCTCCCCATATGGCCTTTCCTTGATGCGCTCTGGTCTCTCTTCCTCTTTTTATAAAGACATTCATCTCATTATGGGGGACCTACCCTCATGACCTCATCTAGATCTAATTACCTCCCAAAGGCCACCTCCGAATACCATCACATTGGGGATTAGGGATTCAACATATGAATTTGGGAGGGGACACAAACATTCATTGTATAGCAGTGTGCATATGAATTTTCTCAGATCCTTGTCAATAACTCTGGTCCACAGGTGGGGAACCATTGCTTTATTGTAAATGACTTAATTTAAGGGAAGGATCTCAGCTCAAAACTCTCTTTCCATCTGGATTTCCACCAATACATAGGAGGATTAAGGGAAAATAACATATACTTCTACTCCTTGTGGATTATTCAGAAACTGTTCTTTGAATGTCTGGCTTAGCAGAATGTGTTAAGTAAAGTGAGTTTGACTGGTGGGTAGATTGAAGGGGGCAGGAGGAGGGGAGGGAGAAAAAGAGGTGACTTTGGAGCATGGCGTGTACTCTGAGGGAGGGTGGACAAGGGCAGGCACTGCAATTGGCCATCTGGTGTAAGAAGAGTGCAGCAAAAAGACACAGGGCTTCTGAAGGGTGGCGAAGGGCCAGAGGAGGTGGGCAGGAGCTGGGCACAGGAAGGCTTGCTGGGAGGGATCAGATGTAACATAAACAGGAATGTGGAGGATGTTTCTGAGGGATGGGCCTTTATGCAGCCAAACGTTTTTGCATAGGCTTTTTAGGGGAATGAGTATATTTTGGTTTCAAGAATAAGAATGAGGGCTGGGCACGTGGCTCATGCCTGTAATCCCAGCACTTTGGGAGCCAGAGGCGGGCAGACCACAAGGTCAGGAGGTCAAGACCAGCCTGGCCAACATGGTGAAAACCCATCTCTACGAAAAATACAAAAATTAGCCGGGCGTGGTGGTGCGCACCTGTAGTCCCAGCTGCTTGGGAGGCTGAGGCAGGAGAATTGCTTGAACCCAGGAGACAGAGGTTGCAGTAAGCCGAGATTGCGCCACTGTACTCTAGCCTGGCAACCAGAGCAAGACTCCATCAAAAAAAAAAAAAAAAAAAAAAAAAGAATAGGAATGAAAGAAATAGTAGTAAAAGATGATGCCAAAAAAATGCTGTAGTACAGGTGAGAAAATGTACCGCCTTCTAAGAAATTCCATTCTTATTGGGGTTAAAGTATCATGTGTTGCCACAGCAACTGCCAAGAAAAATCCGTTTTAAGAAAGGTGCTCTGCTGCAGAGCTCATGTACTTTGATTCTGAAGTATAAAGTGAAAATGTAGAAATAACTGCAATTTTCTTAACAATCTTAAAAATATTCATTTCCCGCCTTTCTTCAATATCATTTCCTCTTCACTTTCTTTATTCTAACTGGCGTCCTCTCAAACTAAGCGTGCAGCGCAATAGGAGTCCTCCATTCCCTGTTCATAGGAACCGTTCCACCGCAAGGGAGTGAAGCCTGCTGCTTAACAGGCCTGGGACTCCAAGGCAAGCGGGTGGCTGGTGCAGGAAGCAGTTGCCGACCTCTGTTGTTTGAAGGTGGCATGAACTAGTTTCTGGAAAGGGTTATATTTTCAGGACCATTTTCTGATCCTGTGGAGAAAAAGGTGGCTTTAGCATGAGTGAATGGTTCAAACCTAGCACTTTAATTAGGTTTAGGTGCTCTAAATCCAGCTTCAGGTAGTTCAAAAGATTCTCTGACACCAAAAAGAAAACAAAGGTCTGGTAAGTCTGCCTCTAAGGATTCACACACAGAGGAAAGACAGAAAATGGATAACATAGTCAAAGGCCAGAAAATTACTAATAAACTGTCTGAATTTGTTCATGAATCAAAGACTTAAATTCTGAATAAGATTGAGGTTGTCACTGGGGTCGTACCATGGCAGCAAAGACTCAGAAGAGGAACTCGGACAGCGATCCATCCTAAAGCACAAATTATTGCGGAAGCCGGGCCAATAGTGATTGGCAAAGGGAACCTGATAGAAGAACAGGCCCTTATCATAAATGCTTCCTCGGATAGTATCACTCTTGACACTGGAGATCCAGAACCAAAACCTATGATCATTGGCACCAATAATGTGTTTAAAGTTGGCGTCATTCCCAAGCCATGGAGATGGGAGATAATAATGTCATTGAATTAAAAGTGTATGTAGGCAGAAATCTAATATTGACAAGTGGCTGTCTCACTGGCGCTTGTTGCAACCTAAACACTTTTGAAGTCATCCCGGAGAATACGGTGATCTATGGTGCAGACTGCCTTTGTTGGGTGCAGGCTGAGCGACCGCAGCCTCAGACACTACAGCTGGATTTCTCGATGAAAATCTTGCCAAATTACCACCACCTAAAGAAGACTACGAAAGGAAGCTCAACTCCAGTAAAGAACTAAGAACAGTACATGACATGAAGATAACATTTTGTCTTTGACTGCTGTCTTTTGAATGGGCCACAGTGTTTATGTACTCTTAGCAGCTCACAGAATAATACATGTTGACTTTATTTTGTAAAATTGGGTTGAGAGGAAAGTAATGGATTTTCATTGTAACTGTCCTTTATAATTCATGTAAAATGTATTATTTTCCTTTATCCTTGCTTCTTTTCTGATAATTTACAGATTTAGCTTTTCTTTTGTTATATAAACTGCTAGCCACAAATTTTAGTTATGTAAAAGACTACCCATTACAAGAAAGGACATATTGTTATGTATTTATATTCTGGCATAAGCTAAACTGAATAAAAATACTGGTAACAGGAAAAAAAAAAGATTGAGGTTGTGATGTAAAATAAACACATGTGAATATTAAAATTTTGGACAGTATTTTGCATATAAGCAATACCCTTTACTTCCTGATGGAGATGGAAAAGCTAAAACCATATTACAGAGCTCCTATTAATAAATGTGGCCTTGGGAGGTACTCATTTAGAATTTCTCAAGACACATGTAGCGGAGATTTTATTCAGCAGCATTCATTCCAGCATTTACTCCAGCATTATTCACCAGTTTTCTGGTAACTGGAATCTACCCCTCTCCCATTCTCTGACCCACCCAAGGGTCAGGGGTAGAGTATGTGACGGGACCCTAAGGCAATCATCACGTCGCATTATCTGGAGCCATAACTATTGAGGGCCTGGTAACATGATCCAAGTCCAGGTAACCAGAGTCACTGACAGTCAAAGGATGCAGACTCTCTCATCCACTGGACTTTCCCCATTGATGTCATTCTGGAATTGTGACAACCATCTTGCTACCACAGAGTAAGAAGTGAACTGAGGGTTTTGGCAATCCAGGGGAAGAATTGAGAAGTGGAGAAAAATAAACTAAGCCCTTTATCAATCTGTACCTAGAGTTAGCCCTGTCTTTGGATTTTTCAGTTTGGGTTAGATTTTCTGTCACTTGCAACCCAAACGGTCTGAATTGAAACAACATAGAATATGCAAAATATTCACTTACATTTATGCGTGTTGCATCTGTTAGACCAGGGGTCAACAAACTTCAGCCTGCAGACCAAATTTGGGACACTGCTTGTTTTTGTAAATAAAGTTTTACTGGAACACAGCCATGCTCATTTGTTTACTTATTGTCTGTGATTGCTTTCTCATGACAATGGCAGTATTGAGTAGTCTTGACAGAGACCTTATAGCTCACAAAGCCCTGAAACATTTGTTATCTGGCCCTTTATAGAAAGTTGGCTGACCCCTGTGACTAGACCAAGCTCCACTAGGTAGGGACTGTGTTCATTTTGCTGACTGCTATGGCCTCAGCATTTAGCATGGTGCCTGGCATATGGTAGCAACTCAATACAATAAATATTTGCTGATGAATGAACGAATCACACAGAGCTTACAACCTTTGGTGTTAAGTCAGTCTTTGTCTCAAAATGACAAGGTCTTCGGAATGTCTACAGTAAACTCATCACACATGCTCTCCCTAAAGACAAAGAGAAGATTCTGTCATCTCAGTATTGCAGTTCTTAATCAGCACAGTGGCTATTAATAAGTAGGCTGGCTTCAAAGCTGAGAAAGTCGGAGGCAAACACCAGGGCCTACGGGGCTGCTGAGATCAAAGAGGATCTTAGAGATTCACCCCGAAGGAGGGGAGTTGGTTTCATCATGCTCTTTCCTCCTCTGTGCTTCTCCAGTTTACTCACTATCAGACTTTTTATATATGGTTGAGATAGTCAATGACTCATGCCTCTTTTCTTCTAAAACCAAATGCCAGCTCCTTTCTTGCTAGAATATATAATTTTGGTCTCATTTCTAATGTTTTTCTTGTTAATAATAACATTCCTAATATTTTTTCTTTCCTTAGGTTGATATATACTATGAATACTCCATTCTTTTAAAGAAGAGCTGGTACAGGTCCTAAAGCAGTTTGAGCAGTACAGCAATTCTACAGGCATGGGATGAGAAAGGCTGAATGTGGAAAGTCTGGACAGGTACATGTTGAAGAACGTGAATATTTGGAGGACCAAGTTTAAACAAGTTGGAAGGAAGCACCTTCTCTATGTTGCAAGGTACATCCCTGAAAGCGTTTGGGGAAAACCTGGGGGAGGGATAGGGTGTTTTTCACTTCTGTTTACAATGTCTGACTTTCCTCTCAGAAAGAGGGTGACTAGGCCTTTTTGGTTGGGGCTGGACTTCCTAAAAAAGGTAGTTTTCATCAACAAAGGACCAAAACCCCAACCAAAGGGTAGGTGAGACTCTTGAGGTTTATAACTGACTTTGTTAATAAAAGACCCAAGAAAACCTATAGAATAAGGCTGATACTCAGTGAGGCTGATGGGGGTTTTGGAGTCTCCCTGATATTTACAATTTATACATAGAAGTAAGGTTGGAGCACTGGACACATAGCAAATGCTTAGTAAATATTGTTTTAATGAGTAAAAGGCTGAACAAAGTTGTTGTTGAATAGGTAGGTGGCACCTTGAAATTATGGAAGGTAGTAAAGGTTATGTCAACAAATTTAGATTGAATGTAGTAAAAAATAGAAAAAGCAAAGAAAACCCCACATTATGAACACCTTATATGTGCCAGATACTGTATTAAGCAATTGCTGCATAATCTTTTACATACTGTGATGATTCTATTTAATTCTTACATACAATTTGGAAGACAGACATTATCTACTCACTCCATAGAGAAGGAAACAGGTACACAGTGCGTAACTGCTAGAACCACGATTGAAACCTGACATCTAAGCCTGTACTGTGCCCATTTATTACTGGGAGGTGGAGAAGGGAATAGGATTGATCTGGAAATATTGTGATGGAATCTCAGGAGAGGAGATTCTGGGATTCAGGGGGGCAGCTGGGAGCTGCTGGAGTGATCTAGGAAAGTGAGGAACTCCTAGTCTGATCTGAGGTGATGGCTATGGGAAGGTCATAAAATAGAAGCTGATTAATTACCTGTCTCATAGAATAGAAGCAAGAGATGAGTTGTATGAGAATATATGCTTCAGCCATGTGCCTAGAAGAAGGGTGATGTTCCTGCAGAGACAAGGCAATGGGTACAGTACAGGGAGTTGGTCTGGGTGTAAGCAGGACACAAGGTATGTTTGGGGGTTTGCATTTACTTAGTTTGAGGAGCAGAGGAAACATTCATAAGGAAATATGCGAGTAGAGCTCAGGAGAAAAGCAGGACTAGAGGCCCAAGAATCACAGGCCAGAAGAAGAAGCTGTAGCCTCGGGAATGGAAGAGCTCTCTGAAGGGGAAAGGGGAGAACAGGAATGTCCCAGGAGCCAAGGCTCATCTATAAGGGACTTCCACATTTAGGATGTAGAAGAAGGAAGCAGAAGCAGGGAATGACCAGAAATGGCCCCAGAGATGAGACGAAAGTTAGGAGAGCGGGGAGCAAGCCTTTAGGTTTCACAAGGGAAGGAGGGAAAGTAGGTGTTAGGTGCTGCCAAGATCAAGGAAAATAAGCAGAAGACCAGGCCATTTCAGTTGCAGTGAGCCAAGATCACGCCACTGCACTCCAGCCTGGGTGACAGAGCGAGACTCTGTCTCAAAAAAAAAAAAAAAAAAAAAAAAAATATCAGACCATTTCTATCCCCTGCCTTGAATATCACCACCGCATAGGAAATAGAATGGTCTAGATAGCAGATTAATCACGACGGATTTTGGTGATCAACAGTGCTACAGATAAGGGGAGTTTAAGAAGAAATTAATTTGTTGATAAACATATAGTTTCCTATTTTAAAGCAAAACTTAAAAGATCCACATCTAACCTTCAGTTAAATATCGTTCAAAATATCTGATTTAGACAGAGAGTTCTGACCTGGTTTGAGGGCATTTTTCAAAAGAGGCAAGCTACGACTGCTCTTTCTTTTCTGCATATTTAAACTCTTGACAATTATAAATAATCTAAACCTCTCCCTCAAAGTACCAATTATCTCCTTATGTTTGAGAAGGCATGTCTTGCCAGATATGGTATTCTATACAAAACACAAAATAGGAAGACAAAGGCAGCCGTTGTCCCACCGGTGCACCCCGGATTTACTTAGGCAGCTCGATGAACGCTAATGAGGATTTTGTGCATGAATCTCCCACCTTCCAGCTAAAGGGAACTGAGACCCCACAACCTCACAGCAGAACATTTCTTAACACCATTGTAAACACTGACTCCATTCAGGAGTTGTTCACCTTTACACAGCAGAGAGAAAAGAATTTTTTGTTCAATTAAAACTTAGGGAGTGTGACGTCATCAAAATACTTCCTTTAGGCTTTCTGAAAGAAAAAAGCTTATACTTTTTACACGAGAAGTAAAAAGGAGCTTCAGAAATACATAACTGACATATAATAGGCCAGGAAGGGAACAGGAGACATCAGTAACTCCTATGTGGGATAATGGAGGCCATCACAGAGGTGATGAGATTTGACTGGGACATTGAAGAATGAGTAGGAACTTTCAAGATGGATGAGAGGAAGAAAAAACTGCTAGCTGAGGAAAGGGCAGGAAGCATAGAGGTGACTGTGTGTGGCATGCTTAGGGACTGTCACAGGGTAGAGTATGGGTGGAGGTCATGGGGTGGGCAGGGGATAAGTGAGATAGGTGGAGACAAGGTGGTTAGGACTTTGAAGCTTATGCCAAGGTACCTGGGCTTTATTCTGAAGACAATGGAAAAACTAACTCAAGGTTTCTGATTGGAGACTAATATACCTTGATTTCTCCTTCCTTCCTTCCTTCCTTCCTTCCTTCTTTCCTTCCCTCCCTCCCTCCTTCCTTCCTCTTTTTTGTTTTCTTTCTTTTTTCTTTTCTTTTTCTCCTTCCTTCCTTCCTCCCTCCTTCTCTTTTCTCTCTTTCTTTCTTCCTTTCTTTCTCTTTCTTTCTTTTTCTCTCTCGTTCCTTCCTCCCTCCCTCCCTTCCTTCCTTCCTTCCTCCCTCCCTCCCTTCCTTTCTCCCTCCCACCCTCCCTCCTTCTTTCTTTCTTTCTCTCTCTCTCTTCTCTCTCTCCTTCCTTCCTTCCTTCCTTCCTTCCTTCCTTCCTTCCTTCCTTCCTTCCTTCCTTCTTCCCTTCTTCCTTTCTTCTCTTTTTTTCTTCTCGTTTCTTTTTCAGACAGGTTCTCACTCTGTTGCCCAGGTTGGACAGCAGTGATGCAACCACAGCTCACTGCAGCCTCCACCTTCTGGTCTTAGGTGATCCTCCCACCTCAACCTCCCAAGTAGCTGGGACTACAGGCGTGTACCACCATGCCTTGCTAATTTTTGTATTTTTTTTTGTAGAAACAAGGTTTTTGCCATGTTGCCCAGCCCAGGCTGGGCAATCTACCTGCTTGAGGTGAGCTCAAGCAATCCACCCACTTTGGCTTCCCACAGCGCCGCCTGGCCATACCTTGATTTCTGTTACAGGAAGAGAAACCTAATGTCACCATCCTGCTTCTAGTTTTTTCCTTCTCCAGCTGATTCTCCACACTGTTGCATGTTTCTCTAAAATGCAGATCTGATCATCTCACCCCAACCCCACTCCCATATAAAAACACTTCTGTGATTTCTTTCATCTGTAGATTAAAGACAACCTCCTTTGCATGGATCATCTAAGAACCTTCTCATATGGTCTTAGACTAATTTTCCAGGACCTTGTGCTCCAGTAATGACTTGGCATTTTCCCCAAAAGTCCCATGTCATGTTGTGACTCATGCCTTTGCACATGCTGTTTTGTGCTCCTCTGCGCCCTTCCTTCCTCTGAACTGGCTAGAGAACCACTCTCCATTCTTACATAGGACCTTCTCCACCACACCCTCCCACAGCCTTCTAGTCACGGTAACCAACCCTTCCACTAAAATGCCTTGGTATTATGTTCATCTAACAGTTACTGATTGACACTTAAGGGGTGTTTTCTATGTATTAGGCACCATAGTGTACTCTTTTGCATATATTATATTTCATTTAATCTTCTACGAATGCTATATGGTACTTTCATGGCTGTTTACATAAGAAGAAATAGGCTTATCCATAGTCACACAGCTACTTGGTACCTGAGTCAGGACCTGTACAAGGTCTTCCTTACCCGAGAGCCTCCGCTTGTACTTCATTATCAGATACTATTATAACTATTGATTTGCACACTGCTTTCTCCTATTAGACTGTGGGTTCCCTGAGAGTAAGTTCTATGTTGAACCGGAGATCAACGTTATTTCAAAAGTATATAAGATTAAATAATTATTCTTTTGAAGTTTGAGACCATTACATGGACTGTTTTTGCCAATGTAAAGACATTTTTGCTAACCTATTATGTAGGCTGGAGTTTGCATGAAGCAGATCATATACAACCACGTAGACCTGGGCTCACTTCATCGGCATTTCATCTGCTCTAGGTGAGATGGAGAAACGGCAGCCAGTTAGTAGTTCATTTTCCATCTTTCAAGAGAGATTGACATCTATATTTTTTTTACACAGCAGATAAACTGGTAATGAATATATATATGTGTGTGTGTGTGTGTATATATATGTTTATTTATTTATTAAAAAATTTTTTTTGAGATAGGGTCTCACTCTGTCACCCAGGCTAGAGTGCAGTGACGCAATCATGGCTCACTGCAGCCTCAACTTCATGGGCTCAGGTGATCCTCCCACCTCGGCCTCCTGAGTAGCTGGGACCACAGGTGGGCACCACCACGCCTGACTAAGTTCTGTATTTTTTGTAGAGACTGGGTTTTACCATGTTGCCCAGCCTGGTGGTAATGAATATTAACTTGGCTTGGTCCACTTAGACATACATGAAAGGACAATTTCTGTTAGAAACACTTACATAAGAATATGAAAAAGATAAGTACACTGTTACTGACTTAGATAAAACCAGTGCAACCTTAAGAAACAGTACTGGGAGAGCAATAGTCATGTTAGATTGAGCAAGAGGCTGCATCTTCTAATCTTTTTTTCATGATTATTTTCACTAGTGTGCTCTTTCAGGAATGTCTCTGTGCATTCTTTATAAAACTGTTGCCCAGATCTTTTTTTAAATCACATCAAACCAAAAAAGGTCAAATAAAGAGCAGGAAGATTTTGTTCTTTCCGTTGAAGGCATTTCTTTAATATTAAAAATGTACTGAAATGTAGAAATCATATTCTGATGATGTCTGAAAAGAATTCATGGTAAAGAGTAAAAAGACAAAGAAAAAAGCTCTCAACAATCACTGGTGGCTGAGGGCCGCAGTATCCTCATTGGGCCAGCTTTTTTCTTTACTTCAAATGGCAGAAAAAATTCACGATTTACAATTAGAAAAAAAATCCTAAACGTGTGTGGATATTACGATGAATGCCACTCTTCATGTTTATTGGCCCACATGGTAAAACACATTATGGTGAAAATTCCAACTTCATCTATAAGTGAAAACAAACAGAAAGGGCATCTTTTCTTATTCAAATAGAGTTCCAGAGGGTGTGTTTTTGCTTTATTTCCAACCATAAGAGGCTCCTATCTGAAGGATCTTTCTGTGTAGCTTGAGTGCCCAAGTTGGCAACTTAGGTCTCTATAACAATTTCATTCCCTCTCTTTATCTTGAACACGTATTTAAAACTGATGTTGGCAGCAGAAAGGCTAAGATTTTAGGGATAAGGGTACTATTTTATCTTGTATGATGTTAACTTTTTTCATCCAGCTTTGAGAAAATTCTTTTTTTCTCCTTCATTTTGATGAACTGAATTAATCTTGCTTCTTTATGTCCTTAGGAAGCTTTAAAATACTAAGACAGGTGAAACCAAGTCCCTGTACTAAAGGTGGCTTATGTGATCTTTGTCATATCCAGTAATCTTCTGTGATCTTTGTCATATCCAGTAATTTTGGAAATAAAAGGGTTGTTGTATTGTAAACTTAGGTTAATATATACTTTAAATGTCCCTTATGGCAAAGTAGATGTTTGATGGAATGAGAACTTTCAGGAGACTTGCCTGAGATTTTTTTAGTCTACACATGGTATAGCTCAACTTAGTTTGTGGATCACATATGGCAACCATAAGAAGTCTGAGAGAAAAAGGGGGGCGGCCAGTAGAAGGTAGGAGCTCCCTATATTTCTTAAACTATTCTGAGCCAATTGGATGGTAGAGACTGGTGGGTAGTTAGGTGAGAAAGTGCTAGGATGGTGGAGCTGCCTAGGAAACCCAGCCTGCAACCCAGCACAGAACTAGACATCTGCATTTTATGCCAGCTTCCTCCTTTGCCTCCCTGAACAATGCTGAATGCCTAAGAGTTGACCAGAAGTAGCCTCTGTTCTGTGCAGAACACAAAGGAGGAATCAAACCCTGTCTTCAAGGAAGTAACAGTTTTGGGGGGAAGCAAAATTAACCTATAAACATAATACAAGGCCGAGGCGGGCAGATCACGAGGTCAGGAGATCGGGACCATCTTGGCTAACACGGTGAAACCCTGTTTCTACCAAAAATACAAAAACTTAGCCAGGCGTGGTGGCGTGCGCCTGTAGTCCCAGCTACTCGGCAGGCTGAGGCAGGAGAATGGCCTGAACCCGGGAGGCGGAGCTTGCAGTGAGCCGAGATCGTGCTACTGCACTCCAGCCTGGGCGACAGAGCAAGACTCTGTCTCAAAAAAATAAATAAATAAAAAATAAAATAAACATTATACATCCAGCTACAGGGAAACTCAGTATAACAGACATTTGGGGAAAGAAAAAGATCTTTGGCCATGGCATTGCTTGGGAAGGTCTGTGGGAGGTGAGTTTTGAGCTGTGCTCCCAAAGCTGAGTAGCAGCTGAACAGGCAGAAGTTTGGCAAAAGGAAATTCCAGGTGAAGGAAAAACCATGAGCCAAGGCGAAAATGAGTGTGGCTGGTGTGAGAGCTGAGCACCCACACTTGGCTGAGGGCTTGACAGGAGATGCTTGGGAATGCTTAGAAATAATATTGGATAGTCCATTAATTAAGTTTTAAGAGAACTTAAAAGTCTGGCAGAGAGATCCAATAAGTGAGTGTGAGGCAGTTGTTTTTCTGAGCAGGGGAATAACATGATGACAATGGTATTTTAGGAAGATTGCCCAGATGTGACGCAGCTAGGAAGAGACCATTTTGTCCAAATCCAAGGTGATTAAGAGTCAAAGATGTCCATGGGGAGAACGGAGATGATGAATACAACTAAAGTGACATTTTGGAGGTAGAAATAACATGACTTGGTGATGAAATAGTTATAAGATGTGACCGATGCAGCAGGTAGAGCCCAAGACAATGAATGCCAAGGTTTCCAGCAGTCTTCCTCTCAATCCTGATAACACCATCAAGGACACAGCATCCCCACTGAACTATCTCTGTTACCTTTGGTTTCCTGGTTTCCACTTGTCTTAGTCAGCTCAGGCTGCTATAACAAAACACTGTGGATTGGGTGGCTTAAACAACAAACATTTATTCCTCATAGTTCTAGAGGCTGGGAAATCCAAGATCAGGGTACCAGCATGGTCTGGTTTAGGTGAGGGCTCTCCTCCTGACTTGCAGATGGCTGCCTCCTTACTGTATCCTCACATGGCAGAGACAGTGCAATATTTCTCCTATGTCTCTTTTTGTAAGGGCAATAATCTCACCATGAAGGCCCTACTCTCATGACCTAATTACCTTCCAAAGGCCCCATCTCCGATACCATCACACTGGTGCTCAGAGCTTCAATATTTTGGCGGGGTGAGAGGCATTAACATTCAGCCCATAACACCACCTCAATTTTAATGCCTTTTATTTCCACACCAGAGATTTTTTTCACCCCCACTTTGCTGTGTCACTGGCCTCCTTTCCATTGGCAAGCCTAGCCCTACACCAAACTGCTGAGACAATGCAGGTCAGGACAGGAGGTACATTAAGAGCCTCAGTCCATCAGCTGCAGACAACTGAATTCTTCTTGCTATTGCAGACCCAGTATCAGGGGCCTCAAGGCCAACTCAAGGGTGTGCTTCATTAACCCAGGTCATATGCATGGGTTTCTGCCATTCCCTCCTGCCTACTGCTCTAGGTCTCTGCTAGAATTAGAGCACAGGGCAGATGAAAGACAAGCCTAGGATACTGCGCGAGGTTCTGTGGAACAGAACTTTCTCTTTTCTTCTGATATGAGCCTGGAAACATAGGCTCAGGAACTGATAGCAGGTATCTTGCAACCATGAAAAGGACAATTTGTGGAGAATGGAGCCAACAATAAGGGAACAGAGTTAAAAAATGGAGAGAGAATAATTGGCTTTTGGTCACATAATTTGAGCTATTGGATTAAGCCTCCCCTGAAGCCAATGCTACTTCTCAGTTGACATGAAGCAACATATTCTTCTTATTGGTTAAGCCATTTGTTCTTCAACCAATTATTTCTAATAAATTATTTGACTGGGGCTGAGATTCCCTGCCAAGGACCTAGACTTTGTACCCTATGAGCTGGCCCCAGCAGTCCCCCAGCAAGGTAGTAAGGGCCACTCGATTTAAACTCTGCCACACCCTACTGGCTGGACTGGATTGCTTTGGGTACTGACACCTGCCCCAGCTCCCAAACCAACTTCCACATCTCCAAATACCTTGCCTACCTCACTGTTCATCTGCATTTCAACTCTGATCACTCAAAACTTGCCTACTTTCTGAATTAATGAGTTAGTTTCCTTGTGTAGTCTCTTGGTGACTTAACCTACAATTTATACACAAAATCATATGTTGCCAGGTTTTTTGGGCCAAATCCGAACTCTGGGAGCTCCCTGACACCTGCATGCTTTATCCCCAGGCTACCGCCTGTTGCTACAGAAAGTAAACAACAATAATAAAACACACACATGCTGTTTCAACAGGGTCATCTAGAAATTCATGCTATTTAACCTCAATGGACCTTCTCCATTGCTGGTCAACCTTTAACTGCTCTCTGTTTTACATAGTGTAGGGGCCTTTTTCATACAATGTCTACCTCATGGGACACCCACATACTTAGTAGCCAACATTACTGACGATCTGCTGATGACTGACCCTGGTGTAATCTAGGGTTCATTGGTCCCTTGTGCTGGGTGAAGCCTTTGGTAATACTTAGGGAGCACCAGAGAAAATAACTTTACACAAAGACAAAAAGTTTAGTTATTTGCTGTATGTCTTAATTGATGCAAGCCATCAAAGTAGGAATTGCAGAGAACAAGGTATAAATCAATAAAATAAGTAAATGGAAGTGATTGAAGGACAGAGCCACTTTAAAGCAAGTGTCGCTCAATTTCCTGAAAACATAACGAAATTGCTTTGCAAAAGAAATCATAATGGTTTGCTTTTAATTTTTCCTAAAGAGCACTAATAACAAATAATGGAAAGTTCAATTGATAATTAAAGAAAAAAAAAACACTTCACTTTTGAGCATTCATGAGGCAGTATTCTTTTCAAATTATTATACTCTGGCAAGGCATACTCAAGGTACTTGGTTCCTTTGTACTCTTTCCCTCTGTATTTCAGGTTTTATATGAATGAAACACAATGAGTAATTCCTTCTCTTTGGATCCTTCAGGATATTATTTAAACACTGGCATCTGGTCTAAGGGAAACTTAATGCTAAGTCAGAGGAGTATTTGAAAAATAGTTTACATCTGGTTTTGTACTACCCATCCCTGGAAGTATGCAGGGAGGGTGGAGGAAATGAGCACATTGCTGGCTCTCTGGGCTGTGGTGCTGGTGGGGCTGGGTCTTTTGGTGTAATGCATACCACAGCATTCCCTTTTATAAAGTGAGGGATTAGTGCCACCTTCTTTGTAGCAATGTCGTGACCTCTATAATGCTTCTTAAATTGAGGACAATGATGGACCCACCAAGCCTTAACACATGATTTAAATCTGATCTGACAGTACTTAAACCCAGAACTCCAGAGGGCTAATGGTTGAACAAGCTTGGGAGAATGTCCAGGGAACAAAATGTAGAAGCCCGATGAATTACGGAGGAATCACAACTCCAGGGCAATGGAGGGGGGAGTAAAATGACATATTCTGAGTTGGTATCTTTTATAGGATTGACTAAAACTGTGGTCCCACTATAATGTGCTAGAAAGCAAAAAAATATATATTATTTTCACTCGTACATCTATAATTTAAGAAGGATATGAGTTTTAACAACATTTGTACTCTTACACACACACACACACACACACACACAAAACCTATCGAGAGGAATCTCTCATAGAGGCTAAAAATTAGAAGCAATAATATTTTAGGGTGGTCATTAATTTTAGGTACAGGTATATAGTATTTTAAATTTCTCACATTTAGACAAACTTAGAAACCTGATTAAAATCAGTTTGTGATATTTGTATACTGAGGATAAACGTAACTTGTAGAACCATGAAGAGCAAAACACTCAATAATGAGTCACAGCAGGACCCATGGAAGCTCACCTAGCAGTGACGTCTGACCTGCAGCAGCCACTGTGCTCAGAGGGAGGCCGACGACTGCGCCACTCCCTTGGGCACTTTTTTTTTTTTTTTCGAGACTGAGTCTCGCTGTGTCACCCAGGATGGAGTGCAGTGGCGCAGTCTCCACTCACTGCAACCTCAGCCTCCCAGATTCAAGTGATTCTCCTGGTTCAGCCTCCCAAGTAGCTGGGATTACAAGTGCCCACCACCATGCCTGGATAATTTTCGTATTTTTAGTAGAGATGGTTTTCGCCATGTTGGCCAGGCTGGTCTCGAACTCCTGACCTCAAGTGATCCGCCCACCTCAGCCTCTCAAAGTGCTGGGATTCCAGGCATGAGCCACTGCGCCCGGCCTCCTTGGGCACTATTCTTAGGGGACCTACTCCATTTCAATAAACTATAAGTTGGTGACAGGGCCAATGTTTATTTTGTTTTTGGCTTGTAAACAATTCACACATCGAAAACATCTCTGCCCTGCTCCTTCACTAATCCCCAGGGCCCTCCAGGTATGTCAAGCTGTTCAATATACACGTTAAGCCTTTGGCATTAAGTCAGGAACTTTCTACCCACATCCAAGAGACCTTATTACCCCTGTGACTTGTATTTCTGCATTTTTCTTTTCCTAACTCAGATCCCCCACCTGGAAGATCTTCTGTTTGTAGTTAAGTACTAAAAGTCTATATAATTCATAACCGCGAGGGCAGAGAAAACTCTAAAACCACCTGCCTGTATGTGGCTTTCGGGAAGCAACATTCCTGTGATCACACAAGCTGAAAAGGAATAAAAGTGCTCTCTCACAACAGCACCAAGTTGAGGTACTTTCCCTTCTTTCCTGGGATGGAACAAGAAGTGTTTC
Organism: Homo sapiens; assembly: GCF_000001405.40. Lineage (NCBI taxonomy): Eukaryota > Metazoa > Chordata > Mammalia > Primates > Hominidae > Homo > Homo sapiens. The sequence continues at coordinate 65,668,698 of NC_000017.11, forward strand.
CTTTCTTTTCCATGTTTGTTAGAATTTGGATGGTTTCTATTCTCTCAACTCAGTGTTACTGATTGGCTGGAAGAGTTCATTCCACCCTTTTAGCCAAAGTCACTTTTGAACAGGCTGTTTTCGACTGCCAGGCAAGCACCACACAAAATTGGCATGAGATGCTTTTCTTTGGTTCCATTGGCCTCTCCTTTCTCTCTCCATCACTCCACTTACAGAATCTTGCCCTCCCCATCTAATGCCCCATATTGTCACATTTTCTCCCAGCTAACTTTCTTTTGGTAAAATCTCTAATGTGTGACAATTTCAACGGGTAACTTGCATTAGAAAGCCTCTGATTGTCAAGTAAAGTTCTAGTCTCGCAGTGAATTTTTTTGGCCCCCATCAGTTCAGTTTTCGGCAGGTGGGCAGGGGAAACATTTTGGGAGAGCGGCAGCTGGCCCTTCTCTCCTCACTGAAATCACACTACCAGTTTGACTTCGCCTGGTGTTAAGATTAATTCTTTTACTACTGCCTATTACTGACTCATTTCTCTTTCCTTTTGAAAATATGTTATGACATCGAGCCCCAAATTCAAGTATAAAACTAGATTTGGTGGCAAGAAATTCTCTTCTAAGGAATAGTTTTAGACTTTAGAGTCTGATGAGCCAGACTGAGAAGCATGTGTTACCACAGGGGTATAAACGTAGGGTTGGAGTTTGAAAAAGGGTATGTATAGCCTGGCGATAACAATTTGAGAATCACCACAATAAATGAGACCTGAAGACAATGGGGATAGATGATATCATTGAGGGAGAGAGAATGTATAGCTGGGAAAGAAGTAGGGAATAGATACCAGAAAACAGAGATTATTTACTGTATGGGGAAGGCCTAAAATCAGAAGACAATAGAAGAGATTGAGAAGCTGCTGTCTAAAAAAGAAGAAAAGGCCGGGTACGGTGGCTCATGCCTGTAATCCCAGCACTTTGGGGGGCCAAGGCGGGTGGATCACGAGGTCAGGAGATCGAGACCATCCTGGCTAACACGGTGAAACCCTGTCTCTACTAAAAATACAAAAAATTATCCAGGCATGGTGGAGGGCACCTGTAGTCCCAGCTACTCAGGAGGCTGAGGCAGAAGAATGGCGTGAACCCGGGAGGCGGAGGTTGCGGTGAGCCGAGATCGCGCCACTGCACTCCAGCCTGGGCGACAGAGCGAGACTTCGTCTTGAAAAAAAAAAAAAAAAAGAGAGAAAAATAGAATTATGCTGGGGTAAGAAGTCAATGCAAATTAACCTTGGGAATCTCTTCTACTTGGCTATGAGCTCCTTCAGGAAAAAGACTCTCTTATTTATCTTACAGTCGAAGGCTAATGGCTCCTGGCACATAGTAGGTGCTGAATAAATGTTTGCTGAATAAGTGCCTTCTCTTTTTAAAAATAACCTGTTTGTCCCTTCAGTGGGGCATATGTTCTTTGAGGTTTTTTTGTTTTTGTTGTTGTTGTTGTTTTTTTTTTAACTGATGCTTAAAAGAGGGTCTGAAACTTTTGTGTTCTGTCATTTTCAAAATACCCTCTAATTATACCCTAATAGTTATATAGGTATCATAGCTAGAATTTCCCAACAGGCAGGATTTCAACTCACTGTTTGGGTCCTGTTACTTTCTGTATATTTTTATAACTCAGTTGTAACTAAAAAAAAAAACCCTCATAATTGAAATTCTCAAGAACTTTTCTATTTACTGGCAGTATATTAATATACACAAATGCAAACACATTTATTATTCTTTGTCCCCTATTTAAAAACTGAATAACAACAAGTGTCAACTTTTAAAACCCATCATGCATTCTTCAGGCTTCACCTTAACCCCACCTTCCTCTAGACTTAGAAGCTCCAAAATATCACAGCTCACAGAGAAATAGAGCCTGCAACAATTAACCAACTTAATTTTCACAGATGCTACCATCAATCAATACATATTACATATTAATTTTCACATATGCTACAATCAGTTTTTCACAAGCTTCACTAAAAAGGTCAGTATACACCGAACCAAAAATTTAGCAGTTTTAAGGATTAATGAAAACTAAGTAGATACTACTTCAGAATTATGAATCTGATTGTCAGCCAACTCAGGGTCTAAAACCTTATGGAATGTATTACTACTGTATTTACTGATCATGCAGTTGAATGCCTGCTTTGTACAAAGCACTGTGGTAGTGGGCGGGGGGGGCGGGGCAGACCAAGACTAAGCTCAGTACAGATAACTGGGGAATCAACTCACACTACAGTCGTTGAAAAAATAACCCATTATTATAAAGAAATGCATCAAAACAACATAATAGATTATACAAAGAATATAAATATATAAATATCCACTATTATTTCTGAAAGGAAACTTATTTCTCAGATGTCTGTTAGGGTTGTTTGGCTGAGAAGGGGGGTGGGTAAAACAAATAGTACGCAGCTGGTGGAAAGAGAAGGACTATAAGCAGGTGGCAAAAGGGAAAACAGTAGTCACTGGGGGTCAGGAATCTGAAGGTCATACCACAGGGTGACATCACAGAAAAGAGAGCCCTGACTACACTTTAAGAGCTCCCGAAGGGGAAATTGGGAGGTAGCATCCATAAGGGGAGAAGTACCCCCATGTACAGGGAATGCTACATCTCAGAAAAGAGGATCTTGCACTGTGTCTACGGGAGCCCATGATGAGTGTAAGAGAAAAGGGTCAAAAAGTCTCTTTGTGACTGATGTACGGACAAGAAGAATGGTGTTTCTATCCTGCATATGCAAGAGGACTTGGAGGCTTTCTGTCTCTCATTGGTACAAACTCCCTGAACCAACTGGAGATAAACTCTGTTCATCTTCTATGTGGTGAAAGTTGACTGTGGAACAAACAGACATACTATATACACCAACACACAACATATATATGTGTGTGTATGTATATATATAGTATGTATGTGTGTATGTACATATATAGTATGTGTGTGTATGTATATTTATAGTACTTGTGTGTGTATGTGTGTGTGTATTCCTACTATAATACATTCACTGCCCTCAGAGGAACCTTAGTCTAGTGGAAATGACAAAATATGTCCACAAGTAATTAGAATGAAGGTGATGTGTCTGAACTCAACAAAAGGTAGCTATTAGAAATCCTCAGGAAGCAAACTCTTTCAGTGAAACTTAGGAATTCTCATTAAAGATAAGAAAAAAACAAGGACACATACTATCACTGGTACTACTTGATATGGAACTGGAGGCCTCACCTGTGCAATATGACAAACATTAATAAATAAGGATGAAATACAGGAAGGAAGATACAAACATTAAATCTGTTTAGGAATGATACAATTGCCTACTTAGAAAATTTAAGAAATCAACTGAAAGATCATTAGAAGTAATGTTGGTAAGAGCTCTGGTGAGACAACTGTAATACTCCTAAATACCAGAATTATCCATTTAGAAAAAACAAGGGAAACCCATGAAAAGAAAATATACCATAATATATTTGGGAATAAGTTTAATAAGAAATGTACAACACATCCATCCATATTAGGATAGATTTCAGTTGTAATGAAAAAACTAATGAAATGCAAAGAGATGTAAAGTTCCTGAATGGGAAGACTCAATATCGCAAAGATGTCAATTGTCCTGAGACTAATTCATAAATTCAATACAGTCCCCATAAGACAATCAGTGGGATTAAAAAAAAATGAACTCTACAATCTTAGCCCAAGATTCATGTGAAGGAGAAAATGCTGAAGAATAACTAAGACAATTTAGTTTAAATTTTTAAAAAGATGATGAGAGGAGTCTTCTCTTTATAGATGATATTTACTACATATTAGTACTCTTCAGAAAGGTTTTGCTTGTAATACCTGATTGAATCCTCACAACAAATTCATAAGGTGAGTACCACTATTAATTCATTTTCAAGATAGGGAAACTGAGGCAAATCAAGCAAGTAACTTGCTTAACGTTCCATAGCAAGTAAGTGGAAGTGGCAGAGCTGAGATCTGAAGCCAGGCACTGTGGCTCTGAAGCTCATGCTCTTAAGTACCCTAATAGATGGCTCATATTGGCACAGGAAATCGATAAATGGGAAAGAAGAGAAAGTCCCAGATTCACACACATATCAAAAATTTGATTTTTGAAAATGATGGCATTTCCAAAAAATGGGAGAAATATATCTCAGTCAATACATGGTATTAGTATTAATAACTGGCTATCTATTTGGAAAGGAAACTAGTAAAATCCCTGTATTAGTTTTTTATCATTGCTGTAACAAATTACCCAAAGTTAGCAGCTTAAAACAACACAGATTTATTCCCTCACAGTTTTGTAGGTTGGAAGTTTGAGGGAGCTCAGCTGGATCCTCAGCTCTGGGTATCACAAGGTCAAAATCAAGGTGTCAGCTGGCCTGGGCTCTTATCTGGAGGCTCTGGGGGAGAATTCACTTCTAAGCTCATTTGGGTTGTTGGCAGAATTCACTTCCTTGGCACTACAGGGCTGAGGTTCCCATTTCCTGGCTGGCTGTGAGCTGCGCGTCCCTCTCATCTCCTTGCGACTGCTATTCCTCATCATGTTGTCCTCTCCCTCTTTAAAGTGGCAATGGCGCAATGGTTCTTAGGCTTCAAATCTCTCTAGCCCCCCCGCCCTCTTTTGCCACATTTGCCATGTTCTCCTGCCTCCAGCTGCAGAAAGTTCTCGGCCCTTAGTGGTCATGTGTCTGGATCAGCCCCACCACTTGGATAATCTGGGATCATCTGCCTTTTTTAAGGTTACTTATTAGTAACCTTGATTATATCTGCAAAATCTCTTGCAATGCAATGTGCATAGTCACAGATGCCAGGGACTGGGGTATGGACCTCCTTCAGGGGCCATTCTGTCTACCCCAATCCTTCTCCCACATAATATATCCCACATAACATAACAAATTTGAGGTAGATTAAAGAGTTAAATGTATGAAACGAAACTCTCAAAAGTATAAGAAAATAAAAGAGAATATATTTCATAATCTAGGTTAGAGAGTACCTTCCTAAGCAAGCTTGGAAACCATAGGGAAAAAGATAGAAGGTAATCTTCTCAAAAAATTAAAATATTGAATAAAAAATTAAAAGATAAGCAATTCTGAATTCTGAGAAAGTATTTGCAACTTATCTAACTAACAAATGATTAACATACAGACTATGTAAAAAATAAACTTTCTTTTTTTTGGAGTTGGAGTGTCACTCCATCACCCAAGCTGGAGTATAGTGGCACAATCTTGGCTCACTGCAACCTCCACCTCCTGGGTTCAAGCCATTCTCCTGCCTCAGTCTCCCGAGTAGCTGGGATTACAGGCGTGCGCCACCAAGCCCAGCTAATTTTTATATTTTTAGTAGAGACAGGGTTTCACCATGTTAGTCAGGTTGGTCTCCTGACCTCAGGCAATCCGCTCGCCTCAGCCTCCCAAAGTGCTGGGATTACAGATGTGAGCCACCATGCCCAACCAAAAAATAAACTTCTATAGATCAAATTAGAAAAACAAATCAATAGAAACAATTAGCAATAAATGTGATCAAGCAATTCATGGAAATGCAAATACTTTCCACTCTTAGTAATGAATGATTAGATAATCCATTCCCAGGTCTGTTTCAAAATGTTAGGCAAGGCAGGGAAGAATTATGGGGTCAAGATCCTGGAGATGACATAAAGCAGAAGAATTTGTAAAGCTGGCATGTGGGGACATTTTTACATGGTGGCCTTTGCCAATTCTAGAGTGGTTGGTGAGAGGCTGAGAAGCTGAACAAATCTTTCTTTTAACAGTTTCACACACAAAAAATCCAAAGAGACAAAAATTGCAGTCCAGGGCTCACTCAGGAGGAGTGTCTGATAAAATCCCTATACTTTGGGTGGATTCCAAAGGGCTACACTCTAGGAGTAGGAGTGAATTGGAAATAAACCAGCTCTCTCCAGAACTGAAGTTTAGCTTCAAGTCATCTCAATCTTTGAAAATAAATTAAGGCTATTCAAGATTACAAGTGCCACTACCTGTCTATCTAGAAACAAATCTAAGTTCTCTGGAGGAAATTAACATCATCCTAGGTCTTAAAATTGTTTCTATAAATTTTCATATAAAATATCTGGCACTCAATCAAAAATAGGCAGACTCACAAGAAGCAAGACAACATGCCAAGAGAAACAAAAGACAATGAAACAAGATCCTTGTGAGCTCCAGATCATGGTTACGAGACTTAGACTTTACAAGAACCAAGACATAGGTCCAACAGAATAAGAAAAATGATTGTGAATTTTGATATAGAATAAGTAATTTAAAAAGAACTAAGTAGAAAGTCTAGCTCTGGAAAATATAATAAGCAAAATTAAGAATGAGTTTAACAGTAGGTTAGACACAGCTAAGGAGAGAATTAGTGAGCTAGAGACTGGGTAAAAATAAAATATCCAGAATAAATACAGACATAGGAAACAGGGCTAGAAGGTCTAATATATACATAATTGTATTTCCAGAAGGAAGACAGAGAGATAGAGTTAGACAGAAGTAAAAGTAGAAAAATCTAAATACCGTAACTACTAAAAAAAGTATATCTATAATTAATTACAAATCTTCCAACAAAGAAAAGTCTAGGCCCAGGTGGCTTCATCAGTGAACTCCACCACCTATATTACAGGTGTTCACCACCATGTCCAGCTAATTTTTGTATTTTTATTAGAGATGGGGTTTCACCATATTGGCCAGGCTGGTCTCGAATGCCTGACCTCAAGTGATCCACCCACCTCGGCCTCCCAAAGTGCTGGGATTACAGGTGTGAGCCACCATGCTCGGTACCCCAAATATTTTAAAGGAAGAAAGACTATCAACTTGATACAAATTCTTCCAGAAAACAGAGACAGAATAATTTGTTTTATGAGGCCAGCAAACTTTAACACCAACATCCGATGAGAATATTATAATAAAAGAAAACTATAGGCCAATATCCCTGAGAAACATAGATGCAAAAATCCTAAACAAAATATTAGTAGACCAAAATCCATCTACAGGTTAAAAAAAAGGGATAACAAATGGGATTAATTCCATGAATGCAATATTATTATATTATTAATATTATTATATCAATAACATTAGAAAATAAACCTGTAAATTTTACTGCATTCACTGAATAAGAAACAAAATTCATATGATTACTTCAAAAGATGGAGAAAAGGCATTTAAGAAAATTCAACATCTACTTGTGATTTTAAAAATGGAAAATGAACTCTTACTAAGAATAGAAAGAAAATTCCTTACTGTGATGAAGGCAGTCTATACAAAATCAATTGTATTTCAGTATGTCAGCAACAAACTGTGAGAAAATGCAATTTTTAAAAATGCCATTTAAGGCCAGGCGCAGTGGTTCACGTAGCACTGCACACTCTGGGAAGCCAGGGGTGGGCAGATCACTTGAGGTCAGGAGTTTGAGACCAGTGTGGCCAACATGGTGAAACCCCATCTCTACTAAAAATACAAAAATTAGCCAGGTATGGTAGCATGTGCCAGCTACTTGGGAGGCTGAGGCAGGGGAATCGCTTGAGCCCAGGAGGCGGAGGTTTCAGTGAGCCAAGATCATGCCACTGCACTCCAGCCTGGGTGAAAGAGTGAGACTCTGTCTTAAAAGAAAAAAAAAAAAAAGAAGCCATTAAAAATAGCATTATAATGTGTTAAATAAATAGGAGCAAATCCTACCACCCAGAAGATGTTAAAGATATCTTCATAGAAAATGTAAAACAGAAAAATTAATTAATGTTTAAATAAAGTAGAGGGATATACTATGTTCACAGTAATGACTGGAAGACATTAGAAATTGACAAACCAAGTCTAAAATTTATATAGAAATCAGAAGAACCTACCACTGAAATGTAAACTTCACAAGGGCAAAGATTTTCATTCGGTTTGTTCAGCAACGTATATCCAGGCCATATAGTAGGTGCTCAGTAAATGTTTGGTGAATTGAAGTTTCAAAGTGTCTAAAGAGTTTACAGTAAGAGTTCACGCTGAGCTTCATTCAGTTACCATGGCACATTCTGATATACCATCTCATTTACCTTCCTGTTTATGAAATCACACAAAGCCTCAAAATCTTATATGCTGAATGGAGCAGTTGGGATCATTCGGTTTAGTTTTTCATTCTTTCTTCAGGGCATTCAGGCAAATAAAATCTTAAGCTGAAGAGTAGAAAAATAAGATAAATTGCTGCTCTGGTTTCAACTGGGGGAGCCTGGCCTGGAGCACCACCCCTTGGATTATCAACCCTAAGAAACAGGACAAGCATCTGAACATGATATCTGTGCCCTTCCCAACATGGCTGCTACCTAACTGAGCTGAGAAGAGCCCCCCAAATAAGTTTGTCAGGGCCAAGACAAACAGATTGCAAATTCCTTCTTATTAATAATAAAAAACTGGACAATCTGGCTGTCAGCGTGCTCTTTACCTCCTATTTCTTCTCACCATTTTAGAATAAACCTGTCTGTAAATCTCACATACAAAACCTAAAAAGGATCTTTAAACTATTTATTTTCCTTTATTATAATAGAAGTTCCTAGAGTATAACCACATTTTCTATGCTATTTGTATATACTGAGAGCTAAGTACGTATTAAGTTGCTGGATTCAAAACAAACTTTGTACTTAATAAAATTTAAATGATGCCAATTACATTATATTCTTTACTAATTCTTAGTTTTTCATTTAATTCAATAAGTTACATGCATTTGAACACTTTCTAACTATATATTTTTTCTACTGGAACTATGCCTTCTAATTTTGTATATAAATCCAACAGGATATCTACATGGAACATACATTTAAATGGCCTTTTAAACTTCTGAATTGTCTGTTGCATTGAAAAATCAACTTTCTTTCCTTGTTTCTAGTTTAAACTGACGTACATCTGGTACCTTTAAAACATCTCTACTTCGGCTGGGTGTGGTGGTTCACGCCTGTAATCCCAGCACTTTGGGAGGCTGAGGTGGGTGGATCACTTGAGGTCAGGAGTTCGAGACCAGCCTGGCCAACAGGGTGAAACCAGGTCTCTATTAAAAATACAAAAATTAGCCAGGTGTGGTGGCACACACCTGTAATCTCAGCTACTCAGGAGGCTGAGGCATGAGAATAGCTTGAACCCGGGAGGCAGAGGCTGCAGTGAGCCAAGATTGCGCCACTGCACTCCAGCCTGGGAGACAGAACAAGACCTTTATCTCCAAAAAAGATAAATAAATAAATAAATCTCTGCTTTTTCATTTGTTTGCCAATAAACAATTGCAATTGCTTCTACCTCAAAATAGCCCTTTCTCAACAGAAAAAGGGCTGGACTATAGTAAAAAAAAGGAACTGCAAGTTAAGTGGCCCCTCGGAATGTTTGATACGTTTTTCCAAACATGACAAGCACAATCAGTAGTCATCAAACATTTCTCTCTGCTGACTCAACCCCACCCTCTTTTTAACATCACTGTGTTGATCTCTACTTTCTCTTTCTACCTGTTCACTGAATTCTATGAATTCAGTGCTTAGTAGCTGTCAGAACAGGAAGCCTTGATAGAATACTGTGGGAACATAAACATATATATTCCTTTCTATCTTCCTGGGAAACTATATTTGATCACCCAGGTTAATACTTGATAATTCTATTCTGCTTGCCCACCAATTTTAAAAGGTGGGATAGAACACATCTTGGTTTTAAGTTTCTTCTATTTTATTCTTTAAGAGCCTCCATAATTTACTTGTTTGGAGTAAATCATATGTCTTGATCGAAAACATAATTTTTAATAAGGCTAAAATGAAAGCCAAAACTGTCTTAAAAATTAAACGAAAAGACATGAGACTATACCACAACATTACTCCATTCTAAGAATAGAAGATGAGACCCAGCCCCAAGGCAGGCAAAGCCTGGCTTTGAACCCTCCAGTCCCAGGTCAGAGATCTGTGTGCTCCTGCGGCCCTCCCCGTGGTCTTCGTCATCCGTCAGTATTCATTGCAGGGACGAAGAGCCACTTCAACAATGTAGAAAATGCTTTATGGAAAAACAGCTGCAGTGATGCAGTCGGTGCTTTGCTGACACGTGGATTTGATATGTCAGCAAAGCACAGGATTAAAAACATGCAGCAAGCACATAGAGGATCCTGCCTCTTCTCTCCTCCCGCAGCACACTCAGCCCAGTGAGGTTAAAAACAAAGAGAATCTCAAGAAAGCAAAGATGAAACAGAGCACGTTAACACCAGAAGAGTGCTTTAAGTGATCCTTTAAAAATGGCATTGCAATCATTGTGTATGGTTTTTAGTGAGGGTTTTGGGTACAAGTGTTTGACTTGCTTTGGCGCTTTGCCACCAAAATCTATTAGAATAACTGATTTATAAGAAATATTTTGATAAGATGTGTATTTAATAAAAATACTAATGTCCTTGACACTGTGGTTCAAGCTTTTTTTTTTTTTTTTTTTTTTTTTTTTTTTTTTTTTTTTTTCAGAAAACAGAGGCAAGTGTTCAAACTGTCACGGAGAATAACATGTGGCCAAAATTACATGTGGTTCTATCTCTCATAACAAGTCTTAGAATGATGCATCATACCAGCTGTCTGGGAACAAATGTATTTTGTTGGCATGGGAACAAAAGAATTAGTCTGAATTTTGTAATTAAACTGTGGTTATTAAAATTACTCGAAACAAACCAGAATAATAACCATTAAACATGAAAAGTCAATAAAAGTCTTTGAATTACATTTCTGTTGCAATTCCTGTTTTCATAACGTGCTTTGGGATGAAACATAGCTTTGAGTTGTTAGTACTTTTAAATAGACTTCACTGCAGATGAGTTAGCCAACAGCAGCTAAGACTGTGAAGTTTTAAAATCCTTTATGGAAAATGAAAATTAAAGGCTTGGAAATCTGTAGAAGACCAATTCTTTTTAACAATTGTCACAATTATTGCACAATTGATTTTCTGTCTCTATAGCATCTTCTTCTTTAAGGCTGCCTGTGACTCCATAGATTTGTTGGTTACCCTTGATGATGACTGAGGTGGTTTAAAGATAAGCAGTGCTATCCACTGAAAGCTTTAAGTTTATTGATTTTGGTTCTCCTAATAACCATGCTACTCCTGGATAGATCACTGGGCATTGTGGGAGGCAAATCAACTCTTTGGGAATACAAATGATACTAGTTGTAACGGTATAACAGGCGGAAGGAGCTAAGGAGCTTCCAGAGTCGTCTAATATTACCCGAAAGCTACTTATACTAAAGGGACCAAGTTTTATTCTTTAAAAACCCAGAGACCTAGGAAGGAATCAGCAGAATGCTAAGTTCATCTATAGAGAAAAATCAAGGACTTTTTTGGTGTCTTTTCTGCTTTGGCCTTCTTATAGGAGAGATTTGAAAGAAAAATCTGTCTTGTTTTAGAGGAGAGCAGAAAGGTGGGTGCCACGGGCAGGGCACTGGCATTTTGCTTTCTCTTCATCTTTCCCTGACCTGTGAATGCTTTTTGGTGCTATAATGTCTGAGGAATAGCTGAGGGCCCAGAGAAGCCATGAATGATCCTACCAGATGAAATGACCACCCCGGATGAAAATGATAAAAGAATATCTTTAATATTTGTTTTGATAAAAGTCTAGACAAGAATACACTGAGAAAAAGTCACTTAGAATATGTTTAGGAGGCCCAATACCAAGGGCCTGTGATCAGTACCCAAGTTCAGCAACTTTTGGAACTCTTCGTCCTCAAAGTCCCTGTGGCCTGTGATGCTGCTAATTCTTCCTCCCTCCTTCTCTCCATCTGTCACCCTCCCTCTCCCTCTTTCCATCCCGTCCTTCTTCCTCCCATTAATTCACCGAGCACCATTGGGCCTGATGCTGGGCTAAACGCTGGGATACAAGGATAAACATGACACAGTCCCAGCTCAGGTCCCACCCTCAAAGTGTACCACCTACTGAGGGAGTTTGATGGAAAAAGCTTTAATGCGGAGGGCGGGGAGGTGCATTTTAGTCCGTTCTCACACTGCTATAAAGATACTACCCAAGACTGGGTAATTTATAAACAAAGGAGGTTTAATTGACTCACAGTTCTGCATGGCTGGGAGGCCTCAGAAAACTTACAATCATGGCGGAAGGGGAAGCAGGCACCTTCTTCACAAGGCGGCAGGAGACAGAGTGAGTGAGACAAAGGGGAAGAGCCTCTTATAAAACCATCAGATCTTGTGAGAACTCACTAACACAGGAACAGCATGGGGGAAACTGCCCGCCATGATCCAGTCACCTCCCACCAGGTCTCTCCCTCAACACCAGGGGATTACAATTCAAGATGAGATTTGGGTGGGGACACAAAGTCTAACCATATCAGGGGGCCACAGAAAGTGCTGCAAAGGCACAGATAGATAAAAGTGGGACATCAGGTGGGCAGGGCTGTTTTGAGGATAGGGGCTCCGGAAAGCAAAGGCCTTACAGAGTGATTCAATTCAACAAGCGCTGGTGGATGCCATGAAGATGACAGATCGGGTCCTTACCCTAAGGGGCATAATGTCTAGTAGGAAATTCTCTTTGGTTTTCCTGCCTTTAAATTCTCCTGGCTCTGCTCTTCCTGCCCATTCCTTTTCAATCCTCTTTGCATCCTCCTCTATCTTCTCTGGTCCCTTGGCTGTGACCCTGCCTACCAATCTGCTCATGGCCCTCTTATATCCCTCTATGCTCTTCTTTGTCAATATTATCCACACATTCTGGGCTTCTGCTATATCTGCATCAAGACGACTCTGACATGCTTAAAGTCCTAGGGCTCTTTCTTGACTTCTGGATTCAGATTTTCATTTAAATGCCTCCAAATGAATGTCCTCCTGCTAGCATCTAGGATGCAACATCTAAAAAAATGATAGTGTCATTGTCCACTATATACCAGCTTATCAATTTAAAAAGGCATTATTTTCAACACATTCCTTTCTTCCACTCTCTAAATCTCTATATTCTGTGAATTTTTCCTTTTTTTAATTTTTTTTTTTTTTTTGAGACAGGATCTCTCTCTGTAGCCCAGGCTGGAGTACAGTGGTGCAATCTTGGCTCACTGCAACCTCTGCCTCCCTGGCTCAAGGGATCCTCCTACCTTAGCCTTCTGAGTATCTAGGACTACAGGTGCACATCACCACACCTGGCTAATATTTTTGCAATTTTTTTTTTAAGAGACAGGGTTTCACCATGTTGGCCAGGCTGGTCTGGAACTCCTGGGCTCAAGCAGCCTGCTTGTCTCAGCCTCCCAAAGCGCTGGGATTACAGGCATGAGTCACCACGCCAGGCCTGAATTTTTCTTTTCTTTCTTTCTTTTTTTTTGAGATGGAGTCTCACTCTGTCACACAGGCTGGAGTGCAGTGGTGTGATCTCAGCTCACTGCAACCTCTGCTGCCCGGGTTCAAGCAATTCTCCTGCCTCAGTCTCCTGAGTAGCTGGGATTATAGGCACCTGCCACCGCGCCCAGCTAATTTTTGTATTTTTAGTAGAGACAGGGTTTCAACATCTTGGTCAGGCTGGCCTTGAGCTCCTGATCTCGTAATCCACCCGCCCCGGCTTCCCAAAGTGTTGGGATTACAGGCATGAGCCACCGCGCCCAGCCTGAATTTTTGCTTTTAAATGCATCTTCACATTTACCCTCTTCTTTCTACCCCTTTTGACAATATCCAGCTCAAGCCTTCCGTATTTCTCTTGTGACCAGTGATGTGAATTTTAGGCCATAACCTCTGAATTGGTCTCCTTTCATTTCTTGTTCATCTTCCCTGCTGGACTAATCTTTGTAAAATATAACCTCAGTCATCTAGCACTCCCCAGCAAAGAAAAAGTCCCCCATTGCTGACAACTGCTTTCTAACGAATGACTGAACTGCTCAGCATTCCATCCAGAATTGGCTGCTGGTCCTGACACACAACACAGCGCTCAATAAAGAGTAGACACTCAGTAACAAATGATCCCTCTTCCCTTTTTTTAATGGATGAAATGAACAAAACGAACTTTCTGGTCTTGTTTTCCTCTTCACTGATATCACACCTTCTGGCCAAGATGTTACTCAATGTCCCTTGAACACTCGGCATGTTCTGCTCTTCACTCTGCCCTCTAACTAGAATGTCCTTCCTCTCTGTTAATGCCCAGGCCAGATGTTCCCTTCTCCGCTATAAACAACTATAATCACACACGTTGCATCTCTATGATGTTTGATAGTTTTTGAAGTATTTTTACACACTTTATCTTGTTTTGATGTTCCCAAGAACCCTGTGGGAAGATATTTTACTAACATTTTACTGATTAGGAATCCATTATCCAGAAAGGTTGAGTGGCTTACCCATGATCACATGATTAGTAGTGACAAAGGTGGACTGAGAACCAGCAGCACTTTTCCCACTAGATCACGACAGTCCTTGAAGCCTCTTCTGGTTTCTCTCCCTGTGCCTTGGTGAGGGTATCTGGGACTCTGCAGCCCACGAGGGAACCTCTTTCCCCACCCTGCAACCCCTAAACACACACAATTACCATGGAGACCGTCTTTGGTCACTAGTGTCTCTCCTAAATTAGTTGATGTGTCTAGGCCTTAAATATGAAGTTGGTTGCTGCAAAGCTGTGATCGAAATGTTAAAGTGTGACTTTTAGCTATTTTAAAATAATTTATGAGTCACTTGTGCCTGCACAGTCCAGACCTTTAATGCTTGCAAAACCAGATGAGACTTACAACTAAACCAGCTGGCTGCAAAAAAATACTGAGCAGAAAACCAAAGAGGACCCCGGGGGCAACCCAAGACAGCAAGACAAGGTAGAAGCCAGGAGCCTTCAAGAGAAGGCTGGCAGAATGCTGATTCCTGCCGAACAGCTTTGGAAGGACCCGGCTCCCCGGAGGGCTGCAAGCTCTTGAAACAACCCCAAATTAGCAAGTGCCACACACTGCCTAGGCAGTGGGACCCTAACCTCTTCCTGGTTAAAGATCCTCTCCTTCCTTCCCATAGGATCAGGGAAGACGGAAGGAAGGACCAGTGCTTGCATTCTTTCTGCATATTGTGATTCTGAGCCTCCAAGCCATTTAGTAAAAGAACCAACTTCCAGCTGGGTGCGGTGGCTCAGGCCTGTAATACCAGCACTTTGGAAGGCCGAGGCAGGCAGATCACCAGGTCAGGAGCTCGAGACCAGCCTGGCCAATATGGTGAAACCCCGTCTCTACTAAAATACAAAAATTAGCCAGGCATGGTGGTGGGCGTCTGTAATCCCAGCTACTCGGAAGGCTGAGGCAGGTGAATCACTTGAACCCGGGAAGCAGAGGTTGCAGTGAGCCAAGATAGTGCCACTGCATTCAGCCTAGGCAACAGAGCGAGACTCCATCATTAAAAACAAAAACAAAAACAAAAACAAAACCAACTTCCATTCCACACCTGGGGTCTACATTTTATACACATCCCATTTACTCTATCAGACTGTAAACTCCTTGAGGGCAAAATCTATAACTTATTCATCTTCGTTTCTTCTCAGACCTAACACTGTTTAGCAAAATACACCTGTTAAAAGAATAAAATGTTGAGTAAAAAAAGACTGAGTCTCCTGTGAAACACTCAGCATTGTATTTTATTTATTAGAACATCTCTAAAGTATTGTTTTTTTCTCACTAATTTGTTTAATAAAATATCCTTCTGGGAAACTGAGTGATCAATGTAATTAAAGCTATTCATACTTTCAAATTTTAAGATAGCCAGTTTGAAGCAGGGAATTTTGCTCTGTGTATGTTAATATCCACAGATTGGTATGTTAGAATCTGACATTTTTTGGTGTCTTTGTTATAAATACATGCTTTACACAGTGTTAAGAATAACAAGAAAACTTTTAGACTATTTATTTTCTTCCTTTTCTTTTCTATAATTTATCAAACCAAATTATCTAGTCTCACTGTGAATAACGAAACATTGTTTGCTCCCCATTGTGAATAATGAAACTAAGTGAATTTTAGTTTTACCCAAAATATTTTAATCTGTACCTGCACCCGAGTGACAGATGGCATATATCCATTTTACGCAGTGTTTAACGCAGTGGAAAATAATATTCTGGGAGTAAGCAGACCACTTACAGACCTACCCTGGGTCTGCCACTAGTGTGTTGTACATTAGGGAAGTCACATCCTTCCTGATGACTCAGTTTCTTTGCACAATGAAAAAGTCTGACTCAAGCTCTGATCTCCCTTCTTTGATGAAATTATGGGGTTCTTGCTCAGAATAAACTGGAATTAGAAATTATTACCTCCTCCTATGAATAAAAATAATGGTGATTTTAAATTGCTGTTTATTGATTAGAGAAAACATCACGTTTTTGTAAAGCTGACTTAGAAAATTTATTTTCTGATTCTATTGGTGTTATTTCTCTTGAATCTGCCCAAGGAGAAAGTTAACCCTTTGTGCCCCACAATGAGCACATCTTCCCTGGGGACTCTGTGTGCTGATCTGTCCGCTTGAGGGGACAGAAGGGAGAGTTGGTGGCACCAAGGCATGTGGTGGACAGCAAAGATGCCACCCATCAAGACCTGATGAGAAGCAGCTTTTGGTTTTTAATTAAAAACATAACTTTTACAATGCCTCATTCATTTCTTGTTTTTATAGAATCAAAACATAGACATTTTTCTTAAATGAAAACCAGAAACCATTTAAACATTTTTAAAGCAAGCAAGTTAAAAAAAGCAGCTTAGGATTGTCTTTTGTAATTCTGCCAGTTTCAATTTTGATTCCTTAATGCAACCAGTATCAGGATAACAATATTTGCTTGAAAAGAAAGAGAAGATAGTCCTCAGGGGCTGTTTCAAACACATTTTAGTTGTTCGATTGGCTGATGTGAGGCTAGCTACTGTTATTGAAGTTGCTTTGATGAACAGTGAAAAATACATTCATAATGTAACAATCTCAACATTTTAGATATCCTTAGTAAACTCATATTTAGCAGATCCTAAAAAGTGTCTGTGACAATAGTTCTAATTTTTTTTTTTTTTTTTTTTTTTGAGATGGTGTCTTGCTCTGTCGCCCAGGCTGGAGTGCAATGGCACAATCTCGGCTCACTGCAACCTCCACCTCCCAGGTTCAAGCGATTCTCCTGCCTCAGCCTCCCAAGTAGCTGGGATTATAGGCGCCCGCCACCACGCCTGGCTAATTTTTGTATTTTTAGTAGAGACAGGATTTCACCATGTTGGACAGGCTGGTCTCAAACTCCTAACCTCAGGTGATCGGCTTTCCAAAGTGCTGGTATTACAGGCATGAGCCACTGTGCCCAGCCTAATTCTAATTATTTTTG